>NC_000008.11:120714222-121964222 GCF_000001405.40 Homo sapiens
ACCACAGAGACAGAACCCCTCCTCTGTTAGATTACATTTAAGAAAGCAGTGCGTGCAAGCCATCCATAATGCTGTCTTCAGAAACAGTCAAAACTTGTGGTGACAATTCCAGCCAGCTGTGAAATTCAGTTTTCCCAAGAGAACTTGAGGCTGGCCCTCATGAGTAGGATACAAATACTCCATTTCACAGAAGGTGATTTGGCCACAAAAAATAAATCCATACTCCAGAAAGAAATGGAATCATGGAGATATATAAAGTCCTTTTTTTTTTTTCTGGCAAAAACATTCTTCATTAGAAGCAGGATCTTCAAATCTAGACAGGAAGCAGGCACCATTCCCAAAGATTATTTGCAAGAATTACTCTAGAGGATGAGATATAAATATAAATGCTGAGTCCCCAAGCAAAAATCTCAGAAGCCTGTTAATTGAACTAACAGATGGGCTATGGAGACAGTCTCTTGTCAAGGTGGTAACTTGGGCAAGAATGATACCCTTAAAGGAAATATCAAGATATAGAAAGTTTATTAAAATATCACGGCGGAAGGTTTCAAGTCACATTTAGAGGAAGGTATAGAAGAAAGTCTCCTCAAAGTTGCAGCAAGCCAGTGGGTGTAAGTTTCCATCCTGCTTCCTGCAGAAACAACATCTGTTCTTACATTCAACACAGGCCACCTCTGATATTTATTGCATTTGCTGAATGCTGAAAGGATCTGAAATGTGAAACCTCTTGATCTGTCAGTAGTCTTGGATTTCTGTGAAAAGACGAGCTACATAATAGCACAAATTGGAGAAATTTCATTTATCTAAAAGACATAAATCTCCATCACAGTCGAATTCCCTTTCAATACACAACTGTAGAAGTTATAGCCAACCTTTGTCTTGTAACTTCCCCTTATTTTCATTCTCCTCTACATGCACAGCTCCATTTCCTTCAAAAAGATGCATTCCAGGTCATTCAGTCTTGACTTTAACCCATTCACTTGTCCAAAGCAAATTTAGCCTAAATGAGTGAAAGTCAAAACATGCGTTTTTTGGTCTCATTAAGCTCACAGTATCCTTGTGAGAGAAGAAGGAAATTTGGTTCATTAGCCTACCTGTGAATGAAGGATAACTTGCTTGTATTTCAGTGGAATTTATATTTTATTTTTATACAATGCTCAGGTTTCTTGGTTCTCATCAAAAAGTGAGGCTGGTTACTCAACAGAGCCCAGAAAACGATAGCAAATTTTAGTTGACATCACATGAGTTGTTTATCTGGGGAGCATAAATGGTTAAAAACAAAAAAAACAAACTTGGGTTTCATAATTTAAAGGTCTCTTTGAAAGAAGCAATAAATAAAAGAGGATGCCTAGAAGGTATTATAAACAAACAAAGTGGGTGAAAGGGTGGGAGACTCGATAAAGTTTCTGTGACGATTTCATGTGATGTCAACACTGAGACAGTTACTTAGCACAGACCAAAGGGTCCAATTGCCAGAGGTTAAAGTGACAGGCAATTAGAAGAGGTGGTATTCTTCTCCTTTCCTTTTTTTCCCCCTCCTTGTTTCATTTATTGAGTGCGCCCTTTATTCGTGATGCCGTCCCACTCACACAGCAGTGGAGAGACTGTTTTGAGAAAGTAATCCGAGTGAAGGTTAGTAAAAAAGCCAAACCTCTAACTCATCAGGGAACTGGAGATTCTGGAGGAGGCAATGAAGAGAACCAGCTGATATCAATCTGCGATGTCCCATTTACCCTGGGAAATTCCTTCTGAGTTAATCCAGGTGCACATCCTGAGTTCCACAGAACCCTTGGCATCTTTTCTCAGTGTCATAATGAGTGGTTTACATCATCATCTTTCCCACTAGATTCTGGGCTCCTTCTTAGGGGAAGAAACTCCAGTCTTTCATCCCGGTCGTTTTAGGGCTGAGCCCATAGTTGGTAGTCAATAAATATTTGATGAATGTATACATAAATGAATGAATGAATGCAGGCATAAATTTTTCTACCTCAAGCATGTCTGCCACAGACTGACTGCCTGAGAAGAATATATTCTGTGCAGAGTTCCATTATTATTATCATGATTATTGACAATTTTCACTTGAAATATACTTCAAAGTGTTTTCATGCATTAGTAACCTGAAATTTTTATCCCTATTGAAACTATTCACATAATAAAATGTTATTTTCTTCACACAGCCACACACAAAACAAAACTGATTCCTTAGCCAACATTCTAGGCAAAATATTCTATTTTTGTGAAGGTCAATTCTTGCAGTATGACATCTATTCCAGCAGCTGACTTTGCAAATACACATCCTCCCTCACTTGGGGAGGATGCTAGAGGTTAAGATATAGGTCTCTGTTTTTAGACACTTGATGTTCAGGATTTTGATACTAATGAGAACTTTTAGTAATCAGAAATGTCCACAGCTACAAGCAGTGAGTTCCCTCTCCTTGAAGGTGTCCCATGGAGGATGAAAGTCAGCTTGGCGGTGCCTTGCAGAGGAACTAAGCATCACACTGGTATTCAGTTTAGATGTCCTTGCTTTTCTCTTCAACCTAAACTTATCAAATTTCATGATTTAACATGGGAAATAGAAGATTTTTTTCTAGCAGTATTAGGTGGTTTGGGATCTGCAAAATAATTCACATGAGGGCAAAGGCTAAGACTAGAATCTTGGTCTCTCTGAACAGAAATTTCCTTACTGGTCTTTCAGCAGTTTTCATGGATTTTAGTACTCCAGCCAAATGAGCTACTCCTCTCTGCAGAAATCCTTAAGTTCCCCAGAAGTGATCCTTTTATTCATAGCACAAGGCCCTTTAACTTGTCACTGAATCTCTCCTTGGCTCATCACGCTCCAGGCATTCTTGCAGATCACTTTTCCCTTAAGAAAGGTGGTTCAGACTTCCTCTGCAAACTAATCATAGGCTTGTAGGAGGCTGCCCAGGAAAATATTAGGCAGACTGATTAGAATGCTCGGATTCTGATCCTCAGGCCACTACGGACCTCACTGATAATGGAAATGCAGCTTAATGTTCCTTTCAGTGCTGCCTAGGCGATATGAAATATCACCTGCTATCCCAGAGTCTGTGGTGCAGCCCATTGAACACCACTCAAATGGGCCGCTGTATATTAAGACTCTTCTCCCACTGCACGAGTCGAGAGCTAGAACACAGAGCCCTTTGCAGAGAGACAGCCCAAGCTGAAGGAATGCTTGGGTGACTCCAGTGGCCTAGGGAATGTGACAAAAACTCATGCTCATCAGTTGTTGTTTTGTTCCAACTTTGCCACAATGTACTCTATAATTTCAGTTTTCCTGATGGATTCTGGGGTGGGCAAATAGTGCTAAGCCTCCGAAGCACTGAGGTTGCCTTTCTTCATCACGGGGAAGCTTCCAGCCCTTGCAGCAGAGAACGGGCAGGAGTCCATACAGTTGATTTGTATTGACAGCTTCACCCCTCTCCTGGCACAGATGGGAAATGGCCAAGAATGATGTGCAGAGTGGAAGGCAGTCCAGGTCAAGGCAGATGTTCTATTGTGTTGCTCCAGATACAGAAACAGGGCCAGGGTCAGAAGCTGTTTGTTCAGTCCCCACACTGTTAAAGGAAGGATCTGCAGGGCATGTTTAGAGAAAGCAAAAATAAAATGAAAAACAAAGCCCTCTTTCCTCAAAAAAGAGCCATACAGTAGTGCCACGGACAGGCTTGAGATGGAAGAAAAGAGGTACTAGATGTGTCTCGTCCATCAGCCCTGAGCAGTCCTGCCCTTTGAACCAGGCTAGGGAGGCCTTTGTCCCTTTTATTCTTAGAGGGCTGTGCTCTGGTATTTTGCTGGCTGTCTTTCTTCCCATGTAAGGGAGAGTCCTCCAGGCCAAGGGGATAGGCCCAATTGGAGCCTACCTTCCCCTTCTGCACCCTGGAATTGTCTAATTGGTGTGATGGCTAATACTGAGTGTTGATTTGATTGGATTGAAGGATGCAAAGGCTCCAAGCTTGGGCCCAGGGCCTGTGAGCATCTGTCCTCCCTGTCTGTCCTCCTGAGGGTCACTGTGCCACTGCTTTCAGAAAACCTCTAGGCTCCAGGAGGGCAAAGGGAGCCACGTTTACAGGGGCAGGGCAAGGATAGAGCTTGCGAGCTGAGCTGTCCACACATGTGAGCAGGATTCATGTTTCAGTGCCTATGGAACCAGGGGTGGGAAGAGAAGAGGGGATGGGCTTCAGGCCAGGGCCACTTCTCCCCCTGGTCTCCTACCAACTTCTCTTCATTAGGCTCTGGCAAAGAAGGTGGCCAAATATATTTTATTACATGTTTGTAAATTTGATTGATAATGTTAACATATTTAGACCTATAGTATATGGACCTCCATTCATACTCATGTTTTGGGCTCTGAAAATATTAGAAGTGGGTCTGGTTCTGACCACACCCCCTTCCTCCTAACTGCTTCCGGAAGGGGAAGGGAAATAAGGACTTGGGGTGGTTTGACAGGTGGGAAGTGAGGGTGTTGGGGGGCTGAGTAGGAGGTACTTTGCTGCTACTGAACCAAACAAAAAGTTTAGAGAAAGTAAAACTACCAGGAAGAAATCAAAATAGAGTATGTTTTCTCTCTGTGGTTCCCTATAAACTCCAAATGTTACAAACACTAAGGCAAGAGTGTCAATTCTACACACACACAAAAAGGAAAGATGCTGTCTCTTGGCTTGACTTGGTAGGTTCAGAGCGACTGTGATACTGTGACTAGGAAAGTGTGGTGAAGGTCACTGATCAGCATCTGCTTCAAACCCAAACTCTCACTATCTCAGAAGCAAACAGCAAGGTAAAAGTTTTGTCCAACAGCAGAGGGACTGAATAGAGAAGGAACTCATTAACCTGGTGTGATGGCTAATATTGAGTGTCAATTTGATGGGATTGAAGGATGCAAAGTATTGATCCTGGGTGTGTCTGTGAGGGTGTTGCCAAAGAAGGTTAACATTTGAGTCAGTGGGCTGAGAAAGGCAGACCCACCCTTAATCTGGGTGGGCACCATCTAATCAGCTGCCAGTGTCGCTAGAATATAAAGCAGCCAGAGAAACATGAAAAGGTCAGACTGGCTTAGCCTCCCAGCTTACATCTATCTCCAGTGCTGGATGCTTCCTGCCCTAAAACATTGGACTTCAAGTTCTTCAGCTTTGGGACTTGGACTGGCTTCCTTGCTCCTCATCTTGCAGATGACCTGTTGTGGGACCTTGTGATTGAGTGAGTTAATACTATTGAATAAACTCCATTTTCTATTCAGGCACACTCCTAGTTTCTTAGAAGCATGGACAAGTGGTTGGTCTGAGTCTGTCTAGCTTGCCCAGGTTGAGATGGCTGATCTGATGGGTATCCTTGCCATCCATCATTGCTCCATGTAATTCTCCCCCAAAGCTATGACGTTCAGCTGAAGAAGGTTGAACTCGCTGTCTTAGTTTGGCTTCCCCCAAAAGCAGAACCCGAGACAAGGACTTGAGTGCAGGTGGTTTATTTGAGAGGTGAATCCAGGAAGCACAAACCAGGATGTAGGGAAAGAGAGACAGGGAAGACAGAAAAGCCAACATGGTGTGCTGGTGTCTGCTCTACTCACTACACTTACTCTCCCAGATTTCACCTTTGCTCACATCAGTCCTCATGCCATGGAATGAACCTAACCTTTCTGTCTCTCATGAAGAATTCCACTTACATGAATGGCGGGCAAGGCTCAAAAAGCCTCGCCTTCCTATTTGTAAAATGACTTCAAACTGTCTACATAGTTCAATTAAAATTTTATACTTCCTTCCAGGATTAGAACACAGCTTCCAAATTCTCTTAAATGCCTGGGCAGCCATCAAACCTTCCAGTGATCGGTGATGCAGTAAATACATGGGTTAGGGCAAAGGGGCTGGCAGCAAGATGAGGAAAAGCTCACTATCTAACATAAATAACCTATGTCATAAGACTGTGGAGAAAATTCCCATATGCACTTTGGGGCAGCCCAATCCTGAGCATATTAGACCTTCCCTGGCACCCCAGATGGTGAGGCTGTCCTCTCCCTCCAGCTCCCTCCTTGGCCCCTGTCTGAAGGCCCAGTATCCTCCCTGTTCTCACACGAGTCTAATGTGGGCCAGAAAGGATAGATTTACGTGCCTTCAGCACAATGCATGGCCAGTGAGTATCAAGTCCTCCTGACTCTCTGGCCCTATGACCCTATTCTGACAACTGAGTCTTTTCCGTATGCCTCAGATCTGCCTACCATCTCCTGTTTTCATCTGCCGCAAATGAATCCAACTCCCCAGACAACTATTGAACATTCAATTACTGGCTCAAGTGGACAACTCAAATTACCGGCTTTCCCTTTCTGCCTGACCCAGTGCAAAGACCTCTATCCTATACTGACTTATGGCGAGAAGTATTAGAGCTTCACATAAGTGCTATGAAGAGCATTGATCAGTATCTTTTGCAAACCCACACTGTAAAAATGTATCAAGCCAAATGTTTTCTATGCAGAGGTGACTTGCAGAAGTCATTACTGTTTTGGCAGGATGTTGGGCTAATCAGAAAATGATGCTGCCTAATCGTAGTAATCACAGTACCAAGTCAGGAGTGAGTGGGAGACTAGATCATATTTATTTGGTGAGAAGAAGAGTGGCCAACCACCTACCTTACCCTTCCACAGGAGCCTCCATCTGTCAGTCAACAAGTCTTTTCCAAGAGCCTTCTATATACTATGCTAAGCTTAGGCACCAGCTTAGGAAACTCAACTCAGGCATGAGAAGGAATTTTCTGACTATCATTAGGGGATTTAAATACTTGGGCGTATTCCTGAGACAGCCTGGGTAGCCTCCCTGTTTTGCAGCTTTTATTAATGTGTTAGACTTTTAGGGAAAGCTAAATCAGTGATTTCCTAGCTGAATTTCAGAAAACCCTAGGGTGTCATGGAACCCTAGACTTCTATAAAGTATGCTTTAAGGGATTATACACATATTTGGTTAAGATTTCACTTTTTAATGAGAATTTACTTTTGACTATTTAAAAAATGGTAAGAAAAAGTGGCACCCATGCATTTAAATGTGTCTTATATAAAACTTGGATATGTTGGAACACCAAAGTTTGGGTGCTGCTACAAGGTTAACTCATTTTTGTGCAGACTTGAAATCAAGCTTCTCCTGTGGCATGTATTTAGCTAATTGCAGGGGCATCTGTTAAACAATGATGTTACAAATACCTGTGTGGACCATGATCCCCTGACTCCTACACAATGAAAACAAGATACTGAGGCTTACATAAAACTTCAACTGTTATCCTAACTTCCAGTTAAAAATTGCTGCCTAGTTGAATGAGCCTTACTACTCTAATTGGCTGGCTTTTTAATGAGTAAATGTGACAAAGCTGTACTTACAAAATAAATTCATATAAATATAACCATAATGCCATTTTTTATTTATGCTAGCTATTGATGTTTTATATAGGTTTCCTTAGGGAAAAAAAATGAGTCATAGTTAAAAATAACTTTGAGACCATTAGTTTATTTTTTTCATTTTTAAATTATTTATTTATTATACTTTAAGTTCTAGGGTACATGTGCACAATGTGCAGGCTCGTTACATAGGTATACATGTGCCATGCTGGCCTGCTGCACCCATCGACCCGTCATTTACATTAGGTATTTCTCCCAATGCTATCCCCTCCCCCTGCCCCCCACCCCATGACATGCCCCAGTGTGTGATGTTCCCCACCCTGTGACCAAGTGTTCTCATTTTTCAATTCCCACCTATGAGTGAGAACATGCAGTGTTTGGTTTCCTGTCCTTGTGATAGTTTGCTGAGAATGATGGTTTCCAGCTTCATCCATGTCCCTGCAAAGGACATGAACTCATCCTTTTTTATGGCTGCATAGTATTCCATGGTGTATATGTGCCACATTTTCTTAATCCAGTCTATCATTGCTGGACATTTGGGTTGGTTCTGTGAATAGTGAATAGTGAACTGTGAATAGTGCCACAATAAACATACGTGCACATGTGTCTTTATAGTAGCATGATTTATAATCCTTTCGGTATATACCCAGTAATGGGATTGCTGGGTCAAATGATATTTCTAGCTCTAGATCCTTGAGGAATCGCCACACTGTCTTCCACAATGGTTGAACTAGTTTACACTCCCATCAACAGTGTAAAAGTGTTCCTATTTCTCCACATCCTCTCCAGCACCTGTTGTTTCCTGACTTTTTAATGATTGCCATTCTAACTGGTGTGAGATGGTATCTCAGTGTGGTTTTGATTTGCATTTCTCTGATGACCAGTGACGATGAGCATTTTTTCATGTGTCTTTCGGCTGCATAAATGTCTTCTTTTGAGAAGTGTCTGTTCATATCCGTTGCTCACTTTTTGATGGGGTTGTTTTTTTCTTGTAAGTTTGTTTAAGTTCTTTGTAGATTCTGGATATTAGCCCTTTGTCAGATGAGTAGATTGCAAAAATTTTCTCCCATTCTGTAGGTTACCTGTTCACTCTGACAGTAGTTTCTTTTGCTGTGCAGGAGCTCTTTAGTTTAATTAGATCCCATTTGTCAATTTTGGCTTTTGTTGCCATTGCTTTTGGTGTTTTAGACATGAAGTCCTTGCCCATGCCTATGTCCTGAATGGTATTGCCTAGGTTTTCTTCTAGAGTTTTTATGGTTTTAGGTCTAACATTTAAGTCTTTAATCCATCTTGAATTAATTTTTGTATAAGGTGTAAGGAAGGGTTTCTACATATGGCTTTCTTTCAGGTTTCAGGTTTCTACATATGGCTAGACAGTTTTCCCAGCATCATTTATTTAATAGGGAATACTTTCCTCATTTCTTGTTTTTGTCAGGTTTGTCAAAGATCAGATGGTTGTAGATGTGCGGTGTTATTTCTGAGTCCTCTGTTCTGTTCCAATGGAGACCATTAGTTTAGATAAAGGTGTGTAATGACTTCAAAATTCCCTTCCAATCTGATTATCTAATCACAACACTTGTTCTGACTATATTGCAGCAATGATACTTTTATTGGAAGAATACTCATGGTGTTATGTTGTTGCTATATGAACAAAGCAGGTTTAAAGGAGCTGTATATGACATATTATATATATATTGCATATTCATACGTACATATACACATATATACTACATACGATTTATACTTAGAAAAGACTAAAAGTAAATATGCCAATGCTACAAACTATACAAAAAGCCAATTAAAATTATTTTTTGAAGGCAAAAAACGTGGCATTTCTTCAGTGTAGATGGATGAGTGTGATTGGCATTATTTCCAAATGCACAAAGTAAATAAATGTGTGAGATGAGCCTAGAGTTTGCTAAGCCCACTCTGTATATCCCTTCATTCACTGCTAGTTGGTTTCTTGGCCAGGAGACACATATACTGAAGCAGTGAAGGGGCTGTACAGCTCACCAGTTAGGTGCACTGGTTCAGATAGATAGGCGACTGGGCCCAAATTCCTCTTCTGTCCTTCAAAAGCTGTATATCCCTGGGCATACTTGACCTCTCTCAAATTTTCTGATTTACAAAAGGGGATGATAATATCTGCCTAGCAAGACTACCATAAAGAACATGAAATGTGTTTAGAACCCCAGGACAATACCTAGCACATATTAAATGTCCAGTAAACGGCAGCTATTGTTATTGCTAGGAAGTGGCTCTTGCCACAGGGTGTTTCCAGTCTAGTGGGGAAGGCAGCAGACATTTGAACAGATGAATTATACTACATCCCAATTAGCAATGCTATTGAAGCAAAGACTGTGTTGGGAACTCAAGGGAGGCATGCTTAATGGAGTTAGAGCTAGAGAGTCTGAAACTCAGCTCCATGAAAGAAAAAGATTACTTCAGGCTCTGCCAAGATCTTTTCGGTCTCTGAAGCTACAGAAGAAACCTATGGAAGAGAGCAGAAGGCTTTGGAGGTGTGCCAGCCTTTTTGCTGTAGGTTCAAACTGGGTACTCTGCAAAGGAGCCCTGTTTCAGGGGACCTTGCCCAACACATGGGTAATATGGCCAGTCCCAGCTCTTGTACACTCTGACAAAGTTTGGGCTTTGAGATGAGTGAGAGCCATGGGCCCAGGCCTGCCTGCTTTAATTAGTTCCATTACATGCCTTCAGTGCTGCAAGAGAACACAGAGCCCTTCATCTTGTGTCACCTGCCAGGTAAGGGGTATGTGTCTCCTGAGACTGTCAGAATAAAGTTGTCTCCACGCATGCACAAGTTGAGCTCCTCAGCCCACACCACATTACTGCTTTCAAACACTGAAAGCTATTTTTAGTTGAGATTCCCTTTTAGGGAACATGGAGTGGGGAAGAAGGGTTGAGTAGTTTGATGGAAAGGAAGCACCAGATTTTAAAGATTCAGCTGCAAATTAGCCCACAAGGTTGTGTACAAATCTCTAATCTAATGTAACATTTGACCTTTGGAAACTACATTTGTTTTTGTTGTTTTAATGAAATGGAAAGCCAGATAAGAAAGATGAGGCTTCTAAACAAAGATGATTTTAGCTAGAGAGGAAGGAAGAAAAGCCAGGGTGGCAGAATTGCACCGTTGAACTAGGCATGCAGGAGGGAGATGGAGCTGGGGATGAGGAGAGAGGCAAGCTGACTTAGAGGGGCCATGGAAGACTGTGGGTGAAATGCACAAGGCAGAGTGTGAACAGGAGGGAAGTAGGCTAGGAGGTGGAGATGCAGGGTAGGGGAGTACAAGCAATTAAAAATGTGGCAGCTGCTCATGGGATTCCATGGCCCATGCCTTTGACCACTCCTGACTTGAACCACATCTTATTTTAGCTGCAGATGTGATGAGCAGTTCCTTTAACCAGTGAGGACTTCCTGTCTTAAGGCTCCTCAGCTCCTCTGCTTCAGAACTTTCTGCAAAACTGCAGAACCCACTTGGCCAAGTATGGAGGAATTAATGTGAGGCTGGGAAGAAGGAGGTAAGTGGAAAGAGGATGGGCGAGGTGAGGGGTTGTTGGATAATGCTCCAGCCTTCAAACCTATGGGAGGTGGGGGGCATCATTATTCTAAGTGCATTCTGAACAATTCTTCAAATTGTCCCCAGTCAGATTCCACCCCAGTTGCCCAAAGTGGTAACCAGCTCAGTATTCATTCTTTAAGGACTCTCCATTCTTCCCTGTATCAATCTCTCTGCCCTTCATTCCACTTCTTGAGATCACCTCCGAAATCAACTACCTGCACCTAGGTCCTTGTCTCAAATAGACTCTGCTTTTAGGGGAACCCAAACTTTGAGTAATTTGATGGAAAGGAAGCACGAGGTTTTAAAGATTCAGCTGCAAATTAGCTCACAATGTTGTGTACAAAGCTCTAATCTCCTGTGAGATTTCAGCTTTGGAAGCCACTTTCTTTGTTTGTTTGTTTTTGAAAGTAATGGCAAAAACCACAATTAATTAATTTTGCACCAACCTAATAAAAGAGGATTGAAGGAAATGAGTTGGTGGCAGCAGTATCTACAACAGAGAAAGGACAGATTAAATTATGCCCGTGGAAGTGTTCCACCATACACAATATTCCTCATCGTAACATAGGGCCGAAAGGACTTTTAAGATACTGTCTAATCTGTATTCTTACCTTAAGGCAACTCCTTCATCTCCCCAGACAGGAGAGCTTTCTTAAGAGTTGCTATTTGAAAATTTCTCAATATCATTAGCAAAATGTATGAAGTTGATAATTATCATTAGTACTGATAATAAATTAGAACACTGCCACCATAAACATAAAGTTATCACTGTTGACTTGTTACAAACCAATCTGATCAATCTGACAGATAACCATGTGGGAGGTAAGCCTGGGTGTTCAGTGCTCAATATATTGAAACGACTGCCTCTCTCCCTTCCCACCTCAATGAGGATTTCTGTTTCTCCCATGTATTCAACAGGAAATAAATTTTTCCCCATTTGCTGGTGCCGTATAAGCAAAACTATTTTCCTCATCATTGTTTAAGAACTATGTTTATTCAGTTTTGAAAAATCTATTTTTGTACACATACATTTCTGAAGAAATCCTTAGATACCATTTAAAAACCTGAATATTATTTTAGCACTAAGATTATCTTCTCCAGTTTCCTAGACATTCTCAGAGACATTGCTGACTGGAGAGGATACATTTTTTTTTTGGGATAAGGATTAAATTTGTTTCTCCACAAAAGAACCGCCTATTTCTGTAGCAATGCTATTTTCTTGACAAACTCAACCCTCTGTGGATTAAACTCCTCTTTCAACATTGACATCAAATATGTAATTCCCACAATTTTTCAAATGGCTAAACAAAATTATGAATGAATCTTCAGATAACATGTGAGATGAATGTGGACATTTTGAAATAGACTCCTGTTTAAATATCATTACCAGGAAAATTACTCTTCAGCAGAAAGAAAACAGTTCTGTTTTCATGGTACATGGGAAAAAAATACAAGATTTAAAAGGGAAATTTAGAGCCATTATCTGGACTATTTCTGCTAGTGCCATAGAATACAGAAAGCTATTAGAGATCTACAATGTAGGAAGTGCATGTAGCTGGTTGTAATCGACACTGAACTTCCAGTAGGGTTTTGAAGAGGCACATCCTGGCAATGTGGGAGAGTGTTGGTAATTAAACAGTCACAAAAATCTGAAACTGGAATGCTGACAAGAAAGCATCCTGGCATTACTAGCACTAATAGTCTAGTAGTGTCTAATAGTCAATCTGCAGTGCTCCTCTTCAGCTTAAATAATGTTTGCCAGAAATCTCAGTCAACACTTTTTTCCCTCCTTTCTTTTTGCATTATGCTGCAGGAATTATAGGAAGCCTGCTGTGATGGCAAGAGATTAGAAGGCAAGGATGTTCTCCAGGATAGGTTGGTTGGGAGACAGAAGTAAGAGAAACCAGAAAATGCACCTCAGTAAAAACTCTTGCCTGCTGGCCAATGCAGTAAAGAATAATACAGGATCTCTGACATGTGGGGTCAAAGGCTGCCTTGTCCTGTTATTTGTAGTTGTCATGCATTAAAAAGCTGCCTAAAGCTTTAGGGGTGTGTGCCAGAACTGAGCTGAGGTGGTAATAACTCCGTTTCTCTTCTGGGGTGTCCAAGGGTTATGTCTACAGAGAATAAGACCATTTGATGCAGACAAGAGGCAGGCAAGGACTGTGAGGAGCAGACACGTTGGGGTCAGCCAGATGAGAGTCTATTTACTTGAGGGAACAGTGAGCAAGTCATCTTATGTTTCTCTTCAGTTTCTGGCCTAAAGATAATAGCAAGAATAGTCACTACCTTGAAGGGTCGTGATGAGTATTAAATGTGATCACATTGGCGCAGTGCTTCGTACAGTGCCTAGCAATAGTAATACTCCATAAATGCTAGCCATTGCTTTCAGAGAAGAGGAAAACTACCACCAGGTGTTTTTTCATCATATGTAGACTATTGCAACAAGACCCAAGTTGAAATTTAGCCAAACTACTGTAGAGAAGATTCATGAAAGAGCAGAAGTTTTTATCATTCCTGTGTAAAATTTACCATGTGCTCAGCACCAGGCTGTGTGGTTGCCTATGAGAATTTTCAGTTCATTGATTGCTGGGCTAATAAATATGGAACACATTCTGTGTGAGTTTGACTCCAAGCCCTATGGTCTTTTTGCTATACCATATAGCTTCCTATCCTAGACCGGAAGAATTCACACAAGATTAGAACCCTGGCTTCCTAGGCAAGTCTTTCTGAGTGTAACTGTGGTACGGTATTACTATGCAGATATTCCTTCTCCCACCCTTTCCCTCTTGCACGTTGCCTTTGTGATTTATTTTGTATTTTTCATTTATTTATTATTTTTTCTTTTTTTCCTGAGATAGGGTCTTGCTCTGTCGCTCAGCCTGGAGTGCAGTGGCACGATCTTGGCTCACTGCAACCTCCACCTCCCAGGCTCAAGTGATTCTCCCACCCCAGCCTTCTGAGTAGCTGGGACTACAGGGGTGTATTTTTGATAGAGATGGGGTTTCACCACGGGCTGGTTTTGAACTCCTGAGCTCAAGTCATCTGCCCGCCTCTGCTTTCCAAAGTGCTGGGATTACAGGCATGAGCCACTGTGTCCGGCTGTGAAGTATTTTTTAAACAAAATATTTATTATTTTTTCTCCTTTTTCAAAATTTGTTTTATATTCAGGGGGTACACAGGCAGGCTTGTTACCTGGGTATATTGTGTGACGCTGAGGTTTGGGATATAAATGATCCTGTCACCCAGGTACTGAGCATAGTACCCAACAGTTGATTTCTCAACCCTTGTCCCCACTCCCTCCCTCCCACGGCTAGTAGTCCCCATTGTCTATTGTTGCCATCTTTATGTCCAAAATCACCCAATGTTTAGCTCCCGCTTATAAGTGAGAACATGCAGCATTTGGTTTTCTGTTCCTGCATTAATTCACTTAGGATAATGGCCTCTGGCTGCATCCATGTTGCTGCAAAGGACATGATTTCATTCTTTTTTATGACTGCATAGTATTCCATGATGTATATGTACCACATTTTCTTTATCCTGTCCACCGTTCATAGGCACCTAGGTTGATTCCATGTCTTAGTTATCGTGAATAATGCTGCAATGAACATATGAGTGCATGTGTCTTTTTGGTAGAACATTTTGTTTTCTAGGTCAAGTGGTAGTTCTATTTTAAGTTATTTAAGAAATCTCCAAACTACTTCCCACAGCAGCTGAACTAATTTACATTCCCACAAACCGTGTATAAATGTTACCTTTTCTCCATAGCCTCTCCAGCATCTGTTGTTTACTGACCTTTTTTTTTTTTTGAAATGGGGTCTCACCCTGTCCCCAGGCTGGAGTGCACTGGTGCTATCTTGCCTCACTGCAACTCTGCCTCATGGGCTCAAGTGATCCTCCCACCTCAGCCTTACAAGTAGCTGGGACTTCAGACACAAGCCATTAGGCCCGGCTAATTTTTGTATTTTGTTTCAGAGGCGTGGTTTCTACAGCCATGTTGCCCAGGCTGCTCTCTAACTCCTGGTCTCAAGTGATCCGCCCACCTTGGCCTCTCAAAGTGCTGGGATTACAGGCGTGAGCCACTGCACCTGGCCTGACGTTTTAATAATAGTCATTCTGACAGATGTGAGATGGTATTTCACTGTGGTTTTGACAAAATATTTATTAACAGGTCTGTATGTGCTGGACACTCTTTAAAGAAAATCTTATTTTCCAAGCAATGTACAGAATTGTTCAAATATGTTATTACTCCTTGTGAGAAAAAATAATGTACGAATATATATGTGCTTGTATATGTCTAGATATCTCTGAAATATTCTGGAAGAGACTGTCTGGGTGAATGGAAGTGAGGGCTGAGGGTGAGAGTTTTGGTACTTGTTGAATTCTCTACTCCATGCATGCATTGATTATTCAAAATTAACTTTAAAAATAATATTTCCCTATGTAGCTATAATTACAATTGCTGTCATTTTGATTAATAGCTCTATGCTCTGCCTACAAGAATCCAAGTTTGTCTAAGAGCCTGAAAATGAGAGTCCTGTTGCTTTCAGAGCAGCTGATAGAGCAGAAGAAGGACTATGCCTAATTTACCATCGACCTCACAGGATAGTGATGCCACTGAAAAACATGCCAAAAGGGACACTCAGTTTGTTAGATGCAGTCTTTCCACTAACATATTTTTAAGGACAGAGTGTGAGTTAGTGTACCAAGACTTTACCAGAACTGCCGCTCCTAAAGCCACCATGCACATGACTGTGGCATCAGGTCAACTGCAAACACAGAGCCTGCGAAAGCAGTTGTCTCACTCAACATACAACAGGTGCACTGATAATTCTGCCAACAACCCGTTAGTGATGTCCCACACATAAATCTCATTTTTATAAATCCAAGTATCTGTTCAACCAAATTAAGTACCCACCTATCCTATGCCAGGAACAGTTCTAATGAAATTTTATTTATTTTTTATTTTTATTATGATTATTTTTTTGAGACAGAGTCTTGCTCTGTCGCCTAGGCTGGAGTGCAGTGGCACAAATCTCAGCTCACTGCAACGTCAGCCTCCTGGGTTCAAGTGATTCTTCTGTCTCAGCCTCCCGAGTAGCTGGGATTTCAGGTGCACGCCACCATGCCCGGCTAATTTTTGCATTTTTAGTATTTTTGTAGAGTATTTTGTATTTTTAGTAGAGTAGGGTTTCGCCATGTTGGCCAGGCTGGTATCAAACTCCTGACCTCAGGTGATCCACCCTCCTCGGCCTCCCAAAGTGCTGGGATTACAGGTATGAGCCACTGTGCCAGGCCCAGTTCTAATGAAATTTAAATATTCAAGTGGTAAGCTTAAAACATACCTCAAAATGAGTTTGATTTTACAACAAACTGTTTTACAAATGAAAGCATTACACCTTCTTACGTCTCTTCAAAATGATTTAAACATATTGTGATTAGGATCTTTGGGATGAATCGGAATCTCAGGTCCATCGCTTAGTAACCCTAAGCAAGTCACTTAATATTTTTGAACTTTAATCTCATCTTCTGTAAAGTGGGAACAATAACACCTATTTTTCATGGTGATTTGAACCTTTTAAATAGTGTATCTTTAGGGAGAGAGTTTAGCACAGTGCCTGCCATGGGTTTGCTTAATAAATAATAGTGGCCGGGTGCAGTGGCTCACACCTATAATCCCAGCACTTTGGGAGGCCGAGACATGTGGATCAGTTGAGGTCAGGAGTTTGAGACTACCGTGGCCAACATGGTGAAACCCCGGTCTCTACTAAAAATACAAAAATTAGCCGGGTGTGGTGGCAAGCACCTGTAATTCCAGCTACTTGGGAGGCTGAGGCAGGAGAATTGCTTGAATTCAGAAGGTGGAGGTTGCCATGAGTCAAGATAGCACCACTGCACTCCAGCCTGGGCAACAGAGTGAGACTTTGTCTCAAAAAAGTATAATAATAAAAAATTAAACAAATAATAAATAATAGCTAAGAAGAAAAAGTACAAGTATTTTCAGTTAAATGAATAAACTGCCGTTTTATAAATCCAAGTTAAATTATACCCTGCCCATTTCAGCTTGCTCAAGAGGAAAGAAAAGAAAAAGAATTCTTAGCTCTCTTGTTTTTTCTTTCTTTTCACAAGTCAGAGCAAAGAAAGTATACAACCACAATATACAGGAAACACACGTGTTCTGTAAAAAGGGGCAGCAGCTCTTTACTTTCAGAGAGAGTGAAAGATGTGAAAGCTAGTCAATGGCGGAGCATTAGAAACAGGATCAATAGGAACAATATCACCTCTCTGGGTCAGCTGATGAAAGCCTGGAAGGACTGGGCTTGAAGAGATGACTTCCAAGGCGTCTAGTCCTGATTGCTTAATATTTCATTAGAAAAGGTTAGCTCCCCTGCCTTGCCCAGAGTCATAGGAAGTCAGTGCAGGAAAACATCTTGGTGATCATGCAGATATCAGGCTCATTTTACATGGCAGGGGCAGAAAACTGGGGCTCACTGAGAGAAGACTGGCCCTGAATCACCTAGCAAGTGAGTACCAGACCCAGAACCAGTAGCCAAACCTGCAGATGTCTACGGCAGAACTCGTTCCTCTCTATCACCCAGACCCCAGCTGTTGCTGTATACCATGGGCTTAATTCTGGGTTATGATTATGACTTGTTGAATTTTTAAGCTCTCTAAGATGAACTTCAACAGAAAACATTCAGTATTCCCGAATGCTATATAACTTCTGCAAAGGGGACTAGTATGACAATTTTATTTCATGGGAATGGGGGTAGTGTATAAGCAGTGAGCAGTGTTTCAAAACTGGAGCTTCCTTTGAAAGCCCTATAAGGCAATTGGGCTCTTTTGAGGATGCTTATCTCTCCATGAGGGTATGAAAATTAAAAGTTGGAGGCACAATACCTTTGTAAAGAGCTTTATGACTGACACTTTTAACAGGGTACTGTGGCAGTGTTTGTTTCTTCAAAGTGCTGATATGACTTGCGGGTAAATCGGCTACTTTTTCAAGTCTCTTTCTGTCATCAAATGCTTCCTACAACTTGTAGGTTAACTCGACTCATTTCTGCAATATTGAACAACCAAGAGGAAGCCAGCATTACAGTTTATGATTAAAATAAAGTGAAGGTGTCCAAAATAATGTTAGCTGTGCCTACCAGAGCTCATGCTTTAAAGTAGACTTTTCCAGTTAATACTCATGTTTAACCAGAAAAGCAGAAACCTCACTCTGAGGATGTGGGTTCTGCCTTCTTGAGCATGAAAAGTTTCCTTTCTGTTCTTCAGGTAATTATATCATTTACTTCAGTTAAGAGTTAATCATTTCTATTTTGAACAAAGAAATATTCTATAAATAGGTAATAAACATTTCTTTGAGACACTTGCAGGCGGCCACTCAATAGAAAGGGCATGATAGACTTTGGGAGGCCAAAGTAGGCAAGTCACTTGAGACCAGGAGTTTAAGACCAGCCTGGCCAACATGGGGAAACCTCGTCTCTATTAAACGTACAAAAATTTAGCTGGGCATGTTGGCGCATGCCTGTAATCCCAGCTACTTGGGAAGCTGAGGCAGGAGAATCATTTGAACCCACGAGGTGGAGGTTGCAGTGAGCTGAGATCACGCTGTGCACTCCAGCCCAGCCTGGGTGACAGAATGAGACACCATCTAAAAAACAAAAAGAAAGAAAAGAAAGAAAGGACATGATAGCTTACATAACAGGCATGAGCCAACTCTGCCTGTCTATGCTTTAAGGAGTTTATACTTTGGGATAAAACACATCTGTTGCAAGGAGCAATATTATTAGACCATTTTCATTAGAACTGTTGCTATTAGGTAGTATCCAGAATGCTAGTCCATGTAACAGACATCACAGGGATGATTGATAGAGGAAACTAATTTCATTCAACAGGCCCTGACTGGGAGTACAAATCGTGTATATGCCAAGTATGAGGTAGACAAATAGCCTTTCTAACAAACACGAAATGGTAAAATATTACAATAATTTATTTCAGAAGCATTGAGTAGTCTGTTTCTTTCCTCCTCCTAGAGTGAGTCATCACACTTGAGGTATCACTTTGTATGAATGAGAAGGTCTATCCATGTTAAAAATCTGGCTGTGGTTTTAAATTGAGGGCACCAAAAGGTATCCTTGGCTGGCAATTGGTGGTCCACGCATAGGCGTCTGTGTCATTTTCCTCCATACAACATTGGTTTTGTGTTCAGCACACTGCTCTGTGGAATTACAGGGCCCAGGCTCAATGATTCTGGAGCTCCAAGCAATAGATCTTTTCCAAACTCCAATTAAGCCAACCAAGTAATATTTGTCTTTCTTCAACTGCCTTTTATCAGGATGTTGTCTGAGATTTCCAAACTACTTGGTCCCTTCTAAAAGAAGGAATGAAGCATGAATATTTATCTCCTGCTTACAAAGTAATTACAAATAATTAGCTCTGACATAACAAACAACCATATCCCTTCCATTTGTTTCCATCTCTAAGATTTCAGGGTTTTCATTGATAAGACTCTTAAGGAATGCAAAAGTTGATTATATAATTTCACAACATGTAGTGCTTAGCAATAGTAAGGAAACTCTATTTAAATTCCAAGATCCAGTAATAACTATAGGAAAGTAGGTACTGCCTCAAGGAAGAGTAGGCTGCTATAATTATTGTATTATAATTATTAGTTTAACATAAGACTTTCTCACGGTATTGTAAGATCTGACAGGAGTGTATAATATCTGTCTTGTTCAAGGCTAAATTCTCAGGATTGTAAAGTTTTGTTAGTAATAATATCAGCCTTAAGGCTTATGGTGAGGAATTAAATAAGATCAACAAATGTAAAGAACTTAACGCAGTGCTTAGAAGATAACAGATATTCAATAAATATTTTGTTTAATGCAAATTATAGAGGAGCACAAACAGGAGAAGGAAAGCTTATGACCGAAGAAGTTCCTGCCTGTCACAAAGTTTTATTTGCAGGCCAGGCGCGATGGTTCATGCCTGTAATCCCAGCACTTTGGGAGGCCGAGGTGGGCAGATCACCTGAGGTCAGGAGGTGGAGACCAGCCTGGCCAATATGGTGAAAATCTGTCTCTACTAAAAATACAAAAAATTATAGCCAGGCATGGTGGCAGGCACCTGTAATCCCAGCTACTCAGGAAGCTGAGGCAGGAGGATTGCTTGAACCCGGGAGTCAGAGGTTGCAGTGAGCCAAGATTGCACCATTGCACTCCAGCCTGTGTGACAGAGCGAGATTCTGTCTCAAAAAAAAAAAAAAAGCTTTATTTGCAAAATTGTCACGAAAGCTAACATTTATTGAATGCTTGCTATGCGCCAGGCTTTATGCCACCTTACTTCATGTCTGACAGCAAGACTAAGAAGTAGGTGTCATTATCACCATTTTATAGATGAAGAGGATAAGACCGATGGAAATAATGCTCCTGGGTTATCGAACAATTAGATGGCAATTCTAGGGTTCAATCTAGGGTTTACCCCAGAACCAGAAGGATGAAGCCCTATGATGCATGCTGAAACACAGCTTGGTGGAACCTCCTCCAGAAAGAGAGCAAAATTGCAGCATCTATGTCATGTGGCCAGCACTAAACTGGATGATGGCTGCCTTTTAACTGTCTGCAAAGTCTTGAGAGGAAAAAGAGCCCTCCGGCTTAGAGATTTCTGAGAGGGTCCAGATGGTTAAAGGATGACTGGCTATAAGTGGATGAGAAAGCTTTGGAAGTGAACACATCTCAACTGTTTTTCAAACCAGCCCATAAAAGAACTTGTGAAGTTCTAAGAAGGAGAGGACATAAAATAGGAAGAATGAGTCAGGAAAAGCAGTCAAACTACTTAGGGGCACTTAAGAAAGAGAATACAAGTCTGTACATTTTGTGTCTTATGAAAAGTGTCATTGCTCTGGTGCAAGAGGGCTGTAGCACAAGTCAGCAGATGAGGCTATGGGCATGTGACAACCCGAGGTCAATGCCACAAAGTTTACACAAACCCCAAAGGCAGCTTGAATGTCAGCAAATTTTTGCAGGAGAATAGGAGAGTGGCTTGGAGGATGACACAAGGGACTTCCATAAGGGGACCTGGAGCCCTGAAGTGAGACCAGATGAATGGAAAACAAGACACCAAAGAAACCAAAAAGGGAGGCAGCAAGGCATGAAGGGAGCAAGGTGACAAGATGTTGTGGGCTGAGTTGTGCCACCTCTTACACAATTTATATGTTGAAGCCCTAACCCCCCAGGACCACAGAACTGTACTGTATTTGGAGATAGACAGCCTCTTTAAAGAGGTGATTAAGTTAAAACGAGGTCATTAGGGTGGTCCCTAATCTAATCTGCGTGGTTGGTGTCCTTATTATAAAGTGTTATTAGGACACACATAAAAGAAACACCAAGGTTATATGTACACAGAGAAAGGCCATGTGAAGACCCAGGAAGAAGGCAGCCGTCTGCAGCCAAGGAGAGAGGCCACAGAAGAAACCAAATCTTGACCTTGGACTTCTAGCCTCCAGAACCATGAGAAAATAAATGTCTGCTGGCCAAGCCATACAGACTGTGGTATTTTGTTTTGGTAGCCTTGGCAAACTAATACACCAGGGAACAAATGAGCCATCTTTGGATTCTCCTAGGAAGGAGGAAGAACAGGCAGGAGGCAGGAAGAGGTTGGTTCAAGCAGCACCATGGGTGGCTCACAATAGTTCACCAAGTATTTTTATTGTAAACTCTGTTCTTTTGAAAGTATCCCCTTCTATTAGTCTGTTTTCATACTGCTATAAAGAATTCCCCGAGACTGGGTAATTTCTAAAGGAAAGAGGTTTAATTGACTCACAGTTCAGCATGGCTGGAGAGGCCTCAGGAAATTTTCAATCATGGTGGAAGGCAAAGGGGAAGCAAGGCACCTTCTTCACAAGGCGGCAGGAAGGAGAAGTGCCGAGTGACAGTGGGAAGAACCTCTTATAAAAACCATCAGATCTTATGAGAACTCACTATCATGAGAACAGAACTGTCCCCATGATTCAATTACCCCTACCTTGCCTCTCCCTTGACACGTGGGGATTATGGGGATTACCATTCAAGATGCGATTTGGGTGGGGACACAAAGCCTACCCATATTACCCCTCAACTGGTGAATCATGGAAAATTGGAGAGATAATAGCTAAGGCCCAGGACAAAAGTTGATATTCTGAAGAGACCTTAGACAAACGTAAGACTCTGCAACAGGCAGGTATCAGTGAAGAGAACTAAAAGTATGGCAAGGAGGCCAAAAAGAATAACAAGGAGCCAATGACCATGAACCTGCTTACTGCCGAATTCTATCAAGAGCTGGTTTTGCTGGAGACCAAAGCTTCAGGTGCTGGAAATAACATTTCCGTGATGTATGCTGGGAGGTCAAGAAGCAAAGTGGATATAAAAAGGCTTCACAAATACCTTCAACTGAACCAGCTTGGATTTTATTGCAGAGGACCTCTCCCTCACCCTGGGCTCCCCAGGGATTGCCAACCGTCTATTAATATGCAAAGGCTGGTGTGGCAGAACTCAAACACTGAAGCCTTAGAAACAGGAAGCTGGAGGAAAATTAAATGCATTTCATTCCCACAGCCGTTTTGATTACATAACCACACCTGAGCCACAGGCACACATCATTTTTACGTGATATCCTAATCACACCTGGGGGAGGTATTCAACATGTCTTACCTGTGTCTTAGCCCATCAGTGTTCTTAAACTCCTCTCTCTCCATCTCTCTCTCTTTCCTTCTTTCTGTGTCTCACTTTCTTCCTCAAAAGTTTGTAACATGGAATTTAAACCTAAATATCAAATGGTTTGACTGTTCATCAACGTGATATATTAGCATGATGGAGCGGCAGTCCAAGTGATAGATCCATCTTCAACTTGTTGTGTGACCTTGAGCATATCACACATCCTTTGAAATTGTTTCTTCATCCATAAAATATGGGTATTAAAAATAAGACTTTTCTCTATGCCCAGGGGGTTGTGAAAAGTTATTTACAAATGTTGTCCCATTTAATCCTCTCAACCTTGCAAGGTAGGTATGTATTACCTTAATTTTCCTAAAAGTATTGGGGTTACCTACTTCATAGAGTTACTGCACTAAATAAATTATATACAGCATGAAAAAACACTTTGTCGACTATGAAGCACCAAAGAAATGAAAGACAGCTAGATATTTGTTCTCAGTTCAAAGAAATCTCATGACTGTATAGTGTATGTTACTTCTAAGGAACATACTAAGAGAGGAAGAAAAGTCATTTGTCATTTCTAAGAGAGGAAGAAAAGTAATTTGTGTCCAACTCTGACATATCTTATGAACTAGCAATTTTTGATAGAAGAAAATGAAAACCAAAACAAGCTCAGAGAGATCTAATCACAAGCAATATGCAGAGATTAGAGTTCAGGAGTCACTTAGGAGAACACAGCAGCTGTTGATTTGTATGGCTGAGGGCAAACCTGGGGCCAGCCATGTCAAGGTATGTCTTGGTGAAGTCTGGCTTCAGCATGCTCTCCACCTACCTTGCAATGCAAACCTCATTTCTTTTCTGTTATCCTCCAATTCAGAGCTTTTATCCACCCCTTTCAATTGTCATAATGTATAATCCCATTTTTCACTCTTCTTAGGTCTCCTAAGAAGGCAACATATAAGTGGCTGAGCCAATCCAGTTGATATGTCCATAAATGCTATAGAGTTAGTGTGTTATTTTCCCAAAGTGAGAACTTTATAGCACAGTAGGCCAGTGAATGAAACAATTTTGGGTGGACCAACTGCTATGGTCTGAATGTTTGTATCCTCCCCAAATTCACATATTGAAATCCTAACTCCCAGGGTGATAGCAGTAGGAGATGGGGTCCTTGGAGGGTTGACTAGGTCATAAGGACCTCATGAATGAGATTAGTATTCTTGTAAAAGAGGCCTGAGAGAGAGTGCTTCCCCCTTCTACTATGAGGACACAGCAAGAAGACACCTTCTATGAACCATAAGTGGGCCCTCACCAGACACCAAATCTGCCTTGGACTTCACAGCCTCCAGAATCATGAGAAACAAATTTTTGTTGTATATAAGCTACACAGTTTATGATATTTTGTTAGGGCAGCCTGAACAGATGAAGACATCAACTTTTCCTAAGTCATAATAATGTAACCAATAACACCCACTAAAGCTTCTAAAGTACTCTTTGGATGAAGCAATACTTTAATGTAGAGTCAGTCTACTGCAGGTGATCGAAGACCTTACGGGACAGATAGGGTAAGAGTTATTATTATCTTCATGTTTTAGAAAAGGAAAGCAAGTCTTAGAGAGGCTCATTGACCTTTTCTACCTACCTACCTCCCTTCCTTCCTTCTTTCCTTCCTTCCTTCCTTCCTTCCTTCCTTCCTTCCTTCCTTCTTAGTGTAACAATGTTCCTCCCTATAACTCACAATCATCCATCCTAGCACTATCTTCTACAGCTGTTACTGGAGGTTATCAACCAAAAACCTCAAAACAAGTACTTTAAAGCTGAGAAGAAAATGCACATAAAAGTCCTATGAAAATTGCAAAGCACACTACAAATACAAGCTATCTAGCCTCAGATTGCATGTATCACCATTAAGGTTTCTGGGGATTTTTCTTTTTAAGCAAAATGGCATGGTTTTTATTTCTATTTTTCACCATACACATGGCAGCCTCAAGAATTCCTGACTCTATTCTCTGCTCTGTTCCAATAAACAGTCACTAAAACAACTTCACTCATCAACCATGTCTGCAATTTAGAAATAAACTAAAACTGCAAAGCAAATCACTGTTAATAAGAATTGTTCTTCTGTTTGACAGTTGAAGTGGGTGTGAGATGGGCATAGCAATGAACAGTGGGAGCCAATGAGGTCCTCAGAATGCGGCAAACTCCTCTGTGA
This sequence comes from Homo sapiens, assembly GCF_000001405.40. Lineage (NCBI taxonomy): Eukaryota > Metazoa > Chordata > Mammalia > Primates > Hominidae > Homo > Homo sapiens. Next base: position 120,739,095 of record NC_000008.11, read on the forward strand.
AAATGTATCCAGGCAAATGTTTACTGAAAATCTCTAGTAATTTCAAGAGAAAACAGAGTTGCTCTGGAAAAACCCCAATGCATTATTTAAAAGCCTTCTCTTTTTTACCTGTTTATTTATACTCAATTTACCTAGACCCCTCCTATCAATCAGCAAACCTTCCTCAGGGGAACAGGTGCAAAATCTGCTTAGTTTCAAGGGCCCAGTAGGGTTGTGAAGTTGAAAGAAAATTATTTGAGCCTTTCTGTGGAAACGAGCTAGCCTAATGAGAAGTGAGGACTTCCAACAATGGGGGTTGTTCTCAGACAATGGCATTCAGTCCTTTTCAAACACAAAGAGGTGTTTTTGTCAAAAAAGGGAATTTCCCAAGAAACCTAAGTTTTTCTGTACAAGCATTTAGGAACTCAAAGTGGAGAGCAGCCCATGCAGGATCCTAATAAACTAAAATTATCTTTTGTAGAGGAATTCGAATGAACTGTCATTTAATGGTAGATGGGAAATATTTGGGCATAGTAGAAGAAGAAAAATAAGACAAGGAGAAAGGGTCAGAAAAGTTCAGGGTTCTCTGTGTTTGGACTGGGGAATTAAACACATCTAAAGAGCTGTCATAACAAAAAGATTCATGTTGGGCTCCACATTCTCCTGACATTTACCTCAACTACTAAGTATTAAATATTTACAAAGCACTTGGGCTTGTCGAGTGCTTTTTAACTCTTCTTTACATTTTTGCCTTCTGCACAGGTGGGGAAGTGTCGCTATTACTCCCATTTTATTGGTGAGGAAGTGGAGGATCATAACTACCATGTGACATATTCAAATTACAAAGTTAATGGAAGAGTCAGAGCTGGCATGATTAAAAATGGCACAGCCATACATGACCCCATGTTCCTAGAGTAACCTGTCTATACCCAGGGGAAATCAGTCAATGGCCCTAAGAGAAATTCAGCAGGAAAGCAGTTACTTGCTTCTTTTCCATGATCTGTTTTTGCCAGAGGGTGGATACTTAGATTCTTTAAATTTAGTGACAGGAGGAGAGCTGGAAGAAAAGTGATGCACCTCTTATATATTTGGCTGAAGACAAGATGGTCCATAGCAGCTGCTGCCCTCATCACTTCCTCCACCTTCTGAGCCATGAAGCTGTCACAGTCAAGAACTTGGCACATGTTATATTTTATATAGAATGAAGCATCCAGGTTCAGATCCTCCATCACCTTGGCATCTTTCGTCTAGAGTATGATCTCTCAGAAGAAAATTATCCATTTCCTTTCATTGATTTTGCAGTAAAACAAAAAGAGTAATCACAATAATAATAACTAATATTTACGGAGCATTTCCATGTGTCAGACATATTTTAAGGACTTGAGGTAGAAGGAAAGAGGATGCCAGAAGAAATTTTAGCTCTGACATCTACAGTTACAGCAAACAATCAACACAACCTAACTCCTAGGCAAATAAAGAAAAAAGAGGTGGGGAACTGGAACTGGCTTACAGGCCATGGGTAATTAAGCCTTATGTTAAGCAGCTCCAGGCATTCCACAACAGTCTCCATAGCAGCAAATAGGAAGCTCTGGCCCAAATGGAAAAACTGATTTAGACTTTGTCCGGAAGAGAGAATGATGGGCGGCCTGTAGGCACATCCAAACACAGTTATTTTCTTTTCTTCTTCTTTTTTTTTTAATCACTTTTTGTTATTATTTTTTGCAGCACATAAAATTGAAAAAGAAAAAGAAAAAACTTTAACACATTCTATTACCCAAATGTATCAAGCATTTTTAATCTTCTCAACAGCACACAACCACTAGGAAGTGGTTACAATGATGACAGCCATTTCACAGATGTGGAAACTGAAGCCCAGAGAGCTTAAGACTGGTTACCTCCCAGCTAGTCAGTGGTTGAGCAAGGATTTGATCCCACAGCCTGTGACTTTAATCACTAGCACAATAACATCACATCAGTCCTGTCCACACGCTAATGTCAGGCAGTGCGTTTGCACAGAAGGATGCATCTTCTTGGTGTCCAGTGTATCCACTTCTACTTTATACAGCTCTCTTCCTTTTGGATGAGACATTAACCTCACATGATCATATTAGAGATTCATGTCCAAATTTACTAAGTCTTCATGGCAACGAGTCATTGATTTTCTTTCTTTGTTTTAAGCATTTCTAGGCAATTTTGATTCATGTTCTACGAATTCAGACTCAGATACATGTGGTTAGAAGTATAGTGTTTTACGGCCAGGCACGGTGGCTCACACCTGTAATCCCAACACTTTGGGAGGCCGAGGTGGGCAGATCACCTGGGGTTGGGAGTTTGAGACCAGCCTGGCCAACATGGCAAAATGCTGTCTCTACTAAAAATACAAAAATTAGCTGGGTCTGGTGGTGAGCCCCTGTAGTCCCAGCTACTCGGGTGGTTGAAGTGGGAGGATTGCTTGAACTTGGGAGGCGGAGGTTGCAGTGAGCCGAGGTCACGCCACTGCACTCCCACCTGGGTGATGTGACAGAGCCAGAGTCCCTCTCCAAACAAACAAACACACAAACAAAGAAACAAACACCCAAGAAGTATGGTATTTTACCCCCTCCTAATTTTTAAAAACATGAATCTAAGTGTCTTCTCCACTTTCATTTTTCTATATCAGTGGTCAGCAAACTATAGCCAATCTGGCTCTTGGTCTATTTTTGTAGGACCTACATGCTAAGAATAGTTTTTACATTTTTAAAGGTTGTAAAAAAGAAAAAGAAGGAGAAGAAGGAGAAATAGAGAAGGAAGAGGAGAAAGTGGGGAGAAGGAGGAGGTGGAGTATGCCATAAAGACTGTATGTGACATGCAAAGCCTTCAACTCTATTCTCCAAAGTATTCCAGGGTCAGTATTGAGTTAGGGTATGTGTAAGAGATACAGAAGTAGCCATATAAATATTGTGTTTTATAAACAAAGTTGAGGAAGTAAAAGTTTAATCCATAGGGGATGGGCAGGTAGAATACACAGGTGAATGGGCTGGATGAACAACTGTAGGAAATAATAGGGCCTCTGAAAACAGGAGAACAGAAGCAAAGACATTCAACTTAAAAAGAAAAATCAATTCCTCTGACAGCCAAGCAAAGCACTGCCTGCCATCTTATGGCCCCTGGCTTAAGTAAAACCATTTTGAGTTAGAAAGCTGTGCCTTTAAAAAAGATTTTCTTGATTCTCTTGGATGTTGTGTTCCATTGATTCTAAAAGCAATAAAAAGAATTTTCATGAGATATCAGTAAAAGTGTACCAACCCAGAATGACTAAGGGATAAGTTACTGAGGCAGGTGACTGGCTCGCCTGTTCTGGAGGATGTAAGCAACTGAAAGCATCACATTTGTCTGAGGTGATTTATTTCTGATTTATTTCTTACAGGAAGCAAAGGGATCGAGTCACAGGATGGCACCTGAGCATCCCTGTCTCAGCTCAGGACTCCTTGCTGAGCTTCCTCCTACAGCTGAAGGTACAGCATAAGTTCTCCACCTTTCTCACATTGGTGAACTCTTCTAAGTCATATGGGCAGTGTTTCATTCAGCTGTTCTTTTCAGGAGCTTTATTTAAATGGTGCCTTTACAGACTGGAGTAATGAATTTGCCTCTTACAGTAAGACATTTCCTTCCTTTTTCCAGAAATTAACAGACTGATAGGTATCTTTTAGATAGGGAACTTTACACAAAGAAGGTGCTAAACACTGCATGCATCTCTAAACACTAAACTAGGGCTCTCTTCTGGGTCTTGCAGAGAGTGGGGAGGACAGATCAACTCACACCTTGGGAGTGTTGGTGAGGAACAAGTGAAACCAACAGTGATCTCTGGGGACCAGCATAAAGCCAGATACGAATTTCAAAAATTCATATTTTTGAAAATGAGAAGAGGAGAGGTACAGAGACTTTCAAGTGTGCAGAAGTAAGATATTTAGAAAAAAGTAAAGTGAGGTAGGAGTCTACTGCAGGGAGCTCTCTGGAGGATCTTTAGAGGTCACCACAGGGACTACCATTTCTCTGAAAGCAAGTCAGTGACTGTACTATAGAACAGAAATTCTTCTTTATGGGTTTTTCTGCTCAATTGTTCCACAAGGAAACTTCTGATTAGTAGAGACCAAATATGTGAGGACAATCCTAGTGAAGTTTAATCTTCAAAGGACACAGATCTCATAGACTGGCTGACTGTGTAATTGGATGACTGTGTTTTATTATCATTTGGGGTCAGGAAATTGCACGTAGCACAGAGGTAATTATAAAACACGGTTTTGTAATTATAAAACACCCTTTCCTTTGTTTCTTGATTGACATTCTTGATATCTGGCCAGCATTACTCATGTTAACTGATATCCGCAATGCAGGCAGGAGTGATCGGACTGTATTAATGGAAAGTTGCATAAGGGGTCATGCAAAGACCTGTGTTTAAAGGGTTGTGCCTCAGTGAAGGAAGATGAAATTCTAATGGAGTTTGATTTGCAGCAAAGGTAGAAGTAGTAATTCCCTGTTTCCTGATAAAGTAAAACCCCCTTTCAATCTATGAATGAAACATTCAATAAAAAGCAGGTGGTCTAATGACAGAGGCACTTTTAGAGGTGTGGGGTTTTTCTGGGTGTCATCATTACAACGTTGGCAGGTGGCAATGAAATAGCCAAAATCTGTTCCTAAACTTGTGTATCTCACACTAAAGTACGGAGCCCACTACTATTATATCACAGGGTCCAATACAATAAAATGTCATTTCTTTATAAAAATTTAATTTGGGTCTGGGTGCAGTGGCCCATGCCTGTAATCCTAACAGTTTGGGAAGACAAGGCAGGAGGATCGCTTGAAGCCAGGAGTTCAAGACCAGCCTGGGTGACATAGTATACTTTGTCTCTACACAAAATAAAAATTAGTTAGCCGGCCATGGTGGCATATGCCTGTGGTCCCAGTTACTTGGGAGGCTGAGGCAGGAGGATCGCTTGAGCCTAGGAGTTTGAGGCTGCAGTGAGCTAAGATCGTGCCACTGCACTCAAGCCTGGGTGACCCTGTCTCAATTTTTTTTTTTTTTTGCAAGGGAATCCCTCATACAAGAAGGTAATGGGATGGGGAAATTCAGGTCTTCACTTCGATTTATTTCCAGTTCCATTGGGAAGAGAAGCTGATTAAATCAATGCTTGGAAGAGTACATCTACATCTCTTACTCTAAAAATTAACTAGCACCTCTCCTTTCCTTCTAAGAACTAATGCATCCATTTAAGCAAATGAAGATCAATGTTAGCAATGCAATTTGCTGCAACAGAAAAACGTACAAAGATTCCTTGAGCTACACAAGAAAACAATCATTTGTCTTAGCCCCTCTACCAACCCTGGAAGCTGACTCATCTGCAGAAGATGGATCATTCTCACCCCCTCAGAATACAAATGCAAACCTTTCAGTTACTCTTAGTATGTTTGAAGTGGCATAAATTCAACTTCATTTTTACCAGTAAATATAATATATTGCTATCATTGCAGGGGAACTCAGTGGGAATAATTTTTCCTTCTATTTTAATATTTTATTATTTTTTAGTGTTGGTAGGTTTTTTCTGGACAAAGGAAACTTTGAATAGATACTAAACATGGATTAAGTTGGAAAATATTTCAGACTCCTAAAACCAAAACAAGCAGCAACTGCAAATCACATTTGTATGATTTGTATTTGTATTGCTGTCTCTTCTTCTATGTCCAAAGCACCTAATATTGTTGTCACATTAAAAATAATAATACAATCATATATTACATGAAATAATATAATACCATAATTTGGTAGATTTTAAAAATATAGATATCCCAAGTTCCACAGCTTTCTTTTATTATCCAAATAAAATGGCTGGTTACTCTCCATGACAACTTCTTGCCCCCAAATCCATCGTCTTTCTTGATGTCCTGAGAGACTGACCTCTGTGGGCTTCATTAACCAGTCTTGCTTGTCCTCTGACTTCTATTTGGTGCAGACATTAGGACCATAGGCAGAAGAACAAATGTGGAAAAAAAGAGGTCTCGGTGGTTATTTTAACTGTCCTGCCCAACTAGGTTCCTCTCTGCTCTTGGCTGCACAGAGCCACAAGTGTTAGCAGTGGGGCAGAGTGGAGAGTCTTCCCTGACTGCAGCTTTCATCAGCCCCTGTTGATGCATCTCCCTCTCCAGCCTCCCATGCTTGGGGTGCTGATGGCTCCCCACTGTCACTAGTCCCTGACATCATCCCCATCGTGGTTGGTTACATAACCTGGGTCACACCTCTACTCCAGCATTCCATCCATTTCCTGCCAGGACCTTGCCCGATATAGCCCCATCCTACAGACGGAGAGAAGCCAGCATTCCCCAGGGGACTTCTGAAAATTCCAGAAGAGAAGCAGAATTACATTCTGCTGTCACAGTTTGTCTGGATTCCCTCACCTAGATTAATTCTCAGACACTCCATTCACCATGACACCTCCTGGGGATGTTTCTTTTTCCACCTACTCCTTGGGAGGAGCCCTTCCTAGCTCCCTCATTTGTCAGTAACATTTTACTGAAGGCTTTAGAAACATGGAGGAGAACTCTTATTTGGAGCAAAACAGGAAATATCTTAAAATTAATTTTAGACATGATGCAATTCCTCAGCTGAATTTCTTCAGCCACCCACCCAAACCATAGTGAATTTCTCTCTGGAAGGCTTTCTCTGTAATCCTTAACAGCTGCCATGACGCTGGACACTCTCTCTCACCCCAAAGTCTTGTCCCACTGCCCCCGTATCTTTACTGCCTCTAACTGCTGCCTCTCCTCCCAAGAGTTACTCCGTCATGCACCCTATTATTGCTCTGTTTTGGTCTGAATCTAATCCTTACAGACCATGCCCAAGGGTCTATCCCAGGGGTTGGTTCACCCCAGCTCTGTGGGTCCAATCCACCTGTGTTTGTAAATAAAGTTTTATTGGAACACAGTCACACTCATTATCCACGACAGTTTGGTGCCACTGCAGAGTTGAGCAGAGTTGAGCCTTGAACAACATAGGTTTGAACTGCATAGGTTCACTTATACTTGGACTTTCTTTCATCTCTGCCACCCCAATGCAGCAACACCAACCCCTCTTCTTCCTCCTCCTCCTCAGCCTACTCAACATGAAGATGATGAGGATGAAGACCTGTATGATGATCTACTTTCATTTAATGATAGTAAATATATTTTCTCTTCCGTATGATTTTCTTAATAACATTTTTTTCTCTAGCTTACTTCATTGTAAAAATACAGTACATAATATATATATAACATACATAATATATGTTAATTGATTATGCTATTGGTAAGACTTTGGTCAACAGTAGGGTATTAGTGGTTAAGTGAGTACAGAGTCAAAAGTTATATGTGAATTTTCAATAGCGCAGAGATTGCTGCCCCAAGCCCCGTGTTGTTCAAGGGTCAACTGTGGTTGCAACAGAGATCTTATAACCCACAAAGCCTAAAATATTTACTCTTTGGCTCTTTACAGAAAAAATTTACCTACCCCAGCTTTAGCTTTTCACATCTAAATAAACCAAGTGGTCATTTTTCTAAATAAAAGTTACAGTCTTTCCTTAAGATTAACTGTGCCGTTTACTATGATATCAAGATGAATAGACAGGCAGCTTTCAAAATAATGATTTCTTTCCGTTATTCAGTATAATAAACATTCAGTATTACTGGACATGGGAGAAATGGCATTTCCTATATTCAGGCTATAGACTGAAACCATGTTTCCAGGGACAGTTTAATCATCTTGAAAATGTGCATGGTGTTTAGTCCATTCATGCAACTTTAATTAATTTATCCTAAGGAAATCAGTAAGTATTGAACAAGGATTCAGTCAGTCACAAGGATGTCATCATGAATAGTTTGTAATAGGGAGCAACATGCACAGCAACAACTGTTGTAGATCTAGGCACGGAATACTCGGAAGCAATGAATTGTTTTTTCAGAGAAAAATGTCCATGGTGTATTTTTAAGTAAAAAAGAAAAAAAAAGGCAGGTTAAAATACAGAATATATCACATGGTCTTATTTATTATTTTTGTTTAAATAGGCATACCCCATATACACCATGGAATACTATGCAGCCATAAAAAAGAATGAGATCATGTCCCTTGCAGGGACATGGATGGAGTTGAAGGCCATTATCCTTAGCAAATTAATGCAGGAACAGAAAACCAAATACCACATGTTCTCACTTATTTATTGATTTATTTTTAAGACAGGGTCTTGGTCTGTCGCCCAGGCTGGAGTGCAGTGGCACAATCTTGGCTAGTTGTAACCACCATCTCCAGGGTTCAAGCGACTCTCATACCTCAGCCTCCTGAGTAGCTAGGACTACAGGCGTGCACCACCATGCCCGGCTCATTTTTGTATTTTTAGTAGAGATGGGGTTTTGCCATGTTGGCCAAGGTGGTCTCAAACTCCTGACCTCTATTGATCCGCCTGCCTCAGCCTCCGAAAGTGCGAGGATTACAGGCATGAGCCATCACACCAGGTCCATGTTCTCACTTATAAATGGGAACTAAATGATGAGAACACATGGACACATAGAGGAGAACAGCACATACTGGGGCCTTTCAGAGGGTGGAGAGTGGGAGGAAGGAGAGGATCAGAAAAAATAACTAATGGTTACTAGGCTTAATACCTGGGTGAAGAAATCTGTACAACAAATCACCATGACACAAGTTTACCTATATAACAAACCTGCACATGCACTCATGAACTTAACATAAATTTCAAATTAAAATATAAAAAAATAGGCAAACCCATACACACATATGTATATACACACAAAATAGTCTAGAACAATGTACTAATTTTTAAACATGGTTGTCTCTGGGTAGATATAAAATTATTATTTTTCTTCTTTCTTTCTTTACTCTTTCGCCATAGAAAAGATATATTATGCATTGCTAGTTATTTTCTGTGTGATGAGCTCTTGAATGGACTTGTTTGCCAGAGTTTAAGTGTTTGATGCCTGCTAAAGAATAACTGTTTGCTTTTCTAAATAACTCAAACTTTTCACTTCCCTTTCTCTTGTGCAACCAGGCATCCTCTCAGATAAATTAGTTTGACTCTACTCAAATAAGCTCTGTTGTGGCAACAGTGGACATCCTGTCCATTCTACTCATGGTAAAGTCTCCTGTATCCTCTGTATTAGATCAGGAAGTTGTTTGTTTTGGAGTGGGTTTTTTTTCCTCCCTCCTTTTTAACTTGTTCTAAATATATATCTATCCACATAAATAGAGATGACAAAATATAAAAAATTTGGTCGTCATCCTTCCGTAGTCTGGGAACTGCAGTGTGGAAATTCAATACAAAGGATCTGTTTTCTGAAGCATCTGGCTCACGCAGGAATTGTAAAGACTAGAGGGAAAGGGATGGTGAAGTGATTTGCTGTCTGGAAAAGTCAGATTCATGGATCAGGGGGACTTTGACTTCACAGGACCCATAATACAGTACATAACATACAAAATATGTATGTTATAAAGCTGCCCATAGAAGAAGAAATGTGTAAGCCCTTCAATTTACTATGAACCTTCAAGGCAGATAATTCCAAAGGAAAATAAAAAATGGAAATTTCTTCTAGGGGTTATGCTGTTAATGCTTCATTACCCAGCAAAAGACTAGAATGGCACTAAAGACATATCCTTGTTTTATTGTGTAGGGCAGCATTCTAGTTTCATTAAACATGGCATAGTAAGAAATAGCCCAGGCATTGCAGCCAGGCAGACTCAAGCATTTAAGTCCCTGGCCATGCAACTTCACAGCTGTGGGACTTCCAGTAAGTCATTTGCACTTGTCTGAGTCTAAATTTTTCTCTTCTACAAATTATAGGAAGAATACTACCAACCTTGTAGTGATTTTTGTTATTGTTACTGATTATACAGGCAACGGGTAGTATGACACCTGGCACCCAATAAGAACATAATACAAGTGAATCAGTAATCATATAAATCTAAATTATAAAAAATTATAATGACTTATAACAGTGGTTATAATAATAATCTTCTAGTTTGCCTGATTTTTCAAAATTGAATCAAAGGAAAGCCTGGAAAAGAACGAGAAGACGTCCTTCAACAGATTAGTTAGGAGGTCTCGGCTGTAGCCTATTTCTAGCTAGTTCTTCCAAAGACCCGTTTTCTCCAATTTTTAAAATTTGCTTGGGCAAACCACTGATTGCAGGAGGTAGTAAAAAGGAAAGGGAAAGCATTCTCTTTCTTCTGTACATGTTTGCAGAATCTAGTTGTGGCCAAGGCTAAATCTTAAATTATTCCTTTCACTGTACACTAGCAGTTGGCCAAACTGCTTACTGAAAAGTCAACTTATTTTAAGGAGGCTACTTAAATATATTGATTTTTCCATGTCTAGAAGTTGGATCAATATACTCTGCATAAACCACTACAGCCTCTCTATGTATCTACGTGATGTATCTTATTCTATTTTTTTCTGGTAGTATCTTGTGGCTGTCTGTATGCTGTGAAGAGGCCCTCTCTTGTGGTTGCCTGTTGAGTTTTTTGGTTATTGAGAAAGTCTTATGAACAACTGTTGATAAAGGTTTGCAAAAAAGGAAACTGAAACAGACTCAGGGGAAGTTAGAAGCCAAATATCTTTCTTGTCTTTACATTTCCGCTGCAAGTCTAGGTGTGGCTCAGCAACTGCAATATGTGGGTTGGCTTGAAACATTAGTACGGAAAGGTCTGTGCTGCTCTTGGAATTCCTGTCTGCTAATTCCTGTGAACTTACCTAACTCCTCATGAGTCTAGATTCTGTTTCTTTTTCAGGTGCAAAAACTGTCCAAGTCTTTGACTCAAAGCCATAACATGGTTCTTTCTAAGTTTTAAAGTTTTTGCTTTATAAACCTCTAGCAATCACAGAACATGAACAGAAATTTCCACCTGCAAATTTTTAGTCATATAGCCCAATTATTTTAATTATTAAGAAGTACTAAGAAAGCTTGGTTGAGCTTGCAAGGCCAGCCCTTCCTGTCAGAGACAAATTATTCAATTACTAAAGTGAATAATCCCTCCCTCCCTCCCTCCTTCCCTACGTCCCTCCTTCCCTCCCTCCCTTCCTTCCTTCATTCATTCCTTCCTTTTCACCATTGCCCGCTTCCTTTACTTATTCCCTTAAACCTTTGTATCTCCAGCACCCTGTGCCCAGGGTCTGGTGATAGCAAAAGCTCAACAAGTATCTTGAATTAGTGTATTTATACAATTAATCATTTTATGGAGAGTGTCTACAATGTGAAATGAATTGCTGAGCTCCTAACTGCCCCAACACCGATTGATTTGCCTGAAATTCCTTCATTGGTGATTTATTTGTTGAACTGGTTTCTCTAGGTTTCACCTTATGTTGATAACACACAAAATTCTTATCATTCATCAAAATCAAATTTGTCTTTTCATATTCACTGTCTCTTAAATCGCTGTCCTCAGATGCAGGTCACTGTGCTCTGACTTGTAATAATGTTGCCAATACAGTTTGTAAAGGGACCTCTGACTCTTGGGAGAAAGATGCTGCCGAAAAGGGAATTGATTATAAAATAATTGAATACACTGGGGTGTATCTGGCCTTCTGTTTAAATGAAATTGACTCACCAAGGGTCATGAATGCTCATTTGTTCAGAGAAGAAGGATGCTGAGAGATAAGAAAGAGAAGAGGAAGGGACATTTCCATCTATCATGAGGTGTCAGGTGGAAAATGAAAGGCTGGCTTCCCTCTTCCAAGCAGAATCAGCTTTATGCATTAGGAAGGAATTTAAGTATGGGGAAAAGCTCCTGCAGAATCTAAAAGAATCCCCCTTCCCCAAGCTACCCCCCATCTGGATATATTACAATTCAGATGTTGAAAACACATACAATCAGCCTGCTACTTAACTATTATGACGTTGTCTTCTAAGAAGCAGAAAAATCCTATTATCTATGGCTAAAGGATTCCATCTAATAACTGACCTATGATCACCCACTGTCAGCTTTAGAGAACAAGGTATCAAGGAACAGAGAGTCACAGAATGGAGAAGTTCTGATGGAGGAGAGATGATGAAGTGAGATTCAGTGCTTAAGTAAAAAGTGGAGTGAGGACGCTAAGTTATCTCAGGAGAGGGAAGAAGGGGGAGTAAATGTGAAAAGACAAACTGAATTTTGATGGAAATCTGATATGTGATGGATGTTGTCCACATTAAGATGACACCTAAAAAAACTATGCAAGGATATTAATTACTAAGGAAGGAATTTCTGACACGACAACTGGGTAGAGGATATCCTTTCAGACAGGAGGGTTTTGTGAAGGCTCTGAAGTTACTTATTCTATGTGTCTATTCCTACTTCTTTTTATTACTGCACATTCAAATAGCCATACGAATTAAATCTTAAAGGATACTTTTTTTTTGTGCAAGAAATCTGTCCCCATGATCATTTCTGCACCTGCTATGGTGACAATATTGTTATTGGCACTGGAAGTAAATGTCTGGTCTTACAACTGGCCCCCAATTTTTCTTTACCCATAAGCATTTGACTTATGTTGAAAGCTTCCTTCTAATGAACTATTATATATACATTTATATATAGAAATTCCTGACCACCAGCTCCATCACTTACTAGTTATATCTTCTCGAGTCACCTACTTAACCTCTATAGGCTTCCATTTATTTCTCTGCAAAATGGTGATAACAATAGTATGAGGTTTAAATGAAAAAAAATATGCAAGGACTGAGTACAGTGTCTGCACACAATGGGTGCCCAATAAATAGCAGTCATTATGATCAGGTCGCTTTTTCAACCCATTCTCACTTGTTCATCTTGTTCTGGCTGAAAGCAGTTAATGGAAAATGGTGCAACTCAGCACACAGCTCAGCATGTCATTTAAAATGTTGTAGACGATCTTGGCATTATAACCTGCTGCCAGTTGTTAGTGATCGTCTTATTTTTCTTCTTGCCCATAAACCTCTCCCAAACACTGGTTTGTCTCATTAAAAATGACATACACAGTGAGAAGAGAAGAACATCAAATTGAGAGAGATAATTAGCAAGAGCCAAGCCTAAGAGAAGGGCAGGTGTATGTGGTTCATTAGGCCAAAAGGGAATGAAAATCCAATTGGATCTCAGATCAGGCACCTTGGCTAAGTTAAAGCTCACAGAAATGCTGAAGTTAGCACATTATAATATATCTGTGTATATGTATATATGCATATATCATATATATTGTTTCATACCTATTATATATGTAATATTTAAAAAATCACATTTTTGTGTCTTAGCACATGAACATCAATTTCCTCTTCAGTAAAGTGAGAATAACTTCCCTGACCACCCTCATAAGAATTTGATCCATCAATCTCATTATTGAGTATATATCTAAAGGAAAATCAATCATTCTAGGAAAAAGACACACTCACAACTATGTTCATTGTAGCACCATTCACAGTAACAAAGAAATGAAATCAACCTAGAAACTCATCAATGGAAAACTGGACAAGAAAACTGTGATACAATGTTATTCCATACACACTACAGAATACTACACAGCCATAAAAAAGAATGAAATCATGTTCTTTGTAGCAACATGGATGCAGCTGGAGGCCATTATCCTAAGTTAATTAGGATATCCTAAGTTAATTAATGCAGGAACAGAAAACCAAATACCACAAGTTCTCACTTATAAGAGGGAGCTAAACACTGAGCACACATGGACATAAGTAAAGGAACAATAGGCACAGGGGCCTACTTGAGGATGGAGGGTGGGAGGAGGGTGAGGATTGGTAAACTACCTATTGGGTACTATACTCGCTACCTGGGTAATGAAATAATTTGTACACCAAACCCCAGCAACATGCAATTTACCCATGTAACAAACCTGGATATGCACTCCCTGAGCCTAAAACAAAAGCTGGAAGAAAAAAAAAAAAAAAAAAAAAGACTTGTTTTTACTGGAAAAGAAGCAATATGTGCTCCTTTCCAAGATTTTCCTTGGGGTTGCTAAGCCTGATGGCACAGGGTGTTTCAGAGGCCCTGGAGGAACATCACAGTTGGGCCATCACAGGCAGTTTGGGCATAGAAATCACCTGTGTCAATCCTGAGGCACCACATTAAACTACTGTTTGAAACTCATATAATACACACCAAGGAAAAATGGTTAAGTGTATCAGACCAGTCCACCCACATGCTAGGTTCCTTCCAGCATCATGCCTTCAAGATGGTTTGAAACATGGTAATGATATAATTGCGTAACTTTAAAAAGTTCTTCCTTTATGCTGTCTTTGGTCTTCCAATGCCCACTCCACCTCCCAGACTTGTAACCCCATCTCTTTACTCCACCAACAAAATCCAATCTCCAGTTCAAGTCCTTCACCTTCTCTGAAAAATCTACGCTAAATCCTCCTCTTAAGACCTGCCCTATTTCTCAATAGCACTACTGTGTAGCTCCAAACTGTCAAATAATCCCATGTGTATAATCTTGTCACCTCAACAAAATGGGAAGTTCCCTGAGGGCAGGAACAGAACTTCGGTCCCACAGTGCTTGGTACATTTTCCCTGTGAACAGTAAGGGGAGAATAAGCAAGGCAGAGAGTAGCAGCAGATAAGATCAGAGAAGCATCAGGTGTGTGCGGTCAGCAGAACAACGATCAGATCAAATTCTTCTGGGAAGCAAATAAATGCATACTAGAGGGACTTTAATGATGAAACAAGCCACACATTTAACATTTTAACCAGTGGATCCACACATGTGTCTTATCTTATGCCTTAGATATGTGCCTAAAAATTTGTGTATACAATGAATTTTTCCTAATCAAGCTGAAATATCAAAAGATAGGAGCGAATTATTCTATCAAGGAAACCCTGTGACTGATCCTGCAATCATAGATACATTCATTCTAATTTGTCTCATCAATCTAAATTTGGGAGTATGATGCCTACTTACATCAGGGACTAAAGTTTGTAAACTAATACCATGGATAAAAGAAATTTCCCAAAGTCTTCTACTTCTGGCCTGCTGATAGTAACTCACTTTCTATTTGAAACTATAAATACATGGCCAGAGGCTGCATCACAGAGAATAGAACCTGAAAAATTATCTCACTCTCACTCAGGTCCTGATGGAATCATATGGGGGAATAGTTAAGAAATATAGTTAAGAAATAAAGTTCTCCCAGCACTTTAGGAGACTGAGGCAGGTGGATTGCTTGAGTCCAGGAGTTGGAGACCAGCCTGGGCAACATGGTGAAAACAAGTGTCTACAAAAAAAATCAAGAAAAACATTAGCTGGGTGTGGTGGTGTATGCCTGTAGTACCAGCTCCTGGGGAGGCTGAGGTAGGAGAATTGCTTGAGCTATAGTGAGCTGTGATTGTGCCACTGCACTCCAACCTGGGCAACAGAGTGAGACCCTGTATCAAAAAAGAAAGAAGAAGAAGAAAAAGAAATCTAGTTCTGGGATTGAGATTCCTTGTCTAAGTCTCAATTTTCTTATCCCTAAAGTGGGGATAAGAATTGTTCCAAATTCAGAGGGTGATTCTGAAGATTAAATGACATCATGCATGTGAAGTGTAGATGTAGAGAGTATATGAAGGCAAAGCGAATGTGTAATAAATGTTACTCACTATTATCATGAGAAAAGCAATGGGAGAAGCTGGTTTGAAGGCCAGTCCTTCAGTGTACTGTCTGTGCCCAGGGCACAAACAAGATCATAAGCAAAGGCTACAGAAAGGTACATGAGTTTAAGAATTCAATTACTACTTTCCTTCCCTAATATTAGGCTGGGAACTTGCATCATTTAATACATTATGGACTGTAGAGTTGTAAATGAGGAGGAAAAGACGACAAGCAAGATTATGAGTCAGCAGGAACATTTAAAAAAGACACAATTTTGACTTGCACATGGAAGAAACTGGTATAATAAAAGATGCTCCAGTGAAATACAAGCAACCTTTGTATCCGAGGCAATGGTGTTGGTTCTCATGTCACCCAGTGTGGTTGCAGTGGCCTTCACACAGTAGTGACACAGTGGCCTTGACACAGTGCGTAAATGTTGAGTCTAAGCTATGCTGTGGTGTTGTGTGTGTGTGTGTGTGTGTGTGTGTGTGAGAGAGAGAGAGAGAGCGAGAGAGAGAGAAGAAAGAGAGAGAGAGGGTTCCATCCAAGGGGATTATAAAAAGAAAAGGTAGGACAATATCCTGCCCTAGAGCACTTATGTTCTGGGTGTAGATTGAACTAAACACTAACATAATAAGGCAATAGCTATCAGAACAATAAATGGTAAGGGCCAAGTGAGTGGTATTAACAGAAGTGGCTTGGGGATTTCAGAGGAGGAGGGTGTGCCATGGGCTGTCATGATCAGGGAGAGCCAAACTATATTGGGCTGGATGCTTAGCTCTGGAGGTTATGGTAGACAGGTCCATCTGGGACCACAAACTAAATATTTATGTGAAGTACATTTGAGTTCAATGTGAAAAGGGGCAATTTAATGAACAGACTGTCAAAAAAGGAAACTCATAAGACGAGGAACTTCCCATCTTAAAAGTCTTCTGTCACTAGAAAACAATAATAAAAATAACAATTATAATAGTAGTAGTGGTGGTGGTGGTAGTGATACCAGGAACTATGCCAAATGCATTTTCTCACCTATTACTTACGCTAACTCTATGAGGTAATAAAGGTAACAACAGGTAACACATAGTAAGTACTATGTTCCAAGTTATGTTCTAATAGCTTTACAGACATAACTTCATTTAATTCTCCCAACAACCAATAACTGGAAGAAATAGTGCTATTATAACCCCCATTTGCCAGATAAAGGATAAGAAGTCTCGAAGATGGTAAATAAGTCAACCAAGGTCACATTGTTGAGCTGAATTCCAGCAAGTGGTTGAGCTAGAATTCAAACCAAGGTCAATACAGCTCCAGGGTCTGTACTCTTAAGATCAACGGTGCATCATCTCCATGGATTGCTATCTTTCAGAGGTACTGTGAAAGAGATGCCTACATTGGAGCATTCTGGACAAGATGACCTTCCCTTCTGTGAACCATAATGAGCATATCCAACATAGTCAATCTCTACCCTTCTACCTCCAACATCATTTTCTCTTTCCTTATTTGTTTTAATTTTTAATACACTTAATACAACTGACATTAAAGCATCTATTTATATTTGTTGTCTGTTTCTTACACTGGAATGTACATTCCATGAGGCCAGGGACTTGGTCTTGTTTACATCTGTATCAATGCCTAAAATAGCAATTTTTTTCAATGGATGGATGGACAGGTGTAAAGCGATGGATGGACAGCTAAGGTGGTAAAGATGGGTAGGATTTAGTTTGATGCAGGACACTCACTGGGGTAACGATGTGATAAAATATTCAGAAGTGCTTATTCACAGAGTGGGCTTTGGGAGGGGGAATTAACCTGATCTGGATGGGTAGAAGGTGAGTACAACAGAGTAAGGAAAAGTAGACTACAGCCAAAATTTGGGGAACCTCAAATGCCAAGACATTTAGCCAGAGTAAGAATATAAAAACTATGTTTCTTCAATGGAGTTGAATGAGTTGAGCTACCACTTGCAGTAAAGCCCCCAGAGAAGAGTCATCTCTGCCTTTATACCCTCTAATAGCTGACCTGGATGGAATTAACGTTCTAATTCCCTAGCTTGGGATAATGGGGCTTTTTATATCCCTCAAGACAATTGGCTTAAAACTGGAGGTAGAAAACAAGAGAAAAGCCACTGCTACATTCCCAGTGGCCTAAGTGCTGGGATTGACATCTGAGGCTTGCAAGAAAAAGAAATTGAAGTCCCAAGGTCCAATTTTTGCCCATGTGGTCAAGTCACCTCTTCATGCTGGCTTTGCCAGGATAGGAAGAACCTGATCTTTTGCTCCATGGGCATGGGATGGAATATAAATTCTCTAACCACATTTTCCTTTCCTTTGGGGTGCCAGGAATTGATATAAGAATAATAATGACAGTAACCACAGTTACTGTTTATTGTACATCTACTATACGCCAGGCCTTGGGCTAAGGACTGTGCATAACTAATCCCTAATCCTTACAACAACACTGAAAGAGGCTGAGTCAATTTCTCAAGGTCATACTTTTACTCAGTAGGAGAGACACATGAATCAAAACAGATCTATCGGGTTTCCCAAACCTGTTTGCTGCTGAAAGGACTGCATTCCTACATGATACTGGGTGATTGGTCTGCAGTAACCAGGCCAGCTGAGCAATGATTAAGGGGAACTCTGTGGACTAAAGCAGGGTGAGAGATGGCAAGGTGATTACAGAGGTTAAAGAAAAGGAGGAAATAAGAAGTCTACAAGGGTCCTGTTAGAGCTGAAAACTGGAATAAAAGGTAACTCAGAGACAGGAGACCTGGGTCAGTAGAATGTTGTAATGTGCCAAGTAGTCAGACATGACAGCTGCATTTAAACATCTGAAAGGTCACAAATGAGAAAGAACTGATTCATTTCGTGTTTCAGGAGAAGATCAAAGTAGGAAGCACGAGTATTCAGTTTAAATTTATGAAAGCACTCCTAATCACCCCAGATGTCTCTAGCAGTTTCTAGTTGTGTCAGCTTAACAAGTCTTCCCTTCTTCTGTGAAAAACTTCCCTCTATTCCAACTGTAATGTTCTAGTGAGGGTATCTTTCCTTCCTGGCCACTGTGACCACAGAGGTATAGACACTGGATTAAAGTTAAGCTAATCAGATTTCTCCCTACCATGGGGAACTTAAGAAACAGAAAGAAGACATCCCAAATGTTTTCTAATTGTGAAGCAGGGACATGTGAGCTTGGAAGTTAGTGATGGCCATGTTTTTCGCTAAGTGGGAAAGACACTCTGAAAGATTAAAGGAGAAGAACAGAGAAAACTGGAAAGAAAAGTAGTAACAGCAGTGGTATTGGTGGTGATACCAGGAACCATGCTAAATGCATTATCTCATTTATCGCTTCTGCTAACCCTATGAAGTAATAAACGTAAAAACAAGTAACACATATTGGGCACTTACTATGTTCCAGGTGATGTTGTAATAGCTTTACATAGAGAAAAGGAAGGAGGGAAAAAGATGAAAAATTAATTATTGATTTCCAATATTTAAATCTTATTTATATTCACTCTTGAAATTTGCACTTCTCAAATTTTGTCAAGAGAGCTAATAAATATTGTTTTTGCTTAAACAAATTGATTGTGTCACTTGCAAACCCAAGATCCCTGACTAATGCAGTGTCTAACACTGACACACATGGGTTGAGGGGAGGATATGAGTTTCTCACCTCCAGACATATTCAATAAGGGCCTGGATGATGATAATAAGAGACAGATTTCATTAAGGTGACTTTACATTGAGTTAGAGGTCCTCATCAAATCTATACTCTGTGAGAGATTCAAGAGAGTCAATATCATGTTCCTTATTTGTGCTTTAGTTACTTTTGCATGGGTTATTTGCTTCACTATTTCTCCAGCTCCATTAATATGCAATGTAATATACTGATGGCCCATGGACAAGATCTGCTGGGTGGATTTCACAATCACTCTGATAAAAAATATAAGGTGGCAAGGGAATATACCTGTTTCCAGGCCAAACCACAACATAGTGTACAGTCAGAATTGCAATTTGGGGACACAGCCAGAGAGACTCAAGGACACTACTCAATTGCAGACTAGGCAAACCTTAATATACTGTGGCCTACACAGGGGGCCCAAGAGTGGTCACCTAACTTTCCTAAGGAATCTGGACCTCAGGGAAGTTGTGATTAATTAATAAAGAACTCCATATTGTATATTTCCTTGTTGTCTGCATCCATCCTATCATCTAAGTCCAGCATGGACCCTCCTTGGCAGCAACCCACTTATTTATTTATTTATTATTATTTTATAGAGACGGTGTCTTGCCATGTTGCCTAGGCTGGTCTTGAACTCCTGGGCTCAAGCAATCCTCCACCCTCAGCCTCCCAAAGTGCAAGGATTACAGGCATGAGCCACCTTGCCCAGCCCCAACCCACTTTAGCTAAGGAGGCATTTCTGACATCTTATAGCTGTTGTTAATAACAACAAGGACTGAAAGAATTTCCATCCAGGCCAGAGACAAAGTTCTGAAGTTCTCCTATTCTCCACAGAGATAATAACATACATGTATTATAGGACATACATGAGCTAAACAGTTTGTGGTTTATCTTTCCTTTTACTTGAAATACCTTCAGAGGGCAAAGCAAGTGGGTGAACACTGCTGGCAGAGTTCACGATCAACCTAGAAATGTCCAAGCATTCTACCCTTTATAAATGTTTAGGAAACTCTCACTGGTCTCTACTTTCTGAAATTAGGTTGATGGTTTGCTTTGAATACTTTTCTGATACATGAGTCCACTCTTTCCTTAAATTAGCATACTTCTTGATAACTGAAGAATAAAAAAAATCACAATGAACAAAGTATGCGTGTTTGAAAGTGGCATTACAGTACTGAAGTGGCCACAGCAGCCATAACTGTTGGAAGGATTGGAGCTGAAACTTCTCAGTTCTCAGGAAGCGCAATACATCAATGTCCACCTGAGCCTGGCACTCCTAAAAAGATCCAGCCCTTGGATCATCATCAAGAAGTTCCTGTTCTACCAAATAGGATGAGCTCCAATGACTTCCTGTGGCCCAAGACGAACTTCATAGCCTTTCATTCTGAACCACTCCGTTAAATTCTTATTTGGTTGGCCCTCTAGTGTTCCCCACAAGCCTAGAGTCTCCTTGAGAGAAGGCCTATGTCTTCACTCATCTCTAAATGTGAGGATCCTCTCCAGCCCTTGACAGGTGCCCATCATTTGATTTTCAACTCAAGCACAGTGTCAAGGGATTCAAACTTAACCAGGACCTATGTCTAGAGTGTACTAAAAAGCAGCCATTTCTGTAAAGGGCCAGATGATAAATAACTTAAGTTTTGTTGGCCATACAGTCTCTGTCACAAATACTCAATCTGCCATAGACTACATAAACAAATGAGAATGGCCATGTTTTAACAGAATTTTATGAACACAGTATTGAAGTTTGATATTGAATTTGATATAATTTTTACATGTCACAAAAAATTATTTAAAATTTTTTCAATCATTTGGTAATGCCTGAAAACATGCTTAGCTCACAAGCTATACAAACACAGGTGGTAGACTTTGGTTTCTGGTTCTGTAAATAAAGATCATGGTATTTGTCACTCCTGTCCTCACAATAAGAAACAAGCCAAAAAAAAAAAAAAAACCCTGAAAATCAACAATTCTTAGGTCTATCAGAGAAGTGAGGTTACAGATCAAATCACCACTGCTAAAACCGAAGAGGGGGTAGATACAAAGAATTATATCTTACTTGGGGCAGAAATCTCACTGGAGCCAACATTGGGTAGACATATTTAAAGGATAATTTACTAATTACTGGAGACCGAGCCTGGCCTAGCTTCAGAAATTAAAAACTCCTGGAGACCCAGCCTGAGAGAGGTGGGTGAGGCACATTTGTATGAGTTTTACCTGCTGAAGCTTAACCAGGTTTGCACTGTAAAGGTCAAAGAAAAATCCCCTCATCCTTCCTGCAGGGGAGGGGAAAAGTAACCATTTTTAAATACACCCAGACTGTTCTGTTCTCCTTAACACGACCTGTCTTTGAGGGAGACTATTTTACCAGAGCCTAACCTAGTAAGATTTTATCAGAAAGAGCCCATCTGACCTGGAAAAAGGGAAATACCCAACTCCAGCCCCATCTAGCCTTCCTGTCTCATTTACTAAGGGGTGAAAAAAACCCTGAAGACCTTGTGAATAATTTTATATAGTAAAATTTATTGATATTTAAAATTTTTTCTGCATGAAAAAATACCGTAAACAAAGTCAAAAGACAAATAGGAAACAGATTTACAACTAACAAGAGGCTAATTTCTTAAAACTATAAAGAACACACGCAAAAGTTAAGCAGTCCGACAGAAAAATGAGCAAAGACTATAAACAAGGAAAGGAATTAAAAGGTTCTTAAATCTATAATGATGGAGTCATTAAAGACTGAGAGCAAATCATAGGGTTATTGGGTGCTTCCCCATTACCACCACCTCCATTTTAGCGCCATATCAATAGGATTCCCGTATAACAGAGGATGATAGCTGAAAAGAACTGCAAGGCTCAGATTCTATTTATAAAGGAGTCTCCAGGGAAACCCAAGACAACAGGGACCCCCTAAAAACAAGGACACCAGCAGAAATTTTAGCCTCTGACACCTACAGTTACAGCAAACAATAAACACAGACTAACTTCTAGGCAAATAAACAAACAAGAGATGGTAAGCTGGAATTGACCCACAAGCCATAGTTAACTCCTATGTTAGCAGCTCCGAGCATTCAACACTAATCTCTATAGTTGCAAATAGGAAGCTCCGGCTCAAATGGAAAAATTGATCTAGACTTTGCCCAGAAGGGAGAATAATGGGTGGTCTGTAGACATACATACCTAACCACAGTTCTTTTATTTTTGATCATTTAAAATTATTCTATAGCACATAAAATTGAAAAAGAAAAAGAGAAAACTTGGAACACATTGTATTACCCAAATGTATCAAGTATTTTTAATAGGAGAGATCTCTTCCGCACCTTGACCATATACATATGGGGTGATCATCAGGTAGATGCCAGCTGGAAGAAAACTGCTTTTTTCAGTCATCACTTCCCAGACATTTTCTTACACTATGGTACAAGTTCTACGATTATAACATTGAATAGATATAGGATACTTGATGGGGCACCCAGAGACTTTTAATAGAAGTATTTCTTTTTTATTAAAATAGTAACTCAGACTAAGATGCAGGATTCACATCAAGGCTGGGTTCCAGCAGTCTGTGTATTTCAGCTCATGGATTTCTAGTTCTTAATAAAAATAAAGCCACTGGAAGAGGGCCAATATGATTCTTTACCAAAAATGTCTCTGATACATTTTCAAGAACAACCTGTTTTTCTTAACTTCTCAGTTTTCCATTTCTGGTGGGGCAATACCCACGTTTAGAAGCCACCATTGCAATGAATTCCAGAGGACTGAATTTGATTACTCATTATGTCCTGGCTTTCCTTTAAAGATTTATTACAGTATATTTCAAGACACACATAAAAGAGCACTAATAGCACCAGCTGGCACGGGGCATGAGACACACCAGCATTTTTATAAATGTCCTCCCTGTCACTACAGCTCTATTCACTGACAAAGGCCCTGCTGTTTTCAACCAACTGCAGGTCCAGCAAATTGCACTTAAATAGGGTGGCGGTTCTGCAAAGCAGGCAAAATGTTTACCAGGATGAGACCAGCCAGGAAACCCATTTCCTTTATCCTCTAATCAGAATGAAAAGCAGGACTGGGGCCATGAAAGGCTGTGCATTAGGACCTGATCCCTGTGCTGTCATCTCTTGTTACCTGATGAAAGAAGGGGATTGTTTGGGTTCGGAGGGTAGGGGAAAAGCTTCTCCTTGATTTTGCAATCCAGCTGCTATTCATTCATAGGCTCGTTGCCAACATGTTACTTTGCCATATGTGCCATTCATACTCTAGATTACAAATGCATGGTGCTTTGGGGCCTTATTGATTTAACAAGTAAATTTTATTAATATCTTGCCTCCATACCTCTGTAAAACCTAAGGCTATGGTCTTTGGGAACAGGTACCTTGTTTATTCTTGTTTATACCCCAGAATCCAGTACAGTGTTTAGTAGACAGTGTGCACTCAATAAATGCTTGCCGAAAGAAAAAAAATACTAGGCAATGGAATTGCATCCAAATAGAGTAACAACAAAATAACTAATATTTATCGAAAACTTAAACTTTCAAAAAATGCATAGAACTTTAAGACTTTTAAGAGTGCCTGTCAAGAATCCTATGTAGTAGGTAGTATTACTATCTCCATTTTAAAGATGGGGAAGCTGAGGCTCAGAGGTTCATAGCCAGGCACAGAATTGGATCTGAACTAGCCTTTCTGACTCACAAGCTCAGTCTCTCACCACTATACTGAACTATCTCAAAAAACTTCTTCCTCTAGAACAATTTATATGATTTCCATTAAATTTCTTTTGCTATTTATTAATAGATATCATGAATCTTATATATCGCATTACTATATGTGCTTATTTTCCAAGAACTGCCTGGTAATGATGCCCATTGTGAAAAGTAAATTTCTTCTTGGAAAGTAGATAGAGGACTGCAGAAATAAGAAATACAGGCTTCCTGGAATACTCTTAAAAATGGTTAGCTTACCAAACCCTGAAGAAAACTACAACAAGGGGTTGATTTCATTGTTAGACTAATTGTTAAAATGTTCTTTCTTCCAGGAGAAGCTGAAATTGGCTTCCTTGTAGCTTGTAGTTACACTGGTCTTTGTGCTACCCTTTGGAAAAACAAAACTAACTAGGAAAAAATTGACCTATTAAAACAATCTTAATGTGAGATATTAAACTTTCTACATATGACGTAAAATCTGCATGCCATTTAAAAGTCAATAAACTTGACTACATAACAGTTAAAAAATTTTTTCTGCATGAAAAATACCATAAACAAAGTAAAAACCAAATGGGAAACATTTGCAACTAATAAGAGGCTAATTTCCTTAAACTATAAAGACAACCTATAAGAATTAACCAACCCAAGAGAAAAATGGGCAAAGAATATAAATAGAAATTTTTTTTAGCTCTTAAATTTACAATATGATACTCAACCTATGATTTTTTTTTTGTTTATTATGTGAGCAAACACCAAAATATTTGTTTGTTTTATAGAGATGGGGTCTTGTTATGTTGTCCAGGCTGGTCTTGAACTCCTGGGGTCAAACGATTCTCCTGCCTTGGCCTTCCAAAGAAGACCAAGTGTTTGGTCACACAATGTAATGAGCAAAAATATATCATCAGAACACTGTTAGTGGAGTAAAAACTGCCATAATACTTATGGAGAGTAATTTGGCAATGTTCTCAAAGTCATAAGGTCAAATGCCTTTTGACTCAGAATAAATTCTAATTCTTGGAGTACTTTTACACAAACACAAAATGACATATTTCCAAGGTTATTCATTATAGTCTTACTTATAGCGCAAAATATTGGACTCTACAAAATGTTCAGCCAAATAAATTATGGTATATACAGTTCATCAAGAGAATAAATAATGGTATATCCATGCAATGATATACTAGCCAGCTGTTAAAAACAATGAGGCAGCTTCTCAAGTATGACTTGGAAAGATATCCAAGAAATACTCTTAAGTGAAATATTCCATGTGCAGAGAAGTATGTCTGATACGGTCTCATTTGCTTAAAAAAATAAACTAGATTACATACCCATATATGCATTATAAGCAGTGACTTTATCCAGAAGTCTACACAAAATTTAAATAGTGGGTAGTCACAGTGGTTACTTCTAAAGACAGGGGCTGAATAACTGAGAGCCAAGGGTGAAGAAAAAATTACTTTTTAGTTGTTTTTTCTTTTGCCCCTGTTGATTTTTCTAATGTTTGTATTACCAGTCAAATAAATTAATAAATACCCTTCAGTAATCCCTAGCCATTTTCAATTGCCCTACTTTCTAAATTCAACCTCTCAGAGAATATATAACAGATAAAACTCACAAAGGAAAGCTCCATCAGTTACTTTAGGACCCCACCCCAGGCCCTGCTCAGCTGAAGTAAACCCACTAGACATAAAATTATTAAATACATAAGTGTAGACTTTAATAAGTGATGCAAGAAGTTCCCATCCAAGAAAACCATCAATCATTTTGACAGATTCTTTGTTGCCTCCCTAATATCAATTCTCTCTTTCTTCACAAACATTAGAAACTCTATTTTATATGGAGTGGCTATTTTATATTCCAGTTTAAAAAAAAACTCACAGCTGGGGGCAGTGGCTCATGCCTGTAATCCTAGCACTCCAGGAGGCCGAGGTGGGCGGATCACCTGAGGTCAGGAGTTTGAGACCAGCCTGACCAACAAGGTGAAACCCCATCACTACTAAAAATAAAAATTTAGCCGGGCATGGCAGCAGGCACCTGTAGTCCCAGCTACTCAGGAAACTGAGGCATGAGATTTGCTTGGACCTGGGAGGCGGAGCTTGCAGTGAGCCAAGATCCTGCCACGGCACTCCAGCCTGGGTGACAGATCAAGACTCTGTCTCAAAAACAAAACAAAACCAAACCAAAAAAACTGAAAAACTCACATTTCTCTGTCTTCCTTATAGGGAGTAATGGATGGTATAAGAGATAAGTAGAATTTGTGGGTAGGGATTCCAGGAGAGTTTTTGAAGAGAGATAAGTGAAGTGGAAGAAATGTCCTTGACTGTTGCCCTTCCTCTTCCTATAACGTAGACTGTGGTTGTCTGAGTCCATTTTGTGCTTCTGTAAAAGTATATCACACGCTGGGTGACTTTTAAGAAAGGACACTTATTTTTCATGGTTCTGGAGGTTGAGAAGTCCAATATCAAGGTGCTGGCATCTGGTGAGGGCCTTTTTGCTGCATCATCCTATGGTGGGAGGCAGACAGGCAAAAAATGCATGCATGCAAGAGAGCAAGAAATGGAACTCACAGCCTCGAGCCCTTTAATAATTGGCATTAATGCATTTATGAGGATGAAGCCCTCATGACCTAAACACTACCCACTAGGTCCCACCTCCCAACACTGTTGCACTGGGTATTAAGTTTACAAAACACATTTTTTTTCTTTTTTTAAGGAGCACATTCAAGTCACAGCAGTGGCCATGATAGCTAGAGTTTCAGAAGCCATTCTGTGACCTGGAGCATGGAAAGAAAGTGCTAAGGTTGGTTGAACTGAAGGAGAGAAGGGGGTTGTGTCCTTCATAAATTCATGGAGCCACACCTGATCACCTATGTCTCAGCTTTATGTAAGAAAACAAACCCCTAATTTGTAAAGCCACTACAGTTAGATTTCTGTTTTTAAGCAAGGAAACAGTTTACGGCACTCTTCTTTTTAAAATTATTCAGTACTCAGCAGCCATTTGAATGTTTAATAGAACAAGGCATTATACTGGCACTAAAGAACTGTGAAAATGACAAGAAGAGGGTTCTCACTCTGGGGATATTTATTGACCAAATGCTGCATAACCACTGAGAACAGGATACATCTCTCCCTCCTTCACTTTTACCTACATTTCCTCACTTAATCCTCACAATGAGGTTAGTCTCATTTTTGTAGATGATGAAAATAAGATTCAGAAAGGATAAATAATTGGCCAAACTACTAAATATCAGAGCCATGATTCAAATCCAGGTATGACCGATTATAAAGCCCACACTCTTACCACCAATTTATCTTTGTATTTCCAATAGTTTTTGCCCCAAGTGGTTTATAGCAATGCTCTTTGGCACATAAAGTTTCCATTTCATTATGTCTTCACTATTGATTATACATTTATAATCACCCACTCTCCTATATATAATATTTTTTCTTTAAATACTATTTTCCTTATATTGTTATCCACTCACTTTCTAAAAATTCATTAAGTCATTTAACATAAATCTGAGCACCAATCATATGCCAATTATATATTGGCAATACCAAATTGAATAAGACATAGTGTATCTTCCAAGTAATTAGAGAAGATGTTAACCTACAAAATACTGTATAGCGCTATAATTGGCTAGAATATTTTTAGTCATTAGGTAATGAATGCAAATCACTGCATATCATTGTTAAATCTACTTTGGTATATTTTATGTTTTAATAGAAAAATGTAAAGCTATGTATTTGCCATGGAGCTTACACATTGGGGTTCATTGCTGTTGTTCATTTGTTTTCTTACTGTTTCTCTTCCACTATTTCTTTTCCTAAATAGGCTATGTTTTATATTCTATGCCCATTTAGAAGCCAGGCATCTTATTTCTAATTATATGAATGATTATCCCAGAGTTTTTTTCACAAACACAAAATATTTATGTAATCAAAACAAAGAGTTTAACTATGTTTTACAGATGGCCAGAAATCTAGTGCTTACACTTCTCTCATCCTACTCTCCTCCATTTTCCAGTCTTTATTAATTTATTTTGGTTCCCAAGCCTAGTCACTACCTTGTGTGTGTATGGTGAATTTCAGTTGTCTTTTTTTAATTCTCTCGTAAGAACCTTTTTTTGTCCTCTGTATTCTAGTTTGTTTCCATAGTTACAGCAATTATTAGCATCAGCGCTTATGTTGACCCTTAGTATTTTTATTCATCTGATTTTAAAGTTCAAGGAAAGCTGAATGATGATTCTCTGGGGACCCCTGCATTGGGTGGGAAGCTGAAATAAACTTCTAAACCCCCTCCCACTCCAAAGTACTTTATAATTGTACAACAGTGTATATAAAGTGTTCATACACACACCATGCATATATATTTCAATAACACAAAGAACTTGCAAGTTAGTTGGCTTGCTTATACACTCTTTAGACCTTGAAAATGTTAACAACAAAACACCAAAAAGGTAGTAGAAGGATCTAGTGGTATAGCTGTTTAGAACATAGGCTCTACAGCCAGACTGTCTTGGTTCAAATCTGGATTCTGACACTCATTACTGTGAGACCTTGGGCAAATCACTTAGCCTCTTTGTTCTTCTTCCTCCTCATCTGTGAAATGGAGATTATCGTTCCTTAGAGGATTGTTCTGAGCCTTAAATGCAATCAGACACCTAAAGCCATTGCAAGAGTGCCACAATCAAAAGTTCTTTCGATAGTAGTCTTTTATTATGCTCGGTTGTTTCTTCAGCACAGTGGCATTTTTATTAATATACTGGTAACTGCCATGTATACCTTTCTGCACATTCCAAGACTAACCCTCTCTCATTCTTGATAATTCCTAAATGATGATTCTGATGGATGAAATGGGAGATGCCACTTCTTTACTTCCCTCAAAAGTCCTGCAGGGATTATCCAGGGAAGATAGTCACAACCTAGCCAAGCAACAATATCTTTCTGTGGCTCAGATTTTAAAATTGCAACTGCATTCAATTGGTTTGTTGATCTGCCCAAGAGCCAGTTTTTTTGAGGTTCTAAGTGCACTGCTGGAAAGGCAGGCAGTTGATTCTGTCCACAAAACTTGTCACAGAAAACAGCAGCTAAGCCAGGAACATCTTACCTGGAAAAGAAACTTATCCCACCTGTACATGATGTTACCGCAGTCTCCTATGGAATGCATTGACCTCATGCTGTTCAAGTCCCAGCGAATCAACACCAGCACTAGAACTTCAGCCATGTGCGAGTACCCTACAGCCAGTAGTGATTGGTGCATGGCAGCCCATATCTTCAGAGCTTTATAAAGGGGACATTCTAAAGGCAGCAGGTATTAACTGAGTATTATTTGGTACACAATGGTAAATCGTGTGTGCAAATAACACTAGCTACATTGGTACCTCTTCCATATTCCAATGATATCATTTATATTTGATCCAATTACAGTGGGAGGAGGGGCAGACAGCAAACACATGAATGAGTACACATACACTATGCAAGATGCTAATGTAATAAGGGATATGGAGAGAAATAAGTAGGGGTGGGTCTTGGGAGTAGTGTGTTGGGGAGGTAGTAAGATTTGCCACACATATATTTGTTTGATTTTTGAGATGTTGAAAGAGAGAGAGGATGACGTCCTGTGAATGTGCTTCAAGTCCTTATCAGCTTGTTACTCTGGAAACGTGGTGAATCTATTCCGAGCCTCAGTTTTCTTCTCTGCAAAAGATGGCCAATAATCCTGGAGTTTTGGATGGTATGGGGAAGAAGAAAATGCCTGATGCATCCCTGCCCTCCTCACATTTTTAGAAGAGACAGAGACTTGATCTACTTCTTAGGAAAGGGCAAGACTGAAAGAAAATTCAGGTCCATCTCAGTGGCTCCCCACCACAGGTGGAGAGGCTACTACTAATCAGACTGATGCACACTACCAGTGGGTGCCTTAAAAGAACGACAGACTCCCAGCCTCTCTCTTGGCCTGTGGACATAGACCTGTTTGCCTCACCTGGCAGGTCCAGCCAGGCGTCTTCTCTCTCAGTTCCAGACAAGGCATCTGACGGTGTGGATCAGCCAGTTTAGACCCAGGGTCCCTCTATTTGAAATTCAGGGCAAAAGGGGTAGAACAAGCCCCCATTTCAGCTGGAGGAAGTGTGGCTTTTGGCACAGTTTTAGCACCAATAGAGTTGATTATTTTGATCATCATTTGGCAATAGTTCCTTATATCCTTTTTTCAAGCAGATTTCTGGACAAGAGGAACCCAGTCAGAACCTTTTCCAGAAGTATTAAGTAACATAGTAAATATGACCGCACCTGCTTTGACACTCCTCCTATTGACAAGTGAGTCAATTTCTCCTCTTCTTTAATCTGGAGGAGCTCTGAGACTGCTTTGACCAGTGGAGCACATGGCAGAAATGATGTTGCTCCAGTTTCTAGGCCCAGACTTTCAGAGACTAGCAGCTTCCACTTCCTGTCTCCTGGATGCTCATTCTGGGTTGGGGGGGCGGTGGTGCCAGCAGCTATGTAAGAAGTCTCACTATCTGAGATCACCATGCTGGAGGAAGCCCAGGTCAACCACATGGAGACACTGTACAGAGGGAGCTGCTCCAAGAATCCTCAACTGATCCAGCCATCTCAGCCTAGGGGTTGCAGTCAGGTGAGTAGAGCCTTCCAACGACTGACAATTTAATTGCAACCATACGGAGGTATCCCAAAAAGAGCTGCTCAGCTGTGCACATTAATCCCCAGAATGGTAAGAAAGAATACTTTTTTAAAGTTATGAAGCTTTGGATGGTTTCCTACACAATAGATGATCAGCATATACACAATGCCTAAAGAATGCTCACTGTATGCCCAATACATAATATTATTATGTGATTTACTCAAACTCAAAAACAAGTTTGCTGTTGGACAGGGTCAAGAACAAAAACAGGGTTGAACTCTTAGCTCAGAGTTCTCTCTGCTACACGTAGTTCTTCTCTTACTAATCAATGGGAGTTGCTTGTAACCAGCCACTATATTTTCTGGGAAACATTTGTATGCATCCTAGCTGTCTTTTCTATCAGGAAATGCATCTCTTCCTACCAGTTTATGCTGATAGCTACTTCAACATCTGACTCCACAGTAGTCATGACTGTGATGCCTTCTCCTATTTGTTGATCCTACATTGCCAGGTGGCTTTTCCTCCCAACAAATATTGATGCTGGTGGAGGAACTGATACAAAGTAACAAGAGAAACCACCACCATCCACTTTGCAGGAAGTGAGGTCAGTGTGGATCCTTTCCTTGGCTTCACATTCCCTACAGACGACATCCACCTCTCTCCTTAAGATATGAGCTAGGTCTAGTAATAAAGCATTTTTTTTTTTTTTGCCTTATTTCAAGTGCTTATCTGAAAACCAGATCTTACAGAAATTTGGTCTCCAATGTTAAAAAGGAGAATATAAATATGGTTTGAGAGAGGTATCTTTGAAAGTACACACCTTTACGCCGGGTGCAGTGGCTCACACCTGTAATCCCAGCACTTTGGGAGACCAGGGCGGGCAGATCATTTGAGGTCAGGAGTTTGAGACCAGCCTGGCCAACACTGGTGAAACCCTGTCTTTACTAAAAATACAAAAATTAGCTGGGTGTGATGGCAGGCGCCGGTAATCCTAGCTACTCAGGAGGCTGAGGCAGAAGAATCACTTGAACCCAGGAAGCAGAGGTTGCAGTGAGCCGAGATTGTGGCATTGCACTCCAGCCTGGGCAACAAGAGCAAAACTCTGTCTCAAAAAAAAATTTTTAAAAAGTACAGACCTTTAATGATGGAACCATCTAATTTCAATGGTCTGTGCTTATTTTCTTATGCAGTTTATGTCTGGTCCCATGTTTACAGACATTTTAATTAGGCTAGGGAATGGGTAGAGGTGTGAAATAATGATCTCAGAATACTATAGCAAGAAGAGTCGCTTTGGATCATCTATTTCCTGGATTGTCATTTTTTACCCAGGAGGTTGGTCACTCAATGGAAGGGTAAAATATCACTACGTGGGAGGAGATCAAAGAGACTTTAGAGATGCAGCAACACTGGATTTGTGGGCGGAACAGAATAAAACTAGCAGCTGTGTATCCCCAGGAAGGGAAACTGCTCTGTCCCAGAGGGAGGTGAACAAGGTTTTGGGAAAAGAGAAAGGTCCAGGTACCCAGACAATAATTAGAATCTCTGAATCCAGAGAATGAGATAAAAGATCCAAATTTATAAAATGGAAGAAAATGCTAGGTGGTGTGTTCTCTTTTCATTTCTACCATTTCTGTCATCTGAAGAGCAGAAAAATAATTATTCTGAAGAAAAATGCACCTGACAAATTTCTGTTTCCATGTGAAAATGAAGAAAAAGACAGATTTAGGAAAAACGTATAAAAAATTTCTGTTCCATTGCATCACAAGTGTTTAAATTTCTTCGCTAAGAAAACAAATGCATTAAGATTGTGAAATGCAAGTGTAGTACGTTTACAGCTTTCTTCTAGTAGTCACTCCATTTGGACTGGAGAAGCCCTTAATTGGTTTCTGTCTTCTCCCTAATCAAAAATCACTTCAGCTCGAGGGTGTGACATGAAGACAATAGAAAAACATGCTTAAAACAAAACGAAACCATGCCTCTTTTTTTTTTTTTGAAACTTAAACCCAAACAGAGAGCTTTAATTTACATCAAGCTCTCTGAGCCTCTTTATAATATAACTTAGCCCTACTAACTGAAATCTAAAATATACTGCTCTTAAGAATTCTGTTAACAGTGTTTCAACACATTTTGTATCTGTTTTATTTTATTTTATTTATTTATTATTTATGTATTTATTTGTTTTGAGACAAGGTTTCACTCCCCTTGCCCAGGCTGGAGTGCAGTGGCACGCACTTGGCTCACAACCACCTCCACCTCCCGGGCTCAAGCGACCCTCCTGCCTCAGCCTCCCAAGTAACTGGGTCTACAGGCATGTGCCACCACACCCGGCTAATTTTTGTATTTTTAGTAGAGACAAGGTTTCACCATGTTGGCCAGGCTGGTTCGAACTCCTGACCTCAAGTGATCCACCTGCCTCGGGTTCCCAAAGTGCTGGGATTACAGGCATGAGCCACTGCACCGACCTGTATCTGTTTTATATCTGTCCTCTCCAGAACCCTGTAGATTGTCTCTCACATATGGGGTTAGGGTCACACAATTTTTTCTTCTTTTTTTTTTTTTGAGACAGAGTCTCACTATGCCGCCTAGGCTGGAGTGCAGTGGCGTGATCTCGGCTCACTGCACCCTCTGCCTCCCAGGTTCAAAGCATTCTCTTGCCTCAGCCTCCTGAGTAACTAGGATTATAGGTGCGCACCACCACACCCAGCTAATTATTTCTATTTTTAGTAGAGACGGGGTTTTACCATGTTGGCCAGGCTAGTCTCAAACTCCTGACCTCAAGTGATCCACCCACCTAGGCCTCCAAAAGTGCTAGGATTACAGGTGTGAGCCACCATGCCCAGCCAGGGGCACACTTTTAAAATGTGTGTGTGTTTGTGTATGTGTGTAAAATAAACAAGCAAAGGAGGAGGATAAATGTTTCCTGGCATCCAATACCACTGGAGTCAACTAAGCTGAAATGAGAAGGGTGAGGAACAACCCACACTGTATATACCTGCCACAGATAGGAAAGAGGAGAGAACAGGTTTTAAATTGATGGACTCTGGCATCCAGGGCAGAAATGGAAGTTCCTCTAGTCTAAAACAGGGATCACAACACTCATTCAAGGCTGGAGGGGCCCTTGGAGAGAACAGAAAGAGAAGAAAAAGAAAAGAAGATGGGGAAAAAAGATGCTGCCATGAGAGGCAACCCGACCAGGTAACACACTATTCAATGAAAGCCCCCACAACAAGTGTGCTACTGTTGGTGGCAGCAAGATCACTCACAGATCACAGGAGGGAGGTAGTCCAGTCCCCTATCATTTACATGTCAACTATGTAGCCCCCAAAATTAAAATTAAAAATAAACAAATGAAATAATTTAAGAACTGAAAAAAAAGCCCACTGAGGACATACGTGTGAAATAATAATTTTAAAAAATCAGCAAGGCAACTGGAACTGAGATTTAAAAGAGAGCTCTGAATGAACTTGGGGTAATATGGAGGAAATCTTCTTAGAGAAGCCTATTTTGAAGTGGGTTTTAAAGAGAGATTGAGGCCGGGCATGATGGTTCATGTCTGTAATCTCAGCACTTTGGAAAGCTGAGGTAGGAAAAATTGTTTAAGCCCAGAGTTTGGGACCAGCCTGAGCAACACAGTGAGACCCCATCTCTATTACAAATAAATACATAAATAATAAAAATAAAGAGAGATTGGCATGGATGTGAGCATGGAGCAGTACCCTGGAAGAATTCCAGATTGTGTGGCTGACCACAGTCCAGAAGTGAAACTTCAGATGAAACGTACCAGGCCTTATCCATTTGAAGAAGTAACTTCCGAACATTTACACTGTGTTCCATGGTAGCCCCTGAGGATACAAGTATGAGTAAGGCACCATCTGGTCCTTTTAGGAATCCCTAAGTTAATAGGGAAAAAAATGTGTAAACAAATAATTATGATACAGCAGGGCAAGTATGGGAAAAAAAAGATTACCGCCCAAACCCACTGTGTGATTATTGTGTGCCAAATACAATAACCTTATATTTATCTCATTTAATATTCCCAAGCACCCTATCAAGTAGGTACTATTATTATAGAGATAAGGACATTGAAAGGAGAATAATTTGCTCAAGCAAATGTAATCGTTCAAGGTCACTCACATAAGTATGTGGTGGAGCTAGGCTTTAAAGCCACATCTTCTGGATTCAGGGCTATAGACTTTTAACCACCATGCAATTTTCTATGTAAAATTTGCTATAGAAAGGAAACTAATATTTATCGGAAACCAAGTGCTTCTTTGTTTAATTCCCTCAATAGTTCTGTGAAGCTGGCACTGTGTCTGTGTTATGGTTGAAGCAATGACATTCAGAGTGGAACAGGTTCTTAAGTTTTGTTTGTGAAACTCCAAAGCCGATGTTCCTTCCAGTAAATCAAATCCAAGTGGGAGGATGATGCAACCAACTACCTGAGAGGCCTTGGAAGACTTAAATGTGGAGAGAGTGAGCTGAATCTAGAAGAAAGAACAGAATGTGACCAGTTGAGAAAGAATATTGCAGGTGGTGTGATTAACTGGAGAAAAGATGCAGAGGCATTCATGAGCACACCCCATGAAGGTGTGGTCAGACATCCAGTGTGGCTGCAGCAGGGCTACCTCACTGAGCTGCAGCCAGGGCCATGTGGCTATCTCATGCTTAAGAGTGTGCATGTGTGACTCTGAGTCTAGGGAATGCACAGAGCTTTTTAAGGAGGAGGATGGTACTATCAGATTTGCATTTTAGACAGATCTCCCTGGCAGCTGTGTGGCATACGGAGTGGAGGGAAGGCAGTAATTGGATTCGTTTAGGTGGCAGAATTGACAGAATGTGGTGAATGAGAGAGGAGTGTAAGGTGAATTCAAGGTTTCTAGCTTGGGAGCCTGGTGGCAGATTACAAAAACCAAAGAAGAGGAGGGTTTGTTGGTTTGTTTGCTTGTTTGTTTGTTTGTTTGTTTGTTTTGAGATGGGTCTCGCTCTGTCACCCAGGCTGGAGTACAGTGGCACAACCTCGGCTCACTGTGACCTCTGCCTCTGGGTTCAAACCATTCTCCTGCCTCAACCTCCCAAGTAGCTGGAACTACAGGCACCCACCACCACGCCCTGCTAATTTTTGTATTTTTGGTAGAGATGGGGTTTCACCATGTTGGCCAGGCTGGTCTCAAACTCCTGACCTCAAGTGATCCACCTGCCTCAGCCTCCCCAAGTGCTGAGATTACAGGCATGAGCCACCACGCCCGGCCAGAAGAGCAGGTTTCTAGGGGAAAATGTTAAGTTCGGGCTTGTTTGAAGTCTTTGGCACATTGAGAAGTACTATCTATGAGGCGGCTCAAAGAATTTAGAGACTTCAGGGAAAATATGGAGTTAAATTTTTGTCATAACATACTTGTCTAAAACTCAAAGAAGAGGAATAAGAACAGGATGAAACAGGAAAATAGTCAATCTGGCCTAGTTTGTCTTCTTTGTGTTTTGAGGGGAGAAGGGAGATGCTTGCTTTGTATGGGTTTTTTCCCTCTCGCTCTCTTTCTCATATAGTTGGGACTTACCGAAAAAACTCATTGCAGGCTTTGAATCCCAGCGACATTCATTCCGCAACATACTAACCACATCCTGGTGATCCCAGCTTCAGAGAGGAGAACACGGGGACTTGAGTTCACTGTTGCGGTGAAGTCCTGCTCTGGCCCCAGGCAGAAGTCAAGATCAAAGCTCACACTGCAAATATTGTGCTGATTAAAACCAAACTTTCTGCTTTTGATGTGGGCCAACCTCCATTGCTGGTAGGAACAAAGGAGGAGTATAGCAAAAAGATACTAGCAGTAAGTATAAAACCAGGATGCACTCAATTTAAAAGACAGAGAAAGAAAAAAAGAGAGCGATGAGGATGGGGGTAGACAGAGAAAGGAAGAACGAAAGAAAGAATGAAAGAAGGAAGGAAGGAAAGAAAGGAAGGAAGTAAGGAGGGAGGGAGGAAGGAAGGAAGGAGGGAGGGAAGGAGACAAGGAAGGAAGGAAGGAAGGAAGGAAGGAAGGAAGGAAGGAAGGAAGGAAAGAAGGAAAGAAGGAAGGAACAGAAAGAAGCTGACATCAGCCCATGCCTAGGGAGTGGTGCAGAGGACCATGTAACAGGGTAAAGCACAGTCTAAGTGCCATTCTTTTGTCAAGGGCCCGGTTCTTTTTTTATTATTATTATTATACTTTAAGTTCTAGGGTACATGTGCACAACGTGCAGGTTTGCTACATAAAAATGTATACATGTGCCATGTTGGTGTGCTGCACCCATTAACTGTAAACTAGTTCAACCATTGTGGAAGACAGTGTGGCAATTCCTCAAAGATCTAGAACTAGAAATTCCATTTGACCCAGCCATCCCATTACTGGGTATATACCCAAAGGATTATAAATCATGCTGCTATAAAGACACATGCACATGTGTGTTTATCAAGGGCCCAATTCTATGGAAGAAACAGCAGAGCTCCTCAGATTACCAATCCTCCATTCTAGTCTCACTGTGCCGTGAACTGCCAGTGGGTCTTAGGGATGTCCCCCTGCACCTCTTTCAGGTCAGTTTCCTTGACTGACACATAAACACTGAAGGCTCTCTGTGGCTTCTTCCAGCTATCTAACATTTATATTCCATGGCTGCTTCCAGATGTTTTCTTATCCTGGGTTACCACCTACATTGTTTCTTGGGGAGAAGGATGCCTGACTCCTACAGAGTAATGAGACACAAGGAGGGTGCCTGAGCCATTTCTACAGACTCCAAGAGGTTCTAACCAGCCCAGGTCACTTCCACTTTTGAGACCTGTGGACACGTTATGATGTTATGAAATGCCAGAGCAGGATTACCAAAACTCTCACATATTTGTAAATGCTTGTATTTTGCAAATGACCCTTATTTACAACCAAAATAAAACTTCGTTTGGGAACAATGTCAAGAGTCTTAATGTGAGGCCTTTTATGAATACAAGGCCTCCTGCTAAATGGCCCACCTGCTTCCCCCTCATAAGCCTGGTCATATCAGTACCCCCAGGAGCTTGGCACATGGTTTTCACATGGTGAATAATGAAAAAGTACTTCCTAAATGAATAAGTGCACACATGGATGAATAAACAATCTACATGTCCTTGGGCTCTGCATACTTCATTGGGAAAATAATAAGGTGGCAACAGGGTTCTCTAAGAAGCGTGCAGATTAAAGTTCCCCTCTATGGTTGGCCAGAACCCAAAAAATCACCTCACCAATAGATCTAAGGAACAGAAATGAGGCCTTTTAATTAGAAGTAAGAATTAACATTCCAGTTTTAATAGTAAGCATCTAATACCAATCTTCAACTAGGATACATTTCTACCACTAGATTTAGAACGGGGAAGGACAGAACTTTCCAGGAGCCATAGACTGGGTCCTTTGAAAGAATTGCTACTATGGTTTCAACTGCTGTTGTGTACTTCATACATGTTTTTGCAAGGATTAGGAGGAAATAGTTGGTTAAACAAATCCTTACACCATGGATAAATAGGGGCCTCAAAAGACTGACAAACATGTTGAACTTGGAAAAATCCCAAGACCATGCATCACAATCTTGACACTACAAGTATCTGTTCCCCACCCAACTGAGCAGATGTTATTGCTCTCAAAGCTCCATTTTTCAGCCAATGCCTCCTGCTAGATTTACCCACTGAGGATTTCTGATTGATAGCTATAGAGAGGAGAGCC
The DNA here is from genome assembly GCF_000001405.40 of Homo sapiens. NCBI lineage: Eukaryota > Metazoa > Chordata > Mammalia > Primates > Hominidae > Homo > Homo sapiens. The sequence goes on from NC_000008.11 coordinate 120,777,423, forward strand.
ACCTTGAAGTTACAATTTTTAAAAAATCAGCCGCTAGATTTTGGGTTTGAACATCTCAAAACGATAGGCCCCTTTCTCCCAATTTGCCATGGATATGTCCCAAACAGTCTGTGCAAGTCTGTGCTTCAGATTCACAGCCCTTAGAAAGAGGAAAACATAACTTGACATCTACCTTCCTCACTGGCTTCATGAAGAGGATTAATGAGTTCATAAGCATTAAGTACTTTGCAAGCCACAGGTGACTGGAAAACATTATTAGGACCACATTTTTCCTAACAAAGTGGTTCAAGCTTTGAACAGAAGGTTAAATCCCAGGAGAAATATCTACTTTTAATACAGGAAGCTGGATGCCTACTGTCAGGTAATAGGATGCCTGTTAAAATGCCCTGGGTTATCCAGTCACTAGTGACAGGGACAGATTTAGACAATATGAGGGCAAGAGTATCCCCCAAAGCACTGTTGAAAGTAACTGAAGTAATAAGCAATTCCAATTAACAGTGGCATCTGCAGCAGCAGCAGAAACACTTTGGTTAGACTGATGTTTCTCTGAACTCACTCCCTTTCTCCAGTCTGAAAACCTTTGCTGTTTTGCAAACCACAGCTCTGTTAACAATGTCCAGTCATTTACTTCTGCCACATCCAAACTTTGTGTGTGCACAAACATGACCTAGTTGAACTGCAATAATTGTATTTATTTGATACAACCCAGGTGGGTTCCAAGACTCCTGTTAGCAGGGAAAACACAAAGTCATTAAGTTCACTTCGGGCTTAGATATGTCTCCTTCCTGTTCCCAGGAACATTTCTTCCTGAATCTATATTTACTCACAAAGTACAAATAATGTGAAATGGCTAAGCAGCTAAAAACTTACAGAAAGATCTCTACTACCCCCACAAAATGATATTCTATTTATTTCGCAACCCAGGGTGCCTAAAACTCTAAAACAACTTTAGTCACCAAAAAAGGTGGAAACTTCAGATGCATTTAGGAAGGCAATGACCTCTAAATCAGGAATCCTGACCTCTAATTTCATCAGTGCTCTGGCATTTCTGCAAACTTTTCATTTTCAGAACAAAAGGATTTGTCTAGTAGGACAATGAGGAGGAGATTTTAGGATGAGAATGGAGGTAGGGAAAACACTTATAAAGCTATTGCAGGACTTCAGGAAAGACATAATATGACTGAAAGAAATTAGTGGTGGTGGGAATTCAAACATGGATTGATTTCCGAAGAGCATCAGGCTTTTTGCTAGTAGCTGAGTCTTCATTGCCATCAAGAGTCCCTGTCTCTGTGAACACCCAACACACATATAAATAACCTTGACATATATTAACTGCTACAACTGTAGCATGAATAAAATGTCTCAGAATCACAAGTTGAGAAGCAATTGATTGAGACTGGAATAGTCTAAAAAAACTGAAAAAACAATGACATATTGAATAGGATTTCACCTATATCAGAAGGAGGGAAATAGCTTTCTTGGCAGCATGATGCATGCATCTGTTTGGCAGGCTCAATGCCTAGTGAGTCATTTATTCATTTATCCACTCCATCATTCATTTGTTTATTTATTCATTTATTTATCAGGCCTCTGCAGTATGTTAGGCTCCACGTGGGGCCCTGGATATATTATATTGAGTAAAGAGCAGTGGGCACAGATGAAAAAGTATTGGATGTCAGGCTATGAAGTTTCAGTCATATCCTGATAGTCATAGGATCTAATCAAGGATTTTTGAGCAGGCAAATGACATGATCACCACCTCTATTAAGTAAAATAGCTCTGGCCAAAAATAAACTGTAAGGCTGGGCGTGGTGGCTCATGCCTGTAATCCCAGCACTTTGGGAGGTCGAGGTAGGCAGATCACAAGGTCAGGAGATTGAGACCATACTGGCCAACATGGTGAAACCCCATTTCTGCTAAAAATACAAAAATTAGCTGAGCGTGGTGTTGTGTGCCTGTAGTCCCAGCTACTTGGGAGGCTGAGGCAGGAGAATCGCTTGAACCTGGGAGGCAGAGGCTGCAGTGAGCCCAGATTGTGCCACTGCATTCCAGCCTGGCAACAGAGTGAGACTCTGTCTCAAAATAAAATGAAATAAAATAAAATAAAATAAAATTGTAAAGTGGAGAGTTAGAAGCTGATGACTGAGAGCCCAACTGTAGAAGATATTGCTGTAATCTAGAAACAGGATAAGATCTGACTAGGACAAAGGAAGAGGGCATAAAAAGAGGAATAAAAATTTGCAAGCTGTGGGTAAAACGAACTTTGAGAGATAGGCAGGGACAGAGCCGGAGCGTTAGTTTTCTGGCTTGTGTTAATAGATAAAACATTCGTCTGTTACCTAGAAGGGAGTTTGACAGGAGAGTGAAAGATGATAGTTTTGGTTTGAGGTATGTCACGTTTGAGAAATTTCTGGGTCGTCCATGTAGGAACATCCAGTGGACATGCCTGAAGTTCGGGATAGAGGCAAAGGCTAGAGAAAGGGATTTGAGGGTTGTCTGCAAAAAACAATATAATATATCCACGTAGGGCTCTAGATATATTACATTGAGTAGAGACCGGTGGGGGCTGATGGAAAAGTGGTGGATGTGTTGCAAAAAAGTAACAGTGGATGACACCTGATTAAAAGCCTATTGATGACATATAAGGAATGATGATCTAGTTAAAAAAAAAAAAAAAAGATCCGTGTCAGAGCAGGAGAACCAGGAAAGAGTGCTATCACAAAGCCAACAAGGCAAGAAAGAATTTCCAGAAAGAGGGCTGGTATGCAGCAGAAAGTGCTGAAAACACAACTCCTTCTACATTTCTTTTCACCCCACCACCAAATTGGCTTGCCTCATTTGCAGACATATCCTTGAATATCTCTTCTTAAGCTATGCTTTAATATTTATCTGTGACTATTGCATATACAGTAGCTAAATATGAAACTCCATTAACATCAGTGTTTTCTGACTCCACTTTGGTGAGTCATTCAACGTAATCAGGACTTAGAAATGAGCAACAGATGTGTCACATTCTTTGAGCAGTGCTCAAAGAAACCCAAAATGGTCAACATGTAAACTTTTCTAAAATATGTTTTCCTGACATTATGGATGATAATGAGGTTTTCTAAATTATAAGTCAAAGCCATTTACTTTATAGCATTTCCAGAAAAATCTGAATTGCAGAAATGCCATGTTTCCAAGAAACAGTAATGGTTTCAACTCTGTTTTCTCTCTTATGTCTTACTCTTTGGATAACCAATAGCAAATTTCTGGAAGGGGAAAGCTGCAAAACCAAATCAAACTGGCACCACAAATGATCAACTGACATCTTCATAGCAGTTTAGTTCATGTTTAAAATTGAAGAATAAAGCACCATACCTGTTAACTATCTCTTAATAAGTGGTACTTCTTAAAGAAATGAGCTATCAGGGTAGATAATTTCCCTTTTTATAAAAGTAACATACAATATTTTAAGTTCACCTTTTGTTTTAATTTTATTTAAAATAAATGTGGTCAGACAGAAAAATATAAGAGTAAACTCATTACAACTCAGGCCCAATTTGACCTTGAGTAATTAAGCCAAACACCTTCTCATCCTGTGCTATGCCCCGTGATCATCTAATCCCTGGTTTCCTTAGAGTGAAGCAAAAGCTCTTTGCTCAAATTAGATCCATAGAGAATGAGACTCCAAAAGAGGTCTGTGGACCTACAGGCTATGGGGAATGTCTGCTGAATCAGTGATTCTAGTAGTAAGTGGTGGGGAGCAAAGAGATAATGTCTAGAGTTGATCATCAAGGAAATGTAACATAAGCATATTTTTAAAGTTAGGGTGGTAACCACTAAAAGAGCTAAATATGGAAACTGTTAAAAGTGGTTTCCTCTGGGAAGTAAGCTAGGCATTGAGGAGGATGGGGATGGCTGAAGCAGACACTGTGCTTTGCATTATAAGACATCCTGTATTTTGCCATTTTTTTTTAACCAAAGATATTTTTCACTTGGATAATGTATGAAAATGGTGAGAAAAAGAACCATGAAAACTATTAAGTGTTATTACTACATATTCACTTACTTTGGCTTATGTAATAAAGATATTTGAATTTAGACTCACAAAGTCACAAAAAGACTAACTTCTATCTTACAAATAAAAAGACTGAGACTCAGATAAGTTAAGTGGGTGACCCAAGGCCATGGAGCATAGAGTCAAAGCAAGAGCCCAGCATTCCTACTAGGTCTGTGTATTATACGTGTGTGGCCAACCTACCTCTTTTTATGAATTTCACAAAACAGAGAATGGACTCATTCTTATTCAGGAATTTTCAGATGATTCTATAGGTCCTCCTGGAAAATTATATCACAGCTCAACCTCAGTGGACATTAGAAATGTCTAATGTTAAAGAGAAGAACAAGAAAAGTCCTAGAAGCTGGGGCATGGAGTTGGAATTTCTAACATAAAGTCTGTCTCTAGCATGGGAGAGACCATATCATTCTGTGTGGCAGCCACTACTGACATATAGCCAGGTGTATTAGTTTGCTAGGGCTGTCATAACAAAGTATCACAAGCCAAGTGGCTTAAACAATGGAATTTTACTGTCTCATTATTCTGGAGACAAGAAGTCCAAAATCACAGTGTGAGCAGGGTTGGTTCCCTCTAAGGGGCTGTGAGAGAAGGAACTGTCCTGGGCCTCTCTCCATGGCTTGCTGGTAGATCACCTTCTTGCTGTGTCTCTTTACATGGTCTTCCCTCCATGCATGTCTGTGTGTTCAAATTTCCCCTTTTTATAAGAATACCAGTGATACTGGACTAGGGGCTAATCCTACTCCAATATAACCTCGTTTTAGCTAATCATATTTGCAACAATCCTATTTTCAAATGCAGTCACCTTTTGAGATACTGGAGTTAAGATTTCAATATATGAATTTTGAGGAGACACAATTCAACCCATGAAACCAGGAGAAAACAAAATCCTTGAAGCCTTCCCTCGAACATTTAGAGTTTCTTTTTTAAAAGAAACCTTTTTTTAAAAAAAGTTTTTTAAAAGTTAAAATCAACTGAAATACAACATTTATTGGTTAGAGATTTCCTGCACATTTACCTATTTTTAAAAACTCTATTAAATAAAATGGAGAACAGAAACCACATTATCTCCCAGAATGTAATAATAATTTAAATTAGGCATAAATATGTATACATACATACCTACACACACACACATATATATGTAAAATGTTATAGTATAAACGTAACAAATGTTATATAACAGAGTTACCATCCAATAATGTAAAAACATTCACCTAACAGATACACGAAAAAGTTCTACCCTCAAGTGGATACGTCACGTTTTAAGAGGTCTTGTCAATTATAACTGAACCACTAAATGAAATCTGAGCACCTCAAACTGGGAAAACACACATGAAAATTTAAAATCCAATTTACTTTTCCATTTGACCATGATATTTACCTTTTGCTTTTTCACTCAGAAAGAAAAACAAGGAAAACAAGTTTCTCTTTGATTTCCAGTCAACTCTTCATGCACTGGTCTTTATACTAAGAATATATCTCTTCACAGGAAGTTTAAGAGAGAAAAAGTTTCTCTTAATGAGTGTGTCTAATCAATAGTTGGTCTATAATATGCAATTGTATCCTAACCTAAAAAGCTTCTGCAAATATGTTTATCTAACTTGGCTTAACTATTCTGGTTAATTTTGAACACAAGTTCTGCTAGCAATCTAACAGAATAGCAAGTATTTCTCATGGAAGTAAATTATATAAATTATATATCACTGATATTTTCCAAATACACTACTTCTCACTCTCAGTTGGTTGGTTTTCACTAACTCATTTCACCTACTCACTCACTTTTACTGAATCATTCAACAATTGTGGGAAAATCTCAATCTAAATGTGGGTTGCTTTTTTAAAATTTATAATATTGCTGCTTGGACTTGGAATGCATTGTTTAAAATGAAAGTTATGTTATACATGTAGAATATGCACTGAATATTATACTGAATACACATGTGCATTCAATAAATGCATATTTAATCATGAGATGAAAAAAAATAATGTCAATACCCCTAACCAAAACCTAAAATAATATGAAATGTTTTCTTATGGAAAAAGTTTTCTCCTTATTTTTCATCTTTTTTCAAATTCTCCCTCCTCTTCCTCCAACTTGCCCTGATAGAGTCCTGGCTTTCCCCTGAAAATACCACTTTGTAACCCCTTTTAGTCCTTTCCAATTCTAGACACTGCTGCTTCAATCTCTGTCCAACTTCAAGGGCAAAGAAGAACAATCAGTAAACTCTTTGTTCCCTACTGCCCCTTCCAGATCCAGTTGGTCCTTCCTATCCGTAGGTTCTGCATCCGAGGATTCAACCAACCACAGATGGAAAATATTCGAAATAGATAAAACAAAAATTTTTTTACCAATAAAATTATTTTAAAATAACGCAAGTAAATAATAATACAGTATAAGAACAATTTACATAGCATTTAGATTGTACTAGGTATTATAAGTAATCTAGAAATGATTGAAAGTATATGGGAAAATGTGTGTAGGTTACATGCAAATACTCCAGTTTTGTTTTGTTTTGTTTTGTTTTTTTTGAGACAGAGTCTTGCTCTGTTGCCCAGGCTGGAGTGCAATGGCACGATTTCTGCTCACTGCAACCTCCACCTCCTGGGTTCAAGCAATTCTCCTGCCTCAGCTTCCCAAGTAGCTGGGATTACAGGCACCCACGATCACACCCAGCTAATTTTTGTATTTTTAGTAGAGACAGGGTTTCACCATGTTGGCCAGGCTGGTTTTGAACTCCTGACCTCAAATGATCCGCCTGCCTCGGCCTCCCAAAGTGCTGGGATTATAGGTGTGAGGTACTGTGCCCAGCCTGCACCATTTTTTTTAAAGGGATTTGAGTATCCAATGATTATGGTATCCAAGGGAGTCTTGGAACCAATCCACCTCAGATACAGAGGGATGACTATACTAGATCTCCTATAATATCTCAATAAATCGCATTTCATAAGCTACTCCACGATGTGGCAGGTCATAACCATGAGCCACTTCTCAGAAAGTGTGCTCAGAGTCCTGGCTGAGTGGGCATCTAGCCACATGGCCTGATTTCCTGGACACAGCTGTCCGGACAAAGGAGAGACACCTGACCCGAGCCACACTAATCAGATCCCTTCTCTCTCCAGAATTTGGAATTGGAATATTCTTGGTGTGGAATGCTGTGGAAAAATGATGTTAAAAATGGCAATGATAGCTTTTTCTTTCCAAGATGGTGGATTGGAGGCATTGTAAGCATGCCTCTTCCACTTGAAAAGACAAAATAGTGTATTGAGATTCATGCTGTAAACAGTTTTCCAAGAAGCAACACAGGAATTTAAAAGAAAAACGGAAAGAAATTGCTGACTCTTGGAAAGAAGCAGTGGGCAGCAGCCTACACTGTGAACCAGGAGAAAAACTGAGTCTGCAGAGTTTAAGGAGGGGAGAGACTGCCTCTATGACACAACCCCACACTGGGGAGTCCAGGACAAGGGGGAAGGCCTCAACCCTACTAAGTGCTGGAACTAATTTAGTGAGTGCTGGGGAATATATGAGAAGGAGTGGCATCAGGATGTCATCTGAGTGCACCCTCAGACTCCAGCAGGGATGGAGGGAAACCGTTCTTCATTCCACCTCACAGGGGACCTTGCAGAAGTCTGTCAGCTAATTCAGGCAGTGGTCACGGGTTTAGAGAAACCCCCAGCTGAGATTCATGATATAATCTTGAGTAGGAATGAAACCCTATGACCAGAACCATTGAGAGAGCAGGAAGTGTGCTACAGCCATGGGCACAGGAGTTGGCATTTCTGTTTCCTGGGTGGACCAGGAGGGGTATGGCCTGGAAACCATGATTTCTGTCTCAGTCAAGAAGGGTTATGGCCCGGGGCAGTTTTGGGTTCTGAGTACAGGCTGCCTGGAACCCAGCTAGCTGCTGCTAGCAGAACACTGTGGGTGTCAGACCTCCCTTGCCAAATGCGTGGGAGCTGAGTGCAGCTTACTGCCACCTGCTACTCCCCGATCCCCACGCAGATCATTTTGTGCAGTGGAGGCAGCTGTGCTCCTCACTGGAACATTACTGCAGCAGCCTGAGAACTGCCCTCTGATCCCCATTGGGGCTGCTGCTTGAGCCCGCACATGAGAAGCCAGTGCATGGACTTGTCTGACCTGGCCCCCATGTGGCTTTGCTCCTCCACCCACTCTGGTAGTGAAACACAATTAACAGGGAATTTTGGGTGCTCCATGGCCCCGCCCACTGCCTGAGACCCCAGAGTACCTACTCTGGGAAACACAAGGCAAACACAAATCCCACTGTTACTACCACAGCTGGAGCTCTTTTGCAAGCATCACCTCCTGGCTGGAAGCCAGCCATCCCAGCCCATTACAACATCTGCAGGCACAATAACACAGCACTCAGGAAGGAAAAACTTGCACAACCTCAGCTATTGCCATTGCCTGCATTACGCTGGCTAACCAGGAGGTCTTGAGTCTGTCCATGTGCCCAGTACATTACTACTACTGCTGGCATTTGAGAAATTTGAGAAAGCCAACACACTAAGGCTATTTATAACCAAGGAAATCTCACACAATCTACGTGACTTCCCTCCTACTCCCATCAGAGCTGACGCAGTACCTGCTGCTGGGAGACTAGAGGACAGGTTATACCACTGAACCGTCTGCAGATATTCCCCAGCAACAGTCTGGGGTGCGGAAGCCCCACTGGGTGGCTAGACTAAGAGGAGCAGAGGGATTTCCAGTAGTCTGGCCCTCAGGGATTGCTACTCCTAGGGAAGAAGGCATGCACCACATTAAGGGAGCACCCTGTGAGGCAAAGGAAATCAGGCTGCAGGCCTTGCACCCCTGCACTTTCTACTTGTGGGAAGTCTGTTTCAGCAGAGATACAGGTGCAGTGCTGGGTTCAGTGAGAAGAGTCTGGCGCTCTAGCCCAACGATCAGGCAGCCCTGGTGCTCATGAAGGGTCTTAGAGAAGGGACTTCTCCCCCTTGCCCACCACTGCAGACACAGCTGGGGCTTTTACCACAGGAGTTCAGCATGGGAACATCTGTAGACAGCCTTTCTGGAACACTTCAGGGTGACTGCATCCCTGTAGGAGGAGTACCCTCCAGGTTCAGGCTTGCATGAGAGGTAGAGTCACAATCCCTCCCTACACAGAACATCAGCATTCCTACAGATGAAAAGAGGTACTGGTCTGATCTGAATAGCCAGAATACCAGGTCAAGAGTGTGACTGGAAGGAGGACTGCTTTCCTGCTGGCTTGCAATGGAGGCTGTTGTGGCTCCTTCCCTTCCCCCTGAAATACCTCATTGCATTTCACTGAAAGCTTCCCCACCTACCTCTGTCAAGTCTGGGACCTTGGCACACTGTTAGGGTAATGTGTTTGTCCACCCGCTTTAGCCACTGCCAGATTTTACCCATAGCCATCTCCCACTCGCCTGAAGCCTGAACTGTTCAACCCAATGAAGAAAGTACTAGGGAAAAAACGTTTTTTAAATGCATACCACTGGGGAATAAGATAAGCTTCATGAGACCTCTGCCATTCCAGCCCAACAGGAGACAGTGAACCTGCTCACATACCTAACACATCACTATTACAAACAGCATCTGAGAAAGCCATTACACAAGGATTCTCTATAAACAAGAAACTCATACAGAGTATTCACCATGGAAAATACCCAGAGCTGAAGCTAGGTGACAATAACCTATAAACATTAAAGTCACATCCTCAAGAGAAAAATAATTTTTAAAAAAAGTTGAATCAAAAATAAATTTTAAAATAATTAGATGAAATAGTTTACCTAAAAAAGAAAAAAATGAGAAAAACAATTCACGCAATATGAAAAGAAAACAGCATTCTCTAATATCCCTAGAAGAGTATACTAACTCTACAGCAGTGGATTCAAACCCAAATGCAATCTTTGAAATAACCAGATAAAAAATTCAAAAGGTTGATTATTAAGTCACTAATGGAGATACAGAAGAAAGGTAAAAAAAACAACATAAATAAATTTCAAAAACAATTCAGGATATGAATGAAAAATTTTCTAAAGAGGTACATATTTTAAAGAAAAACCATCAGAATTACTGGAAATGAAAGACATATTTAGGTAACTATAAAATGCAGAAGAAAGCTTTAACAATAGACTAGATCAAGTAGAAGAATTTCAGAGCCTGAGGACAAGGCTTTTGAATTAACCAAATTAGACAAAAATTACAAAAAAATTAAAAGAAATGAATAAAGTCTCTAAGAAATATGGGATTATGTAAAATGGCCAAACCTATGAATCATAGGTGTTCCTGAGGAGAAGAAAAAGCAAAAAGTTTGGGAAACCTATTTGAGGGAATGATGAAGGAAAACTTCCCTGGCCTTGCTAGAGATTTAGACATCCAAATAAAAGATGATCAAATAATTCCTGGAAGATTCATTGCACAAAGAAAATCATCAAGACATATAGTCATCAGGCTATCTAAACTCAACCTGAAAGAAACAATTCTAACAGCAGTGAGACAAAAGCATCAGGTAACCTGTAAAGGAAAATCTATCAGACTAACAGGAGACTTCTGAGTAGAAACCTGACATCTAGAAGGGATTGGGGTCCTATCTTTAGTCTCCTTAAATAGAATAACTGTCAGCCAAGAATTCTGCATCCAGCAAAACTAAATTTTATAAATGAAGAAGAAATATAGTCTTTTTTAGGTGAGCAAATGCTGGGGGAATTTGTCAATTCTAGACCAGCCCTACAAGAAATACTAAAAGGAGTTCTAAATCTTGAAACAAAAGGCTGCTACACATTGGAATAGATACTCCTGAAAGCTTAAAATTAACAGGGCTTATAAAACAATAAGACAAGTAAGAAAACAAAGTCATTAGGTAACAATTAACATGATGACTGGAACAGTCATTCACATTCACATCTTCATATTAATGTTGAATGTAAATGGTCTAAATGGTCCAATTAAGATATACAGATTGGCATAACTGATTTAAAAATCATAAACCAAATATCTGCTGTCTTCAAGAGATACAACTAACATGTAAGGAATCTTATGGACCCAAGGTAAGGGGGTGGAAAAAGATATTTCATGCAAATGGAAACCAAAATCAAGCAGTAGTAACAATTCTTATATCAGATAAAACAGATGTTAAAGCAAAAACAGCACAAGGAAAAGACAAAGAAGGTCATTACATAATGATAAAATGATCAATTCAACAAGAAGATCTAGCAATTCTAAATACATATGCAACTAACTCTGACGCTCCAAGATTCATAAAGCAGTTACTATTAGATATATGAAAAGAAATAGTCAGCAGCACAATAATAGTGGAGGACTTCAACACTCCATTGACAGCACTAGACAGAACATTGAGGCAGAAAATCAACAAAGAAACACTGGACTTAAACTGTACTCTAGCTCAAATGGATCTAAAAGACCCTTACAAAACATACTACCCAAGAACTTCAGAATACACATTCTTCTCATCAGCACACAAAACATTCTCCAAGAGAGACTATATGATAGGCCACAAAACAAGCCTCAATAAATTTTAAATTATTGAAACAGTATCAAGTATCTTCTCAGAGCACAGCAGAATAAAATTAGAAATCAATTCCAAAAGTAACCTTCAAACCATACAAATACATAGTGATTAAACAAATCTGCTCCAGAATGATTTTTGTTTTAACAACGAAATAAAGATGAAAATTTAAGAATTTTCTGAAATGAATGATCACAGTGAAACAAATGATCAAAACCTCTGGGATATAGCAAAAGGCGTGCTAAGAAGAAAGTTTATAGCACAAAATGCCATCCAGAGAGTTTGAAAGATCAAAAATTGATAATCTAATGTCATGCCTCAAGGAAGTAGAAAAAAAAAGAACACACCAAACCCAAAGCTAGCAAGTAAAAAGAAATAAAAAGGATTAGAGCAGAATCTAATGAAATTGAAACCAAAAGAAAAAAAATCAATGAAACAAAAAGCTGGTTCTTTGAAGAGATTAATGAAATTGAAAAGCCACTTGCTAGATTAACCAAGAAGAGAAGAAATTCAGATAAACTCAATTAGAAGGGAAAATGGAGACATTACGACTGACACTACAGAAATACAGAAGATCATCTGAGACTACTATGAACACCTCTATGCACACAAACAAAAAAATCTAGAGAAATTGGATAAATTCCTGAAAACATATAACCCCCGACCTTGCTTGAATCAGGAAGAAATAGACATCCTGAACAGATCAATAAAAAGCAATGAGATTGACTCAGTAATTTTAAAAAAGCTGCCAACAAAAAAAGCCCAAGGCCAGACAGATTCTCAGCCAAATTCTACCAGACATTCAAAGGAGAATTGGTACCAATTATAATGAAACTATTCCAAAGATTGAGAAGGAGAGAATCCTTCCTAACTCATTCTACAAAGCCAGTATCACCCTGATACCAAAACCAGGAAAGAATATAACAAAAAAAGAGAAAGCTACAGACCAATGTATTTGATGAATATAGATACAAAAATCCTCTACAAAATTCTAGCCAACCAAATCCAACAGCACATCAAAAAAAGTAATTCACCATGATCAGGTGGGTTTTATTCCAGGGATGGAGGCCTGTTTCAACATGTGAAAGTCAATAAATGGGATTTATCACAAGAACAATTAAAAACAAAAGCCTTATGAACATTTCCATAGACACAGAAAAAGCATTCAATAAAATCCAGCATCCTTTTATGATACAAACCATCAAAAAACTAGACATACAAGGAATATACCTCAAATAATAAAATCCATATATGACAAACCCATAGCCAACATCATACTGAATGGGAAAAAATGGAAAGCATTGCCCCTAAGAACTGGAACAAGACAAGGATGCCCACTTTCACCACTCATATTCAACATAGTACTGGAAATCCTAGACAGAGCAATCAGGCAAGAGAAAGAAATAAAGGGCGTCCAAATTGGAAAAGAGGAAGTCAAATTTTCTGTTTGTCAATGACATAATCTTATAAGTAGAAATCCCTAAAAACTCTTCCGAGAGATTACTAGATCTGATAAATTAATTCAGTAAAGTCTCAGGTTACCAAATCAGTGTATACAAATCAGCAGCACTGCTATACACCAAAGACAACCAAGATGAGAATAAAACCAAGAACACAATTCCTTTTACAATAGCAAAAAATAAAATAAAATAAAATACTTAGGAATTTACTTAACCAAGGAGGCAAAAGATGTCTACCAGGAGAACTACAAAACACTACAGAAAGAAATCATAGATGATACAAACAAATGGAAATACATCTTGTGCTCATGGATTGGAAGAATCGGTATCATGAAAATGGACATACTGCCCAAAGCAATCTACAGATTCAATTCAATTTCTATCAAAATGTCAACATCATTTTTTAAAGAATTCGAAAAAAATCATCCTCAAATTCCTATGGAACTTAAAAAGAGCCCAAATAGCCAAGGCAATCCTAAGCAAAAAGAACAAATCTGGAGGCAACATATTACCTGACTTCAAATTATACTACTATAGTATATAGTACTATATACTATATACTATATATAGTTTTGGTTACATGTTTTGTAACCAAACATGTATACTATAGCAACCAAAACAGCATGGTGCTGGTATGAAAGTAGACACATAGACCATTGGAACAGACTACAGAACCCATAAATAAAGTCAAATACAACCAACTGGGCTTCAACAAAGCATACAAAAACATAAATTGGGGAAAGGAGGCAATAAATGTTGATAGGAAAATTGAATGGCCACATGTAGAAGAATGAATCCGGATCCTATTTCTCACCATATACAAAAATTAACTCAAGATGGATCAAAGACTTCAATCTAAGGCCTGAAACCATAATAATTCTAGAAGGAAAACTAAGGAAAACTCTTCTGGACATCAGCCTAGGCAAAGAATTTATGACTAAAACCCCGAAAGCAAATAAAACTTTACCAAGTAAATGAGACCTAATTCAACTGAAAAGCTTCTGCACAGCAAAAGAAATACTCATCAGAGTAAACAGATAACTTACAGAATGGGAGAACATATTTGCAAAATATGCATCTGACAAAAGACTAATATCCAGAATCTACAAGGAACTCAAACAAATCATCAAGAAAAAATCCAAATAATCCCATTAAAATGTGGGCAAATATCATGAATACTTGAAGCTATGAATTTCTCAAAAGAAGATATACAAATTCCAACAAACATGAAAAAATGCTCAACATCAATTATCAGGGAAATGCGAATTAAAATTACAATGAGATACTACCTTACCCCAATCAGAATAAACATTATTAAAAATTTTTTAAAACCCACACAACAGATGGTGGTGTGGATGTCATGAAAATGGAACACTTATACACTGCTGGTGGGAATGTAAATTAGTACACCTCTATGGAAAATGGTATGGAGATTTCTCAAAATAGATCTACCATTCGATCCAGCAATCCCACTACTGAGTATTTACCCAAAGGAAAACATTAACTATATTAAAATGACACCTGCATGGGTATGTTTATTACAGCATGATTCACAATTGTAAAGATATGGAAATGACTGAAATGCTCATCAACCGATGAGTGGGTACCACTCATATATATATGAGTACTAAAGAAGCACACACACACACACACACCCACACACACATACATACACCCACACACACCATGGAATACTACTCAGCCATAAAAAAGAACAAAATAATGTCATTTGCAGCAACTTGGATGAGACGAGAGGCCATTATTCTAAGTGAAGTAACTCAGGAACTGAAAACTAAATACTGTATGTTCTCATAAGTGGGGGCTAAGCTACAGGTACATAAATGCATACAGAGAGGGATAATGGATATTGGAGACTCAGAAAAGGGGAGGGTGGGTGGGGGTAAGTGATGAAAACCTGTCTATTGGGTACAATGTACACTAGTTGTGTGATGGGTGCACTAAAATCCCAGACTTCACCACTATAAAATTCATCCATATAACAAAAATCTACTTTATCCCTAAAGCTTTTAAATCTTTTTTAATTGCAATGGAAGAAGAAATAATTCATGTTAATTCATTCACTCATTCTTCTCCAAATATAAACTAGTTGCTTGCTGCTAGCCAAGTACCGTGGCAAGTCCTATATTTTACAGTGTTTTTAGATGGTAAATTGAATAATTTAGCTAAAGTATAGCGTTAACCTGGGAAATGGGAAAATTGGTTTGAAGCTAAAATTGTAGCAAGTTTTGATGGTATTTCAAAGGTTTGGGATTTTATTTTACGAAAAGGTAGCTGGTTGTACAGGATGTTGTACACTACCTGATTCACATAAGAAGTCCTCTGCTTCTCCATCATTTCCCTCTCAAGACTCATACTTTTAATGGAATCAACATTGCCTGAAATATAATTTCAACCCTTTTTGTTACTAAGATTGAAGTGTCTATTACACTATGGTTCTCCCTGACTCTAATTCAAGGCAAACTCCACTGGAAGAAAAGAAAAGAAGGTGGCCTCTCTATAGGTCTGTGTGTTGGTGCTTTGTTAATACGTTTCTATCTCTGGAATCTACTTTAGGGCTCCATACTAAGAGGTGCTCAATGTGTGCAAACCTGAAATGAATAAGAAACATGTATCATGAGCTTGGAGATGCAACTGGGATGGAATGAGTTAAAAAAAAATCACTCAGGATTTCTGAAGCAATACCTTGCTGGGTGTGGAGAGTAAGTCTGGGAAATGTGCCTTATTTGGCATAAGGAGAGGGTGGGGGAAAGAGAGGTGGAAGGAGAACCAAATACTTTCAAAGAACAACATTGCACCCTAAGAAGAGAGTGATTTAACGGTATGCAACACATCTGTGCTTGCCCAAAGGCACAGTGATGAAGAAATACTGTTATCGCCTTCAAAAGCAAGTTTTCTGAAACATTAAATACGATAACCTCCTGGTGGATTTTTCCACAGCAGTTGCAGTAACCACTTCTAATCATGCTGCTAAAAAGATAAAGCAAGTTGAGATGTAAGAGAGAGGACACAGGCTGCCCGTGAAGAAATGCTGTTCCCAAATGTGATCTATCAGGATACAATCTATGAAGTATTCCACTCAAGGAACCAGCTCCAGTTCAAAATCTTTTTTTCTTCCGGTGTCCTGGGTTTCTGAGAACCGGAATTATGAAGATTTGGGTGCTTAGGGTCTAAGGAGTTGTGTAACTGCAGATCAGCCTATTAAACTTAAAACTCTACATTGTTCTAACTAGTCAAATACAGGTCTTCCTAAAGTGATTTTAAAAATCCTATTTATTTAATACAAGATTCTAGAACACATTAACAATTAAAGAATTAATCTGAATTTTAATGTTGCTGCCAAAACCCCCCAAAATTATTAAGAGTTTTTGAAATGTTCATATATTTGTTATCTGAAGCATATGAAAGAACTTTTATAGTGTGACTAGCTCACAGTGTCTTTCTCAATGGTAAAATATGTCTCAGCTTATTTTTAATATAGATCAAGTGTGAATAAATGTTTTTATACTGTAGAAGGAAAAAAATCCTGCAATTGGTTTAGTTATGACAATAATAGGGTGAGATCAGGAAAATCAGGCTTTCTTTCCACATGGCTCCCTTCCCCTTCATGAACAAACTGAAGGAATGGGCAGAGATGGTGAATTCAGTATTAAGAAGGTAAGCTTCAATACCAGTCAGCAAGAAACTGGAGAGACTTCGAGAAGTCCTTTAGACCATACAATATTCTGAAGGATGACACAATCCAGTAACTTGGAATGGAGCACTGAAATTTTTTTAAGTGTATTTCCCTCTCTAAACTTCCCGTACCAGCATTCCCAGCTCCCATCAGCTCAAGTTAATTTATGACAGCATTAAATTTCTCAGACCTTCACATACAAAACTCAGAAGGTAAGCCCCTTCCTTCACTTCTTTCAAATGACTAACTAGAGGGACTTCTGTAAAGTCTGTGTTACTTAGAGAAAGCTATTCAATATATCAGTAGTGTATGTACTATTTTATATATATATATACACACACACACTCAAGTATATAAAAATATGTACTATGAGGTGCAAGGTAAATATATAAAGAGGGGCTGTTATTAATGATAATCTTGTTAATTAGTTTTACAACAGCATCAAGAGACCGATTCTTTGATTTTCACTTGGTAAGTGCTTTAGGTTATTTGGTAATATTAGTTTTTATTAGTAATTCAGTCAGTACTGATTGAAGATTTACTGCCATCTCATTCCTTATCCTTTTGCCCCATTTCTTAGTTGCTGCTCTAAGCTCTGGTTCCTCTAAAATTGGTGAGAGGAGCCAGGGCTTTAGAGAAGGAACCACACCTTCCATCAGCTGTTCTTCAGTCTTCTGAGAAGGACCATGGCCATACCTTCCCAAGAGCTTCTTGGTTTACCATTATCTTTACAAACCATTTTAAAACCATCTACTTTCTGGTCAGTCTATCTCTAGTGACTCCTGGTTTGCTGCAAACCAGAGTCTCAGACTGGCTGAAAGGCTATAATTTTGAAAGTCACATAAATAAAATTGCCAGATTCAGCAAAGAAAAACGCAGTTGAATTTAACTTTCAGATGAATGACAAATATTTTTCATCATAAGTATGTCCCATGCAATATTTGGGAAATACTTATACATTTAAAATTTATTTGTATCAAATAACTATTTTATTCAGCAATGATACGTGTAAAGATTTTAGCAAATCTATTAATTAGTTCAGTTGCATAGGTATCAGATTTTGACTCTTTTAGCAAGTGGAGAAGTTAAAAAAAAAAACAAAAAACAAAACAAAAAGAAAATGGAGAAGTTGCTCTCTGGTAACTGTACACATAGCAAGGCTGGCATGCATGAGAGCAAAATTTAGTGGTGCTGTATGTACCAGGGGACCTGGTCCCACCTATTTAATAAACACAAATTAATCTGAACAACCTTTGCCATTGCCCAGCTCTCTCTGTCCTGACCACACACCTAGAGGTGATCAAGAATTCATCTGAACACTTAGTAAAGACAGGTGGTGTCATTAGATATTTGACAAAGAGAAAAAATATCTAGAATGCTAGAATTTAGTTACTATTTACTCATTTCATACACTCCCTATTAACTTCTAATGAAATTTATTCTAAATCCTCCTACAGTGGGTGTTGGTTTCCTAGGCCTGCTATAACAAAGTACCACCAACTGGATGGCTTAGACAACAGGAGTTCATTGTCTCGCAGTTCTGAAGGCTAAAAGTTCAAGATCCAGGTGTCAGCAGGTTTGGTTCCTTCTGAAGACTGTGAGGGAGACTCTTCTGTGCCTTGCTCCTAGTTTCTGGTGTTTGTTGGCAATCCTTGGTGTTCCTTGGCTTGTAGATGCATCATCCCCATCCCTGCCTTCATGTTCATATGGCCCCTCCCTATGTGCATGAATGTTTCCAAATTTCCCCCTTTTTTATAAAGCCACCAGTCTTACTGGATTAGGGCCCACCCTAATGACCTCACTTTAACTTGATGACATAGTTTGAATCTGTGCCGCCGCCTAAATCTCATGTCAATTTGTAATCCCCCAGGTTGGACTAGGGTCCTGGTGGGAAGTGACTGGATAATGGGGGTAGATTTCCCCTTGCTGTTCTCATGATAGTGAGTGAGTTTTCAAGAGGTCATTTCAAAGTGTGTAGCACCTCCCCCTTAGCTCTCTCTCCTGCCACCGTGGTAAGACATGCCCGTTTCCCCTTCTCCTTCTGCCATAATTGTGAGTTTCCCAAGGCATCTCCAGCCAGGATTCCTGTACAGCCTGCAGAATCATGAGCCAATTAAACCTCTTTTCTTTATAAATTACCCAGTTTCAGGTATTTGTTTATAGCAGTGCGAGAGTGGACTAATACACTTGATTACTTCTATAAAGACCCTATCTCGAAATAAGATCGCATGTGAGGTACTGGCAGTTAGGACTTCAACCTATGAATTTTGGGGTGACACAGTCAATCCAAAAAATAGAGATTAAAAAATGCAAAAGTAGAAAGCCTGGAGAGGAGAGCCATAAATCAACAACACAGGTCTGGAGTTAAAAACTGAAAGAAAGCACATTTGAAGTGGGAGGTTCCCAGTGCCTGGGACGTGCTCCTGAGAGTCTAACTAATCCGAACTGGTGGGAAAGTGCTGATGAGGAGACTTATATTAAAGCTTCTTTTAGGGAAAGCATGCTGTTTTCACACAGCATGAAAATAGGCAGGGGCAGACAGGAATGAATTATTTTGCATCCACTTTCCGCCCTGGCTCTGCAAGAGAGCATTCCTTCCCATTCCTAAGTCTCAGGATTCTTCCCTCGGTCTATGTGTATAGCATTTCTATTTGAACACTCACGTGGCAAAGCTGTCATATAGTATTATGTGTGTTTTATATGTATGCTCTTTCTGTACACCTATAAAAGAAAAAGTTTCAACCTTCCCAAAGTATATTTTGTGTGCATGTTTTACATTATATGCACACAAATATTAATATATAAAGAGGTATACATTTTTTAAAAATACAGTAGCTGAGAATGGAATTTTACAAACCATTTTCTAAGATTCCTTCTTTAAAAAGTTTCTTTCAGATAGTTCTCCCAGGCCTATGGCCATTTTCAAGGAATATACGATTTAATTCAGTGTTTGGAATAGCTGTAGAAACTTATATTTATTTTTTCTCTGATAAATACAGAGTGATAAACACACCGTACAAAAACACGGTGTCCTGTCATTTCATATCTGAGGCAAAGATAAATTTGCAGAGAATACACGTTCTAACAAAATGAGAAATACTGATCCTGTGACGTTAAAATTTTAAATAAAGTGTACCTGTATAAAAATTGTGAAGTGTTTATAATATTTGAAAAGCAGTAAATCCATTTCAAAATTTTATTTTTCTACTTTAGAAGTAAGGATCGGGACAGCACATATGACTTTGTTATTCAGGGGTTGATATTCAATCAGGAGTTGACATAACAAAAGCCCATGGCCTGGCAACATTTTTGAGTAGTTGTTGACCCAAACTAATGCACATTATTTTACAGCCAGTAAATATCATTAACCAAAGCAACTTGTTTCTCTTTTTTTTTTTTTTTTTTTTTTTTTTTGTCCAAATCCTTCTATGTGAAGGCCATGGCTAATGACAAACAGAGAATGGGTTAATTTTGCTCAGTTCACTGAAGTTTTAAGATGGATAAGACCTGATCTCTTAGGAGCATACACTCAAGTGGAGGAAGACAAACAGTTCGTAATAAGAGTCAACACATGCTGACCTCTATGCGCCAGATACTGTACTAAGTTCTGTATTAACTCTTAATCGTCACCTCAGCCCTATAAAGAAAGCATCATTGCTATTCTTATGTTATCAATGAGAAAGTTGAGGCCAGGCAGGTGCAGTGATTGCACAAGGTCACAAAGCTGGTTTGTACACCTTTATTCCACGCCTAGCTTTTGATCGTCACTCTGTGGCTCAGTAGTTCTCTTGTCACACAAGAATAGTACTTGCCACACAAGAATAGTACTATTAAAAGAGAGGTGTGCTAAAAATGTCTTATGTTTGCTACAAAGCACGAAAAAAGAGAAATAAATCCGTAAGAAGAGAAGATCTCTTCTATATGGCAACAAGATGCCCAGTTTAACACAGGCCTCACCATATCTGATTGTCTTACACTCAGCAATTTGCTGCCCTACAGTTAATGACCAGCCTTGATTGTAGATTAGAACCACCTGGGGAACTTTTAAACCTTCTAAGGCCCCAGACTAATAAAATCAGGACCTCTTGGGGAAGGATCCAATCATGAGGGCTTTAAAAGCTTCCCAAGTGACCATAATATGTGGTCAAGCATGAGAACCAGAGCTGTAGGCTGTACACCAGTGCCTCTCAACTGGGGACTTTTTGCCCTCCAGAAAACACTTGTCAATGTCTGAAGACACTTTGGTTTAATACAACTAGAAGAAGATAATGCTACTTGCACCAAGTGAGTAGAGGCTAGAGATGCTGCTAAACATCCTATAATACAAAGGACAGCCTCCACAATGAAGAACTATCTGAACCAAAATGTCACTATCTCTGAAGTTGAGAAACCTTGATGTACACAATATCCCTTTTTAGTTCAATGAATCTAACTTGTACATAATCTACTCACAGGAACTGTGCAATCAGCAATCGGCTGGATTTCACAAACACTCTGCTAGCCATGCATTCCAAGAAGTTTTTAAAAATCTGGTATAGGTGGCCCAAAATATTGTCTTGCAAGTCTTCCCAAGGATAATATATTCAATCTTGATTGTGTCTGAACCAGCTTTTTATAAAAGATTTGAGATGAAAATGTGTCTAGGGCTGCGTGCAATACACCTTCCACCATGATTTCTTCTGAACTCTTTTAGAATAAGGAATGTGATTATGATGAAGCCTAATGTTAGTATATTATGTCTCCTCTGCATTCAACTCCACAGGCTGCAGGTTGCTTACAGAAAATACCTTCAGTTCTCTCCCTGAAGGCATCTTTTTGTTGGGAGTACACACAGCCCTCATAGAGATGCTGACCAGGGAGTTAATGTCCCAGAAGCAACCCTTAACGCAAAGATGGCTGGAGAGTTGGTAAATCCATTTTACCGGCTTTCTCACTCACTTTCAATTGGGACATGCTGAGCTCTAGAGGGACTGAGCAACTAACAGTACGGCCTTTATTGGTTCATTCCCTTCACTGTCTCATGTCTGCACTTTACTGCCAGTGTTTTCTAGAATTACATCCCAAATAAACTTCTTGCACTTAGATCCTCATTTCAGATTCTGTCTCTTGGGGTACACAAAGATGGAACAAATCTCAAAATAGATGAAATTATCAGATATGCATAGCACACTCAAAAACAAAGTAGAGAAAAAGGAACTTGGAGACATCTGAGTCAATACTGGTGCAAAATAGTCTTCAAAAAACTATTATAATATGCTCAGACAGACAAGCAAAGATAATGTGTCTACAAAACAACAAGAGGATGCTATATAAAAAAGGAACAATCAAAGAACAAGAAAATGGTTTGGGAACTTAGAGATATGATAGATGGAATGAAAAATCAATACAAGAGTTGTACATAAAAATCTAGTTCTCCAGAATGAAAAAAAAATGAATAAAAATGAAGGAAAAGTGGAGAAATAGCAACAAAAATCAGTTTATTAGTGGGTCAATATGGGGAGAGTCCAATGTTCAGTTAATAGGATTTCCGCATGCAGATAGTGTAAGAGTCTTCAGTTCAGAGGTCCCAATTTTCTGGGTAAACGGTGTCCTTAGTGACTTAGTGATTTTTTCATGACACACTTGGGGACCAAAGAAATACCTAACAAATCTATTTATTAAGTAATGAGGCCCAAACAACAGTAAGTATTTATGTCCTAAAAACTTGACACCTACTGGGCATTATGCAACTTTTCAAAACTTGAAATTATACTATAATAGATATTACCACTCTCATTTCCTGTTCCATACTAATTTTCATGACTTTTTGAAAAATCACAGCTACTGCAGAAAACTCACTTAAAAGATATCACATTATTGAAGGAATGTAGCAATCTTATGTTGAAACTCAAGTTATGATTTATCTGGTGTCCAAAAGATGTTACTACATCTTCCTTGAAATTGTAAAACATTCCCTGGCATCCTGGCAAGTTCCTTGGGGCACCCTATGTACCCAGGGGAACCTCCAAACATAGGTTAAGAGTCATGGCTTTAGCTTATTAGTACCTATCACATGCTTAGCAAATTGATTAACAAAAGCCCCACGCCAACTTTATATAACCTAGACAATTAGTGATTTAATAAAAGGTTATTAAAAGAGAATGAAAATGCCATACAATTTCTCACCAGTAACTCTGGAAAGTGCTGAAGGAAAGCAACAGCTAATTTAGGATATCATATTCAAATTATCCATCCAGTGAGAGATTAAAGACATTTTCAGATATTTACCTACCAAGCGTCTTTCTCAGGAAGCTACTGAAAAATGTGCTCCAGTGAAACTAGGGAGTAAATTCAGAGAAAAAGTAACAATGGATCCAGGAAAACAGACCCAGGAGAAAGTCAAGGACAGCCCAAGGAGGATGGTCATGCATCAGACCTAGATGGGACCAGTCCAGAGTAGCAGCGCTCCAGGAAAAAAATTATACAGAATGGGTGGATTGTTTGATATGCATCAGCATTGAAAAAGTAAAATCACTGCTGGAAATTTAATAAATCTATTGTTGTATTCGAAAGAAAAAAATTGGGATAAGTACAAAAAAACTAAGCAAACAGGAAAAACAGAAGTGGTTAATAACTCTAAGAAATCTAATCATAGATATTACTTGGCTAAAAAATGGAATGATACTGTCATGGTCATAATTTTGTAAACATAGCCTGATTTAGCTAATAATGCCTAGAATTGATATATCAAGAAAAAGCAGTATAAGCATATTACTTAGAATATTAAAATATATTCTAGTATGAATAGAGTTTAAAATATTAGAATATATGTTTTAATATTTGAATATACATTTTAATACTCTAAGTTTTGTATTCTGGGAAATATATAGTCTAATATCCTTGGCAGAAGAGGGTGTGGAGAAAGGTATGCAAAGAAATGCTGTAATCATATGTTATTTTGATTTAGAAAAATTCTAAAAATGAAGCAGAGAACAGAGGAAAATATAGGAATATTACAAGCAAGCAAGAAAATATCATTAACCTTGATTTTCATTGCAGATGAAAGAATGTTTCAGATGAAAGTATTTGAAATGCAAGGCCTCAAAGAACCAAATAATTACCTATATTTTAAGTTTCACTTTGCTAATGTAACTCTACTACATAAGTCACCTCTTCTGTGAAACATTCCATTCAATTTCAGATATCCGTAATGGCTTCTCTGGTCATTCTGTAAGTTCTGTGGCAACATTCACTCCTTTATAATTTATTATTGTTTTATAAAATCTATTTGTAACTTATATATATGTAATTTATTACTCTACACCTGTCTCTCCTCCAGACTGTTCTATTTTAGAAGGAAAGGAGTTTAATTTCATTCCTGTAATGGAATGAAAATTTTGCTTCAATCTATCAATAAGATCTCACCTAACAAATATTGTCAAAATTCATGATTTTAACAATATTGTATGACTATTATGCACTGTATTTAATCAATTCAAACTGTCCGATTTTTTCATATTTTATCATCTCTGATTTTGAGAATGTCCTTGAAAATTGCTGCCATCTTAAAATCCCTGGAGACTTGGATGGACATAGAGTTCTTCCAAAGAGTATTCACAGCTGCTCCTATCGTTTGTCCGGGGGCCTCCCCACCTGAGACCACTTTAAATTAAATTATCTATCTAAACTTTTTTAAAAAAATTCACAATGACATTGTAAAATCAAAATCTCAGGGAAGACATTTGTCCTTCCTTCTACTAGGACCAAATTCGAGACCTGCAAGTTCCTTTGTTGCAAGTTCCCTTTCTGAGTGATGGGTCTATTTCTCATTTTTCCCTGCATTGAAGAGATAACCCTTTGGTGTCCCAACTTTAAGCAATTATCTTATTAGACTCCCCATTGAAGACAGTTTTTTCTTTCTTAAAGATGAATAAACCATGATATATCTTCCACGGGATGGCCTCTGGGATTTCACGAAGCACAGGACTAAATAGAGAATAAAAAACTAAAGTATAGTGTTGGCTTAATAACAATTATGTTATTACATTTATGTAAACTTATAGAAAGAAGTTTTATAAATTAACAGTCAATAAAAGAAACATTTTGACTTTTTTCGGTTAATAATATTTCCACATTTCCATAATTACTGGAAGATTGAAGTAATTGAAAATTCAAACTTTCAAAGAAGTTTGAAGTTTGCTGTGTAGGTTAAATCTTTATGTATTGGCTTTCCCTTTACAAAACAGTTTCCTGCATGTTTCTGCACAACCAGCATTTTAATACAGATTTCATATTTGCCCACCAAAACCCACAGCAGCCTACACTGTGGTCTGGTTGATGGAAAACATCTGATGCTGCTTAAAAATCATCAAGGAAATACACCCGTGTGGAATCATAACTCTCACCTCACAAAGCAAACAACCTCGCCTTGGTCATTCGTTACACTGTTCCATTCCCTATATGGCAAATCACAAATTGTTCCTTGTACCCCTAAACAACTTTATATAACATATGATTAAAGCCTGTAACTGATACAATTGAATGCTATTGTATTATTGAACTCTAAGTATTATTGGGAAGTAATTATTGGGAAATAATACTTAGCTAAGCATGAAATGTGACATATTATATAATTTAGGACTTACCAAATTCCGGGCAATGAGTTAACTGTTTTACATACTTAGTCCCTTTACTCCTCAGAACAAACCTACAAAGAGGAAAGTTAATTTACTGATTAAGAAATTGAGAGTTGTAGTTAAGTAATTTGCACACAGTTAGAAATAAATGGAATAGGAATTGAAGCCCAGACGGAGTAAATCTAACACCCATCCTCTAAACCACTGCACTAACCTGCTTTGAGAAGAGAAAAAAACAAAAAACAACAAAAAAAAAACTGTGACAGGAAGAAACAATGGCAGTTTGAACAGCAATGCAAATAAATAGGATATGTCAAATGCAGTGATACTCACCAACCAGTCAGTTTAGATATATCTTTCCACACTCACCAACATGCAAAGAATGATGCTTCAAACCACAGGTAGAT
Source organism: Homo sapiens (assembly GCF_000001405.40). Lineage (NCBI taxonomy): Eukaryota > Metazoa > Chordata > Mammalia > Primates > Hominidae > Homo > Homo sapiens. The sequence goes on from NC_000008.11 coordinate 120,803,182, forward strand.
GTAGTCGTTTATAAAAAAGTACTGAGCTAAAAAGTATGGGTCATCATTTTAATTTCCAACATAATCACTATTAATCATAAGCTTTTCCATCTTGTCTTTCCCTGTTTGAGAGTGGCGCTCACTTGCATGAGTCTGTTAGGGCATTGATTTTGTGGTGGGTATTATATATTTTTGTCTTAAGTCTTAACTCTGCAGGCCAGAGCTAAAGGCAAGCATCATTATAGGTCAAGGCCAGTGAAGTGGGTAATGAGGTTTGGTATATAAAACACTTGGTATAAATGCAGGGGAACTTCTGGCTTTTAGAAAACATTAACAGCTTTGAAGTGCATCATTTGAAATGGAACGCTTAGTAGGCCAGTAGCTACCACAGAATAATTTTCCTTCACCAAACAGACCACTGGTAGATTCAGCTAGAAGCTTTTCACAAATATGGAGCCATGTGGAGTGAGTTATTTTTAATACACACTCCATGGGGTGACTGCTAAAATGCACCACTGAACATGAAGAGCATTTCCCAACCACAGCAGAAATAAGGAACTGAAGGGCTGTTCTGACCAGCTTCACGGAAGGAAAATGGTCTGAATTCTCACATTGCTACATATGCTTAAAAAAGAAGCAATTAAAATATCTAAGCAGACAGTTTTCATCTCCTCAGGTAGAAAGCGTTCTTACATATTCAGACTTGTAGGTCCCTGAGCCATAGGGGGTCAAAAGAAAGGTGGTTATGAATACCTGTATAACATTAAAAGGATAATTACACTACCTATACCTTTTGTAATCATGTCTGGCTCCTCTTTCGTCAACCATCTTTAAAGACTGGCTTAAATTAAATGTTTCCTAGGTCTATAAAGTCATTCTTTATTCCTCTACAGAACAAGGTATAGCTTTCATTATACCATGTCTAATGTTTACCACCACAGTCCAGTAGTATGAGTGGTGGATGATGTGAGTCATAAAACGGGCAACTAATCTTCCAATTCTTTCTCTCCCTTTCCTCCTTCTTTTCTTTCTCTCTTCCCCTTTCCTTTCCTTCCTTCCCTCCTTCCCTTTCTCCCTCCCTTTATTCCTTCCTCTTTCCTTCCACCCATCCATTCATCCACCCTTTAGCATTTTTTCCTTTCTAACACATTTTAACAGCCTAATATGTTCCAGGCACTGTGCTAAAGGCTAACTTGTATTGCTAATCACCGGCTCAAGTACTTCATAATCAGCCTCAAATACCCTACCTCCTCAATTACTTGAAGCTCCCTGAAATCAGAAGCCATGCCTTATACCGCTTTAACTTCCTTTTGTCCACCCACAGTGTCTTCAGTTTGTGTAGTATACAGCAGGATGGGCCTGATGAGGTGTTAGATCATCTGATTTCCAGCACCTGTTTGGAGAGTAGGAAGTCACCTACTCTCTGGCACTTCCATTTTACTAGAGCCTTACCAACCTCATGTTACTCTAGAGGGTGATCTACCTTAAATGCAAAACTGAGCATGACATTTCCCTGCTTAAAACTTTACCCTCAATCTGAAATTAATTCTGTAATACGCCCCCCCAAGGCATGGTCCTCAATTCCTTACTTTTTTTTCCCCACTCTTCCCCCTCAGTAGTCTGAAGGTCACATTCTGCCCTCTTAGCCACACTGAGCTACACATGAGGCCCAGACTCTTTCTTAGGCTACCTGAAGGCATTTGCCTTCTATAATGCCCTGTCCAAGAGCAGACCAGATACCCTTCCCATGGGCTACCACAGCATCTCATAATGCCCATAATGTAGCCATTTTTCCTCCCTCTTGTAGGTATCTGCATGGTACTTATCTGTATCTGTCAATAGAATGTTGCTTCTTTAGGGCAATGTTCTAGTAGAGTATAGTACATAAAAGACACTCAATAAATTAGTTGTTAAAAGAGCAAATATATAAATCGATGAGAAACTCTCTTGCAATGAGAGAGGAAGCGATTATTTATAAAGGTGCGGTTCATCATCTAATGACTACCCAGGACATTTCTTACCATTACAACTTCAGCAAACTAGATTTGGTAGGCAGAAGAATGCCCACCCTCTCCTCCAAACACACCCACGTCCTGGTCTTCTCCAGATCGTGTGAATATGTTAACTTACGTGGCAAAGGGGAATTAGGGTTGAAGATGGAATTAAGGTTGCTAATGAGATGACATTTAAATGGAGAATTATCCTGGTGTGTTTCTTAGTGACCAAAGTAATCACAAGGGTCCTTAAAAATGAAAGGGAAGCAGAAAAGAGACTGGAATGATTTGATGTGAGAAGGAATTAGACCGCCATTGCAGGCTTTCAAAATGGAATGGGACCAAAAGCCAAGGCATGTGGGTGGTCTCTAGCAGCTTCTGGAAAAGATTTAAAAATAAAAATTAAAAAAAAAAGGTTCTCCCCTAGACATCCAGAAAGGAATAAAACTTTGTTGATAATGTTAGTTCAGTGAGACCTGTGTCAGACTTCGGACTTTAAAAACTGTAATAAATGTGTGTTGTTTTAATTTACTAGGGTTTCTAGTAATTTGTTATAGCAGCAATAGAAAACTAGTACACCAGAAAAGAAAACAGAAGACCAATGCTGACAAATCATTCCAACCTTTGGAGCTTCACTTTCCTAATCAACAAATTGGGGATAAGCATCCCTTATCTACTTATCTCCTAGGGCCATTTATGAGCATTAAAAGCTATAAGGCCTGTGCTTGAATCTAAGACTCAGCACTTATTCACGGTGTGTTTTTGGCAAGTGACTTAAACTCTGTGCCTCAGTTTTCTTGTCTGTAAAATAGGGATACGAATAGCATTGGGATCCAGGGAGTTAATCCGTGTAAAGTGCTTAAAACAGCATGTGGCACAATGTTTTGCATGTGTTAGCTATTATTACATTCGAAAAAGAGTTTGCAAAAGGTTAGGCACTACAAAGTGACGAGGCAGAATTAGCATTCTTACAGGACACCAGTTCTCAAGAAGGTGGGGGGGTCCACACCTCCCTCCAGAATGGCAGTTCAGAAATTTATGAAGGCTTTTTAGCAACGAAGTGCAGAAGGGGTGTCACACTGCTGGCATTTAGTGAAGGAAGCCAGGGAACCTGGAGATCCTGGAACACCTGGGGTAGTCCTTCACAGTGAAAGGCTTGTCTAGCTCCTAAATGTAAATGATGCCACACAGCCCTACTCATCTTCATGTGCAGCCGTGCATTGGTAGTGATTTAACATAAAGGTGCGAGCATCTAACTCTTTCATTATGACCTCTGATGTAGTTGTGTCCATGCATTTATCTATTGAAACATGGTTTTTGTTTTAACAATTTATTTTATTTCTCCTTTATATTACTACTAGGGCGTTCTATTGATGTTTAAACTTAAAGTAGAGTTAGGCTATGTTATTTGTGAAATTCACTTTACAATAATAAAAGGGGTGTTAAAATTTTGTTATTAGTGATGTGCACTGGGTCTGAGTTTATAGGATTTAAGACAGAATAAGGTTAGAGATGGCTTAACCCAGCTCCCTATGCTTTCCAGTAAAGAAAACTAAGCCCTAAAAAGATGAAATTTCTTGTAAAAGTGAAACTAGTAGAAGATAAAAACCTAGGTTTCAAGACTTGAATCCCAGGGTATTGGGTATTCTTCAAGAATCTGTACATCCTAAATAAAATAAGATTCCTTAAAATTCAAATTTTCTTCCAATCCTGATATTTTATTCCAGAAAATCACTGCCCCTCCCTTGCTCCCATCTTCCTCCTCGATCATTCCCACTTCCACCCTTGGAGAAAGTGATTGTGACAGCGAGGTTCCAGACCATCTCAGGCAAACATTCCAGGGGAGCACTGCTGAAGGGGAAGCTCTAACGGACAGGGTTAATGTCAACAACTGTCCTTGACTTTCTTCTTTGAGTTTCCACTGTTTCCAGTTCAGTTCCATAGGAGACCTTTGGGATCAAAGGATTATTCAGTGCACTCCACCTCCATACTCCAACATGAGTCTTCCAGAAGATTCTGACTCCTTGATCTCAACAAAGTTATGGATAAATTAATTTCCTTGTAGCTTCAGTTACAAAAAAGTCGACCTATTTCAAATTACTATTTTACTATCAATCCAAGAGCAAAAAACTCCTCTGTCCCCCCTGACCTGGAGCTGCCAAGGACGTTTGTGCAGGTGCACTGTGCCCAGCTCCAGAGGGTGCGATTGACACTATGGTCTATGTGAATGCTGTTGCTGGAATTACAGGTCCAATACCTGCATGGCTGGATGCGCAGTCCCTGCCCCTACTCCTTAAAATGAGAAATGAGCTTGTGATGTGAAGATTCCTGATCTTAACTTTAATGAAAATTGTCTAAACACCGGCTTAACTGGCAGAGTTTATTCACGATATAAGTTTGGATTACATTTAGTCTCCTTGCTGGCCATGTGTTTAACCATGGTAGGGCTGGGCCATGTTACAGCAGCTTCGTTTTGACAGCAGACATTTAGTGCATTAGGTTTTTAAGACTCACTCCTCCTTCCCGTCCCTCCCTTTTGAGTGGCCCACACAATTGCTGTTTCCTGCTGATTTGTCCCCAGCACTTCAGGAGTGGGGCAGAAGAATGCTTTGAACCCAATAACTCCAACCAGTTCAAGTACACAGTTCCAAGTGGAAACTCAGAGCATCAGTATTGCCTAGAGGTTAAAAGTATAAGCTTTCATATCAGATAGATTTGGAATGCTCCTGGCTATGTTACATTATTTATATTTATATTTTTTATTTTTTTATTTTTTTTGAGATGGAGTCTTGCTCTATCGCCCAGGCTGGAGTGCAATGGCACAATCTCAGCTCACTGCCACCTACACCTTCTGGATTCAAGAGATTCTCCTGCCTCAGCCTCCCCAGTAGCTGAGGTTACAGGCATGGGGCACGATGCCTGGCTAATTTTTGTATTTTTAGTCAAGACAGGGTTTCACCATGTTGACCAGGCTGGTCTTGAACTCCTGACCTTGTGATCTGCCCACCTCAGCTTCCCAAAGTGCTGGGATTATAGGCGTGAGCTACCGTACCGGCCACTATGTTACTTTATGCAAAAAACTTAATGTCTGTAAGCTTTAATTTCCTCATCAGGAAAATGAATAATAACAACAGTACTGGCCTCAGTTACTGTTAAGTGTAACAGGTAAAGCCTGGCACATATTAAGTGCTCAATAAATGTTAGCTATTGTTATGATTCTCTTTCTCCAGGTTCTGTTTAACTCCTCTGGTCTCACAGGAATGGTCTCCCAGCATTACACCATAGTACAAAAAAAGTGTTATAAAAATGAGAAATATAAACTCCAGTAAAGGAAAAAGATAGAACTGTCCTTGAGAAGGGATAGTTTCATGTTCATTTCATTTGAATTGTAAAACTAACTACTTCCAGCGGATATTTGATATACGCCTTTCATTCTCATTGTGTTCTTCCATACAGCAGCCCTGTAAAGTAAGCAGGTCCAGCAGATTTCCTTATTCCCATCTCGCGGATGAAGACACTGAGACTCAGGGAGGTTATGTTAATTCTGTGGCGGAATCTATGCCTAGAATGCAGGCATTGAAACTTTTCCAGGGTTTCACTTTACAGGGTGTTCCACTTGTAGAGGTAGTAACTCTCCACCAGGGGGCGCATGTCATGCGGTGGGGTGCATACAGGCGGTGGTTGGAGTACTAAACTAATCTCCATTTACTCCCCCAATAAACAAACAAAAAGGAATCTAGGTTTTTTTAAAAAAAAGGGTGCACTTGCTATATAAATGTACCTTTAAAACATCTCCCTTTGCCCTGCCATACAACCAGATTACATTTTCAAAGCCTCTCCTATGTAGAAACTCTGGAATCCACACTGCATTTCAGAATACGAAGAAGTAGGTATGTCTTCTTAAAAAGCCCTTGAGGTGATCCTAATAAGCCCCCTCAAATGGGAATCCCTGTATTAGACTAAGCTACAAAAGAGAGGATTGTGATATTTGACTTGATGGTATTTGATGACTACCATTGCATTGAGAATGAACACTTTGGCTCAGAATAAGAGACGCTGTTTTGAGCAGGGCCTCCGCTTCTCTCATTAGCAGCTGATTTTGAAAAACTTGGGCTGAGGATAAGGCTGCTACACTGAGCCAAAAAGGTTCATATCTCAGAGACCCACAGGGTTTCTCCAGAGGTCCTGCCTGTGACAAACCACAAAGTGTTCTAAGAATGTCATATTAGAGGTTTTTACAAAACTCACTTTTCAGTTTCTGTTTCAAGAAAGTCACATAACTGCTTGATTTTTTTTCTTTCTCTAAGTTTATTTTCAATTGCAGAGAAATTTCTTCCTCTTTTTGGGTGAGAGATATTTTTTACCTCTTTGCCAAGTCATTATTCATTAAAAGAGGAAGAAAAGAAGGGACATTATAAAGTATGGTACCTAAAATAAAATGACCCGCCTTCCGCCCCACCCCAACCCCTCCTCCAGTATTTACAGTAAGTATTGCAAACCGAGCAGGTGCCCAACAGTTTATAGTCCAAATAACACTTGCCCCAGATCCCACCTGCCCCTTGTCACACAAACCAACACACACTTGAGTCAAGCAAACTTTTTTTCTGTTATGTTAATCATCAAGCCAAAGCAAACAGCTTTCCACTTTCTGGGTCCAGGGTGGCAATTGACTATGAAGACATCGCAAATCCTCTAGACAAACAAGGTTGGTGGGGGAGGATTTCTCTGCATTGTGGGCCAGGAGGTGGACCGTGACATACCAGGGAGTTGCATCAGCTGTCACACACTAGTGATGCTGGCACCCTTACTTTAAACTTTCTCAGTTTCACACACTAGTGCCACGACTCGGTAAGCAGGAAATTGACTTAAGTCCTTAGTTTAGGGCTTAAATCAATCACCATATTACAAGGTCTCAGCTGAAACAGTCTATTTCAATAGCTACGGGCTCATTTATTCATTTACTCAGCATGCATGTCATGGAGCAACTAAGCTCAAGAGAGACTCACCACTAAATAAAAGACTCCAGATACCGCAATCTACAGCTAGGCTAGGCTGAGTAAATAGATAAAATAATTACACGTTATTAGTGCTGACAGAGGTATGTACACAGCACTAAAGAGAAGAGAAACAAGTGAGAAATGCAGCTGTAGGCAGACAGGAGAATTCAGTTTACTACCATATGCCCTTCTCCCCCACATAACTCAACATAGCCATGAACAGTGCAAAACGGTGGTTCCTATTCTATTCACATTCAACAATGAGGGGACTGGGGACATCAGATCTCAAGAGAGAGAGTAGTTTCTAGGCTCTTCGCACGCAGGGGAAACTGTTTACAAATGCAAAGTTGTTTCCACACCACTCAGAAAGGGCTCCAGAAAACGCAGACAGAAAAATCACTTCACCAGCTCTCAACCCAGAGGAACCTGGAATCCAGACTGACCGGCCAGATGCCCGGCAGGGAGAGCGAATTTTTCCCAAAACTGCAACATATTCCCCGGCCCCTGACATAACTCTCCAGGCATAACCCTAGTCCCCCATTTGCAGGGGGAACGTCCAGAAGGATAGTCGGAGTTTTAGCATTCACAATATTGCCACCTCTCTCTCACCCCTTTATGAGTCAACCCTCTTCTGCTGGGCTGCCCAGGCTTTGGAGTGGGAAATTTTGCCAAAGCGGAAAACTATGAGTTGCAATTACGCAGTAGCCCTGCTTGGCAACGTTGGATGTAGGAATATTCTAAGTTCACCCTTCATTCTCAATTCCATATCCCAGTCCCTACACTCTACCAGGATTATCCGCAGATAAAAATGAAACAACGTATACTAAGCAGGCAATCCGGCTGGGAAACCCTGCTAGCCTCGCTTTTCCATACACCCCTCCTGGATTAAAGCCTGGAAAGACTGCGGGCTGGAGACAAATTGCCCCCAGGGTGGGTAAAAGTTGACAAAACTCTATGCTGCCACCCCCTGCGCCACCCTTCCCCCCCCCCCAACACACACACACCCGGCCCCCTGGGGTGTGTCCGCATGTGGCCGAGTGAGTGTGAGTGTGAGCGTGCGGGTGGGAAGCCGAGCAGGTGTGTGCGCGCCCGGCGCGGCCCGCGCGCTGTTAACCCCTTACCTTCCAGCAGCACTTCCTTGCCCGCGCGCTTCAACGCCTGCACCGCCTCGTCGTGGGTGGCGTCCCGCAGGTCGGCTCCGTTCACGGACAGGATGGCGTCGCCCACGTACAGGGCTTGGGTCTGGTCCGCCGCCAGCCCCTTGAAGATCTTGCTGATGAGGATGGGCATCTTGTTCTCCTTGCCCCCCTTGATGCTGATCCCCAGCCCGCCCAGCTCCTGCTTCAGCACCTTCACGCCACGCTTCTGGTTCGAGATGGACTCGGGCACCTGCTCGGGCAGGTCGGTGAAAGCGGTGCGGACCCCGGCGGGCGAGTCCGGGGGCTGCGCGCCGCCCGCGCCCGGGTGCCCAGCCCCGGCGCCCCTGCAGAACGAGCCATTGGTGGCGGTCCCGATGCCGTTGTACGCCGCAGCGCCCTCCTCGCTGCTCAGAACCAGGGCGTCCTCGCTCAAGTTCACCAGAACTTTGTGCCAGCGATCCCGCACCAAAACTTCCAGCAGCCCGCTCCGCTGCGCCCGGCCGCCTCCCGCGCCAGCCGGCCCAGCCGCCGCCGCCGCCGCCGCTACCGCCATCTTTCCGGCATTCTTAAAATGCCATGTGATTGGAAAAGGGGGGAAAAGTGGGGAAGGGTGGCCGGGGGGAGGACGCGGGGCCCGGGGGAGCGAGGAGAGTGCGTCCCGCGGGGAGGTGGCGGCACGCGGGACTCCGCTCCGGGAGTTCGCAGACGCACTCGGCGGGAGTTGGCAGCTGCACTCAGGCTGGTTCCCCCTCGCCTGATCCTGACCGGGGTGGAGCAACCTAAAAGAAGAAGGAGAGACCGAGACAGGGGAGGGGAAAAAAGCCAGCAGCCAGTTGCAAAACCCCAAAGCAAGGGGAGCCGCGGAGCAGCTCAGCGCTGGAGAGAGTCCGTGGGAGGAGGCACGCTGGCGGTGAAGGGCGGGGACCCACAACCCAGCGGCCGCTCACCTGTTCCAGCCGCCGCAGCCTCGGCGGTCACACGCCACCCGCCCGCCCAGACCTCCCCTCCTCTGTCCCCAGAGCGCACGACGCCGCGGGGACAGCTTCCCGAGCGCCTTCCCCGTCCCGCTTCTCTCCAGCCCACCGCAGCCCCCTTTCTTCCCAGCTCCCCCACTCCGTGGGCGCCCACACTGCACCTTCGCCGGGTGCGTGCGTCCCGCCTCGGTGCCCTCACTCGGTCCTCCTGAGCCGACTTCCCTTTCATACCCAGCCCGTAGAATTGTCCCTGGGTCTTAACAACTCATTTGTAACTGATCCAGGTCTCCTCCCTCTGCTTCCTCAAACCCAGGCTTCGCTGCCTCTGCGGAGTTCTTACCTGTCTCTCCTTTCCACCCGGGTTCCCTGGAGGAAGCTAAACTCAGACCAAGGCCCTGGGCTCCCCAGGAGTTAAAAGGGAATACGCTGTCCCAAGATTCTAGAATGAAGAGTCAACGTAGCCCGAGTGGCTTAAACCTCCTGTCCTTAAATGCAAGAAATGTTTTCTATCGAGCCCTGGACAGGTGTCTCTGCTGGCCTGGGGTTTTCAACAGGTCATGCCTGCCTCAGACCCCAGGGACAAATGTTCTTCCAGCTCTAACTCATTCTATGCTTTAAGCTTTTGACCTATCTTTGTTTTCCCAGTGCCACACCAAATGCTGCCTGGGGATCTCTCTTTCTTCCTGAGTTCCCATATAAGAAGCCCCCCATTTAAGAATTCAGTTGGAATGGGTTGTATTTCAAAAGTTGCTTTGCAAGTTAGTTATTTGGATTTCAAGTTGCATTTTACCAGGGTAACAATATTATAATGATTGTTTACCTTCCCAGAGCAATCCAGAAATGCCCACATAACCCATGTCACACCTGAACCACCCTGAGTTCTTCTATCCTTGAACCTCTCAAGCTTTCCCCTAACTCTAAGCAGGTCTCATGGTCCACTCAAGGTGTTTCATGCTTCTCAGTTACGTCCCCTTCCCACTGCTGTCTACCCTCTCTCCAAACACAACACAAAACAAACCCACAACAGTTCTGTTAATTCCTGAAGTAAACCCAACCCAGCAAGGTGTTGAGAGGAAATAAATCTTATTGAACACATTCCCATTGATGTGTATCATCGTTGAAAGTTCTCTAAGTCTTTTAGAATGACTCACACTTTTAATCAAGGAGGCTTAAAGGCTCAGATGACTCCCTAAAGAGCGGAGTCCCAGCCAGGTCAAGGAATGAAATGAAAACATTTGGACATTTTCTTGAGAAGGCGGAGTCACTGCAGGTGAGAGGGTGCCCTGGGTTAATGCTTCTGCTTGTAGCTCTCCCTTTTCGTATATTTTTAACTCACCCATTTTCCAAAAACTCTTTACTCTTTCATGCAAAGATGGCCAGAGCAGGGATGGCAGTCTCAGGGGCTCTCCAGCCCTTTGTGATGTGCAGAATCAGACAAGGAGCTAATATAGATGGTACCACCATCCACTCTCAGGATGGAAAAGCAGCTGAGGCTGGCCCCTTGCTTTAGAGACTGAGGACTCACGTGCATCATTCTTCAGTGAAACCAGAGCCTGAGTATCTGCGTTGAAATCCAGATACACTAAGGTTGAGATAGGCACCAGAGTGCCAGTGTGAAGATTTACAAATCAAAACAGATCCACTCCTGGAACAGAAATCCTGCATCAACATCATGCCTGCATCTTGCCTCTGTGGACAAGCAATGTGGGAGGCCCAGGCACAACCACAGATTATGTATCGATTTGCCATAAGAAATTGTAGGCTCTGGGATGAGAATTTCTCAGAATCTCTGTGATAAGCACATTTTTTTTCTATGTAAGCAAACCTACATGGGAAGGAGTATGTTGCTTTTTGAAAGTTGCATCGGAATGAGAGGAGACAATTATTCAGCCTGAGGCATGTATGTTAGCCAGAGATGGCTTTGCCACTGGAATCATAATTACAGCCCCTATTCTAAATGCTTTACACATATTAACTTAATCCTCCCAGCAATTCTTGAGGATATTTACTATTACCGTCATTCCCATTTCACAGGTGAAGAAGGGGACTAAGTTAATAAGTTGCCCCTGTCATGTAATTAGTAAATGGCAGAGTCAGGATTTAAAGCCAGCTGTGAGAGTCTAGACTCTAAACTGTTGCTCTTACACTCTTGAAAATCCTCAAAGCCTGTTAGCTACAGCCCCTGTGTTCATCTGCACACTGAAGCCAGCCTTTCCACTGGGAGGGAGACACTGAGGAGGAAGGCCCTTCCCCTAGACCATATGGAGAAGGGTGGAACCAGCTGATGCCTCTGGCCTTTCCTTCTTTCCAAGGTTGGAGAACACCCTGCCCTCCCCAAGTCGACACATTTTTTTTCTATAGACATGTTAACAAGTTGAAACTGGTGACTTATGGTCTTATTATACTTCGCCTGTCTTTTTTTTTTTTTTTTTAAAAACTTATGGCTAGGCGCAGTGGCTCACGCCTGTAATTCCAGCACTTTGGGAGGCCCAGGTGGGCGGATCACCTGAGGTCAGGAGTTCAAGACCAGCCTGGCCAAGATAGTGAAACTCCGTCTCTACTAAAAATACAAACATTAGCCAGGTGTGGTGGCGGGCACCTGTAGTCCCAGCTACTTGGGAGATGGAGGCAGGAGAGTTGCTTGAACTCGGGAGGCAGAGGTTGCAGTGAGCAGAGATTGTGCCAGTGCACTCCAGCCTGGGTGACAGAGCGAGACTCCGTCTCAAAAAACCCCAAAAAACAAAAAAAAACTTTTTAATTTTAGGTTCAGGGGTACATGTACAGGTGTTTTATATAGGTAAATTGCATGTCACAGGGTTTGGTGTAATAACTCATATAATAAGCATAGTACCTTATAGGTAGTTTTTCAATCCTCACCCTCCTCCCGTCCTGCACCCTCAAGCAGGCCTGGGCGTTTGTTTTTCCCATCTCAGACAACTCCACATATCTGGCCTCTGATTGTTAATGCTGACTCTCAAAGGCGTACCTTATTGACCTCATTTTTCAGTTCAGTAAGGCTGGGACAACTGCACTGCAGCCCCATACTGTGTATAATTAGGAAAGCATGTACTCTCTTAGGTGTCCCCTTTCAGAGAATGGTCACTGGAATGGTCTGAAGCGACCTCCAGCTTGCTTACTCATAGATGTGGCATTTGAAGCTCAGAGCAGAGCAAGGAAGGATTCAAGGCCACACTGTAAGTTTGTGTCAAAGCTGAGTCTAGGAACAGTCCAACTTCAGGATTCAGGAAATTATACCTAAAGCCCCCTTTTTACCAGATTTCTTTCACTGAGCTCTCTTTCCCCTGTTCTGTATCCTCTTCCAGTCCTAACTCTGATTTCCATTTCCCACCCAGCCCAAACTGGGATCCTTCTGTTGCTCTTTCCCATGAGATAGCATTTTCCTACAGATATTTGGATGGATTTAGCCTTGTAAGAGTAGGTCACACAATCTTCAGCCGCACAGTAGCCACAGATACATAACAGAACAGTATCATGTGGGGAAAGAACCATCTTCTGTTTATTCCATAAAATTTTGTTGTGCCCCTACCATGTCCCAGGCACTCTTCTTGGTGCTGGGATACGGGAGTGGACAAACCAGCAAAGACTCTCTCTGTGAAGCTTGCATTGTAGGGTAGGGTGGAAGTGGAGATGGACTATAAGCACATCAGATACTTTCATGTAGAAGTAAATGCTAGGAAGAAAAAACAGTCATAAAATTGAGAGCTGCTGAGGACCAGGGGCTACTGGAGATGTTGGCTATTAAGGAAAGCCTTTGTGAAAAGGTGACATTTAGACTGAGACATGAATAATAAGAGGCAAGCCTTGTAAAGAGCTAGGAAAGAGGGTCCCAGGGAGAAGGAAAATCCAGTGCAAAGCACCCGAGACAGAACCAAGCTGGTCTGATTCAAAAGACCCAAAGGAGGTCAATGTGGCTGGGGCAGCCCATGGGAGGAAAAAAGAGGTAAGAGAGGAGATCAGAGAGATAGGTTTGACCAGGCCACAGCTTGAGGCCTTGGAGGATCATAACACAGACCATCTTCCTTGTCCTCTTTGAGTTTCAACAACCATATGTTTTGGGTTTTGAAGAACAGTGCTGTTTTCAAAAATTACTTTCAATTACCTGCTAAGTAAATTTCTACTGATTAGAATATGTGCTCCAATATTTCAGTTTGGAAAATATGATCACTGTGCTTTTGATAGTGTTTTGTGAATAACAGATTGAGCATCTTTAAGGGGATTTTTCCAGTGCATATAGAATGGAGAGTGGATACAGTGTGAATACTGGAGAAGAGGAAATGGAGAGCTCTTTGATATCTATGGGTATGTTAGAGACCAGAATGAAAGCGGAGCAGGAGGGGTTCTTGAGATGCAAAACTCCCAAGATGAGGCCTGCCTATTTAAACAGGTATCAACCCACACTTTCTGAGCATATACTTTGGTAAATAACTTAGGCAGGTGCTGGAGACAGGCACACCCAGGGATGCAAAGATGATCAAGACAGGAAGACAGACATGTACACAAAGAGCCCACAGGGAGAATTAGGTAGCTGCAGTGCTGAGAGTGAAATGAGTCTGGAAGCAGCCAGCCTCCAGATTCCAAATCCCAATGCTAGATTAGTGATTCTTATTTTAAAGGTAAAGCACTGAGAATGGGGGATGGCACATAATTAGAAGGCTGAGTGGTTTCTTTCGTCTCTGGTGTGCCCCAGTTGGCTAGCAGGTATGTCACCATTTTAAAAGGATTGGGAAACTCTCCCTATTGCATATACCTGCATAGACCTGGGCAAGTCCTTGGTAAACTAGATAGACCATCACCCAGACTCTCAGCCAACCAGTCAGTCAAGTGAGAGTTATTTGACTGCTCACTATGTTTAGAATTTGATTGTGGGGATGTTTTCAGGCTTAACCTAAGGCAGAGTTGTAAAGTAATTAGTTGTTTATCCTTCATCGTCTGTTATTGATTTCTACTCTTTTTACTTCTCTTCTATAACAATCACTGTTGAAACAAACTTTGTACTAGTATTTTGATATCTATGGTATAAATTTGTCATTTTTCCTCAGGGATTATACATTTGAAACTGTGGAATTGTAGATTCCATTTGGCAGACATGTCAAACATAACAGATCTGTGAAATCCTAATAGAAATCTATCTCACTACATACTAGAAACTTCAGCAAATGGGCCTAAGTAGGTATATCAGATGTGGAAAGTAAAAAGGAATAAGAAATCAAAGTTTCACCCATATGCATCTTTAAAATAATATGAAAAGAAATTTGAAATAACTATTTCAGGGCCTTGCTAAACTATTATTACTCTTCAGATTGCAAAGGAGATTGGTTATTAAATTACTAGGAGAACATTTGCCATCGGGGTCTATATGTGAGGAGACCTCTGCATCCTTTCTCTACCATCTCTACTTCCTTTATGGAGTCATTTCTGTGTCTCTCCCTTGATTCATGAGAAAGGGCAAATTTCTTTTCTTACTCTGTATCATAACCTGCTGGCTCAGTTTTGTTTATAACTCACCTGACCCACTCCTCTCTGCTCCAGCAGTTTCCTTCCAGACACCCCCGCCCCATCCCTGGTTACCTCTTTGTACTGGACTCTTAGTCCATCAGTATGACTAGCACGAATTCTCTTATATCCTAAATGGATATCTCTGCCTTCTGTTTCTTAACTATAACTGAAACTTGGAATAGTCCCCAAATACCACATCCTTATCCCACTGCCTTCTCTGGCAAGGGCCTCAAGTTCTTCTACTGCTCTGGGAATCTCTTAAAGGTAAACCAAGACTTTTGCTGCCTAGGAATATTTCCAGATCATGGAATGTTTAGGGCCTTTCATTTTTCATCACTGAACGAACTGTAGCACTTTCTTTAAATTATTTTTTGTCTTTCCCCCTACTCTTCTAACAACATAGACATTTTGCAGTGACTTAAGGTACTGGCTCATGCTTTTCCTTTTCAGTGCATTCTTCACTATTATCAGTCAGACGTGAGTATCTTTAAGTAAATTGTAATGCATTTTACCTGAAGTGGTTTTGTGATTTGGAACTATCTCTTCACTTCTGGACTTTGGTTTCTTGCCTATAAAATGATAGAATTTGATTTGATGGTTTCATTGAGCCCATAATTTTGATTCTAATTTGGTAGAAAGGAAAGACATAGCAAGAATTAATGACCTAATAATTAGAAATAATATGAGATGATTTCAGTACTTTCAGGCTTTAGAATCTAAACTTTAGATGTCCAGCTTGTGCTTATGGCAAACAAATTGAGTTTCATGGAAAAGGTAGGCTTTGAGTTGAGTCTTAAATAAATTACAGCCTTGGAGCATAACAGAAAACATTCCTAGTAGGGAGACCAACTTGGTCAAAGGCAAGAAGAAAAAGGATGTGTGTTTTCTTCATTGAGCAGTGGGTTGACCAGCTTGGATGGGTTTGGGAAAGAAATAAGACAGTGATCTGGTGAAAAGATAGTGTTATTAGTCAGAATACTTGGCTCCAAATGATGGAATTTCAACTGACACTAAATGCCAATGGGAAATGCATTGGTTCACATAGCCAATCTGCTAGAAGATCAAGGGAAAAACGAGCCTCAAGTACAGCTAGAACGTGATACCAGCACACTGCATTTTCTTAGGCTGTACAAGGCTAAACCATGGCCACTGGCAGCTTCCAGGTTCATGGTACTCAGCTTGGCTTCCAGGAAGGAAAGGACCCTTTTCTCCTAATCTCAATTCGAGAAAACTTTCATGAAAAGAGAGGAGTTAGGTGACTCAGCTTGGGTTACGTGTCTATCCTTCTGAACACAGAGAACATGATTGACAGCCAAAGCCTCATGGCTAGAGTGGGGGCAATAAGCAATTCACCAAAAGAAAGCTATGTGTTTACCAGAACACATCTGGAAGCAGACTGGGCCAGATTAAATGATAGTTCTTCACTATGGATATGTTGGAACCTTACTGTAGAATTTATTTAAAAGCACTGAGAAGCCATTCATTCCTACTAATCAAAAGAGAGGTGTTATCAAAACAGATACTTGTGACAGATTGAGGAATACGTAGTTGGGAAAGACTGAGATGCTTTAGCATGATTCCTTGCACACAATAGGAATACAAGCCTTTGGCAAACTGAAGCAGGAAAACTACTTAAGGAGATTGTTCAATGGCCTAGGCAGGATGGCTAAAAATCAGTATTTGTGTGGAAATAAAAGAGATGGTTTTAAAAAAAGATTGAACAGCTCGTGATGATTTATTTGATAGAGAACTAGGAAAAGGAGAAGAAGCCAATGAAATAATAATTAGTTTTTATTAAACCTTTACACTGTGTTAGACTCTGTGTGTACTTAACATATACCATTGATTCCAGACAGAAATTATTTGAGGTAGGTAATATCATCCCCATATTACAGATGAGAATGTTGCACTCAACAAGTTCACACTTCCTATAAGCATTGGAGTTGGGGTTCAAACCTAGTCTAACTTACATCTGTTCTCCTCCAAAGCTTATGCTCATAACTGTTACAATATACTAGGCATGAACTTAGGTAGTCAGAAAGAGTGTGACAGAACTTGTCAGGAGATGATGTGAGTTCATTTTAGATTTGTCAAGTTTGAGGGAATAGTGGAACATGAAACAGGTCATGGCCTAACGGCATTATAGTCGAGGGCCTAGATAAGGGCATTTAGGTATTTGTTATGGTTTGAATGTATGTGTTCCCCCAAAACTCATGTCAGAATGTAAGACCCAATATGATAGTATTAAGAGGTGGGGCCTTTGGGAGTTGATTAAGTCATGAGAGTAGAGCCCTCATAATGCAACTGGCGACATTATGAAAGGGCTGGAAATAACTAGGTAGCCCCTTTTGCCTTTCTATCTCTTCTGCCATGTGAGGACACAACATTTGTCCCTTCTGGAAGATTCAGCAACAAGGTGCCATCTTGGAAGAAGAGACCAGTCCCTCACTAGGTGCCAAACCTGCCAGTGCCTTGATCTTGGACTTCCCAGCCTCTAGAGCTGTGAAAAATACATTTCTGTTGTTTATAAATTAGGCAGTCTGAAGTATTTTGTTCTAGCAGCACAAACAGATTAAGACAGTATCATTTACTTAGATGTAAAACTTGGAGGCCAGGAGGAAGAACACACATTTAAAGGCAAAATGCAATTGCTGTACTTCACTTCTGAAATGAAAATTCAAGCCCTTTGAGGTATCACAAAACACTGCATTTACATACAGTGTCCACTGAACTAAACTCCAAAAAGGCAACTGGATGTCTGAAAGTTCTCATCTGCCTGGTGAAGGGACAAAGAAAACCAAAGCAAGCAAAAGGCAGAGCTTGGAGACAGTCTAAGGCAGCTGCCTCCTTTTCCCATCTCCATGAGTATAAATATTTTGCACCACAGAGGAAGGAAATTGTAGTGGAAGTAGAGAGGGGAAAGAATTCTCCCAGGAACATACTACAATAGAATGGCAAATTTCAGGAATAGCCAGACTGACCAGTATAGAGAAGAGTGAAGAAAAATGCTTTCAGAAGTAATTTAAAGGAGAAAACAAATTATCATTGGCTAACTAGAATCTCTGTTTTTCATATGTTTATGTTGAATATTATTTATGCAGGGAAGGAACTATGTTTAAAGTTTTATGGCTATTATAGAATTAAAGAGCTTCAAGGTAACATCTAGAAGTTGTTCCCAAACTTTGGAGGGAATCAGAACCACATGGGGAGCATGTTAAAAATGTGAGTAACATATCTAATAATTCCTTCTACATTTATCAGCAGACATACTTCTGTAATGAAGAGCTTTCTCCCATATACAGCTATTTTTGTTGCCGTCGTTTTTACATTTCACTTCAACATAGATTCTTCCTTAATGTGCCATATTCATTACTATCATTCTGTTTGTTGTTTTGATATCCAAAATTTGGCCACTATGAGCCTCTTCAAGCTGACTCCTATATTCTTTTGACAGGTCCCCTTTGTCCTTAAGCATTTTTTGTTTGTTTGTTTTTTGCCTTCTGGCAGGATTAACTTATATTTTATCTGCCTAGTCCTGGTATCAGCCATTCCTTTAAAGATCCCTGATTCCTTTTAGTAAGAAAGGTCACATAGGAACCAAGATCTGGAGAACAAGTAAGAAAGGTCACATAGGAACCAGGTAAGCTTATTGCTACTAAGGAAGACAGAAGGCGTTCATACTTATATCACCAATTCAAACCTAACATCATAAGGTACTTCCTTACCTTTCCTTATTCACATTTGTATCTCCCAATAAGTGAGAAATTTGGTTTTCAAAAATACCAATAGATTAATTCAGTTTTCTGCGTTCTACAGTATAAAAGGAAATTGTTTCAGAATTATTGTTTCAATAGCAATACCAACAACAAAACTACCGAACAAGTTCAAAATTTCTTTGCAGTTTGTTTTGTTCTTATATATCCCAGTAAAAGTGCACAAAGTACCACATAGATGCTTGATCTAATCTACCATCTAAATACAGGCAAACAGGCAGATTCAGACTATGGGATATTCAAAAAAGCAAGTGGCTTGGGTTCTTCAAAAATGTCAAGTTATGGAAGACAAGAAGCAGGGTGGAATTGCTTCAAATGAAAGAAAACTAAAGCAACATGAATACCAAATAAAAGGCAAAATCTTGGATTAAATCATCAAAGAGGAACTACAAGGACTTTTGTGTGTGATGAAGAAATTTAAATATAGATTATATTTGAAAATATAATTGCATCAAAGTGAATTAAATTTCTTAAGTGTGATAATAGTATTGTGGTTGTGAAATGTCTTTGCTCTTAAAGTATATGTGCTGATGTGTTTAGGGGTGACATGATGTCAATAACTGACTTTCAAATGGAGAAAGAAAATAACTCTCTAGGAAATATGGTAAACTATAAACTAACTTTTAAATATAGAGACAGAAACAAAGAGGATGTAACAGCAAGAGAAAGAGATCCAAATGTGGAAAAATTAGCAGTAAGAGAATCTAGTAATGAATAAATGGGTTTATGCTGTATGATTCAACTTTTTGTAGGTTAAATTTTTTTTTTCAAAATAGAGTTGGGGATAATAATGCAGAAACCTGAGCCCCACCTCAAAACATTCTGATGATTGCGATCTTAGTGTCTGAAAATGTAAATTTTATCAACAGGATTCTGATGCAGATAAGATAGCATTTTAAGAAAGATTAAGAAGATACATCATGGAAACTCAAGGCCAAAGACTCTTCAGGATCATATATCCTTGGCTAAAGAAACAATTTCTTTTGCCAAGCCAACACTGAAATTTCCTCTACCAAGGAATCAGTGGTTCTAGATCAGTCAAACCCAAGAAGATAGAGGGTACTCAACAAATATTTAATAAATGGTTGGGCATGTTGTCTCATGTCTGTAATCCCAGCATTTTGGGAGGCCAAGGCGGGATGATTACTTGAGGTCAGAAGTTCAAGACCAGCCTGGGCAACATAGCAAAACCCTGTCTCTACAAAAATAAAATAAAATAAATAAACATTAGCTGGGTGTGGTGGCACAAACCTGTAGTCACAGCTACTTGGGAGGCTGAGTAGAAAGGATCACTTGAGCCCAAGATGTCCAGGCTGCAGTTAGCCATGATCACACCACTGCACTCCAGTCTGGGTGACAGAGTGAGACCCTGTCTCTTAAAAAAAAATATTGCTGGATAATTGTGAATGCTTAGTAGACTAGAAAAACAGAAAGGAACTGATTTAGTGCCCCATGATTGTTACTCAGGTATTTTCAGATACTTTCTCTGTTGTAGTCTTTCCAAGAAACCAGTAAGATATAGAATGATAATTTATTTTTATGTATAATAAAACTCAGGTTGAACAACTGTGAAGTCAAACTACCTAGATATAAATTCCAGTTACTTAATTTACTGACTCTGTAATACTAGGAAAAGTAACTTTTCTAAGCTTCCATTTACTTGGCTTTAAAATAGTGTTTCCAAATTATTTTTATCTCATAGGATTATTTTAAAGATTAAATAAAATCGTGCATGTAAGGCACTTGACACAGGACTTACCTAGAGTAAGTGATCAATAAATATTAACTAGTCTTACTATGTCTGAGATCACTGAGCTAATAAGTGGTAAACAGCCTAAAGTAAATAGCTTAAGACAAGTGGAAAGATTATTTTCTCTATATTTAGTTAAAATAATAGTGTAATGAATATAAATTCACATTGAATTCTTCAGCTATTTCTTTTCTCCCTTTTCCCTTGCCTCCCTCTCTTTCCTAAAACAAACTGAAATTTTTATCCTAAGGCATTACAGTTTCAATGTGTACAGGATGCTGAAGTTTCATAGTAAAGTGCAAAGACTGGCAAACTATTTTCCATGGACTAGCTACTTGATTTCATAAAGTTTCATTGGAACACAACCACACACATTCGTTTACATGTTGTCTATGGCTACCATTCATGCTACAATGGCAGGCAGGGTTGAGTAATCCTGACAGAGACCATAAGGCCTGCAAAGCTTAAAATATTTGTAACTTGACCATTTACAAAAAAAGAATAACACCTGCTCCAATGTCTTAAAATGCTTAGAAAAGGACTGGAGCAACTTTAAAAGCAGGTAAATCTGGAAGTTAGGGTAAGGGGCGCCAGTCTGGCAAATACAGTCAGGTATCACTTAATGATGGGGATATGTATTAAGAAATACATTGTTAGGCAATTTCTTGTGCAAATAGCATAGAAGGTACTTAAACAAATCTAGATGCTGTAGCCTACCACACACCTAGGCTATGGACTAATTCCTAGACTACAAAATTGTATAGCATGTTAGACAATTATAACACAATTGTACGGGATCACTGTCATGTATGTGGTCCTTCCTTGACTGAAACGTCATTAGATGGCTCATAAATGTAATAGACATTCCAGTCTATGCTATGGTGGCTATCATAATTATAAACAAAGGAAATAAAAAAGAGAATCTGAACCAACATTTGAGAGGGCCTGCAATTAACCAGTTTGCCATATCTTCTCATGCAAGCCTCATATCAACTCTGTAAAGCAGAAGTCATCCCAGTTTCATAAATGGAGACTTGGAACACAGAGAGATGAAGAAACCTGCTCAAGGTCACATTAAGTGTGAGTGGAAGGATTGGAATTCAGACTTAAGTTTGACAGAGTCCACATCTTGTCCCCTTTCCACTGGGCTTCAGTCAATTGAAACTCAAATTTTACATTCCTGATTCTCTGAGTCAGGGCCTTTAAAATTATTTTTAAAGGGAAGCCCCCAAGAGGATTAACTTCTCTTCTGAAGAGTGAGTCTGTCAGCCTTACATGGCTATGCTTTAAATTCTGTCCTTTAGGCTTCCTGAAAGGTTAAAAAATTGTGGCTGTTCCTCTTAGTCACCAACCCCAATGCCCCCAAGTCCGATCAGTGTTACATTGCAGTAGAAATTTCAGTAAGATTGCAAAACCTTTTACTGCCTTTTACTTTCTTTCCAGAAAGTTAACCAACTGAAAAATTTGTTTGGGGATATTGGGGATCCCTTCCTTCCTACTCCTCTCTCTCCTTTCTTTTCTTCATTCTCTCTTTTTTTTTAAGGGAGTGTTTCGTTTTGTATTTTCTACAATAAAATCCACTTAGAGTGAACTTAGATTTTGTCACAAAACATCCTTTAAAACCAGTGAGTTCTGAAATTCTTTCAAGGCAAAAATTATTATGATTCTTTGGCAAATGTGGAAGCTTGTAACCGAAGGAGAATGACGGTAGGTACATATTATATTTACATACATCACATATGTGATTATATCAGAATTTTGTTATTTATTTATTTATATTTTTTGAGACAGTGTCTCATTCTGTCACCCAGGCCAGAGTGCAGTGGTGTGATCACGGCTCACTGAGGCCTCTACCTCCTGGGCTCAAGCGATCCTCCCCACTCAGCCTCTTGAGTACCGAGGACTACAGGTGCATGCCACCATGCCCAGCTATTTTTTGTATTTTTTGTATAGATGGGGTTTTGCCAGGTTTCCCAGGCTGGTCTCAAATGCCTGGACTCAAGCAATCTGCTTGCCCCGGCCTCCCAAAGTGCTGAGTTTATAAGCATGAGCCACTGCACCTGGCCAGAATGTTTATTCTTTGCCTTCAAAAGGAAACATGTCCTCTTTCAATTTTCTTGAAACAATCTTCCCTCTAGCCTTCTATTCAGTTTTCCAAATTTTGATAGAGTCATAACTATAGGAGAGATATGTCTCTATTACAAGAAAACAATGCAAGTACCATAACAAATGGCCCCATGTTTGGGGAATAATCAGAAATGGTGAGAGAGATGTGCAAAACTAGGGAGTACAAACTTCACATAAAGGGGCAGCACTGCTTAGCTCCAGCCAGCAATTGCTGCCATTCAGGAAAGCACAGGGTTCAGATCTTCCAATTTTCTATGATTGTCAAGAAATATACTTTTAATTGATTTTTAAAAATTGCTCAAATTGTAAAAAATATCATTTGGCCCCACAAATAAAATAAAAGGCAAGCAAACCAAAAAGACTCTTGCAGACTGGATTTGGTCTTCAGATCATGAATCTGTACCTCCCAATTTAAGTAAGTGAATTGGAGGTCTGGATTTCTGTATGAGTCTCCAGGCTGTTTGCATAGGGCAAGTCTTGCCTCAACACTGTCATCCAGTCTCATGTTCTGATAGAGTGAAGGCCCTGAGTTCCAAGGACCACCCGCCCCTGCTCATACAATTAATGCAACCCTGCAACCCTGCAAAAGAGGCTTCTTGGCAGTGAGCCAATTGGCCTTCCTTCTGCTTCATAGCATGCTCCATTGACCTGCACCAGTGCTCCAACGCTCGGCAGAAATAAGGATGGCAGACACTTTGTTTTCTGCTGTATGATTCCACGTGAGACTAACTGCTTTTATATTAGGTTCTTTCAAAAAGGCAAGAAACAACTATCAGATAGTAATTTTCCACCTTTTTCTGAACTCCCAGTTGTCAAGTGACGAAGACTTCCACAGACTAGCAGTAGAATCAAATGTAAAAAAAACAAAACAACATTATGGAAAAAGCTTTAAAAATGGCACTTGGATAGAGACGAAGTTTGGGTTTACTTTAATCTATAGGGATGCTGGAATTCTCCTGATTTGGTTTGGCCATGTCCCCACCCAACTCTCATCTTGAACTGTAGCTCCCACAATTCCCATGTGTCATGGGAGAGACCTGGTGGGAGGTAATTGAATCATGGGGGCGAGTCTTTCCTGTGCTGTTCTTGTGATAGTGAATAAGTCTCAAGAGATCTGATGGTTTTACAATGGGGAGTTTCCCTGCACAAACTCTCTTCTGCCACCATGAAAGTCAGGCTTTTGTTCTTCCCTCACCTTCTGCCATGATTGTGAGGCCTCCCCAGCCACGTGGAACTGTGAGTTCATTAAACCTCTTTTTCTTTGTAAATTACCCAGTATCAGGCATGTCCTTTTCAGCAGCATGAAAAGGGACTAATACATCTATGCACTTTTAATTTTCTGTAAACATAGTCAACCCAGAGAAAAACATTTCTGGTTAAGCACCTGGCTTTGCTCCCAGAAGTGTTCCTAGTATTCTAGAAATTAACTTTAGCCACAGCAGGCTTAAGACAGGTGCAGGGGTTGAGTTTGGGAAGCAAGAAGACCTGGCTCATAGTAGCCTTGGGAAGTGCAGCTTGACCTCTGGTCATCCTGGAGAGGATGAAATTATGTCTGCATTTCAAGGCTTCAAATCCTAACAATGCTGGGAAACTGGGAAGTTTCCAGGAGAAACAGCCTGCCTCTTTCTTCCTTTCCTAGGTAATTACAAGAAGTGTAAGTTATCCAGCCATTCTCTGGTCTTTTGTTTTTATATTAATTTCTGTTTGAAAATGTTTTCACTTCAAATAGTAATATGATGATGGCCATTGATCTTTAACAATTCTTGGAAATGCAGGCAGGTCAGGTGGTTTTCTAACGAGGACATAAAAGCTTAGCAGAAGGTGTTGGACTTTACCAAGGGTACTATAACTCAGTTTTTCTGAGTCGAACTTCGGTGTTTTTTTTTTTTTTTTTTTTTTCAGTGTCTGGAGAATCACCATTTTACACAATACTGCACCAATTCTGTTGAGGCCATCAACTTTTAAACTTGATTCATAGGTCTGTCATGACTTTGACCTCAATATTATATAAACGTTCCAGTAATTTCAGAAACAATTATTGACTAGTCCATAAACAGCCTGTACTAGACACTTTTCTGGGATTAAAAAATAGGTCTCAGTTTCTGTTGTTAAGAAATGGGCAATTTGCAGTTTAAAAGAAAATATTTAGGTGAAACTCCCAGGAAACAGAGGTAAAACTGAGAAAGTAGGTCTCATAGCATGTGTCAAATGGAGAACTAAGTACTTTATATATGCCATCTGATGTAATCCTTGCAACAACCCTCCCAGGCCACTGTGATTATTCACCTGACAGTGGAAGAAACTATTGAGTAACTTGCCCTAATGATAGAGCTGAGATTCAACCCCACTTCAACCAGAGGTCAAAGTTCTGGAGAGTGTCACTGTGCTATTCTGACTCACCAAACACACACAGAAGCCCATTGTGCTGGGGACTGAACACTTAAATGTCCAGAAAAATGTGGAAGTTGGGCATTCTTAGGGAAGTGCAGGTCCGGAGGAGTGAGCTGTTGAGTTAGATCTTGAAAGCAATGGTGGGCATGGATTGGTGAAGATTGGGTGGTGGTGAGAAGGTCAAGGATGGATGGGAAAAGCATGAGGAATTATGGAAGAGTAGGTTGGTACTGTGTAATGCAGTTGTTCTCAGAGGTCAGATGGCTTATCTGGTGGAGATCTATAGGGATAGCACAGTGGTGAGCTCTTGAAGCTGGATTTATAACTGTGCTCTTTGTTCTGAAGGAGAATGTGTTGCTTTTGCCAAATGCCCTCATTTCCTGAGATCAGGTACTTCCTGGGGTAGATGAAAAGCAAGGTTTTGCAAGATCTATGGGAGGACAGTGAAGGGGCTCACCTGAGTAAGGAAGAGTGGGCTGAACCATGCCTTTTCTTGAGAATTGTGAAGGCAAGTTTAAAGGGCCTCTTGAGGGTGTTACACACACTTGTTTCACAACACAAAGCTTTGTACACATTCTTGAAAGAGTGATTCAAATTTTGTACCTTTCAGAATCATGGCCCACAGATATATTTTATTTGATTGGCATATTTTGAGGAACTGGGAAATTTCATCTAAAAATTAATTGTTTAGTTTCTCTTGGAAAAAAAATCAGATGCTTGTCAACACTGAGTCCATATTCACTTATAATAATTGCTATATGTATGCAGTGCCTACTATGTTCCAGGCACTGTTTTGATGATATTAGTTTTCTTAAAAATTACATATGGTAGTATTGATGGTTGTCCCCATTTTTCAGATTGGAAAACTGAGGCAGAGGGAGCAGACTAACTCAACTGCAGTGATCAAGCTAGGATTTGAACCCAGGTAGTGTGGCTCTAACGTCCGAGCATTCATCAAGAATTGTACTACATTTCATGCCAGCTTGCGCTAGAGCTGATCTGCTCTTTTGTATGTGGCCAATTTTAAAACTGGCCTTTAAATTAGCCACAGATTGTTTGCTGCTCCTCCATAAAGAGGTGGAGGTCCATGTTCCCTCCTGTTCAGAAAAGAAGGTCTAAGGAGAAACCTTAGTGGTACTACTATAAAGGTATCTTAGAGATGCTCCAAGAAGGTCAGAGAGAAAACCAAGTGGCATTCAGTTTATATGTTCATCCATTCAGGCATTCAATTAGTCATTCAACAAGCATTAAGCATTTGTTCAGGCAAAGACACTGGGCCGGGCCCTCGTTAATATATAGGTGCATAGGATACAGTCCTTCCCCTCCAAAAGTGCTCCTGAGGGACCACCATGGAACTTCTTCTGCCTTTGAAAGCTATTGCTATAGAGGAGTAAAGAACTACTTCTCTACTATTACCGCTACTGGTAGGACAATTACTACTATTAACAATAATAACATATAATAGCTATAAACATAATTGTACAGCCCTTTACAGTTTATAAAATATTTTTACAATATACACTCTCATTTGATCTCCACAATAACTCTTCTGAGTAGAAAGGACAAATCTTTCCTCATTCACAGATGAAGAAGTAGAAGATGAGAGAATTTAAGCCCAAAGTCTTAAATTCCAGTGCCAAAGTGTGACACTAACAGGTGGTGGAGCTGGAGCTGGTTTCCTGACCTCCACTTTCTCTACTACATCCTCAGTATTTTGGAGCTGCAGTTGCTGCTAGAAGGTGATTCCCATCTTGTGAACTAAGCATGGCCCCACGCTTGGGAGACCTTATTTCCTGGAGGACTTTGGCCCGCTCAACCATTCCCAAAGGGATTCAATTCTGACATGGCATGACGGTAGAATGGTAGGACTTATTGGGCTTTCTGTGTAGTCCTCACTAAAGAGCAAGCATTTCTCTCCAGGATATGTTGTGCTGTTGGAGACGCAGGACCTTTGGGTGAGGACTCGTGGCAGCTTAGAGAGGCCTAGAGCCACATAACTGATCCTCTCACCTCATGGATGAGCCAAAGCTTTGGAAAAGAGGAGCTACGATGTTTTGTGCTGTTGCTTAGAGATCCCAGATTGGTGTGTCTAAATCTGCCCCCTCAATTCCCTCCCTGACCCATTTAGGACAGGGCATTTGGAGCCAGGACTCTCAGGCCAAGATGACAACTGAATGGCCAATGTCAGAAACCAGAAATGCAGCAGGAGTCTCTATGTGAGGCTGCCCAGAGCACAGAAACCCAGAGTCCTTGAGGAAATGGCAAGATTCAAATACGGGAAAAACATAAATCAAACACATTCCATAAAAAAAGAAATAAAACTGATAATAAATTTTCAGAAAGGTTCTCAGCTTCATTTGTAATAAAAATTAAAACAATGAAAACATTATTTTTCATCTCTTAGGTTGGCAACCATTTAAGAAATTTGAAAACATCCAATCTTAAAGATAGAGTGGGGAGACAGAACTCCAATTCCCTATCAGTGGACTGCACACTTCTTTTGGAGAGCTTTATAGCAACATCTATGATGAACATACACTTTGACCCAGCTACTCTATTTTGGGGAATTTTTCTGACAGATGTACTCATACAAGTGCACAAAGATACTGTGCAAGGAAGTACATTGTAACAATTTTTTAATAATAGTAAGAGTATGGAAACAATTATGATGCATATGGTATTCCCTAATACCAGGGGAACATTTTCTAAAATGTCCAAATGATATTGAGCAAAAAAAGCAAAAAGTAGAATAGCACATATGCTAGGAACTTTTTTGGTATAAAACAACAAAAAGACATATCTTACTCAAAGGAATTTTCCTCTCTCTCTCTCTCTCTCCATGTCTCTGTGTGATTCTTCATGGATGAAACATATCTGAAAGGATACATGTGCAAGAGTTAACAGTGGTTGCCAATGGGAGTGAGAGTGGGAAGACCAGTGTAGGAAGGGGTTTTAGTTTTTACTTTATTGACTTATACCCAACTTGAATATTTTTAACAGTTAATGTTTATTTTTTATAGTTCAAATAATATTTTAAATAAACTACTAAAGGGGTAAAATAAACAAGAAAAGCTGGCCGGGCACGGTGGGTCACGCTTGTAATCCGAGCAATTTAAGAGGCCAAGATGGGTGGATTGCCCGAGGTCAGGAATCCAAGACCAGCCTGGCCAACATGGCAAAACCCCATCTCTACTAAAGAAGTATAAAAATTAGCCAGATGTGGTGGCACACGCCTGCAAGCCCAGCTACTTGGGAGGCTGAGGCATGAGAATAGCTTGAACCCAGGAGGTGGAGGTTGCAGTGAGCGAAAATTGTGCCACTGCACTCTAGTCTGGCGACAGAGTGAGACTCTGTCTCAAAAAGACAAATAAACAAACAAACAAAACAAAACCCTGTAGTAGGAATATCAACTGTTATCAACATCAAGGCCAAATTGTCAAAGGTACTAATGATAATAACATGAATAATAATAGCACACACTTAGGGAGCATCTCTTTGTGCTAGATGATGTTTTATAATAAGCATGTTATATACATTTACTTATTTAAGACTTACAATAATCCTATGAGGTAGTTACTATTCATGTCATCTTTTTTATGCTGGGGAACTCAGGCATAAAGAGGTTAGAACTAATATACTCTAAGACACACAGCTGGGAAGTGGTTAAGCAGGTATGGGCGAGGGAAGTCTAGAGTTTGTGCCCTTGACCTTTATCCTACCTTGTCTCTCTAGGTAAGATAAAGACCCCTAAGTCCAGAATTGAGCTGAGGATTGACCTGGAACTGACAAGTAAGAGCCAGGAAATTGCTGTAACAGCCTTGGAGGTTTCTGTGCTCATATTTACCAGCCGCTGAGTACCTCATGGTATATAAGTTAAACTGCCTCAAAAAGCCAGAGAGATAATATTTCTTCCCACATGGGTTTGCCTAATTTGATTATTGTATCAAATTAGAGTTAGAGTTAGGTGGAGCCATATAATAGGAACCCTCTGCAAATTGCTTAAATAAGATAAAGGTTTATCTTTATGTTTTTGCCCATATAAAAGAAATCTAGAGTAGTCCAGAGCTAACTTGTGGCTGTATGAAATCAGACCAACTTTCCTTCCAGCTCTCCATCCACCATCCCTTGCATCCGTCCTTCATATTCACGGTCACAATGGCTATTGGGAGCTTCAGCCACAGCATCCATACTCCAGGAAGAATGGGGCAAAAAGAGAGGAAAGAGGGGCTGCATACCAGATATCTAAATATGCTTCTTGAAAGCTGCTAAACAGAAGTTTCCCTTAAATGTCATTGTTTAGAACTTAATCATTTGCTCACAGCTAAGGAATCTCACAGGTAAGGATGCTGGGAAAGTATATTTCAGACAGTCACTTGCCTGGGTAACAATGTAAGCTTCTATTACTAAAAAAAAGGGGGGAGAAGGGATTTTAGAGTAGGCAACTAGCAGTTCTGTCAGAAATGACCCATTCCTGGATGTTAAGACAGCGTTCTCATCCCACAGATTTGAAAGACAGAATACTATTCTGCTTATGACTTTGATCTAAGTAGCTGACAAAGGGTGCTTTGAGGACACTGGGCACCTAAGGGTGCAGAGTGGGTAGGCAGATATTGAGCAGGCATAGGGACTCTAGGCAAGGATGGAAAGTGCTGAGAAAATAAGTTCCACTCCCTCCACAATTTTTACAAGGGTCAAACTTGAGCTTTGACAATTTTACTTTATTAGAGCCTTTCCTACAAGAGGGCTTCCGTGCCACAGTTTCTACAAGGGCTTTTAACTTCTCATCTTTGGGAAACTAAGGAATGTTCTCATGTTCACTGCACTTCCATATGGTATGAAACTGAAGGGTCATTTTCTGAAGTCATCATTTTACTTATTGGTTTTCTCATCTGTACCTATAAAGGAATGGCTTTCTTAGAGGGATGTGCTGGAGAATAGTGAGGGGAAAACCAAACGGAAACCAAACAAAGTTCAAGGCTGAAAGAACAAGAGGTAAAGTTTTCCCAAATATTTCAGATTAATGGCAGGGCAGACCTACTGTAATGAGTTCTAATTGGCACCCCCATAAGCTATAACATTCTTACTTTGAGCTAAGTGCAGTCTAGGAAGACAAATTATTTTCTACCTTAGAAGACATCGAAGAAAATCCAGTAACTTATACTTTAGTAAAAACAAAGACAACAAAGATCTCAACCGTCACAATTGAGGAGAAAAACTGCAGGAAAGAATCAGATACTTGGGCATAAAATGACTCAAGGCAAAGACAGAGAATCACTGGCTCATGGGCCAAATCTGACCTGCTACCTGTTGGTATATAGCCTGCTTTTGTACAGTTGAGAATGGCTTTTACCTTTTTAAATAGTTGGAAAAAGTCAGAAGAAGAAGATTTCAGGAAGACACTGGAAAATAATAGGAAATTCAAATTGAAATTATCTGTAAATAAAGTATTATTGGAACACAGCAATACTTATTGATTTATGTATAGTTTATGGCTATTTCCACACCACAGCATCAGAATTATGAGTAGTTGCAGCAAAGACCGCATAACCTACAGAGCCCCAAATATTTATTATCTGACCTTTTATAGAAAAAGTTTGCCAGATCCTGATTTTAAGCACCAAAAAAATGCATGCCTCCATCGTCATCACTTAAAAGTTGTGTGACTCGAAAAATAATTTTTAAGTCTTCATTTTCCCATTGTTCTGATGCAAGTAAGAACGTATTTTACAGACTGTTGTGAGGATTCATTGAGCTAGGTTATGTAAAGTGACGTACCATGCATCCTGGAACATGGTAATTGGTCAATAAATGGCAGTTGCTGTTTACTATTTTGGTGGCTAACTTTTAATTATCACTGAACACTCAGCTTGCTGCTTGTGCATTCCCTGACCTCCCCAAGCTGGATCAGGTGACTTTCTCCTGTGCTTGCACAGTGCCCATGCTTATTTCAATCATTACTCACCACATTATGTTGTAATTATATATTCATGTGTCTGGCCCCTACTGCGAACCATGAGTTTCTTGAGGGAGGAGACCATATGGCTGTCGCAGTGAACATGATGTAGCAGGGCTGGAGTTTTAGGGGGTCCCACAGGTTGAGGATGTTGCTTCCTAATGTTGAACTCCGGAATTAGATACAACTTCCCACTCAGTCACAGGTACTACTGGGGCAAGACAGGCCTCCCCCAACAGCAGAGCTTGCCCCGTAGCTGTTAAGGAATAGAATAGGCTTGTGCCTTCTCCCAGACTGCTCAGTTAGACACATCACTTCTTTCCTGGGGAGGAGGTTGCAGGGTGGGGAAGGCGGCCAGGAGGGTGACTTTAGTGTTTCTAGTGGGAAACATGAAATAGTGGAGAATAGTGCTCCCTCTTAGCAAGTAGTCACTCCTTATATAAAAACCAAATGAATGACTCTTATGGGGTATGTTTCAACATTATCTTACTGTCTTTTCACTGTGCCTTAGAATTTGCCATCGTTGCCATGTGAAAATCAGTGGTACCTTTAGGCTGTCTCCTAGCTATATGGTTCTATGGGAAATACTGGGAAAGGCTTCATGTCATTCTATATTATCCCGATATTTATCTTTTCAAAGGCCAGAGCTTTGCTTAACATAAATGAATATATGTCACACATACACACACAGACATATTTTAAAAGACACTTCCTTCTGTGCTGCATATATTTTTCTTCTTTTACTTTTTTTCTTAAAATTTTTTTACTCTCATGATATCTTTTTAAAAGGCAAATAAAGGGAATTTTCTAGATTCTTGTGTTCATTCCTCTTCAGTTCACTTCAACAAATCTTGATTGGAAACTCTACTGCTGTGTAAGTGCTGGGTCCTGACCAGACCACATAGAGTTAAGAGCAGAAAGTCTTTCCTTTTCCATGGATGCTCCCTGCCCATGCAAGTGTCAGTGAAGAACAATAAAAGAAGAAAAGAGATAGAAGTTCTGATTAAAGGGATGGAATGCTCCTTCCTTTAATCAGAAGGAAAGATTAAATTTAGGGACATTCAGAAAATTTTTCCCACTCCAAGTGATGTCTGAGCAGGGTTTCAAAAGTAAATGGAGTAATAATCGTGGGGCAAGACAGGGAAGGGCATTTATTACAAAAGTCAGATTGCCGATGACATGGAAGCAAGAAGCAGCCAGGTGAGTTCTGGGTGTTCCAGATAACTTGTCCTGGCTGGCAGTAGACTCTAAGGGGTATGCTGTTAGAGGATGCAGGATAGACAGGTGGGGCCTGTGTGCCATTTCAGTGTAACCCACATCCTTCCAGGCCTCATCCCAAACAAGCATAAAAACAGTTACATTGTAATTAAAACCCACATTTCCTGGTCATGACACCCCTTTGCAATTCTGTGGTACCTCAGGTCTGTGCTCCAAGTGACATAGTCTAAGACTCCCCACAATGTCTCACAAGAGATGAACCTGTCACGTTCTGCCTCTCCATCTTCTATGTCTATGTGCACTCATCATGATAATGCTGCTTCCTTGCTCGCCTAACATCTTGGGGCATCCCTGAAGCTATGCAGTACCCATTGACAACATACTCCTCACTGTCCTCAGGCCACAGCATATCCCTTGAAGAAATGGAAAGACTGCCTATTTTCCTAACCCAGGAACATCATTTCTCTAGTGGGCACCAAACTGGTTGTGCCTGAGGTTTAACAAAAATCTGATAAAACTTCTTTAATTTTCATTTATAGCCCCCTTTTTCTTTGTGCTCAGGCCAAAGGCCTGGTGTTGGATTGGATTTCCGAAAGCTCATTGTCCCTTCCGTTGTCTTCTTCCCTGGACACACCCTCTTGTATATATTTTTCCTTAAATATCCCTGACTCCCAAAGAGAATAAATTCATGTTATTTGAGTTATGTGTCCAGGTGAGAGTTCAATCTAAATAAGTAGATTAGATTCTGGAGAGAACATGTAGCTACAGTAGAGAAAAAAGTAGTGAATAAAATCTTGGTGTTATGGACTGGATTGTGTCCTCTGCAAATGCGTATAACGAAGCCTTAATGCTCAGCACCTCAGCATCTGACTATATTTGGAGCTAGGGTCTTTAAAGTGTAAGTAAGTGAAAATGATGCCATTAGGGTGATCTGTAACCCAATATGACTGATGTCCTTAATGGAAGAGGAAGAGTTGCCAAGGATGTGCAAGCACAGAGAGAAGGCCATGTGAGGACACTGCAAGAAGGCAGCCACCTGCAAGCTGAAGAGAGAACCTTTGGGAGAAACCAAACCGAATTTTGGAAACCTTGCCCTTGGACTTCCAGTCTCCAGAATTGTGAGACAGTAAATTTCTATGCTTGAAGCCACCCAGTCTGTGGTATTTTGTTATGGTAGCCTTGGCATGTATATGGAGAACACCAATGATAAAGAAATGGATGTTGAGGGGGACAGAGGGTGGGGTGAGGGCAGAGCCTCCTTCACCCTGACTCATATTTCCACACTGAGGGACTTGCAGGACTTCTGTTGGAGTAACAAGCCTGACCTCTCATTGCCCTGTCAATTAGAGGGCAGAGGAGTTGCTTATCAGTTTGGTGCCTTTGAAAGGAGGAACTGTCCTTTCAAAGCTGGGAAGGCTCAATCCTTTCTTCCCCATCCCATTTGGCATCTGCCTCCCTATAAAGAGCTCTTTGAGAAGCAATTAAAAATTTTCTGCCCCCATAAGGAGGCCTATGAGGGTTTACCACTGCCTGCAACTCAGTAAACATGTCTACTCTTGAGTTTCAGTTTTAGGAAATTCATTATCGTTGCACAACTAAACCACATCTCCAATATAGCTTTCATCAGTAAATATAGCTTACATTTTTATCTCCACTTGCCTGACTTTCCTGTCTGTCTTCCAGTTGCAAGAAAAGAAGGTATTATTTATTGGGCCCCCACAAACCCACAACAGGAGGAAACACAGTTTCCAAAGGATACTTAGAGTTTGCATCCATAAAAATAGGAAGCAAGCCAGGAGAGCATGTATTAAAGTCACTAGGAGTGATAGCCTCAGCAGTGGTCAACAGCACTTCATCTTGGCAAAGAGGTCAAGGAAGATAAAGACTGAAAAAGTGCTCCCTGGACTTAGCAACTAGGAGAGTATTGGTTACCTAGGCAACAGCCACTTCAGGGTTTTGTGGGTAGGGTGGGAAATGCCACAATGCAGTGTGCTGAAGAGGGAAGAGAGATGGGAGACTTTGATTGCTCTTAAAAGAATCTTGAGGGGGGAAAGAGGAGTAACTGGATAATAGAGGGAACTTGAATTTGAAGGATTAATTGTTGTTTATTTTAGTGTAAAAGTCCCAAGCTTGCTTACATATGGAGGGAAGAGAGTGACGCGAGAGACAAGTTGGAGATACAACATAGAGAATACCGTTGATGGATGGGGATTCCAGAAGAAGCAAGATGGATCCTATGGCAAATTGCATTATTATGCAAAATTAAGAGGATTATATATCTCCATCCCATTGACTTTGGGCTTGGCCATTTGACATGCTTTACTCAGAAGAATATGAGTGGACTTGACATACATCATCAGTTCTCTTATTCTTCCCTTTTACTGTGAAGATGATGTGTTCTACCTGGGGTCTGCTTTCTCTGCCTGCATCCTGGAATGAGAAGACTTGTGCAGTAGAACTGTAATCTAGAGGAAGTCATAGCTGTCCCACCGATGACACACATACAACAAAGAAGTACAACTTTAAAATTGTAGGTCACTAAGATTTTGGGGTTTGACATTATAGGAAAACTAACTAATACAGATCCCAAACAGAGAAGAGCTTGCTTTCACAAACGGGGAATCAGAACCAGAGGAAAGGTTTAAAACAAACAAAAAAAGAACAAAAAGGGAGGAAACATTTCTTATATGGAAGAGGGATTGAAGGAGGGAAGGATAGTAATGAGTGCAGATCATTTTTTAGTGGGTAAGGCAAAAATTGAGTCCTGTCAATCTGAGGACATGTTGAAGGCATCAGAGCCTCACTCACACTCTCTCTTATCTTTTCATTTATTTTTCTCTACATGGAAGCTGATTTTGCAGGGGCTTTTGGCCTAGCAGTCATTTGCAGACTCTTTTCATATTAAAATTGGAAGGAGATTTACCAGTTTTGCCAACAAAGTTCCTCATGCAAAAATGGAAAGACAAGAGGCCCACAAACTTTTTGCTTGTTGAAGACGTTTGAAATGTCTGAGATTGCATCTTGCTAGTCTGACACGTGCACCACTGAAGGTTCAGACCGTAACAACAAGGTCTATTTCTTTTATATTGAGATAGTTGCCACATTGATAGACCAAATTAGGTGGGCATCCTGAGAAAATGATGGAGATAGCTTAAATTTGATATGCCTTAGGAAAGGTGGGTCAATATAAATCTCATTGAATATTCATTCACTCATTCAATTATTCATTTATACAATCTGTGTTTGTTGAGCCAAGTACTACACTAGCTATTGGAGATAGGGTAAAAAAACAAAGAAGCCATTGTCTAAATCTGTGGTTTTTTTATAGTGCTTCTTTCAGCTTCATTGGTTAAAACATCCATTTATGCTTTTTTTCTCCTTGTATTTTCTATTCTTACCTCTTGTACCATATCTTGCTTCCGGTATCTGGTAGAAGCCAGAGCCTTAGTAAAAGCAACCTCGAGTCAATAACTCTTTTTGTCTTTTGTGAAATCCTATGTGTATTTAAAAAGATCATGTCCCAGAGAGAGAGATGAAACAGTGAAGTCTTTGAGGGCAAAGAAATGGAGAGAAATTCCTTTGAATGGAAAAGAGGAGAAAGATTTATGTGTTTCCAGACTAGCATAGATGTGTATACTATATACTGCTATGTGGCTCCCTGTATCCTGAAGAGGATACAGAACTCAGAAGTTAAGACTATAATGAGTGCCTGGGGAGGTGGGACCTGTATCATGAAGGTATCCAGCCTTAGAAAGTGTTTCCTGACACTTGAGTGGCACAGGAGTTAATAAACATGAGAGGCTGGAGCTCAGAGGCTTGGACTCTGAGATATCAATGGTCATCACATAAAGATTAGAAGGCCATATCTTTTCTTTTTTTTAAAAGATATTGTTTATGTATTTTATATCCTGATGGAAACCTGGGAGACAGGAGACCCATATAATGTCCGAGATTGAATATTCTGCCAGCCTGGTTGAATGGAGTAGAGAATCAGAATTAAATTGAATTTAAAAAAGACAAGGGAAGTTATGTTTCTTATAGTTTTTAGTTTATGCATTTCACATGATGTGAATCTTCTTCCTCAGCATCCCACTCTTCTGACCAGAAATCAGGTTACTTTTTAGATTCTCAATAACTCTCCAAAGCTCCTAACCACCATGAATTTTGGGCATAAACTTTTCTGCCTTCTTGTAGGGAGTATGAAAATGTTATCTGTGGCATCCCCAGATCAATGGGAACCAATGCCCATTTCATTAGGAATGATTCACACTTCTCAAAGGCAAAGTGCTCAAAGCAATAAAGTCTTCTTGGCCTAACACCTTATGTTTCTGTGGGTACAATTTAGAATTTGCTAAGAAGGCCAAGAGGCCAAAATTAGGGTATGATTCCCTTACCCAAGGCCAGAAGGGGAAGACAATCAAGATCTAGAGTAGCATCAAACATCAAGGTTAGCAAAGCTAAATATTGACTTCTGTCCAAAGGGCAGAAGATCCCAAACAAGGCAGGCAATCAAAGGTCAGAAGCTGAGAGCCAACTGGACTGAAATGGAAGAGGTTTAGAAATAAGTTGTAGAAGGACCCGGAATACTGCTTCTGAAGAAGCTCCCGATGTTTGATAGAGGGGGGCTATTTTCCATTTTTCTTATTGACTATGCTTCTTATTTACTTTATTTTATGAAGGTTTAATAAAAATTCATGGGCAAAAAATACTAGTTAAAGAAAATCTAGCCAGGTGCGGTGGCTCATGCCTGTAATTCCAGCACTTTGGGAGGCCGAGGTGGGCAGATCATGAGGTCAGGAGATCGAGACCACCCTGGCTAACGCGGTGAAAGCCTGTCTCTACTAAAAATACAAAAAAAAAAAAAAAAAAAAAAGAAAAGAAAGAAAATCCTTTTATTGACACCCCCACCACCCGCCAAAACTGAGAAAAGATGACTATTATTATCTTTCAGTAGCGGATCACACCATATCAGTCCAAGAACACCACTGTTGAGTGAGAAATCATTTGATAACAACTGCCTTCACTGTGTTACAGAATCTTCCACAGCTCTTCTGTTTCCTTCTGTTGTTTCTTGATGAGTGTGGTATTAAACTATGTGACAGGAACCATATTAGGCACAGAAGGTGCAGAAACGAGAAGCCCATAGTCTAGAGTGCTGCCCAATAAAAATATATAAATATATAATACAACCCCCAAGTGGGAGCCACATGAAACAGGTGAAATTAATTGTAATGATATATATTTATTTGTATATTTGTGATTCAACTCAATGTATCAAACCATTATTTTTATTTGTTCATTTTTTAAAAATGACTGAAATACTAAAGTGTAAATACACGCACATGTGTGTCTTTGGAACCTTAATTCACACCACCTCCTTCAGTACACTTAACGCTCCAATCCTACTGAAAGTACACAGTTCCCTCAAACTGCCATTATATTTCACGTCTCTGCTGGGACTCCCCTTGTCCTTCTTGTCTGTGGAGAGAACTCCTACTCATCTTTCAATCTTGGTGCAAACATCTCCTCTGGAAGTCTTCTCGGGGCTTCCCAAGTGGAGTTGATGACTCCTTTCTTTCTGCCATTAAGGCACTTGGAAGAGTGTCCTGTCATTGCACTTGTTATGCTGCTTTATAACTGCAGATTCACATCCGCCTCTCCTCAGACCTGGGACTATTGAGAGCAGAGGGCATGTCACATTCACCTCTTCCTTACTCCAAGTCTTAAATTACAGACATACGTGAAGCCCCCTAAAATACTTCTAAATACCTTCCTTGATGGTAGAGAGTTTCTTTGCCCAGCTATTATAAATTTCTTATTTAGACATAGTGGATAAACTATGGATAATAGGATTGTATAAAAACTAGTAAACCAACCTGTTTTATTTTCAAAATTAAGAAATAAGACTGCTTTAGAAGCCAGATTCTCCACATTATATATCATCAGACTTTCAAAGATTTCAGTTAGACTCATTCTATGTATGAACCAGATAGATTAGCCTGAGATAGAATCTGGTTGAGAATAATAATTTAGGTGCTTTTCAGTGCTCCCTTGGCTCTTCTGACTCTGGGGTGTCATTTTACTGAATGAGTATTTCAGTTTATTCAAGGGTACCTTGGTCCACAAGAGAAGTAACCCAGAATCCCCAAATGTTTGCAACTAGTGAATTGCACATGTATCGGGCCATCTATTATGGAACAAAGGCTTCGAAACTAATTTTTAAAAAAGAGGCATTTGAATTAAATTTATTTCTGTAACTCACTTTTCAAGCAAGTGTCATGAACATTTTACTTTTAGATTTAAAGCTTAAACAGCTGTGGAATACTTGGTGTTCTATGATAGTTTTTTTATAGATCTCTCTGTTTTCTCAGATGACAGGGCTATTAATGTTGACTTCCAAATAGTTTTGATTCTGTAAGAAAAATTTATAAAAAATAATTTTAGTTCCTGGGAAAAAAATTAACTCATTTCAAATGCCCTATCAAACATCTGATATCCAAAAAAATACAGCATGGATAAAAATATAATTTAGAAAAAATGCCAAAGAATATTTGGGTAATGTTACAGAGAACATAATATTTTCTCTTTGCATGTTATGGAAACGAACCTGAGAGAAATCTTTTCATTACTGTTCAGATTGCTAAATACTTACGTTCTTTAAGTCTGGCTTTTGATATTATTTTTGAATTTGTGTTTTTATTAGATGGGTGCAAAAGTTATGGAAATTTTGGCCATTTCTTTTAATGGAAACGACTGCAATTACTTTTGCATCAACCTGATACGATCCAGGTTTTATTTAAATGCTAAAAATACAAACAACTCTTTCCCATCTATAAAAATAGAATAGAAATGGCATAAAGCAATATTCATAGGACAGTTGTTGAGATTGGACTACTTCAATAAGGTCTACTCTGCTGAGAAATATGGAAATATTTCTCATATATTTAGAAACAATGATATGGAAACAATGAGAATAATGGGTTTTCCCTTGTGGCACCCACATAAGCAACATTCTGTTTTCAGGAGGTACACAGCGTTGACAAAATGCCCTCCTTCATTGCAGTGAATTTTCATTGCTATTATAACAGTAAAAGTGTATATTTCTTGCCTATGAAGTTTTAACTTGTGAATTAATAAATAGGATGCCTAGGTATGTTGTCTCTAGTCATTAAATGCAAAGGTGAAGTTGTTCTTTCATGGCAGGTGGGCCAATTAGCATCTTTAAAAGGTGCTATCATTATGATAACAAAAAAAACCCCCAGGTTTGCTGATGAATAAAGATTTCATCTCAAAAAGCATTTTGAAAACATGGACTAATTAATCTGACTCAGAATGCTCAAATAAAAATATGTTCTCTGCTCTTAGACCTCTAGCTTAACAGAAGTACATTGAGAAACAAAGAGGGATAAACAGGAAAATTATATTTCCCCTTTGCCAGTTGTCATCCAGTTGCAATACAGCTTTTCAATGGCTATTTGTGTCAGAAAGAAGACAACCTATATTTTACCATGGAAAACATATTTTTTTTTTTTTTTTTTTTTTTTTTTGAGACGGAGTCTCGCTCTGTCGCCCAGGCTGGAGTGCAGTGGCGGGATCTCGGCTCACTGCAAGCTCCGCCTCCCGGGTTCACGCCATTCTCCTGCCTCAGCCTCCCAAGTAGCTGGGACTACAGGCGCCCGCCACTACACCCGGCTAATTTTTTGTATTTTTAGTAGAGACGGGGTTTCACCGTTTTAGCTGGGATGGTCTCGATCTCCTGACCTCGTGATCCGCCCGCCTCGGCCTCCCAAAGTGCTGGGATTACAGGCGTGAGCCACCGCACCCGGCCGGAAAACATATTTTTTAAAAAAATAGTTACACTTTTATATCTGGAAACATCGTCAAATAGACAACCTGAAACTCTCCTAACAAAAACACCTCATAGTGCTAGTTATATCTTTTGAAAGCATAACTTAGATTATCAGTAAATAAGGGAAGACACTGGATGCCCAGAGAGCTATAAAAGAGTGTGTCAATATCGTCAAACTGTGCAAGTCCTAGAGTGGGTGCTTCTTGCCTTGGTAACCTAGGGTGCTAGGCTTACACACTGGCTCAGGAGAAAATGGGCTCGTATGAAACAAAAGATTGTAGCTGAGACCATTGTGTAAAGCCTGAACCCTTCAAAAAAACCTTAAAACTTCAGAAGGTTTCTAGCTTCAGGAGGGCTAAATCCAGTTGTGCAAATAATGCCGTCAGGAAATTGCCTAGTTCTCTCTCTTTCTCAGCTCTGTCTTCCTCACTTTGGGATTTACTCTCAGGAAACCATTTCTAATTGATGGTTAACATGGTCACCAGAATTTCCAGGTTTACCTCACTCTCACAGATAGAGATCACAATCACAGAGAACATAAATTCCTTTTTCCTGAGAGTTTCAGCAAACGTTGACATTCTCTGACCTGCTGACATCAAGTGTTGATCCCTCAGCTGATCCTGTGACCCAAGGATGGAGTTCTCTTCCTGTGTGTCCTCCCTGATCCAAGGGGATGAAGTTCTATCAAACCGTATGAACCAAGAGTTAAGGAAATAAGGAAAGGCATGGTTCTAAAACAAAACAAAAAAAAAAAAAAAAGAAAAAGAAAGGCTGGGAGGCAAACAACAGATACTATTTCCTAAAAACATTGCCACTTTAGTAAAAATGATGTAGAGATTACCAGATGATTTTTTTTCACCTGGCTTTATTCTTAATCAGGGAAACCAGATCTAGCAATGTTTATGATATAAAGTAGTAGAAGATGACTACTCTTTTGTCTCTATCTCTTGTCCAGTAGCAGGAGTGAAACTGAGACGTTAATCTAACTTGGATTTACCTTTATACATAGTCCTAGTTTGTTGTTTTTTCCTCCCAGCATTTCCAATCATGCTGCATTCTCAATAAACATACATTGAACTAATAACTAGCTGCACTCCTAGCACTCCCCGTACTCCCCTTACTTAGGATCCTAGTGGAAGAGGAAAAACTGCAAGACCTGTGTGGAGTCTAGAATGGAGGTGGCTTTCCCTTCAGCCCTGTATCCAGTCTTTAAGAAAAAGGAGAAAAAGTAGGAATGGAAAGAATGAGAAAAATTGAGGGGAGACCGAGAAAGGATTCTGCTGTTTTTTACATAGCTCATGAGCTACTTTAACTGAGAACCACATGGAATTAGGTAAAATTCAAAGGACAGTGAGACTAAAACATCATACATTGAGATTGTATCAGTGAAGTATTTGATTAACTGTAAGTTACTACATAAATGTGAGAAATTCAACTGCATTTTGTCCCAAGTTCTTGTCTTTTTTGTTTCTTTGCAGATGTAATTGAGCAAACTGTGTTCTATAGAACATTCTGTGAAATAGATTCTGAGAAAATGTTTCCACAGTCATATCCATTTGGTAAATCCAACATATCTGTAGTCGTCTTGTCTATCCATTCTTATTCACATATTAAAGGTCATATATATAGAAATTCTTAAATTTTATTTAGTCCAGTATTGACCATTGGACCTTCCAACCCCCTCTCTCTCTCCTGTCCCACTCCCCTTTTTTTCTTTTTCTTTTTCTTTTCCTTTTTTTTTTTTTTTTTTGAGACCAGGTCTCATTCTGTCTGCCAGGCTGGAGTGCAGTGGCGAGATCATGGCTCATTGCAGCCTTGACCTCCCCAGGCTCGAGGGATCTTTCCACCTCAGCCTCCCTAGTAGCTAGGACTACAGGCATGCACCACCATGCCTGGGTAACTTTTTTTTTGTGGAGATGGGGTTTGGCCACATTGCTCAGGCTGTTTCAAACTCCTGGGCTCAAGCAACTGCCCACTTTGGCCTCCCAAAGTGCTAGGATTATAGGTCCCATTTTTTTTTCTAGTAACACTTGTTAATATCTGGCAGAACTAGCATGTCTTTCTGCATATCCTAAGAAAGACTAATTTTTTTCTCCTCTAGGAGGAACTACATGTGGAAATCAGTAATTGACTTACAGACACATTTTTGTAGGTTTCCCATGCTACTGCTTCTCCTTCTTCTTCTCCTATCTCTCTACATCTCCCACTTCCCCACCCACTGACCTTTGCTAATGATATTAATCATAAAAATGCTGATTGTTTTCAGACACAGTCTTATTCAGCCTTTACATTAAGGCAACTGGGTATGTTTCTTCACTTCCTGAACGAAGAATATGGGGGTCAGAAGCTTGCTTGGGGCCATGTGATTAAAGACATCAGTTAAGACTTAGCATTGTTGCTGACAACAACAACAAAAAACAGTAGTTGGATTGTAAGGGAGTTGAAAAAAATGGTGGCTTGCTGGAACCAAGGGGGTGAAACTGCTGTCACTTCCCTTTTACAGGCTCCCCGGGAGTCATTCTCATACATGGAACTCTGCTCAGCTTTTCATTTACCCCAAACATTGTTTCCTTAAATCATTGTTCTCAAGGTTACTTAGAGACAAAGAATACTTAAGTGATTATGACAGTCACAGTTATGGTACAAATTATGTGTACCGCACTATTGAACAGCATACACATTTATTCACAATAGCCAGCAAAATACCTGTAGTAGCTAAGATGTAGGATAAGATCAGGTTTTGGGTAAGATGAAATGGAGCTAAAATTTCAAGTTTGACACAGGTCACGTTTGGGATTATTGTTTTTGGATTATTGGAAAAGAAGTAGTACCACAGATTTGCCAGAACCTAATGTCTGCCTGGCTTAATTCAAACAGTTGGTAGTTATTGATTGCTGGGGAAAAGTGGAGAATAGAGGAATGGAAAAAGAGAGGAAGGAAAAGTAGGTGGTAAGTACAAGGTCCACTCAGCTACAGAGTCCATCTTCTTCCTGTAACACCTCACTGAACCTACTAGCCTTTATCATGCAAGTCATTGAATCTCTTGAATCTTATTAATAGTTTTTTATCTGTAAAATGGGAGTGATGGTATCTTTTTCAGCTACTTTGCAAGGTTGTTTTAAGGCTAAACAGAAAAAGATAGAACATATACAGGGTTCACTATGAGTAAGAAGTAATATAAATGTCTTTACACATTTCACAACACAGTAATGAACATGTATAAATCCAACTTGGGACTATGTGACATGATAAGTATGACACACATGCTGCATATGTGGGGGC
The DNA here is from genome assembly GCF_000001405.40 of Homo sapiens. Taxonomy (NCBI): domain Eukaryota; kingdom Metazoa; phylum Chordata; class Mammalia; order Primates; family Hominidae; genus Homo; species Homo sapiens. Next base: position 120,846,125 of record NC_000008.11, read on the forward strand.
CAAGTGAGCTGCATATGTTCAGTGAGCCTGAATGAGGCTCTCTGCAGTTTGGCAGATGGACTACACAAAGCAAAGAAAAAAAATCTGAAAAATAGAAATGGCATAATTGAATTATTCTAATGAATTAAATCAAAGTCACTCTCAGAATTGGGAAAGAGTGTCGTTAACACTGGTTCTGAACAGTTATTTGGAACCGAGTTCAACTATTGCTCTGTGGCCTTGGCCCTTTGCTTCAGTCTTTGTTTGCTTTTTTGCTCTTTTCAGTTGGTGTGTTCCTAACTTGATGACCTTGTTTCAGGCTCCGGGAAAATGCCAGTGGCCAGAAAATCACATTTGAGGGGTTGATTTGTCTCCCTTAACCTCTCTCTGCTACCTAAGACGTAATGGAACTAACATTTCAAGGTGGCCCCAGGTTAGGATTTAGATTATTACTTGGGAACAAGAGTATGGCCACGAATTTGTCAGGCAAGTACTGAACAAAATGTCCTACTCACTTAAAAGTCAAAGGTGCTTGAGAGGTTGATTTCAGCTTTTGCACGTAGGACCACTGATTTACCTTAAAAAAAAAGGAGAAAACCCCAGAAAGTTTTGGGTCCTCATATTCTTCTTGGATGTTTAATATTCTAAAGAAATTATTGAATTTGAAATTTTGTTAGTGTTTCAGGCTTTTGTTTTCATTTTTTTGCTTTTGATAGAAAAAAAATACAAGTGTCTAGGCCTGAAAATAGGGTCAATTCCTGAAATTCTTTGTAGGAGCCTCAGGTAAACTTTATTTATCTGAGTTTATCATGCTAAAATGTCCTGGCCCTAGACAAAAAATTCTTTTTGATAGTAGAGACCAAACATGTCTTGATAAAGCTGTCAAATTTGTAGACTGATTGACCTGGAGATATGATTTCCATTATTGCTTTTGATGGTTCTGGAATTTATATCAAGAGATAAGGCATTTGGCCTTGGGAGACAATTTCTATTGCTGGGGGCAGGGGATGTACATCATTGTAAGTGCATGAAATTTTATGAACCAGTTGGGTTAGTTTACTCCAAGAGTTTCATAGCCATTTATTCCCTCCTGCTCAGTGGTAGTCAGGACTGTTTTGTAGAAGTCATATATGTATGACTTTCCCACTAGAGCCTTCAGAGTCAACAGTGAACAGACATGACTTGATTCCCAGATCCTCTGTCTCCTAGCGTTAGGAATTTGGGCAAACACTTTCCCTTGGTACATCTCAGTTACTGCTGGTTTTATGAAAATAATATTGCCTACCTGGGAGGATTCAGGAAGGCATAAATGATCCTAGTGTGCCCCCCAAATTTATATGTTGAAGCCCTAAACCCCAGTGTGATAGTATTTGGAAGTGATGTCCTTGAGAGGTAATTAAGTTTAGATGAGGTGGTGAGGGTGGGGATAGGATTAATGTCCTCATTCGAAGACAAAGAGAGACCCCTGCTCTCTCGCTTTCTTCACCATATGAAGACACAGAAAGAAGCTGGCCTTTTATAAGCCAGGAGGAGATCCCTAACCAGGAGTCAAATTGGTTGCCACCTTGATGTTGAGCTTTGCAGACTCCAGATTAGAAATAAATGTCTATTATTTAAGCCACCCAGTCTGAGGCATTTTATTACAGTAGTGCGAGCTGAGACACTAGTACAAGTGCCTGGCACTTTACTATTATTTATAAACATCCTCCAAAAGGATTGATTATACAGTATTTACAAATCTTTGTTTTGATTTGAAACTTTTACAGTTTGTAAAGTATTAACATTTTGTGTGTTAAGATCTCGAGGCAAGTATTAAAATTTCTCACTTTAAAGATGAGGAAACTGAAGCAAAGAGATAGAAAATGAATTTTTCAAAAGTCACACTGTAAATCATGGCAAAACTGGAAATCTATTTTAGCTGAAGATTATTCCTTATTGCCTAGTATAGGGCTTGGCTTTTAGTAGGTCTTAATGTTTTTGTTGAATAAATGACTGAATGGAAGTCCTTAAAAACAAAAATTATCTACATTTCAAGTTCATTGCAATTTTTTATGTGCTAAAGCTTCCTGTCTAAACCAGGGTCATGTTTACCGGTAATCACAGCAGAATTATGGGCATTTAGATAAAGTAGAGTTTGCTTAATCTAAGTGGGGACTGAATCATGCTTTTATTTTCCAGATTGTTAGAGGAATTCTCTTTAATTTTTTTTTCTTTTATAGAGCCAGAGTCTTGCTAAGTTGCCCAGGCTGTTCTTGAACTCCTGGACTCAAGAGATCCTCCCACCTCAGCCTCCCAAAGTGCTGGGATTACGGGTGTGAGGCACCAGGCCTGGACTGGGATCTTCTTTTAAAAAGAGGCTTATTGTGTGTGCAGTCTTCAGGGCACTTCATTCAGATGGCTGAAGCACCCTCAGCTATCTGGAAGGAGTGATTTACCAGCAACAAACTGCTCATCAGGTTACCTGAAAAGGATGAACTCATGAATCTTTAGTCTTGAGACCTAAAGTCCACATAAGCCACAGAACATGCTCCACCAGGAAACATGCCTCCAACTAAAGGAATACATTCCTTTGATTTCCCCTAGGCTGTCCAGTGTAGGACATCCCTTGCTTGAGTGGAAAAGGTAGTGTTGATTCAGTGAGGAGAAGGCCATGAGAAATCTTCCTAGATTTCATGTTTGAGCAGTAAGAAAATTTGCTGGAGGAAGATACTTACTTGGCACTCATTCATGGCAAAGAAAATTTGATGGTGAATTACAGATATTGCTAACAAATATTTCTGATGGCACAGCCTGCTATAGTGGAAAGAAAGCAGGATGGAGATGGAAGAGACTGGGTCTTAGTTCCAACTCTGCCATTCAGCAGCAGTGTTGCTGTTACCAAGTGTCTCAGCCTCCTGGGCTGCATTCTCTTCTACACATGAGTTGGTTAAATAAATAATATCAAAAGTTCCTGGCAATTTTAAAATTCTGAATCTGTATTTTCATGAGAAATGTTTTTGGTCCACTATAATTAAAATTAAAACCCCTCCTTCATTTTTCTAAAAGGAGCTGGGTGACAATCAACATTGAAAGAGAAATTAATTTCATTAGCATTTTGAAAATCTCAATGGCAATATTTCTCGAACAACGACTCCCACTGATGGCTTGAGTGGGCCATTGTGCCTTCTGCCAGTTAAACAGACACCACTTTATTCTTAGCAGCTGTGATCCCTAATTGGAAAGGGGACTGGTCCAAAAATGTAAAAGGAAAATCACATCACAGCAAGGAAATCTGTGTGGAGCTCAAGGTCTTCGGCCACCCTGGTCACTGTTCCTCCCTTGAGCTTCTTGTTGAGGAATTTGCCCTTTGGAGACCAAAGCCCCACAATAGCTTAACTTTTAGTTTTGGGGTATTTGTTTGAAAAGGTTCCCTTTCCTGTCTTTATTGGTTAAAAAAAAAAGGGTAAAGAAGAGTCTTATTGGTAGAACCAATTCCTCATCAAAGCAGTATTCCCCATGCTCCATTCTACTTGGAATTAAACAAGCTCCATTTTCCATTTCCAAAGCATTTTGAAATAGAGCAAAGCAGAAGGAAATACATAGATTCTTTAATCAAGTTATGAGAATAGCTGATTCTCTAGATTTACTGAAAATATTGGCCATCAGTGCTGCTGTTCCCTGTGCTTGGGAAGCTCTCTAACCAGATGTCCATGGCTCTTGCCCTTCTCCACTTCAGGGCTGTGCTGCAATTTATCTTCAGTGAGGCCTTCTTGTCCAAGCATGGGCACTACCACGCCTTCCCCCAACCTCGTTTCTTATTCCACACCCCCAATGTATTTTTCATCACAGAATGTTTCTTCCTAGAACCCTGTGAAAAATAGAATCTTTCTGGATTTTGTTTACTATTAGATCTCAAGCACCTAGAATGGTGCCTGATACACAGTATATTCCTCATACATATTTGTTGAATGACCGACTGTTGAATAGCCCTCTAATTTCATGAATGGATTAATGAATTATTAAGAAAGAAAGTTCTTTGAATTTCTGCTGGTCCTTTCGTTTCTATTCTGGCAGAGCACAAAAGTAAATTGGCTGACCATTTGATGCAGTTCTTCTGGAAGTCACGTATATCTAAAATGTTTCCTTACTGTTGGGGGAGACGATTACACCCTCCCCAGGAGAGGAAGGCTAGCAAATACCAAGGAGAAAAGCTAGATTTGCTCTGGTGCCCTCTAGCTTTCTTACATACCACTCAGTCTTCTCTTGGTTTCTCCTGGGTGTTTTTTCTTTTGTCTTGTCTTCTCTAGTAATCTCTTATCTCATATTCAGACCGCTAAGCAAGTTAGATGTGGGAAGGACCATATAGGCTAGTCTAGTGACTCCTAAGCCTGGCTGCACCATTATAATCACTTGGAGAACTTTTATAAATACTGATACTCAGGCCTCACCCCAGAGTATTAAATCAGAGTCTCTGGAAGTGGCCCCTATCAGAATATTTCATAAGCTCTCCCACTGAGTCTCTTGTGTATACAGAGTTGAGAATTACTGATCTGTTCTCCCTTTCACCTCCAATTCAGAAAATGGGAAACTTGGACTCAAAAGTATGTATTAGTTTCCCAGGGCTGCTATAACAAATTACCACAAACTTAAAACAACAGAAATGTATTCTCTCACAGTTCTGGAGGCCAGAAGTATGAAATCAGCAGAACTGGGCCAAAATCAAGGCATTTACACAGCTACACTCCCTCTGGATGCTCTAGGGGACAACTTGGGTCCTTGCCTTTTCCAGCTTCTGCTGGCTGTGAGCATTCCTACTGTTGATTGTCTCATGGCCCCTTCCTTCATCTCATGGCCAGCAGTGTAAGCATCTTTGAGTCACTTTCTGCTCCATTTTCACATCATTGTCTTCTCTCCATGTGTCTGAAATCTCCCTCTGCCTCTGTTTCATAAAGATATGTGTTGCTATGGTTTGTGTCTCCTAAAATTCATATGTTAAAACTTAATCAAACCCATGTGATATATTAAGATGTGGAACCTTTAGCAGGTGATTAAGTCATGAGGGCAGAGCCTTCATGGATGGGGTAAGGGCCCTTATAAAAGGGCTTTAGGGAGTGGGTACACACCTGTCCATTCCTTCTACCATGTGAGGATACAGCATTTGTCCCCTCTGGAGGTTGCAGCAACAGGCACTATCTTGAAGGCAGAGAGCAGCCCTCATCAGACATCAAACCTGCCAACACTTTTATCAAGGACTTTCAATCCTCTATAAATATGAGAAATAAAATTCTGTTCTTTATAAATTACCCAGTCTCCTCACAAATGGACTAAGACACTTGTGATTGCATTTAGGGTCCTCCTAGATAATCCAAGATAAACTCCTCATCTCGAGAACTTCAATATAATCATACCTACAAAAATCCTTTTTTCATATAAGGTAACACTTATGGATTCAAGAGATTAGGACCTGATATCTTAGGGGGCTATTATTCAGCCACCTACTGGTGTTCAGGGATCAGCCCCAGATTACACAGCTGATACTAGCAGGGCAAGATGGTACCAGGTTTCTGCTCCCCACTGGAGCCTCTGTGACTAATTTTACATTAAATGACCTACACAGAGTGAGTTTCACCTTGTGATTTTTGCCTTATAATGTAGCAAAAGTTTCTCCACTATGAATTAAGTATCGACCAGAACTTCAAGTAGTTATAATACTTTGAAGTGTCAACATATATGTTTCCCTCAGTCCATTTCCCTTGAACCTGAGGTCTGAAGCCCTTCCTGTTACCAGGCATCTAAATGTGCATTATCCATTAACTCGAGGAATGTCAACACAGAGGGTCAGAGAAGAGCGCACTCAAACTCTTGACTCTTTAGCTTTGAAAACTTGGAAATAACTGGAAGATTATTTGGTCCAGTGTAACTTCTCCAGGCCTTCCCTGCTTGAGAATAGATGAAGATTCCATAGTATAGAAGAAAGACGAGGGAGGAGTGGCATGGATAAATTAAAGTAACAATGCAGGCCTGAGCAAGGAACATCTAGAGTTTGCATCAGGAAGCAGGATGGGGACCAGTCACTGTTCCCAGACCATCTACTCTGGACAGGTTCTCCCATCCTCAGCCTTCTCTACTCATACTGGTCATCCAGTAGAATGTGACCTAAGTGTGCCTCACATTTAGTCAGTCTTCCTCTTACCCACTCTATGTGGACAACACAGTTTCCATGAGAAGGATATGGAGGAATAGAGGAGAGTGCGCAGAACGCCTAAATGGTTGGAGGCAGTGACAGGGCTAGAAGTGGTAGCTAAAGTGCCCAGTGGGAGAGTGGTGAAATATACTTCCCGTTACACGAAGAACTAGTATTTGTATACTGCTTTACAATTTATAAAATGTTTTATATGCATTTTGATGAGTCCCATTATATTATGAGATTATGTTATTAAATCTGAGATATTACTTACAGCTAGTACATGGCCAAGTGGAGCCTGTGATTTTTGGTTTTACCTACCAACTCTCTGGTTTGCCCCTGTGGAAGTGCAGAGATTTCATCAGCTAGATGCCTGGGATAATCCTGTGACTCTGAGGAATTCAGAGCTTGAAGTCCAGGGTCAACAGCCTTTCAATTTGTCTCCAAGAAGACTCGGAACCCAGGGTCAATTTCTGTTAAGGGTTTATCTTGTTCTTCAGACCAAATACAATGACAAAGGATCAAGTTGGAATTTTTATAGGCAGAGAAAGCAGGCAAGACTGAGTAGCTTTTAAATATTCAGTTTACATGGGAATTAGAGTAATGGTAATAAAGACATCTTTAGAAAAATAAATCATGTATGCAGAAGAAGCAATAAAATATAGTCTTGGAATAAAATCAGTGTCCTTGACAGTAGGATACTTTGAAACTAGCATTGGTAACTGATATGGTTTGGCTGTGTCCCCACCCAAATCATATCTTGAATTGTAGTTCCCATAATCCCCATGTGTTGTGGGAGGGACCCAGTGTGAGGTAATTAAATCATGGAGGCAGTTTCCCCCATGCTATTCTCATGATAGTGAATGAGTTCTCATGAGAGCTGATGGTTTTATAAGGGGCTCCCCACTTTGCTTGGTCCTCATTCTTCTCCTTCCTGCTGCCATGTGAAAAAGGACATGTTTGCTTCCCCTTCTGCCATGATCGGAGGTTTCCTGAGGCTTCCACAGCCATGCTGAACTGTGAGTCAATGAAACCTCTTTCCTTGATAAATTACCCAGTCTTGGATATGTCTTTATTAGCAGCATGAGAATGAACTAATACATTACATATCTCCTGTCCTCATATTTCAAAACACAACCGTACCTTCCCAACAGTCCCTCAAAGTCTTAACTCATTCCAGCATTAACCCAAAAGTCCAAGTCCAAAGTCTCATTTGAGACAAGGTGTATTAGTCAGGGTTCTCTAGCAGGACTGAACTAATAGGAAAGATGTGTATATAAGGGGAGTTTATTAAGGTGTATTGACTCACACAATCACAATGTGAGGTCCCACAATAAACCATCTGCAAGCTGAGGAGCAAGGAAGCCAGTCCGAGTCTCAAAGCTGAAGAACTTTGAGTCCGATGTTCAAGAGCAGGAAGCATCTAGCACAGGAGAAAGATGTAGGCCAGAAGACTAAACCAGTCTAGTCTTCCCACATTCTTCGGCCTGTTTTTATTCTGGCTGCACTGGCAGCTGATTAGATTGTGCCCATCCAGATTGAGGGTGGGTCTGCCTTTCCCAGTCCACTGACTCAAATGTTCATCTCCGTTGGTAACACCCTCACAGACATTCCCAGGAACAATACTTTGCATTCTTCAATCCAATCAAGTTGACACTCAGTATTAACTTTCCACCTATGAGCCTATACAAACACAGTTGTGAATTTAGGAATATCACTTATGTTCTCTCTGCTCTTCTTACCTCACATCTATAAAATGGAAATGATACATAATCTACCAGGAAAATATATAAAGAATATAGAAAAGGATACTAGTATGATGTGAATGCGATGTAGCAGTATATTTTAAAATGAAGGAATCTGGAATATATGTATGATGGGTTGAATTATGTCCCCCACCCCCAAGTATATATATTGAAGTCTTAAATCCCCAGCACCTCAGAATATGACCTTATCTGAAAGAGTCATTTGGAAACAGGGTCTCTGCAGATGTAGTTAGTTAAGATGGGGTCCTGCTGGGATAAGGTGAGCCCCTAATCAAATATGACTAGTGTCCTCATAAAAAGGGGGAAATTTGGACACAAACACACACACAAGAAGAAAGCTTTGTAAGGTTGGATTTATGCTGCCATAAGGCAAGGAACTACCAGACACTAGAAAACAGGACTGCAGAAAATCATTTCCTAGATCCTGCACAAAGAGCATGGCCTCGACAATACTTGACCTTGGGCTTCTACACTCCAAATGTATAAGACAATAAATTCCTACTGTTGAAGCCACTCATTTTGCAGACCTTTGTTACGGCAACCCTAACAAACTAATATATAGTGTCCCTGAAATGGTGTTCCTGTAATGAGGAATACCTGGATGTACCATTTTTGTCGTCATTTCACGAGGGAGGTTCGATAATTCTGTTAAAAATCTAGATAGTGAACATATAAACATCCTAGTAAAGATCAGGAAGAAAGCTTCTTTTTTTTAATATGCAAACTTCTTAATTTTTACAGATGAAATTAAATATTCGGGATGTAATATCATTTTTCAAGGTCCTCTAAGGACTATAGTTAAATGTGTCAAATTATTGGGCCCCAAAGAGTAGTTGACTGAAAGCCTCTTCTATTGTCAGGGGTAAGTGGCATATAGATATGTGCCTTGTTCATTCATTCAATTATTACTTATCGAAGTTTTTGAACATATTGATTTTGTAAGGTCTTGCCTCCTCTTCAGAATAGTGAACCTTTTAATGGTAAGAAATTTGTAGTCAGAAGCTGCCAACTATCATTTATTCCCACATTTGGGCATCCTGAGTACAGACAGTAAGGAGGAGGGCAGGATAAATCACTGTATCCTACTTCCTTTCCTCTTCTCCTTACTTCCTTTTTAAATTCAAGATTTTTTTTTTTCCCCACATATCTTACCCTAGATTTGGATAAGAGAGACCGTGGTGATAGGACTCCATTTCAGAAAGTTTCACCTAGCACAAAAACAGTTCAGGCCCCAGCCAAACACTTCTCCATATCTCAGTCCTGGGTGGGATAATATTGGAGATGGATATTAGAATATGGAAAGAAATTGACTGGTAGAATTCTTATGTAAGAATAAGATAAATTAATGAGCTTTATAGATAGCATGAAGTCAATAGATTTTGCATAGTGAAACATGGTTTCCAAGTAGGGACAAGGCAGAATTCAGAAATTCTTACAATATTGGCAACATTGGGATAAGTTCAGAGAAATATTTTGCAATATGATAAATTCATATTACTTTTAAATATATTCAAATGTAAGTTGAGATCTCTGCTGTCCAATATAGTAGCCACTAGTCAAAAGTGTCTAATTAAATTTAAATTAACTAAAATTAAACAAAATAAAACATTTAGGTCCTCAGTCATACCACATTTCTAATGCTTAACTGCCGCATGTGGAGAGAAGCTACTGTATTAGACAGTTCACATATAGAACATTTCCATCACTGAAGAAAATTTTACTGGACAACACTGATCTGGATGTAACAAGTGTGAAGCATGATACCAATTCTTTACATCAGCCATTACACTGGTACTAAAGCTGAAATTGTAAATAATTTTATTTTCACAAAAATATTCAATATAATTTAACAAATTCTCAAAAAACTAAATAAAAAATATTCAACTTTATTGAAGGGATTAAGAGACCACTGACAGCAGGCCTAGGATAATGGCACAAACTTGGTAGTTTAAAAAGATTGTCACAGTAGAATGTTGGCTGAAATACAAAAACATTTTCTGTACTCTGAAGGATACATATTTTCAATTCATTTTCTCAACTATGCCTATAGAAATGACATTGGGATCAATTCAGAGATCGTATTTTTTTTTCTGGATTTAGGAAAAGGAGAGATGTCTTAATGAAACATGTCAAGTCTGACATAATAACCACTCTCAGATACCCACTGAGAATACTGACTAAATGCCATCAACTAAATTAAGTTCCTACAGGACACTAGAAGAGAAAAATGAAACACATTTATCTTAAGAAATACTATAGAATTTGAATATTTTCTAAAGAGGTGATAAAATTAAAATGCAATTGTGCCTTATTTATGTGATAAATTAAGATTTGTAATGACATTTCTGTGGTTACAGTTTGTGACCTCATTAAAATGTTTTAACATGATATGTAAAATAATAATTAATTTCTGAATCTAAATATTGTTTAAAGAGTTTGTTGACAATTCCAATTGCTTATTGCCTCAGAATTTCTCCTAATTGAAATTAATTTTTAAAAACTAAGAACTACAATGACTCAAGAGAAGTGTATGTAATTTGGCTTTACTCTCGGTAGCACACAAATTATGAGAGGCTCTTTAACAACATAGTTATGCACTGAAATAAATGAAAGAAAATATTTATGTGGATGGAATATATAATAGTTAAAAATTTTTATGTCTTTAGAACTCATCCTAACATTGACATCTTTCCAATAGAACACCCCAACTTGAATTAAATTTCAGTTTTCATGTTTTCATTGATATTATGCTGGCTTCCAGTCCTTTAAAATAAATGATATTAGAAATATTTTCCAAATTTTGTCATTATGAAGGTATACTTTTCAAGGAAGGACAACAGAACATATTTCAATGAGCAGTGTGTTAGCTTGGTTTATTCCTTTAAAATACATGGTAAACTATTTAAAATATGATAAATGGGCCTCAATTTGTCACCTTTGGTCTAGGAACGAAAAGAGTAGGCCTGACCTGGGTATCCTTCTAGAGGAAGTAAACATTACTTTTTACACAGGGTAGTTAGAGTCTCCTATTTCTGGCCCTCAGGGAGTCCACTGAGATGAATGCGTGGATTCTAGTTCAACTTTACGGCTCGCTCACCACAGCCACATAGTCCCAGACATTTGAGAGTTGGAATTATTTAGAGAAGGGAAGACTGTGTTTGCAATGTGTTATACTGTAATTTAGTGGATACTGACCTGTCTCACAACATCTCTACAAATACAGAACAAGAGAAGGAGGGACCATTAAGCTGTGGTTTGAGGGATTTCATTGACACACCAGGGAACATGTGTTTGGCAGCAGATTATTCTTAAACCTTGCAATGGTTGATTGAGGAAAATAGTGAGAGCCTCTGCCTTCTCTTCCTTTGGGCTACAGCTGGATTTCTCCAATATGAATGTAATGACCCAGGTGTAGTGTAGCCTTGTCTGAAAGCGGAGGAGTGGGGCATACAATGATATATAGTCCTTAGAGCTCTAGAAGGTTAGGATTTCATGGCCTGCTGTTTAATCATTACACAATCAAACATAACTGCAGCTCAAAGGCAGGAAATGAGTTTTACCACAATTTCCAAGCAAGTAAGGAAATGGTCTGCATGGGCTGCAATGAACTGTGCTCTTGCTGTTTTGCATTCTTGCTGAATGCCTAAGGGAGCCCTCTCACGCATGGACCTCTGGTAGAGGAGGAGGGGGGCTTTGAATTCTGTTTTGCCAGTGACACACTCCATTGTATATGACCACTAAAAGGGCCAGACTGAATTATGCTCATACAGGATGAAGCTGCAACATGTTGTAGTAAGGAGCAGCTTCCTGAGTCATGTGTCCTAAGTGAAAGCCACCCTCATCCTGGGCTGACTGTCCATCCCAGGCCCAGCCTGTACCAGCAGTCACAGGGGAGGGTCATTCATGGAGCAGTCTGCTTGAAAGGGCTCCTGGCTCAGGTTTCCCAACAGCAGCTGCTTGTCATGTAGGCATGTGAAACCTTTGAATAGAGTATGTGAGATGTCTGTCTGACTTACAAGAAAAGCTCTGCAGCTCTGAACTCAGGGAATGAAATGGCTTTGGAAGGGAGCAAGAAATGGCAGAGGCCACTAGATAGAAGGAGCAGGCATCTGTGGGCTGAGATAACAGAAAGAGGACCACACTTTTTTTAATAGAACCACTTCAAATTAGTATTAAATATATATATATTTATATATAAATATATAAATAAATTATATTTATATATAAATAATGTTTATATATAAATATATAAATATGTAATATATAAATATATATATAATATATAAATATATATTACATATTTACATATATTTATATTTATATATAAATATATGTAGATACACACACACATATATATATATACATATATATATATATATATATATATATATATATATACATATATATATATATATATATAGCTGGGGGAAATGCTTGCAATGATGGCTGTCCAAAATGAAGGTCTGGAGCCCCTTAGGATGTGAGCTACATGAAGGAAAAGCTTTTTCATTCCTGCAATGCCAGGGCCTATAAGATTGCTGGGTATGTAGGTGGTACTCATTAAGTATTGTTGAATTAACCAATCAGTGGATGGCTCAATACATCTATAAATTTCACGACAGGCCACATGGCCTAAGTGGAAAGAGCTCGAAGGCTGGAAACAGACATTTACAAATTTGAGATTAGCTCCCTCTCTTTGTGCGTGATCTCAAAGCTATTAGCCTCAATTTTAAAAATATTTTAGATGTGTTTAATAATAACCACCTTGTTTGGTTGGGTAAGAATCAAATGAAGTATCATATTGCAGTTCCAGGTATATGTTTACATTGAGGACTTGATTCTCTTAAGTTCTTTATTTCTTTTCCTGGAGTTGGGGAAGTGTAGTTGCAAAAGAACAACCCACAGAATCTGCTTCTTATTCCCCAAATTATTCAATACTTAGAAACAAGGCAAAGACAGTTGTGTGTCCTTTCAGTGTCATTCTGAAGCACTGTATAACAGACTTACCCAAAGACTACTTAATAATTGAGGCAAATATGTCTGTGTTTGCTATCCTATTTATTAGATAGCAAATCAGAGCCCTGACTTTGTAATGCCACATTTTAACTTGTAGGTTTTTGTCCAGTAGAGATGCAAATAATTTCTATCTAGTAGAAAATGTAACTGCAGAGGACAGCTTACTAGTTTTATATAGAATATTTTATTTGAATATTCTTTCTTTATTCCCTTCTTTCTTTCCAGAAATTTTACTTGAATATTCTTTCTTTAATCCTTATAAATTCTCTGTTGCTTAAATGCTCTTTGATAATATTTTATGATTTCACTGATTCCTTCTGAAGTTAATATAAATTAATCATTATATATTGTATGTGAGTCATGTTTTTGTCTTTTTGAATATTATACTTTGCTAGTACTTAGCGATTTCCATTTTTTGCTAGCAATACCTATACATATTAGATACTCAACTTCAAAAAGTTTGTTGAAAAAAATGAGCAAATGAATACATGAAAGCATGAGCCGCAAAAGGAAGGCTAAGTGAGCCCTGAGTACTGTTAGCTTTGGACCCCACCTCCTCTCTAGAAGCTTCACTGGCAACTTCAGACCCAGCCTTTCCACTTCATACCAGCTGCACAGAAAGTTTGGTTTAAAACTAAATGTTATGTCACTATGAAGGGAAGTTGGGTGCGCTCTACACAGTGGAGTGTACTATCAGCAGAGTTCATGCTGTTTTACGATGTTTAGCTTGGATGGGAAGCCTCCATCTGCCCTTGGATGCGGCCGCTGATGTTAATTCAGTCTAGGCATTGATGGCTGAAGCTCTGTGTTTTCAACTATTTAATACCTAGCACCTGGTCCATCTCTTCACCACTCTTCATTCTGATTCATGATTTCCTCATATCTCTACTTTTTGCTCTATGTTTCCACCTTGGAGGGTATCCTACGTGCTTCTTTGGACAATTCCTAGTGCCTACATTTGAGCATCTAAACTCTTTACTTGACACTCTCATAATTTCTTCATGTATAGCCACATTTTCAATTTTTTATTTTTATGTTTTTAAAAAAGATATGGTTGTATCAATGATTCATTAGGGATTGTGTTCTGCTCCATGTCATGAGAACTTGAAAAAATGGTTCCTTAATAATTCAGGGATCTGTTTCTCTTTCCTATAAATAGAAGTGCTGAGAGGGGCAGTTCGGACTTCATTTTGTAGCTGAACAACACTCCCAGTAACCCAGGTTTCTTCTGTGTTTCCATGGAGACTCCATTGGCATGGGGTTTTTATTTTCAAAAATGTTTGGTGATTGCAAAATGAAAGCCCCTTTTCCAGTGTCAAGTTCACAATCTACATAGAATAAGGGACAGAGGTGAAGGGCACAGCACTTATTTTAGTTAAGTGTGTCTTTTTTTTATGGAACTTTCCCTGAATCCCTCCTAGTGATATCCAGTTACATCTCGTCAGCCACACTATGTGATGTAGCTACCCTTAGCCACAGTGGAAGCTGAGACAAAGCCAGCTACCCTGAACCAAACCTTGGTTCTCTTACTAAGGAAAAAGGGGAAACTAAATATAGGGTGCACTTTAAGTCCAGTGATTCTTTGTTGACTTTTTGCCTCGATGATCTGTCTAGTTCAATCAGTGGAGTGCTGAAGTTTCCCACTATTGTTGTGTTACTGTATATCTCTTTTCTTAGGTCTAGTACTAACTGCTTTATGAATCTGAGAGCTCTGGAGTTAGGTACATATATATTTAGGATTGTAATTTTTCTTTACTTTTTTCTGATTGGGTTAATTTGAAAGCCTTGTCTTTGAAGTCTGAAGTTCGTTCTTCTACTTGGTCTAGTCTATTGTTAAACTTTTACACTGCATATTTTAATTCCCTAAATATGTCTTTCATTTCCAGAAATACTGATTGATTTTTCTTTAAAATATCTCTTTATCTCGTTTAATTTTTTTTTCATTCATATCCTCCATTTGTTCCCTTCTCCAAGACCCTTCATGAGTGGGAGGGCTGCCTGACTGTCGGGGTAGATCTGAGACTAGACTTTCCCCAGTGAGCCTAGCAGTGTGCCTATGCCTCTGCTGAAAGAAACTGCCCACAAGTGGAAAGCTCGGGGACTCAGGGCTTGCAGCCTGATTTCTTTTGTCTCATGGGATGCTCCCTTGAGATGTCCCATGAGACATCCCATCAGATGTCCATGGCGCATTCCCTCTACCCTAGGAGTAGCAGTCCCTGCGGGGGCAAGACTACTGTGAATCCTGCTGCTCCTCTGGGTCTAGCCACCCAGTGGGGCTGCTGTACTCCAGTCTGGTGCTGGGGAATGTCTGCAGGGGATCCAGTGATGTGATGTTCCTAGTAGTGGGTAACAGCATCATTCCTGATGGGGGTCAGAGGGTAGTGCCATAGACTCTGGGATTTCCTGGATATAAATAGGCTTGTCATAGTAATATACTAAATACGTGGATAGACTCAAGGCCTCCTGGTTAGCCTGGATGATGCAAGCAATTGTGATCGCTGAGGTTACATAAAAGTATTCTCCTTCCTGAGTGCTGTGTTATTGTGCCTGCAGATGTTGCAATGGGCTGTGCCAGCTGGCCTCCAGCCAGGAGGTGGTGCTTGCCAAAGAGCACCAGCTGCAGTGGTAGCAGTGGAATTTGTGCTCGCCTTATGTTACCCACTGCAGGTACTCTGGTATCTCAGGTGATGGGTAAGGCCATGGAGCTTCCAAATATTCCTCTCCATTGTGTTACACTACCAGGGTAGGTGGAAGGGCAGAGCCTGGTAGGGCCTAGGTCAGGCAAGTTTGTACTCTGGCTTCCCAAGTGTGGACACAAGCAGTGGCCCCACTGAAGATCAGACAGCTGTTCCCTGGCTGCTGGGAGGAGCACAGCTGCCTCTGCTGCACAAAAAGATCCACGCAGGAAGCAGGGGATAGCAGGTGGCAATAAGCCCCACTCAGCTACTCAGCTCCTACTTATCTGGCAATACAGGTCTCACACTTGGGTTCCAGGCAGCCTGTACTCAGAACTCAAAACTGCCCCAGGCTCTAGGCCTACCCAACTGAGACAGAAACAGTGGCTTTCAGGTTATACCCCTTCCAGTCCATCCACAAAGCAGGCACCCAGCTCCTGTGCCCATTTCTTAGCACACTTCCTGCTCTCCCCTTGGTTCTGGGCATCAGGTTTCATCCCCCTTGAGATTATATCACAAATATCAATTCGGAGCTTCTGTCAACCTGTGACCACTGCCTGAGTTAGCTGGCAGACTTCTGTAAGGTCCCCTGAGACAGGATCAGGAATGGCTTCCCTCCACCCCGCTGGAGTCTGGGACTGCACACAAAGCATATCTTCATGCTGCTCCTTCTTACATACTCCCCACCACTCATTAAATCAGCTCCAGCACTGGGTAGAGTCACAACTTTTCTCCAGGGCCTGGACTGCCTGGCTCCCCAGTGGGAGTGTGTCACAGAGGCAGTCTCTCCCCTTCTCACACTATGCAAACCCCCAGTTTTTTACCTGGTTCGTGGTGGAGGCTACTTCCTCCTGCTTCTTTCCAAGAGTCTGTAGCTCCTTTCGGTTTTTCTATTAAGTTCCCGTGTTGCTTCTTGGAAAAAATTTCAGAGTGAGAATCTCGACACACTATTTTGTCTTTCCAAGTGGGAGAGGCATGCTAAAAATGCCTCCAATCTATCACCTTGAAAAAAAGAAAAACCCATTTACTTTTTAAGAAGAAAACATTTTTATTTGTATAAGTTGCCAAATTTCATACATGCTTACCTCAGCTTCTGACTATAATGGGGTAACCGTGATGGGACTTAATCCTCTCATAGTAAACAACTGGATAACTGGATGAAATACACAAGGCAACTATTTCTGGACAGTAGACAACAGGCAGTGCAGGGCTGTAATTTATGAGAGAAGGGAAATAAGCAAGGTGAATGCATTAGTTCCTTCTCACACTTCTATGAAGAAATACCCAAGATTGGGTAATTTATAAAGAAAAGAGGTTTAATTGACTCACAGTTCTGCAGAGCTGGGGAGGCCTCAGGAAACTTACAATCATAGCAGAAGGGGAAGCAAACACATCCTTCTTTACATGGTGGTAGGAAGGAGCATAATGATAACTGAGTGAAGGGGGAAGCCCCTTGTAAAACCATCAGATTTTGTGAGAACTTACTCACTATCCCGAGAATAGTACGAGGGAAACCGCCACCATGATTCAATTACCTCCCACCGGTTTCTCTCATGACACGTGGGGATTATGGGAACAACAATTCAAGATGGTATTTGAGTGGGGACCCAGCTGAACCAAATCAGTGAACATTATGTTCATCTGACTTTCTGTCCAGAAGCACTTTCCAGATAGCACGTAGAAGGAGAGCAATTGGAATTTAGAAAGAGTGAGACATCTGGAATTTAACGAGTAAAACCAGAGATTGAGGAGCTGCCCAGAGAAAGAGCTCCAAAATCTGTATGAAGACCCCCTTGAATACTAAACCACAGTTGTGAAGGGTGAGACTACATGAGACTGGGTAAAGAACAAACAAGAAATCGTAAGTTGAAGAGTTTCTAGAGTACACGCAGGGCTAGGAGATGTTTGTGTTCTGGTCAACCATAGTAAGGAGCCCTTGTTAAAGCTTTGAGGTATTCAGGGGGAAACACTAGAGGGTCATGCCTTTCAAGAGTGAAAATCTAGTTCTACAGTAAAGGACACTTGAAACCTGCTGTAACAAAGCTTATAGGAAAAGTTTGAAAAGCTCAAGCTGATCAACAAGTAACTTAAAAGTTTGCTAGAATAAAAAAAAAGGAACATTTGATGTGTGTGTGTGTGTGTGTGTGTGTGTGTGTGTGTGTGTAGGGAATCCAGGGATGTGATGTTCCCTCTAGGCTCTTAGTAGTGGGTACCAGCGTCAGTTCTGATGCAGGTTAGAGGGTAGTGCCGCAGACTCTGAGATTTCTTGGTGATAAATAGGATTGTAGTAGTAATGCACTGGATATGTGGACAGACTCAAGACTTCCTTGTTAGCCAGGGTAATGCAGGCAATGGTGATATCTGAGGTTGTGCAAACGTATTCTTAGCAGTGTAACATGTACAATGTCCAGAATCTAATTAAGAATAGTAAGCATTTGAAGAAGTAGAACAACTCAATTGATTACAGAAGCATCACAATTTATATTATAATAAAATAACAAATATTATATTATATATTATACAAATATATTTAATTAAAATGTAAATTAAAGTCTATTCTATTACAAAAAGCATCAGTCACCAGAAACAGATTTTAAAAACTGGCAAAGGCAATGGAATTGACAGAAAAGAACCTTAAAAGAGCTTTACAAATACCTTTAAAATTTAAAGGGAAACATAGCCTAACAAGGAGTGGGATGAAGGATTAAAACTGGAACTTCTAGAAATGGGATAATACATGAATGGAAAATTTCACTGGAGGAGATTAACAACTGATTAACACCAAGAATGCAAGAAAAAAAATTACTGAATTTGAAAGCATAGCAATAGAAACCATGCAAACTGAAGCACAGAGGGAGAAAAAATTGAACAAAATAAACAGAGCCTTAGTGACTCAGGGGACAACATTGAATGTCAACGTATGTGTGATTTAAGCTTAATAAAAGGGGAAAGATAAGTTCACACATAAAATTATTTGAAGAAATACTGGCAAAAATTTTTGCAAATTTGTTGAAAATGGTAAATCTATATATCCAAGATGCTCAACAGAACCTTAAGCAGGATAAACACAATGAAAACCATATCAAGGCATATTATAATAAAATTGTTGGAAGCCTATGATAAAAAATAAATCTTGAAAGCAGCCAGACACTGTATACAGAGTAAATCATAATAATAGGCAGACTTCTAGTCTGACACATTGTAGGCCAGAAGACAATAGAATGGCGTCTTTAAAGCCCTGAAAGAAAAAATAAAAAAGCTATCAGCCTAAAATTCTTTTTTTATTTATGATGGTGATGATGATGATGATGATTATTATTATTATTTTGAGGTGGAGTCTCGCTCTGTCACCCAGGCTGGAGTGCAGTGGCGTGATCTCGGCTCATCGCAACCTCCACCTCCCAGGTTCAAGGGATTCTCCTGCCTCAGCCTCTTGAGTAGCTGGGATTACAGGTGCGCGTCACCACGCCCAGCTAATTTTTGTATTTTTAGTAGATACAATGTTTCACCATGTTGGTCAGGCTGGTCTCTATCTCCTGACCTCGTGATCAGCCCACCGCGGCCTCCCAAAGTGCTGGAATTACAGGTGTGAGCCACTGTGCCTGGCCCAACCTAGAATTCTCTATTCAGTGGAAATAGCTTTAAAAACAAAGGCAAAATAGACTTTTTCAAATGAGCAAAAGCTAAGAGAATTCATTGACAGCAGACTTGCACTATAAAAGATATTAAAAGAAGTTTTTCATCTGGAAGGAAAACAATACCAGCTGAAAACTTGAAATTAAGAGAATAAAGAACAGTGGAAATGGTAAATATGCTGTTTTATATATTATCACTGTTTTCTTTACCAACATGTAATAAATATATAAAAATATTTGGCCGGGAGCGGTGGCTCACGCCTGTAATCCCAGCACTTTGGGAGGCTGAGGCGGGTGGATCACGAGGTCAGGAGATCGAGACCATCCTGGCTAACATGGTGAAACCCCGTCTCTACTAAAAATACAAAAAAAAAAAAAAAAAAAATTAGCCGGCGTCGTGGCGGGCGTCTGTAGTCCTCGCTACTTGGGAGGCTGAGGCAGGAGAATGGCATGAACCCGGGAGGCGGAGGTTGCAGTGGGCTGAGATCGCACCACTGCACTCCAGCCTGGGAGACAGCGAGACACCATCTCAAAAAAAAAAAAAAAAAAATTATGAGGTCTTTTACACTCTGTTTTTCCTATTAAATTTTTTAAATCCATGTGTTTTACACTTATATCACTTTTCAGTTTGAACTAGCCACATTTTAAGTATTCAGTAGCCATATGTAGCTAAGGGATTAGTCATCTGAAAATAATGTGTTTGTATTTGCGTTATTTACTTTGTCTTACTCTACTAGAATGCAAGCTCTGAAACAGCAATTACGTTTTCTTGTGCACACCTGTAGCCTCTGTAGCTGGAACAGAATCTAGGACATGGTAGGTACTATTATTTATTTCTTGGATTAAAAACGTTTCAAGGAAGAAGACATGGATACTGTATACAGCAGATAGAAATTATATGTGTTTTGGGAGCTAAAATGGTTCTTAAAGGAGGTTTAGTCAGTATAGACTTTCACATTTGATGGCTGTAGGTTTAAATCTCAGCTCTATCACCTGCAGTTGTGTGGCCTTAGGCAAATGTTTTAACCTTGATTCGGGGTTGTCAAAAGTGGATAGGACCTGAAAGCAATTGGTCCCAGGAGGGTTTTTTTTCTTAATCTCTGACATTGTTTTGAGTTGCTGGAGCATGATGATAATAAAAAGTCTCGCTGTTATTATTTTAAAAATTCCCAACAGACAATGCACCCCCACCCCTTGTCTGTGCTTGAGTGTACCACTGTCATTGCCTCATCCTTGATATGCTACTGCCTCCGTGGGCTTGCATTTTCTCACCTTTAAAATTATTTTTGTCATTTTACCTAGAAAATATTTTATTGCCCTTATTACATGCCAGGAAATTCTCAATGATACACACACACACACATACAGACACAGACACACAAACATATGTGTGTGTGTCTATATCTATCTATATATCTATCTATATATCTATCTCTATTTCTATCTCTGTTTAATTCTAGCAACAATTCTGGGAGAAAAGCAATTTTTCTATTCCCATTTTACAGATGAGGAAACAGAGGCCCAAGTTTACATAGCTGGGAAGAAGCAGAGCCAGGTTTTTAACTCAGGAAGTCTGACTCCAGAGAACACACTCTTATATTGCCTCTCCATAATCAGACCTACCAAATAAAGTTGGAGATACTGAATGGAAAGTAGCCAGCATAGCGTCCAGCCCACAATAGGTATTAAGTGGACAGGAGCTATTCTTATTATAACTATTAATAATGTTTTTATTGGCTGAGAATCTGAAATCACAGGGAGGGTAACTAGCACCCCAAGTGTACACCACTATTCAGAAGCAGACAGGGCTTAAAGTGTATTACCTGCTGATTTCCAGTCATGCCACGTCTGTCCACTGTTAACCCTTATGGGAAACTCAGAAGGGAGGAGTAAAGAAGAAGTGTCGACATTTTAATTAAATACACGGAGAGTTTGTTTTTTTCTTGTGTGGTTTGAAGTCTTATTCTAGCTGATCCTGGGAATTCGCTCATACACTCCACAAGGATTTTTATAAAGAGAATATTCTAAAAGCATCCTTTCCCTGCCCCAGCTTCTTACCCACAGAGCAAGAATAGTATTCAATATTCTAAGGCTATTATATGTCATGATCTTTTAATCTTTATTTACACTTAAATGTTTCTATACATTTTTAAAGCATGATTTAAACTTTCAAAAATTTAAAAATTATGGTGAAATTTACATAAAGTGCACCAATTTTAAGTGTGCAATTCAATGGATTTACAGAAAAAATGTGTATGCAGCCATGTTACTACCACCCACATCAAGATAGAATATTTGCATGGTGCAGTGACTTGTGCCTGTAGTCCCAGTTACTAAGGAGGCTGAGGCGGGAGGATCACTGGAGCCCAGGAATTGGAGGTGGCAGTAAGCTATGATCACACCACTGCACTCCAGTCCGGGAGACATAGCAAGACCTTATCTCAAAAAGAAAAAAAAGAAAAAACAGAAAGATTTAGAATATTTCCAGCACTTCACAAGGCTGTCTCATGTCCCTTCCTTGACAATACTCCCACCAAAAATAACACCATTCTGACTTCTATCAACTTAGATTCATTTTACCTATTCTTTGAAAGGAATTTAGGGTCTGGCTTTTTGTTGTTGTTGTTTATTTAACATGATGTCTACAAAGTTCATCTGTATTGTTGTGGGTAGCAGTAGTTAGTTTTTTATTGTTGAACAGTATATTTTGTGACTATACCACAATTGATTTCTCCATTTTTTTGTTTTTGGACACTTATTAGTTTCCGGTTGGAAGTATTCTAAATAAGGCACCTATGAAGTTCTTATATATTTTATTTAATGGACACAAGACCTTATTTTTATTGGATACATACTCACTCATGGAACTGCTGTGTCACAGGGTATGTATATGATTAGGATTAAAAGTTAATGCAAGGAGTTTTTCAAAGAACTTGTACTAATTTACAGTTCTTCAGTGTGTATAAAGGTTTTAGCTGCTTTATGTCCTCAACAGTTGGCATTGCTATCATAACTCTTCAGAATAGTCTGTATTTTGAATATTCTGTTTCATTTTTATACCATGTGTTAGATTATATGTAATTAATTAGCAAAAGATTAAATTCTTATAGTTTAAGAAATTCCCACTGACAATTACAGCATTAGGGCCGTAGGCGTTTTTGTCTGTAGTGTAATTTTAAAATCAGCATTGTTAAAGTAAAATTCACACACAACAAAATACGCCCATTTTCAGTGCAATAATTTGTTGTGTTTTGATAATTGTATATGGATATGCAACTGTATAAAATTACCAATTGTGTCGTCTCCATAGTAATCATAAAATGGAATATTTTCATCATCCTAAGAAGTTCCTTATGTCTCTTTAAGTTGTTAAAAGAAAAACTTCGGCGGAATTAAACTCAGAGTTCAGCTGAGCAGCGAACTATTCGGGAAACGGGCCGCCCCCAGAATCACAGCAGATTCAGAGAGACTCCAGCGCAGCCACGTGGTGGAAGATTTACAGACAAACAAAAGAAGAAGAAAAAAAAAAAGGAACTGAGGTACAGAAATCGGAAGTGAGGTACAGAAATAGCTTTATTGGTTACAGGTTGGCGTTTGCCCCATTCAAACACTCCGCGGTGTATGAGTGGTTGATGGATGGCTGCTGGGATTGGCCAAGACTCAGCTATTGTTACACACTCCTAAATTAGGTTTACAAGTTTGTCTGCCTATTAAGTTAGGTTGCAGTTTCTCTACAAGGACTCAAATACAGAAATACGGAGTCCTTCTCAGGCCATAGTTAGTTAGCTTTAACAAAGTCAGTACCCTCTCCCCAACTCCAGATTTTTGGAAAATATTGATCTGCTTTTTAATTTTTATTTATTTATTTATTTATTTATTTATTTATTTATTTATTTTACTTTTAAATAATTTTCCATGAATGAAATCACATGGTATGCAGTCTTTTCCTTCACTTAGCAAAATGTTCTTGATATTATTCACGTTATTGCTTTTATAGTGGTTTATTCCTTTTTATTGCTGAGTTGTATTTCATTGTATGTGCATACCACATTTTGTTAAACCATTCAGATGTTGATGGAAATTTGAATTCTTTCAAATTTGAGGCTATTATGAATAAATCTGTTTTTTGAGTACAAGTGTGTACTAATATTTCCATAACTTGGATGAATACCTAAGAATGGAATTTCAGGGTATATGGTTAAAGTATATGTACAACTTATATAGAAATTACCACTGTTTTTAAGTGTGTATTCTCACTAGCAATGAAAGAAAGCTCTGGTTGTTCCATTACTTGTTGATAATTGCTATTGCCAATCTTTTTAATTCTAGCTATTCTAATGGATGCATAACGGTATCTCATGGTTTTAGTGTGGATACATATATAGGCAATGTATATACACATGCATATATATACACATATGCATATATATATATATATTAGGTCATTGCCCCATTATTGTATTGTGCGATTCCTTGTATATTTTAGATGAAAATATTTTATTAGCTACATGCATTGTGAATATTTTCTGTCATTTGTGATTATCTTTTTATTAAGTGTCTTTTGAAGAGCAAAAGCTAAAATTTTAATGAAGTCATATTTGTCCATTTTTTTCTTTTATATTCCATTCTTTTGGGTTCTACTTAATTCTACTTAATCCTTACTAAATTCAGAATCACTGATATTTTTATGTTTTTTTCTTGTGGCTTGTTTTGGCTCTTATGCTTAGGTCTACGATCTGAATTAAAAGTTAAAAATGATATAATGTAAGGTTCAGGGTTTTTTTTTGAATTTGGATATTCAATTATTCAAAAATTATTTCTTGAAAAATATTATCTTTCCCCACTCAATTGCCTTAGCTACTTTGTTAAAAATCAGTTGACTATATATGTGTGTGTCTATTTCTGAGGTCTCCTATTTAATTGATCTGTGTATCTATTTGGCCCCAACACCGCACTGCTTTGATTACTGTGCCTTAGGAGTAACATTTAAAGTCAAGCAGAGTAAATCCTCTGACTTTGTCCATCTTTGTCAGTGTCGTGAATTATACTAATTCCTTTGTCATTTCATGTACATTTTAGAATAAACTTGCCAGTTTTTACGAAAGTGTTGAAATTTTGGATAAGATTGCAACAAATTTATAGATCAGTTAGGGGACAATCGACACCTCAACAATAATTAGTTTTCTATATCTTTCCATTTATGTAGATCTTTAATTTTTCTCAGCAATATTTTACCATTTTATATTAAAAGGCTAGCCTT
Organism: Homo sapiens; assembly: GCF_000001405.40. Lineage (NCBI taxonomy): Eukaryota > Metazoa > Chordata > Mammalia > Primates > Hominidae > Homo > Homo sapiens. The sequence continues at coordinate 120,870,619 of NC_000008.11, forward strand.
TTTAAAAAATTTTTTTCTAATTATTTTAAATTATGCTTTTGCAAATAGCCCATTTTAAACTTTTCAATGTCGAAAGAATATAGGATATGTAATTGATTTTTCTTTACTGAGTTTGTTATCTACAACCTTACTAAACTCACTTGTTAGTTTTAACATATTCTTTTGGAATATTCTACATAGACAATCATGTGTTCTGCAAATTAAAAAAAATTACTCCTTCCTTTCCAATTTGTAAGCATTTTATTTTTATTTCTCGTTTTATTGCATAAGCAGGCATCACCATTACATGTAGAATTGATATAGTGAGAGAAGGCATTTTTGTCTTGCTCTAATCTTCAGGGTAAAGTATCTGTCCTTTACCATGAATGATGATGTTAGTTTTAGGTGTTTTGTAGGTACTCATTATGAGTTTGAGAATGCTTCCCTCTATTCCTAGTTTGCTGAATTTATTTTTATTTTTATTATGAATTTGTGTTGAATTTTATCCAATGCTTTTTCTGCATATATTGAGAGGATGTGCTTTTCTTTTTTAGTCTAGTCATAGGATAAATTATATTCATTGATTTTCAAATAGTAAATCAACTTTGCATTCCTGGAATAAATACTAGGCCATGATGTATTATGTTTTTCATATGTTGCTGAATTCTACTTGCTAAAATTTTTAAAAGAATATTCACATCACTATTCTTAAAGGGTATTGATACCTAGTTTTCTTATAGTGTTTCTGTCTGATTTTATTTTTGGGGTAATGCTGACCTCATAGAATGAGTTGGGAAATGTTCCTTTCTTATCTTATAAAAGATCGTGTAGAATTGTTATTATTTCTTCCTTAAGAGTTAGTAGAATTCTTCAGTGAAGCCACGTAGAGCTGGATAATTTTGTATGAAAAGTTTCTGAAGAAGAAATTTAATTTTTTGAATATAAGGTATTTGAGTTATCAATTTCTTTTGGGTAGTATGTGTATTTCAATTCATTTTCCTGTTTCATCTAAATTGTTAAATTTACTAGCATAAAGATGTTCACAGTTTTCACTTATTTTTAAATATCTGTAGGGTCTTTTGTGATGTTCTCGCTTCTATTACTGATATTGGCAAATTGTGTCTTCTCTCTCTCTGTCTCTCTCTCTTTTTTTTTTTTTTATCAATCTGGCCAGAGATTTATCAATTTCATTTATCCTATCAAAGAACCAGTTCTTGGTTTCATTGATGTACTCTATTATTTTTATATTTTATATTTCAATAATTTAAACATTCCCTTTATTATTTATTTCTCTGTTTAATTTACGATTTTTTTTTCATTTTCTAGTTTCTTAAGGTGGAAACTTACATCATGATTTGAGATCTTTCCTCTTTTCTAATATAAGCATTTAAAGTTATAAACTTCCCTCTAAGCACTGTCTTAGCTATATCCACACATTCTTATGTGTTGTATTTTTATTTTTATTCAGTTCAAGGTACTTTCTTATGTTCTTTTTGATCCATAGTTTATTAGGAAGTGTGTTGCTTGATTTCAAATAATAGAGACTTTTCAGATATCTTTCAATTATTGATTTCAAATTTAATTTGTTATAATCAGAAAACATAATTTACATGATTTGAATTATTATTAATCTGTTGAGATTTCTTTTCTGGTTCAGCATACGATATACATTGGTTAGTGTTTCATATGTACTTACGAAGAATGTGTCCTATGCTTTTATTGGGTGGAGTGTTGGAGAAATTCCAGTTAAGACCAATATACTGTACAGGTCTTCTAAATCCTTATAATTTCCTGCATATTTGCTCTATCAAATATTGAATGAAATATCTCAAAATTTCCAACTGTAATTGTGGATTTGTCTATTTATACTTTTGGTCTAACAACCTTTCTTTGTGTATATTGCACCTGTTATTAGGTGTATACACATTTAGAATTGTTATGCCTTCTTAATGAATTTGTTAATTTATCATTAGATAACATCATTTTATATTCCTGGTAATAGTTCTTGTCCTGAAATATTAATATAGCCACTTCAGCTTTCTTAATCAGTGTTTATATAACATATCTTTTTCATTCTTTTACTCTTTTTACCTATGTTTAAAGAGTATTAGTTATAGATAACATAGAGTTGGATTGTCATTTTTAATTTTTAAACACAATCTGACAATCTTCCTTTTTTGAGGGGCAGTGTTTACATATTGCGTGATTTTTAATTTAAATCTGCCGTGTTAATATTTTTCTCCTCATTCTATCCATTCCATGTTTTTTTTTTTACTCTCTTCTCGCCTTCTTTTGGAGTGATTACATGTTTCATAATTTTATCATATTTCCACCATTGGCTTATTAGGTGTGCTCTTTGTTTTGTATCTTTATTAGTATTCTTATTAGTAGGCTACTTTTCTGATAGTTGAGAATGAGTATGAAGGCAATATGTAAGGGCTGCAGGTTTATGGATCAAATTCTTTTTCAATGTAATTATAATATGTGTGTTTGGAGACAATTAAGACAATCATAAATAATAATATTATGTTAGTACCTAAGCAATGGAAAAAATGGCACCCAGCAGTAATGTCAGTATGGTTTAATGGGAAAGACAGTGGACTGGTAGCTCTCCTTATAGCTATATTTTTGTCCTAATCATGCTTTATGAATGTGTCTTTAGCTTTACTTTAGCATTGCTTCTCTCGGCCTCAGTTTACTCATTCACAAAATGAGAAATTGTAGGCGAATATTTCAGTGGAGAAAAGGTTCCAGTTTAATATCTCCTTGGTTTTGCTCCTGTTCCCTTAACATCTTCAGATCATCCAGTCTCTGAGATGTTTCTGCTTAACAATTATTCCCAAACACAGATTGTACTTGCATTTCACTCTTCCAATAGCCATTTGGAGTTAATGGTAGACATCATCTTTCCATGGAAAACTTGTTATCTTACCAGTCTCTACCAAAATCCAGAAGGACAGCCTTTGGCCTTCCTGCTTTAAATTTGATATTCTTTTTGGAACAAATCCAAATTTGTTTCCATTCAGATGACATCTCTAGCCCTCCAAACATTTGCAGTGAAAATACGGCTAATGTATTCTGTCCCATTCCCCCAAATCCTTTACTTGACTTTGACAGGCTGCTCTTTAGAACACTAGTCAAGGCTGAGGTCATCCTTTGGCCATCACCAAAACCTACTTGGTTTTCTTTAAACCTACTCTCAACTCACTATTTTCATTAAACTGTCTTCAGTTAAACTTTTTGAGCCTGCCTGTCCATTGACTGATACAATCAACGTAATCAAATATCAGTGAGGATTCAAGACTTACTATGCTATAGTTATTATCTAAATCTGTTCATTAAAAAATACTCAAGTTATCTGGTCTTAAGGGATAGGTGGATACTTCTAAATACTACTTTTTACCTCTGCCTTTATACTCAAGCATAGATTTTGTCGAGCAAAACCTGCAATTTGCTTCCTCTTCCCCAGCCCCCTATACGATTTGAGCAAAGAGAGAATTTAGAAATTTGGACTAATTGGAGTGTTATTCAACCTTTCTTTGCCTCTGTATTTCTCTATAGTATAATGGAAAGGGTTGTTTGTGGGCATTAAGTGAGAGAACATTTGAAATGCATTTGCTATAATGTCTAGAATATGACTATTGTCATTTAGAGAACCTTTTAGTTCAAAAGCCTGATGATTTTATTCTAGTCTCTCTTGACCTTCATTTAGTTTAGGTTAGATCCTTTTACTTTTTTTCTTCTAAATTGTTTCTGTAATCAGATAGCTTGTTTGCACACATAATCTTTAGATGTGCCTTAATGAACCTAAAACTTCTCTGCTTTGGGAAATAATGCAAAGTGTTCAATAGTGTATGTTTTCTAATTTTCTCCTCCCTCTGCTTGTTCATTTATTCCTATAATACAGTATTAAAGCAAGTGTCCACTGTGCTTTTGGGAAGTGTTGTCTGAGTACTTTTGATTAAAAGAGAGGGGTAATTATTACAGACTATATTTTTTTAATTTAGTTACATAAATCAGTCCTTGAGACTATTATCTGCTATTGAATCTGAGTTCACCCTGCTTAAATACGCAGGTCTGCTTTATTTTGTAATTTTTCTTGGTCATCATCTTCAGTAATTTTGTATTCCTTTCATTATGGTTGAACACATACACGTATTTAAATTTCTTTTGCATTTCAGCTCTTAAATGTTTAAAGCAGAAATACAAGCAAAATTATAGGGAAAACTTAGTGCCATGAAATCTGTGGAAATAAACTATAAATTACAAGATGACATCAATGGCTGAATTAGGTTTGTTTGTTTGTTTGTTTGTTTATTTTTGAGACAGAGTCACGCTCTGTAGCCCAGGCTGGAGTGCAGTGGCGCCATCTCAGCTCACTCCAACCTCTGCCTCCTAGGTTCAAGTGATTCTTGTGCCTCAGCCTCCTGAGTAGCTGGGACTACAGGCATGAACCACCACACCTGGCTAATTTTTGTATTTTTAGTAGAGCTAGGGTTTCGCCATGGTGGTCAGGCTGGTGTTGAACTCCTGACCTCAGGTGATCTGCCCTCCTTGGCCTCCCAAAGTTCTGGGATTACAAGCATGAGCCACTGCGCCCAGCCCTGAATTAGGTTTTAAGAGAATAAAGCTTCAGAATCACTTCATACTTTCAGAAAGTGAGACATATAGTTCAAAATTAATTTTTTCTTTTCTTTTCTTTCTTTCTTTTTTTTTTTTGAGACTGAGTCTCGCTCTGTCGCCCAGGCTGGAGTGCAGTGGTGTGATCTCGGCTCACTGCAAGCTCCGCCTCCCAGGTTCACACCATTCTCCTGCCTCAGCCTCCCGAGTAGCTGGAACTACAGGCACCCGCCACCACGCCCGGCTACTTTTTTGTATTTTTAGTAGGGATGGGGTTTCACCATGTTAGCCAGGATGGTCTCAATCTCCTGACCTCGTGATCCGCCCGCCTCGGACTCACAGAGTGCTGGGATTACAGGGGTGAGCCACCGCACCCCGCCAATTTTTTCTTATTATAAGGATCATATATACATATATACGTATATTGCGGAAAAGATTTTTAAAATACTCATACATAAAGGAGATAAACTCATAAATAAGAGTTTTATTTTTACTAAAAATATTCAACATTTATCTTAAAATGTATATGTAGACATGTCATTTTGCAACAATTTATAAATGTGGTCAAATCACATCTATACATTCTTTAGTGTTGTTTTTGCCTTTGGGCCCTTTCTCCCTCTCTCCTTTCCCCATAAAACCACTGAAATAATCTCTGCTCTTTCAAAAAATTATTATTTTTATTTAATTTTATTTTTTAACAAATTATAACAGTATATTATTATGGGATACACAGTGATGTTACATGTATATACTGTAGAATAATTGAATCAAACTAATTAACCTATCCATCACTTTAAATACTTATCATTTATTCCTCTTAACTGCAACTTTGTACTCTTTGAAAAACATCTTCCGATTTCTCCTACCCTGCAGCCTATGGTAACTACCATTATACTCTCTGCTTCTATGAATTCGATTTTCTTAGATTCTACATATGAGTGAGAACATACGATATTTATCTCTCCATTCCTGGCTTCTTTCATGCAACATTTCCTTCAGATTCATCCATGTTGTTGCAAATGACAATATTCCTTTTTTTTTTTAAGATTGACTAGTATTCCATTGTGTATATATACCACATTTTCTTTATCCGTTCATCCATTGATGGGCTTAAGTTGATTCCATAAGTTGGCTGTTTTAAGTAATGCTGTAATCAATATGGGAATGTAGATACCTCTTTGACATACCTATCTCATTTCCTTAGGATATATACCCAGAAATGGAACTGCTGGATCATATGGTAGTTCTGTTATTAGTTTCTTGAAAACCCTTCGTACAGTTTTCCATAATGGCTATACTAATTTACATTTCCATCAACAGTGTACAAGGATTGCCTTTTCACTAGATGCTTGCCAAGACTTATCTTTTGTGATTTTGATAATAGTCATTGTAACTGGTATAAGCTGATATCTCATTGTGGTTTTAATTTGCATTTCTGTAATAACTGGTGTGATGTTTAGCATTTTTTTTCATATATCTGTTGCCCATTTGTATGTCTTGAGAAATGTCTATTCAGATACTTTTCACATTTTAAAATCAAGGGGTTTTTTTTTGATATTGAGTTCTTTTTTGAGTTTTTCTTGTGTGTGTTTTGGCTATCAATACCTTATCAGATTATTGATTGCAAATATTTTCTCTCAATCTATAGGTTTCTTCACTCTATTAATTGTTCCCTCCACTGTGTAGAAGCCTTTCAGTTTGAAATAATCCCATTTGTCTATTTTTGCTTTTATTGCCTGAGCTTTGAGTGCCAAATCCAAAAAACCATTGCTCAGATCAACATTGTGTAGTTTTTCTCCTATTTTTTCCAGTCTTTTTATAGTTTCAGGTCTTATATTTAAGTCTTTAATATGTTTTGAGTTGATTTTTATATACAGTATGAGATAAAAGATCCAATTTCATTCTTCTTCATATGAATATCCAGTTTTTCCAACATCATTTATTGAATAGAGTGTTCTTTTCCCACTGTATGCTCTTAGCACCTTTACAAAATCAATTAACTGTAAATGTGTGGGTTCATTTCTGGGCTATTTTGTTCGTTGGTGGATGTTTCAATTTATATGCCTATACATGCTGTTTTAATTGCTACAGCTTTGTAATAATTTAAAGTCAGGTCGTGTGTTGCCTCCAACTTTGTTCTTTTTGATGAAGAGTGCCTTTGCTATTCAGATTTTTTGTGGTTCCATATTTATTTTGGATTGTTTTTCTATTTCTGTTAAAATGTCATTAGAATTTTGGTAAGGATTACATTGAATCTGTAGATAGCTTTGAGTAGTATGAAAATTTTAACATTGATTATTTCAATCCATGAACACAGGATGTCTTTCCATTTATTTGTATCTTTTTCAATTTTTTTTATTGTTTTATATTTTTCAGTGTACAGAACTTTTACCTCCTTAATCTCTATTATGGCTAAAGTTAGGATTCCTAACCTTTCTTCATGCTTGTGTAATAATAATATAGAACAGTTATATACATATTTTAAAAGCTCACATATATTCAACATTTACAGTATATTAAGTATTGTGATAAATGCTTTATATCAATTTTTATATTTCATTTCCATAAAAATGCCCTATGACATTTGTGTTATATTTCTGCTCCCTCCCCTGCCTCCATTACATGGATGAAGAAATTTAGTCACATAGAAATTAAATTATTTGGCTGGGTACAGTGGCTCATGACTGTAATCCCAACACTTTGGAAGGCTGAGGCAGGTGGGTCACTTGAGCCCAGGAGTTTGAGATCAGCCTGGGCAACATAGCAAGACCCTGTCTCTAAAAAAAAAAAAAAAAAAAAAATTAGCTGGGTGTGGTGGCCCATGCCTATAGTCCCAGCTACTAGGAAGGCTGAGGTGGGAGAATGACTTGAGCCCAGGAGTTCAAGGTAGCAGTGAGCTATAATCGCACCACTGCACTCTAGTCTGTGTGATAGAGCAAGACCCTGTTTATAAAAAATAAAATAAAATAAAATAAATTATAAAAACAAAATAAATTAAGTTACTTGATCAAAGTTACTCAGTAAGTGTAAGAACTGAAATTTGTAACTTAGTCCATAGGTATATATTTTTAGGAATCAAAATATTATACACTACATAGTGATATTTAATTAAATAGATATTTGTTATAATGCTACTAAATCCCTACTGCTCTAGGGAATTTCTCCTTAACTACTACATCAATCCATCACTAAGTACTATTAATTTTATCTCTTAAATATCTCCCAAATTCTTCCCTTTCTCTCCTTGTCCAATGGCACCAACCTAGTCCAAATCACTATCATCTGCCATTGAGATGATGGCAGCAGTCTCCTCACAGATATACAAACATTCATTTCTGGGTCCACCCAATCCATTGTCTGCTCTGCAGTCAGAGTGATTTGTTTCAGAGCAAATACCTGCTTATATCATATTTTTGTGTGAAATCCTTCAAAGACTGTAGAATAAGTATTCAAATCTGAATGTCTGGACTTTTAGCTACTTGTACAGTCTGCAGTTAATCTCCTAATTTTTTTCTCTTAGTGCTTCAATCACATTGAATCTCTTTCAGTTCCTTTAATCTCTTCTAGAGCTTTGACACAGGCTGTTCCTTAAACTGGAGCATATCCCTTTCTTTCTGTCCTTTAATTACCTTCGGTGTCAGATCTCCTATTAGTTATCACATCTTCCAGAAGCAAGGAAGCCTTCTTTGCCCTGGCTGTCTTGAATAAGTCAATCCCTTCATTGCAGGCTCTCATAAAACCTAACTTTCCTTTGTGGCATTTGCCAGAGTTAATTTTATGCATGATCATTTGATTAATGTCTGCTGTTTTTCAATTAGCTGTAAGAAATATGAATGAACCTACATGTCTGTTTTTCCTCACCATTGCAATTCTAGAATTAGTATTGCAATACTATTTGTTGAATCAATAAATGATGAACATTGACACAATATCTGTCCTCAAGAATTTTATAATGCAGGATACAGGCAAGTAACAGAAATTACAATGTCTTAGGTTAGGTGTTACAATAGGGTTACTAGATGCTGTGAGATCAAAGAAGGGCACTCAAAGTGGACTTGTAGGCATGAGAAGGATACCTGAATGAATCAATGTCTAATCTAATATCTGAGGTATGAGTAGACATTAGCCAGGTGTGATTGACAGGTATGAGAGTGTGGTCTTGGAGAAAAGGAGAATGTTACAGGTAAGGTGAACAGAGTAAGCAAAGACCAAGCAATGTGAAATAGAAGGTTCACTTGATGAAAGCAGAGATTTTCAGGATGGCAAGGGCATACAGAAGGAAGACAGGTAGCATGTAAGAGACAAAAATCATGGAGCTAAGCAGATATTATAGCAATCTGGAATGGGGAGTTCATTATAATATTGTAGTTTATTCTGAGGGCAATGGCATAGCACTGAGTTTTCAGTAGGGACATAATCTTCCCCAGAGCATTGACACAGGCTCTGTATCTATCTAATACGCACTAAAAACACAGTGTATTTTAGAAATGACATGGTTGTTGTAATCTAGGGAAAGATTAGAGTGCAGCATGACTGAGGCAGGAAAAATGAGTTGTGAGATTGTTTCAGAAATCCTGGCAAGAGGTGATAGTGGCCTGGAGTAGGGTAGTGTCAGTGGACCTGGAGAGAAGTTGGTAAACCTGAGAAATATTGGAAAGTGGATTCTACGTGATAAGGTGACTGGGTGGATGTGGAAGGTGAGGAGAGGGAGGTAATAAGAATGCCATCTGAGTTTTTTACTTGGATGGCGGTGGGGCTGTCCAATGAGAAAGGAAGCAGAAGAGGAGAATGCTGGGTGTGGTAGAATGGAGCACTTCAGAAAAATGCTGGGAAATGGTGCCTGCAGGACAGCCTAATGGAGATGCCTGTGAAGAAGTAGGGTGTGTGAGATGGGAGCTGAGGAGAGTGATCTGGGTAGAAACCATAGGTCCCACCTGTGAGTCATCAGCACCAGGATGGTAATTGAAGTTACAGTGGATGCAAATGTTCATAAGTAATGTTTTGAATGAGAAGAGAAGAGGACCTAGATGCAGCCTCTGAGAAATACGTAAATTTAATGGATGTCAGAGGAGGGGAAGCTCACAAGGGGGAACCAAGGAAGACAGAAGCAAAGCCATGTGAAGTGCAGTTGACAACGGGAGAAAAATGTACTGTAAAGAGGAGCTTTGTCCAAATGATCAAGCAACTGCTTAAAGGTTGAAGTACTCAAAGGCTCTAGTGAGAAGTAGATAAGTGATGATTTTGATGAATTATTGTCATTATTTTTATTTGGTGGTGGAGAAGGAAGCTAGATTTCAGTGTTAAGGGAATGCACAGTAGATGAAATTCAGGGAACAGAGAGAGAACTGGCCCCATCAGGTTTTTTATGCACAGGATCCAGCGTCATGTGAGGTGATTATTTTTTTAAGTACAAATACATGAACACTTAAAAATGCCCTTGGGAAGGACTCAATAGAGAGGAAGTGACTGAAGATAAAGAAATTTGAAGGAGTAATCAATACAGCAAGGGTAGAAGAAGAAAGACAGTGGGGGATAACACTGAGCACATGGAGGGAAATTAGTCTTAAAGCAAGATGAGTAAAACCTCTTTCAGGGTAACTGTATGGAAGGACTGGATGGATACACACACAGATGAGTTTGTATGCTTCGTGTTAAAAAGTTTTGTTTTAAAAAAACCTAAATCTGGTTGTTTTATCTGCTCTGTGAATTAGGAGGTAAAGTCATCTGCTGAGAGTAAAAAGAAACATGAGTTTGGGGGTTTGAGATGATATAAGCAGCTTGAAACAGCTACTAAGGAGAAAAGAAGAGTGACAGCCTGGAAATCTCTTCTAAGTCACCATTTTTCATGGCTGCATAGTATTCTATTTTGTGGATGTAAAATAATTATTTCAGCCATGATTTGTTAGTGGACCTCCAGGCTGAGTTTGCTTAGCTATTATCATTCATTGCAATGGCTAGTATCAATACATTTATTTAAAATGTTTATTAATTGTCTTCTATGTATAATATAGAGGCTACAGTGATAAGTAAGACATTATTAAAGTAATGAGCTTCAAATATAATAGAATATGTGACATTATTGTCTCTGAAATAAGAATGTGAAACGTTTCTAAAGAGAGGATCAAAACCAAAGTGTTACAGGAACACAGAGGAAGAAGACTGTGATTATGGTTTTGGAGGTCCTCCAGCGGCTTAGTAGACAGGATAGCCTCTGATAATGACACCAAAGAATGGGTATCATTTTAAAGAAAAGAGTTTGAAGAAGGGCATTCATGTAGAGGGGTTGCCCGAGGCAATGCATTCCAACAAGAATGTGCTGACTTCATATCATAATGGGGCATAACATGGCTGGATTGTCATAGAGAGAAATGAAAGAGAAAGGTGGGGATGGGGCTGGAAAGATAGGTTGTTACAACATCATGGAGGGAGAAGACTCAGATCTTTATTTTATAGACAAAGGTGTGCCATCATTCAAGTCCTCAAGAGACATAGGCTCTTGTTGGAAGAAAGAACATAACGGATATTTGATTACATAATAAGGAAAAATATGTCACCAGTCAATAAGTACCAATCCTTCGCTTTGACCCATCACAGTTACACAGTGAATTCTTGTTGAATGAATAAAGGTCAAAGGTAGAAATTGTGAATGTAACTCTTATTCGGAATAGGAAGAGCTTGGCTACAATAACTAAGAAAAACTTCCCAAGTCACTTTTTCATATCTTTAAGGGAGTGGCTTGACATATTAATCCCTTCCACTCTTGTTTTCTTTCCCTTAAAATGCAAGCTGGCCACTGAAGATTGTTTTCTTCATTTTCGGAGACTTTATAACCATGATATACTTATCATTACTGATGGACACATGTAGATGCTAACAAAAGGGTCTTTCTTTCTTTCTTACTTTTTCTTTCTTTCTTTCTCTTTCTTTCTTTCTTTCTTTCTTTTTTTCTTTCTTTTTTTCTTTCTTTCTTTCTTTCTCTTTCGTCTTTTTCTTTCCTTCCTTCCTTTTCTCCTTTCTTTCTTTCTTTTCTTTCTTTCTTTCTCTTTCTTTCTTTTTCTTTCCTTCCTTCCTTCCTTCCTTCCTTCCTTTCTTTCTTTCTTTCTTTCTTTCTTTCTTTCTTTCTTTCTTTCTTTCTTTCTTTCTTTCTTTCTTTCTTTCTTTCTTTCTTTCTTTCTTTCTCTTTCTTTCTTCCTGGAAGTTGATATAAGGAAACTTGACAATAGAACCCAAGGGTCTTTTCATAGGTGAAATAGTAGGAGAAAAGCTGTTCTTTCTCATCCAAACACCTTCTTCCTGAGAGGCTGTATATCATAGTGATAAGAAGGGTTTATTTGTATTGGACCAGTATAAAATGAGTAGTCATGCAGTAATGATACATAAATATATAGTATGATTAGGACTTGATTCAGTCAAACATTTCACTGGCATTTATGCCAGAAAATTCTAGCTGGAATTTGGCCTGTCTTGAAATGTCCCTCTGTCTTACTTATGTCTAGCATCTCCAATGATGTTTTTGATATCTCCCTGGAATTTAGTAGATGTGTGTGACATCTGCTACTGAGGTCAAAACGTCCACATTGAAGTCAAAGAAATTACTCTGGAGCCTGTGTTTCTGTTTATTATGGTCCAGCCAACTCCTACCATTATAATGAATGTTGCTTTGTAGGAGAGTGGAGGTCCATACTGGAATATGTGCATTTGCCACAATGAATTAACCAGTAGTTGAGGTAATTGTGCATTCTGAAGTTTAATTCATTTCACGGAGAAGTAATACTTTGATGTTTCACTCAGTTTGACTTTTATTTTCATTAAATCAGATTGTAGGATTGGGTTTGGGAGTCCTTTCTCCCTTTGTGTTAATAGTCTGAAAAGATATCATCTACCTTTTTTTTTTTTAACAAAAGGGAAAGCAGACTAAAGATGGTCAGAGAACAGCTTGCCAGGTAGCAAATTGGAGAAGATGAAAATTATGTCAGACTTCTGTGAAGCTTTTGCTGCTCTGGCCTTAAAATCCCTCATCACCTCAGGGCCCTCCACTTTTCTGTTATGGCCAAGTGTACATCCATAGTTAGACCCAATTAGCTCCCAGAGAGGACAGATTTTGTCTCTCTTACCCATTCATATAGCTCCCCAACCCAAGATGAGTAGAGTTGACCCACTCCCCTCTGACACTTGTTTCCATGGAAACCCAACAGGGAACAGGAAGAAGAGTCCAAAATTATGCCTCTTTCAGGGGGCAGAATCCATTAGGCCTGCACATGTGACTGTGGGTTCCTTCACATGGTTATTTTAAAGTAATGAACCTAAGCCTTTCCTGGGTCTGATTCATGCTTTTAAAAGGTAATGAGAGAACGCTTTCTGAGAAAGAGGTTACCCTTAGTCTATGTTCATCACTAAAGGTAGACTTTCAGATCATGCACTGCTAGATGAGGCCCTGTCATTCTGCTGTCATGTGAAAGCTGATGTCAACTTAAGGCTTTGGTTTTACAGGATAAATGCAGAGATGCTGCCAGAGTTTCAGAGGCTTCTAAGTTTTCTGCCTGATTTATTCTCCTTCCCAAGATTCTTCTCCATCCTTGTTCTTGGAGCCAAATCATGTTAGATATAGAATAGTGTGTAGTAGTGTCACATACAGAAAACGTTGTATAGGCAAGAAGGTGACCAGTATTATCTGAAGATCTACTATTTCCCAGGCCTTCTGACAGGGATACACACACACACACACACACACACACACACACACACACAAATTGAATCCTGACAGTAACATTTTGAAGTAGATATTATCTCTGGACAGAGCTAATATTTTTGGTATATGTACTAATAATTGTCTGGTATATGTACTTCTAAAGTATCTCTTTCTGTTTTTTTTTTGTGTGTGTGTACAGGTATGTTGAAAAATATTTGCAAAATTTGCATGAATTGGATTATATTGTAAAATATTTCTGCTTAAAAAATGGCATCATAGTGTTTCATCATCGTAACCCACCAAAGTTTATTTTCCAATCTTATATTGTGGTTATTTAGGTTACTTCCAATCTTATATTCTTGGTTATTTAGGTTGGAAAATATTCCATCATATGTGCTATCACTGATTAATTTAACCACAGCTTTTTTTATATTTAGTAATATCCTTTTATTCCAACTCAAATAATGTTGTGACAAACACTATTGTGGTCACTTTTTGTATGTATTTGATAATTTTCTTATGGTAAATTACTAGAAGTAAAATTACTAGATTAAAAGGCAAGAATATTTTTAATGATACTTAATACATATTTCCAAGTTGGCCTGAAGAAGAATTATTAATGCCTTACATCTGCCCTAGAAGTATACGAGATGGTCCCTTTCCCACACCCTTGCTAAACTAGGTACTTTCAATCCTAATTTATTAACCTGATGGGCAAAAGATAATATTTCATTTTAAGTTGAATTTTCTGACTAGAGTTTATCCCAAGTAAACTTTATTGGTCGAGAACAACAGAACTAATTTCTACTAAAATAAGAAAAGTTAAGGATTGTCATGTTAGTACCTAGGATGTATTTTGAAACAATTAAAAACTCAAGTGAGTTGATTAGAACTTTATTTTGGCTGTTCATGGTATTTAGGGACTCTTTTTCCCTATTGAATCATACTGTGTATAATTGCATAAAAACACAGCAGGAGATAGATGTTTTTGAAAAAAATTCAGAAGCCAAATTGGAAAGGCAGCCCTCATGATTCACATCCTTCTGACTTTATCAGTAATTATTTTGCAAGCATTTCCACTCAGTTTGAAACTTCATAGAAGTCACCATTTTTTTTTCTGGGTATCATAGAACTATGCACTGGAAAATATGAATGGAGGAGGATTTTTGAGTTGTTGCATAAAAATTGGAAGATTATGAGACCTGAAAATATCCCTTTTTAGTTTACAATCGTCTATTTGCTTCTACATTAAAAAAAAACTTAGGATGTAATATGTACACAATTTGGATAATGGTATACAATGAAAAAAGTACTATACTACCTGGAAGGAAATTTGAGTTTTAACCCAAGATTTATTCAATAGGAAGCTGTGTAACTTTAGCTAGATTATATTACTTCTCTGGTCTTCAATATCACAATGCACAAAATGAAAGAGATGGAATAGACAGTGTTTATAGCCCTTTTCCAAACCCAATATTTAGCTCTATTATTTTCTGGGTGGGAAGAGAGATATCTTAGTGATTAATTTTTGCATAAGTAACCAAATTAACAACAAATCTGGCATTTTCCATTGAATATTCATGAATAACAGGAGGTATTGGGCAGAGAGATAATATCTTTTACTGTCTATCTACTGTTCTATATTTTTGACTTAAAGAGAGGAAGGAAAATGTCCTGAATTTTCATGTTGACTCTTAGGCTGGAGGTGTATACTTCATGTATCAGGTGGCTGAAATTTTAGTTGTGCATGAAAAATGCATTCCATTTCTTGAATGTTTAATATCATTTTCATAGCCAACAAGCAGAATGGACTATGACAGCTATTTTTCTCTGCTCAGCATATTTTGTAGCCCTGTTTCTGGTTTCTGGAGGAAATCCTAACCCACTACTTGTAGTTCTGATGGAGCTGTCAATCATAGTGTCTGCTCCCCTACCTAAATCCACGCATTGAAAAGCAGGTGACTGAGCTAGGCCAGTTAAAGCCCACTCTGGGACAAAATTTTCTGCTGCAGTTGGAGGGAAAGATTCTCTCTTCCCTTTGAATCTCAAGTTAAAATTTGTAGAGCTGACCTTGCCAGTGGCCATCATTCCCAGCAGGTGGAAGTATCTTGCCTGCAAGAAGACGGAGTCAGGCAGACCAAGAAAGAGAATTATGGCTAGCCAGTTTTCCCAGCACCATTTATTAAATAGGGAATCCTTTCCCCATTGCTTGTTTTTGTCAGGTTTGTCAAAGATCAGATAGTTGTAGATATGCGGCGTTATTTCTGAGGGCTCTGTTATGTTCCATTGATCTATATCTCTGTTTTGGTACCAGTACCATGCTATTTTGGTTACTGTAGCCTTGTAGTATAGTTTGAAGTCAGGTAGCGTGATGCCTCCAGCTTTGTTCTTTTGGCTTAGGATTGACTTGGCGATGCAGGCTCTTTTTTGGTTCCATATGAACTTGAAAGTAGTTTTTTCCAATTCTGTGAAGAAAGTCATTGGTAGCTTGATGGGGATGGCATTGAATCTATAAATTACCTTGGGCAGTATGGCCATTTTCACGATATTGATTCTTCCTACCCATGAGCATGGAATGTTCTTCCATTTGTTTGTATCCTCTTTTATTTCCTTGAGCAGTGGTTTGTAGTTCTCCTTGAAGAGGTCCTTCACGTCCCTTGTAAGTTGGATTCCTAGGTATTTTATTCTCTTTGAAGCAATTGTGAATGGGAGTTCACTCATGATTTGGCTCTCTGTTTGTCTGTTATTGGTGTATAAGAATGCTTGTGATTTTTGTACATTTATTTTGTATCCTGAGACTTTGCTGAAGTTGCTTATCAGCTTAAGGAGATTTTGGGCTGAGACAATGGGGTTTTCTAGATATACTATCATGTCATCTGCAAACAGGGACAGTTTGACTTCCTCTTTTCCTAATTGAATACCCTTTATTTCCTTCTCCTGCCTAATTGCCCTGGCCAGAAGTTCCAACACTATGTTGAATAGGAGTGGTGAGAGAGGGCATCCCTGTCTTGTGCCAGTTTTCAAAGGGAATGCTTCCAGTTTTTGCCCATTCAGTATGATATTGGCTGTGGGTTTGTCATAGATAGCTCTTACTATTTTGAGATATGTCCCATCAATACCCAATTTATTGAAAGTTTTTAGCATGAACCATTGTTGAATTTTGTCAAAGGCCTTTTCTGCATCTATTGAGATAATCATGTGGTTTTTGTCTTTAGTTCTGTTTATATGCTGGATTACATTTATTGATTTGCATATATGGAACCAGCCTTGCATCCCAGGGATGAAGCCCACTTGATCATGGTGGATAAACTTTTTGATGTGCTGCTGGATTCGGTTTGCCAGTATTTTATTTAGGACAGCTGAAACTGGATCCCTTCCTTACACCTTATACAAAAATTAATTCAAGATGGATTAAAGACTTAAACGTTAGACCTAAAACTATAAAAACCCTAGAAGAAAACCTAGGCGTTACCATTCAGGACATAGGCATGGACAAGGACTTCATGTCTAAAACACCAAAAGCAATGGCAACAAAAGCCAAAATTGACAAATGGGATCTAATTAAACTAAAGAGCTTCTGCACAGCAAAAGAAACTACCATCAGAGTGAACAGGCAACCTACAAAATGGGAGAAAATTTTCACAACCTACTCATCTGACAAAGGGCTAATATCCGGAATCTACAATGAACTCAAACAAATTTACAAGAAAAAAACAAACAACCCCATCAAAAAGTGGGCAAAGGACATGAACAAACACTTCTCAAAAGAAGACATTTACGCAGCCAAAAAACACATGAAAAAATGCTCACCATCACTGGCCATCAGAGAAATGCAAATCAAAACCACAATGAGATACCATCTCACACCAGTTAGAATGGCAATCATTAAAAAGTCAGGAAACAACAAGTGCTGGAGAGGATGTGGAGAAATAGGAACACTTTACACTGTTGGTGGGACCGTAAACTAGTTCAACCATTGTGGAAGTCAGTGTGGCGATTCCTCAGGGATCTAGAACTAGAAATACCATTTGACCCAGCCATCCCATTACTGGGTACATACCCAAAGGACTATAAATCATGCTGCTATAAAGACACATGCACACGTATGTTTATTGTGGCACTATTCACAATAGCAAAGACTTGGAACCAAGCCAAATGTCCAACAATGATAGACTAGATTAAGAAAATGTGGCACATATACACCATGGAATACTATGCAGCCATAAAAAATGATGAGTTCATGTCCTTTGTAGGGACATGGATGAAATTGGAAATCATCATTCTCAGTAAACTATTGCAAGGACAAAAAACCAAACACTGCATGTTCTCACTCATAGGTGGGAATTGAACAATGAGATCACATGGACACAGGAAGGGGAACATCACACTCTGGGAACTATTGTGGGGTGGGAGGAGGGGGGAGGGATAGCATTAGGAGATATATCTAATGCTAAATGACGAGTTAATGGATGCAGCACACCAGCATGGCACACATATACATATGTAACTAACCTGCACAATGTGCACATGTACCCTAAAACTTAAAGTATAATAATAATAAAATAAAATAAAATAAAGATATATTTTGCTCTCTCACACATACACATACAATTGAGCATGAACTGTTTATAGCTTTCTGAATCTAGATGGGACAGCACTGTGATGAGAGCTCAGGTGCTGTGGCTAGATTGTCTGGGTGTGAGTCAGGGCTCCATCACTTTCCCATTACCTGAGCCTAGATAAGTTGATTTAAACACTCTGTGCCTCAATTTTCTCACCTATAAAATAAAGATAATAGTATCTAAAAAAAAAGAGAGAGAATTAAAAGTGGATAGACATGAATAACTCTGATGATACTGGTTGTATCCCTGAATCCTGCAATATACACATGATTCAATGATCCCATTTTGAAAATTAAGCTTTTTGAATTGTTTTCCAATGTTAGCAATTGAAATGATCCTAATATAGCAAATAAAAGGGAAGTTAAAACCAAAAGCAAAACTGTCTCCAAATACTTCTTTTTGGAGGCTTGTTCAGTGCATACATGCATTCTGATGAATATTGAAAAATAATTATAATGATAGTAGTTCAAACAAAGAGCTCTGGGTTCTTAGTTTGGACTAGAGGCATGCTTATCAAATATGTACTTCTTGGGTCAAAACTACCAACAAAATATGAGACATTATTTTAAAGCCATAGATAAGTAAAAACTGCTTGGAAAAATTGCACATTTGTAACAGATTTTAGCATGTGCACATTTGAAATAATGGTACTGTTGGTAAGAATACTGAAAAGAAAATTAAGAGAACTGGGCTGAAGTCCCAGTTTTATATTTAAAGGTGTGCTGCCATGGGTAGGTGGCTTTACCCTGGGACTTAGTGTCCTCTTCTGTGAAATGAGGTGTTTGGGATTTGTTGCCCTATGGGTCTTTTCAATTCAGAAGCTCTCTCTTCTCCTCTCATCCCCTCTCCTCTCATCTCTGCTTTTTCTTCCACTATGGTGTGTAATTCTGATATCTCAAGTCGTGAGAGGCATAACTGAGCTGGAGAATTTACAAGGAAGGGTGGTGAAGTAATCAAGGTAAGAAAAACACAAAAGCAAAGGATTCTTCAAATTGGAAAATAGTTTGAGAAGGACCAGATCAATAAGATTAAATGTACTTTGTGGTTCACCAAACCATTTTCCCTTTTGCTTCTGAGCACATACCATATTATATTATATTATATTATATTATATTATATTATATTATATTATATTAATTATATTAATTATATTATATATATATACTAGATTGCAGTGACGTGTGGCCTTGTGACTGAGATATTGCTGATAAGATATTAGAATAAATGATGTACACCACCTGTAGGTCTGGACCCTAAACTTCCCACTAAGTCCTCTACATTCATTCATTTCTTTTCTCTACTGATTGAATGCAGAGGATCCAGTGGTGGACTCCAAAGGCTCTCAGGATAGATGGAAAGAGCCTTGGTCCATGAATGACTGCATGGAGCAAAGCCATGAGTCTTTTTCTTTATTGATTTATGTATCCTTCCTTACCTCACTTATTTATTCATTTATGTAACATGGGCCAACATTACCTTTCATCAAAATACCTTTAATAGCACTGCCAAGGACAGAATGCTCAGCTGAATAGACTTTGACCCTGACTCATTGTCTTATTTTTATTTTTTTCTATTTAAATAAAATGTAACTGATTTTTTCATTCTGTACCCAGACATTTAGCATTATGTACCTGTTACAGCCTGATATGGTGTGTATCTGTATCCCTGCCCAAATCTCATGTGAATTTGTAATCCCCAATGTTGGACATGGGGCCTGGTGGGAGACAATTGGATCACGGGGGCTGAGTTCTTATGAATGGGTTAGCATCATCCCCTCAGTGCTGTTCTTGTGATAGTGAGTGAGTTATTGCAAGATCTGGTTGTTTAAAAGTGTGCAGCACCTCCCTCTTCTCTCTCGGTCCTGCTCCTGCCAAGTAAGATGCCTGCTCCCACATTATCTGCCATGATTGTAAATTTCCTGAGGCCTCCTCAGAAGCAGAAGCCACTATACTTTCTGTACAGCCTGCAGAACCGGGAGCCAATTAAACCTTTTTTCTTTGTAAACTACCCAGTCTCAGATATTTCTTCATAGCAGTGTGTGAATGGACTATTACACAGCCATTGCAAGTTTCAGCAACTCAACACCTCTTTATTTGTTTTATCCATCATTATGGTTCTGATGCCTGTTGTGCCTTTCTTAATCTTCCTAAAGAGAGCTCCCAGAGTCTGTGATCGCCTCCTGAAAACTTCGTTGACTCTTTTGTCTTCACTCTGCAGCAAGAGGATAAATGTTCTCTTGAATAGCAGGGATTATTTATGGCAAAGGTTTCCTCAATGTCAATTTGTCCACAGAGGGAAGTACAACTCCAAGGGCATGTTCTTCTCTGGATGCCAGATTCAACTCCCACTAGCACTAACGAGCACTACATGTGTGACTGTTGCCGTTTCTGGGCCACTGCAGCATAGAGAGAAGCCTTTTCTCATCCATCACATCACCATCAACCCTTGCTCACTCACTTCCTTCTTTTCTAAGTAGCTTTCCAAACGAGAAAGTGGAAACACTCCATTATTTATCTCTGACCAAAATGTTCTTTTCAATAACAGTGATAAGGTCTTCCAAAGTCCAGCACCATCCTGTGTCCTGTGCTCTCCCTGGACACAGGACCGTGCTAAAGGACTTGGCCTCATTGAAAGGTCAAATCTTGATTATTTATAGGGCTGATTGTAACCTCTTGAAGCTGAGGAACTCTGACTTCTTTGGATCTAACACAGTACTTGGCATCCTGCTAGGTGAGCAGCAGATGTTCCATAACCGTAGCCGGGTACTTGCTATGGCCTTACAGCTGTGGTGGAGGCAAGACTGCCCATGAGTAGCAGAGGTGATATAGACATATCTGGCCCTGGCCAGGGATGCTGTGAGACATTCTACAGTGCTCAGAGCAGCCCGTGTCACAAAGGAGTCTATCCCAAAGTGTCAACAGTTGGGAGGCTGAGAAATCCTATACTAGAGTCAGTTTCTATGGCTCATAATTAATAACTTTTCTAAAATAGGTGATATTATTAACCCTATTTTACAATGAGGGAAGAGATTGAATTAGATTAAATAAAATGTTTAGGAATAAATACTAAAGATAGCCTGGTAAAGGAGAGATTCATGTTAGTCCAGATTTTAATGATCTTTTGTTAGGGAAACTATTGGTGGTTTTTGACAAAAAGCACAATTTGACTTTGTGGTGGCTTTGTAACATGTCAACTTGGCTACAGTGACCTACATTTTCCCCAAATCCCTATTTTTTGCATGTTTCTGGATAGGATTGAACAAAAGAGATATTTTTGGGTGAGATGTGGGGCAGACGTGATGCAGCTGCCGTTTTGTAGTTCACACATATTGTCACTGACTTGCAGGCTCACCTTTGGTGTGAGGCCGGAGACAGCCCACAACCATTTCACTTTCCCTTGGATCTGCCTCCAATTCTTGCAACTCTTGGGTCAGATGTGTGTGTAGTTCTGTGAGGGAAATGCCTAGCTTCTGTAGGACACCCACTGTAAGAAGAACAGACGGGGGTTTCTGTCTGTGCTTGTGGGCTCCGGCTTGTGACTGTGGTTCTAGCTTGATCTTGCTTACTCCCACATAACATTCATCTTCTCTTCCCGACTGTCTGCCCTCTGGACTTGAAGTTTCACCACCAGACAGGATGACAACCATCCCACAGTGACTGCTTAAGCAGCTCTCACAATTGTAGAAAGTCAAATCGCTGTAGCAAATATATGTGTGTGTGTGCATATAGACAGACACACAGATACAGACACACACACCCCCACATATATATGTGGTTTTGCTTCTCTGATTGCACCTTGATATAACTGGTAACATTTTTGATAAAAGTTATTATTATGAGAAAGTCATAAATTAATAACTACATAAAAAGTTTTGAATAAAGTAAAAAAGCCACTTATAATCCCCTCATCTTAAAATAACTACTATTCAGTTCTGTAATCACCTTCCTCTTTCCACAGGTATACACTAAAACAAAAAAGCAATTGTCGTATAAATGAAAACGTGTGCATCTCTAGGTATCAATTTATTTGTTGCCTTAGCTTCCTCACTTCTATCATATTCATATCCAGTGTTCTCTGCTGCCAATGAGGTGGACATTGGTATCTCTATTCCTCGCTTTAACATCTAACATTGAAATAGGGAAAATACTTCTTACACACTCTTGTACTATGCTCTGTTATAGCATCTTGTGCTGTACTATGTTATAGAAAAAACATAACATTCCTTGGGATCTCAATTTATTAGTGATATATATTTTTAATTTTTAAATGTATTTGTGTAATATTTTCAACAGCTTGGAGGACATCATGAGGTATAGGATGAAAGGCAATTTGAGAAGTCCAGTGCCTCTTGTCCTCAAATTTACTCTTTCCCTGCTTTAATGATTCATAACCCTTTGCAAAGGGAATGGGCCTTCATCCTCTCTTTCCTTAGGGTAAAGTTTCTTTCCATGAGGAGGATGGCAATATAATTTGTTGTCCATTCTAGGACCTTCTTGAGAGAAGAGGGAGTATGACTAACAATTATGCTGGGACAGTAGGCACGGATATTATCTTACTTATGAGGCTGTCTGGCCTGTCTTGAAACAGACCATTCTTATGTCAAACCCATCTTACCTGGGACAGAGGCATTTTAACCTATTTATAGTCATACTCTATTTGCACTATTTTACAGACCACCAACAATGTATGAGTTCCAATTTCACTACATTCTCACTAACACTTGTTATTTTCCATTTAAATAGAAAATTCTAGCCATAATAATGGGTGCAATATGACATCTCATTATGGTTGTAATTTGCATTTCCCTAATGACAATGATGTTGAGGATATTTTCATGTCCTTATTGACTAATTATTTATCTACTTTAGGGAAATGTCTGTTTAGGTTCTGTATCCAAGTTTTAATAGGGTTATTGGGTTTTTGTTGTTGAGTTCTTTATATATTCTTTATACTAGGCCCTATGGTTTGCAAAAATTTTCTCCCATTATGTAAATTGTCTTTTCACTTTCTTCGTAGTGTCCTTTAATGTACATAAGTTTTTATTTTTGATGAAGTTGAATTTATCCTTTTATTTTGTTGCTTGTGTTCTTGGTGTCATTTTTAAGAAACACTATCTAACCTTAGGTTAAAAATATTTAACCCATATTTTCTTCCAAGAGTTTGAGTTTATCTCTTAAATTTAGGCTTTTGATTCTTTTTGGGTTAATATTCGTATATGACATGTGGTTGTAGTCTAAATTCATTCTTTTGTATGTAGATATCCAGTTGTTGAAAAGACCATTCTTTTCCCATTGAATGTATCGGTGCCTCTGTCAAAACCCAACTGACCCTAGAGCTATGAGTTTATTTTTGGTCTCCCAATTCTGTTTCATTGATCTATATATCTATCCTTATGCCAGTAACATACTGTCTTGACTATTGTGACTTTGTAATAAGTTTTGGAGTTGGGCAACGTATATCTTTCAACTTAGTTCCTTTTTTATAATTCATTTGGCTATTCAAGCGCTCTTGCAATTCCATATGAATTTTTGTTTCAGCTTGTCCATTTTCATGTCATTCATATGTAGATAGAGCTAGTCTTAATTTCTTCCTTTCCCATTTAGGTTCTTACCCTGCCCGCCAACCTACCTTCCCTCCTTCCTCCCTGCCCCCAATTACCCTGACTGGAACTGTCAGTAAAATGTTGAACAGAAATGGGGAGAGTGGACATCCTTGTCTTGTTCTTGATTTTAGGACCAAAGTTTTTAACATTAAGTATGACGTCAGCTGGTGGTTTTTCATAGATGTCTTTTATCAGGTTGAAGAAGTTCATTTCTGTTCCTAGTTAGTTGAATGTTTTTTATTATGAAAGGATTTTGGTTTTTGTCAAATGCTTTTTCTCTATTTTCTGAGATAATTATATGGATTTTGCTTTTATTCTATTGACATGGAGTATTAATTTATTTTTAGATGTTAAACCAACTTTGCATTCTCACTGAGTCATGATTTGTAATCATTTCAATATGCTGCTGAATTTTGTTTGCTCATATTTTGTTGAAGACTTTTGCATCTATATTCATATGAGATATTAATTGGTGGTTTCCTTTTCTTGCAGTGTTTTTGTCTGGCTTTGGTATTAATAGTAGCCTGATATAATAAGTGAGAAAGTGTTTCTTCCACTTCCATTTTTTTAGAAGAATTTGTGAAGGATTAGTTTTAATTCTTCTTTCTGTGTTTGGTGAAATTTACCAGTGACTCCATCTTCACTGGGATTTCCAGTGATAAATGGAAATTTTGATTACTAATTCAATCTTTTTGTTGTCATTATAGGTCTATTTATATTTTCTATTTCTTTTTGAGTCTGTTTTGGCAGTTTGTGTGTTTCTAGGATTTGCCAATATCATTTAGTTTATTCAATTTCTTATTATTTTTTCATTTCTGTAAGGTCTGTAGTAATGTCCCCACTTGCATTCCTAATTTTAGGAATTTGAGTATTCTCTTTTTTTCTTGGTCAATTTAGGTAAAGCTTTGTTAATTCTGTTGATGTTTGGAAAGAACTAAATTTTTGTTTTGTTGATTCTCTATTCTTTCTTACTCTTTATTTTGTTTATCTCCACTGTAATCTTTATTATTTCCTTCTTTATGCTGGGTTTGGGCTTACTTTGCTATTGCTTTTCTAGTTTCTTAAGGTAGAAGGCTAGGCTATTGACTTCAAATCTTCTTTTTAAATTGAGTCATTTATAGTTACATATTTCTCTCTGAGCACTACTTTCACTGCATTCCAGTTTTTGTATGCTGTGTTTTTATTTTCATATATTTGAAATTTTCCTTTGATTTCTTCTTTGACACATTGGTTGATTAAGAATGTGTTGTTTAATTTTTGTATATTCATAAATTTTCCGGATTTTATTTTGTTATTCATTTTTAACTGCATTCCATTGTCATTAAAGAAGGCTTCATATTATTTCAATCTTTTAAAATTTATTGAGACTAATTTTATTGCCTAAAATATAGTCTTTCCTGGTGAATTCTCCATGTGCATTTGGGAAGAAGAGTGAATTAAGAAAGCATAAGGAGAAAGCCACAATGTCTTTTGTGACCCAGCCTTGAAGTTATTTTTCCATAATTTTTGTAATCTTCTATTGGTTACACGACCCATCCTTATTCAGTGTGGTAAGGATTGTATAAATGCATGAACACTACAAGGTAATAATCATTCAGGGTCATGTCAAAGCCTGACAACCATAGTCTTCATTCTGGTTCCCAGTGATTCACAACCCTCACACGTGCAAAATATACTCACCCTCTTACAAGTCTCCAAAAAATCTCACCCTACTACAATATTACACAAAGTCCAGAATCTCCTTATCATTTAAATGGTCCAGACATGAATGGGGCTTCTAGGGTAATCCTTAAGAACATTTCCTTGCATATGGTTTCTCTCAAGCCGAAGACCTGTGAACTAAAACTTAAGTTATTTCTTCTACTCACACCCAAATAGAATCATGGCATTCCCATAAGATAGTAGCTATAAAATCTCCTGTTCAGGGGCAAGAAGCCTGGCCAGAACCAGGGGAAGGGGGCAAATCAAATCAGACATGCAGATTTCACAGGCTGGGGAAGAACTAAAGCCCTTTTTTCTCACAACTGGGAGTCAGATAGCCTCAGGCAAGTTTCTAAGTCCATCACCCTCCACCTGGAAGCAGACTCCGGGCTGTTGGTAAGGGGCACAGTGTAAGTAAGAAAGGCCTTTTGGATTGCATGGGAGCTGGGTGAGGCCTGTGACTGCAGCTTTCCCCCACTTCCCTCACAACCTGCATGACTCAGCAAAGACAACCATAATCCTCCCCTACACAACTCCAGTGACCTGGGAATCTTACCCCCATACCCCACAGCAGCCTCAGCCAGACATGCCCAAGGAGAGTCAGAGCTCAGACACGCCTAGCCCCATCCCCACCTGATGGTCTTTCCCTATCCACCCTGGTAGTGAAAGATAAACGGCGTATAATCTTGGGAGTTCTAGGGCCCTGCACACCACCAGTCCTTCTCCACACTACTACAGCTGATGCTTTCTGGAAAGTACCACCTCCTGGCAGGAGACCAACCAGCACAAAAATGGAACATTAAACCATCAAAGCTAAGGGCCTTCCCAGAATCCATTGCACCCTCTGCCACCTCCACTGGAAAGGAGCTGGTATCCATGTCTGAGAGACACATAGACAGTTCACATCACAGGAATTGTGCAGACAACCCCCAGTACCAGCCCAGAGCCAGGGAGACATGCTGGGTGGCTAGATACAGAAGCGAGACAACAATCACTGCAGTTTGGCTCACAGGAAGCCACATCCATAGGAAAAGGGGGAGAGTACTACATGAAGGGAACACCCCATGGGCCAAAAGAATCTGAACAACAGCCTTCAGCCCTAGATGTTCCCTCTGACAGAACCTACCCAAATAAGAAGGAACCAGAAAACCAACCCTGGTAATACAACAAAACAAGGCTCTTCAGCACCCTGCCAAAAATTACACTAGTTCACCACCAATGGATCCAAACCCAGAAGAAATCCCTGATCTACCAGAAAAAGAATTCAGGAGGTTAGTTATTAAGATAATAAGGGAGGGACCAGAGACAGGCAAAGCCCAATGCAAAGAAATCCAAAAAATGATACAAGAAGTGAGGGGAGAAATATTCATGGAAATAGATATCTTAAAGAAAAAATGATCAAAAATTCAGGAAACTTTGGACACACTTTTAGAAATGCAAACTGCTCTGGAAAGTCTCAGCAATAGAATTGAATAACTAGAAGAAAGAAAATCGAGCTCAAAGACAAGGTCTTCTAATTAAACCAATCCAACAAAGACAAAGAAAAAAGAATAAGAAAATATGAACAAAGCCACAAAGAAGTCTGGGATTATGCTAAACCACCAAACCTAAGAATAATCTTCTTCTGAGGAAGAAGATAATTCTAAAAGCTTGGAGAAACATATTTGGGGGAATAATCAAGGAAAACTTCCCCAGCCTTGTGAGAGACCTAGACTTCCAAATACAAGAAGGATAAAAAACACCTGGGAAATTCATCGCAAAAAGATCTTTGCCTAGGCACATTGTCATCAGGTTATCCAAAGTCAAGACAAAGGAAAGAATCTTATAAGCTGTGAGACAGAAACACCAGGTAACTAACTTATAAAGGAAAACCTATCAGATTAACAGCAAATTTCTCAGCAGAAACCCTACAAGCTTGAAGCGATTCGGGACCTATCTTCAGTGTCCTCAAACAAAACAATTATCAGCCAAGAATTTTGTATCCAGCGTAACTAAGCATCATATATGAAGGAAAGATACAGTTGTTTTCAGAAAAACAAATGCTGAAAGAATTCACCATTACCAAACCACCACTACAAGAACTGCTAAAAGGAGCTCTAAATCTTGAAACAAATCCTGGAAACATGAAAACAGAGCCTCTTTAAAGCATAAATCACACAGGACCTATAAAACAAAAATACAAGTTAAAAAGCAAAAACGAACAACAACAAAAAAAAACAAAACCAAAGTACACAGGCAACAAAGAGCATGGTGGAAGCAACAGTACCTCACATTTCAATACTAACGTTGAATGTAAATGGCCTAAATGTGCCACTTAAAAGATACAGAACTGCAGAATGGAGAAGAACTCACCAACCGACTCTCCGCTGCCTTCAGGAGACTCACATAACACATAAGGACTCACATAAAGTAAAGGGGTGAAAATGGACACCAAAAGCGAGCAGGGGTACCTATTCTTATATCAGACAAAACAAACTTTAAAGCAAGAGCAGTTAAAAGAGACAAAGAGGGACAGACAGTATATAATAGTAAAACGTCTTGTCCGACAAAAAAATACCACAATCCTAAACATATATGCACCTAACACTGGAGCTCCCAAATTGATAAAACAATTACTTATAGACCTAAGAAATGAGATAGACAGCAACACTGTAATAGTGGGGGACTTCAATACTTCACTGACAGCACTAGACAGGTCATCAAGACAGAAAGTCAACAAAGAAACAATGGATTTAAACTATACCTTGGAACAAATTGACTTAACAGATATATATAGAGCCTTTCATCTAACAACCCCAGAATACACATTCTATTCAACAGCACATGGAACTTTCTCCAAGATAGACCATATGATAGGCCATAAAACGAGCCTCAGTAAATTTAAGAAAATTGATATTATATCAAGCACTCTCTCAGACCACAGTGGAATAAAACTGGAAATCAACTCTGAAAGGAACCTTCAAAACCATGCAAATACATGGAAATTAAATAACTTGCTCCTGAATGAGCATTGGGTCAAAAATAAAATCAAGATGGAAATTAAAAAATTCTTTGGACTGAATGACAATAATGACACAACCTATCAAAACCTTTGGGATATAGCAAAGGCGGTGCCAAGAGGAAAGTTCATAACCCTAAATGTCTACATCAAAAAGTCTGAAAGAGCACAAACAGACAATCTAAGGTCATACCTCAAGGAACTAGAGAAACAAGAACAAACCAAACTCAAATCCAGCAGAAGAAAGGAAATAACCAAGATCAGAGCAGAACTAAATGAAATTGAAACAAAAAAAATACAAAATATAAAAGAAACAAAACCGATTCTTTAAAAAGATAAATAAAATTGATAGACTATGAGCAAAATTAACCAAGAAAAGCAAAGAGAAAATCCAAATAACCTCACTAAGAAATGAAACAGGAGATATTACAACTGACAGCACTGAAATACAAAAGATCATTTGAGCCTACTATGAACACCTTTATGCACATAAACTAGAAAACCTAGAAGAGATGGATAAATTCCTGGAAAGATAAAACCCTGCTAGCTTAAATCAGGAAGAATTAAATAACCTGAACAGACCAATAACAAGTTAGTGAGATTGAAATGGTAATTTAAAAATTACCAACAAAAAAAGTCCAGGACCAGACAGATTCACAGCAGAAATCTAACAGACATTCAAAGAATTGGTACCAATCCTTTTGACACTATTCCACAAGATAGAGAAAGAAGGAACCCTCTCTAATTCATTCTATGAAGCCAGCATGACCATAATACCAAAACCAGGAAAGGGCATAACCAAAAGAGAAAACTACACACCAATATCCTTGATGAATATAGATGCTAAAATCTTTAACAAAATACTAGCTAACCGAATCCAACAACATATCAAAACGGTAATCCACCATGATCAAGTGGGTTTCATACCAGGGATGCAGGGATGGTTTAACATATGCAAGTCAATAAATGTGACACACCACATAAACAGAATTAAAAACAAAAATCACATGATCATCTCAATAGATGGAGAAAAAACATTGGACAAAATCCAGCATTGCTTTATGATTAAAACTCTCAGAAAAATCGGCATACAAGGGACATACCTGAATGTAATAAAAGCCATCTGTGACAAACCCACAGCCAACATAATACTGAATGGGGAAGAGTTGAAAGCATTCCCTCTGAGAACTGGAACAAGACAAGGATGCCCACTCTCACCACTCCTCTTCAACATAGTACTGGAAGTCCTAGCCAGAATAATCAGATAAGAGAAAGAAATAAAGGACATCCAAATTGGTAAAGAGGAAGTCAAACTGTCACTGTTTGCTGACAATATGATCGTTTACCTTGAAAACCCTAAAGACTTCTCTAGAAAGCTCCCAGGACTGATAAAAGAATTCAGCAAAGTTTCTGGACACGAGATTAATGTACACGTATCAGTAATTCTTCTATACACCAACAGCGACCAAGCAGTGAATCAAATCAAGAACTCAACCACTTTTACAATAGCTGCAAAAAAGAAAAAGAAAAAGAAAAAAAATACGTAGGAATATACTTAACAAAGGAGTCAAAAGACCTCTACAAGGAAAACTACAAATCATATTCTTTTCACGACACAAACAAATGGAAACACATCCCATGCTCATGGATGGGTAGAATCAATATTGTGAAAATGACCATACTGCTAAAAGCAATCTACAGATTCAATGAGATTCCCAACCAAATACCACGATCATTCTTCACAGACTTAGAAAAAACAATTATAAAATTCACATCTTTCCAAAAAACAGCCTCAATGGCCAAAGCAAGACTAAGCAAAAAGCATAAATTTGGAGGCATCACTCTACCTGATTTCAAATTATAGTTTAATGCCATAGTCACCAGAACAGCAAGGTACTGGTATAAAAATAGGCACATAGACCAATGGAACAGAAAAGAGAACCCAGAAATAAACCTAAATACTTACAACCAACTGATCTTCAACAAAGCAAACAAAAACATAAAGTGGGGAAAGAATACCCTTTTCAATAAATGGTGCTGGGATAATTGGCTAGCCACATGTAGGAGAATAAAACCGGATCCTCATCTCTCACCTTATACAAAAATCAACTCGAGATAGATTAAGGACTTAAAACCTGAAACTATAAAAATTCTAGAAGATAACCTTGGAAAAACCCTTCTAGACATTGGCTTAGGCAAGGATTTCATGACCAAGAACCCAAAGCAAATGCAATAAAAACAAAGATACATAGCTAGGACCTAATTAAACTAAAGAGCTTTTCCATAGCAAAAGGAACAGTCAGCAGAGTAAACAGACAACCCACAGAGTGGGAGAAAGTCTTCACAATCTATATATCTGACAAAAGACTAACATCCAGGATTTACAACAAGCCCAAACAAATCAGTAAGAAAAAAAAAATCCCATCGAAATGTGGGCTAAGGACATGAATAGACAATTCTCAAAAGAAGATATGCAAATGACCAACAAACATATGAAAAACTGTTCAACATCACTAATGATCAGGGAAATGCAAATCAAAACCACAATTCAAAACCACCTTTTCCCTGTGAGAATGGCCATAATCAAAAAATCAAAAAACAGTAGATGTTGGTGTGGATGCAGTGAACAGGGAACACTTCTACACTGCTGGTGAGAATGTAAGCTAGTACAGCCATTATGGAAAACAGTGTGGAGATTCCTTAAAGAACTAAAAGTAGAACTACTATTTGATCCAGCAATCCCACTACTGGTTATCTACCTAGAGGAAAAAAAAAGTCATTATTCGAAAAAGACACTTGCACATGCAGGTTTATAGCAGCAAAATTCACAATTGCTAAATTGTGGAACCAACACAAATGCCCATCAATCAATGAAGTGGATAACGAAACTGTGATATATATATATATATATATCACATATATATGTGAAATATATCACATATATATGATGAAATATATGTATATCACATATATATGATGAAATATATATATATATATGATGAAATACTACTCAGCCATAAAAAAGAGCGAATTAACATTTGCAGTGACCTGGATGAGATTGGAGACTATTATTCTAAGTGAAGTAACTCAGGAATGGAAAACCAAACATTGCATGTTCTCACTGATATGTGGGAGCTAAGCTATGAGAACGTAAAGGCATAAGAATGACACAATGAACTTTGGAGATTTCGGGGAAAAAGTGGGAGGGGGCAAGAGATAAAAGACTACAAATATGGTGCAGTGTATACTGCTTGGGTGATGGGTTCACCAAAATCTCACAAATCACCACTGAAAAAGTTACTCATGTAACCAAATACCACCTGTACCCCAATACCCCAATAACTTATGGAAAAAAAATCTCCCGTTCAAAAAGGGAGAAATAGAAGGTATATAGGAATCATTAGTCCATAGCCATTCTGAAAATTATCAAGGCACAGGTAGTAGTTTCTTAAATAGGACTAAAGACTTGAGAGTAATTCCTTATGGCTGTTGACTCTGCCTTCTAGGCTCTTGTCTCTATTCTCTGTCTCTGAGTTATTTTCATTTTTATTTTTTTGTAAAAAGTAGCCATATTTTCAGGTGTGCAGTTTTCTCAGGGATGCCAAAGACCTCTTTTCATTTTATCTGTATCTGTTCCTTTCAATCCAAGCTAGTGGCATTTCTGCTAATTCATTTTTCTTAAAAACCTTTGTGACTGTCCTGGGAATTTTACTGGGGTTCATTTCACTAGACAAAAGTTATCTCTATGAATCTCTTTAAGATAACATCTTTTTTTTTCCTGTAAGCTTCTGCTGAGACTATCATAGAACAACATTCTTCAGTTCCTTTGAAGCTCTAATATTTTACTGGATGAAATTACCTTAGATCTGTATGGAGTCTTAATCAAAGGAAAGAAGCATGCACAAAAAGCAGCATCTTAGAATCCAGTAAGAGGCTGGGGGATGAGGAGGGTCTATCCTTTGAATAAATCAGAACTATAGGGTCTCTGGTTTCTACCACACATAACTTATGAGGCTTAATTAGTCCTGCTGCTGCCAAAATAGAGAGGTTCCCCAAGTGGAAAAGAGAAAAGGGCCTCCTTGTTAGCACCCACCTATCTTAGTTGAATGTTGTTTTGATTCACATGTTCAGGCATAGCTGAAAATTTGTTGAAATTCTAAAAATTGAATAATGTATGATACATGCTGTGTCCCAGGATTTGCTTTATTATCTAAATTTTGCACACTTTAATATGCCTCCCAAGAAGGTGTCTTGTTTATTAAGTATCACAATAAAACAAAAGAGATACAAGAACTGCAGAGAAGAGAAAATGATTTTGCCAAATTATTTCAATGCTTTGGTACATGAATTTAAATTAGTAACTGAATCTATTTCTGTATAAATTTTATTTAAAGACAAATGTTTTTTTCCTTCCCAATGAAATGAATATCAGACATTAGTGTGAAATAGCACCCAATTATTAGCTACTGAGAGGACCTGATTGTCATGGTGTGAACCTGCATAAAAATCAAATAAATAAGCAATGAAACAATGGAACAAAATATTGTGGACTTGGTCCTATACATTGGGTGAATTATAAATCACGCCTACATGGCTAGGGTCCCTGAGAGCAAAGACCACACTTAAGACTTCATTTTAAAAAACTGTTTGCTATGGACTGAATGTTTGTGTGCACCCAAAATTCATATGTGGAAATCCTAACCCCACTGTGATAGTATTAGCAAGTGGGGCTTTTGTTGGTAATTAGATTATGAGATGGGAGCCCTCATGATGGTATGGATGCTCATGAAAGAAGAGACACAAGTGAACTTATATGCCCTCTCTCTCTGCTCTTTGCTCTGTGAGAAAACAAGAAGACAGCTGTCTGCAAACCAAGATGGATGCCCACACCAGACATCACATCTGCCTGCACCTTGACCTTGGAATTCCCAGTCTCCAGAACTCTAAGAAATAAATGTTTGTTGTTTGAGCCACCAGGTCTATGGTATTCTGATATAGCATCCCAAACTGACTTAGGCACTGTTTCTCCTCTTCATGTGAACACATGAAAGGATTGTGTGTTTGTTTGTGTTTCCAAGAAGAAAACAGGTTTTCAAATAAAATTACTCATCCATTTATTTTGTCTTTTTATTAATTTAAGAATAGTTATTTATATACCTCTGATGTACATAATTATCCTAACCAGTTGCGAATTTTACCTTTGAAAAAGAAATGGCTTATATAGTCATATACTTTCAAAAATTAATTGAGAATCTTTTATATACCAGGTTTTATGTTAACTGCTGAGTATACACAGATGAATAAGGGACACTCTCAGCTCCTTAGAGAACACATGGTAGAGTTTAGGAGACAATTTCAATATAATACAAAATTTGCTAATGGGTAAGATGGGTGTTGGGGCACAAGAAATCATGAATGTGATGCCTGGTTCAAATGCTTCATTCAGCAAAGTACTAAGCGAAATTTGTCACCAGGTCATACCCCATGGCCATTAATATCTCCCAAAGTTCAATTCATACACATTAGGTTACTTTAAAGACCATATTTAATAAATAATTGGATAACCCAGTAGGTGACTAATAGCTTTTTGCTTACTTTGGGATAAGCCCTGTGTGATTCTCAGAAATCTCTTAATTGTTTGATTATTTAACAAAAGGTTCCTGCTTCTTAAGACTTCAAAACCCATTAAAGTCATAGTAAGAATTAGTTTTGCATGCTCCCAGTCATAGGGTGCTCATTTCCCCCTTGTTCCCAAGAGGGGTGATAAGATAGGTTTGTTTTCAAGGTAGCCATTAATAAGCGAGATGGTGCCTGGTCTAACTAGGCCCTCAATCTAAAGCAGGACATTATCTCCCTTAATCTGTGTTCTAGTTATTCCAAATAGGGTCACAGTGATTATTAGCTCAGTAGGTGATCAATAAAGGTTTGTGGAATGAATGAATGAGTCATTTGCTGTGGTTCAATTTCCAAAGTTGATTATCTGATTCTGTTACATTCCCAGTGCTATAGCTGCACATCTTATTCAGTATGCCATGCAGTTTAGTTTTCGTTTTCAAGGACATAAGTGCTGTGCTTTTGCCAATGACTCACCTAGTGCTGTGATGCAGAGGTAGGTATTATCTTGAAATGATACATTTCTATATTCCACAAGGTACAGTCCTAATCATTAGGTGACACACTGTGAAGATGAATCTTTCTTCTAAATAACCAGCCATTGGAGTAAGCAGAAGACCTTGCCACTGAATGACATAAGACTCTTTTGCACTTGTGGTTTACTTTTTATTTAACATTCCACACTTCATACTCTTTGTGCATCAGATTATCCACAGTTTACAGTATCTGGAAACCAAATCAAACCCTTCTAACTCCATCTGTCATCAGTCTCTTTAGCAATAATAGTTGATAAGTGCCCTGTTGATCACCTTTTTGGAGAAGTTCTGAGAACCGTATATTTTTGCTTTTTGAGAAAATAGTTCAAACATCCTTCTGCTTATAGCTTAAAAATGGATTATAAAAGGTATATTAGCTTGTCAATTTCAACTAATACAAGAGATGGAGACAATTACTGTTACTTAAATCTAATTGGACACCTTATCAGTGACTATAAAATAGACGTATATTTGCCTACCATATTGAGAGAGCAGCAGCTGAAATGGCCTGGTAGGGTAGCTGGCCTCTACCTTGAATAATCATTGTTCTTCCCACCGTGTCCTAAAGCCAGTCAAGGAGGTATATTGCCAACTGCAAACTTGATTGTTACTTCTATATCTTAATAGAGAACATTACTCCTATCAAAGGTGCTTAAAGGAAAACTATAGATTCTTGTTCCAAGCAAGCAAAGTTCTTACATGCAAAAACTTTGGAGACACAATGACCGAGGCTCTAATCCTATCTCAAAATTTGGGGCAATTGTAACCTCTCTAAATCTTAGTTCCTCATCCTAATGTGAAGCTAAACATAACTTGCAAATAAATAACTCATTATATAACTGATATCTTCTCCTCCATCCCTGCCTTGGTCAAGGATTGGCTCACTCAACACAGATTCTCAAATACCTTCTTTGCTTTTCTCTAACATAGGGGATAGAGGATGAAGTACTCATTTTTCTCAGAAGCAGCCTAGCCAGCAGTGGTGATATGCCACAGCTCTGCCCAGTGATATATAAGCTTACTTCTGATGAGAGGAGTTTTCATTAAGTATAAGGGTTTGGACCCTCCTCCCTTCCTCTTGCTTGAAAAGCAAGTGTGATAATTAAAGGTGCAATAGATCTCCAGCCACCGTGAAGAAAAAGTCATGTGATAGGATGGTGGGGCAAGAAGATAGAAAGAGCCTGGCCCCTGACCACATCATTGAGTAGACATTCAAAGGTATTGGGCAGGAAAAAAATAAAGCAACAACTTTAATTCAGGAAAACTTTTCTCATCTTTCAGAAATTAGTTTTCTTCCTATTAACATGACATTGAATTCATTTCTTATAAAATAGTAATCTAGTTTTGCTATCCTACGAAAGAATGTGCTCTCTAATTGCCTTGAGTGAATTATATTTCAGGATGATTTAATGCTAGAAGTATCATGTGGTTCAACTTTAAGTATTTAACAGAGTCAATACTCAGACTCAAGTCTTTCTGATTCTGATGCCCCTGTCACTAATCACTGCACTCACGTGGTGCCCCAATGCCAGCTACTCAGCAAAAGCTTAAAGAAAGTAAAAGTTGTTGATTGATTAATTAAATAGCCCCTCTCTACTTATACATTAAAACTCCTCTTTCAACACAATCTCATACTGACACTGAAATTAAAGGTTTCCATTAGCTGACTTTCCTCTCTATAGACGTGAGAACTGAATGGAGAGATAGTTGAAATAAATTTTGTGTGGCATTGGCCTTGAAGGGACTGATAAAGGGCGCATACTGAAGTTCTTTGGCTGGGCCCTGTGGGATGCACACTTGTGGCCTTGGAGGCATGGCACTGCAGAAGCACTTAGAGGAAACTGCCAAGTGCACGTGCAGCAGGAATGAGCCTGCGCCTCTGATCGTCACGCTTAGCTTCATGTTTGCAGTCCTTTTAGGGGGATGCTAGCAGAGACAGCAAATTCCACATTAATCCACTATTTAAGAACAGAACAGATATTGTTTGGCATTAGCCAATAAGATCTGGTGACTCATAAATGGGTCACAGACATTGCCTTTTGCCCAAGTTCATGGCCAAAAACATACTGGGCATTGTGTCCAAAATGTGATTAAACTAGTACCAGCTCAGATAGCTTACAACCTAGATTAAATGGCTTAGTAAAACACTGTTCACTGGAAACAGAATCTAGGCTTCCCCCTGAAGTACTTGTTTCAGACATGGAATGTTTGGGACAGCTATTCATTTTCTGTTAAATGCTCTGTTGCCTATTTCCAATAACATAATGAAGAAAGCCCCAAGAAGGCATTACTGGTTGTAATTTGAAAATCAAGATAATATTATGTACTCATGGTTAAAATTTATAGAGTATTCAAAGATGAAAAGCAAAAAATAAAATTCCCCTGATCTCATAGTCTAACACCCTAGAAGGTGTCACTGTTTATATTTTCTTGACTACTGTGCAGAAATCTTCTGTGAATGACAAACATATTGTATGGGTTGAATTGTGTCCCCACAAACGATGTGTTGAAGCCCTAACCCCTAGTACCTTAGCATGTGACCTTATTTGGAAATAAGGTCTTTACAGAGATAATTTAAAATGAGCTCATTAGGGTGAATTCTAATCCACTATAATGAGTATTCTTATAAAAAGGGGCAATTTGAACATAGAGACAAACACACCCAGGGAGAATGCCATGTGAACATGAAGGCAGAGATTGCGATGATGCTCCTATAAGCCACGGAATGCCAAAGACTGCCAGCAAACTACCAGAAGCCAGGAGGGAGGCGTGGAACAGTTTCTCCCTCACAGTCCTCAGAAGGAAACAACCCTGCCAATATCTTGATTTTGGATTTCTAGCCTCAGGAACTGTGAGACGATAGATTTCTGTTGCTTAAGTCACCAGTTGATGATGTTGTTACAGAAGCCCTAACAAATGAGTGCACATATATTGATATTGATATACAGATCCAGGTATACACATAACATTGTCTTATTTTTCCATTTCATTTCTGTGTAGAATCACAACTCATTCTGGTCCTTCCTTGCGTCTGTCTGGTTTTAGTAGCTCTGTGCTGGATTTTTTCCCAGTTTAATGACAGTTAAGATTTCATAAGTGCTGCTATCCTCATAAATCTTTCACACTGATTAGCATACATGTCTTTCGGTCTGAAATGTATGGTCACTATTTCATAGTTTTTCATAAAGTGCTAGATGGCCAGTAGGCACTAAGCATTGGGTGAGGTTTATGAAGATGCAGAAATAAGGAGACAGTGTGTTGGACCTCTGCTTGAAGGTAAAGAGATCACAGCAAAAGAGCATGCCCAGGATAAAATACCATATTTATGATCCAAGTGTCTGGTGCCAGCTCTTTTTAAGGTGACATACTAGATCAAGAAGGTAGAAAGATGTATATATCTACCCAGCAGATAATAAAATTATTATTGAGATCATCAGATTCTCTTTTCTCTGGTTTTATATGCAACATGCAAACTTTTTTATTTTTATCAAGTTCCCATAGAGACTTTTCCATTAAAGAGGCTTGCCTGATCATGATATGATAGATTTACTTACCACTGTATCCCCCATGCTAAGTTCAGTGCCTGGATCACAGCGTATGCTCATTAAATATTTGTTGAGTTGACTAAATATTATGCATAGTCAGCAAATATGGTTGCATGCCTACTGTGAGTCAGAAATTAGGCTAAGCATTTTTGAGTGCTAAAAGTTAAGTTTTCTCAATGTAAATTAGTAATTTGACACTGATTAATTAATCATTGATTAATTGATTAATCATTGATTTATGAGTCAGGTTAATATGGGTTTAGACCCTCACATCTCATCACTCCATGTAAAATGTAGTTCTTGAATATGTAAGCCCAAATTTGGACACTTCTGTAAGTCTTTAAGCACTTTGAAAAGCCCTATTGACTTGGCAAAGATTTCATGATGAAGATGCCAAAAGCAATTGCGACAAAAACAAAAATTAACAAATGGGACATAATTAAACTAAAGAGCTTCTGCATAGTAAAAGAAAGTATCAACAGAGTAAACAGTCTACAGATGGGAGGAAATATCTGCAAACCTTACATCTGACAAAGGTCTAATAATCAGAATCAACAAGGAATTTGAACAAATTAACAAGAAAAAACAAACAACTCCATTAAAAAGTGGGCAAAGAATATGAATATACCCCTTTCAAAAGAGGACATACATACAACCAACAAGCATATGAAAAAATGCTCAACCTCACTAATCATTAGAGAAATTCAAATCAAAACCACAATGAGATACCATCTCACACCAGTCAGAATGACTATTATTAAAAAGTCATCAAGTAGCAGATGCTGGTGAGCTTGCAAAGAAAAGGGAACACTTATACACTGCTGGTGGGAGTGTAAATTAGTTCAGCCATTGTGGAAAGCAGTTTGGCAATTTCTCAAAGGACTCAAAACAGAATTACCATTCAACTCAGCAATCCCATGATTGAGTATATACCCGAAGAACTATAAATCATTCTATCATAAAGAACATGCATCTCATGTTCATCACAGCACTATTTACAATAACAAAGACATTGAATCAACCTAAATGCCTCTCAACGGTAGACTGGATAAAGCAAATATGGTATGTATACACTATGGAATATTATGCAGCCATAAAAAAGAATAAGATCATGTCCTTTGCAGCAACAAGGATGCAGCTGGAGACTATTATCCTAAGGAACAGAAAATCAAATAGTTTATACTCTCATTTATAAGTGGGAGCTAAACATTGAGTACACATGGACACAAAGAAGAGAACAATAGACACCAAGACCTACTTGATGGTGGAAGGTGAGAGGGGGTGAAGATAGAAACACTACCTATCAGTTACTACGCTTATTACCTGTGTGATGAAATAATCTGTATCCTAAATCCCTGTGACACGCAATTTACCAATATAACAAACCTGCAGATGTACTCTTGAACATAAAAGTAAAATCATGAAAAGCCCTATTGAACTGTCCTTCAGACTCTTATTTATTCATCATTCAATTATTCATTTGGTTATTTTTTCAAATCTTCCCTTCATTTGATTTTTCTATTATTCTTTTGATTAATGATTATCAATACCTACAATGTGTCAGAAGTTATGCTTGGTATCGAGTGGAGATTTAAAAATATTAAGACAAGGCCGGGCATGGTGGCTCACACCTGTAATCCTAGCACTTTGGGAGGCCGAGGCGGGTGGATCACCTGAGATCAGGAGTTCAAGACCAGCCTGGCCAACATGGTAAAACCCCGTCTCTACTAAAAATACAAAAAAAATTAGCCAGGTCTGGTGGTGGGCACCTGTAATCCCAGCTACTTGGGAGGCTGAGGCAGGAGAATTGCTTGAACCTGGGAGGTGGAGGTTGTGGTGAGCCGAGATCATGCCACTGCACTCCAGCCTGGGTGACAGAGTAAAACTCCATCTCAAAAAAAAAAAAAAATATATATATATATATATATATATATATACATATATATAAAATTCTTGTGCTGAAAGAACTAATACACCATATAATCTTTAAAAAAATTGCTGGGAGTTACACCCTCTGGCCATTTTGAAGGTAACATATAATACTGAGAGCCTCTTGCTTCCTACCAAGCCAGTTTTCAGGTTAAGGGAAATGAGTGCAGGCACCTGGATTCCCAATCCTGGTTGCAGCCTCTCTTCTCTCCACACCAAATTCCAGGCCTGTCACTGAAGACTTGCAGCTTGGGAGAAATTCTAAAACTCACTCAACTACAGAGAAGTTTAATGAGGAATTCAGGACAGGAAGTTAAGTTTACTATTATGTTTTCAATCATGAAAGGGAACGGTTTGGATATCTATTTTGAGGCAAACACTATCATCTTCTGTTTTACAGTAGTGTTTTTTTAGAAGCTATTTAAGACTATATGACTCCTTTTATAATTATCAAGATTTCAGATAAGCACTGAGCTGCTCCACTACATAATTGTAGCAGTGAGTGTGGGTGCCCCACCCACTTGAAGATAGACTGGAGTCAGCCCACATTTATATATTTGATGTGGTTTTATAGGAAGAGCCCCAAGTGAAATTCTTCCATATGGTGGCTCTTTGGGACCTAATCCAGGTGTCTTATTCAAAATCAGGGTTTTCAAGTCTGAAGTGAAGTACAATGGAGTACTTTAAAGAATTCAGCAGTCGGCAGTACTTTGATGATTTAAAATGCATACCTTAATGTAACCAACATTTATTGAGTGTTTATTACATGTACTAGATATTTTCACAGACATTAACTTGGTTACTTCTCAAACTAATGTATTGAAATAAATATTTTTTTATAAATGAGAAAATGGAAGTTCAGAAAGTTTAATCAACTGCCCCCAATTCAGAAAGCTATTACACATTGGAAACATGTCTAGTTATAAATGTTTTCTCCCTTTCATTACTAATGAAAGCAATGCTCCTCAGGTTTGCTTCCTTCTTCAGTCTCTCCTTCTTTTTTTTTTCTTCCTTCCCTTTCCTTCTCCCTTCTTTCTCTATTGTATCCCTTCTCTCAATTACCCTTCCTCCATCCTTTCTTTCTTGAGTGTCTGCTATGTGTCAGGCCCTGCCCTGGGACTTGGAGATTCAGACGCCATGATCTAGCCCTTTGTGAGAAACAGACGGGATGGTCACAGTGAGATATTTACTAAGAAATCAGTTATATAATCCTGGAGCTTGACTGAAAGAAAATTTGGGGCAAGAAATACTTTGTGAAATCACACATGCTTTTAAGACCACCTAAAAGTCTACTTAGAGTTACAGGAGGGTCAAAAACAGGGACCCAGGAAATACTGACCTTCATGAAGATTCATGGAAATCGAGGAGCCTCTGAGAGATTCCAAGGAGGAAATGGCCTCAGTGAAGAGAAGAAAATTGAAAGCTATTTTTGTCATTAAAAGTGTCACAAAATTCAGAAAAATTAACACAACTGAGCTTCCATGGTTGGAAAGTGGAAGGGTCATAGGTAAATATCATTATTAGGAGGAATATTATTCCGCATTCATATATTTCCATATAGAATTAGTGGCTCTATTTCTGTCCCTTAGACATGTCATCTTGGTGGAGAGAGGTGATACTCTATTGATGACTGTGGGGGAGAAACAGCCCTGCATAGCTCCCTTGTCTTTGGGATCTGCCTGATTGAATAAAGCACAATTTTTTGTCTCCCCTGGGTCGTAATATAATCTTATCAGCAAAAGCCCTATCTAAGGTAGATCAGAGCTGCCTGTGACTGGGAGTGTGCAATCCAGTATAGGTAAACCCAGTGTAGCGGCATACTTAAAAGCATTTCTGTATCAGCATTATCAGTATTACATCTGACTTCTTTTTTAAGAGACAGGGTCTTGCTGTGTTGCCCAGGCTGGTGTGTAATGATTATTCACAGGTGTGATCATAGTGCACTATGGCCTCGAACTCCTGGGTTCAAGCCTCCTGCTACAGCCTCCTGAGTAGCTGCGACTACAGGCATGCACCATTGTGCTAAGCTAAATCTGATACTTTTTCCTTCATTTACCAAACTCTTTCTCTTTCATTAGAGTCTCACCTTGGATAAGAAAGAAGGATGATACTATTTTGGGCCCCTTTAACTTTAACAACCATAAACAGTTCCCTTTATTAACAAGCAACAAAGAGCATATTCCAATAATATAGTTAGATGTAAAAATTGGCAACAATATATTAATATCTGAGGACTGCAAAATATAATTTGGGACGCCATGTCTTCTCAGTTGTTGCCAGGTATGCAATGTCCTCCTTCTGGCTTTCAAAAGTACCATGTTAGTCCTTCTCCATGGAAATTTCTACACTTATCTGGGAGCAAGGGATTGGAGGAATGGAGTAGCAAGAGTTCCCCAAATGAGGGAAACAAACTGATATGGTTAGGCTTTGTGTTCCCACACAAATCTCATCTTGAATTGTAATCCCCATAATACCCATGTGTCAAGGGAGAGATCAGGTGAAGTTAATTGAATCATGGGGGTGGTTTCCCTTATGCTGTTCTCGTGATAGTGAGTGAGTTCTCACGAGATCTGATGGTTTTATAAGGGGCTCTTTTTGCTCAGTACTTCTCTTTCCAGCCGCCCTGTGGGGAAGGTGTCTTGCTTCCCCTTCACCTTCCACCATCAGTGTAAGTTTCCTGAGGATTCCCCAGCCGTGCTGAACTGTGAGTCAATTAAACCTGTTTCCTTTATAAATTACTCAGGCAGTTCTTTATAGCAGTCTGAAAATGGACTAATACAGTAAATTAGTACCACAGAGAGTGGAGTGCTGCTATAAAGATACCCGAAAATGCGGAAGTGACTTTGGGACTGGGTAACAGGCAGAGGCTGGAACAGTTTGGAGGGCTCAGAAGAAGACAGGAAGATGTAGGAAAGTTTGGAACTTCCTAGAGAGTTGTTGAATAGCTTTAACCAAAATGCTGATAGTGATATGGACAATAAAGTCCAGACTCAAGCGGTCTCAGATGGAGATGAGGAGCTTGTTGGGAACTGGAATAAAGGTGACTCTTGCTATGGTTTTTTTTTCTTTTTCTTTTTTTTTTTTCACATGTCAGAGACTGGTCTAAGAGCTTTACATATATTAATTCCTATAATCTTTGTGATAGCCTCATTTGATAGAAGAAAAAACTGGGGCATAGGGAGGTTAAGTGACTTGTCAAGATCACATGGTCAAGGGAGTGGCACAACTGAGGTCTGATCTCAGGTGATCTGTCATCAGTTCCCATCCTCAGCTGCTACACTCTTTCTCCTCCCGTGCTCTACCCACTCCACCTGCTTCACCATCTTCCTTAGGGCAGGGCACCATAGCAACACCTGTCCTAAATAATTGCCGAGAAATGTAAACTCGAATGGTCAGATAGCTCCTATTTTAGCCTGTCTCTAAGTCATTGGGTGGTCTAAAACGTATGAGGCCCTAAAAGGGGTACAGGGGAGGCTTTAATTGCAAGGCAGGGTGAAGAAGAGCATCGGCAGGGACTTTTCATGTTTCCATGTTTTTCCAGGGAGGAAACAAGCTCCTCCAGTGGTGGGAGATGGAAGGAGTTGAGAAGGAGCGGAGGGGCATTCTCCACCTTTGGGGGCCTTGGCGTTTTGTCCCATGAGAATGGTTCTGCCACCGTGTGCTTTGAGTTGGGAAACATTTTTAAACTCGGCTTTGTTGGATTGGGTGTGTGATTTGTGAAAGTGGATGATTGTAAGTGTCTGTTAAAGGAGCTGGGTAGCTTGAAAATCTGTAAAATCAGAAGCTGAACCATGAGGTGGGGGCAGAGGATGATGCTTCCATAGTGGTATTTACCTCCTGGACCCACAGGGCCTCTCCCTGCTTTCATGATGTGTGTTTGCTGACCACAGCAGCTGCACTAAGCTGGGCACAGCCTGCAGGCTCCGGGGCCTCCTGGGTTTCATAGTTTAGGGGCATGTGGCAGCATGGTGGGATGCTTTGGTAATGAGTTCACCACTGAGGCCACGTGGCTTTCACCTTAAGACATTGACAGCTGCAGCAGGTTTGAAAAAATGCAGCCACTGGTAGGACTGATCAGATCTTCTCTCTGGAAAACCAGGACAAAGCACTTGCATTACAGAAGGCCTTCGGGGGGATGGGAACCTGAATAAGGCAAGAAGAAGCTTCTCATGATGACAATATGAGGGCTGGGGTGAGAGAGGTTATTTTAATTTAAATATTAAAACAGCTGAGTTTGAGATTGTTTCATTCCCTAAAGGGGTGAAGAAGTAAGTGTACACCTTCATTGTGTTTCATCCTCAGGGTATCCACTGAAACACATATTATCAACATTTTGTGGATAAAGAAATTGAAGCAGGAACAGATTAAGTGACTTTCCCAGGATCATATGGCTGGTAGATAGGTAGACACCAATTTGGCCTGTAAAACAATGATTTTTACCTTACATTGTGTGGCATCTCGTCTCAAGAGAGAAGCATGAACGTACTAGTACAACAAATGTGAGTGTCCAATTTTACCAGCATGAGGTGTATCTACCCCTCTGGGTCATCTGATAACCAGAA
Source organism: Homo sapiens (assembly GCF_000001405.40). Taxonomy (NCBI): domain Eukaryota; kingdom Metazoa; phylum Chordata; class Mammalia; order Primates; family Hominidae; genus Homo; species Homo sapiens. Next base: position 120,915,018 of record NC_000008.11, read on the forward strand.
GAAGCATGCAGTTTGGCAAGGATATGCCATTATTACTGTGTTTTGTAATAGGCATTATTAGAGCAGAGAAGAATGAACTCTAAGATGTGACATGGGATTGGGCCAATGTGCTAGAAGGCCTTCCTTCCTCTATCCTTGCCTCTTTTTTAAAATGCTTAGGTCACATCTGGGTTAAGCTATGAGGATAAGTAAAGGATCAATTGCTGTTTAGGCAGCAGCTTGCAGGGACTCTAGCTAGCAGCATTGAGAGGCTGTCTCAAAGTTGCTCTAGGAGCTGCCAGCAGTGATGAAATCACACTGGCCATAGTTTCTGAATCTACAATTGGTGAAGTACTATAGGTGGTGACTCTTCAAGTGGCTGCCTCCCCATAAACTCCCTTTTGATTAAAGTAACTGCACATAACTCCTTACCTTAGCATTCTCCAACTCCAGTGCCCACAAGGGTCAGGTAAGTGAGTGAAACTCTTTGACAGGAGCCCGACGTAGGGACTCTGGTGAAGAGCTCAGGTGCTTTTTAATGGCTCATATAGTACTCAGTATCTGTTGACTGTGGCTAGTGTTTCTTGGCTTTCTAATTTTTCAAGGAAAGCTGGAAATCTGAGTTTTTATGTGAAATTTCCCTATTCAAAAATCATTCATGCTTAAACATTAAACTTAAATAAGTACTGTGTGAGCCAATGTTGTGCAAGTCAAACTAAATATATTTGTGGCCAGTTCTAGACTCCTGTTGGCAATAGTCACCTTGCACAAAGCTTGAGTCCTTTATTCAAAGCGCCACTGTGTTGCCTTCAGCAGATTGGAGAAAAAATGGAACTGGAGCAATGGCAACCCTCTTTAGGTTATCCCTGGAGACCTTGAGAAGCATTCTCCTCAATAGGGAAGCCTAAAACCACAGGGCAACTGTTCCAACAAGTCCTTGCTCTTAGGGAACTGGAACAGAAGATACAGAGAGAGTTAAGTCATAGTAATAGAAGTAGAAGCAGAGCCATGGACTCATCAAGAAACATTTAATGGCAGAACATTCCAATTGGATAACTGTTGCCAGGTTAATCACAGGACCAAGTGGCCAGAACTTTTGCTGTGTGTAGTAGATGTTGGTGCTACTGCTGTTTTCTGAATAAACTTCTTTTTCTGTAAGACCTGGCTCCAAGCCTATTAAGTCAGCTTCAGGGTTTATTTTATTTTATTTTTTTTTGTCCCGTTTTATCTTTACAATAAAACTCAGTGACCCAGGTAAATCTGAGTATGTCTGGGAATCTTGTAATTTCAAAGATGCTGGTGAGTGCAGCAATCTGTGGTCTAATACATATATTTGCAGTAAACCCCTTTTTCTTCACTGATGGGCTCCGGTGAACATGTGACCCTGCCCCCTCCTGCTGATTGGATAAGCGTGAGATACCTCAGCCAAGTTGAACAAATCAGACTCTCTACCTTGTGAGTTTGCAATCCTGTTTGTTCATCCATGATAACTGCTTGAGGTAAGAGGTGATGGAAACTCAGGACTTGAGCTGCTGCTTGCGGGATGGCTATTCCCTGTAAAATTTATTAACATCCTTTACAAGGCCTAGCATGATGTGGCTTCTACTTTCTTTTCTAGTGTCATTGCTCACCAGTCTCCCTGACACTCTCTCTGCTCCAGCTATTCCGGGCTTCCTTCAAGCCCATGTGGGGCTGTGCAGGTGCTATTCTCACTTTCTGGTGACTAGCTAGCTCTGATATAACCTTTTGATCTCAGCCCAAATGTCATTTCTTCAGAATGATCTAGTTATGCTTCTGATTAGATTAGATCTTCCTCCCATTCCCCACATCACTGCACAAGCTTGTGGCACTACACATTTTCTGTTTCTTCATAATTTTAGTTTACTATGACCCTAACACTGTATATGGCTTTTCTTCCTGCATCTGTTTCTTGTCACACAGGTGGCTAAGAGCCTAGACTCAGGAGTCAGAATCATTGGGTTCCAATCCTGGCTTTAGATACATGAGTTTCAGCATGTTACTTGATTTCTCTGTCTTAATTTGGTCACCTATGAGGTAAAGACAGTAATGATACCTACTTTAAATGATTGGTGTGAGGTTTAAATGAAATATGCATATAAATCAATTAGCACAATGCTTCCCACACAGTATCTGCTCAATACATGTTTTCTGGTATGATTATTATCTGATTGTTGATTGTTCCTCAGTTTAAACTTTTGAAAGCAAGAATCTGCTTGGTTCAGTTCATCTTTTCACAGTGGGTCTTATTGCAGATATCTAGTTACCAACCAGTGTTGCTGCAGAAAGGTGTGTGTATAGGTGTGTGTATGTATGTGTGTATGTATGTGTGTGGATATGTGGAGGTGTTATGGAGTCTATAATGTTGTTTACTAATTCTGCCAGTCAGTTTTTTTCTGGGCCACAAGGAAGTGACATGCACAGATGGTTGACAAAGATAGGAGTTTATTGCAAGAACATAGATGGTGAGATAGAGGAAGAAAAGGTCACATTAGCAGTCAAGTCACTTAGGAGAGCCTAAGATGGTATGTGAGGCACATTTCTTATGAAACTAGACGACTCCCTCCATTGTCATTTGGTGAAGCCATTGGACTTGAGTGAATCTTCCTATCTTTGTGTGTGCCCTGAATTTATGCTTCCAGAAGACTAATGTTTTTTGGATAGCAACTTAAATGATTTTTTATTCTTACAATCTCTTTTTGCCATTTAGGTAATAGAAAGGAGGTTCTAAGCTCATCGCAAGAAAATAATGGCACACTGAAAGGAGAAACAAAGGGTCTTTCCTTGATTTTTGTATTTCAAAAGTTTGGGAATTCAGAGGGAGCCTAAGAGGGTGTGTGTGCCAGAGATTTGGGAGAATGCAAATTAAGAAAGAGACACAAACAGCCTTACGGAGTTTTTGTGGCTCTGTGTGGCAAGTTGCAAAACATATCATCCCAAGTGCTTAGGAAGAATAATCCCAAGTGTCAAGAGAAGGCCTGTGTTCAACAATTGAGGTGACATATCCCAAACCCAAGTGCAGCAATGACTGAAAACCAGGAGGGGACCCAAGGAGGAAGACAACTTGATAGATGCTGGTGAGGATAAACGACAACCCAAATCAGATGCGCTCTCCCCAGCAAAGCACTGGCACTCCATAAACTCCCCCAAACTAAAGGTAACTTCTCCCAAAGAAGGGAGACCTTTAATTGCCTGAGATTAATCCCCAGTCAAATGGAGACTTGCACTAAAATTAAAGTTCACAAGTTAAAACAAATACAATTCTCTCACACAATGGAGCTTGAAGACTAACATTCTTGCATCTAAAAAGAATATACGATGAGGTTGCTTTGGCCCCATTTGATAAGAAGCATATATATATATATATATATATATATATATATATATATATATACACATATATATATATATATATATATATATATATACACATATATATATATATATATATATACACATATATATATATTTTTTTCCCCTGTAGTTAATAATAGCCACTCCAGAGATGATCAGTTCATGTGCAGTTACTTGAGTCATGCACCTGTTCCTGGTTGGCCTCATCAGCAATGGCAAGGGTAATGAGTGACTGTACCTTTTTAACAGTAATGACAAATTAAGCAAGAAAAGCCTTGGAGTACGAGCCTATCTCAGAGATATCGTGGGCTTGGTTACAAATAACCACAATAAAGTTAATATCATGATACAGCAAGTCAGAAATATTTTTTGCTTTCCCAGTTCATGTAAAAGTTATGTTTATAAGATACTGTAGTCTATTAAGTGCAACAGCATTATGCCTAAAACATGTACATAATTAATTTAAAAATACTTTGCTGCTAAAAACTGCTAACAATCATCTGAGTCTTAATCTTTTTGCTAGTGTAATCTTAATGTTTTTGCTAGTGTAATCTTAATCTTTTTGCTGGTGTAATCTTTTTGCTGGTAGAGGGTCTTGCCTCATTGATGGGTGTTGGTCACTGATCAGGGTGGTGGTCACTTAAGGTTGCGGTGGCTGTGGCTATATATATATATATAAAACTATATATATATAAAACATATATATTTTTTATATATAAAATATACATAAAACTATATGTAGTTATATTTAAATAAATATATATAAAACTATATATAGTTACATTTATATAAATATATATAAAACTATAGTTATATTTATATAAATATATATAAAACTATAGTTATATTTATATAAATATATATAAAACTATATATAGTTATATTTATATAAATATATATAAAACTATATATAGTTATATTTATATAAATATATATAAAACTATATATAGTTATATTTATATAAATATATATAAAACTATATATAGTTATATTTATATAAATATATATAAAACTATATATAGTTATATTTATATAAATATATATAAAACTATATATAGTTATATTTATATAAATATATATAAAACTATATATAGTTATATTTATATAAATATATATAAAACTATATATAGTTATATTTACATACATATATATAAATATGTAGTTATATTTACATACATATATAAAAATATATATACTTATATTTACATAAATATATAAACATATATATTTATATTTACATAAATATATATAAATGTGTATAGTAATATTTACATAAATATATATAAATGTGTATAGTTATATTTACATAAATTTATATAAATATGTATAGTTATATTTACATAAATATATAAATACATATAGTTATATTTACATAAATATATATAAACATATAGTTATATTTACATAAATATATATAAATATAGTTATATTTACATGAATATATAAATATATTTACATGAATATATAAATATAGTTATATTTACATAACTATATATAAATATATATAGTTATATTTACATAACTATATATACGTATCTATAGTTATATTTACATAACTATACATATATAGTTACATTTACATAACTATATATACATATATAGTTACATTTACAAAACTATATATACATATATAGTTATATTTACATAACTATACATACATATATAATTATATTTACATAACTATATATACATATATAGTTATATTTACATAACTATATATACATATATAGTTATATTTATATAACTATATATACGTATATATAGTTATCTAAATATAACTATATGTAAGTATATATAGTTATGTAAATATAACTATATATACGTATATATAGTCATATTTACATAACTATATATAAGTATATAGTTATATTTACATAACTATATATATAGTTATATTTATATATGTATTTATTATATATATAATATATACTTATATTTATATATATAATATATATAATATATATAAATATAACTATATATTATATATAAATATATAGTTATATTTATATATATAGTTATATATGTATATAACTATATATATATTTTATATATATATATAAATATAACTATATAAATATATAAAGTTATATTTATATACATGTATATAAATATATATACATGTATATAAATACATAAAGTTATATTTATATAAATATATATAAATACATATATTTATATACATGTATATAAATACATATAGTTATATTTATATATATAAATATATATAAATATAGTTTATAAAAATATATATCAATATATAAATATACATAAATACATAAAGTTATATTTATATAAATATATAAATATATATTAATATATATAGTTATATTTATATCAATATATGTAAATATATATAAATATATAGTTATATATATATTCTCTGTGACATGTGAATTTTTATAGCATTTTACCCCCAGTAGAACTTCTTTCAAAGTTGGAGCCAATCCTCGTAAACCCTGTCATTCTTTATCAACTAAGTTGACGTAATACGCTAAATCTTGTCTTGTCATTTCAGCAGCGTTTGTATCATCTTTACCAGGAGTAGATTGCATCCCAAGAAACCAACTTTCTTTGCTCATCCATAAAAAGTAACTTCTCATCCATTCAAGCTTTCTCATGAGACTGTAGCAATTTGGTCACACCTTCAGGCTTCACTTCTAGTTCTCTTGTTACTTCCATCCCATCTGCAGTTATTCCCTTCAATTAAGTCTCAAGCTCTTCAAAGTCATCCATGAGGATTGGAATCAACTTTCTTAAAACTCTGGTTTATGTTGATATTTTGACCTCCTTCCATGAATCACCAATGTTCTTAATGGCATCTAAAATGGTGAATCCTTTCCAAAAGTTTTTCAATTTACTTATCCCAGACCCATCAGAGAAATTACTATTTATGGCAGCTATTGCCTTACAAAATGTATTTCTTAAATAATAAAACTTGAAAGTTGAAATTAACCCCTTGATTCATAGGCCGCAGAATGGACGTTGTGTTAGCAGGCATGATAACAACATTTATCCACTTATACATCTCTATCAGAGCTGTTGGTTGACCAGGTGCATTGTCAATGAGCAGCCATATTTTTAAAAGAATCTTTTTTCCAAGAAGTAAGTCTTGACAGTGGACTTAAAATATTCAGTAAATCATGCTGTAAATAGATGTGAGGTCATCCATTGTGTTTAAATAAAATTTAAAACAATAAAATCTCATTGAGCACAGGCAGAGCAGATTTCTTAAGGCCCTTAGGATTTTCAGAATGGTAAATGAACACTTCAGTTTAAAATCACCAGTTGCCTTAGCTCCTAACCAGAGAGTCAGCCTGTGCTTTGAAGCTTCAAAGCCAGGCACTGACTTCTCTCTAGCTATGATAGTCCTTGATGGCATCTTCTTCCAAATTAAGACTGTTTTGTCTACACTGAAAATTTGTTTAGAGTAGTCACCTTTATCAATGATCTTAACTAGACCTTCTGTATAACTTGCTGAGTCTTCTGCATCAGCTTTTGCTGCTTCACCTTGTACTTTTATGTTATAGAGAAAGTTTCTTTCCTTAAACCTCATGAATCAACCTCTGGTAGCTTCCAAATTTTCTTCTGCAGCTTCTTCACCTCTTTCAGCCTTCACAGAATTGAAGATTAGGGCCTTTGTCTGGCTTAAGCTTTGGCTTAAGGGAATGTTGTGTCTAGTTTGATCTATCCAGATCTCCAAAGCTTTCTGCATATGCTGTTTCTTATCATTATTCATATCACTTTCTTATCATTAATGTGTTCAATGGAATAACATTTTTAATTTCCTTTGCATTAACAATGTTAATTTTCTTTGCATTAGCAGTGTTGCTAACTGACTGGTGCAAGAGAATGAGTTTTGGCCTATCTGTTTTTGGCATAACTTCCTCACTAAAAATCATTTGTAGCTTTTGATTTAAAGTGGGAGATGTACAACTATTCCCTTCACTTGGACACTTAGAAGCCATTGTAGGGTTATTAATTGGCTTAATTTTAATATCGTTGTATCTCAGGCAATAAAGAAGCCCAAGGAGACAGGGAGAGATGGGAGAACGGTCAGTCAGTGGAGCAGTCACAATATACATAACGTTTATCAATTAAGTTCACAGTTTTATATGGGAGTGGTTCATGGTACCCCCAAACAGTTATAATAGTAACATCAAAGATCACTGATCACAGGTCACCATAACAGATATAATAATAATGAAAACATCTGAAATATTGCAAGAATTACCCAAATGTGACACAGAAACATGAAGTGACCACATGCTGTTGGAGAAATGGTGCTGATAGACTTGCTTGAAGCAGAGCTGCCACAAATCTCCCGTTTGTAAAAAAAAAAAAAAAAAAAAAATGCAGTACACGATCAAGTGAATCACAATAAAATGAGATATGCATGTACTTTCCTGGGAGAGTAACTGGGTTTGTGGCAGACATTTAAGGATTTATAGACTTTTTAAAGATAGAGGATGCTTGGACCATGAGGCTTTAGGGAGAGAAGCAGGACACTAAAGTGGATTAAGTTTCATAAAATAGAGTCCCATTGGGTGCTCTGGTTAATTTCATGTAGGATTTGCTTTGCATTTTTAGAAGAGGACTGTTACAGATTTGACATTGTGTGTGGGGTCTGGGGGACTCTGAGGCAAGGCTGCATTCCCATGAAGTATAGATTTAAAAACAGGATTGCTGGGGAGGAGAGAAATTTTAATTCAGTCAATGCATTAATAGATTGAGGGTGGTAAGATTTCTGGTCATCTTAGGGAGGCCAGACGAAAGCTGAAATCTTATGAGTAATACTGAGCCATATTTTAAGAGGAAGACATATACGATAGAAAGTAACCAAGAAAACAAAACCGTGTTATAGAAAAGATGGCTGAAGGACCTGGGAATATTTACCCAGGCTCCAGAAAGAAAGCTCAAGGTGACATGATTACCAGCTTTTAATATTCAAAAGCTTGTCACTTGGAAGAGGGATTGCACTTACTCAGAAAGGCCTCAAGCCAGACCTAGGATCACTAGGCGGGAGTTACAGAAAGACAACTTTTAATTCACTGCATAGAGTAGGCAATTCAAATAGAGATGTCTGAGGATGGGATAAACTGAGTTCATGGACTGGTTCAAAAAAGGAATTCAAGCATACATTGGCAGGAATATTATAGAAGTGTGGTGGTGCATGTAGTAGTTAAGACATAGAGATAAAACTGGGTTCCAATTTTAATTCTTCCACTTACTAAATATGGGACCTATGGCAAGTTGCTTAATTTTTCTGCTTCAATTTCATAATTTTTAAAATGCAGTTAATATCCACTGCAGAAATGTTGGCAATAATTAAAACAATTAACTTTTGTCCTTAGTGTCTAAAGAGAGACAGGTAGGGGTGTGTGTGTGTGTGTGTGTGTGTTGCACATACATGCAACATTTCTGGTTTCTCCTAACCTGAAGTGTTATGATTCCAAAGGCTTTGGGAAAGAAAAGTTTTAAAAAACTAGCTATCCTTCTGCATTTCTTAGATAGTCCCCAGTATTTTGATATGTCCTTAAAGCCTTTGAAAGTGCTCCAGTTTCTTTTTTTTTTTTTTGAGATGGAGTCAGTCTCAACTCTGTTGCCCAGGCTGGAGTGCAGTGCATGATTAAGCTCACTACAACTTCCACCTCCCAGATTCAAGTAATTCTCCTGCCTCAGCCTTCTGAGTAACTGGGATTACATGTACATGCCACCACACCCAGCTAATTTTTGTAATTTTAGTAGAGACCAGGTTTTGGTATGTTGGCCAGGCTGGTCTCGAACTCCAGACCTCATGTGACCCGTCCACCTCAGCTTCCCATAGTGCTGGGATTACAGGCGTGAGCCACCACACTCGCCATGTTCCAGTTTCTTATAAAATTGTTTTAATATGGTATTTCCCCATCAAAAATTCAGTTTAAAGCAGATAGAAAATATTTGATGCTCATCTTAATGCTACCCAGAACTGAGAAACGCCTCTCAATTTGCTTGTACAGAATGAGGTATGAGGATTTTTTTTACAGAGGAGTGGAAAAGACAGAGAACGATGAGCAATGACAATTCAGTTCCCTAGTTAACAGCATGATTTGATTGTGTTTACATATGAGACTTGTGTTTGGGGACCTCTGAGCCTTGTGCACGTTTATCAAATTGCAAACAGCACCACTTATGTGCTGCCTATGATAAAGCACTACCACACAGCCGAATAGCTCTCCCAGCAGAAGATGATTATTTCCCAAGATAAAAGCTGACTACCTGACCTACCTGATGCCAAAGCAATTCATCAATTCAGTGACAAAGAAAAAAAAATTAGAACAACCACTCCTTTGGTGTAATGCAGAGGAAACAATCGGTTGATTGACTGTGACTGAATTTTGGCTGCAAACACAGCCAAAGCAAACCTAAAACAGTATGAGATATTCCTCAGAATTTCCATTATAATGTAATTGTTTCTGCTCAACTTTGTTTTCCAATTTGCTCCCACATTAACTGTAGGGGTAGAAGTTAAGTGGTCAATCATCATTAAGGGAACTAGATTTGTTTGCTAACAAAAATTGTGGTATACATTTTGAATTTGATGTCACTGGGTAGTTTTTCAATGCAAACTTACGTGGCGGGGAACTATTTTGTTTGTAACGGAAGAAATACTATCCTAATATCAATACACTGCATAGAAGACATCTCGAAATCTAAGGGCAACCACTGTTTGAGTTTTGTTTTTCCAGCTACAAGCAAGATGAAGTGGAATAACCCTGGGCTTTGAAGTCAGAAGGAACTCATTCATTTGTTCATTTATTCAATATATTCTTGTTGAGCTCCTTCTATGTGTCAGGTACTATTAGGCTGGTGCCAAAGTAATTGCAGTTTTTGCCATTGAAAGTAGTGGCAAAAATCGTAATTACTTTGGCACCAACCTAACATGTTAGGCTCTGGGGACTTAGCAACAGACTGATGGGCTGCTTGCTTCCACAGATATTATAATTTAGTAGGAGGGTGGAGGTGGAGAGGTCTGACAACAAACATATAAATACTCCTCAGCTCCCAGCCTCCATATTTTCTATTTTTGTGATATAGGGTAAGTTATTAATTACTCGGTGATATCTCACACAGCAGGTGCTCAGCAAGTGTTGGTTCTCTACCTTCTCTACTCCTGACCCTACAGGGTGCAAGTGAAAAGACAAACTGACTCTTTCTCAATGTGATTGATGCCTTTTTTGAAACCAGGGAAATGAAGATCCTTGTCATCTCCATGAACCACAGATAGATTTGGAATGAGCTGGCTTCATTGTCTAATGTCCCTGTGAGTGTCTTTCTTTCAAGTCTGAGAGTGAATCATCCTCTTATATTTTACTCTCCGTTTTGCCTTGACAAAGAGAATGCTTTGGGATAAACAGCTCTGAAACTATAAATGTTACTTTAAAAAAAAAACTACTGCAAATTGCTTGTACTGACTTATTCTACCTTTTACTGAATTCTGCCAATTAAGGTGTTTAAGAAAAGCTGTGAAATGTAATGGTTCTTAGAATCACTTTCTAGTAGATAGAGCTCCTCTTGGGTCAGCTTGACTGTATGATCGCGTCACTAGATTGGGACATAGAAGACAGAGGGTGAATTTATTGATAAGGAAATATCATCATTAATTGTTATAATTTTAATGCAAATACTATTTATGATGGATTAAAAAATGTAGTCTGTAATGATGTTTCTCAAAATATGTCCAGAGTTCCAAACACTTGAGTTCAAACAAATATTTACACTATAGCTTGCTGGTGTATTGAAGGAATGGATATGATGTGAATTGAATAGTCCTTTCACTCTCTCCCACTACCCTTCTCTTGCTCCAGGCAATTGTAATACATATTTTATCCTTAGCATAGATTTTATATGAGACACCAACATCTTTTCTTCTTGAAGAAATAACAGTAAATCTATACTATGTGGCAGAAAAACTGTTAACAAATAGCTTCGTATATTAACAAAACTCCCAGTCTCCCAACAAAATGCATATGTTGCTCAGGTAGCTATCAAGTAGTTCTTCAGTTGTGTGTTAATTGAGGACAGGAACCAAAAGAAATAAAAGACAAAAGGGTTTTTTAGTCTTTAAGTTCTGGGATACATGTGCTGAACATACAGGTTTGTTACATAGGTATACATGTGCCATGGTGGTTTACTGCACCCATCAACCCATCATCTAGGTGTTAAGCACCACATGCATTAGATATTTATCCTAATGCTGTCCTGACAAGAGGGATTTTTGTTGGAAAAGGCAGAGAGTTACTGGCAGGAGGAAAACAACAACAAAAAGAAAGGACAAAGGGACTAGGAGGCCGAAAGTATGTTATTGGAGATCTTGAGAGCATGGAGGTGGTTAGGAAAAAGATTTGATTTTGTGAGTAGCTGCCATATGTGACATATATAGACAGGGAGAATGATAACGGAAAGAGGCTTTAAGAAGTTTGGCTTTGCATTATAAATGTAATCTACTCCTGGCTCCTTTTTAGGGAACTACAGTAAAGACATAAATTACATTCAATTATTGTGTCTGCAGGATCTTTTTTTTTTTTTTTTTGCATGTAATACTAAAGACAGTTGGGGCCTCTGAATGGCTTTATAAAGGTTAACTTTGAATAAAGCATTTGAACCATTCTGCCATTTTTGTGCCTTAAAACTCCCTGTTTCTCCAGGCATCCTATGAGATATATCTTCAGTATTGAGAAGAAATAGCTGAAAATCCAAGGGCTTGAAGTTAGACAGATCTGGGTTTGACTTCTAACTGCTCACTTGCTAGCTGTTTCTCATAGCGCAATATCACCTCATAGGGCAGTATTACCTCAGCTTCCTTATCTATAATATGGAGTTAAGAGTATCTACTCTGTAGGACTGTTGTAATCATCAAAACAAAACATCTAGCAAATATCATAAAACAACTGGGGCTTCATCAGTCCGAGTCCTGCCAGAAAACATGGCCCATTCAAATTAGGAAAACTTGAGGAAAATGTAGAGCAGGGCAATGTGTAGGCAGGGCAGAGGAAAACTACAAGATATAGTACAATATTCTGGGGTCACCAACTTTAGGCCTGAAGATGTGAGCAGAAGAAGTGTTTCCTGGGATCCAGGGAGAACCTAAGAAGGCTGTGTAGGGAGAACTATCAGGCAGGTGCTGAGACCTTTTGTGGAGAAATGTGCCCAGCCCTTGGCAATCACTGGGGAATTGGGAAATGAATTGTGTAGCTTTCTTCCCTCTCTTTTCGTCCCTCTAGTTTCCTCCAGGGTCTTCTATTGGTTAAACCTAACTTGAAGCCATTTGGTAAGGAAGTCCATTAAGGTCACAGGAGTCAGCTGTGAAACAGATTAAATAAGGATTGAGAGTGGATCTGGGGCAAACTAAACAGACTCATCGTGCTCAGTAAGTATCAATTCCCTTATTTTTCTTCCCAATAGTGTGGAAAAGAGGATGTCTTTCCCATGGAAGAATAATCATACAGTAGAGGTGTCAATAGTCCCTGAAAGACTATCCCTTATATGTAAGTTCTTCAGATTGTGATACATCACAGACACAGCTCTGGAGTTGGAAATCAACACCTATCAATCTTTGTTCAAAGGATCAGCAGGAAGAGCATGGCTAGTCTAGTGGCCGGCTCTCTGAGAGTGAGTGATGCAGAGAACTTGCTATGCTGGTCAGAGATAAACAGGAGCTCTTGTTTCGACAGTGGCTTTTCAAGTTTGCCTCTTGGCATGAAGCTGACTTTGGCAGAGGGTATCATATAAACAGGGCATATGCCCAAGCATGTAAGCCAGGCCCAACTTGCTGGATATATTCTCACCTCCAGCGCAAGACTCATGGCTATCTGACAAAGCTGATGGTAGGGAATTTTTTCAGAAGACTGACCTCTTGGACTTTTTTCAAAATTTGTACATAAACTGAAGACTCTGTTTGGGAAAGAGAATGCTTGGTCATCACTTTGGCAGAGCTTTGATTCACTTCACTTGTTAAGCTCCTGACCTTTGAATGAATAACTCTTCTCCTTTGCTTCCCAGAAGATATATTCATATCCTAGTCCCCAGAACCTGTGAATGTTGTGATGTTTGGAAAAGTGTCTTTGCAAATGTCATTAAGTTAAGGATATTGAGAAGAGGCGATCATTCTGAATTATCTGGATGGGTCCTAGATCCAATAGCAAGCATGCTTATAAGATACACATGGGGGATAGATACAATGAGAAAAAGGCTATGTGAAGATGGAGGCAGAGATTAGTGTGATGTAGCCACAAGCCAAGAAAGCTGGCAGGCATCAGAAACTGGAAGAGATGTGGAACAAATTTTTCCCTAGGGGTTTTGTGGGGAGTATGACCCTGGTTGTAGACTTCTGGCCTCCAGAATGGTGAGGAAATAAATTTCCATCATTGTAAGACACTAAGTTTGTGGTAATTGGTCGCAGCAGCCCCAGGAAACAAATATACCTCCTATAAAACCATCTATGTTAGCACTGTGACTGCTAAGCACTCTGAATATTAGCAGCCTGAAGAACTATAGAAATAGTGCAGATTTTATATACTTGAAAATTTGGTTCTTATCACAAAAAAAACTGATAAGTATGGAGGTAATGCATATGTTAATTAGTTTGATTTAGTCATTCCACAATACACATATTTCAAAACATCATGTTATACACCATAAATATTTAAAAAACCACATTTTTATTTTTCAATTAAAATATGAATAAAAGAAAAATAGTACAGAGTATAAATATCTTGGAATGTATTTTTCTGAAGTTTCTGAGAAGTCATCACAAATCCTGAGAAGCTGTGCTAATTTATACCTTAAGCACTTGCAATGAAACATTACATTAAAAGAGAGGCAGAAGGAAGAACATTGGAAGACATGTGTTCTATACTGGTAGCTACTCACTGGCCACTTGACCTTGGAAAAGTCATTCAAGTATTCTAAGCCTAGATTTTCTTACCTCCAAACCACTTGTCTAACCAACTTTACAAGGTTGGCAAAAATATTAAATTATAAAATGTGCTTTGAAACAAAGTGCTATCCATTAAACTAACATATTACACAATTTGTTGTTCACAATATATGCAGAACATATATTTATTGAGTTAAATGAAACCTAGTAACTCAGAGCTTGTCATGATTTAGAAAAAAGTCTACATAGAAGTCAGAAAATCAGGGATTCAGTCCTGGCTCTGTCATGAAATAACCAGTTAAATGACCTTGGACAAGTTATTATATCATTTAGGACTACAGTTTTCTTAATTACTGAATGAAGGAGTTGGATCTGATAATCTCTAATGCTTCTCCAAGCTCTCCGATTCTATAGTATTTTAAGAATATTAGGATTAGCAGGGTGGTTCTCTCTCTTGGTGAGCTTGTCCCTCTCAAGGTTTAAATTTTCACTAAATTCTGATAATCCTGAATTTGTCCACTGAGCTTCAGATTCATATAACCAATTATCTGGATGTCACAAAGTGTATCAGCTGAGATTCTCTGAATGTAAAAGAAAGGCAATACAAAATTTATTTGCACCAAATCACAAAAATAAAGAATATAAAGGAACTTATTGGCTCACTTAATTGAAAACTCTATGAATAGAGTTAGTTTTAGCTACAGCTAGATTTATGGCTTATATAATGTCATCTAGATTTACTTTCTTTTAGTCTCTCAGATCAGCTTTCTATAGGGTTGGCTCTAGCCATTAACTTCACATGGTGCAGTAGCTGCATTGCATCATCTCGTTTATATGTTGAGGAAAAGGAAGTTTTTTCCCATGATATATAGCAAGAGTTTCCTTGCATCTCATTGGCTCTCATTGCCCATCTCTGAACCAATCACCATGACCAGAAGTTATTCAGTGCACTGACTGGCTTAGGCTTGGATCATGTGCTTTACTGCTAAGCACGGGAGATAACCAGTAGTGTGCTAGAGTGAGCCTGTTAACTACATTTCAGTATTTTCTGAGCTGGTTGTTAAATTGTTTGTAGCATTAAGTTGGAAAAGTGGGAATATTTAAATCACAACTTAGGGCTTTACTTATTTTAGAAAGTTTGTTTACCAGCACACCACTGGGTAGAGCTCTGTGCAAGATAGTAGGTATGGGTAGATCGCCCTCAACAAAAGGAGGTTGTTATCAGAATAAGGCAAGAACACATGCTGTAGTGGTAAATGAGTATCCACTAGACTTAAGAGCTCAAACTCAGAATATTCAATGGTGAACTCATGCTCTTATTCCTCAACCTCTTTGTCTCTCATGGATTTTCTATCTTGAAAATCAATTCAAATTTAAAATATGACATAAAATTTTTGCATTTTTCTGCCTCATACAACAATTTTATCTTTTTACTATTTCTCAAATACATCTATTTTTCTATTGTTTGTTTGATCTCACCCTGGGCTATTTCAGGATTCTTTGAATTTGTCTGTCTGCTTTCAATATGCTCATTTTCAAATCCATCAGTTTATCAGCACCAGGGTGATTAACCTAAAATACAACTTCCTACTTCCTAAGTCACTTTTTGTTGCTTGATGGATAAGGCCTATGGTGGTTTTAAAAGCTATTAACAAATTCTCCAAAATATTTCCCTTTGATAAGTAGAGTTTAATTCTCCTCCCTTTATATGGGTTCGGTAAACAGAAAATAACAGAAGTGATGGTATGGGACTTTCATGGATAGGTCATAAAAGGCATTACAGGTTTTTCCTTGCTCTTTCTCTTGAATCACGCACTCTAGGGGAGGCTAGTTGTCACTTCGTGAGAACATTCAAGCAGTACTATCGAGGGGTCCACATAGCAAGAAACTGAGATGCCCTACAAAAGCCAACTTGGGAGTGGATTCTCTAGTCCCATTCAAGACTTTAAATGACTAAAGTCCAGGCTGATGTCTTAATTGAAACCTCATAAAAAGTTCTGAACCAGAACTACCTATGTTACTCCCAAGTTGCTGATCCATTGAAAGTGTGAGATTGAAACTGTTGTTTTAAACTGCTAAATTCTGGGTGCAGCAATAACAGCTAATACATATTTACTTAATCTGGTCTTAGCCTACCACTGTTGTGTTTCTTCATCCTTTTATCATCATTGTGTTTATACTTAAGCACCACCAAAGTGCTTATCTTTTTCTACTTATACCATTCTACTTCTGGCCTTTGTGCCTTAGCTCAGGCTTTCCCTCTTTGCTCCTTTCTTTTCTTTCTTTCCTTTCCTCTTTCTTTTTTTCTTCTTTCATATCAGGCATCCTTGGCAGAGAAAACAGCAAGTACAAAGCCATGAGCTGGGAAAAAATGTGTTGTGTTGGACAAAATAAAGGAGGTCTTTATGAATGCAGAATAATGAGTTAGGAGAAGAAATCGATGGGATGAAGTTGAAAAGATAAGCAGGGACCAAATCATGCATATTTAGAGACCCATGGTAAGGAGTTTAAATTTAATTTTAAACAAAATTGATAATTATTTAAAAAGTTTAAGAGAGTGCCATGGTCTGGTTTGCATTTTAAGCTTACTCATGCTGCTGTGTAGGGAATGGTTTGTAGGTTGGCAAGAAGAGGTCCAAGGAGATCATTAGTAGGAAAAACCAGCACTGGATGATGATACCTTGGATTAGGGTGGTAGTAGTAGAAATAGGCAGAAAAATGTATATATTGGAATAAAATTTGTAGTTATAACTTATAGGACTTGCTGGTGACTCAGATGTGGGTGCTAAAGGGAAGAGAGGATTTCTGCCTTTGGTAAAAGACTTGCACTTTATTTTAAAGCAATAGGGAGCCATGGAAGGTTTTAGCAGAGGAGTGTATACTCCTATGTTTTCCTGCAGGAGGCCTTCCTAGTTTTCCTGCAGGAGGCCTTCCTAGTACCTCCTGTTGACATTAATCTCTCCCTCCTCTGTGCCTAATGGTTTTGACTCTTACACAAAAGGTGGCATAGGTACAGGTTAAAAGCATAAGGAATTTTGTGGCTGAACCGATGCAAGTTGATTTGCGTTCCATGTCTATTTTCTATGAAATGTATGACTTGGATAAATCTATTCAACTCTGTGCCATTCTTCTTCAAGTATGAGTAGCATCTAAATTAAAGTTTTGTTGGATTAATTAAATGAAACACTGGGTGAGAGAAATGTACTTTAGGAAGGGGAGGGAGAACACTTAGCTTTAAGTTTAGGGGAGTGGCACTTAATAATTATTATATCTAATATTTGTGGAGTAACTACCATCTGCCAGATACATTCTAAGTGTTTTACTCTTTATAACAATCTGATGTAATTACTGTTGTTATCCTCCTTTAAAAGTGAACATATAGATGCCCATAGAGCTTAAAAAATATACCCAATGTTATACTGTAATGCTTAACTCATATGTAAGTATTTCTCTGTATTTTTATTTATCTATATCACTCTCAGACAGCAGGGAGTGGTGTATCTTCTCCATCTCACTCTCTTCTCCATCGCTGGCACATTGCAGAAAATAAATTCACATATGTGGAGTGAGTGGACTTCCAGCCTTTGACTCACATGTCAAACTTCCTGTTTTGACTAGATGGAGAGCAGAGTCTTGGAGTACTGGCTTTGTTGAGCACGTCCATGCCGCTGAGCTTGGAGTGTCCTGAGTGCAGCTAGCTAGGGAAGCTACTCAGCTCCCTGATGAAATCAGATCCCCACATGGTCAGCCAAGTGCTCAGCTGCCCAGTCCATGGTGCGATGATCTTGTGGCTAATTTGCTTGTGCTGTTTGGTCTCAGAAGCTTAGCAATGACACAATAAAACCTTTATTAACAAGACTATTCAGTGACTACTGGGGCAGAAAAAGAAAGCTGCTTTGTTTAAACCCTTTTGCAAAATCTCTAAAATGTAGTGGCTGTCTCCTTCTGCCTTGGTTAAAAACTGTGCAGTGAAAATGATTTGTGTCTTGAAATTGAAAAATGAATGATCCTCATATATCTTGTAATGATTTCAGTGATGATTTTGGAGAGGAGGATGTGGGAAGAGATTGGGCTAAAAGTGCTCTGAGATGAGGCCTTAGCTTGAGATGCTCATTTTAAAATAACGTGATTGGGGTGTATTTTCCCTCGGAATTAATCTTTTCCCTTAAAAACATTGGGTGGATAAAAAGGGAAAATTAATGAAAGTTTTTGGTTATTGTCCTAAGGCTTCCTCCAAATCTCACTTAATTTCTTCTCTAAAAAGTATGTAAAATGGTTTTTACTGACCCAAAGCTGTGCTGCTTTGTTTGGTTTGGTATATATAATTGTTCACTGGTCTGTAGGATAAGAAGGAAGAAGAGGGAAGTCACTGTTAAGAGGCACAGTAGAGAATGGATTGTTCTCTATCCTTCAAAGGGAGTTTTGGTGAATTTATTAGGGGAGCACCAGGGTTCAGAGCACGCTGTGATAGAATTGACATGTTGTGATTTACCAGACACTGAGAAGATCCCTCTGCCCAAAATAGACACACCTGCTTGTGGATGTCTGGCAGGCCTTTAGCTGGGGACAAAGCCAGAATGGCCAGCTGTTCCCTCAGACACCCTCCCCACAGGCTGGCTCAGGCCTGAAATTCCAGCCTTGAACTTAAGGCTAAATTTTTCTCCACAATCTACTGCAAAGCACATACTTACTTCTCCCTCCTCCAACTCTAAAATAAAGGTGTCAACAGACATTTTCAATGTAGTATGAATTACATGGACTTGTGCAAATAACAGAAATTATGGAAGCAGGGGAATTCTTCTTTCCCCTTCTCCCTGCTTAATTCTAAGACTTTGGTCAAGTCTTTAACTGCTTATATACCAGTTTCCTCCTTTTAACATGAGAATAGTAAGCCAAACTGACAAAACTCTAGGGAGGACTAAATAACACAAACGTAGAAGACCACCTAGCAAAAGGCCAGAAACCCAAATGTCTATCAAAGGGACATTAGGTAAATAAATTGGGATATTTACACAATGTCATATAATGTATCCCTGAAAAGAAACATATCTGTATGTCCTGAAATACAGTAATGTCCAGGACATATTGTTAAGCAAAATAAGCAAAATGCATAGCTGTATTTATAGTATACTACAGTGTAGATAGGAAAGGAGAAGAAATAAGAAATACATATTTGTTTATGATTGCAATATCAAGATAAAACAAAAATCAATAAAAAATGCTTACCTATAGTTGGATGGAGGAAGCAGGTGAGTAGGGGATACAGAAGAGTTATGCTTCTCCACATACTTTATTTTATTTTTTGACTTTGAAATTATGTAAATGTTTTACATGATTAAAAACAAAAGAGAAAACCACATCAAAATATAACAATTTCTAAAAATTTAAAACTGAAAACGAAGAACTTAGGCATACATCAATTCTGTGGCATAATGATCTCAAGACTTATTTTAAGTGACTTTAGAACACATATTTTGATTGTACGTCCTTAGGGAGATATATCCTAAGGACAAAAAGAAGTACAAAGACATCTTAGATTGAATTTTGTTGGCTAGTTTTTAGTGGTGATATTTACATTCTTATTGAGTTTATTATATCTAAAATAGGATAAAGCAATTAAACAATTAAATTATCCTTAGGAGATAAAATTTTCAGAGCAAGAAAAGATGAACTTAAAAAAATCGTTAAAAACTCTGTAGTCCTTATTTTGAATTAGAAATATTGGTATGAATTTATAGTTTATTTTTCTTTTTCTTAAAACTACAATTTTCTCAGTCATGTCTACTGACAAGGCCTAGAACTGTGATCAGTTCAGTAGCAATAATCACTCCAAGTACCCAGAATTTGATATCTACATGCCATTTCCATGTTAAAGGAACCAGGTCTCCTTGGAGAAATGGCTGATTCTAGCATGAGCAGGAAGTATTTGAGATGAGCCTGAGATATGCTGTTATGCCCCAATGCATAAAATATATGAGGCAGCTTAAGGAGCTGATATGGTTTGGCTGTGTCCCCACCCAAATTCATCTTGAATTGTAGCTCCCATAGTTCCCACATGTTGTCGGAGGGACTGGGTGGGAGATAATTGAATCATAGAGGCAGTTTCCCCCATACTGTTCTCATGGTACTGACTAAGTCTTACGAGATCTGATGGTTTCGTAAGGGGTTTCTCCTTTCACTTGGCTCTCATTTCTCTCTTGCCTGCTGCAATTTAAGATGTGCCTTTGCTCTTCCTTTGCCTTCTGCCATGATGATGAGGCCTCCCCAGCCATGCTGAACTGTGAGTCAATTAAACCTCTTTCTTTTATGAATTACCCAGTTTTAGGTATGTCTTTATTAGTAGTGTGAGAATGGACTAATACAAGAGCTCCCACTGGGAAAACTTGCGAATAATTTAAAAGCAAATAGTGACTACAATGTTTTGAAACATGTTAAATATGCAAAATCCACAAGTTCATTTGAAGGTTGTGTGGGCACTAACTCACTATTCTGAAAAAAGACAAAAGGAAAGAATCAGGCATTAATCTGGCTTTTGTTGTTGTTTTCAGATAAACGATGAGGAAAAATTGTTCTTTATTAAAGAGTTCCAACTAATAAATACTGGAGGGCTGATAGAATTAGGAAATATCCATTTTGCTAACTGTGATGAAATAATGGATCCAGGAGGTGATCATCAACGGCTGCTAAAACTGTGAAGACTGATGAGAAACTCTGCAATGAAGGGATCAGATAGACATCACCAAAACCCACTAATCAGTACTAAAGTCAGCAAACATATACAATTGGGAATCCTGGGACTCTAGATTTGCTATATAGGTAGTGTATTCAATACCTATGAGAGATTCTTATTACACACATAAATACATCCTTTGGACCTAACTACATGACATAATGATAAACAACACGACAAAAAAATCAACAAATAAAGAATTTAGGACAATCTACAGGTCGAATAATTCATCTTGACTTGCAAACAGATGACATAAAAATCTTGGGTGGAAATAGGAGAAAGGGAACTGTCGTGGATCACAAGAATCTTAGGAGACTACCAACCAAATGCAGTGGATGAAGCTTATTGCATCTCAGTTTAATCAAACCAACTGTAAAAATGCATTTTTGAGCCAATAAGGTGAATTTGAGTGTGGCCTATTTATGAGATGATTTTATACATTAATTATTAATCTTATGTGTGATAATGACATTATGATCATGTTTCTGTAACAGCCTCTTACCTATTAAAGACACATAATCAGGTATCTGGACTTGAAAAGATGTGATATCTGGGAGATGCTTTAAAAATATGAGGGATAAACAAAAGTGGTAGGCTCTTGAAGATTGCTGAAGCTGGAGATGGGTAATGGGAGTTATCTTCTGGTGTTCTTTTGTGTTTGAACTAAAAATAAGCAAAACATCTGTTTCTAACACATAGCAGATCTTAACGAAAGATTTCTTATCTTTTTATTTTTAACCCAAATTATGTTTTGGAGGTCAGACTTTCTCCCTGGCTAATGTTTATGAGCATGGGGGAACCACTCGCAGCCTGGTTTGGGTGGCCATGGGAAGGGAGGAGAGAAAAGTGTTTTAAAGGAGAAGAGTGGTACAAAACTAGGATGTGCCTGGGCATGCCAAGGTGATCTTTGTTATTTTTCTATTTTGCTGGCCCAGATCACTGGCTATCTTCACAAATGTATGCAGTGTCTTCATGTAAATTAGAAATAGACTTGCCAGGATGTGTGGTGAAGAAGAGGATTTTGTAGGATTTTAACTCCTCCTTACCCAGAAAGCTGGTTAAGAGGCATAAACAATACAGACACATGAAGTGTGGACCCCGGCCCTATTGTCAGGTGCAGAGAAGAAAAACAGACCGTTGAGATTTTTGAGTGGTCTGAGAGAGATAGCTCACCCTTCATACACACCCTTCTTACATACCCCTGACTCTGTTTTCTACTTCTAGAGGTGAGAAGCTGTTGGGGATTTCCATATTCTTCCTTCCTTTTATTATTATTATTATTATTATTTGGTAAAACAACAGGATAAATAGCAAGAGAAGTTTTGTTGAAGGAATCTATCATTTTTCCATAAGTTAGTGCCTGAAATACATCAATAAGATTCCAGGAATGTGGGCCTGGTGTTGGAGGATTGTGTTGGGGATTGGGGGGCAGGGGTGGAGGGTGCTTGGCCTTTTTGCAGAGACATGAGTGTAAGGGGCAAACTGGGAGTTATTTCCAATCAGGAGAAAGGGTTCCTGGGGTATAGGTTAACTTTAAGTTCATTATCTGAAGGTATATCCCAGGCTTGGCCTGGAATTGGAAGTAGCTGCTGTGTGATGCTCAAAACAAAAATAAACAGCAGGTGGCTCAAATATACTATGAGGGAGACAGTGTAGTAGGACAAAAATGGATTTCTCCACTGTGAATTCAGACAGGAGCATGCCCAATTGTTGTGGGTGGAGGTAGGGAGTAGTTGCAGAATTACTGGGTTGATTTTGGCAGGGGGTAGGACACATATTGTCCCACCACCCACTTTCTGATCCTTTGTATCAGCTGAGCAGGATGGGAAACTGTCCTTTGTGTGTACAGGGGCAGGGACCTGGGCTGACCTCAGCATGTGGCCATGAGTCTTTTCCCGCCTTACCATGTCTGTAGCCACTGAGGAGGAATGTCTTCCCTTGGAGTTGGCAGTCCTCCACCACTTAGTAGTTGTGGGACCTTGGGCATGTTATTCAATCTCTCTGAGCCTTAGTTTCCTGTCTATGGACTGAGGATGATAACATAGGGTTCTTGGCAGTACCAAGTGAGATAATATAATTCAAGTGCTTAGCACATCAAATGCCTGGAGGAGCTGTCCCCAATGCCAGAAACAACTTGTGAATCTTAGTTCATTCAAAAAGGAGAAGGAGCCTGGAGCTGTGTAGCTGTTTCTATGAAGGCTTTATTTGCATGCTCATTTCTCTCTCAGAGGGACAACTACAACTAGTCAATTAGAGCAGAATGTTGGCTAAGAAAATTCAACCCAGCTCAGTAGAAGTGAATGCTGTGAAAGTGTTCTTCCATTGCCGTATCACAGCCTTTTTACTGTTCAAATGATATTGGAAGTTAAAAATACTGGGGCAAATATGCTCTTGCAATGGATCATGCCGATTTGATTTAAGGTGAGTGAGGTAATGATTTTAGGTAAATCACTAATTCATTTTGCTCAAGACATTTCACCAAAATTTGACATAAATAGCTTCATGAAATAAGACTTAAGTTTGCGGCCGGGCGCGGTGGCTCACGCCTGTAATCCCAGCACTTTGGGAGGCCGAGGCGGGTGGATCATGAGGTCAGGAGATCGAGACCATCCTGGCTAACAAGGTGAAACCCCGTCTCTACTAAAAATACAAAAAAAATTAGCCGGGCGCGGTGGCGGGCGCCTGTACTCCCAGCTACTCGGGAGGCTGAGGCAGGAGAATGGCGTGAACCCGGGAAGCGGAGCTTGCAGTGAGCCGAGATTGCGCCACTGCAGTCCGCAGTCCCGCCTGGGCGACAGAGCGAGACTCCGTCTCAAAAAAAAAAAAAAAAAAAAAAAGACTTAAGTTTGCTCACCTTACATGGAGCCAAACGTCATGTCACAATAGGGGAAGGAGGCATTTTCAGTAGTAAAACTTGAACTAAATAAAATGCTTTTTAAGAACTCCTATTGTTCCATTGTTTTTTGGAATCCTTACACACTGAATACCCAGAGGAATTTTTTTCCCAGAGAACAGAAGGGTCTATACAAAAACAAGCTATCTTATGGGGAATGGTAGGAGAAAATGAAAATTTAGGCCTATTGAAACATTATTCCAGGAGTCTGACTCATCTTCCACCGTACAGACTGCTTTACTTTCCCAAGTGCTGCTCTAGTCCGCCTAAAAACTGAGTCAGGATGACACAGTCACTTGTCATTGCTGCCATCTAATGGTGTCAGGTCATATCACAGGACAAATTTAAGACCTCAGGTGATTTGCTATTCCCTGGAATACCAGTGCTCTTACAGGTAGACTAGGCTTACATTAAGAAGAGGACGAGACTGATTATATGGTGTGATTTTAGGGGTGAGAGGAAAGCTGGACATTCTTCAACTGCTGATATGGTCTGGCTCTGTGAACCCACCAAAATCTCATCTTGAATTATAATCCCCACATGTTAAGGGAGGGACCTCGTGGGAGGTCATTAAATGATGGGGGCAGTTACCCCATGCTGTTCTCATGATAGCGAGTTCTCATGAGATCTTACGGTTTTATAAGGGGCTCTTCCCCTTTGCTCTGCGATTCTCTCTCCTGCCACCTTGTGAAGAAGGACATGTTTGCTTCCCCTTCCACCATGACTGTACGTTTCCTGAGGTCTCCCCAGCCATGCGGAACTGTGAGTCAATTAAACCTCTTTCCTTTATAAATTACCCAGTCTTGGGTATTTCCTTATAGCAGTGTAAAAATGAACGAATACAATAACCATTATCTTTGAGAAGAATAACTCTAGGTCAATGCTACTCTAAATGTCATCTAAGCACGCATGTCAGCTGAAGAGAGTAAGTTTCTTTAATATTGGAAGACTAGGGTGAGATGAATACGATGTCCTGAGGAAACAACCTTGACAGTTCTGTGTGACACCAGAAATATGTAAAATGACAGTGAATTGTCACTCAGGGATGCGAATGATGCTGAATATACATAACATTCTTCTGAGTAGCACTTTTATTTTTAGGGCTTTTTAACATGTATCACATCATCAATTTTGCCTCTAGATGGGAATTAGGATTTCCTGGTAGGATTGAGGGGTTGTGGGAAGCATAAACTACAAATAAGCAAATTAGTAATTAAAGACTATTTATAACCATGATTAATTATAATGGATAAACAATTCTGTGCTTCAAAATTTTGCATACCTTCCTTGTGGTTTATTGTTAAATAGCCACATAGCATTGTTTGCAGAATATTTTGGTTATGATGTTGAAATAGCTGAATTGTTTGATAAACTTACTCAAAACACTTTATTTAGTTTTTCTATCTGAAAGCAAACTTAATGGAACATAGTTAATATGTTTCTTCTGCCCGCCATTTTAATAATTATAGCAAATACTTATTAAATAACTAGTATGTGTGAAGTACTATTCTAGGAACTTTGGATATCTTTTAAATATAAAAGGTGATATAGTCTTAGTTATTCTGAGAAATTGTCAAGTGACGTGGTGTGTTCCTTTGGAAATCCAGAGAGCGGTTTCCATTCAAAAGCATAGTATCCATCTCCTTAAGGTTAATCAGCTGTTTAGGAATTAGATCCTGGACTGAATATTTGAATAATTCCCTTCCTTGCTGTAGGTTCTTACTGAAAACAGTAATGTCAAAAAGAGAGTTTTTACTTAAAGGATATTTGTGATAGCAGAAACGATACCTGCCACAGGTGCACATTAGCACCCTTGGCCAATCAGTAGTCTTACAGCTTCCCTGAGAAGGTCCTGCATAATTAATAGGGAGCTGGTATCCAAACTCCGTCCAATGACAAACTAGTCAGCAGTGGGTGATCTACTGATGAGGGGATGTATGTGTTTAATTTTGTTTTGTTTTGAGCAGGTCGGTTGTAGAATTAGGAATTGGCAGCTAAAATGACCTTTGCCTTCTTTTACTCATTTGGCAGGACAAGTCCTGTAGTCATTTTCCTAAAAGCATTATCAAGTAAGGACAAGGTGTTTAAGCAGCTATTAGAGGGACTTCAGCAGTATCAGAGGTTTGAAATTAACTACTGACAATGCAGCCTTGGTTGGCAAGAGAGAGCTAGGACAGTGAAGAGAAGGCATTGATCAAGGGATTCAAAGAATAATATATCTGTGTTTTTAAAGTCTTCTATGGAGATACCTTCTCACAGTATTTAAGGCTAAGGGACAGAAACATTATCCTGGTTACAAGGTCCTTTACTAGGAAAAAAGGCAGGGTAGATGCTGTCCTTGAAATTCACAAGAGCAAATTGCGTTATATGGATTTGTGTACATTTGAGTGTTGTTAGATTTGGAAAAAACATCCTTTCAGTATATGTTATCACAGTTCACCAACATTCATCTCTGGGAAGACAGAGTATAACACATGCTTTAAGAAATGTCAAGAAGTGTGGTGTGAGAGGAAAGTTTTCCCCTATTGTGCCATATGTGTTCATCCCAAGAATAAAAGAGCCTGAATGGATTAGCCAATGACCATTTACTAACCTGCCATTTCACTAGCACCTATTATGTGCTAGAAACTTTGTATAATCATCTCTAATTCTCAAAACAGCATGTACCTCATTTTTTACTATGAAGACAGGAAAACTCAGAAAGATTAAATATATTGGGTAGGAACACGCAATGTATAAGTTGCAGAGTTGCTTATTCTAGGGGATCACATGAGTTTTCTACATTTATTGTCATTAATGGGCAGAAATCTAGTTGCTACCCCCAACCACCAAATAACCACAATATATATTCTTTAAATTAAACCTATGCTTTCTTCTAAAAGAAACTCAAATAATGTTCTCCCAGTGTACTGCTGATGTTGGGGTAAAGCAGATATTTTCTTCAGATGGTATTCTGTGCCTTTTATGGGCATTTGAGTGAGATTACAAAGAGCAGTATCATTAATCATGCAAGTTGTTCCCATCTGTAAAGTGTCAATGAATTACATTCTTCAGAATGCAAGTGAGAATGGCCATCTCTGGCATTACGTATTGTGAACAGTTCTAAATTAGTGTGAAACCACCTACTCCTAGTAATCATGACAGTGTCAGGAAGTAATGAGGCATTTAATTGAAAACAGCAGACAGTATCCAGATCTTTGATAATTGCTTTTGGAAAATATTATAAAATTTGGACGGGGGAACATTCTATTTCATAATTATTTTATTAGGCTTATGTAAAAATGATTTTTGCACCTTTTTGATTCTAGGAGAATAAAAGAAGTAAGTGGCCCAGATACTCTGCTAAGCAAGAAAAAACGCCCAAGGTTAAAATGCTGGGCTGCATATGAAAACATAAATTATAGCCAACCTTCTATATCTTAACATCACTTTCCCCAAGGTTTTTCATTGTTTATATTTGGTGTGTGCTAAGTATTTATAAATGCATTAAAGTTATTAACCATTTTTATTCAAGTTGTTTTGCTGAACATCTTTAATCAGTATTTTCACTCCATATATGTAAATAAAAACACCATGTGTTCAAATAGACACTCCAAATGTATCTGAAAAAGTTTGTTCTCTTAAACAGCATAAAGCATTCTTCCATAGTTCTCTTCTCCAATTCTGGTTTTTTGAGTCGGAGTCTCATTCTTGTCACCCAGGCTGGAGTGCAATGGTGCGATCTTGGCTCACTGCAACCTCCAACTCCTAGGTTCAAGCAATTCTTCTGCTTCAGCCTCTCCAGTAGCTGAGATTACAGATGCCCACCACTGAGCCCGGATAATTTTTGTGTTTTTAGTAGAGGCAGGGTTTCACCATGTTGGCCAGGTTGAACTCCTGATATTGGGTGATCTGCCTGCCTCAGCCTCCCAAAGCACTGGGATTACAGGAGTGAGCCACCGTGCCCAGCCCCCCTCTCCAATTCTTGCTAACCAAATTTGCTTAATAGATATATTCTTTCTTATGATCCAAAGGCAAATGTCTTCTCCAAGTTTGGCGAGTTATTATGAATTCTACATCAATGTAGAACAACTTGAAGTTTTACTGTATTAATTAATGTATTTGTAACAAGTAAGTACTGGGTATGCAGTTATGTGTGTATGTAAATGGCATAGTTGTAGGTATGTGTTTGTAACATATATATGCATTGTATATTAAATACATAATACATAGATGCATATATGCATGCACCGGTTGTTCTGTGTAGTATCTATTGAATTTTTCATTTATTCTTTTACCGATAGAAGTTTTTTCCCATTGAAGAGTAGTGTTTTATAAACACGAAGTTAAAAACAATCCTGAGATGTATTGACTAGGAATTCATGAAGGTAAAATTCAAAAATTTATTTGCTAGATTCTAACAAGTTAGCATAATTCTAATACTAGAATTACCAGGTTTTAATATTGGGAAATATGTAAATAATTAAAATTTTCAATTTTTACCAAGGTGGGTGGTAAAATAATAATAATTTAGAACACTATTTATAGAACACTAGAGCTTATTCCTATCTAGCTGTAATTTTGTATCTGTTAATTAACTTCTCCATATCTCCCTGCTTCCCAGCCTCTAGTAACCATATCCTAATCTCTGCTTTTATGAGACCAAATTTTTCAGCTCCCAAATATGAATGAAAACACGTGGTATTTGTCTTTCTGTACCTGGCTCATTTCACTTAACATGATCTTCTCCAGGCTCATCCATGTTGCTGTGAATGACAGGAGTTTTTTCTTTTAATGGCTGAATAGTATTTCACTGCATATATATATATACACACACACACACACACACACACATATATACATATATACACATATGTGTGTATATACATGTGTGTATATATACACGTATATACGTATATGTGTGTATATATATGTATGTATATACATATATATGTGTATATATGTATGTATATACATATATATGTGTATATATGTATGTATATACATATATATGTGTATATATGTATGTATATACATATATATGTGTATATATGTATGTATATACATATATATGTGTATATATGTATGTATATACATATATATGTGTATATATGTATATGTTTACATAGATACACACCACATTTCCTTTTCTTTTGCTGGACATTTCAGTTAATTTCATATCTTGGCTATTGCAAATAGTGATGCAATTAACATAGGGCAGATATATTTTTGACATATCAATTTCCTTTCATTTGAACATATACTCAGTAGTGGGATTGCTGGGTCAGATGGTAGTTCAATTTGCAGGTTTTTGAGGAACCTCCATACTGTTTCCCCTAGTGGCTATGCTAATTTGCATTCCCACCAACAGTGTATAAGGATTCCCTTTTCTCTGCATACTCATTAGAATTTGTTATTTTTGTCCTATTTAAATAATAGCCATTCTAACAGGGGTAAGATGGTATCTCATTTTGGCTTAATTTGCATTTCCCTGATGATGAGTAATGTTGATCATTTTTTCATGTTGGCCATTTGTATGTCTTCTTTTGAGAAACGTCTATTCAGGCCGGGAGCGGTGGCTCACGCCTATAATCCCAGAATTTTGGAAGGCCAAGGTGGGCAGATCACCTCAGGTTAGGAGTTCGAGACCAGCCTGGCCAACATGGCGAAATCCCGTCTCTACTAAAAGATACAAAAATTAGCTGGGCGTGGTGGCATGGCATGTGCCTGTAATCCCAGCTACTTGGGAGGCTGAGGGAGGAGAATCACTTGAACCTGGGAGGTGGAGGTTGCAAGTGAGCTGAGGTCGTACCACTGCATTCCAGCCTGAGCAACAGAATAAGACTCTGTCAAAAAAAAAAAATCTAGTCAGATCATTGCCTATTTTTATTTTATTATATTTTTTATTTTTTGAGATGGAGAATCGTTCTGTCACCCAGCGTGGAGTGTAGTGGTGTGATCTCGGCTCACTGCAACCTCTGCCTCCTGGGTTCAAGTGATTCTCCTGCCTCGGCCTCCCAAGTAGCTGGGATTACAGCATATGCCATGATGCCCAGCTAATTTTTGTATTTTTAGAAGAGATGGGGTTTCACCATGTTAGCCAGGCTGTTCTTGAATTCCTGACCTCAAGTGATCCTCTTGCCTTGGCCTCCCAAAGTATTGGGATTACAGGTGTGAGCCACCACACCCAGCCCATTGCCTATTTTTAAATCACTTTTTTTTTTTGGCTGTTGAATTGTTTGAGTTCTATATATATTCTGGATATTAATCCTATTAATCCCTTGTCAGATGAATAGTTTGCAAATATTTTCTCTCATTCAGCAAGTTTGTCTTTTCACACTGTTGGTGGATTTCTTTTCTGTGCAGAAACTTTCCAATTTTATATCATTTGTGTATTTTTTTTCTTTTGTTGCCTGTGCTTTTGAAGTCTCATCTATAAAAATTTGCCCTGACAAATGCCTTAAGGGCTTTGTTCTATATTTTCTTCTTGTAGTTTCCTAGTTTTGCATCTGACATTTAAATATTTAATCCATTTTTAGTTGGTTTTTGTACTTGTGAGGGATAGGGGTCTAGTTTCATTCTTTGGCATAAAAATATCCTGTTTTATAGTATCATTTGTTCAAGAGACTGTCTTTTCCCCAGTATAAGTTCTTGGTGTCATTGTCAAAAATCAGTAGCTGTAAATACATGGATTTATTTCTGGGTTCTCCATTCTGTTATGTTGGTCTATATATCAGTTTTTATGCCAATACTAGACTGTATTGGTTACTTTAGCTTTGTAGTATATTTTGAAGTCAAATGGTGTGATGCCTCCAGCTTTGTTCTTTTTGCTCAGGATTGCCTTGGCTACTTGTGGTCTTTTGTGGTACCATTATAATTTTAGTTTTTTTTTTTTTAATTTCTGTAAGAATGTCATTGGTATTTTGAAAGAGATTGCATTGAATCTGTAGATCATGTTGGGTAGCATGATCATTTTTACAATATTCTTCCAATCTATTCACATGGATGTCTTTCCATTTTTTGTGTCCTCTTCAATTTCTTTCATCAGTGGTTTATAGTTTTTATTGTAGAGCTCTTTCACCTCCTTGGTTAAATTATCCCCATGTATTTTATTTTATTTTTTGTAGGTATTGTAAATGTGATTGCTTTCTCAGTTCCCTTTTTCAGACAGTTTGCTATTGGTGTATAGAAATGCTACTAATTTTTGTATATTGATTTTGTATCCTGTAACTTTACTGAACTTGTTTTTCTGTTCTAATTTTTTTTGGTGGAGTCTTTATGTCTTTCTATACATAAAATTCTGTTATCTGCAAACAGGCATAATTTACTCCCTCCTTTCTCATCTGGATGCTGGTTCGTTCTTTCTCTCTCCTAATTGCTTTGGCTAGGACTTCCAGTACTATGTTGAGTAAAAGTGGTGAAAGTGGGCATCCTTATCTTGTTCTCGTTCTTAGAGAAAAAACTATTAACTTTTCCCTGTTCAGTATGATGTTGGCTATGGGCATGTCATATGTGGCTTTTGTTGTGCTAAGGTATGTTCCTTCTATACTTGGGTGGTCGAGAGCTTTTATCATGAAGAAATGCTGAATGTTATGAAGTGCTTTTTCTGCATCTATTGAGATTATCATATAGTTTTTGTCCTTCATTCTGTTGATATAGTGTATCATGTTTATTAGTTATATAGTGTCTATTTTGTTTAGATCTAAAATTGAGGATCTATTGATTTCACAAAAGATTTGAGTGGTGGTTGTTCAGTGGGGAAAAACACTTGCAATGGGGATAAGCTAGATTTCTCATGACTTGGTCATATTAATCATAACTATTTTATGCAAGAGAAGCTATTGGTTCCCTTGTTATGTAATACGCTGTGACCTTATATTCCAAACCATAAAACAAAGCACATTGTATGACACTGGATTGTTGTTCTGTTTCAAGTGCCAGGGATAGTCTAAGATACAGAACTTGAACCCCAAAATATTGGTCTTAGACAATATAATGGTTAATGATAAGAAGGACAAATACATTTAATCCATGTCGACACTATTCAGTTGGTAGTGGTTGCAGTGTGGAGGGGAATTCTGAAACTATACCTGGGCTACCCAGATAAATGTTATCTGTCACAGAAAACGGTTGGTGAATGAATAGCACAATTTTAACACTGTTTCTGAGTAATTATATTTTATAAAGAAAATTCTAAAGTTACCAAAGCATCTTCTGACCTATTACTAAAAGATTAAATTTATGTTATAAGGAAGGAAGCTATATTTTTTAAATTGAATAGGTGTTTTAAATTATGTAAGTTTAACAACAGTAATAAAATTTTATTAGTGTCACATGATGTTTTGTACCCTTAAATTTCAACCACTTGAATTACTTAAATGAATTATTTTAGGAAATAATCTGACCATAATGTTTCAATTATTGTCAGTGCCTTCCAAATAAATTATATAAATGTATGACATTTTCAACTCTGAAAAATGCGTAAGAATGGCTGAGCATGTGGTCTATGAACTCACCTGGTTGTCAAAAACCAGTTTGTCTCTTTAAGGCAAGAGATTTTTTTTTTATTTTTTATTTTTTTATTTTTTATTTTTTTTAGTGTGTGACATAAATTTCATACTTAGTAAATTGAGGTGATATATATTTGATGCTAAAATAACTTGTCTGCTCAATGAAAGAAAAATCTGACAGGTTTTTTGGGAGAATCATAACCACTAAAATAGTAAAAATTTTTACACTTGATCCAGGTTTTCTGACACGTAGGTAAAGATATCATCTATCCATGACAGCAACATGTTTGAACAAAGAATGAAAACTCCATTTTGATAATTTATCTTATAGGTACATGATTTAAACAGACCAGCCTGGAAAGCAAAAGGCATAAGTGGGCAACAAATCATATTTTGAGAGGATCAAAGAGTATCCCCTACATCAGTTTGTTTCAAGGTATTTAGATTAAAATCCACTGTAAAAAGTGCATTTTTATATCACACACAGAGCATACGCAGTGCTCACACACGCACATACACATAACTGAACCAAGGATTTACTTAAAAATACATATCCTTACTGTATTAATTCGTTCTTACACTGCTAACAAAGACATACCTGAGACTGGGTAATTTATAAAGAAAAAGAGGTTTCATGAATTCACAGTTCCACGTGGCTGGGGAGGCCTCACAATCATGGCGCAAGGCGAAGGAGGAGCAAAGTCATGTCTTATGTGGCGGTAGGTAAGAGTGTGTGCAGGGGAACTGCCCTTTATAAAAACATCAGATCTCATGAGACTTATTCACTCTCACGAGAACAGCATGGGAAAAACCCGCCTCCTGATTCAATTACCTCCTGCTAGGTCCCTCCCATGATGCATAGGAATTATGGGAGCTACAATAAAAGGTGAGATTTGTGTGGGGACACAGCCAAACCATATCACGAGGATTTACTTAAAAATACTTATTCTGGGCTGGGCACAGTGGCTCATGCCTGTAATCCCAGCACTCTGGGAGGCCGAGGTGGGCAGATCACCTGAGGTCAGAAGTTCAAGACCAGCCTGACCAACATGGTGAAACCGCATCTCTACTAAAAATACAAAAAAATTAGCCAGGCGTGGTGGCGTGTGCATGTAATCCCAGCTACCTAGGAGACTGAGGCAGGAGAATCACTGGAACCCGGGAGGCAGAAGCTGCAGTGAGCCGAGATGGCGCCACTGTACTCCAGACTGGGTGACAGAGCAAGACTCCATCTCAAGAAGAAAAACTTATTCTGGCTGGGTGCAGTGGCTCACGCCTGTAATCCCAGCACTTTGGGAGGCCAAGGTGGGTGGATCACCCGAGGTCAGGAGTTCGAGACCGGCCTGGCCAACATGGTGAAACCCCATCTCTACTAAAAACAAACAAACAAACAAAAAATTAGCCGGGCATGGTGCACTTGTAATTCCAGCTACTTGGGAGGCTTAGGCAGGAGAATCACTTGAATCCAGGAGGCAGAGGTTGCAGTGAGTCGAGATTGCACCACTGCACCTCAGCCTGGGTGACAGAGCAAGACTCCATCTCAAAACAAAACAAAAAACAAACAAAACTTATTCTTACTGTGTGTTATTGACTGTAGTGCTTCCTGTTTTTATCCATTCCATGTTTCAAAAGAAGTTGATTACAGTGGACTAAATTGATTTCACATCTCCATAACAAGTTGCTCTCTATGGATGGAAAAACAACTGGACCAGGCAATTTGAAATCTTTACAGTGACCACTTGTTTTGGCAGCATATATGTGCAGTTTTGGTGTAACTGTCAAACTTGAATTGTAGCATGATTAAATCAGGTAATTCTGAGTGAGCGTTAAGCAGAGTGGGAAGAAATGGAGGTATGAGTTTGGGTTTTGGCTTCAGACACTTGGTTTGCATGCACTCTAGTTGAGGGCTAGTTTTGCATCCTGGCGAACAGTATAGATTCTGTAGTCAGACGGCCTTTATCTAATTTCTGGCTCACAGTTAGTTGTGTTCATGAACATGAACAAGCTACTTAACTTCATCAAGCCTCAGTTTCTTCATCTATAAAATGAAAATAATGTTACCCTTTTTTGACATTGTGAGGTTTTAAGACGTACAGAGTAAGCATTCAATAAATGTTAGCTATTATTGAAAATCCCATAAAAATGAAACAAGAGTGTTCAAATATCTATCTACATGTTCACGTGGTCAAATTGACATAGGTGTTGGCTACAGTTGCTGTACATTTGTCATGTGGCTGGCCCTGTGAAAAGCACTCTATATGCATTTAACCTTTGCAACATCGGATAATGCATTATTTGTCTCATTTTGTAGATGAAGAAATTGAAGCTTAGGGAGCTCAAGTAACAGAGTTGGTAAATGGCAGAGCTGGGATTCTGGCTCAGGTATATCTGATTTCAGAGCCCAAGCACCTCGTTTATTAGCTGCTTTTGGTTCTACCTTCTTCCATAGCCACATGACTCACTCCCTTGCTTATTTCATGTCTCTGCTTAGTTTTCACTAATTTATCCACTCTGTAGAAAACAGCAGTCCCCTCCCTCATCCCTACACTTCCTGTCTGCCACACCGCTTTATTTAGCATTATAACATCTTATATCATATGGCACTTTACAATTACTTGC
This sequence comes from Homo sapiens, assembly GCF_000001405.40. NCBI lineage: Eukaryota > Metazoa > Chordata > Mammalia > Primates > Hominidae > Homo > Homo sapiens. The sequence goes on from NC_000008.11 coordinate 120,950,015, forward strand.
TTCTTGATCATTTGTCTCTCACTGGAACAAAAGCTCCTTAAGGCCAGGGCCCTTGTATTATTCACTGGTGTGTCTCCAGCACCCAAAGTGGTATCTGGCAGCTTCACAAAACAGGTAAGTGATTTGAGTTCACTCTGTCAAAGAACAACATTTGTTTGACTGTAGGAGTAAATTACAATTTGTTTTTATATCATATGTACAGACTGATCTGTGTGGTACAGAGACCAAGCAAATAGTGGTAATCCTTCACAGAACACATTTTATTCATATATTTTAACAAGGATGATGTACAAATATTTATCAATGCAAATTTTTATCTTTATTACACATATTCAAAAATGTCCCAATGAGTTCTGCTGCATTTTCTTTACAAATACATGTTTTGATAATAGCTTTATTTATATATAATTTATTTACCATAGAATTCACCCCTTGAAAGTGAATACTCCAGTGACTTTTACTACATTCATGAGCTTTGCAACCATGGCAGCCATCAATTTTTTTTTTTTTTTTTTTTTTTTTTGAGATGGAGTTTTGTCTTGTCACCCAGGCTGGAATGCAGTGGCGTGATCTCAGCTCACTGCAACCTCCTCCTCCCGGGTTTAAGTGATTCTCCTGCCTCTGTCTCCCGAGTAGCTGGGATTACAGGCACGTGCCACCATGCCCGGCTAAATTTTGTATTTTTAGTAGAGATGGGGTTTCACCACGTTGGCCAGGCTGATCTCGAACTCCTGACCTCAGGTGATCCGCCTGCCTTGGCCTCCCAAGCAGCCATCAATTTTAAGACCTCTTCATCACCCCCAAAAGGGTACACTTCCAAAAGGAAGCCTGTACCAATTAGCCATCATCCCCACCATTTGCTCCCAAACCTCAAGCCTAGGAAATCGTTAATCTAATTTCTTTCTCATGGATTTTCCTATTTAGACATTTGACATAAATGGAATCATGCAACACACACACACACACCGCCATAGTGGTATCTGGGGTATATAACATATACTCTATAAATATTCACATTCAAATAAATACACTAATTAATTGAGATCAGTGAAACAAGTCACAGAAAACTTAAGATTAAGACAGCCTCACTTATAATTTCATTGCCTTTAGATTTATTCTGAATGTTTTCATGTGTGTCTCATATTTGTGATGTTTTGAAGACATTCTATGAGCCATTATTTCCTCTAAGAATTGGGGAACCTGCAGTCCATACATTGGGTCTTGTTCCTCTACTTAATTTCACTTGGTTCATTGGAAAAGTACCAAGAAAGTGATGTTGCTGTTTACAATTGTTGCATAGTTGAGAAGATGGAGTAAGGCATCAGAAGCCTTCAGCTGCAGTATCCTTACCTTCCACAAGATGGTGCTCCTATTCTATAGAAGTCACTGTATTGCTCAGGTTCTGTGATGCTTGTTTTTCTGGGTTTGACTTTTTAATTTCGTTGTGCTTGTCTCTGCCTTTTTCTTAGAATTTTTGGTGTTTCTATCTCTTTCTACTTTTCTTTTTTTCTCTTATATTTAAACCTTTACCTGGGCAGTTTATTATATAGAACAAAGTAGACATCTTTATTGTTTAACAAAATAAGGTTGAGTTTTATGTTCCTTGATGTTATCTTTAAAATCTAATGAATGCACAATAATGTAGACTATATACTTATTTATCTAAGGAAAATCAAATATGTAAAAGTTGTTTCTGAGGTCAGTTATGTGGCTGTTGACTATTCTTTTCTCTCTCTAGATTAATTTTGTAAGTTTTTTTATGGTTTTTAAAAACAGGGTTTTACTGTTGCCCAGGCTGTAGTGCAGTGGCATGATCATGGCTCACTGTAGCTGCAAACGCTGGGGCTCAAGTAATCTTCTTGCCTCAGCGTCCCAAAGTGCTGAGATTACAAGTATGAACCATGGTGCCTAGCCCTATTTTGTAAGATTTTTAGAGTTGTGGCTGGGCGCAGTGGCTCACGCCTATAATCCCAGCATTTTGGGAGGCTGAGGTGGGCAGATCACCTGAGGTCAGGAGTTCAAGACCAGCCTGGCCAAGATGGTGAAAACCCATCTCTACTAAAAATACAAAAATTAGCTGGGCATGGTGGTGGGCGCCTGTAATCCCAGCTACTCAGGGGGCTGAGGCAAGGAATTGCTTGATTCCAGCCTGGGAGGCAGAGCAAGACTCCGTCTCAACGAAAAACGAAACAAAACAAAAGACTTGTGAGGCTTGGAGGTATTGAATTGTTTTTGAGGTCATTCATGTGGCTAATGACTATTTTTCCCTCTTTTAAGGTTAATTTTGTAAGACTTACAGAAGTTTTAAAGCTTGGAGATATGAAGTGATTTGTCACAAATAGTACAGGTTGCTGGAAGAACCAGGAATTAAATTTACATCAGTTTGCTTTAAGTCTACCTCACGTTTACTCTGCCTTGCTGACATCCTGCTCCTTGATTCTCTGAATCAATCCTACTATTCAAGAAAAAAAGTTTAAAAAGTAGGTTAGTTTAAAAGGCAGAAGTAGATGATTTCTGACAACTGACAACAGAACAAGTAAATACGGGTGTGCTGATGTGGTAGGCCACACGTTTGGTATTGTAAGGTCCATCTTTTTTTTTTTTTTTTTTCTTTTTCAGCATCCCTTCCTTTTGGGAAATGCTTCTTAACCCTCTACTTGATTACAATAGAACCAGTAGGAACTTCAATCCTGTGGCTTTGTCTTCAATTCATGAATGTGTGCGTGACTCAGACTGACCAAGTAGAGAAACTCCTCCTTGCAGGAAGGGATTGGCTTAAGGAGGGCACGGAGCTTGCATGGAGAGCCTCATACAGTGCTTTGTGTGGCTCAGGGAGCAGTGGGGGCAGAGGTCAATATTAATATTGGTATTAATATTGGCTGTTGGGACTATGAACTCTCAGTACCATGTGTAACCATTTTCTTGCTAGTATTAATTGGGTGCACAGAAAAAATGATAACATCATTTTTTTGCTACCTGCTGCCCTCTCTGATCCACTGACTCTCACTTTCCTGTCCTGTGATAATCTCTTAGGAAAATCCTATGACTACCAAGTCACTTTCAACATCAAAAATGTCTCATTTCAGGTATTGAAAAATCTAGTGTGGTCCAAGTCAAAACTTTGATCTCAGATCCTCATTAGAGTTTCTTCCCTCCACCAAGGTCAGGTCTGAGCTGTAGTTCACGATCATGTGACCATGAAGAGGTGGGCCCTCCCATCTCACTGTACTGCTTACCAGTTTTCCTTCATTTTCTTCCAGGGTATGGCCCAAGGAGAAGAGGATGAGGGGGGAGGAGAGGGAGGGTGTCACCTATTTGGTGCTGTCTCAATCTGACTTCAGTATTTTCTGTCGTGGCAGGTGTTCAAGTGTAGGTTTTAGGGAGTAGAGGGGCACTCGTGGGTTTATCAGAGACCCCCCCCCGCCAACAAGGGTGTTCACCTGGCTGTCATTCAAGTGTGTTCCTCCTCCTTGCCTTTGTTCTTTTGGTTCCAGTACCTCTCTCAGGACTTTCCAAGGGGCTAATAATTTCTGAATAGCTTTAATTAAAATAAAATTTATACTTCTGGGTTAAAGATTCTCCTCACCATTTTCAAATTTCTACCCCACTTAATGCTATTTGACAGAATTTAAAATCACTCTTCTGTTGAAATATGTAGAAGAGGTAGGTTTTAGGGAATGCTGTAATTTTTTTGAGTTGCCGTATGTGACACAACTGATTAGATCATGATGTTATTTTATAGCTGATGGTACAAAACATGAATTCTGTTATTTTTTTCGTGTGTGTGTGTGTGTGTGTGTGTGTGTGTGTGTGTTGTCCTATCAGTTCAGACTCAGAGAACCTTGACATCAAAGTAGGTGGTTTTTATCCCATGTACAGCCATTATAATCCTTTTATAGCATGATTTAATTGCATGGAATACTTTAAATGGTGGGTGAAATCACTGTTATGATTTTCATTATTATACAGAAAGTCTGTCAAGGAGTAGTTCTCCTATAGCAGATGATGTGCGTCCTGTTTCTAGTGCTGGAGTCATAAAAGACCCTCTAGTCCAACTGTTCACCTTATGTTCAAATTTCATTTCTGGGCTTAAATATTATTTTTCTTAAAGTGGACCCACATTAAAATAACAAAACGGGTTAAGCAGGATAATCCAATAACCAGGTTGTTACCTGAAATTAAAAGTCTGGCAATTTTTTCCACTAAGATAACTGATTATTGGGCAGGCTATTTTTGAGTCACTGTGACTCAGCCTGACTGACTCTTTTTACTCCTGGACTCTGTTGACTGCCCTCCTAATGGATGCCAGTGACTTGCCTTTGGCATGTCACCTGCGCCAGCATGAGCTGCCATTCAAATGGTTCTGTGCTCTGACAAGCTGCACTCCGTGAATTGCCAGCTGGATAATTCACAAGGTGCTGCCGTGTGCGAGCCAATACCAGCACCTGGAGGCCTTTATAGATGCTGCCACTAAATGCATGAAGAAATCTCAAGTAAAAGTTTCACTTTTTTTATTTTAATGCATGTATATAAACCTGCAACATTAACTACCTCTTTGGTTTGAAACTGCAGATGTAACCAATATTTCTTTGCCTAAATTATGCCCTATATGCTTTGGGGGAAGGGAGACCCAGTCATTAAAGATAAAACATCAAGTCATATAAAATGTCATGTAACAGTAAACTGCAGGCTTCACTGCAATTGCTTGGAACATGGGATGTTATGCCTTCCTAATTGTGTTAAACCCAGAGGCTTGGCGTGAGTGTATCAGGAATCAGGGGTGCAATATCCATGATTATAACTTGAAGATGGGACAAATCCTGACTTGGAAACTATTCAGCAATCTGGTTGGTTCCATTCAGTTCAAAGCAGTTCAACTCAGTTCAGTTCAATTCACCTTATTCATTTTCATAAATGTTTCGGACACACCGTATGTACTGGGCACTGAGAGGATATGGGGCAAAAAAAGTTGAAACCTGCCTCTGCTAATGCAGTGCTGGTGCTCTGATTCTACTCCTCTCCATTCGTCTCCACCCTGCTCTGCACACTGGAAGCCTGGTTTATGTGGACCCATCACTGTGTTCTTTTGCTGTTGAATTTGGTTTGGTTCAGGCCATGGATGCCACCAATAGGAGATGCCAGTGGGTAAGAGAGAGAACTTGGAGTATTTATTCCCCAACTCCCTCCTGAGCTGCAGGCTTATGTCTGGTTTGCATCTGGCCAGTTATCCTTCTCCATCCAGTTCTGTCTCTGGGTAGATCCTGACTACCCACGGCTCCCTTCTCTTCCCCTTTACACCCAAGGTGTGGTGAGTGCTCCCTGGTGTCCCTGTCCCCAGGATGCTGCCCCGGCCTTGTTGCCTTCCATAAGCTCTGCTCACTCTTTTGAAAATACTCTTTTTTTAGTGTAATTCTTTCAGATTATTCAGTTTGCCTGTACCCATCAGTGCCTTGCAGAGGAGCCCAAGAGATACCCAGAAGTAAGCTTCCATCTGAATTAATTCATTTATAGTTAAGTGCTTATTATGGGTCAAGTGACTATGTGCTAGGTCCTGGGGGTATAAACCTCTAACTATGAAAGATACAATCCAGCTTTCAGTGAAAGCATTGCCTATTAGAGTGCACGGAAATTAATGATTGCAAAATAGCAGTGAGTGCAGGGCAGCTGATGTTACGGGACATGACAGCTTGCCTTGTGTTCGGATGGGGGCCCTGTAAGTGTAGCTTGAATCGAAATAGAAAGCAGGATGGGGGCATGAATTAGGTAAGGATATGACCATGCTGGGGTGGTGGGGAGTGCGGTGGGAAGAAGGAAGCACCTCCGTGGAGACCTTAGGGTAAGCAGGAGTGAGGCCCTTTGGAGGGGAGTGAACATTCAGTCTGTCCAGAACTGGAGAGGATGCAACAGGGAGAAGGAGGTAGAGGGTGAGGTGAAGAGAGGCCAGTTGCCAATCTTGTATCCCCTGTGTGTAGGTTTGGAGCTTATCTTAAGGATATGGGAAATCAGTGACCACAGGTCTTTAATTGGATGTGTGTTTTAGGAGTCTGCTGGCTTGCAGAGTTGAGATTGATTGGGGTTGGGGGATTAGGAGGCAGGGAGCTAAGAGGCTCTTTGAGTAATCCAGGCAGAAGATAATGTTGGCCAGAGCTCACAGTGACAGGAATTAAGAGAAGCAGATGTGTCAAGAGGGATTCAGTTGCTTTCTCTTTATTCTCTCTTTCTTAGCTACCCACATGAGGTTGTTAAATCAAGTTTAGTCTAAAGCTGCCTCCTTTCATATTTTAAGCTCAGCCTAAAAGTTTCTCTGTACATAGTGAACTATAACTTAATGGAGTTGTAAACAGATTGTAACCTACTCTTGTGCCAATCACCGAGTTTTGGCCAACGGGGGTCAGTTGTTCAAACAGCATTCAAATAAAGTAAATGCGGAGCTGTAGCCAAATGGCGGTTTCTGTACCTCACTTCCATTTTCTGTAGGCCTCTTTGTCTATAAATCTTCTTCCACCATGTGGCTGTGCTGGAGTCTCTCTGTGCCTACTCTGGCTTGAGAGGCTGCCCCATTGAAAACTCGTTTTTTGCTCAGTTAAACTCTGTTAAATTTAATCTGCGTCTGGTTTTTCTTTTAAGGTGGTCAGCTCCAGAGGTCTTTTTCTGAGCGACGTAGTTGCTTGGGTAGAAATCCCAGCAGCAAAAGGCTCCGAGGGAACATCAGAGTGGTGGGAGAGAGGCAGGGATGTGGGGGAGATGGATGCACCGCTGAGTCCTGCAAACAGGAGCCCTGGGAAGGAGTCTGCAGGGCCAGCTGAGCCTCTGGAGCACCACGCAGGGCACCACTGCCCCCTAGTGTTCCCAGGGAAAAAGGACCTAACAACCAGGTGAGGCAGGGAACCCCAAGTCTTGGTGCTTCCTTCTGCTCTCCTCTTTTTAGCCCCCAGGGTGGAAGCGCTAGATCCAGAAAGGAGGGAGCAGAGAGTGCTCGAAGCCCACAATGCTCTGTTCCCACCCAAGCTTTAGAAAGACAAAGCGTAGACCACACCCCGCTCCCTACTTTAGGTTCCAAGCTAGGAGGCTGCTAGGTGCTGAAACAGGAGGTTGAATCAGGGGAGAAAGACTGCTTTAAAACAAAAGGACTGTGTTTTTAAATAACTGAAGGTGTTCAGGAATCCTGGAATATGCCTAAGGTGTCAATATGGAGGGGAAAAGGAAATTTGACAGAGGAGAATGAGAATAAAATGATTTCTTGTTTATATCACAATGAGTTTAAACTTCTCAGCACGCACACGTGCTTAAATGTATATAAACTTAAATTCGCACAAATGTTAAAAAACCTTATATATGTATGTATATATTTATATATGTGTATACACACAATTTTATGCTTATACATTTATATTTTTACTTATAAAAACATGTATGTATGTACACACACATACTTTCCTGTATACATTTATTGTGAAAATTTGGAAAGTATATATAAAAGAAGGTGAAAATTATCTTGTCACTCAATAACTTCATTGCATTGTATTGCATAAAACAAATGCCTTTTGAAAAGTCTTCCCCGTTGAGACGAGTTGTACGGACATTGTTTAAGACATTTGATAGATAATATGAAAGTGTTTTCTGTAGAACTTGTGCCAATTTAGTGTTTCTGACACCCTTCACAGCATCTGGCATTATAATAGTGTTGACATGACTAATACAAACTTTTGTCAATATGGTAAGTAAAAAATAGAAGCCTATAATTTATTTGCTTTGTGTTTCTTTTATTAGTGAATCTAAATTTATCATTAGATGTATTCTGCTCATGCATATGACTTTTTCTGTAATTTGAGTGGTCATGACTATTGCCTATTTTTAAAACTCAAAGGATGGGTATGATGGCTCATGCCTGTAACCCCAGCACTTTGGGAGGCCAAGGTGGGAAGGATTGCTAAGCCCAGGAGTTCAAGACCAGCCTGGGCAACATAGGGAAACAAAAAATTTAAAAAATAGCTCGGCATGTTGGAGCACACCTGTGGTCCCAGCTACTTGGGAGGCTAAAGTAGAAGGATTGCTTGAATTTGGGAGATTGAGGCTGCAGTGAGCTGTGAATACACCAATGCACTCCAGCCTAGGTGACAGAGTGAGACCCTGTTTTAAAAAAAACAAAAATAAAAGGCTGGGCACAGTGGCTCACACCTGTAATCCCAGCACTTTGGGAGGCTGAGGCAGGCAGATCATGAGGTCAGGAGTTCGAGACCAGCCTGACTAACATGGTGAAACCCTGTCTCTACTAAAAATACAAAAATTAGCCGGGCATGGTGGTGCACACCTGTATTCCCAACTACTAAGGAGGCTGAGGCAGGAGAATCGCTTGAACCCGGGAGGTGGAGGTTGCAGTGAGCTGACATGGCGCCATTGCACTCCAGCCTGGCAGAGTGAGACTCCATCTCAAATAAATAAATAAATATAAAAATATTGAAGGGTTTATTCTCTTTTTGTTTTAGAAAAAAACATTTATATACTAAAAATATTCATGTTGTGTAATGTACTCTGAAAATATTTTTCCTGTTTGTCTTTGAATTCAATTTATGTTACTTTTTATGCTACAGATGTTTTCAACTGATATGCAGTCAAATATATCAACAATTTTCGTTAAGATGCTTACTTGTTTTTCTGCTTAGAATGGCTTTCCTTACCCTGAGATCAGAAAAATTTTGCCTATATTTTATTCTATATTTGCTTTGTTTCATTTTTAAACATGAAACACTTCAAGTTATGCTGAATTAATTTTGATTTAGGTTTTGTGGTAGGAATCTACTCCCCTGTCTCTCACCCTGGTATTACATCGATGATTAAGGAACATTTATGGAATAATTTATTCTGCCTTAAATGCATTAAGAGTTTGTTTTCATAGAGAGTCAACATGATGTAGGGTGAAGATCACAGACTTTACAGTCAAAACTGCCTGGGCTTCATTGCTTTACTTTGTTATTTACTAGCTGAGGACCAAGGCAATTCACTTAAAATCCCCAGTTACCTTGTAATGTAACATAGGCCTAATAATATCTTAGCAGGTTTTAAAGAGGATTAAATGAGATAAGTAACCTGTAATACTTTGGTAGTATGTGTTAAAAGATTTAGTTTCATTATTTTGTGTTCTGTTTACTTGAACACATTCTGAATTGGGAGCCAGAAAATATGAGGATTTCTTTATAACCCCACTATTTTTTGAGCAATCCACTTCACTTTTTTTATTTCAGTTAATAATTTCTATAAAGTATAAGCAATAGTTACAAAAGAACAGTCAGTTTTTATTGTCTCAAATGAGATTGTTTCTCTGTATTATATATATATAATACATATATAGTCTCTATGTGTGTATATGTAGAAACATACACATACACATATATATACACACATATACATACACACATGCACACACACACACATATATATATATAGAGAGAGAGAGAGACAGAGAAAGGATTTTAAAGCCTGTAAACAATTCTAAAATACGTTTATTAAGATTTCCTTGAAGAATTGGAAACATAGTCCATCTTTAGAGGCCAGATTCTTAGTTACATCTTCGAGTTGGCTTTATTAAACTGAGAAAAATTGAAGTTATGATGCAGCTGCTTGATTTCAAGTAACAGAAACTGAGTCTGCTTAACTTATGCAGAGAGGGAGTTTGGAAGGATGTGGAGTTGCTCATGGAATAGGAAGGAGGAATGACAGCAAGGGACTACACCAGCTGTCTGTGTGTGGTTGGGGGCAGTGGGAGCCCGGTAAGTGGATTCTTTATATTCAGAACTGAAAAAAAAACCTTGTCCTAAACACTCCCCCAACCCCAAGAAAAAAAAAATCTGTGTTCAATTTTTGTTTTGAATCATTCTGAAGATGAAAACTTTGGGGAAGAGAACATATGTGGCCCCAGCTTATGTCGTGTGCTCACCTTTGGCTAGAGGTGGGTATGGTGATTTAATGACACTTGCAAGACTATGTTTAGAAAGGGTAGAAGGAATTCCCCAAAAGGAAATTAAGGTGATATTCAATATTTAGATGGATGTGATAGCAGGTGGCAACATACAACAAATGTCACAGTGCAGTGTCAGGCCTGTTTTCCTGCACTAGCTTTATGGAAGCCTGAGTGAAAGAAGCAATCAGGAGAGAATTTCTAGGATAGAAGCCGAGTAACTCTTAACTTGGCTTGTCTAGACAGCTTCACTTCTAGGATGGTAGCCCCGCGTTAGTTGCCCTTGCTGGGCTCATAATGGTGATCTACCTTTTCAAGACATATGAGGACGGGGAGAGGGTCCGTGATGCTGCCGCTACAGGGGCCCTGGAGGTCTGAGCTTAGGGAATATTCAGTGTCTGATATACTGTAGCCCAGAACCTTAACCGCAAGCAAGTGCCACATTCTTCAGAGACAATAAATGGCAGAGGACGAACACAACTAACTGCTCTCTTAGTCCTAAGACTCAAGACTTTTCTGTTTTGGCATAAAATTAAATCTCCTGAAGTCTGTTTCTTAAGAAAAGAAAGGAAATGGAAACATGAATTCATAAGGCTGCACCTTTCTCTCTCTGCAAATTCCCGAGGGAAGGTGATCCATTAGAAACAGAGGCAGACATGCCAAAAGCAATAAAGGGGCAGGCTCTCTGGGCTAAGCAGCTGTAGTTAAAGGCTTTCCCTGAGAATCTTGCTCATTCATTCATTCTGGGTTTGGAAGTGGGCCAAGCTGTGTGGTTTCCCCACAGCAAGGGGCAAGATCCTAATGATTAAATGTTCTTTGTTGCCTTGCATTTCACTTTTTCTCAGTAATGCACTTTGAAGAATGGAAAATTGAGTTTTCAATACTTTGTTGTTTGCTGAAGCCAAAGCTAGAAGTAATTGAAGCCAGTTGAAAGCAGAAGGGAATGGCCAAGGTAAAACGTACAGCGTGGAGGAGGCCAAGGATTAAAGTTTGGTGCCTCAGTGGATCACGCTGTCTTCTTCTGTGCCATTTCTCATCTTTATTGTGCTGAAAATCTTAGTTGCAATTTGTTTTTGGAAAATCAGGTTATCGTTTGGAAATTACATGCCTTTCCACATTCTCTTTGGATTAACAATACTTCAGTGTAAGTAAAAGACATAGGACCAGAGTAGTAAGAAATGGTTTCTTAGTGGGCTGTAAAGTGTTACCATTCTTTGCTTGAAAATCTCAGGCTGCATCTAAGCAACTAGAGGCTCCTTTTTGACTTTATTTGGCTATTTGGCCAGAACCTTGTTTAAATAAATTAACATCCCTATTGAATCTTTATGAGCACATTTGAGTTATCTTGAAGAAATGTTTTTGTTTGGTAATGCCGAAAATTGATTAATTATTTAAGTAGATTTAATACCTGGACTAGTTCTTGTTACAGTGTAGGTGATCTATACATATTAATTAAATGAAAGAATCAATTAGGTTACTTTCTTCAACCCATAAACACGGAGGAAAAATTCATTGAAACAATGGTATGGCTGACTAAGTAATTAAAATCTTTTAGTCTGGCGACCGTTTATAAACACAGTTCTAGTCTTCAACTGTTTGTTGTGGATGAAAGAGAATGTATTTGTGGGTGGGAAACTACTGCTCTTTTAGGTTGAAGAGCCAGGCTGCGTAAGGTCTAGTTCCTACACCAATATCTATTTGCAGCAAAAAAGTTGGCTACTTTTAACTTCTTTAGGCTTATTTTGGCACTTGATTCAGCTTGATTTAGGGCCAGAAGGAGAGTGAGACTGTGACAGTGGCAGGAAATTTCAGTGGAAAAGTTTGGCTTCTACATTTTGTTCTTTATTCAATAGCTACTTTTTAAATGTTGATAACATGCAAAGCAATATGGAAGCTGTTAGGCATCCCAGCCAAGAACTTATAGTAGATACAATTACCATTACATATATTCCTTGAAACACCTTTATTGAAATGTAATTTATATACCTTAAAGTTTACCCATTTTGACTGTGTAATTCAATTGTTTGTAGTAGGTTTACAGAGTTATGCAGCCATCATTACAATTTAATTTTAGAATATTTTAATCAACAACCCCTCCCAAGTAAACTCTTTACCAATTAGCTCCCCATCTCCTCTCCTCCAGCTCCAGGAAACCACCAGTCTACTTTCTCTATAGATTTGCCTATTCTGGTTATTCTGTATGAATGGGATCATATAACCTATGGTCTTTTATATCTGGTTTCTTTCACTTAGCATAAAGTTTCTGAGGTTCATCCATGTTATAGAATGTATTAGTACTTCATTTATTTTTATGGCTGAATAACATTTGATAGTGTTTATCCATTCATCAATTGGTGGGCTTTTGGGTTGTTTACACATTTTTGAATGTTACGAATACGGCTGTTATAAACATTTGTGTACAATTTTTTTGTATGACCATATGATTTCATTTTTTTTGGGTATATACCTAGGAATGGAATGGTTAGGTCATGTAGTAATCTTATATTTACTTTTTTGAGGAACTGCCAAACTGTTTCCCACAGTGACTTTATTTTACACTCACATTTACCATGTCTTTATTTAAAGAAAAAATGAGAATCTATTGCAAAAGTGAAAAGATTATTGTACTCACTGAAGACAGTATGTTTATAAAGTGTTCAGCACGGTGTCACATCAGATGTAATCCTCATAGTAGGCCTATATGGATGATATTATTATAAAGCCCATTTAGAGATAAGAAAGCTGAGGAGTGAAGAAGTTCAGGACTTGTCCAAGATCACACAGAAAGTGGTAGGTAGATCTGAGACTCTTAACATGTATTCATCTGGCCCCAGACCGGTGCTTTTAAGAGCTGAGTTTCCCTTTTAGTTATGGAGATGAAAATTAGCATTTATACTAATCATGTACTAGGTAATCAGCATAGATCTAATCGAGGGGCTATACCTTCTAAAGCCATGGGGCTACCCTTCTGATCCAGGATGAGATGGCAGATGCCACCCAGAGCTTGGTCATCAGTGTTACATTGATTAAAGAGGTCATGACATTAGAGGAAATTTCTGTTTGATCCATTTTAAGGGGTTCTAAATCTAAGAAAATGGGAAAATAAAGTACCTAATTAGCTTGGTTGAGTTTGTGCCATAATCCCAAAGACACAATCCTAAATGCCATGATCCCAAATGTTGAAATCCCTAAGGATCAAAATTCCTAAAGTCAACAATCCCCCAAATCACAATCCCAAATGATCAAAATCAGAAAGGTATAATTACACAAAAAATTTTTTTAAATATGCTTGTTTACATTTTTAAAAGGCAATTTACCTGAGAAACATATAAAAACACAACAGAACACTTAGAACACTTCATAGGCCACTTTACAAATAAAATAGGCAAAAATAACATACATATTTTTGCAAATATACCTAAACACTCAGGTATACTAATGACAGTCACATGGATATCAGAGTTTTAAGCAGATGAACTGTATTCATAAAGAAATACGTCAAAAAGAGAAATGTATAGATGCATGTCACTATAGTTGGTAACTGTGTGCACCCACCTTTATAACTGTGGTCATCTGAAATACCATGATGGAAAACCTAACTCTTGATAAAAAGAATCAAAAACCATAATGAGTCACCACCACCTATTGCAGTCGCCCAAAGAGATAAGATCTTGAGGAATCTTATCATCTTTCACAAATGCAGATATACAAAAAGAACACTTCTTCATTCATTAAGGAAGTTTCAATGCTTTTACATACACATACAATGCTTACACAGAGTCAATGTTGTGATAATGTGCTTTTGTGGAGTCAAATTTGCAAAAACTACATAAAACAAATTAGAACTTTTTAAGAGTCTACACATTTTCATGCTGCTGATAAAGACATACCCAAGACTGGGACGAAAAAGAGGTTTAATTGGACTTACAGTTCCACATGGCTGGGGAGGTCTCAGAATCATGGTGGGAGGTGAAAGGTACTTCTTACCTGATGGCTGCAAGAGAAGAATGAAGAAGCAAAAGTAGAAACCCCTGATAAACCCATCAGAACTCATGAGACTTATTCACTATCATGAGAATAGCATGGGAAAGACCAGCCCCCAGGATTCAATTACCTCTTCCTGGGTTCGTCCCACAACATGTGGGAATTCTGGGAGATAGAATTCAAGTTGAGATTTGGGTGGGGACACAGCCAAACCATATCACTACGTAATTTATAACTCCAGTATTGGAAATGATGTGAAGATAAAATACATAGCACAGTGAATTGGTGCTTTGGCAAAGGAAAATTCTTCATTTTTCACCCTTTGTTTTCTATGATCTTTGAAACACTTGTTGTATTTTGAAAGCAGTTGTGGTCTACAAGTTTTATAAGTATATGCAGTTCCATTTGAAAGCCTAGCTATTGTTTGGCTTTTGGAATTAAGCAATTTTGTTTTGCTTTTGCAGCACCAATAATAATCAGCTTTTAAACTTTCTTTAAACTACCTTTCACCATTAAGAAGCCTCATACACTTAACTCATAGCCTTTTTGCAAGGAAATAGTTTCACTGATTTCTTCCATTATGTTGTAAGGCATACAGTAGGAAGGAATAATATTCAAACTCCTGAATACCAAATCCGTATTAGGGTTCTCCAGAGAGTCCAAACCAACAGGATATGTGTATAGATAAATGAGAGGATTAGGGGAATTGGCTCATGCAGTTACAGTGTCTGAGAAGTTCCAGGACAGGCCATCTGCAAGTTAGAGACCCTGGGATGTCGCTAGCATGGCTCAATCCAAGTCCAAAGGCCTCAGAACTGGGGAAGCTGATTGTGTAACTCCCAGTCTGAGGCCAACAGCCTCAGGACCCGGGGGGCCACTGGTGTTAAGTCCTAGAGTTCAGAGGCAGGACAGCTTGGAGTTCTGATGTCCAAGGCAGCAGAAAAAAAGGTCTGTCCTAGTTCTCAGAAAGAGACTAATTTGCCTTCCATATTTGTTCTTTGGCCCCCAGCTGATTGGATGGTGCCTGCAAGCCGTAAGGGAAGAGTTTCCCCCACCATATCTACACAGACTAACACTTTCATCTTCTCTGAAAACACTCACAGACCCCCAAAATAATGCTTTACCGGGTTTCTACGCATCCTTAATCCAGTCAAATTGACACTTAAAATAAGCCCACAAGTTCCCACCTTGTCAACATGGCACCCAAACACATCATCTTAAACCATACTTAATTTCCAAATAAAAAACAGCAAGGTAATAGTTCTGCCTACCATGATGCAACTACCCTGAGAATAACCCAACACACAAATTCCTTCCCCAGAATTTGGTTTTCAGGATTTCAACATTCGGGATTTTAATCCTTCAGGATTGTGACTTTTTGGATTTTAGACGTTAGAGATTTTAGACTTTAGGGATTTTGATTGTTTGGGATTTCAACACTTGGGATTATGGCGCTCAGGATTGTGTCTTTTGGAATTGTGATGGGCACTGAGTTAGCTCACACAATCTGGTGAGTGCTTGCTGCAGACCAAGCATTTTGCTGAGCGAGATTCCATTAGACACAGTAAGTCCAGTCTTCACAACAGCACTCTGAAATAGGCACTGGGATTGGCTCCATTCAGCAGATTGGGAAATACTGGCCTAGTGTTAAGTGCTTTTGCCTTGGTCATGTATCTACGGGAGGTGACATAGCTGGGACTTACACGCACGAAACCTGGTGCCAAAGCCTGGGTTCATAAGCTTAACGTCATGAAATCCTTTTAGAAGCAGCAACCACCATGAAATTTACTCTGCTATAAGACCTCACTGTAAAAGATTGGTCTGTGGTTACTTTGAAAATAGAGGATTTAAAATCTATGTCCAGTAAATGCAATTTTAGTTTTCAACTTCAAAGTAATATATGAATAGAATTATAGCTTTTTAGTCTTGACAAATGTCACCATTCTATGGCAAACTTTTGAAGAGAAATGTTGTGTTCCAAAAGCTGCAAGTACATTAAATCTTTGTGTACAAAGCCAAAACCTTTTTCTCTCAGTGGGATGTTTTGTTGTGGGATTCCTGGATAACCCACATTAAGGACTGTCTGTAAAGAGAGAAAATCAAGTGATGGTATCATACAGGCCAAAATAACTGTCTATAGGATGTCTTGGGGTCTTTGGTGGCATCCTGTGGGAGACAGCTCAGTTCTGCTCCTGGGATAACTGGTAGAAGACATTCTTCCAGGCAGCTCTCAGAACTTGGCTTTCAGGCTGCACACAGAACTGGAACAGTACTGGGAAATGGTCAAAACTGTACATTTTAACAAAGCTAAAAGGAGAATTTTGAATGTTTTCACCACAAAGATACATTAAATATTTGTGGTAAGAGATATGCTGATTAGCCTGATTTTATCATCCCACAATGTATACATGTATCAAAATACCACATTGTACTCCATAAATACATGCAATAACTATCTGTCAATTAAACATAAAACAAAGAGTACAAGAAAAAGAGGAAACAAGATCAGGGACAGGGGTGATGTGAGCCCTGATCACACACATACTCTCTCATGTAATTCTCATGAAGGAACTGAACACGCTGCTTAATCCTTCTGGGTTGTGCTTTCTTAGTCTATCTCTTCATAGAGTTGTTTTGAGGATGAAATGATTTGAAACATATACAGCACTTAGGAGCAGTGCTGGGACCATCAGGAGCTCTTATGGTTACCAGTGTTTGTTTAGAAGCATGAGCTTTGTAGTCAGATAAACCTGAGTTTCACTCATGACTTTGGTACTTACTTTCTTGTCTAGAGAGGGCTGAAGATACACAGATATTTCGTCTAGAGAGGGCTGAAGATACACAGATATTTATGCTTCCTGTTCAACAGTAAGGAGTTATACGTGAGAAGTGTCTACCTAGCCAGATTCCACATTTCCCATTTCTTCCTGGAGTTAAGTGTGTACAGGTGACTGCGTTCTAGATTACAGAAACTTTGCACAAGTGATGTGCACCACTTCCAGGCCTGGTTCCTTAACCCTCCCAGATACTCTCCTGCATCCTCTTTCTCCTCTTTATTCTGCTAGAATATCGAAATTGACAGAGCTTCTGGCAGCCAGGTCTCTGCCTTCCTCTTCAACAACCTAGTAGACAAGAAATGAACGTCTATTGTGTTAGTGCCAGTGTGCATTTTTGGGTTTATAGAGCAGTTAGGTATAGCCACACTTAATATATGACCCTGGGCAATTATGTATCATCTGTGAACTTCCATCTGTAAAGTGTGGGTAATGGTACTTATTTTGCAATTTTGTTGTAAGGATTAAATGAAATCAAATATAAAATTTTCAGCTTAATCAGGTTGTTATTTTTATTATTTATATACCACTAACATCTAATAGTTAAAGTGTTAGGAGACATTTGATGGTCCTTTTACATGGCTGCAGTATAAATCCCTTTTCTTTCAGTTATATGACAGAAAAGTTATGTTGTTTTCCCAGAGCTCTGGGAGAACAACAGAGGGGAAGTCTATCTGTCCTCTTTATCATCTATTCCCTTGACAGCTTTACATTGAGATTCTGCTGAGAATCTAAACCCCATAAGGTTTGGGACTGGGTCTTATCTTACATCTCTTCCCCCAGAGTAGCTAGCCTAGTGTCTTGTATATAGCAAGTGATTAACACATGTTTCTTGCATTTTTTTTTATTTTCTAGTATTTATTATTTGCATACTATGTTTCCAGCACTGTGCATGTGCTTAATTTTCTTGCATTATTTTCATACAGAGTATCTCATGTGAAACTCCTACAGTATTATGAGATGAGCAGTACTTTTCTCCACTATAGAGATAAAGTCACATCGCATAGCAGCAACAGGAGAATTAGGATAGGAATCCAGGTAATCTGACTTCAGAGCCACTACAGTTCCTCTTATGGATGAATAATAGTAATCTTTAGCTTACTGAGGACATATCATGTAAGTGCTAAACTCTTTACATGTGTAAACCCATTTAATATTCACTACAGCTGTGTAAAGATGAAATTTGTGTATTAGGTGAAGTTTGTTACATAGATATAAAAAAACTAAAGGATGCCTAACTAAGGCATCCAACCCAGTCTTTGCCGTCTTTGGGGAAAAAATTGATAACAGGAAAAATCTACTCATGAATATTTGATAATTATGAAAAAGAAAATCTGGCTGTGCATACGGTAAAAGAATTATTTAATCCTCACTCATTCCTTCACCATTGAATTAGCACCTACGGTATGTCAGGCACTGAAGGAGGAGCTGAGGTTACAGAGAAGTCAGCCCCTGCCCTCAAGAGCTTTTCTGTCTAGTGGGTGTGGGAGAAACATAAACTTAGTGAACTTAAGACATATTAGAGCAAGAGCCAGCTGAATTCTTGATGCTGGGAACAGTTGGACATAACATGACCAGTTTGTACAGTCAGAAGCAGCCAAGTAGGAGGTAATAATTTTAGTTTTACATAAAATGAATGATTTATGAGTGTTTTCTGTTGGGGGGCAGGGAAGCAAAAGAAATGAGACTTACAAGTATTTGTTGGGTTCATTTATTTTAACATTTCCCATATGCTCAGAAGACAACATAATGAAATATATTTTCTTTGTTAGACACTGAAGAGCTTGGCAGGCCTTCCTATTTATTCCTTGTATTCCAATCTCTTGTTATGATGTCTGCTAATATTTCCTGTGTGTCTTATTTCACTAAAAAAAAAAATACAAATAAAACAGCACATACACAACAACAACAATTCAAATAGGTTCATTCCACATTTTCTTGGGACCATGTTAGTTATAAGGAAGTAAATTAAAACTGTAAGATAAAAAGTTGTAGACCACTGAGATCTGTAATACTGCTAATAATACCCAGGATTTCTAGAGTCCGTTGGAGCCTTCAAAGCTTGTTGTATATCTGCTTATCTTTGCCTGATTTAATACTCTAGGAAGTTTGCAAAGGAAGTAATCCGATGCTTATATTCAAGGTGAGGAAGTAGAGTCTCAGAGAAGCATAATGACTTGTCTCAGGTCAGATCAACTGTATATTACAGAACCATGTCTTCAACCAGGCTCTTTCTATACAATTGTTTCAGCTGTAATATGCTGCAGATATCTCTACTTTGAATTAGAGCAAGAAACCAATATTTTAATGTTTGTCATCTATTTTTTGGTATCAAAATTTTATTTGTTAAAAGTTTCTCCTAAATAAAATGATGCTTTAGATATTTAAATAGATCCTACAAAGGCAATTTTTAAAATAATTTTCTGGTTCTTAACCATCTAATTTTTTTTTTTTTTTTTTGAGACGGAGTCTCGCTCTGTTGCCAGCCTGGAGTGCAGTGGCATGATCTCAGCTCACTGAAATGTCTGCCCCCCAGGGTTCAACCGTTTCCCCTGCCTGGGATTACAGGCAGGAGCCACCAGGCCCAGCTAATTTTTTGTATTTTTAGTAGAGACAGGTTTTCACCATGTTGGCCAGGAAGGTCTCGATCTCCTGATCTCGTGATCCGCCCACCTCAGCCTCCCAAAGTGCTGGGATTACAGGCATGAGCCACCATGCCCGGCCCTCATCTACTATTTTTTTTTTTTTTAGTAATGATTCTAGTGTTTTTATGAAAAATATGTAAAAATAATTTCTGAGTTTTCTTGAGCTTGCCCAGCTCTACTAAACTTGAGCTTTTGGTAAGAACTAGATGTTTCAGATCTGTCTACATCTCAACAGCTCAGAAGCTGGACTGGAACAAGGACACAGTGCTGAGGGCAGCTCCAGGTGGGTCCTTCGGTCCTGGACCGTGACATTTTTGAGTTTACCTTGGTGACAGCTCCCGAGACTTGAACATGTTAGCGTGGTCTGTGCTTGTTCTATTGCTTGACAGGGCCCAAGAACAAGCTTCCTGAGCCTGGCATTCAGTTCTTTAGGGATGCTGCATGAATTTTTATAACCTATCCACCCACCTCACGTCATTATTTCAGAAATATATAAATTCCTGGCAATTTTCCTTTCTTTTTCAAAGGAGGAAGGCCCACTGCAGTATCTTTTATCAATCTCCTTTCTGTCTGTAATACAGGGCCCCATTTTCCCTCCCTAGGCATTGGTGACTATTTTCTCACAATTTTATCTGTCTCTGGCTTTTCTTCTCTGATCCATTTGCCACATTAGCACTGGAGTTATTTTGTTTTACTGGAATTTTAAGACTGAGCGTGTCATTCTCCCACTTAAAAATCTCGGAAGGCTCAGTATATCCAATGCAAGATAAAGTCAAAAGTCAGGGAATTCTGGGTCCCAGGATCACCCAAGTAATTGACCTCAAGTGACTTTTCCGGATCCTCAGTACCGGTGCCAGGTCACCTACACTACCTTACGTTCCAGCCCCTGGGGCCTTTTGGCCTGTTCTCTATTAAACAAACATGTCACACCACCGTATTTTTCTTCTCCGGTTTCCCAAAGATATACTTTGTCCCACGGTATACCTATCAAAGTGTCTTCACTCATTTAATGTCCAGTTTAAATACCTCCTACTGTGGGGTGCTTACCCTGATGATCCCCTAGAATTACATGCTGATAGCCCATTACTTGTGTGAACATTGAACAATCTTTCTTGCTTATAAGGTAGCTGCTTTTGTGTCTGTCTCATCTACTAGATTACGAGGGTTGGCTTCATCAGCATGAGAGCTGTGAAGCTGCACGGTAGCCCATGTTTCAACGGATCCACGTTTGACTCAATGCTTTGCTATTGCCATCTTGAAATTCTTACCGTTTTTCAAGTAAGTCGCTCTCCATCTTCATTTTACACTGAGTCCTGCAAATATTATAGGTGGTCCTGTCTTAAGAACAGAGGCTAATTTGAATTCATCTTTAACTATACCAGCTCTATGCCTTTCACCTAAGTGCTGCCTACTTTAAACTTCTTATTGAAAGAAACTGGAAATGAGTAGCCAAAAATGTGCTTAATTACAACATTTCAGAACAGGAGCCTGACTTGAAACTCACTTGAGAAGTCTGGGTATCCAGAGACATAAAGTTTCCCAAGGTCCTGTGTCAGTGGAAGTCAGTTCCAGGATTTTCCACAAACCACATTTACTCCTTATTGGGGAGCAGCATGTTTCTACCAGATGTAAATAACAGGCTTGACAATGAAGCCACCTCTGAGACTGCCCAGTGGAGCTCTGAGGCGTGGGATTGGAATCTGCTATAAAGATGGGAGACAACGGATTCCCTTCCAAGCTCACATGATGTGAGATTCTTGGCATTCTTCCGGTAGTAACCACAGAGGCCAGCCAGACTAGCCCATGCATTGGATTTCTTACAGAGTCATCTTTGTTTTTTTTCTAGACCAAGTTGCCCCACAGAGAGGCAAAGGGATTGTTTCTAGAAAGGATCACCTCCCGCCGGGCGTGGTGGCTCACGCCTGTAATTCCAGCACTTTGGGAGGCCAAGGCAGGTGGATCACCTGAGGTCAGGAGTTGGAGACCAGCCTGGCCAACATGGTTAAACCTCATCTCTACTAAAAATACAAAATTAGACAGGCGTTTTGGCACATGCCTGTGATCCCAGCTACGTGGGAGGCTGAGACGTGAGAATCACTTGAACCCAGGAAGCAGAAGTTGCAGTGACCCGAAATTGCACCACTGCACTCCAGCCTGGGTGAGAGATCGAGACTCTGTCTCAAAAAATAAAACAAAATAAAATAAGCATCATTATGCTCATCAGATCAGCTTCAGAAATAGAATTGACATGTAGTACTCTTAAAGTCCCAGAACTTTATCCATTTTCATATCCATTTTCTCCCCAATGATAACTCCATGCCTCTTTTAATTGTCCCCTTCCTTTCCTCTGTAGTTCCTCTTTTCAGTTTCACCACCTGTATATGTATCCCTAAATATATGTATCCCTGTTCTGAACTTTAGGATCATGTTACGTATCTGTCTTCTGTGCCTTGCTCTATTTGCTTTTCATTGTGTCTACAATCAGTTAATATTGATGTATGCAGTTAGAGATCATTAATTTTCAATGCTATATAGTATTTCACTGACTATAAAACAACATATGCAGTCTCATTCTATGAACAATGACCATTTAAGATGCTTGGTATTACGAATAATGTTAAGAGAAGCATTTCTGCAAAATTTCTCTCAGTATAAAGTTGTCAATTTCTCTAAAGCAGGGGTCAGCAAAATATAGACCAAGGACCAAATGCAGCCTTGGGTCTTGCACTCCTGAGCAGCTGGGACTACAGGAGTGCAAGACCATGCCTGGCTCATTTTTTTTCTTTCCTTTTTTTTTTTTTTTTTTTTTTTTGTATTTTTAGTAGAGACAGGGTTTCACTGTGTTGGCCAGAATGGTCTCAAACTCCTGATGGCAAGTGATCTGCCTGCCTTGGCCTCCCAGAGTGCTGGGATTACAGGTGTGAGCCACTGTGGCCTATTTCTTTTTAAATTATTATTTTATTAGGTTAGTGCAAAAGTAATTTAGGTTGGTGTAGCAACCTAATATTAAATAAGAATACGTATTTTAGGCGTACTTTTTGGTAGATATACAGTTAAAAATGTAAGTAAGGCTAAGTAACTTAGCAAGACCATTCAACTAGTAAGTGGCAGAATTGGGATTTGAACTTCAGTCTCTTTGGCTCCAAAGCTCAATCTTTCTAATCACTTCTCATGTGCCTAGGTTTAAGTCAGTGTTATTTTATTGTATTCCTTTCACTTAATTGCTTCTCTATACTGAGATACCACAAAACAGATTTGTACAGCCTCCATTTTTACCCAAATCAGTGGAGCCTGTCAAGTTAATTGGTTGTGACACACAGCTTCCAGAACATGTAATTATCAGCTGCATTGAGTGGGAAGTTCAGATGACAGTGAATAGTACATGTAGACAGAAATCTGTGTGTTGCTACAACTGAAGAACAAGCCAAAAATGTAACATTAATCAAATGCCAATGTAGTAGTATACCAGAAAATAGTTCTATGTGGAAATGAAAGCCGGAGAAATCTACAAACATTCATATTTGTAATCCACAATTAGTCTCTGTGCATCATATTCTCCTTTTTAACACCCAGATATGGAGAACCAGTATATTCTACTGGATATAAATGGAAGAATGGTCCCTTCTTTCATTCTACAATAACCACAGTTTCATCCTCTTATGCCTATAGCAGCTGACAGATGAGTGTGACTGATTACTCAGCCAAGTCAACTTTCAAATATGAGAAGCAAAAGCTCTTTCAGGAGGCTCAGGCAGCTCCAAGAGCTCCTGTACCATCTGTAGTGGAAGGAGTTTTGTAGCTAGACAACCAAGGTTTGTGTCCTGGCTTTGTCACTTACAAGCTATGTGATTTTGGACAAATGACTTCACCTGAGTCTGTATCCTTATTGGCAAAAACTTGTAAAGTAGCTCAATACTTTTAAATATTGGCTGATTATTTGAATACCCTGGATAGCTTTTTTAAAAATACCATTAAAGTGGCCTTACCTGCCCTGGGCCAATTAAACCAATTTGTTTGTAGTTGGAGAGAAGAGTCATGGATCTTGGCATTTTTAGGAAGCTTAATTCATTTAAAAAAGTGGGCTAGAACTACTGCCTTATGGATGGTTGTGTGATTCCTAAACTGGAAAAAAGGACCTTATAAAAACATCTGTTTGATTCTCTCCTTTATAATACAGAAAGTGATATCCAGGGAGGTAAAGTGATCCACCCAATGTTCAATGGCCAGTTATGTAGCAGAACCAGCACTAGACCAAATGTTTCTTAACCTCTAGCCTTGCACTCATTAGAAAGACATTGAATCTTCAAACTAGAAACACCAAAGACTCTTTCCTCTCTTTGGAAGAAATAGTATTCCCTCTTAATTTCAAAAATGCCTAGTTTATATGTTAAATTGTTACCTTGCATAGAAAAATGCATCACAAGCAAACAAATGAAACAAACCAACCAGGTGTGTGTGTGTGTGTGTGTGTGTGTGTGTGTGTGTGTGTGTGTGTTTGGGGGTGGAGGTGCTTGCAGTGATAAATAGGACCCAGGTCATTCTGAAGAAAAATGGTGTATTAGTCTGCTCAGACTGCCATAATAAAACACCATAGACTGTGTGGCTTAAACAACAGAAATGTTTCTTACAGTTCTGGAGGCTGCGAAGTCCAAGATCAAAGTGCTGGCAAGGTGGGCTTTATTCTGAGCCCTCTTCTCTTGGTTTGTAGGTGGCTGCCCTTTCACTGTGTGCTCAGATGTCATGTGACTTCTTTATGTATGTGTATGAAGGGAAGGGAAAGGAGACAGAAAAAGGAAGGAGGGGGACTGAAAGAGAAGAAAGGGGAGAGGGAGATAAAAGTGGAAGGGGAGGAGAGAGAGGGAGGGAAAAAAGGAGAATGGGCCAGGTGTGGTGGCTCACACCTGTAATTCCAGCACTTTGGGAGGCTGAGGCAGGTGGATCATTTAAGGTCAGGAGTTCAAGACCAGCCTGGCCAACACGGTGAAACCCTGTAGGTACTAAAAATAAAAAACTTAGCTGGGTGGTAGTGGCGTGCACCTGTAATCCCAGATACTTGGAAGGCTGAAGCAGGTGAATCATTTGAACCTGGGAGGTGGAGGTTGCAGTGAGCCGAGATCACACCACTGCACTCTAGTCTGAGAGAGAGAGTGAGACCCTGTCTCCAAAAAGAAAAAAAAGAGAATGCTAGGTCTCTGAAATTTCTCCTTATAAGGCCAATTATCTCAACATGAAGATCCTACCCCGCTGACCTCATGTAATCCTAATAACTTAAGGCCTCATCTTGAAATACTATCACATTGGGGGTTAAGAATTCAACATATATATTTGGGGTGACACAGTATTCCATTCTTAAAATATGACATTTGAATCTCCTTATAAGAGTGCCTAGACCAAAAATAAGTTCTCTTATTATTATGAGTCTTATTATGGTCCATGGGCTACTATAAAAAATCCTACATTAGTGGTTTTCAATCCTGGATATAAATTAGAATAACCCGGGAGCTTTTTACATAATACTGATTCCCTACACCTCTTCTCCCAAAAACTGGATCAGAATCTTTGGGGATGGCAACCAGGCATCAGGGTTGAGAACCACAGCAGCTGGGCCCTGAAGCGCAGGGAGGTTGTCAGGTTACCTAGTGCCAAGTAGGAGGTAAGACTCATGTGCCATAAATGTCTGAATATAAGCTGAGGACTTTCTCTGAAATTATTTTTCATAAAAGAATAACCCATTTATTGCATTATGTTCAAGTTCTTACAATGTTTCTCATGCTATGGGCACTCTCTCATTTACTATGTGTGTACCACACCGTTTTTAACAACTATCTTAATGCTATGCAAATTGAGTAACTTGGGATTGCTTCATATTTAGACATATAGGATGACACTATCACTTAACTTCTTTTCCTTCCATCATACTCTGAAACTCCCATATTAATAGGTCATGGACTGGTCCATGGACTTTTAAAATCTTGGGCAAGTTACTTCCCCTCCTTAGGATTCAGGGTTTTTCTGCATTTAATAAATTGAAAGCCTTGGACAAGACTGAATAACATTGTATAAAGCCCCTGAATTACAGTGCCTCTAACTCTACCTCTTCACCTATTTTGCATACACAGTTTGGGCAAACCACTTACATCACTTTATTTTCTCTTTAAGTTTGCTGTCATTTGGTGTGTAGTAGGTTGTATTTGGTTCAGAATATTTGCTGCCACTCTGTGGAGCAATTATACTTTCTTACTCCACTGGACTCAGAAGTACATATTTGACTTGGTTTAGCCAATGAAATGTGGGCAGAAGTGATTTGAATCATTTTTGAGCAGAGACTTCTAACAGCCAGTTTGTGTTTTTGCCATTTCTTTCTTCTTTGCCATGAAATCACTGACATCTCATAGAAAAGATGACATATGGTTTATCGTCTAAACTAGGAATGTTTAAAACAAGAGATTACACTACTGAGTGAAAATATATGCTATTTATTAATAATTGCTCTGGAACAATAGGCATAAACTAGGACAGTGTTGGATAAACTGAGATGTATAGTCACCCTTCAGAGACAGAGACTTTTTAGCCAGCGTAGGTCCCAAGGTAGAGACAATGTGGAGCAGAACCAGAATCAATCACAATGGACACACATGAGAGAGCAGTAACTCTTTGTAAGCCACTAAGATTGTGGGGACCATTGTTACTACAGCATAACTTAGCCAACTAATAACAGAAACTTAAGCAACACAGCTGACTGATGCAGAAAGCTCATTGAAAAGTGGCCTTATGTCAATACAACAAAGTGGGTCATTCAAGTGACTGCTGATACTGAAGATATGTTCAGAGGTATCTGGAGTTGCTGTGGCTTCTTTCAGTTTAAAAATAAGGAAAGTTACCCCAGTTATCATAATGGGCCTTGTGATTCTGTCCCGGACAGGCCTAATCTCCAAGTGCTGGCCTCACCCAAAATATTCTTCCAAGGGATTTCTTTTGTAAATATCAACGTTGATTCATTTGACCATTCTACTCTGGCCAAAGATGATAGAACCAGGGTGGAGCCCTAACTAAGTGTGAGCAATCTGTAGGCTGGCCAGCAACCTACTTGGTAGCCTTGTATCAATGCTCTGATTTACACAACAGTGGTGTGTTCTGATACTCTCTCTTGAAAATATCTGATCCAGGGATATGAGACAACATACTGGTTTGCAGGATTTGAAAATCACACAGAAAAAGGGCATGGGATATAACTGAGTCATGCTAACAGTGGATAGTAGAGTATGAGTTAACGAGCTTGGGCCACTGAAGATACAAACAGTTTACGTGGTTATAAGAGATGTTGCCAAGCAAAATGTGTGTTCCCCAGATTACATTCTGGTCTTGGCGAAGCCAGCCTGACGGTGGTTCCTGCATTCACATGAAATTTGACTTGTATTGTTCCTGGCTGTCCCTAACACTGACAGCACAGACAAGATTCTTACCTCCAGCACCACTGTTCTTCCATTCCAAGAAAATTTTCCAGCATCGGGCAGGAAGGACAACCAAAGGCAATTAACAAAAAATTGGTAACTGGCAAGAGTAAAACCATACATGAAAAGTTAAAATGCCTCTCTATTTTAAGTGTGGAGCTTCTAGGTCCAACTCAGCAAGACCTTTGCACTATTTGACTTGCCTTAAATGAAACTGCTTTGCATTGGAATGGACTTTTAATTTGTCTGGATATAATGATAGTTTTTTTTTTTTTTTTTTTTTTTTTTTTTTTTTTTTTTGAAGAGGTTAGCTTGGATCTTCTCATAAAAAAAGCATTTCCTCTTACTTCATGTGGCTTATTTCACAACCAGAGAGTGTCCTTTGTATTTTGTTTCTGAGCCAATATTCTTTTTTCTTATGTCTTTAAAACTGTTGCTTAGAATTACTGGGGCTAGTTCCTCCCAGCCTCAGTTAGGAAAGATATATGTATATGATAAAACTTCACTAGCATCTGAATTAACTCATTCAATACACAGAGAAAGACTTAGGTCACTGGTTAGCTTTTGTTTTCTGTCAAGGTTTATAGTATCTTAGAGTAAGATCTGTTGTCACAGATCATTAAGTCTAAAAGTGCTGACGGGTAAAATTACACCTTTAGAGCCTTGTGGCTAGTGAGTGCCATGGATGGAGCAATATCCCAGGTATATGGAATCTCAGTTCAATGTTCTTTCTCCAGATCAGATTCTCATTCTCCTTTGCAGCTTTTACGTTTGTATATTGCAGCTTATCCCCTCAAATGCAATACTTTGGGTTGGATTTCTAAAAACTCCATTCATTTATTCATTTTGTATCTTCTTTCTAATATCTTTTCTAATCCCCACAACAGCTGTATATGCCAGGTATAGTGCTGAGCGCTGGGAATACACAGAAAAAGATGAGGCAACTTTTACTCTTGAGAAGTGGCAGCAATCAGAAATCAGCAATTTGATTTATTAGTAATAGATATCACAATTTAATATCTTAAGTGCTGTGGGAACTCAGTAGAAATTAACCAGTTGGGCTGCAGGGAATGGGGAAAAAAGCTTTCTCATAGGAAGTTACATTTAACAGCATTTTGAAGGATGTGTAGGAGATTGTCAGATGGGTAGGGTTGGGAGGAGAATAATAACAACAAAAAACCCCAGCTTGCACAAAGAATCACGAAATGAATGGAGATAATGTCACAGCAGCAGAAGTATAGGGTGTGAAAAGAGATGTGAGGCACTTGGAAAGGTAGGTCTAGAGAGTGACAGGCCTTATTGGCCATTTAAGAAGTTTGGATTTTCTTTTAAAGGTAGTGGAGATGAGAGGAGAGAGGAGAGAAGGAAACAGAGGGACTAGGTGAGAAGATGCCACACGCAACTGAATGGCTAAAAATCCAGATTGCAAGAACTACCTGCAGTAGGAAGGTTTTGAGACAGTGGGCTAAACTCAGAATCTGTCTTGAAACAGTGACTTTATGGGTTGAAGGGAAGTAAAGAACCATAGTTGACTCTGAGGTTACCAATTTGTAAAATTGGGTGGGTAATGACGGCAAATTGTGAAGAGGGTAATAAAAGGAACAGAAAGGTTTTGGGCAAAAATGATTGCATATTAAGATGTGTCACCAATAAGGTGATGCTTAAGTGGTAACTATAATTATTTAGCTATGAATTATTGAGAAGGATCAGGATGAGATCCAGAAGGAAGGAAGCAGGAATGTAGCTGCTTTCTCCTTTTAAATTTAGTATGCATTCGAAATTTAAAAGGAAACAAAATACTTGAGTGTTCTTCCAAATGGTTTAGGCAAGGTCACATAAGGAGGAACGAGGAAAGGAATTTAGAGCAGTTTTGTGCAGCGGATGAGGGTTTGAGAAACTTTAATTTAAACACTGTTAATCTGTAAGTTAATCACCTCTCTGAAATACATCCCAGGACTATTGTGAGGGTTAAGAGACATCTCAAAGGAATATATGTCGGACAACATAGGTTATGCTCCACTGTGGTTAAAAAACAAAAGCATGGCCCAGTGCAGTGGCTCACAGGTGTAATCTCAGCACTTCGGGAGGCCAAGATGGGAGGATTGCTTGAGGCCAGGAGTTCAAGACCAGCATGGGCAACAGAGCAAGACCTGGTCTCTACAAAAAATAAGAAAATTAGCTTGGCGTGGTGTCATATGCCTGTAGTCCTAGCTGCTCGGGAGGCTGAGGCTGGAGGACTGCTTGAGCCCAGGAGTTTGAGGTTACAGTGAGCTATGATCATGCCACTGCACTCCAGCCTGGGTGACAGAGATCAGACACTATCTCTAAAACATAAAATAGGACAGGTGCAGTGGCTCACACCTGTAATCCCAGCACTTTGGGAAGCCAAGGCAGATGGATCACTGAGTTCAGGAGTTTGAGACCAGCCTGACCAACATGGTGAAACCCTATCTCTACTAAAAATACAAAAATTAGCTAGGTGTGGTGGCAGGCATCTGTAATCCCAGCTACTTGGGAGGTTGAGGCAGGAAAATTACTTGAACCCAGGAAGCAGAGGTTACAGTGAGCCAAGACTGCGCCATTGCACTCCAGCCTGGGTGACAGAGTAAAACTCTACCTCAAAAATAAATAAATAAATAACATAAAATATAATTAAATTTTTTAAAAAGCAAAACATAAAACTTCCCAATGCATCAGTTTAAGACAATAGACATTTTCCATTTTAATTCACTGAATAACTTTATGAAAAAGATCCATCTTCATCATTTGATAGATGGGGAAATGGATTTGTCCAAGAGCACACAAGAGGAAGAGCTCTGAAATCTTTCAGACTCTAAAGGCTGCATGCTGTCTTTCCATTCCATGTTGGACAAATGCTTTCCATAGAGAGGGCATGCCCAGATAGAGGACTAAGCGTTCCTGGCCAGAATGGAGCTCTGAAAATGAAATGTCTGCATGACTTTCCACCTATTTCCTTACTACAAAGTTCTTCCTTGGGCAGACAGGGAAGAGAGAATATATTTCCCACATCCTCAGTTTTATTGAGGGCAGGGTAAGCTAGTGTTTAATAACGTAGTCCCTGGAGTTGACATGGTAAATTGACATATTTGGGTTTAAATCTTGACTCTAGCCACTTGTCAGCAGTGTAAACCTTGACAAGAGACTAAACATTTCTGGCCCTTCGTTTTCTTACCTCTAAAATAGGGATAATAATGGTATGTATTTCAAATGTTTATTGTGAAGATTAAATTAAATAATGCACTTAAAGCACATTGTTTTATGTTTAGTAGTCTATGCATATTTCCTATTTTATGAGTGTTTTAGGAACTCACCTCTTGCTTTTCATTTCTGTCCGTGATGGTACCCACAAACCATCACTCAGAGAATGCTCAATTGAAAAATGAAAAAAGGTAGCCTTGTGCATATGGAGAATGGGAATGCTCTGTGTGGATGGTTGCATTCCAGTCATATTTCCAAGTTTACCCTAAAGCCACAGATTTGGTTGTATGGAATTCAGAAGTTCTAATTAGAAATATGAAGAAGGATATGGACTTCCTTGTATATTTTTAAATTGATATACAAACTACATTTGGTAAAGTGAACAAACCTTAAGTTTAAAACTTAATGAACTTTACAGAGTGAACACATTTGTGTAACCCCATCCAGATAAAAATAGAGAACACTGTCAATAGTACAGAATCATCCCTGCCTCCTTCAGCCCTTCCTACCTGTGCCAAAGATAACCATATCCTGGCTTCTGTTACCCTAGGCTAGTTTTGTCTTTCTGAATTTTACATGAAAGGAATCATAGAATTTGTGTTTTTTGCTCAACATCATGTTTTTGAAATTCATTTATACCATTGCATAGAGCAGTTGTTTCTTCCTTTTATTGCAGTATTGTATCCCATTGTGTGAATATATTACCACAATGTTATTTTCCACTGTTTATGGACTTTTGGGTCAATTCTCATTTTTGGTTATTCACCATAATACTGCTTTAAGCATTCTTGAATATCTCTTTTGCACAAATCTGTACACTTATGCATTTCTTTTGGGAATGTATCAGGAGAGGAATTGCTGGGTCATTGGATACATATCTATTCAGTTTTAGTAGAAAGCATCTAATAGTTTCTGAAGTAGTTGTACCAATTTACTGGACCACCAGCAAAATAAGAGGACTCTAGTTCTCTACATACTCTCTAACACTGATCCATTCAATTGTTATTTTTAAAATTTTAGTCATTTTAATGGATATATAAATATTTCATCACTGTGGTTTTAATGAGCAGTTTTCCAATACCTCATCGCGTTGATCAACTTTTCTATGCTTATTTTTAGCTAAGTATCCTTCTTTTGTGAACTAAGTCTTTCACCTACTTGAAAAAATTGTATTGTCCTTTATTTTTGATGTAGATTTAAAAAAATTTAAATACAAGTTCTTTGTCAGATTTATTTATTATAAACGTATTCTCACAGCTTTTTCACTCCCTCAGTGATATCTTTGGATCTTAACTTTAGTAAAGTTCAGTTTATCACTATTTCCCTTTATGGTAGTTTTCCTTTGTCCTGTTTTATATGCTGGATAGTAAGAACTCATGAGACACATCTGTGGCTACTGATTGGTGATAGAAATAAAAGGGAAGGGATGAAAGTGTTTGATTAAACTGGAGAAAGGGAAGCCATATTTTTGAGGCCACCAGGGGAGAACATCACAAGGGTTAGAGGGGTCAGGACTTGGGGTTAAAGAGTTTCCATTAGAACACGAAAACATCGAAGAGACTGTAGAGGTCTGACATGGGCAAGGGTATGATTACTCCATTAATTTTCAGAAGAGAGACATTTTATAAAACTTTAACCTCAAGATAAAGTTTCCTGGATGGAGTCCAGAGTTATGGCTTGATTTTTCTTTTCCTTTTTATATTTGTGCCCGATATATGGCAAGGTGGTGCAGTACTGATTCAAAGCTTCTGAAGTCTGAGAGGTTGCAGATGGTGTAAAACCAAACCTAAATTGCTTTCAGGATCCAATGAGTTAGCTGGGCCCATATTTTTAGGCATTATATGCTTAGTAAATGCCTCTTTCTTTCCTAGTACATAATTATATTAACTTAAGTAACAGCATGGGGTGATTTGGAATTGTGCTTGGGGGAAAGACAGAATAAGTTGTGTGTGTTGTGTTTTTTTTTTTTTGATGTTGTTTCATTTTGTCTTAAAGAATGGATCTTAGTTTCTATTTTATTTTAAAAAAAACTCATAAATTTAATTAGTTAAATTTCAAATTTAATTTTAAATATGTTATTTAGGTGCTTCTCACATAGGTTATTTTATTTAATATTTGCCATAAAGGATGTGTTATCACTGTTTTATAATGAAGAAGTGGAGGCTAAAAAGGATTAAATAACTTACCTTATGACTCTTGGCTAGTAAAAGAGTTCAGATTTAAGCTCTTTTAATTATGAAAGTCTCTTTCACAGTTTTAAATTTTAGGATTAAAACTGATTCACAATACTAAGCCTCATTTTAATGTACTTAATTTTCAGAGCACATGGGAATGGATACCCAAAAGTTGAGCCCTTAAGCTAAAATAACGGGTTGCTGACATTATAAGAACTTTACTATTCAGCTTCTGGACTTCATTTTATTTCATTGTAAAATGGGATAAATAATGCCTGTCTTAGAAAGTTGTTCTTCATTTGTTTATCCTTTCATTCATTTCATACATGTATGTATTCATTCAATCACCTACAATGAATAAGTGTATTAATGCTGTCCTTTCTCAGCTCAACTGGTGAACTGTCCAGTTACCACTTGGCAAAACTTCCTCCATAATGCGATACTTAGTGACTGTTCTGTGGTCTAACAGATTTAATGTCCCCTTTTCACTCGCATTTCCCACCCCCAAACCGATTCGGTCAAGGGTCAGTCCTGGCCAGGTCACATTCAAGATGCTTTCCCATATTTTCAGCTTCTGTTTTTCCTATCCACTTTACTATTATTACTTATCTTTAGCATTTCTTATTGTAAAAGAAACCTCAAATTTTATATAGGGAATCGGTCCTCTTCCAGTCTTGGTCTATATCATCTGGGCAGAGAAAATCCCATCTTTGGATTCCAACCATAGTTATGTGTCCCAGTTCTAACCAATCAGAGAGATGTATGATTTTGATTGGCCACAGTGATTGGCACCGGGATGGACAAGTTACACAAGCTGCACCAATCAGAGGACATCCAAGGCTTTATGAATTACTGGAAAAGTGGCATTACTATCCACCAGTCTCGCTAAGCAGGTAGCATGTAAATTTGAAGCTGCTGGAAATCATTTTTGCTGACTCTAAATGAGAACCTGAGAACGCAGCCAAATACACAGAGTGCGGAGGCAGGAGCTGGAGAGACAGGCAATGTTTTAATGACATTTTTTGAGGCTGTAGGTCTAGTGATTTCTAAAGCCATGCCCCTTTATTGAACATACCAATTACAGGAGCTAATCATTGTTTCCTCCATTTTGAGAAAGATTTCCATCGCTTGAAACTGAAGGATCCCTGATAAATATATGGGCCCAGTGCTCTCACCTTCGTGAACCCTGTGATGTCCCTATTTCCAGGTGTTTGTTCTCTTCACCATAACCTTTAGGAACTCAATGTCTTCTGAAGTCACTGTGCTATGCTTCAGATGTGGACGCCCACTGGCTCTCTGGGTGAAGAAGCCCTATCTAAATAATTATCAGCAAAGCATCTCTAACTGGAATTGGTAATAGGTGTGGTTATAAAACTAGACTTAAGCAAGACAAACCCAAACTATAACTTGACTTAGCCAAATGCAACTCCTTGCTCAATTGCCTGTTTAAGATTCATATAGCTGAAAACAAAAGCATCAACTGTTTGGCATCATGTACAATCTGTTGTACAATCTGTCCGCTAATGGTACTTTTTATCTTCGAATTGTTAACAGGATATTTAAAATGCAGTCAGAGTCTCAGATCATCTGTTCATATATTGAGTATCCACTATATGCCCACACGTGGTGTACTGGAGACATAATGGTGCCAAGACCTAGTGCCTGGCCTGCCCATATGGGGCTCATATTCTTGTTATAGCCTCTTAATTGCATAGTCTCATGAAGCATTGTTATCTCTGTTTGTGTGTACATGTGAGTGTGTGTGCATGTGTGTGTGTTTGCAATGTCAGAAATCTATGTTGAGGCAGGGATTGGCATATCTCTCTCTCTTAAATAATCATGGCCACTTTAAAGTTTCAGGATTCCAATGAAAAGCCTGTGAATAGATGATTAAGAATCCTCCTGCTATTGCAATAGCTCTGTCTCTGGATTTCTGTTTCTACCTTTCATAGAAGAAATATTGCCTAGTCCTTAAGAGGTCAGTTTCCCGTAACAGACCAGCTGAGTTCAGCTCTCAAATCCACTGCCGACTAGGTATATATTGCTCAGCAAATTATCTAACCTCTATACGTCTCAGTTTCTGCCTCTGCACAATAGGATAAAATTTCTGCCAATTTTGGTGGTTATAAGGATTAAGTGAGGTCCTGCATTAAAGCACTTAGCACTGTGCCTGATAGGCAGGTAGTCCGCCAGTGATTGCATTTTTCTTAGTATTCTTATTTTACTGAAAAAACAAAGATGTCATTCTACTTATCTTTTAAAATTCAGCCTAAATGCTATCTCATTTTAAGGGAGCTAGTTGCATTGTTTCTCATCTTTTGCTCTTACCTTTAATATAGCAGTTATTAATTTTTTTCATACGCTTTTCCGTTTTCTTCATAAAGAGGCACAATGTCTTTGTTATGACTTTAGCATCAATAGTTAAAAGGTGTATGGCTCATTAATTTTTAAATTGAATGGACAGATATTTAGGTGATTTACATTTGAAAGAATTCTTTGCTGCTGTTGAACATAGACTGTAATGGGTCAAAGGCAGAAGGAGGCAACTAGTCAAATTATTGCATTGGTCTAGGGAGAAAAGATGGCGGCACGAGGTGGTGGTGGGAGTAGCAAACACTGTTCATACTCTGGACATACTCCCGAATTAGGGTCACAGATTTGGAAGTAGGAGAATAAGATTAAACGAGAAACAAGCATAAGAACAATAAGAAGTAAAAGTCTTGTTCTATGATGACTAATTCAAGAAATGAGTTTTGTTTGATGGTAGATAGATTTGGCCTGTAGATGGCTCCATTTTCTTAGCTAATAAGAAGCTAAGAGATTTTTGTGTGTGCGTGTATGTTCTAGAACATTTCTAGGCTGCTGTCTTTTTGGCTTTCCCAGGCTGATGTTATGGCCTCACTGTAAATTAATAAGAGGTTTTGACTTTTTTTGTTCAGATAAAATTATGTGCTTTGGCTCACATTTCTAACATAAATTCTTCATTTTTGAGCCACTACTTAAGAAATTTGAGAGGCTGGTGAAAGCTGGGGTAGTTTGGTTAGTTTAATGGATCTCAGTGTTTTCATTCACTTTTTTCCTTCATTTATTGAATGAACAACTGCTGTGTTCCCAGGAACAATGTTAGAGGCAGTGAAGAATATTACTTTGAATAACAATATATTTCCCATCCTTTGCCCATTATGATTTAATAAGAGCACCAAGATACATGTTTTTAGAAAACATCTTTAAAATGTATGTATAAGGCACAATGCCTTAGCATTTTATATACACCCTGTCACTGAAATCTTCAAAATAACTCATGAGGTAAGCGTTATCCGCATTTTATAGATGAGGACGCTGAGGAACTGAGCTGTTAAGTAAACAGTTCAAGTTCAACCTGGGATTTGTATTGTGGACACTAATCCTTCTAATCTACTTGGCTCCAAGTCATTCTCTCTGAAGTTGTGTAGACCTGCGAAGTCCGAGTAGCAGAGAGAGACAACTTCTCTGATCAATCCTCACAGAAGCCTGGCTCTCTTCCTCTGTCCTTCTTTATTCCTTTTGCATTTACCTAAGCTGCTGCTTCTCTTGTAAAACTGCTTCAGAGCATGTGAGGTTTCCCCCATCCTCTGAGTTTTTCTGAGCTGCTAATGCACATACAGCAAATCCTCTTTGTTTATGGTGAGTGTGTATAACAAAACAATGGAGAATGAGACTAACTGAGACCTAGCAGTTTCAGTTAGTAGCAGATGAGCTTCTGTATAATTTTGAGAAGTATCCTCTTAAAAGACGAAAGGTGGACTCAGCCTACAGTGAGCTCTTTCTAAGGAACTAACATCTTCAGGGTATCAAACTTAAAATCAGCTCAGGATAAGGTTCCTACCTAATCTTTTATCCTGCATCTGTCTGTGAGTTTCTTATTCCACTCCTTCTCTCTCTACTTATTCTATTCTGACCTTATCAGTAATTATAGTAGAGACTATTGATTGTCTATCAATATCAAGTCCTTCTTCTTAAGTATTAAAATGCCCAAGCTTTAGCTCTATGCATGGCTACACAGGAACTCATTTTCCAGCTACTCTTGCAGCTTGGTGTTGCCATGTGAATAAATTCTGTCCTATTGGATGGAAATAGAAAATATGTGTGCTATTTCTGTATTTCATAAAAAAATGAATGCATCATTGCTCCTCTTGCCCCTTCCCTTGTTTCTACCACTTGGGAAATGAGAAGGGGAGCCGTCACCTTTAGACCTAGAGTTGAAAGTTCCACATTGAAAATGTCAAAGCTGCTCTCAAAATCTTGAACTGCTATGTAAGAAATAAATTTGTCTCTTGCTTAAGCATTGTATTTTGGGTCTTATGCACTGATTTTGTTTTCTACAATTAATACAGAGTTTGTCTCTTAGAGTTGGACCACTACTGTCCTAACAGGTATGGAAAACACATGCCATTGTCTTAGCATTTGTTTGTAAGGGGTAAGACACACACATTTTAGGCTTGAAAGCCAGAGATCCCTGTTATACTTGAATAAGACATTTGATAAACTCTCATCTGAAATGCTTTAGAAAGGCAGACCATATCTAGCCATGCTTGGAAAAAGTTACACTGTTGATGTGAGCTAGCTTCTTTTCTTTTTTTTCTACATTTAGCAAAACCCTATCAGAGAGTTGAAGTCAGGCTAGCTATTAGAGGTAGTGCTGATGAAACACTTTATGAAGGTGGGGTCTCAAGTCTGTATTGCCTCCCTCTCTCATCATGTGTTATTATTGTTCAGAAAATGGGAGAGAACTCAGTGCCAAAGATCAGATTAACAGTGTTTTCTTCCCACATAAGCCCATTGTTTCAAATTATTGCAAGATAGATATAATTGAGAGAAAAAAACAGACAGGAAGAAAACCTTTGGCTGTGATTACTTACACAGGAACTAAGCTGAATGAAAATAGGTCAAATACCTACAGAGATTTTGAGGGAATATTACTACCAATGAAACTGCAAGCGTGGCCTGCAAAAGCCTGTGACTTTTTGCTGACTAAGCTCCCAAACATACACAGTCTGTGTTTGGGGTTGGAGTTCACATAAATAGAAATCTTTATAATGCATGGAATTTACAAATTATAAATCTACTAAACAACATACTAAATAATATATTTTCTATCTTCTTACCCTGAGAAACGTACTGTATTTGTCAGGATTCTCCAGAGAAACAGAAACAATAGGATACATGTGTATATATACAGAGAGAGAGAGAGAGAGAAAGAGAGAGTTTTTTTTATGAGGAATTGGCTCACGTGATTATGGACACTGAGAACTCCCATAATCTGCTAACTATAAGCTGGAAGCCCAGGAAGGTCTGTGGTGTAGTTCCAGTCCAAAGACAAAGGCCTAAGAACCAGGGGAGTCAATGATGTAAGTTGCAGTCTGAATCAGAAAGCCTTAGAACCAGGAGCACTGATGTTTGAGGGGAAGAGAAGATGAATGTTCCAGCTCAAGTAAAGACAGCAAATCTGCCTTTTCATTCTATTTCAGTCCTCAGTGGGTTGGATAATGCTCACCTGTATTGATGAAGGAAGATCTTCATTGCTCAGTTTACCAATGCAAGTGCTGATTGCTTCTGGAAATACCCTCATAGACAAAGCCAGAAACAATGTTTTACCAACTGTCTGAGAGTCCCTTTGATCAGTCGAGTGAACACATAAAATTAACCATCACATATACCTTTACAATGACCTTAATATCCAAGTTAAAATTTAAAATTCAGAGACTCATTGGAGTTTCACTGCAGCAGTGCATGGGTGGCTACCTTGTGGCTCACAGCTCATTGCCCTTCTTTTCTCAGTCTTATTTCTATCCTGCATCAAAGAGTCTTGAAAGACATTTAGAGGTTTCTGCTCCTTATGCTCACTTCCAAGATCCATAGACAACCCCTGCGTATGGGTGGGCTCATCCACTGTCACAAACAGCTGACATGCTTAGCAAATTATCATTAACGGTACTTGTATCTGGATACAGGCATATGGGTAATATGTATCAGGGTAACCTATTACACTTTGTCTTTCCTTCATTTCATTTCTTCCTTGTTATTACCACCATAGCCATAAGCAGCACAAAATGCAATTATTCTCTAAGGAACTATACATTTTCCATACTGTATCACAATAATTTGTTTACATTTCTTTAAAATCTGAGTTTTCTAAAAACAGGGCCAATGGGTGTATTCACGCTTGAATTTTTCAGCAGCGATTGCCTTGTCTTACACAAAGTACATATTTAGTGTGTATTAGTTGAGAATACATGAATACATGAGAATACATGAATGACTGAGTGAAGAAATGAATTGTATTTTTATAGCTTTCAACTCTATGTAGTAAATTGAAAATGTATCAAGGCTTCAAACCGTTCCCTTCTAAAGGAGACCACACTAACATTTGGATAGATGGATTAGAAGACTCAGAAATGTGTCACCTGTGCAAAGACGTGAAAAATGGTCAACCCTGTTTATATTTAAAATTGACCAGAAATATTTCATTTTGCTTCAGTTCTAGGAAGAGCTCAGGTTTAGAGTGAGGGCACGTTTTTATCAGCAACAGTTCACTCAATATTGCCTAAATAAGCTTGCTAAAGCAATGACTAGAGTGAATGTTTAAAATTCCCCAAGTGTTTGGGCTAAAGAAATCATCTATATGTTAATATAATGATTCTCAGTAGTTACTCCAGAGGTTTGTAAGATAAGAGGATAATATTGTAGGGTTTAGTAACACTGAGAGCTTTCCATGTCCCCTTGTCATTTTATCTTTGTTCCCTTAGAAAAACTCAGGATGGTACAAAACATATCTTTATTTTCACATTTTCAACATTGCTTTCTTTATGCACATATACTGAAACCATCTGTCTAAATTGTGGCAAAATCTGCCAGTTCCAGATTGGCCTCGTTAGTCATTTGAGAACACATAAACAGAGGGATTATGGAAAAATAAATAAATCTTGGATGGATCATCCTGGTCTGGGAAGGTTTTTCTCATCATCAGCCTTGTTGCCAGACATGAAAAGGAACAGGTTTACATCTTTAAAACACTTGGAGGAGTTCTTACTCTAGAATATGGATAAAAATCTCCCAGTGACCCACTTAATCTTTTTTCATATGGCTGAGTTGAAACAAAGGAAAAACTAGCATTTTAGGAAGCTGGCAAGTTCTTT
The DNA here is from genome assembly GCF_000001405.40 of Homo sapiens. Taxonomy (NCBI): domain Eukaryota; kingdom Metazoa; phylum Chordata; class Mammalia; order Primates; family Hominidae; genus Homo; species Homo sapiens. Next base: position 120,989,452 of record NC_000008.11, read on the forward strand.
CAGGGGTGAAATTCTACAAGTGTGCCAATAGAGAAGCACTTATCTAAGGAATGAGAAATAATTAGAGTGAAAGAAAATGAATTTTGGACACTATCCTAAAGGTAGTGTTTTTCTAAGCTAGTCATGAACTCACCCCCCGACCCCATCCCTAAATGTTTGTATTTGCTCCTAGCCTTAACCTCTTCCCTGTGAATAGCGTAGTCTAGCTGTGGATTGAATCATAAGACATGTATCTACTGTGCAAGCAAATTTCTTCCACGGTAGGAAGTCTCCTCATTTATGTTTTCTTTGGAACTAACAGAGCCTAAAAGACTAATGAATATCATAGGGAAGATGTGCTAGTGAGTAGAAGGAAGACTGCTAACATGGCATAAAATGAGGTGAATTTTTCCCCCAATTCCCAACAAAAACAGTAGCAAGAAACTCTCTACTACCAGCTTTTTGCCATGTCCTACATTACATTATTTGAGTTCATCCTTTGAGTCCTCAAAGGCTATATTAGGGTATGTTCAATTGCGGTGTTTGAATCTCAGTGGTTTAATGCACTATGAGTTTATTTCTCATTCATGTCAAAGGCTAATGAAAATCAGATGGATTTACTTTAAAATCAATGCCTCAGGGACCCATGTTTCTCCTATTTTGTGTTGGTGCCATCTTCAACTCATACCATCACTGTTGCTGACACAGTGGAAGACAGAGCACAGAGTACTGCCCAGGGAGTTTAATGCTGCACCTGGAAGTGCCATGAATCCATCCACTTGGACTCAACTTGCCTACAAAGAGACTCAGAAATGTACTTCTGTTTAATGTCCAGGAAGTGGATATAGGATTGATGAGCATGTAGCTGGTTTCAGCTCCAAAGACAGTTGAGTTTATGGTAGATTGAAAAAAATGGCCACACTATTTTTGCAGCTCTTTCCTTTAAGAGATAACAACTATAACCCTACTTCTTCCACCTGGGCTAGCTTGGTGTTTTGCCTTCACCGATAGAATGTGACTGAAGTGGCAGTTGCTAGTTCCAGAGCCTAGTTTTCAAGAGGCCATGCAGCATATGTTTTTGTCGTCTTGGAATTCTGCCCGAAGGCTGCCATTTAAGGAAACTAATTCTAGCCTCCTGGATGATGGGAGGCCACATGGAGGAAAATCAAGTCACCCCAGCCAACAAGTGAAACTTCTAGCCCACTGACCCTTCTCCTGAAGGTAACTCAGCTGCATGAGTGGGCCAGGTGAAGTGAGGAGAATTGCACAGTCAAAGAACAGAATTGTGATAAATAATAAATTGTTAGTTTAAGTCACTGAATTTGGGATTTCTTATGTAGTAATGGACAATTGATACAAGTTTAAAACTTTAAGACTAAAATGGGAGGGTCAACCTTTGTAGACCTGAAGCTGGTAGCTTTCAAAGGGGTGAGTTTGTCAGGGCTTTTTCAACCCTACCGCTAATCTGAGCAAGGCTTAGTAGGCATGTGGCATTAGCTAGTATCCTAGAGGAGGATGGTGGTGGTGGTGGTGGTGATGGTGCTGGTGGGGTGTTAACAAGGGAAAGAAAGAATTCCAAATAGCAGCTTACCAAACTCACAAATTGCTTCTGGTTTATGGTTTGGAAATATGAGTTATAAAAACCTAAATAGTGAAGAGAGCATTTTTTGGCCTGGGAGACATTTTGGTTAAATGTCTTCTGGAAACTTCTATAACTTTGTCACAGTGGAATATGTTCCTTTTTAACAAATAGCATTATTTCCTTTATATGTATTAATTTTTCCATATTAAAAACACTTTTTACAGCTCCATGTATTGGAATATTTTACTTCAAAATTAATTTTGTTCTAACAAGACTATTAAGGGCTAATTTCATGTGTTACAGCACTTTTTATTTGAATTATCCCATTTTTGGAATATGCCTAAGTGGTTTTAATTTCAATTTATTTTCTCTTTAATGAAAAATACTTAGAAAGATATTTTAAAATTTATGACTGTGTATATATTTTACTTTTGTTAACTTTTATTATATAGTGATTAGAAGATGTGGCTAGCATAATTTCTGCCTTTTTGAAATTGTTAAAACCTTTTTGTGGCCTAATTCACATTTGATTTTTTTCTGACTATGTCTGAGTAAAAACAGATCTAGGCTTAGTTGAATTATATATATATATATATATATATATATATATATATATATATCTTAAATCCAGCTTATTAATATTATTATGATTTTCTTCATGATTTATTCATTTATGTGAAACTAATGTTTAAGTTTCTTTATCTGACTATAGATATGAAACATTTTAAAATTATATTTTTATTTATTTATTTATTTATTTTATTTATTTATTTATTTTCCTGTAGACCACCAACCATTTATTGGAAATAAAATGACATCTGCTCATACATTAAGGATAAAAGCATTTTAAACAGACTTTCACTTAACTAAAGATAAATATAGGATTCATCATGGCACTTATTGTTACAGTCAACATATTCAAAGGAATCAAGCTCTAATGCTCTAATAATATCATTTTCACCTCTTCTATTGACCCAAATAATTTTGCTTTATTATATTAATGTATTGAAAGCTAAATACATTAAATTCGCTGAATATTAAAATTCTCTTCATTGCAGTGCCCATTTCTACATAATATTTTTTCTATTCCCATTGTCTGTGGGGCTGTGAGAATTCCCCATATCTATAACCCAATGCATCTTTTTACTATATCTAAACTCCATTGCTGCTGGTTTTATATATATATATATATATATACACACACACATATATATATATACATATATATATATATTTTTGAGACAGGGTCTCACTCTGTTGCCCAGGCTGAAGGGCAGTGACGTGATCTCAGCTCACTGCAACCTTTACCTCCTGGGTTCAAAAGATTCTCCTGTCTCAGCCTCCTGAGTAGTTGGGACTACAGGTGCCTGTCACCGTGCCAGGCTAATTTTTGTATTTTAAGTAGAGACGGGGTCTCAGCACGTTGGCCAGGCTGGTCTCAATCTCCTGACTTCAGGTGATCTGCCTGCCTCAGCCTCCCAAAGTGCTGGGATTACAGGCGTGAGCCACTGTGCCCGGCCCGTAATATTTTTAATATATATATTTCTGTGACATTGAAAGTACTGGCTTTGCTCTGTGCTAAACTGCCACAAACAACTGTTAGGCTGATTTTCTCTATGTTCTCTTCTCTGCTTCTTTTAGTTTTCTTTTTTCTTTTTTTTTTTAATTATACTTTAAGTTTTAGGGTACATGTGCACATTGTGCAGGTTAGTTACATATGTATACATGTGCCATGCTGGTGTGCTGCACCCACTAACTCGTCATCTAGCATTAGGTATATCTCCCGATGCTATACCTCCCCCCTCCCCCAACCCCACAACAGTCCCCAGAGTGTGATATTTCCCTTCCTGTGTCCATGTGATCTCATTGTTCAATTCCCACCTATGAGTGAGAATATGCGGTGTTTGGTTTTTTGTTCTTGTGATAGTTTACTGAGAATGATGATTTCCAATTTCATCCATGTCCCTACAAAGGACATGAACTCATCATTTTAACATTTGTTTTAAATATTTAGATGCTTCATGACTAAGTATATATCAGTTCTTGACTTACAGTATCATCTTCAGGGATTAAAGCATTAGTGAATTTTTAAAAAAATTCTCTGATTAACCTGAAGCTTTGTCATTTCTATTAATATTATCATGTCTTTTTTTTAACCACTTTTTATTAGAACATTTTTTTCAATCTGTTTGCTTTCCATCTTTCCATGTCATACTGTTTGGAATGTCTTTTGTGAACAGCATATAACCACATGGTTTTCTCGTTCAGTTTTGTTCTTGGTGATTCAGTAAAAATCTGATATTGGACTTTATCTTTGTCCTTGGGTTTTGAAAGCCTGAAGAGCCAAATGGCCTCTTCGATACCATTTCTGGCATTCCCGAAGTATGTGCAATCACATGATTATGCAAGTCTTAGGATGGGTTCCCCGCAAAGCTGACCCTGAGAAAAGGATGTGAGTATGAGTTATTTGTGAGGTGAGTCTATGAAACACTAGTTGGTGGTTGGGAAATGATACAGGAAAGGGAAGAAAGCCAATAAAGGTATATTATTGAATCTGTTATTATGGTAACTAGATCTCAATTGTAGTGCAGAACTCTGGTGGATAGAGTAGACCACACCTCAGAGTAACCCCAGCTGAAATGTGAGTAGCTGAGGTATTTGTCCATCAAAACCCATCAATTATTGATGGAGGACTTTCTGAGGGTGTGGAGGGTATCTTAACATTTCAACCTTTCTGGCCTACGTTGTGCACAGGTTGAATAGGCTCCTATGCTTGGAGAAAGCTTTCAAGGGAAGAGACCAAGGGCTCCCATCAGAAAACTTTATGTTGGCCTTCCCTGGAGCATGAGTGCTTACGGCATTTGGGTGACATACCAACAGTGACATTTGAATTTGTTGTCAATATCTGAGTATTCTAAATATTAATAGCTGATTATTTAATGTTTTAGTGTCAAAAAACAAGCTAGATGCAACTTGCAAAAAAATCTTAAGAGCTCTACTTGCTGAAATGTTAAAAGTTCACTGAAATAAAATGTATATTCAATATTGAAAAATTTGTGATTTTAAAGATGATTTTAAAAGTATGTTGATTCTATGTTAAATATAATTAAGAACTTTAAAATATTTTTAAAATATAAAAGCTGTCATTTAATATGAACATTGAGAGTATTTTGGCTAGAAAAAATGGTGAAATTTATTATTTTTGAATCAAAAATGTATATAAAATTTAAATTATAAAAACCAAATAATAGAGATTATATCTTAATTTTAATCTTTGTAAAATTATTAGTGTTCTTAATGATAAACACTTAACCCCTGAGAACTTCACTTAATTTTTAATTATTTAATTTAATATATGAATATTTTAAACAAAAAGAATATTTAGAAATTATTCACATGTGAAAATAGAATATCAATTTAGCTGTCTCAAATTATTAAGAGTTGGAAAGCTTTCAAACTCATCCCTAAAGCATCCAAGATATACATCTTGGGCCCAGGCTTCAAGACTTCAAGGGCAGGGAAAAAAAGTTTTTTATTTGTTAAAATTATAACAGTCCATTGAAATATAAATGTACATTCATTATTATAAAATACAACCAGCAAGTATTGGAGAAAAGGGATTAGAAGAAAACATAACACCAAAATACATTTTGTTCATTCAAATCAAACTTTAAAAGAACAAGCTTTTCATGAATACTTTTAAAAGAAAATTCGTAGCTGGGCACAGTGGCTCATGCCTGTAATGCCAGCATTTTGTGAGGCCGAGGCAGGAGGATCCCTTGATGCCAGGAGTTCAAGACCAGCTTGAGCAACATAGTAGACCTTGTCTCTACCAAAAAAAAAAAAAAAAAAAAAAACCACAATAGCGGGGCATGATATAGTCCTAGCTACTGGAGAGGCTGAGATGGGATTATAACTTGAGCCCAGGAGTTCAAGATTACAGTGAACCATGATTGTGCCATTGTACTCCAGCCTGAGCAGAAGAAGAAAATTCCTTATTGTTTTGAGTCTAGGATGCCTTTATTTTGGTTGTGATGAGACGAAAGAAAAGCTTAATAACTTTAACTTTTTGGCAACATATCATTTGCAGCATTTTGTATCACAGAGCCAGTCAAATTGCTCTCCTATGGAAGGCACCAAAAAATAAGCTTTATTTTGTATTGCAAAGTGCAATTCACCAATGACCAAGGCAGCTGACAGGGCTGCAAAATCACTGTTCCTGCGCCATAATGTCAAATCTGTAAAATTTGGCCCCACTTAAATTCTGCCAAAAAGAATAGTCACATACATCCTGCTGTGTGTGTGTGTGTGTGGTTTCTGACAACAAGCATTTATTCTCATGTTACTTGTTTGCAACTGATGTGACCTAGCTTTCACTTCCGGGTTGAAAGAACAACTGGAGTTACTTAACTCCTTCCAGGAGTTATGGAACATGCAAGTTCTTGTTCTTGTCTTCACAGTTCTGGAGGCTAGCAGTTCAAAATCAAGTTGTCAGCAGGGTTGTCCCTCCTGAGGACTTTCCCCTTGGCTTGCTGATGGCCACCTTCTCCCTATCCTCACATAGTCTTTCCTCTATCCAGGCTCATCCCTGATGTCTCTTTGTGTGTCCAGATTTCCTCCTCTCCTAAGGACACTAACCAGATTAGGTGGGGGTACCCTCTAATGGTCTCCATTTAATTTTGTCACTTCTTTAATTGCCCTATCTCAAAATACAGTCACATTCTGATGTACTGGAGGTTAAGGCTTTATCATATAAATTTTGGGAAACACATTCAGCCCACAACACTCTCCCTTGGAGGTGGCAGATGTCATGCCTGCTCAAATGCTTTGGTCAGAGCAAGTCACATGATAATGAATGGGGCTGTATAATCCTCTGAGAGGGGAGGGAGGAAATTCACTTGAGGAATAATAGTGGCTTCTACTCAAGAATAGATTTGTTTATACTTTTGCTACTCCATCTTATGCAATTTAATTAAGCATACAAACCTATCAACACACCTACAAAGTTAACAGCCAAAACACCATAGAATTTTTGTAGTTTCTATATTCACCTTGGGATGTCCAGGGATGGGGACTGCAGAGTGGTTGTAGAGGGTCTCTGACTCCATATTTATACAGGTTTTTTTGTACAGCACTTAAGTAATACATGGTTTAGCACATATATTTGTAATAATAAAATAACTCAAGAATATAGGAAAATACAAGTACACAAAAAATAACATGAGACGTCCTCCGGTGCTTACTACCAGATTAACACTTTGCCGTATTTAATCTAGATATCTCCTGAGCTCCTGTATCTTAACCTATTTCTGTATTTGATTTATCATGTATCTATTCACCTCTCCATGCCTCTTTCCATATATCAATTTACCATTTTTAAAAACACACCCCAGTGTAAGTTTGAGACATCAACACATTAGCACTAAGCACTTCGGCATACAAATCCTGAAATAAATTCAATTTTGGTTTTCATTCTTTATTCTTTTGACATAAGATTTAAATACAGTGAAGTGCACAAATCTTAAGGATGCTATTTGGTGAATTAAGATCAACATATAACATGTAACTGTCCCCCAAAGCCTACCAAGTCATGACCATCATTCCAGAAAGCTCCTTTGTGCCCTTTCACAGCCAAGCCCAACCTTCAGTCACTCAAGAGGCAATCATTTCTGAATTTTTTCATTACAGGTTTTTATTTTGCTGTTTTAGAACTTCATATGAATGGAATAATTTAGTATTTAATCCTGCCTAAGGCTCCTTTCACTCAGCATAACATTTCTTTTTTTTTTTTTTAATACTTTAAGTTTTAGGGTTCATGTGCACAACGTGCAGGTTAGTTACGTACGTATACATGTGCCATGTTGGTGTGCTGCACCCATTAACTCGTTATTTAACATTAGGTATATCTCCTAATGTTAGGAGATAACATTAGGTATATCTCCAGTATGTGATGTTCCCCTTCCTGTGTCCATGTGTTCTCATTGTTCAATTCCCACCTATGAGTGAGAACATGCGGTGTTTGGTTTTTTGTCCTTGTGACAGTTTGCTGAGAATGATGGTTTCCAGCTTCATCCATGTCCCTACAAAGTACATGAACTCATCATTTTTTATGGCTGCATAGTATTCCATGGTGTATATGTGCCACATTTTCTTAATCCAGTCTATCATTATTGGACATTTGGCTTGGTTCCAAGTATTTGCTATTGTGAGTAATGCCACAATAAACACACGTGTGCATGTGTGTTTATAGCAGCATGATTTATAATCCTTTGGGTATATACCCAGTAATGAGATGGCTGGGTCAAATGGTATTTCTAGTTCTAGATCCCTGAGGAATTGCCACACTGACTTCCACAATGGTTGAACTAGTTTACAGTCCCACCAACAGTGTAAAAGTGTTCCTATTTCTCCACATCTTCTCCAGCACCTGTTGTTTCCTGACTTTTTAATGATCTCCATTCTAACTGGTGTGAGATGGTATCTCATTGTGGTTTTGATTTGCATTTCTCTGATGGCCAGTGATGATGAGCATTTTTTCATGTGTCTTTTGGCTGCATAAATGCATAACATTTCTAAGATTTAGCCAATTTATTACATTTAGCTGATACTTCATTTCTTATTGTTGCAGAGTAGCACTTCATTGTTTGAATGTACTACAATTTATTTACCTATTTTCTTATTAATGGACACAGGCTATTTCCATTTCTTGGAAGTTATCGATAAATATGTTACAATTTTGGTAGACATATGCTTTCATTTCTCTTGGGTAAAAATTTAGGAGTTAATACCTAAAGTCATAGAGGAAGTACATGTTAAGTTTTCAGAAAAACTGCCAGATATTTTTTCCAAATTGGCTGTATAATTTGACACTCCCACCAACAATGTTTGAGAGTTCAGATTGTCTACTTCCTTGCCAGCATTAGTGTTAGTCTTTTCACTTGGGGCCATTCTGGATGGTGTATAGCAGTTTTTAATTATTTGTTAAATTTTATTTCTCTGATGACGAATAATGTTGAATAGTTTCTCATGTGCTTATTGGCCATTTGTACATCTTCTTTTGTAATTTATCTGTTCAAATATTTTGTTCATTTATACCTCTAATTTTAACACGGAAACTTATTTTTTTTTTACTGGACTCTAATGAATTGATGAGTTTTTATTTGTTTCTCCCCCAGTTTCTATTATCCATGATTTGGAAGCTATGTATCCTGTTTTAAAATCACTAGGTGTTATACTATTGCAATGCTGTTTCTATAGTATTTTCAGTCTATTAGTATAACAGTCTATTTCAATACAACTAAATACTGTTTTGTTGTTGTTACACCATTTGTTTTATATTTTAACATCTATATGCTTAATCATTTGTATCTTGAGATGCAACTGGAAAGTTATATAATGAATTAAAATTCTGATCAAATCTATATCTATCTATCCTTCTTTCTAAAGCACACTCCATTTAAATCTTTTCAGGAAATATTATTTAGGTTTTAATTACCATTTCCATAAATCCCCTGGAGGTTTAACATCTTTTCTTTTGTTGATTAGCCACTTGTGTTTTTCTCAAAGGTCTCTGATGAAGTGATCATGGAGTGGAAATATATAAAAGGAAATAAGAAGAGGAGGTGATAGCAGGATTAGAGGAAGATAGAAGGGGAGAGACAGTCCTTGGCCAAATTCTTAGTCCTTCCCATAGAGCCTCATTGTTTTCACTAATTGAAAGCTAGATTTTCTCCACTAAACTCCCTTTTGTTTTTCTTCCAAGACCAACTCCATTATTTTAAAAGGAGCAGATTCTTTTTCCCCTGGGATAATTTATTTTACATTAAAACATCTTTGATATAGTTTGCATGTTTGTACCCTCCAACTCTTATGTTGAAATGTGATTCCCAATGCTGGTGGTAGGACCTGGTGGGAAATGTTAGATCATGGGGGTGGATCCTTCATGAATGGCTTAGCGCCATCCCCTTGGTGATGAGTGACTACTCATTCTGAGTTCACAGGAGATCCGGATGTTTGAAAGACTGTGACACCTACTATGTCTTTCTCTGTCCCCTTCTTTTACCATGTAACATGGCTACTCCCCCTTCACCTTCCACCATGATTGGAGACTTCCTGAGGCTTCACCAGGAGCAGATGCAACACCATGCTTCCTGTACAGCCTGCAGAATCATGAGCCAAATGAAACCTCTTTTCTCTATAAATTACCCAGCCTCAGGTGTTTCTATATAGCAATGCAAAACCAGACCAATACAGTCTTCCCTAATCAACCTGCCTGGAACGACTAAAGGAAGGAGGATAGAATACCTTTAAGTATCAACTGCATTTGTCCTTTTTAAGGTGGAGTTGTATCTGAAGGCAGAATTATGACCATATTGCATATATTTATGAATTATTTAAAATATTTATTAGCATTTAATACATTATCAACGTTAGTACATTACAATCCAACAATAATTCTGATGCATTTAATGTCTATCACATTGTGTGTGCATTCTGCAAAATATGTATTGCCTAATGTGAAGGTATTTTTAGTTTATATAAATATGTTGTGAAATACGTGGGTTCTGCTTATTGTTTTTCACAAGTACAATGATTTTAATATCTATTCATTGGATGGTGACCTTTTACCACATATCTATTCACCTTCTTAGTGCCAGGTAATCTGGATATACATTCTCCAATGTTTCCATTATAGGTGACAATATCTTTGGGATATAGATCCAAGAGTGGAAATTCTGAGTCACGGATTGAATGTCTATGTAATATGACTAAATTATGCCAGATTTCATCCAGGATGACTGTACTAGTCTTCAACATACGTTGTCAGGGCTCAAGGACACTTACAATCCGTTGGCATTAACTGGCTTTCTCATTTTGTTAGTCTACTATGTGTCTGGCTATTGTCAAAAATTCATTGTTCTTGAGAGGGAGTTTCATGACTATAAAGCAAAAAGCCACTGAAAAGAAAAAGCGTGGCAAAGTGCCATAGTTTGTCTATTTGTCTTAGAAATATAATTTAGATGTCAGCTGATTGTCATAGGGACACAAATTAATACATTTATTTGAGTTGATAACTAAAGTGAGGCATTTCCTTGTAGAAAGTGAGTCTGGAATCAATAAATTGGTTAGACAATGAGGGCTGCCTTTGCCAGTTATGTTATTAGTGGATATTTTTCATAAGCTGAGTGAGTTCAATGGTAGCACCCAGGTTTTGAGGAAAGTATATTTAAGCCACATGATGAGATAAAGGCATTTTATTAAAAATTAATATTGCCAGAAGTGTACTGAAAATAGCAATATTTTGAGTTCCTTAAACCTTTCTGAGGACATTGGGTTAAATGGGGTTCTGCTGTGTGAAAGACCAAGAGTCATTTAATAAGACTTGGTAAAACCTTTCTGGTGTATTTCCCAGAAAATGAATAACTTTCATGGCTGGATAACAAATCACCTTGCAGGTCAGATTCTTTCCAGTTTTTGGCTTTCAACAAAATCAAAGGAAGAAATAACTAAGTTGTCAGTTGAGAAACTATTGAAAATAATTTTAAATGGTAAATGATAAATCACTATATGAATTTTGTCATTTAACTTGGAGGAAATTCAAAGAAAAGGAGATGATATTGCTATAGAAAATTTCTCCCATCTCATTCTATTTATTGTGTTTTCTCAGAATTTACATCTATAAAAATGAAAAACAGGAATAGACGTGAGACTCAAAATAATCTTATTCTAGTATTAGGTCATACTCAGCCCTTATGAGCTAATTGCAAAAACAAACAAAAACTCATCTCATTAACAGACATACTTCCACAAATTTTTTGTTTGATGAGTTTCAAAATTTTTAATGTATTTGTTTTTTTAATTGTGAACTAGTGCCTTTATGATACATTCCAGAAGAAATTTCTTAATACTTAAAACCTGAAATTATCATTTTATACTTTTATAAATATTTTTGCTATAGAAAAATATGGTAAGATGATCTTTTAAATATAGAAATATGTTATACTAGCATACTCTGTGTGTGTGTGTGTGTGTGTGTGTGTTGGTGGGGGTGGGGATGGAAAATAAGTTCAAGGAGAAAAAGAAATGAGATAAAATTCCTGTTAAGGAAGATCTTGTTTATATATTTAAAAAATAATTGATGGCAAGTATGTATCTCTATGGCATTTAGATTTACTGGACATATTTAAAAGAGTGAGTAATCATATATTTTAAAATATCAAAATTTATAATACACCTAAAGTCACATACAATGTACCTATTTAAACTTTCGATTTAAAAAAATGGAGACATCAACCTAAATACATGTGTTTTAGGGAGAATGTAGGTAAAACATTTTGAAGACCACCAACCTAATTCACAAAGGCAGTAGAAAGCAAAGGAGGCATTTGAAGCCAGGTGTTTTGATTCCAGGTTTCAGCACTTGGTATCCATTACAGTTCCCTGGAGGGAAAATCACATGGCAGCAGGATGCATCTTAGTTTCAGTTATTTTTCTTCACCAACCAATTCAGAACTTGAAGACAGGCAAGGATAGAATCAACATGCCCAGAGAACTGGGGAAAGACTGTCAGATCACAAATTGTAAGCATGCTTCTGCCTGGCACAGTGCCAGCCACATAATAGGTATTAATAGAAGTCGAATGAATAAATAAAGATCACATGGCTTTCCTCATTCATTAATAAAGTTTCCTTAAAGTAGTTCAACTTATTATTGTGTTATGATCTAGGATCAATTTTGAGATTACTACAATATTATAAATTTCAATAATGAGACAAATCTTAACAAAAATGTCCAAAATTTTCTGTGCCAGACTGATACCTATTCTTAAACTCAATCTGTATCAGAATGGCAGTTTGGAACGTTAGTGACTAATATTAAATTACCAAATGTAAGCCATATCCACATTAAATTCAGAACTGGGTCAACTCAATCCTTAAATAGTAAAAGACAGCAGCTTCTACCTTTACCTAATTTAATAAATAAGAGGGCTTTAAAATCAACTTTTGTTTGTGGTATGTAAAAATGGTATACAAGTGACTGAAATCAATGAATAAACTCAATATAATTTAAACCATATGTCTGTGCTTTTACTCTTCCTCTTCACTGCTTTTTCTGCCTCCTCCTTTTCTTTTGATAAAGCAAACATACTGGGTTAAATTTTAGCGATTTTAATTTTTCAGAACCGTCTTTGGGATTAGGAAGGTTTGAGATGGAAATGGATTTACCATGATGATACTGAAGTTTAAGCTTTAGGACTCCTCACTTAACAAGGGGTCTTTCCAAAATCCTGGGAGGGTCATGTTCACATGGTTATGTGTGTTTAAAAAACTTGAAAAAGTAAGATATATTTAAAGTTTGGATTTAATGAGCTATATTTATGTGGTTTCTAGTTTCTTCCATGTACTGTTAAATTATTGCTAGCCATATCTTTAAAAATGGTTTTCAGGAATATTTCTACCAACCATCTTTCTGACTAAACCAAGGTCATGTCACGGAGGTGCCAGAAATCCTGCTGCATCATGAAGGGGGTCTATGGCATTTGGCATTAGAAGTATGAGATTTTTGCAAATTGTAGTGGAAAAGAAACAAAATTGCAAATATATGGAGCCAGGAGTTTGTCTATAGAGAATTCTACCGAATCTTACAGCTTGTATAGAAAGGATAGAGGTTTTCCATAAATTTGGCAAGAGATTAAATGTTTACATGAAATTACCAGTAATAGGTTGTGAAACTGAAAGGAACATTTCTAATCCATAAACAATACAAGACAAATTTTGACCAACCATACTAAAGGAAAGGCCAATTTTTTTTCCTCTTTGTAGACAAAGTTATGAAATTATTGTCAAGTGAAGAAGCAATCAAGAGTGTGCAGCCAAAACATACAGGCAGACAGGGCCCCATGGCTCACAGCTGTAATCCCAGCACTTTGGGAGGCCAAGGTGGGTGGATCACCTGAGGTCAGGAGTTTGAGACCAGCCTGGCCAACATGACAAAACCCTGTTTCTACTAAAAATACAAAAATTAGCCGAGTGTGTTGGTGGGCATCTGAAATCCCAGTTACTTGGGAGGCTGAGGCAGGAGAATCGTTTGAACCCAGGAGGTGGAGGTTGCAGTGAGCTGAGACCACGCCATTGCCCTCCAGCCTGGGTGACAGAGTAAGACTCCGTCTCACAAAAAAAAAAAAAAAAAAAAAATATATATATATATATATATATATATATATATATATATATGCAAATAAATATAGAGATGTGCCAGGCAGCTAATTAACATAAATACTATTTTAATTTTCCCTATATTCAGGTCTGTGGTATTTGTCAACCTTTTGAAATTAGTAATTTGATATAATTACTTTCTTACTGTAAATTTTTTTTAAATATCCAATTTGGGCTCACAATTTTGAATTCATTTTCCTTATAAAGGGCTCCCAAAATGTATATACTTCAGGTCTCATAAAACCTAGCTTTACCCATGATGCAACCCTGTTATTATGTAGATGAGAAAAAAGCTGAGAGGTAAGTTCTTACTTCTTGGAATCATATGTTAAAGGCAGGATTGCAGCAACAATCCAGGTCCCTGGACAGTGAATCAAGCCTCTTTCCATTAATCTATGCATAGAATGATTTAAGTTTTCTGTGTATGTGATTCTACACCTAGTTTTTTAGCTGAAAAATAGAAGTGTGATGCTGAACTCTAAGTCTCAAAGCCTACTATAGATAGGGAGATTATGGAAAAAAAATTTAAGCAGTTGTGTGTGGATTTTGTTGAGAAAAATAAGTGTATGTTTGCAAAGTAGCTGGAAAAAGAGGAATCCCCTTTAGGGTTCTACCAATTCTTACCAGCTGAAATGTTTTAGCAATCTTGGCATCACACTCTGAAATTTAGAAATGAAAATCCAAATGAAGTTCAACAGTGTTGCGTAAAGCAGGAAAGAACTAGACAATGTGAGACTCTTATTACTGATTAAAATGACATGGCCTATGCTGATATTCCTCAGGGTTCAGTTGTCCTGAAGTATACACTGCAGAAACCAGAGGATGTTTCAGAGCTTGGAGAGTGAGAGGGAATTTTATTCAGGTCCGTCATTGCAATCTCACCACAAATGTGGTCTAAGGAATCCATTTTAATTATGTTTTGTAACTTTCTCTGAACAACTAAAATGAATGTGTATTTGGGGAGTTCCAATTACTGACCTTGTGTGGAGGGCAAATAAAATAATGATTTTGTCTTCTAGTAAGACAGAAACTGTAAATTTGACCAAATAAATCAGACTTTTTCATACTGATGAGGACTAACTGGACCGTAATAAAATTTAAACTCATAAGCAGCAGTGATTTACTAAAAAAGCTTACAGCAGCTGTCCCAAGGATATTGGGCTTCCACTAAAGACTTGTTTTCCACGTTAAGCAAAGACTTTATGGCAAATGTACTATACGACCTTCTCAAATTTCAAAGGCCAACTGAAAGTACATTTAAACACTGGTCAGATATAGCACCTGATAGAGGCAAGACTGTCTAAACTGTGTCTTTGAACTCAGGGAGAAAAAATGGGTATTCACTTTGTTTCTTTTGGTTTAAAGGCAACTGGGCTCTCCAAGTATCTATTCTGAGAACTTGCTACATCCATCTTTGGGCCATATCTATGTCTCGGGTATTCTCTAAATACTGAGAGGTCTCCTCACCCATCCTCAGTTTGAGGTTTTGTGAGAGTTCCTGCCTAGGAGAACAGTGAAAAGGAGAATAAGGCAAATCCTAGTAGAGTTGGTTAAAAACTCTGCATGGATAATTACACTATGGAGTGGAGGCTGCAAGCTTGCAGCCTGTGGGAGACTCTAGATTGCAGGAATATTGCTTGGCTTGAATATCGTATTTAAGAAAAATTTGAGCCAATATTTAAAAATCCTGAATTTGACATGAAAAACATGGATTTGCTTTTCTAAAAATATTGTGTCACACTGGGTCTCATTGTTTTTTATTTATTTATTTATTTTTTGAGATGGAGTCTCACTCCGTCACCCAGGCTGGAGTGCAATGGCGTGATTTCATCTCATCTCACTTCAACCTCTACCTCCCGGGTTCAAACAATTCTCCTGTCTCAGCCCCCCGAGTAGCTGAGACTACAAGCGCACGCCACCACTCCTGTCTAATTTTTGTAGTTTTAGTAGAGACGGGGTTTCATCATATTGGTTAGGCTGGTCTTGAACTCCTGACCTCAGGTGATCCACTCACTTCGGTCTCCCAAAGTGCGGGGGTGCTGGGGTGCTGGGGTTACAGGCGTGAGCCACCGTGCCCGGCCCTGGGTCTCATTCTTGCAGGGATACCATGGGTTGTTGCTTAGTGAATGGGTAGACTGAGTACACACACCCTTACATACCCTGGCTCCTCAGAGAGGCAGTTGCTGATTCAGGATCAGACTTGAAAGAGCCTTATTAGGACAAATGCCCTTAAAGGAAGGAGAGGGGGAACTGGGGGCAACTATGAGGAGGAATCTAAGGCAGTGATGTAATTCTAAGAAAGCTCAGCAAGGCTAAAGGGAAGTCCTAGAGAGAGTGGTTTGCCCTAGAGTTCCACAGCCGCCAAGAATGGGCCTTCCTTCATTTTCCTGCTGCTCAGCTGAGGCTGGAAGCAGCCTGTGCAAGGTCTCTGAAGGGCTTCAGAGCTTTGCTGCTGGGGCGGCTAACTCACTAGCTCCTCTCCATTGGGGATCTGAGGGGAAGTTCTCATAGTGTCCATGCTTTCATTTCTTCCAGTCTTTCCTCTACTTATTATTTGCAAGGAAAGTTTGATCAGCATTCTGGAAGTTTAATTTTCTCATGCCCAACTATTTCCTTATTTCTCAGGCTATTGCTGGTATGGCATTTTCTTCTTTTGTTTCAAGGCCGAGGATTTTAAGGGCACTTTAAGCATGGTCTTTTGTCTTTTAAGCTATGAAAAATAAGAACAGGAACAATAAAGCAAAAAAGAAAACTAGACCAGGCACGGTGGCTCATGACTGTAATCCCAGCACTTTGGGAAACTGAGGTGGGCAGATCACCTGAGGTCAGGAGTTCGAGACCAGCTTGACAAACATGGAGAAACCCCATCTCTACTAAAAATACAAAATTAACTGGGCGTGGTGGCACATGCCTATAATCCCAGCTACTTGGGAGGCTGAGGCAGGAGAATCACTTGAACCCAGGAGATGGAGGTTGCAGTGAGCCGAGATTGTGCCATTGCACTCCAGCCTGGGCAACAGGAGCGAAACCCCATCTCAAAATAAATAAATAAATAAATAAATAAATAAAACAACTAGACGTTATACTTATATTGCAGTGGAAAGTAATATTATTACGGTAATTGACAGATTTAGACCCATTCATCTATCTATTCAACAAATATCAAATATCTAACATGTATCAGGCACATAGAACACACATGTGGGGTCTCAAGTGACCCTTGGTATACTTCTAGCCTGTTGGTTTGGAGAATTACCAATGTCATGGACCTTAGAATAAGGTCATAGTGTTTCTTTTTCAAATACGTCGGTACCTAAGTAATTTAGCTACCAAAATGTTTTCTGTACACTTAGACATCTTGCTATTTCTTTTTTCCCTCTCAGCTGAGAGGCGCCTGAAGCCTGACTCCAGGGTGCTGCATTTTTGTGTTGGGGCACTTCCTTGGCTCTTGATGCCATGCAATTTTATTTCCCTTATTTATTTGGAGGGAGCAGTTTCCCTCCTTATCATACCACTTTATCTTGCCTTATCTACCCTCTTCCCTTAGGTACTGGCTTCTAAATCTTCCCACATTATAGGAAATAATTGGCAGGTGGTAGGAGCCAGGCTGGGCTCCAGTGTGTTTAGACGGTCCCAGGGGTCCCTGGAGAATCTTGGTATTTAAGGTTGAATTGTGGCATTAACAATCCACATGGCACCAGCATTATGACAGAGAAGGATGTTATGACTTTGCTCCTGAAACCAAAAGGGAAGAAGACAAAATTCACAACTTGCAAGTCATCTGGAATGTTCTAATATCACTTCAAAGTATGAACATTGTATCATTCTTATGGGAGGGGGGTGAGGGATAAAAGACAACATATATGGTGTGGAATATACTGTTCAGGTGATGGGTGCACCAGGATCTCACAAATCACCGCTAAAGAACTTATGTAACCAAATACCACCTGTACCCCAATAACTTACGGAAAAATAAAATTTGAAAAAAGTGTAAACAGAGTTCAATTTCAAGATATATATTTTTAAGCCCAGAAAATAATAAAAAATATCCCTCCTTCAAGCTAGAGCCCACTTGTGTCTGGCAACTTGCCATCAGTGTGCAGCTGCTCTATCTTTTCTACCTGCACTCCACTGACAAGTCCATCTAAATAAGAACAATGGGGAAAGGAGGAGGAGAAAAGGAAAGAGAATTAAATCTTGAATCCATGCTGTCAGAATGTAACCGCCCAATAGGTTCACCTTGCCCGCTGCCTAGACAGGGCTGATTTATCAAGACAGGGGAATTGCAATAGAGAAACAGTAATTCACGCAGAGCCAGGTGGAGTTTTATTATTACTCAAATCAGTGTCCCAGAAAACTGAGGGATTGGGGTTTTTAATGATAATTTGGCGGGAAGGGGCATGGGAAGTGGGAAGTGATAATTTGGCGGGTAGGGGCATGGGAATTGGGAAGTGATAATTTGGCGGGTAGGGGCATGAGAAGTGGGAAGTGGGCATGGGAAGTGGGTTGGGGATGAAATCACAGAGGGTCGAAGTGAGTTTTTCTTAGTGTCTTTTGTTCCTGGGTGGGATTGCAGAACTAATTGAGCCAGATTACTTGTCTGGGTGGGGCCAGCTGATGCATTGGGATGCAGGGTCTGCAAAATATCTCAAGCACTGATTTTAGGTTTTACAACAGCACTGTTATTCCCAGGAGCAATTTGTTCAGAGTCTTTCAGCCGGAGGCTGCATGGCTCCTAAACATAATTTCTAAACTTGTAGCTAATTTGTTAGTCCTACAAAGGCAGACTGGTCCCAGGGAAGAAGGGGTTTATTTTGGGAAAGGGTTATTGTCATTTTTTTTTTCAAAGTTAAACTACAAACTAAATTTCTTCCCAAGATTAGGAAGACATTTCAGCCTACACCCAGGAACAACAGCTTAGAAGTTAGAAGGAAGATGGAGTCAGGTCAGATCTCTTTCACTGTCACAATTTCCTGTTATAATTTTTGCAAAGGTGTTTTCAAGAACATGACCTTGTCTTCTCTGGCCTTGTGAACGGGTGGGTGGCACTCTCTCCCCCTCTCTTTCTTGCTCTCTCTCTCTCTCTGTGCTTTTGTAAACTTTTCTGTATCACTTCTGAAGGCCTCTGGCTGCAGCTTCTCCATCCTGAAGGCTGTGTTCCTTGGAGGGTTGCTTCCTTTCATTCCCTGATTCTTCAGAAGATCCTGCCACAGTTACTTTCACTTTTGCAAATGCAATACTCCTAGGAGACTCTCCTGTGCAGAACTTTTTTTTTTTTTTTAAAAAGGCTCCAGGTCAGCTTTCTCTCTCTTAAGGCCCACAAAACTGATCCCTGGAAAGCATGCATCATCTGTATAGCACTTCTTTAGAGGGAAGTGTAATTTCTTTCTTTTTTTTTTATTGTACTTTAAGTTTTAGGGTACATGTGCACACAACATGCAGGTTTGTTACATATGTATACATGTGTCATGTTGGTGTGCTGCACCCATTAACTCGTCATTTAACATTAGGTATATTTCATAATGCTAAATGCACCTGACCAAAGCTTAGCTGGCAATGCAGCTTGCCCACCCGCTATCCTTCCCTCCAAGCTTCCAGGCAAGGGTCAGATCTCAGCCTCCCATCCCTACCAAACACTCATAGACTTATCTGAAGCTCTACAGGGAGACCTAGCAAGGGTTCTCAGGTTTGGCCAAAGGTGAAACGGTGGCACCCACATAATTCAGAGCTGGTAGCTACTCTATTCAAACTCTCTCTCTCTTCACTCTCTTGACCTTTTATGTACTCAAATTGTGCCAGGCATCACTGGTTCAGGGGCCGAAGTTTGAGAAGCCAGCCTAGAACACTTACGTTGGAAGTTTGCATTTTGCTCTGGCCCTTTGAATGTTGTATCTGTTTATCTTGCTCTCTCCATTGAAACTTCACTGATTTTATTCTGTTAAATACTGCAGATATGTTAACAATCTCTTCTGTTTTCTCACCTATAATTTGGGGATAATAATAGTTGCCTTGTGAGGAATAGATACATAATATATGTGGAGCACCATGCACAACATCCAGCACATAGGAGGAATTTCATAAAAGTTAATTTCCTTTCTTCCATTCCTCTACCCTCCCTCACTTAAATAAAAAGGCATTGTGTTTTGTTATACTGAAGAGAGATCTGGGTCCAGAGTCATTTTACAAAAAGAGTTAAGATTGGTCTTTGACTCATAATTCATGACATCTTTCCAACAGATTCATTTTTTAGACAAATATTTATTGTGTAGCTATAGGGTCAGCCATAGTTGTAGGTGATGGGGAAAAAAAATGACCAAGGCAAACCCCATTCTTGGAGCAGGTAGAACTCCTGTCTAGGAGGAGAGACAGCAGGATGGCTGATGAGAGTGTTCATGCTCATGTGTTTCTGAAGCTTTTTGTCTTAGTGATACAACAGATCTGAATAAAATGCAGGGCCTGTGAAAACCTCAGATTTAGACAGAGGACAACTCTGAGGAGGTTGAACAGGTGAGCACAAACAATCCATATTCCCAGCCAACGTTCATTAAAAGTAATGGCCAAAACCACAATTACTTTTGCACCAACCTAATATATCCTCCACTGTAGAATGCTAACAGGCTGCTGGCTCACCTAGTAGGCCAGAGAGACTTCCCAGAGTGTTTGAGGATGGAGACAAAAGATGAGGTCAGCATAGCTCTTGGTTGTCACTTGGTGAATCCTGAATAGATGATTGCAGGTAACTGATTATCAGTCTTCTCTTTTAATTTCACTGTTTGCTTTGTACATTGTTCAAAAAAGGAATTTGGGGGAAAGAAGGTTTTTGATTAAAAAGTCCGGTGTGATTACAGGGAATTGACACATGGAAACATGACCTTAATGCTCTTGTCATCATGATTGCTGATTTGAGTGAGTGAAAGGCAGTCTAGTCCAGTGGTTGCAGACTTAAATAACTGGATATGAATCCTTGATATGTAGATGGACAACCCTGCAATGTTGTGTAGACCAGTTCTCTTTTCTGGGCCTTGATTTCTTCATGTGTAAACTGAAGAAGTTGGATGAGATGATCTTTAAAATCCCTTTTAACAATACATTTTGTGGTTCTTTAACTTTATTCTTCAATAGTAAATGTAAAGAAACAAGAAACCTCTTTTACCTGTATCCCAAATACCGAAATTACCTGATATCTTTGTAGATAACTGAGAATATGGTGACAAGATTAGGGCTATTTACCCCATGTAACTTTTCTAAGTGTCAGGTTTCTGCATTCATGAATTGATAATTATATCTGGATTTACTACCTAGTTAGCGCTTCTTTTCAGATAATATAATGATTTTAAAATGTGACCCTTTTTGAATGATATAATGTAAGAAATTCTGAGGCAGAGAAGTTGTAAACAGCAAAGATGCCTTAGATACTCACCTGATCTTTAAGTACAGAGATTACCTTTTTTGTTTTTTTCTTTTGTAATTGAAAAAAATTACTAGAAATGCCGTGTTCCTTAGTAATTATCAGCAAAATGCAACAAAAACTCCAGCAAAGACATGAAGATTTGAGCACAACAAACCTGTTGCTTGTGATTTCTACTGAATCACTGTTCTGTTTTGTTATATGAATAGGCACAACTTTATCCCTTTGTGGTCAGTTATATCAGAATCCTATTTTATGCAGACCAGAAAAATTAATATTCATGCATAATTATGAAGACTAGTTGGAAGTTTTTCCCCATTTCTATTATATCTGGGTCTATTTTTATAGTAACTAGTAAAGGATGAATATACTTATGAAAATTAATCTCTTTTAGGATCTAACAATGAATGAAGCACATGAATTGCTACTTGTTATTTTTGTGTAATTATAAGCATAGAAAGATTCTGTTTTACTGTAGGGAAAGCAGTAATTATTCTGTTTTGCAGAAGTATGCACTCTCATGTTCAAGAATAGGAAAAAAAAGATGGAACAGCTGTTTTATTAAATTACCATCTTCTTCATCCTTTCCTATATTAATCCTCACTCTTTCAATATCTCTTTTTATTCTCCAAATGCTTATAATCTTTTTATTTGAATGTTCCCCTGTGTTACATTTTGATTTGGCCAAGCAGATGAATTACAAATGAAGTTCATGAAAAAGTCTATTGCTCTTAAGGGATATTAATTTCTTTCAGACTGAGATACACTATTAATATCTTCTTTTTCCTCCTATGGAAAAAGAAGTTCCTGAGACCTTACCGCTTCTTCTCCATTGCATTTGATTTTAGTATAAAGAACAATGGCTTGCATTATAACACTGTGAAGGCTTCTCCAACTTGTTCTTGGTTCTGGACATTTAGTTTCTCTGTTTAATGTAAGGGTGGTTTAATATTTCAGCACTACAGAAGTCAAGGACTTGTAAGCTGATTGATTTGGAAAGGATAGAGTTCAAAATGTACTGAGGATATATATATCCTCACATGACTGGTAAACCCAAAGTTGAAGACTTTTTTTAAAAAAAGGGTTAATAAAAGGGAACAATGACAATGCCTATGTATCAGTCAAATGGTTAGCCAATTAGTTAACGCGTTGAGTGAAGCCAGATGATTGGCTGCCTAAAACAAATTAGGTATGTTTGACATCAGAAAAACATAAAGTTTGGCTTGGGAATGTGAGGAGGCAGTTGAAGATCATTACACTTATAGAATAGCCAAAGTAGCCGATTATTATTTTCTTTTCTTGCAGGTGTAGGGGGAAATTGATGAGGCATTAATTAATTTTTAATTCAGTAAAGTTTAACAAATTTTTATTGAATACTCATATTGAATATCTATATTTTACCAAATACCCATATTGAATACCTTTTATTGCTTACCTATTGTGTTCTAATTCCTTTGCTAATCACTAGAGTTGAGTAATGTTTACATCAAATAAAGTACAGCTGAATTTTTGTTTCAAACAAATTAATTTTGTTTGAAGAGGTCAAGGGAAGTTGTTACACGGAGCAAAGATGTCAAGTATGTAATCACACTATTATCCACTTTATTCCACCCAGACTTATATGTCTGTCCTTGCATGGTTCAAATTCACTGAGCAACTAGAATCCATTATGTCATTATTTCCTCCCAGTTGAAACAAGTGCTGATGTGAGCCTATTTTTGCTGGACAGCCTATATCAGGTGACATTGTGTAGGAGAGTTTATTATTTTAGGATGATGCAAATAGTTAAATCCATAATCAAACATTGGTGGAACCACACCTAAGGAGAAAGCTGGACTCTGCTCCCTTCCTGTTTCCAAACATTCAAGGCCATTTAATGGTCTAAGTCTAAACATGCCAGAAAAGGAGTCCTTTCCCCTGTGAACGCATCACAATAATCTAATCTTTCCCAAGCACATTTTTAATTCATTTTTTATAAACTTCTCTCTCATACTGAAAACAAAATTTGTTGCTGCTGTTGTGGCTTAGTCAGAGAAAAGCATTTAAGGAAATGCTTATCCTGTTTTGTATAATCTGTTCTACTCTATTCAGAGCCATTTTATTTTATTGTGCTCACTCTTGGAGTATAATAGAGACAAAGATATTACTGCTACACTGGATTTACAGATGTTCAGTCATGACTCCTGCTTGACAGGAGTTTACAATTACAATGTAATGTGGATGTGGAGACCTGCAAACACATACAACAATACAAGCAAAGAGAAATAGACACTCTTAGAGAGGTACACAATGCTTTAGGAGTGATGAATTTCCTCAGAGTGATCAGAGAAACCTTCCTACTGAGTAGTATTTGAGTTTCCTTTGAAGGATAACAGTTTCTTTTTAATTCTCCAATTTTTCATATGTGCAGGTGCGAGAAGCACTGACCAGGTGGGAGACATTTCTGTGAGTGGGCTGAACAAACATTTTTGGTATAAGTTGCCATTGAGGACATTTTTCAGAGGTCAAGTCTCCTGTGGCTGAAGTTCAGGAAGCATGAGATGATTTTGTTGAGGGGGCTAGAGAAGTACATTGGGAATATATTGTGGTAGATTTTTCCTATAGTCCATGGGTAGTTCTTGAGTTGTGTAGGAAAAGGATCTGTCCTGGCAGCAATGTGAATATTGGATCCAATTGTTAAAAAATTAGAGGCAGGGAAAATCATTGCATTAGTGCTTGGAAGTGGTGATTAGGGCTTAAGATTGGAGAGATTGAATGCAAGTTAAGAAAAGAGATGTGGGAACCAAGAAACTATAAGTATGTGTAGCAACCCTTTCTAGAAATAGTCAAGAAATTTAAGGCTATCCAATTTTGTGATGAAGTTCCTCTCCTTGAATTTGTACCTTTGATGGTGGTGGAGAGTGTTATGTTCCAGGAGACTTTGATTTACATTAGAAATATGAATCATTCTCCACTTGTGTACAAATTGTAGCCAAATACAGTATTTTTCTCTTCACATATATGTTTGTTTTGATACCTACTTTTAAACAACAGAGTTCTCTCTGGCTTGTTTAATTTGTTTTTTTTAAAACGAATTCATTAAAGTCCATTTGGAAGGTACAGAGAGATGGACTCTGAAGCTTTGAAACCAGGCACAGTGTAGGACCACATGGGAGGATCTCCTCAGGGACACGGCTGCCTAGCTCCTTACACTCAGAACAGAATGCAGAGCATCCAACTAACTACCATTTCTGAAGCACCAGGTGTTTCTGTTCCAAGCCTGATACAGATCAGGTACCCTGAATGAAGCTTCTGTAGATCATTGCTCCATTTCAAATTCAAGTCTTATATGGTTGTGTCTGATTTGCAGGACATAGGTCACATGTCTGCATCTGCACTGAAAGGATACGTTCTGAATTCTATCCCAGAGAAGCAGGATTCTAACATGGAAAATGATTAAAATATAAGCAGGCTGTTCAAAATACATAATGCTATTATATGTTAGTAATCCATAAATACTATTATCTATTAGTAATTCACAAGTAAAAGATATCTATTACACTCATTAGAATTCACCATTATTAGGCAATATTCTTTTTCACTTTTGGAAAAATTGAAATGGCTCTTCTATGGATATTTTATTAAATGCAATGCCTCTCATAAATATTATTAATCAATTTTTGTTAGGTTGGGTTGTGATAAAAATGATCCTAGCACATTAGTGGCTTCACACACCCAAGTTTTCTTTTTTCCTTAAGTTACATCATCATCTTTGTGGTCATCTGTAATTCTCGTACTGTTGGCTTCTGGATGGCTGAAATTCTGTTTCACAAGTTTTCCCATTGTTTGACTCAGTCTAAGGAGCTGTCAGTATCTTGGACATGATGTTCCCATGGAAGAGAAAAAAAAAGAAAAACAAAAAACAAAAAACAACCATATAATGACTCTAAAGGCTTCTGCTTGGATGTGGCTTGCATTACTGCTGATTTCACTGGTGAAAAATAAGTGAAATGGTGAAGCTTTATATCATTTTAGTAGAAAAATATATTCTTACAGACAGGGCAGTGAACAAATGGCAATAATAACAAACTATCCCAATCTTCCTTAATAATTTCAAAAATATATTTTCTGATCTTACTTAAAAATCACTGTCTACAAAAAATATCCATCAAAAGTTGTTTTCAATCAAAGCAACTGGCCTAAACAGAGAGTATTGTAATAATCTGTATCTCATATTCTGATGAAACTTTCTTTGAGACCCATGAACAAAAATATCTTTGTGCGAACCTACTATTGTAGGATTGTGGGCTACATATAAAATAAACAAGGCAACATCAAGTTAAGAAGGTAGCAAATTGGAAGTATACAGAATTCACTGATCCGTAGCAATTTTGAAATCTTACTGGGTAGATAATGAGAATACCTCCTGTAAGAAGGTGATTTTTTAAAAGCAAAATCAATTTTTAAAAATCTAGATTTTGATCCTTAAAAGTAGTTTCTTAGTCCCTTTTACTGCTTGGCTCTGACCCCATTTATTAGAATGTTCTTCCTTTTCTGTTGTCTTTCTTAGCCACATCTAAGCAAGGCATTATTGTGCCTTCCTTAGTGGCTTAACAGATTTCTCATCCTACTTTTTGATGACAATATCAGGAGGTAGCAAAGATCATTTTAAGCCTCAAATGGTCAGTCTCTTTTAATCCAGATTTTTGGCTCTTTTAGAATTACAAATATTTAAAAAATATTATTCTAGGAAGCCATATACAAAATCCTTTTTGAAACACATCTCTATACCGCTCTAGATTTACTTACAAGTAGCTTGAGCTTATTATGTGTATATGGGAGACTCACAGCTTTCAAGTCTTTTTTATGAGCACTTTTATCCACCTGAAACATTTTAATAGGCATAACCTTAATTGAGAGGTTACAGATATGGGCATTATTTTGTCACCCTTCAATTGGGCCATCTGTCTATCTTATCTGATTTCTCTATCTGTCTATCTATCTATTTACACACACGTTTAATAGTACTTTTTCAAATGCAAATAATAGCAGCTAAGTCAAACAGAATGTTCCCAAGTTATTTACAGATAGCAAGTTATTATTGCATATAGGAGCCATCATTTTCCCAGTTTCCAGTAAGTTTCTTTCTCATTTAGAGGTTTAAGGGGGCTTTAAATAAATTTCCCCCATTTAGCATTCCTGTCATGCAGTACATTACCCTGGACAATTGTTTCTGTACTAGTCAGCTTTTTAAGATTATGCTGTATAACAAACAATTCTTAAATATCAGTGGCTTCATATAATAAAGATTTAATTCCTGTGCATAAATCTGTTTAGTTGCCTGTATCTCTACAATTGCCAATTATAAATTGACTAGAGTTATACTTCACAAGTCTGCATTCAGAATTCCAGAATTGAAAGGGAAATTTCACAACATTTTTGAAGAGATAGGAAAAAAGCAATGATGAAATTACCTGATGGTTCTTCAGGTGTCTGCTTAGATGTGGCTTATGTCACTTACATATTTCTACTGCCAAAGTAAGTAAGATGACCCAGGCTGGTAGTCATGAGGGAGAAGCATAAAATCTTTTTATAGGGAAGGCAGTAAATAATTAAAAAATAATATAATTTGCCACATACATTAAATTTCTGGTACCCACTTTTTATTTCTCTATTCGTTTTGCCATGTTAATTTGTTCTTGGTAAAATATTAATTGACATAGGAAGGTTAGTTTATTTGAGCAAATGCATAACAGGATCTGAACATAATGCCCATGGCCTATCTCAATGTATATGTAAGAAAACTATTAATCTGATTTTCACAAGTCTTATAAAATTATTCAGGAGGAATTGATCAAGTGATGTAATTTTTTTTCAGAAACAGTGTTATTTGAAAAAAGTGTATTACATCCAAAAGTAACTATTTTGAACTATTAATAATAAAAAGGCAATTATAGTAGCCAGTTTCTCTTGAGCACTTCCAATTCCAGATACGGTCTTTAATTTTAACTCAGTTTTATTTTAAAATAAGGATACTGAAGTTTGACCAAGGACCTGTAGCTAGGAGGCAAGAACAGGAATATACAAGTCAGTTCTCTCTGACTTGAGACCAGTTCTTGGTCATTAATTTTGAATACACAAGTTGTATAGATATGTCCTTATTTTATGTAAATTTTAGATCTATATGTTGAAGCGGTATAAAATGGAGTGATCAACAGTGGGTTGTGCTTGGTTAGGGTATAATTCATCTGGTGGGAGAGTTTTGAATCCATGCTGACAACAGAAATTCCTCCCCTCTAGGTGAGCAAGAAACTTAGAAGCACACATGAAAATGTCTTTAGACCTTACTTTAAAACTATCATCTATACAAAGAATTGTATATGAAAATTCTGCCCAGGCCTGGGAGGCACAAAAGGAAAAAGATATGATGGTCTCACAGCCATTGCTACACTCTTATGGTTGCATCTCATATTGCTCTGGAGAAGCACACATGGAGCATCTGGCAGTGGTCTGGGGTCTGGGACTCCTGCCTTGTTCAAGCTGAACCCTAGAGAGCCAGTGTTGGCAGAAGATAAGTGAATCACTTTGCAGACAGATGCTATTGCACAATGATTTACATCTATAACACTCAGGTTTCTGGTGATTTAATAGAAAAATGGAATACTGGAGACTTTATTTAACATCTGCTCTCAACCAGGTAGAAAAGCCTCCAGGAAAGGCATAGCATCCTCTATGTTCACCTGATCCTAAGACCCAAAATAGCAGATTTCAAGATAGAAGAAACAATTCTAAAAAGGCCTATGAACAAGCTTTTTGGCCCTCTTTATTACTCCTTAGTTGGCTGCTTTGCTGAAGTCAGTTGAAATTTTCTTATAAACCCAGTTATGATTTATCATTTGCCTGGCATTCCAAGCATGTCAACCTGGAACTCTTTCTAAGCCTGAGAAGGGGAGAATTGGTAGAGATTCCTTTTGGGTAGTCATCGTGGAGTCAGTGGGATGAGACGAGAGCCAACTAAATTATATTAAAATGAAGTCTGGAGTCAATCTCAGCTGTGTGTGTGTGTGTATGTTTGTTTAGAGAGGGGGAGGGAGAGAGAAAGTGAAGAGAGAGAGAGAGATTATGCAAATAAAATTGAGGAAAATGTAAATTTTACTTTATATTTCATTGTCATGGATAAAAATAAGAAATCATACTTGAACTGTACTTTTTGAAATTCAATAAAATGAAGGTAGCTTGTTTAAATTTAAGCACAAGAACAGAGAAAATCACTGGTAAAATACAGAGATTTTTTTTAAAAAGAATAAAACCTGCATTTAAAATAATTCCAAACAATAGAAAAGAAGTTAGTACTATAAAGGTATATACCTATCTGTAATTTATAATCATGACAGAAAGAAATTTAAACTTAACATCCGAAAACTGAAAAGGCAAGAAAATTAGAATATATTGTTATACTATAAAGCAGTATGTATGTAGCTCTTTAGAAACTTGGAAAATAATAACATATAAAAAAGTAGAATATTTCATGTACAGTGGATACAACTGTGTAAAAACTGTGTCTTGTATATTATCAAAATGTTCTTCCAAGCTCATCAAAATGACTGATTGGCTTGGAGTTCTGGTAATATGGCAGTTACATAGAAGAGCAATCTGACGATAATTTGTAATTGTTGTGCTTGCATCTAGTTTATCAGTAGTGCTTGTATACTACTGTATAATGCTTGTATATTGTTATAGTAGTATGTTGGTAGAATTGCTTCAGTTATATAACATAAATGTTTTGGAGAAGTTTTCAATTATTTACACCACAAATTACCTTTCAACGCACTGAAAAAAATGTAGTACCTAAGGTGTTTAATGTATGAATCAGAGTTTGGATGAGTTATCTCTTGCTGCTTAAAAACAACCACAGAATCTCATTATCATCCAAAAATTTTATATATATATATATATGTATGTATGTATGTGGGGGGGGGAAGTATATGTGTGTGTGTATCATATATATGTATGTGTGTGTGTATGTGTGTGCACGCATGTGTGTGTGTGTATATACAGATATTTACTCATGAATTTGCAGGGTGGCTGGGATGATTGCTTCACACTCTAGATATAAAGGTCAATCAGTGGCTCTTACGTATCTGTCATCCTTTTTGGGCCAGTGGGATAGCCACATTATGTTCTTTTCATATTGATGGCATGAGCACATAAACATCCATTGGCCAAAGTAAGTCAAGTAGATGAGCCCAAAGTCAAGTATTGGAGAATACTTATTTACTTTAGGTATAAGAAACCATATTTTATATTAAAAGATATAGATACAGGGATAGGTCAATAACTTGGGCAAATAATTTGATCTTCCTCAAGGTCCTAGGTCATGAACACTTTGGAGTCACTCATTTATCTGAGAGAGCAGTTTTCTTTCTTTTAAAATTACAAAGTTTTTTAAATATGCCTCAAATTTGCATAATGCAGAAGTATGATATTCTATTAGGGGATTTTTTTTTCTGGTTCAGAAAAAGTTCATGTGCCTCTTGGGGTTGATAACCTTTAGGTTTGTGGGTAACCACTCAAAATCCTAGAGTTAGTATATAGATTATTTTAAGTTGGAGACATCAGTGATTCGACAGATGCAGAAAGAAGCCTTCTTGGCATTTCCCTTACGTGACTAAAAACAGAAGCTTCTGGGAACATAGCTGCCATAAATTCTCTTTTCTGGTTCGATTTTATTCCCAGGAAGGTGACCGAGATTAAACCAACCACAAATCCCCTGTTGGGGAAGATGTGTCTCCATGAAGAAGACAGAAAGAATTTTCAGACTTGCATGAACAAGCAGTACCATAAACTTTATTATTTCTATTTGTTCTTATAAAAACCCATTTGTTCTTCTCATGGGGACCTCTTTTGTCTTTCTTCCTTTCTTTACTAAGAAAGATATATAAACCTCTAACCATTTATCAAGCTACTTATTTTGTAAGCTATAGTACACATGCAAATAAACTTTTTTTCTCCTGTTAGTCTGACTTTTGCCAGTTTAATTTACAGACCCTCAGCTACTGAACATAAATGCATGGAGAAAAAGTTTTTTTCTCTACAAAAACATTCTTAAGGCTAAACTTAATTTCTTTAGTGGGGTGTAATTATGCACAAATCCATATGCACAATGAACTAAAGCAACACTACTTTCAAAATCAGTCCTGAGATTAAAACACAAAAATTGAAAGAAGGAATGACAGCATTATATTCAGAGATGTCTAAGAAAGTGAAGCTTTGCTTTGTGAAACCTCAATACCTTCATTTTCTTAAACATCTCTGCATATGATATTGGAGGAGAAAACCGGAAGAAAGTTGATAGGTGAGGTTAATTTTATGAAGAGAACACATTCATAAAACCTCAAAGTAAGTAATTGTGGAAACATTCCTTATTGAGAATCTTCATAAAAGCACATGCTTTGAAACTTATAATTCTTGTTTAGATAATTTTTTTTTTTTTACCATTTTGAATTTGCCACCAACTTTCAATGGAGAAACTAAAGAAGTTATTTCTGGAAAATTTGTGTTAATATAATGCCAGTAGGACAGACTTGGAATTATTTGAGAAGAGGGGCACTGGCAAACAGATTCACAAAATATGGGTAAAATACTTTAAGGATGGGTATAATGAGGGTGGATCCAAAACAGTATCTAGAAAATTCTTTCCTGAAAAACTTGAAATCTCCCATTGTTTCTTTCTATCGAAACTAATAGGTGGCTTTCTGTCCTGTCAGTAAGATTCAGGAATGAAGCATAATGAAAACAAAAAACTCTAAAGGAAAAAAATTGCATTGTTTGTCAGAAATGGAAGATACAATGTGTTGATAAAGATTCTAGAACTGGGTAAAAAGAGAATTTGAAATATTATGTGGTTCAAAGCTACTATGATTAGAATTTTAATATCTCCCACCTAGTTAAAAATCACCTTGCTTTAAAATAACTTTTGAGAAGAAAATTTACAATCTTCTTTGTTCATTTTGACAGAGAGGCAGTGAGGGATGAGAGAAGAACGCAAGACTTAAAATGCAGACACCTAGAATAAGTGCAGACATGCTGTGGGCAAACCACTTAATGGTGTGGTTCATTTCAAAGGTCACTTCGTGTATTGTCCATTTTCACACTGCTGATAAAGACAAATGAGACCGGGCAATTTACAAAAGAAAGAGGTTTACAGTTTCACATGCCTGGGGAGGCCTCACGATCATGGTGGAAGGCAAGGAGGAGCAAGTCACATCTTATGTGGATGGCGGTAGGCAAAAAGAGCTTGTGCATGGCAACTCCCATTATTAAAACCATCAGATCTTGTGAGACCTATTCTCTATCATGAGAACATGAACCATTCACTATCATGAGAACCCATTCCCTATCACAAGAGCATGGGAAAGACCCACCCCCATAATTCAGTCATCTCCCACTGGGTCCTTCCCACATCACATGGGAATTATGGGAGCTACAAGATGAGATTTGCATGGGGACACAGAGCCAAACCATATCATTCCTCCCTGGCCCCTCCAAAATCTCATATCTTCACATTTCAAAACCAATCATGCCTTCCCAACAGTCCCCCAAAGTCTCAACTCATTTCAGCGTTAACTCAGAAGTCCACAGTCCAAAGCTAAGCAGTGATCTAGATCAGAAAATAAAAAAATAGATCACAAATCATATTGGGCTACATTATGCTAAAGGACTGGAAAGTGACAGAAAAATTGTCTGAAATTTGACTTAACTATTTTCTTGAATAAAGACATGAAAATTTGTTGCAAAATCTTTTGAGGATGTCATGGAAGCAATAACCATTGAGGCAGCAATTAGAGTGATCAGAAGAGCCTACCATTAGGTCTTAAACCTCTCAGTAGGTTTTCAGAAACAGCAATGAGCTAGGGAACGTCAGAAAAATCTTACTTGGATAACCGAAAATCATCTTCTACACATTTACTTCCCCACAAAGTTTATGTACAAGAACTGTTGTTTAAGCACCCCCTTTTTTTAAACTTTTAAGTTCCTGAGTACATGTGCAGGATATGCACATTTGTTACATAGGTAAATGTGTGCTGTGGTGGTTTGCTGTACAGATCAACTCATCCTCTAGGTATTAAGCCCAGCATCCATTACCTACCTATTCTTCTTGATGCTCTCCCTCCCCAGCCCCCACAACAGGCCCCAACGTGTGTTGTCCCACATCATGTGTCTGTGTGTTTTCATCATTCAGCTCCCACTTATGAGTGAGAACATGTGGTGTTGGTCTTCTGTTCCTGTGTTAGTTTGCTGAGGATAATGGCTTCTAGCTCCATCCATGTTCCTTTTTATGGCTTCATAGGATTCCATGGTGTATATATGTACCACATTTTCTTCATCCAGTCTATCATTGATGGGTATTTGAGTTGATTCCCTATCTTTGCTATTGTGAATAGTGCTGCAATGAACATATGTATACATGTATCTTTATAATGAAATGAGTCCTATTCCTTTGGTAAACTTGTTTTAAAGGATTGTTGTATAGCTTTGTACTTAAAACAGGTTGAACTCTTAGAACACTATCTAAGGTTGTACTCTTAGAATGATGTCTAAGGTCTACAGTATGGAAACAAATAAACAGCCTTCACAGTAGTGCAAAAAGAGACACAGTTGAGGTTTTTTTTGTTTGTTTTTTATTTGCTTGAGTTGTTAACTACAGACTGTCCCTTGGCCATGACACAACTTTCCATTTGAAAATGGGCTTTCTGAACAAATGACACTTGTCATTTTGGTGAATTCCGTGAGGTTTTGAATACAGTCAGATTGACAGCTAATCTCCGGGGCTACTTAGATAATTTGGTTGGGCATGAGTAGCATTAATTTGATTCCATTTAGCTTGACTCTTAACATAACTACAGGCTCTGTAGTATTTTAGGGTGTTCCAAAGCAAAATATTGAGACATAGTTCTCCTTTTTACTAAATCCTGGTTTCTGTCTACACATGATGGGGATAAAAAGGGCAGTCAAGTTGAACCCACAGCACAATGCACCTTCACCCTCCAGATATTTGGCATAGCCAGTAGGGAAGGAGGTGAAACATGGATTGAAACATAGATTGGACCCAGATGCTGGTTGTTTGGTTCCATCTTGGTAAACAGGGGCTCTTCCAGGGGCAGCTGAATGCAAGGTTGTGTTGAATCGATTCTGAGTTTGGGCTCCAAAATTAGAGAAGCCTACTTGTTTATTGTGTAGATCTCTGAATCTCTCTAAGACTTGTTCGATGAGGTAAAGACATATTCACTAAATCCTCCTCTTTTGAGAATAGTACCTCTGCTCACAAATGTACTTGTTGTTTCTTACCCTGGATACTATTCTTTCTTGAGAATTAAACTCCAAGATCCCGATACTCCCCAGCTGCGTACAATTAGGGACCGGTTCTGGATATTTACTCCTTAAATCAACTTTCTATCAACCTCCTTACGCTACCCTCTTTGCTCCTATTTTCAGAAACTTTTACTAGTTCTTAGCCTTTAGAAAATTCAGGGAAAATCAAGTTGTATCATGGCTGTTGACAGTTTTATATTAAGATTTAGTTTTCTTGAACTCAGTAAGTCATTTACAACTAATCTGTCTCCCACCTTCTAATATTTTATCATCATTTTCTCTTCTCCTACTTCTCATCTTTGTGGATTTATGCCTGAAAAAATTCTTTACTGTCATTTTAATGGAATTTTAGAAGAGAGCAAAATTAGACAAGTATATTCAGCTTTTCATCCTTTCCTAGATACCCACTATATTTACATATTTTAAATGCACTCTTTTTCAAGTAATACAGTTAAAACATTTAAATCCTGCCTACTTGCTTTCTCTTCAAATAACAAACTTCAAATCTGAATTGCTACATAATCACAAAATAAATCCTCTCCTTAAATACTTGTTATACTTTAATATTTATTATGCCAATATAAGTTATTAATCATTTTAAACTTTGTATTATCAGGATTATTAGGTGACTTCTCCAAATAATCACTTGTGGGGAGGCACTGTAAAATGTCCTAGCAGGCACGTGTTGGCCCTTTCAAAGGGATATTCCAGTATCTCTTAGAAAAAAAGGACGTCATGTGTCATATATCATGTGGTGCCAAAGATGTGCAATGGACTGTTCTATAAGTGCTTCACCATAGGAAGTATTAAAAGAGAGGCTGACTAACCATTTATCATGGATTCCAATACATTTATATGAAGTTAGAATAATTGAAGGGTAAAAAAATTCCTTCCAGTCTTTATGCTTCTACAAGTCTATAAATTTTGGTGAGAATTCCCTTCAAATTTGCATCCTTGAATATTATCTCTGGAACAATATGACGACTTTTTGCTATATTCGGAGAAACCAACTAGTTTTAGACTCTAGGTTCCATGTGGGCTGGTTCTACAATTATTTCATGAACCACTCTGTTCCTAGTGCCTAATATTTGTGCTTGCTCATAGAGGATGCTCAATAATTTTTTTTAAAAGAAGAAAAAACTTTAGAATGTTAAAGTCTTCCAGAAAAATATCAGCAGCAACAACAGTAGTGGTGAGCTGTAGTGTTTCATTATAATTTCGGCTCTGGGTAAAATCATTCTAAGAGAGAAGGACACAAAGTCCATGGTCAACTTTAGAAAGTAGGGACAGTCAGTGCTTTCCTTCTGGGTCCCCCTTCTCCGATCAAAAATGTATTAAATCACATTGCATGAAATAGCAGTGAAACAACAATATTACCATTGTTCTTAATTCTTAGAGCCTCTTCATCTAGTCCTCTATTTTATAGATAAGGTCATTGAAGTTCAGAGAATTTAAGTGACTTTGTCCGATAGACCAGGGCCCAGAACTGAAGCACAATATATAATCTGTTCCCACACTGAGATTTTTCCACAATGTCTCTGTCATCTTCTAAAAACAAGTTTGTAGAGGAAAAGAATCTAAGCCTTCTCAAGGTGATCTGAGGGCTATGTGGGGACACGGGCTTGATGATGATGGTGGTATTGATGGGATTTTGTGCTCTGTTGTGATGTGATTCATTTTTTTTAAGTGCCAGTGTGCAGTTGGTATCCAACACTGCCTTTTCTCTCCAGCCTAGAACACTGGAATGCCTTTATAAATCATGGTCTTTTTTCCTTGGAGAGGTTAGAGTTGAAGCTCTAAAGCAAAGAAGCTGGTGACACCATTCTAATTTTGGGGTGGCAAAGAGAAATATTTGTGAGAAAGAAGAAGAAATCTTTTTTAATGTTAGAATAAATCAGTTCATGCCAAAAACACACTTTAGATAACTTCTTTTATTATTATTATTACTGTTATACTTTAAGTTTTAGGGTACATGTGCACAATGTTCAGGTTTGTTACGTATGTATACATGTGCCATGTTGGTGTACTGCACCCATTAACTTGTCATTTAGCATTAGGTATATCACCTAAAGCTATCCCTCCCCGCTCCCCCCACCCCACAACAGTCCCCGGAGTGTGATGTTCCCCTTCCTGTGTCCATGTGTTCTTCTCCTCGTTCAATTCCCACCTATGAGTGAGAACATGCGGTGTTTGGTTTTTTGTCCTTGTAATAGTTCACTGAGAATGATGATTTCCAGTTTCATCCATGTCCCTACAAAGTACATGAACTCATCATTTTTTATGGCTGCATAGTATTCCATGGTGTATATGTGCCACATTTTCTTAATCCAGTCTATCATTGTTGGACATTGGGGTTGGTTCCAAGTCTTTGCTATTGTGAATAGTGCCACAATAAACATACATGTGCATGTGTCTTTATAGCAGCATGATTTATAGTCCTTTGGGTATATACCCAGTAATGGGATGGCTGGGTCAAATGGTATTTCTAGTTCTAGATCCCTGAGGAATCGCCACACTGACTTCCACAATGGTTGAACTAGTTTACAGTCCCATCAACAGTGTAAAATTGTTCCTATTTCTCCACATCCTTTCCAGCACCTGCTGTTTCCTGACTTTTTAATGATTGCCATTCTAACTGGTGTGAGATGGTATCTCATTGTGGTTTTGATTTGCATTTCTCTGATGGCCAGTGATGATGAGCATTTTTTCATGTGTTTTTTGGCTGCATAAATGTCTTCTTTTGAGAAGTGTCTGTACATATCCTTCACCCACTTTTTGATGGGCTTGTTTGTTTTTTTCTTGTAAATTTGTTTGAGTTCATTGTAGATTCTGGATATTAGCCCTTTGTCAGATGAGTAGATTGCAAAAATTTTCTCCCATTTTGTAGGTTGCCTGTTCACTCTGATGGTAGTTTCTTTTGCTGTGCAGAAGCTCTTTAGTTTAATTAGTTCCCTTTTGTCAATTTTGGCTTTTGTTGCCATTGCTTTTGGTGTTTTAGACATGAAGTCCTTGCCCATGCCTATATCCTGAATGGTAATGCCTAGGTTTTCTTCTAGGGTTTTTATGGTTTTCGGTCTAACATGTAAGTCTGTAATCCATCTTGAGTTAATTTTTGTGTAAGGTGTAAGGAAGGGATCCAGTTTCAACTTTCTACATATGGCTAGCCAGTTTTCCCAGCACCATTTATTAAATAGGGAATCCTTTCCCCATTGCTTGTTTTTCTCAGGTTTGTCAAAGATCAGATAGTTGTAGATATGCGGCATTATTCCTGAGGGCTCTGTTCTGTTCCATTGATCTATATCTCTGTTTTGGTACCAGTACCATGCTGTTTTGGTTACTATAACCTTGTAGTATAGTTTGAAGTCAGGTAGCGTGATGCCTCCAGCTTTGTTCTTTTGGCTTAGGATTGACTTGGCAATGTGGGCTCTTTTTTGGTTCCATATGAACTTTAAAGTAGTTTTTTCCAATTCTGTGAAGAAAGTCATTGGTAGCTTGATGGGCTAACTATCCTAAATATGTATGCACCCAATACAGGAGCACCCAGATTCATAAAGCGAGTCCTGAGTGACCTACAAAGAGACTTAGACTCCCACACAATAATATGGGAGACTTTAACACCCCACTGTCAACAATAGACAGATCAACGAGATAGAAAGTTAACAAGGATACCCAGGAATTGAACTCAGCTCTGCACCAAGCGGACCTAATAGACATCTACAGAACTCTCCACCCCAAAACAACAGAATATACATTTTTTCCAGCGGCATACCACATCTATTCCAAAATTGACCACATAGTTGGAAGTAAAGCTCTCCTCAGCAAATGTAAAAGAACAGAAATTATAACAAACTGTCTCTCAGACCAGAGTGCAATCAAACTAGAACTCAGGATTAAGAAACTCACTCAAAACCACTCAACTACATGGAAACTGAACAACCTGCTCCTGAATGACTACTGGGTACATAACAAAATGAAGGCAGAAATAAAGATGTTCTTTGAAAGCAACGAGAACAAAGACAAAACATACCAGAATCTCTGGGATGCATTCAAAGCAGTGTGTAGAGGGAAATTTATAGCACTAAATGCCCACAAGAGAAAGCAGGAAAGATCCAAAATTGACACCCTAACATCACAATTAAAAGAACTAGAAAAGCAAGAGCAAACACATTCAAAAGCTAGCAGAAGGCAAGAAATAACTAAAATCAGAGCAGAACTGAAGGAAATAGAGACACAAAAAACCCTTCAAAAAATTAATGAATCCAGGAGCTGGATTTTTGAAAGGATCAACAAAATTGGTAGACCTCTGGCAAGACTAATAAAGAAGAAAAGAGAGAAGAATCAAATAGATGCAATAAAAAATGATAAAGGGGATATCACCACCGATCCCACAGAAATACAAACTACCATCAGAGAATACTACAAACACCTCTACGCAAATAAACTAGAAAATCTAGAAGAAATGGATAAATTCCTCGACACATACACCCTCCCAAGACTAAACCAGGAAGAAGTTGAATCTCTGAATGGACCAATAACAGGCTCTGAAATTGTGGCAATAATCAATAGTTTACCAACCAAAAAGAGTCCAGGACCAGATGGATTCACAGCCGAATTCTACCAGAGGTACAAGGAGGAACTGGTATCATTCCTTCTGAAACTATTCCAATCAATAGAAAAAGAGGGAATCCTCCCTAACTCATTTTATGAGGCCAGCATCATCCTGATACCAAAGCCGGGCAGAGACACAACCAAAAGAGAGAATTTTAGACCAATATCCTTGATGAACATTGACGCAAAAATCCTCAATTAAATACTGGCAAACCGAATCCAGCAGCACATCAAAAAGCTTATCCACCATGATCAAGTGGGCTTCATCCCTGGGATGCAAGTCTGGTTCAACATACGCAAATCAATAAATATAATCCAGCATATAAACAGAACCAAAGACAAAAACCACATGATCATCTCAATAGATGCAGAAAAGGCCTTTGACAAAATTCAACAACCCTTCATGCTAAAAACTCTCAATAAATTAGGTATTGATGGGACGTATCTCAAAATAATAGAAAACTTCTTTCTCTATTTTTTGCAGAATAAGTCCATGTGTGCTGACGTCTTCTCATAAGAATAGGAGAAAATGTGAGAGGGCTTGAGAAAGGTGATTTGATCTTTTCAGGATGGTTTTGATAATGATACCTGTATAGGAAACTTTCTAATTAATATGGTAGTATACCTGAGACGACTCTCTCACCATATCTCCAGATATTTTTGGTGGTATGTTAATAAAAGAACCTTAGACTTTGTAAAATTTGAGAGCCTCTTAACTGAATTTTAACAAAATCTGTTATTTGTTACAAATTGGTTCTTTGAGAGTTTTAAGCAATTATATTTGGTTTTCCCCTAATTTTCCCAAAGACTTGCAAAACTTGATTGCATGCAAGTTACAACAAAACAAGACTTTGGCTTGCATAGCTAAACTGAGAAATCCTCATAATATGTTGTTTCATTGTCCATATTAATCTGGTTATCTTAGAGTAAAATTTTCCTTTATGTATCTACTGTTAATTAGGGGATTTTAATTGCTGTTATCCATGACATATAGTCAGTGTTAAATAAAATATTGACTTTTTGTAAAGTATACAGTTTGCTTAATTTGGGCCAATGCTCTTAAAGCTCCTTTTTTTTTTCCTGCCATATCTTGATGAAGAACATCATTTTGATCCCATTTTCTGAACTTGGAGATTGGACTCTTCTCTCAGCTACATCTGATACTTTCTTAGTCGTCTTCTTATTTTTTTCTAAATATAGTTGCCATACTAGTTTCCTCTCTTTTAACTCCTTAGTTTTTATTTTTGTCTAAATCCTCATCCACTCAAGCCTGGGCTGTTTCATAGTGTCCTAGCCACAGCCCACATTCAGGCCTTCCTACTCCATCTATCTCCTTGTCTGTCTCATGTCAATGATTGTGTGTGAAGAAATGCTGTAGATGTGGTGGCTAAGAGCATCACTTGTGTTTAATCACAGCTCTGCCTCAGCTGTATCTCCTTGGCAAAGTATTTAATTTGTTTGTGCCTCTGTTTCTGCAAAATGGGGGTAGTAATAATCTTAACTATCTCTGAGGTTAGGATAATCAAGAGAAGTTTACACATAGAAAGTATTTGAAATGATGCCCAGAATGAAGGGTTCACTATACATTAGCCATTATTATTGGGTTTCAAACCTGCTTTACTGTATAGTTTTTAGTGTTTTTAAGCTTGCATTTATTGGGCACCAACTATGTGATAGGACTCTGCTATGTATATTTATATTGTTTCATTCATATGTTGATTTTATAAGAGCTCTTAACCTCAAATTGCAGATTAGGTAATGAAGCTTCAATTAAGTTAAGTTACAAGCTCAAAATTCCACAGCTAGCAAGGGATGTATTAGAGATTTGACTACAGACCTCCTTGACTCCAGAGCCTATATACTTATCCAATAGGCTGCTCTATCTCCATATGTGAATTCTGGCCAATGACCTAACCTCCTCATTTATAAAACAGGCATAATATTCCCTTCGCCATAGGATTGCATGGGAGTTAAACAATGTTGTAAAGTGCTTATTCCAAAGCCTGTGGAAATAGTAGTTGCTTCATAATCATTTATTATTATTATTATTATTATTATTATTATTATTATTACCTCAGTGCTTTAGAAATAGAACTACTATATCTTTAATGTTAAATATTATGTTAATTATTCTTTTTGAAATTTTTCTTAGTCATATCAATTTATTCTTCCAGCTACCTTTAGACGTATTTCACCAAATTATTTCCCTCCTTTTAAAATTTGTTCAGAATTGGGTTAAGACCACCAACTAGTTTTAGAAGAGGTGGCATTTTTATATCCATTTTCTTATCAAGAAACATGGAATGTGTCTCAATTTCTTTTGTTCTTTCATGGCCTCAGTAAAATTTTAGAGAAGTCTCTATTATGGGCTCTGCATGTTTTCTTAAGATACATATTTCAAGTTTTAGTCGATAGGATAGGTAGTATCTCTTTTTTCCATGTTTTAAAGTTGTCATCTTTATTAATTTCTGTATGTTACTTCAACAGTTTATCATTTCAACTACCTTGGATTTTGTAGGGAAGCAGTCAGATGATTTGAGGATTTTATTGTACTCGTACAGAATGCTCCTTCTCTCTTTAATAACATGTATGGTATATTCATATTTTTCATACATTTATGTCTCACCCACCAGATCACATGCTGTCATCTCTATTTGGCTGATAAAGATGTTCCTATTTGAGTATAATATTGAAAGGAAAACTCTGCAAATGTGGGCTTTATTTATAACAAATCCAAGATATTGGATTTCTTTCAGCTGCAGAGGCTTTGAGGAGGTGGTAGGTTTTGAAGTTTGTCAGAAGAAACAGACAAGCCGGACAAGGTGGCTCAAACTTGTAATCCCAGCACTTTGGGATGCTTGAGGTGAGGAGTTTAAGACCAGCCTGGCCAACATGGTGAAACGCTGTTTCTACTAAAAATACAAAATTTAGCCAGACATGGTGGTGCATGCCTGTAATCCCAGCTACTCGGGTGACTGAGGCAGGAGAATTGCTTGAACCCAGGAGGCAGAACTACCATTTGACCAAACAATCCCATTACTGGGCATATGTCCAAAGGAATATAAATCATTCTACCATAAAAACACATGCACAGATACGTTCATTGCAGCAGTATTCACAATAGCAAAGACACGGAATCAACCTAAATGCCCATCAATAGTGGACTACATAAAGAAAATGTGGTATATATACATCATGGAATACTACGTTGCCATAAAAAAGAATGAAGTCATGTTCTTTGCAGCAACATGAATGAAGCTGGAGGCCATTATCCTAAGCAGATTAATGCAGAAAGAGAAAACCGACTACTGTATGTCCTCACTTATAAATTTGAGCTAAACATTGAGTACACATGGACACAAAGAAGGGAACGATAGATACCAGGGCCTACTTGAGAGTGGACAGTGGCAGAAGGGTAATGATTGGGAAACTACCTTTTGGGTACAGTGCTTATTACCTGAGTGATGAAAGAATCTACACGCCAAACCCCTTTGACATACAATTTACCCATATAACAAATTTGCACATGTACTCAATGAACCTAAAATAAAAGTTGGAAAAAAACCCAAGAAAAATGTTATTCATACATTTAAAAATGGCAATTACATTTATACTTCTGTAAAGATGGAGTAGATGTACATTTTCTTATTCTTCCCACTAAGTACAACTAAAAACTCTGGCCATTATACATAACATTATTGAAAACATACATAAGGAGACTAAAAGTTGAAGAGAAGAAGGTTGACAAGCTGGAGATCTCAAGACCCAAGGAACAACATCATGAGAGTCCCTTGGTTTTCTTTTTGCCTTGTATATCCCAGACTGGATACTGGAGAAACCAGTAATCCAGAAACGCTGATAAAACAGGACTCAACAACAAAAGGAACAAACTATTGATACAGTAAAAACTTGTATGGTTGTCAAGGGCTTCATGCTAAATGAACAAAAAAAAAAGCCAACCCTAAAAGGTCACATACTGGATGATTCAATTTATATAATATTTTCTAATAACACACTATTAAAGTGAAAAATAGGCTAGTGGTTACCAGGGACTGAGACTGGTGAGGGAAAGGGGCATGGGTGTGACTAAAAGGGATGGCAAGAGAGATTTTTGTGATGATGAAGTTGTTGTGTAATTTGATTGTGGTGGTGGTTACACAAACACCACTGCTCTACAGCACTTTATCCTATTAACCACTTGGAATCTTTGACTTGGTCTCACTGTATTATAAATTCATGAACCTTCCTAATTTTCTGTTTGCTTTTCTACCCCTCTTTCTCAGCTTCCTTTTGGTGTTTCTTATGTCCTATCATTAATTTTCTCCTCTATTCATTGTGATGTATTTCCTGGGTGATCTCATCTATTCTTCAAAGGGGAGGTATGTTATGCAGCATTGTCAAAGCTTAATTGACTGTGAAATTCTTCAATATTAATTTTGTCCTTGATCAGATAAAGACAATTTTTGGATGATGGGATACAAGAAATTTTTCTTGAAAAAAAGTGTCAAAGTACAGATGGCTAACGGTTCACTAAAAATGCTTGCCTCCTCTTTCATTGTACAGAGTTGTTACAGGGAGACAGCTTCCCAGCCAGTTTTTATATTTTTCAGCCTGTCTTCTTGCATGTGAGTTAATATAATCATTTCTCAGCCATAGAATGCATGGCAGAGGCCGTATCACTTCTTAGGGCCAGGGTTAAGAAGTGGATGTACCTTCTCCATTCTTTCTTTTTCCCATTCATCCAGATGTGGAGGACTCCAAAAGGGCCACCCATGTGAGTAGAAAAGCCACAAGATGAAAGAACCCTGGGTCTCACAATTACTACTTGGAGAAAATCTGCCCACCAGGCAGGGACACCTGCATTGAATAAGCAGAATAAGAAATTAACTCGTAGGTTAACTAAAAAGCTGGGATTTGTTTGCCATGACAGTAAACTAAACAAAAAATGTGGATTTTTTAAAAGTCATGACACAGAGCACACTTAGAGATACAAACTTAAAATCATTAATATACAAGTGGTATTTAGGAATTGAATAGAACTCTTCTTCCAGTGCAGAGGACTAGAGATGAAAGTTTATGGGGATGTCTATCATGTTAGGGCAGGAACTGAAGGCAGTGCAAGGGAGAGGACAGACAAGGAGCTGGAGAAGTATATATGTAGATGCATCATGTGTTGTTCTGGAAGGCAAAAGAAAGTAAAGTAAATATGAGATAGTTAACTGTCAAATATCGAGATAAATTAAAAATAAATCTAAGGAAAAGATTCTGAAATTCTCTGGGAGATCATGGGTGACCAATGATAGTGGTTTTAATTGGGAAGTGTAGGAAGGGGTTTGCAGATGATTGTGGTGTCTGATGAAGAAAACGAGCTCATTATTATATTGAACACATACTACGCAGCAAGCATATTTATTTTGTTATCTATCAATATTAAAAAATATATGTCAGTTGAGTTGGCAAATAGAGGGGAAGAATAAGCTGGTCTAGGCAATCTCCCACTCCACTTACTTCACCTATTGTTCTCCTGCAAGTGAGGAGAGTGGGGAATGAATGCTTTGTGCTAATTCCACTAGTCAGCCCTTTACTCTCTGGAGTGGTAGATACAGAAGTTCAATCCTATCCTATATTTTTCTTCTCCTAGAGAGCCTGTCAGTAACAATTATTTGTTCTCTCCAATATTAGAAAAATATTATTCGCTCATTCTCTCCAAGAACAGTTAATGTAGTTATTGAATCCAATAATCTTCAAACCAAATGGCTTCTTCTATCATCACATTCTACAATACTGATCCTCTTCTCCTTTAGTTTTTCATGAGAAGACACTGACCTCATTCTTAACCTTT
The DNA here is from genome assembly GCF_000001405.40 of Homo sapiens. Taxonomy (NCBI): domain Eukaryota; kingdom Metazoa; phylum Chordata; class Mammalia; order Primates; family Hominidae; genus Homo; species Homo sapiens. Next base: position 121,033,437 of record NC_000008.11, read on the forward strand.
GTCTCCCCGGTTCCCTTTTTATTTATTTCTTTGTCCTCTCTTCTTGCCTCTTCACTATGGATATTATCCAAGATCTGATTCTCAGAACTGAAACTCAATTCTACTCTTGGCAGGCTTGACTTTCCAGTATAGATCAATCAATGGGGAAGGGGAGGAAGCTTGATGGAATCTTGAGGGTTAACCATGAATCAGACATCTGATCCTTGTGAGGGAAAATGGATAGTTCAAATTGGAGTGTCCAGTATGCATGATGCATTTTTCCTCAATTCCAATGAGTATTTATACTCAAAAGGTTCATAGGTAGGATGTCAGCAAGATGGTAAAATAGGAATTTTTTTAGCCCTCACGCCTTCCATAGAAACACTGATTTTAATAACTACCCACAGACAACAGTACTTTTATAGGAGATCAGGAGTCAGAAGAAAGGACCCAGCATCCCATTGGAGCAAAAAATTCAGAGAATAGATGCATTAAAGAGTGCAAAAATAATTTCACTTACCCATCTTACCTCTCCTTCAAAGTGGCACAGCTCATTGCCAAGAGAGACTCCCTCAGCCTGTGATTTTTCCCATGGGGAATAGTGAGGGTGCAGTGAGGACCCAGCTCCTCCATTTGTTCAGGATGCTTCCCAAGAGGTCCATTTCTTTCTATCCCACCCATAATACTGAGGGGCTTGGCATGGCTAGGGGCAGCTAGGAGCAGTGAAAAGACATGGGTGAATCCCAGCAACCCAAGTGAGAAATTCAAGGGCAGCGATTTCTACTAATTGCTTCACAGACTCCACCAAAAAGCCTGCCCATAAACATTGTAGGGCACATTACCTGTGGATCCCCCCAGGTAGCCCATGCAAACCCCTAGCATTCTGTATGCCCAACCCCGTAGCCATCACCCAGCATTCCCCCACGGATGGTGTACATATGCCACTCCAGGTCATGCACAAGCACACACAGCCTGTTCAACTCTGCCAGAGTCACCATGAAGTGAAACACAATACCCATTATAGAAGTCTCAGGCAAGAGAAGAGAGAGGAAAAAGGGCAGAATGCTGATTTAAACATATAATAGCTGAAAACTGTCTAAATCTTGGGAAGGGTATGAACATCCTGGTCTTCTGTGCTTTGGAAGAAAACACTTTGAACACTTCTGGGCACTCCCCTTGGGAAAATAAACAGAACACTCTCAGCACTTAACCTAGATTTATAAGACCATGATAAGACAAACAAGACTTTCTCTAAAGAGGGAAGAAAAGGAGTGGAATGAGTGCATCCATAGAAAAGGTCTGAGAGACTCTAAGAATCCCAAACCAGGATGACTGATGAAGATCTTTCTTTTCTGAAGCCAGTCATACAACGAGAGTGTGACTCCTCCTTCATATGTGAAGATAGCAATGCAATACTTGAAGGAGCATGGAAAATCTCGAAAATATGACACTGCAAAAGAACAAGATAATTTCCAGTAGCTGATTCAAAAGAAGTGGAGATCTATGAATTATCTGACAAAGAAGCCAAAATAATTGTTTTGAGGAAACTCAGCAAGCTACAAGAGAACATAGATAACTCAATGAAACCAGGAAAACAAGACTAGAAGTCCAACAAAAAATAAAAATTATGAAAAAAAACCTAACAGAAATTTTGGAGCTGAAAATACAATGAATGAAGTTTTGAAAACGTAATAGAGAGTTTCAACAGTAACCTCAATGAAACAAAAGGAAGAATATGTGATCTCGAAAACAGGTCATTTAAAATTACCCTGTCGGTGCAGAAAAAAAGTAAAAATAATTTAAAAAGTAAAGAAAGCCTACAGGATTTATGGGACACCATCAAATGAACCAATTATGGAAGTCAACGAAGAAAAAGAGAGAAAAGAAAAGGAAGCTATTTAAACAAGTAATGACTGAAAACTCCCCAAATCTTGGAAGGAGTATGGACATTCTGGTTTATGAATCTTAAAAATTCCCAAAGAGGATAAACCTAAAGAAGATTACACTGAGACCCATTAAAAAGTCAAGGAGAATTTAGATAGCAACAAGGGAAAAGTGACTCATCACATACAAAGAAACTTTTATAAGACTATCAGCCACTTTATTAGATGAAACTTTGCAGGCCAGGAGAGAGCGGGATAATATATTCAAAGTGCTGAAAGAAAAAAAATACAATAAAAATACTATACCCAGAAAAGCTGCCCTTTAGAAATGAAAGAAAGGTCAAGACATTTCCAGACAAATGAAATTTATGTGAGTTTATCACCACTATACCTGCCTTACAAGAAATGCCACAGGAAGTTCTTTAAGTTGAAATGAAAGGATACTAAATAGTAACATGAAAACATAAAAGCATAAAACATGTCAGTAAAGGTAGGTATAAATCAAATTAAGAATATTCTAATACAGCAATGATGGTGTGTATCTTTTAAACCTAGCATAAAAGATAAAAAGTATTAAAAATAACTGCAGCCACTATAATTTGTTAATGGGTACACAATATAAAAAGACATGAAGTGTGACATCAACAATATAAAATGTGAAATCTAAAAAAGTTGAACTCATAGAAGCTGAGTAGAATTCCCAGGGGCTGTGTGGTGGGGAAAATGGGGAGATGTTGGTTAATGGGTACAAAGTTCAGTTATGCAGGATAAATAAGTTCTGGAGATCTAATGTACAGCATGGTGACTACAATTAATAATACTGTATTGTGTACTTGAAATTTGCTAAGAGAGTAAATCTTAAGTGTTGTCACCACACACACAAAAAATGGTAACTTTGTGAAGTGATAGATATGTTAATTAGTTTGAATTTGGTAATCAATGTATAGATATATATAAAACATCATATTGCTCACCTTAAATATATTCCATTTCATTTGTTAAGTATACCTAAATCAAGTGAAAAAGAAGTAAAATACTCAATCTAGTTGATTGGGCTAGAAAATCAGAGTCCAGGCAGTAGATTATATTTAATGCCAGGTGGTATACCTACCATTAAAGTTAAAATTTTAATCTGTCACTCATTTACAGATTGCCTTTCATTGCTTAATGAAGGGAGCAGGGAGCAGAATCAAGCCTCCAGAAAGAGCTACAGTGTGTCTGAGAGGCAGTCTAGTGGTCTGTGATCTATAAGTGTCCTCTCTTCCTTGGGGAGAATGGAGGTCTGAAATAAAAGCTGGAAGTAAAGCCCTGCCGTATGAACCACACTAACTTGCATGGAGATAGGAAAGGGCTGTTGCTGGGCTGTTAACTAGGTTATTAGGACTCACACCAAATATGTCACTGCTACGCAGCAAAACTAGTGTTGACCCAAACAGATAGTAAAAGTAAGATGCCCATTATTGTCTTGCTGTAGTCAGAATTACCTCAGAACCTGGGAAGAAATAAACCTGCAAGTGGAAGGCATCAACGAATCTGACTTCGAGTTTTGGTAAAACAGTACTTAAACTTCCCTTGTTTGGGATCCATCATAGCATTTCTAGTAGCGTGAATTCTGTCTAGTGAATAGTGAAGCTCCAGCCTGTTAAATCTTAACAAGTAAGATACATAGTGTGCTATGCAGAACTCTAAGAATGACTCCTGAAGATCCTCAGTCTTGTCTAATACCTTTGTCTTTGAGTGTGGGTGCAGCCTGGGAATACGATGAGACATCACTGCTGTGATTGTGTTTTATGGAACATGGCCCATAGGTAACATAGGCCCAATCTATGCACTGTAAAAGCAGAGTTTTCTCTGGACAGTAGCAAAAGGTACAATTTGGAGAAAGTAGAAGCATGAAAAGGATTTGAAATGCCATTGATGGCTTGAAGATGGGGAAGAGGCCATCTGAAGAGGAATGCAGGCCACATCTGAAAGATGAGAGTAGCAGCTGGCTGACAGTCAGTGAGAAAATGGGGACAACCACAAGGAATTTAATTCTGACAATCTGAACATGCTTGGAAGTAGCTTCTTCCCCAGACCTTCTAGATGAAAACCATGGCCAACACCTTGATTTCTGATTTCATCCTGGAAATGAGGCCCTAAGTAGGGAACTCAGCCAAGCATACCTTGATTTCCAAGCTATATCACTGTGAGCTAATAATTGGCTATTTTAAGCTAAGTGTGTGGTAACTTGTTATGCAGGAAGAGATAATACACCAAATGATCACACATGGCATCTCTTGCATTCCTGTTTTCCCAGCCCTAACTTGACTTCAAGAAAGTCACATTAAAGTTTTCAATTATTTGACCCTAACCTACATGGGCTTCAAATATCACGTACTGATTTTCTTCACATCATTATGATATTCTTATTACTTTTGATAGGGTTCTCTTTAGGTGAGGCTGGATTATAAAAATTAAAGGGATGTCAGGAGCCTAAATTATTGAGGGGGAGAATATTAGAAACAGAACATTCATCCTACTCTGTAACAAAATTTTGAGAAGAAAAAAAATGTGCTTTCATTGTTCTAATACTCTTTTAAATATCTTTTTTACCATTTTTCTGCTATTATCTCCCTGCTCCAAACCAGTCATCCAACCTGTATCCCATTCCCCTTAAGAGGTGCTTTCAGACATATTTCCATTTTAGTAGGGGTATCCTAAAGAATGGAAAACTTTTGGCCAGGCATGGTGGCTCATGGCTATAATTCCAGGACTTTGGGAGGCCGAGGTCAGATCACTTGAGCTCAGGAGGTCAAGACTAGCCTGGCCAACATGGTAAAACCCCATTTCTACTAAAAACACAAAAAACAGCCAGGCATGGTGGTAGGTACCTGTAATCCCAGCTACTACGGAGGCTGAGGCACAAGAATTGCTTGAACTTGGGAGGCAGAGGTTGCAGTGAGCTGTGATCATGTCACTGCACTCCAGCCTGGGCAACAGAGTGAGATGCTGTCTCAAAAAAAAGGAAAACTTTGACTTATGTAAATTAATTTCTAAGGATGGAATGTCAAGCTGATGAAGAAAGATTTGGAACAAAGAGAATTATGCAAACCTTCCTAGCATAGTGTGTAGCCAATCCAGTCCTCCTAAAAATACTTTTGTTCCTATACTCATTCCATTGATCCTATAGGCTTGTCTATCTGACAAGGAATTGCTTATCTGTAGGAAAAATAGCCAAATCTCCTCTAGCCACAAGTCAGATTAAGTGAAATAAAATTATTTGAGCCACAAAACAATGGGAGCAATTTAAAAGCAAAACATAGGAACCATTTTGGCCCATTTCAGCATGGAGTCCAGTTGGTTTAGGATTAGGAGACTGTTTTAGTGGATACTTAAACCATGTTAGTTTTAAGGAGTATAGGTCCATGCACAAGCTCAGTGTCTTGGCAGGTTTCCTTCTATGTGGTGGACTATTCATCACACAAGGGGGAAAAGCAGTGCAAATTAGCATGAGAAGCATAGCCACCTGCTTGCAGGGCTTTTCGGGGAATCAGCAGCCCAATAATAGTTCTTCAAAGAAACACTGGCTGAGTGTAGGTAAGCTGACCTTTGCTTAGAGCTTTGATGACCACTAATTACAGCTTTTCTTCTCCAGACTCAGAGTACTCAGCATTTTGTTGCCAAGTTTTCTGAGACCTCTGGCCATTAAGCCTTCACTGGCAATCTGTTCTGTCTCTGAAAGTCTACTCCCATTGCAAATGGATTTTGACGGTAATGGTCAACACGCCTGGGCAAAGAATGGGTCATGCCCATTCTTACTGGAAAGATTTGGAACATTTCCCTGTAAATTGTATATTATTTGGATTTATTTCTCTAACTGAATGGACGTTTTTCTATATGTTGCCAAATCTTCCAGTAATGCTTCTCATTCAGTGTAATTAAGGAGATTAAAAGTGACAGCATTTTTCTTGTTGAATTAATGATGGGTTTTTACATTTTCACTTTTCAAAAAATATAATCACCACTGTGTTTTGCAGAAACAATAGTATGATAAAATCAAGGAGAAATACAACTAGAGAAGAGGCAAAAAAATCTCAATATTATGATTATAATGGTTTATATTTTTCTTGTCTCAGATTCTTAATTTGTCATTCAAGAATCCTATAAATCTACCCTAGTTTATCTTTCTGGTGTCATCTCCTATATAGAAATATAGCATATATTTCTTATTTTAGTTAAATGAATGTATTGGTTTCTCTAAACTTTTTCTTTTTTCTTCTCTTATCTTTCTATATATTTGTATTTCTCTATGTATTTGTAATACCTTCCACATTCCTGACCAGGACTAGGAAATACTTCTCATTTACAAGTGCTCAGCAACAGTGCCCCTTAATGGGAGCCACAATCCCTTTCTTCTATGAATTCCTTTTTTTCTACTGCATGTGTTGAAGTAGGTTCATTTTGTTATCGTTATTGTATGCAAACCTATTTCTTAGCTAAGTATTGAAGCAGCAAGAGTAAGTGAGATACTTGAGAGTATGCAGATAAGAAAAGAAGAAAGCTGAAAATGGATTTCTAGAATACATCGATAAAAACCTGTATAATCAGCACACCTCCTTCCCTTTCGCTCTATTTTTTTCTGTTTACTGTATAAACAAATATTCACCTTTCTTTTCTATATCTCAAGGAACTTACTTGAGCTAATTGTTATATATAATCTTGCCTGTGTTCTTAAAGCAAAGTATTTCTACAGGTGAGGCCCAAACTGGTGACTCAGTAAGACAGTCCCACTTCTGGAAAATTAAGTCTTATTTTCCAGATGTGCTTTTCTTTCAGATGCAAATACATGCTACGTGTGGTCACCCGCATGCACTCTCCTCATCCACCCATGCTACTGGCATTTTTATTAATAAAATAAAGTAATATGTCATCAGTTCTCATATAAACATCTTTATATGTTTTCTTCTTTTAATTATCTTTCTTCTTTTCCTCCAAGTTTTTCTTCTGCAAACTGATTAAGGAGTCTTTTGTGGTTCCACATGAATTTTAGGATTTTTTTTTCTATTTCTGTGAAAAATGTCAGTAGAATTTTCACAGAGTTTGCATTGAATCTGTAGGTCATTTTGGGTAGTATGGACATTTTAATAATAGTCATTCTTCCAATTTATGAACAGGAGATATCTTTCTATTTATTTGTCATGAACTTTTCCATTTCTTTCATCAAAGTTTTATAGTTTTCAGTATGCAGATGTTTCATCTCCATGGCTGAATTTATTCCCAAATATTTTCTTCTTTTTGTTGTTATTGTAAATGACATTAAAAAAATCCTTTTGAGATAATTCATTTTATGGTATAGAAATACAACTGGCTTTTTTTTACTAGATTGAGTCTCACTGTCACCCTGGCTGGAGTGCAGTGGCGCGATCTTGCCTCACTGCAACCTCTGCCTCCTGTGTCCAAGCGATTCTCCTGCCTCAGCCTCCCAAGTAGCTGTGATTACAGGCGCCAGCCACTACGCCCAGCTAATTTTTTGTATTTTTGGTAGAGATGGGGTTTCACCATGTTGGCCAGGCTGGTCATGAACTCCTGACCTCCTGATTCGCCCATCTCGGCCTCCCAAAGTGCTGGGATTACAGGTGCGAGCCACTGCACCTGGCCACAACTGACTTTTCTTTTTTCTTTTTTTTTTAAATTATACTTTAAGTTCTAGGGTACATGTACACAACATGCAGGTTTGTTACATATGTATACATGTGCCATGTTGGTGTGCTGCACCCATTAACTTGTCATTTACATTAGGTATATCTCCTCATGCTATCCTTCCCCCCTCCCCCCACCCTACGACAGGCCCTGGTGTGTGATGTTCCCCTTCCTGTGTCCAAGCATTCTCATTGTTCAATTCCCACCTATGAGTGAGAACGTGCAGTGTTTGGTTTTTTGTCCTTGTAATAGTTTGCTGAGAATGATGGTTTCCAGCTTCATCCATGTCCCTACAAAGGACATGAACTCATCCTTTTTTATGGCTGCATAGTATTCCATGGTGTATATGTGACACATTTTCTTAAGCCAGTCTATCTTTGATGGACATTTGGGTTGGTTCCCAGTCTTTGCTATTGTGAATAGTGCCGCAATGAACATATGTTCATCTGTGTTTATAGCAGCATGATTTATAATCCTTTGGGTATATACCCAGTAATAGGATGGCTGGGTCAAATGGTATTTCTAGTTCTAGATCCTTGAGGAATCGCCACACTGACTTCCACAATGGTTGAACTAGTTTACAGTCCCACCAACAGTGTAAAAGTGTTCCTATTTCTCCACATCCTCTCCAGCACCTGTTGTTTCCTGACTTTTTTAATGATCACCATTCTAACTGGTGTGAGACGGTATCTCACTGTTGTTTTGATTTGCATTTCTCTGATGGCCAGTGATGATGAGCATTTTTTCATGTGTCTTTTGGCTGCATAAATGTCTTCTTTTGAGAAGTGTCTGTTCATATCCTTCGCCCACTTGTTGATGGGTTTGTTTGTTTTTTTTCTTGTAAATTTGTTTGAGTTCATTGTAGATTCTGGATATTAGCCCTTTGTCAGATGAGTAGGTTGCAAAAATTTTCTCCCATTCTGTAGGTTACCCGTTCACGCTGATGGTAGTTTCTTTTGCTGCTGATGGTAGTTTCTTTTGCTGTGCAGAAGCTCTTTAGTTTAATTAGATCCCTTTTGTCAATTTTGGCTTTTTTTGCCATTGCTTTTGGTGTTTTAGACATGAAGTCCTTGCCCATGCCTATGTCCTGAATGGTACTGCCTAGGTTTTCTTCTAGGGTTTTTATGGTTTTAGGTCTAAGATTTAAGTCTTTAATCCATCTTGAATTAATTTTTGTATAAGGTGTAAGGAAGGGATCCAGTTTCAGCTTTCTACATATGGCTAGCCAGTTTTCCCAGCACCATTTATTAAATAGGGAATCCTTTCCCCATTGCTTGTTTTTCTCAGGTTTGTCAAAGATCAGACGGTTGTAGATGTGTGGTATTATTTCCGAGGGCTCTATTCTGTTCCATTGGTCACAAGCGCTATGATGAAGAGTAGTTTTGATGATATTGAATCATAGTATCACTGAGCAACAAATGCAACAAGCAGCCAGAGAAAGGATAGGATCAGGGGAGGAAAAGGTAATTTACCATAAAGATAAAATGTCTATTTCAGTTGGGTAAACAGCAGAGATAGGAAAAAAAATTATCCCTTCAAAATAAAAAAGTTGTTATTATTATAATAAAAGTAATATAGACTTATTGAAACCTAATTTAATGATATCAGTAATTATCATTATTTTTAACATCTTGCTGTCTATCATGCTATATTAAAATACTTTCATTAACTTAATCAATTGAACTTCACATACAATTTTAAACTATTTTGTTAATATGCCAAAAATATACCACGTAATACAAGAAATATCTTAATATATCATAAATGTCAACAAATATGGAAGCACAAAGATATAATAACTGCATGTTTCATTACATGATTATATGAGAATTTACATAACTAGTGCTTTGATACACTCACTAGTATTGATTGCTTCTCATTTTTCTATATTTTAAGTAATGCTGTAATAAACATCTTGTGTACATTTTGTTTGTCTAATTGTTTTAAGATAATTTCTAGAAATTGACTTGATATGTCCTAAGGTATGCACATTTAAATTCTGATATATATTTTACCAAATTGCCATTGTGAAAAGCTGTACTAATTTGTTCCTATGAGTAGGATTTGAGAATATGTTTCTTCCAGCCAGTTGCTGCTTAGTGTGTTATCAATTTTTGAACTTTTGCCATAGTGATTAAAAACTCTGTATTTTACTATCTCATTTCTATGACTATAAAAAACTGGAATATTTTTGTTAATAATTTTATTTCTATATGTTACTATATAGTGAACCATATTTGCTATTATATATACAGAAATATAAATTTTGATATATACTGCATACTGTGTTATTTATATCTTAGCTTTATATATAATTATATTTATATATAATTAAAAATTTTTACGTTAAATTTTTACGAAGTCAAGGTAATCTTTTTCTTTTTTTTTATTTTATTTTATAGAGATGTGGTCTCACTGTGTTGCCTAGGCTAGTCTCAAACTCCTGGCCTCAAACTATCATCCCACCTTAGCCTCCCAAAGTGCCGGGATCACAAGTATGAGATAATCTTTTTCTTTATACTTTGTGGCCTTTAAATCGGCATCTTAATGTTATGTAAATAATAACACTTATTAACAATATTATAATAATTTACATCGTGTTTTATAGTTTAGCAAGTGCTAATCTCAGATTCTTAGAAAAACTTATTTATCCATTCAATATTATCTCATTTAATCTTTTCAAAATATCATTTAATCTTCACAAAAGCCTTGTGAAGGCAGAAAATATGATTGCCATTTAACAGGTAAGGAAATAGATTTAAAATATTTAAGCTTAGATAGTTAGTTAAATGGTAGTTCTGGACTTTAAATCTAGTTGAGAAATTTAAAGCAGACTCTGTCATTACAAAAGCCAGGAAAAATGACTTATTGGTAACACTGATGTCCTGCCTTCCCTGTGCTTTGGACTTCATAGCCGTTCAAGTTCCTGTTCATACTGATAAAATACACACCTGCAAAATGTCAGTGACAGTAAACAATTTTTTGTGCATCTTAAAAATTATGACTTATACTTAGCAATTTTGTTGTGAGAGTGGATCATTGCTTACTTTCCCAAAGAGCTTTGCATCTCAGGGACCAGCCAGGTTTCACCTTGGAGCTGTTTCTGCAGACCAGCTACTGGAACGAGAATCCTGCTAAGGCCATTAACAATTGAATCAGACTATCTGGAGCAGTGGTAGGGATGACTCAGTTACCCCAAAGTGTCCCTGCAAAGGATGGAAGTCCAGCTGCTTCATGTCCCAGAATGTGGGAAGAGGGCAGGAAAACATATTTGCTGTGAAAGAGCATTTCCCACAAATTTGTTTTCAGTTAGGGCCTGATGTTGTCTTACTGAAGCCGGGAAGAGGATTGACTTCTCACTCTACTCCTACATTTAGGGAGTTGAGAAATCTTTTCCTGATTCAAGCAAAAAGAAATTTTGGAAAACTGAAGGGGCTGAAAAACTATTCTTGGAAATCTAGACTGTTTTAAGTAGAATCTTAAGGGAAAAGGGAGAAATTATTGGGAAGGCCCTCTATCAGTTCTAAAATTGGCTTGAATACTTTGACTCTAATGATTTTTTTTGGTCTGCTATTAATGTCGAAGTTTTTGTTTGTTTGCTTTCTTGGTTAAAGTTCAAAACAATATGTAGGAAGAATCATGAACATTGGATGTCAACATCCCCAGGATCCTTTCTCTGATAATTGTCTTGGTTTGGGTCAGGCGGCACTGTCTATGCCTCGTTTCCACCTCCAGCTCACCTCTATCATAGTTCTTAACGCAAGAGGTTACCGTGAGATTTATTGTCTATCTCTTTTCCCGACTGTGAGATTCTTTAATATAAAGATTATTATTTATCTTTGCACCTCAGGGCCAAACTGTCTAGCACAGAAATAGTTTGGAAAAAGTTGGCTATGATTTCCTAAACACTGGAATGCCACCACTGAGAGGATGAGAAACCAATACGTTGTTAAATTTGATGTGAAAATCAGCACATAAAATGTTGATTGGTCCAATCAATGATATGGTACAACCCTTCACAAGGTGCCGTGAGAGCACAGAGAAGGCCTTCTCTACTTACTCTGGTAGGATTAAAAGAGGCTTCCTGGAGGATGTGACGCTTCGCCTGAAATCTTACATGCCTTCCAATGGTGTGCTGGGGTGGTTCATACTTGTTTAGGAGAGTCAATGGTTAATTTTTCAGGAATTTTGTGAAACAATCTTTAAACACAGCCAGTATTTTTTTTAAATCAATCTTTTTGAAACTTAAAACTGAATGAATTTTATTAAAAACAAAAGTAATAAATACTCAAAACTCTTCACTTCCTAATTATTTCACCACATTTTGCTATTATCTATGCTCTTAAGGTTATTTATTTCTCTGGTATCTGTATGAGGGCAATTTTCTATATTCAACATTTACACCATGGAAATTAGCAAAGCCTACAAACCAGAGTAGTAATCTTTTTTTCCCCAGACAGTAGGTTGTTAAATATTCTCTCTGACTCATTAACCATATTCACTTGAACAACAAGTCTTGCCTATTCAACCTCATTCATATCTCAAACTCTCAAAAATGTGTCCCCTCTTCACTTGGAAGCCCCTGCTTTCAATCAGGCTTTCTCTGCACTACTCTTGCAGTTGCTTCTTAAATGATCTTTGTGCTCCAATCTATTCACTTTCCAGCCCATTTTCTACATGGTAGTCAGAATGATTCTTCCTAAAAACAAACTTACCAAGTAATTTCTTTTTTCATTAATCCTCCAATAGCACCTAGAGTTTGCATTCATACATGTAAAGGCTTTCCCTATACTCAAGCACTTTAAGTTAGGACTTCCCCATTTCTTCTCACTGGGATTCTGTTCAGGTTTTCCAGCTTTCTTTCTTTTTCTTTTTCTTTTTTGGCGGAGTCTTGCTCTGTCGCCCAGGCTGGAGTCTCAGCCTCCCGAGTAGCTGGGACTACAGGCGCCCGCCAACACGCCCGGCTAATTTTTTTTGTATTTTTAGTGGAGATGGGGTTTCACCGTGTTAGCCAGGATGGTCTCGATCTCCTGACGTTGTGATCCGCCCGCCTCGGCCTCACAAAGTGCCGGGATTACAGGCATGAGCCACCCCGCCCAGCCTCTTTTTTTCTTTCTTTTCTTTCTCTCGTTTTTTTGTTGTTGTTGTTTTTTGTTTTGTTTTTGTTTGTTTGTTTGTTTTGAGACAGAGTCTTGCGCTGTGGCCCAGGCTGGAGTGCAGTGGCACGATCTCAGCTAACAGCTACCTCCGCTTCCCGGGTTCAAGCGATTATTCCACCTCAGCCTCGCGAGTAGTTGGGACTACAGGCACCCACACTGGGCTAATTTTTTTTTGTATTTTTAGTGAAGACAGGGTTTCACCATGTTAGCCAGGATGGTCTCGATCTCCTGACCTCATGATCCACCCGCCTCTGCAGCTTCTCCAAGTGAACTCATGTGCCGTATCATACCTCAGTGCTTGTCTCATTGTGTTTCTTCTACCCAGAATCTCTTATATGACTTGTTTTTATTAAAGGAGACAGCATAGCTAAGAGCATGTGTTTTTGTCATTTTTCGTCCTCACAGTAGACTGTTTCACTTCTCAGCTGTTACATACCATTTGAGAAAATTTGGGCAAGTGCATTAACTGCTCTGAGCTTTAGTTTTCTCATCTGAATATAGTAATAACAGTGCTTAACCTCTTGGGGTCATTGGAAAGATTAAGGAAGAAAAAACACCACAATTCTTTGTGTAGTGCCTAAAATATAATACTAAAGCAAAGTTAGCTTTTATTATCTTTTGGGAATTTGACTCGTCCTTCAAAATTCAGGACACATTTTTGCGCCCTTGGAATAGTCATCCCTGACCACCTCCCCTTGAAGTGTGATTTAAATATCCCTTTTCAGCTGGGGGCGGTGGCTCACGCCTGCAATCCCAGCACTTGGGGAGGCTGAGGCGGGCAGATCACTTGAGGTAAGGCGTTCGAGACCAGCCTGGTCAACATGTTGAAACCCTGTCTCTACTTAAAATATAAAATTGGCTGGGTGTAGTGGTGCATACCTAAAAATACAAAAACCTGGCGAGACATGGTGGCCCAAGCCTATAATCCCAGCTACTCGGGAGGCTGAGGCAGGAGAATTGCTTGAACCCAGGAGATAGAGGTTGCAGTGAGCCGAGATAGCGCCACTACACTCCAACACTCCAGCCTGGGAAACAGAGCAAGATTCCATCTCAATATATAAATAAATATCCCTTTTCTTTGATGTTCCCTATAGAGCTTTTCATAATGTAACATTAACTTTTACAAATTATTTTAAATCATAACAAAGTAATAGGTTTAACTGGTTTTAAAAACATGCTGAAAGACTGACAAATCCTGTTCTTCTCTGTATCTCTAAATAATAACCATTTTCCTCAAACTTGATTCATTAATTTAGACATAACCTATGGAATTCCAATAATGCTAGATAATGATTTTAGCTCTTACAACTCATTGCGTTTTTTCTATTCTATCATTATACTTATTTCACAATTTAAAAAAATCCATATTTAGTTTTCATTATCATGATTATGTAAATATGATATAGAATTAAATAGGGTATTGTGCTATGAATATATTTACATTTTTGGGGGGATTGCTTCTGTTTGTCCGTCCACCCGCCCACCCGCCCTCCCTTTCCTTCCTTCCTTCCTTCCCCACACCCCCTGCCTTAGTTGACTGGTAGGGGTATCAGTTAGAAATTTGGCTATTTACTTGTAGAATTGCCCCCACCACCTCCAGAAAACATCAGTATCTCTAGACGTTCGCTTGAGAGTAGGTCAATGTTTCTAGATACTTCTTCCAATTTTCTGCCAGGAGCTAGGGGTATCGAGTGATATCAAGTTTGACTGCCTGTGTCCTGTGCTTGGGTGAGGGTTGGCTGTCTTACTGTTCAGGAGGAAGTATGTTATTTACCCCCTCGTTTTTAATTTGAGGACTTACCCTTGCTCTCCTCTCTGCATTGTGTTTCCAAGTTCAGGGTCTCTGTGGTTCAGTTATTCCACAGATTATTACCCTCATATCCTTCCAACTGAACTCAACTCCCTGGGGGTGGAGCTGGGGGATATTGGTGTATAATTTCCTTTTATACCTTTTTTCCTCTAATGCCTATGCAACATCTGAGCGTGAGGTAATGGCACCTGCCAGGGTTTTAGATAAGCACAAACTGTGTAGAAGAGGTTAGAAAGTTGTCCACAATGAATTAAAACTTTCCTGCAGTTATGTATAGAACACATGAAAGGGCTGGAACATAAGAGATTGATTGTATTTAAATACATTTTTATTTTAAGAATGGTTGATGAGTAAGTTGGAAATAAATGCATTCGGTGGGACAGAAACATAAGAAAGACTTGTACATTTTTAATGATGAGTCAAATATGGAAAGCTTGACCAGCAGACATAATTTTAGCACCTGTAGATGAACTACGGCGTTGTTTTATAATGTGGAAGAAAAACTCAAGTTTGTAAAGAAGGCCTTTAGTATTTCCAAGAATTGCAAATAAGAGTGTCCTCTATATATCATGCACTTTATGTTCCTTATTTCGTTTAATCCTCACAACCACTATCTGAGATGGGAACTTTTACCATCCCCATTTCCAACAGGAGTCAACTGACTTAGAGTCTGACATAATTAGGTAAAAGCAAGAATGAAATCCTGACAGTCTAAGGCAAGAGCTTAGAATTTTTGAGCATTACGTTGTACTGTCTCCCAGGAAAGCATATGCCAATTGGCAAACAATCTGTTGCTAACTTGCCACTTAGACTTCCTAGGATAAAATTGCTGACCATCTTTCTTTCTGTGTGATTCAAATAGGATGGGGTGACTATTGGCTTTGTGACTAATTTTGTGTCTGTAATTTGAAAAAAATAGCACAGTGCTCACACTCTGTCTTAGTGCACATACTGTGCCATTGCCCATTTGCCCAATTCTGTTCCAAAGATCCATCACATGGTCAGGTGCAGTGGCTCACGTCTGTAATCCCAGCACTTTGGGAGGCTGAGGCAGGTGAATCACCTGAGGTCAGGAGTTCAAGACCAGCCTGACCAATATGGTGAAATCCCGCCTCTACTAAAAATATAAAAATTAGCTGGGAGTGGTGGTGTGTACCTATAATCCCAGCTACTCAGGAGGCTGAGACAGGAGAATCTCTTGAACCCAGGATGTGGAGGTTGCTATGAGCCAAGATTGTGCCACTGCACTCCAGCCTGGGCGAGAGAGCAAGACTTCATCTCAAGAACAAAACAAAACAAAAATCCATCACACTAACAGCTGCTTTTTTTGATTGTAATGGATTGAACAGGATTTCTGCTATAGGAAACAGTAAATGAGACAGCAGCTTTATTGTCATGTGACTTAATTTTACCTCTTCTCTTGGTGCTATGTTTTTGACATTATTTTAATGATAGATTTTTCTATCAAAATTGAGTTTCTCTAGTTACTTGACATTCAGAAAGAAGGTTGAATTCTTTGTCAAATGAATATTTATTGGAAAGGTGGTAGTGGAGTGGGTCCGTATGACTGCCTAATATGAAAATCAATTTGAGCATTCAATCAGCTCCAAATTCAGATACTTCAAGGGGATTGTTGAACTCCATGTATACCCTCATGCTACCTAGAAGTGAAGAGAGACCAAACTCTAGGCATGATAGAGCAAGTAATAGGAACATTTGAATTGAAACTTATGATTACTTTGAGAATCAACTGAGTGGTGCACAGTAGAAATCTAATAAGGTTCACACACATAATAAGATCCAGAAATAAAATGTAAAGAGCACCAAAAGTCATTCAAATTTCAAAGGAATTCACTGCTATTCTTATGTAATCCTCCATGTCATTCTTATGATTTCAATCCTGCCAAGTGGACATAGCAACCATCTCTGGAACTGCATAACAAGGTGAGCTGAGATAGAGAACATGGAACTGGTGCTGAACTATATCCACACATTACCTCTTTTCTTAAAGAAGTAAATCTTGTTGGCTGCTGGGTTCTGTGTACATGATCTGAAAGCTCTGTGGCAGGGAGGACTCTGAATCAAAAACAGCTCCCCACATTATTCATGACCATAGACTTATGCCTCCTCATTGGAAGAAATCTTAGATATCTTTAAAGTGGAGATCTATGAATAAAAAGTCACAGATCAAAGAGTAGAAACATTTATAGTCATGAATGCTTTTTAAGTAATTCATATAAAAGCTTTCACATCATACATTTTGCTTACTTTGAACATCCTGTTTTGGATCCTATGAGGTGCCTGTGGGTTAAATGTGATATGAATATTGGCAGTTGAAGCAGGCGGAGTTCTATTGGAGGACAACTTGTAGTGGTCTAAGTGGTCATTCTGAGGCAGACAGCAAAAATTATAAAATAATTTGGAAACTATGCATTTAATATGGCAGGAACATAAGCCATCAGCAAATAATCTTATTATATAAGCTACCATGTTTGCTCCTTTTAATTACTTTATGGAATTGTGACTCAATGAAAATAGAAAAATAAAATGGTGGCATAGAAGACTCATTTTAAGAGCAGAAATCTCTGTTTTCTTAATATTTAACTTATTTATTGATTCATTAATTTATCAAATAAACATATGTGGAGTGCCTATTAATATAGTAGACATTCCAAATGTTGCCTTCTTGTATGACCCTGAACAAGGCATTTGAATTCTGAGAGTTAATCTCTCTTTTTTTTTTCTTTTATTATTATTATACTTTAAGTTTTAGGGTACATGTGGACAATGTGCAGGTTACTTACATATGTATACATGTGCCATGCTGGTGTGCCGCATCCATTAACTTATCATTTAGCATTAGGTATATCTCCTAAAGCTATCCCTCCCCCCGCCCCCCACCCCACAACAGACCCCAGAGTGTGATGTTCCCCTTCCTGTGTGCATGTGTTCTCATTGTTCAATTCCCACCTATGAGTGAGAATATGCGGTGTTTGGTTTTTTGTTCTTGCGATAGTTTACTGAGAATGATGATTTCCAATTTCATCCATGTCCCTACAAAGTACATGAACTCATCGTTTTTTATGGCTTCATAGTATTCCATGGTGTATATGTGCCACATTTTCTTAATCCAGTCTATCATTGTTGGACATTTGGGTTGGTTCCAAGTCTTTGCTATTGTGAATAGTGCCACAATAAACATACGTGTGCATGTGTCTTTATAGCAGCATGATTTATAATCCTTTGGGTATATACCCAGTAATGGGATGGCTGGGTCAAATGGTATTACTAGTTCTAGATCCCTGAGGAATCGCCACACTGACTTCCACAATGGTTGAACTAGTTTACAGTCCCACCAACAGTGTAAAAGTGTTCCTATTTCTCCACATCCTCTCCAGCACCTGTTGTTTCCTGACTTTTTAATGATCTCCATTCTAACTGGTGTGAGATGGTATCTCATTGTGGTTTTGATTTGCATTTCTCTGATGGCCAGTGATGATGAGCATTTTTTCATGTGTTTTTTGGCTGCATAAATGTCTTCTTTTGAGAAGTGTCTGTTCATGTCCTTCACCCACTTTTTGATGGGGTTGTTTGTTTTTTTCTTGGAAATTTGTTTGAGTTCATTGTAGATTCTGGATCTTAGCCCTTTCTCAGATGAGTAAGTTGCGAAAATTTTCTCCCATTTTGTAGGTTACCTGTTCACTCTGACAGTAGTTTCTTTTGCTGTGCAGAAGCTCTTTAGTTTAATTAGATCCCATTTGTCAATTTTGGCTTTTGTTGCCATTGCTTTTGGTGTTTTAGACATGAAGTCCTTGCCCATGCCTATGTCATGAATGGTAATGCCTAGGTTTTCTTCTAGGGTTTTTATGGTTTTAGGTCTGACATTGAAGTCTTTAATCCATCTTGAATTAATTTTTGTATAAGGTGTAAGGAAGGGATCCAGTTTCAGCTTTCTACATATGGCTAGCCAGTTTTCCCAGCACCATTTATTAAATAGGGAATCCTTTCCCCATTGCTTGTTTTTCTCAGGTTTGTCAAAGATCAGATAGTTGTAGATATGCGGCATTATTTCTGAGGGCTCTGTTCTGTTCCATTGATCTATATCTCTGTTTTGGTACCAGTACCATGCTGTTTTGGTTACTATAGCCTTGTAGTATAGTTTGAAGTCAGGTAGTGTGATGCCTCCGGCTTTGTTCTTTTGGCTTAGGATTGACTTGGCAATGCAGGCTCTTTTTTGGTTCCATATGAACTTTAAAGTAGTTTTTCCCAATTCTGTGAAGAAAGTCATTGGTAGCTTGATGGGGATGGCATTGTATCTATAAATTACCTTGGGCAGTATGGCCATTTTCATGATATTGATTCTTCCTACCCATGAGCATGGAATGTTCTTCCATTTCTTTGTATCGTCTTTCATTTCATTCAGCAGTCGTTTGTAGTTCTCCTTGAAGAGGTCCTTCACGTCCCTTGTAAGTTGGATTCCTAGGTATTTTATTCTCTTTGAAGCAATTGTGAATGGGAGTTCACTCATGATTTGGCTCTCTGTTTGTCTGTTGTTGGTGTATAGGAATGCTTGTGATTTTTGTACATTGATTTTGTATCCTCAGACTTTGCTGAAGTTGCTTATCAGCTTAAGGAGATTTTGGGCTGAGATGATGGGGTTTTCTAGATATGCAATCATGTCATCTGCAAACAGGGACAATTTGACTTCCTCTTTTCCTAATTGAATACCCTTATTTCCTTCTCCTGCTTAATTGCCCTGGCCAGAACTTCCAACACTATGTTGAATAGGAGTGGTGAGACAGGGCATCCCTGTCTTATGCCTGTTTTCAAAGGGAATGCTGCCAGTTTTTGCCCATTCAGTATGATATTGGCTGTGGGTTTGTCATAGATAGCTCTTATTATTTTGAGATACGTCCCATCAATACCTAATTTATTGAGAGTTTTTAGCATGAAGGTTGTTGAATTTTGTCAAAGGCCTTTTCTGCATCTATTGAGATAATCATGTGGTTTTTGTCTTTGGTTCTGTTTATATGCTGGATTATATTTATTGATTTGCGTATATTGAACCAGCCTTGCACCCCAGGGATGAAGCCCACTTGATCATGGTGGATAAGCTTTTTGATGTGCTGCTGGATTCGGTTTGCCAGTATTTAATTGAGGTTTTTTGCGTCAATGTTCATCAAGGATATTGGTCTAAAGTTCTCTTTTTTTTCTTGTGTCTCTGCCAGGCTTTGGTATCAGGATGATGCTGGCCCCATAAAATGAGTTAGGGAGGATTCCCTCTTTTTCTATTGATTGGAATAGTTTCAGAAGGAATGATACCAGTTCCTCCTTGTACTCTGGTAGAATTCGGCTGTGAATCCATCTGGTTCTGGACTCTTTCTTGTTGGTAAGCTATTGATTATTGCCACAATTTCAGATCCTGTTATTGGTCTATTCAGAGATTCAACTTCTTCCTGGTTTAGTCTTGGGAGGGTGTATGTGTCGAGGAATTTATCCATTTCTTCTAGATTTTCTAGTTTATTTGCATAGAGGTGTATGTAGTATTCTTTGACGGTAGTTTGTATTTCTGTGCGATCAGTGGTGATATCCCCTTTATCATTTTTTTATTGCGTCTATTTGATTCTTCTCTCTTTTCTTCTTTATTAGCCTTGTTAGTGGTCTATCAATTTTGTTGATCCTTTCCAAAAACCAGCTCCTGGATTCATTAATTTTTTGAAGGGTTTTTTTGTGTCTCTATTTCCTTCAGTTCTGCTCTGATTTTAGTTATTTCTTACCTTCTGCTAGCTTTTGAATGTGTTTGCTCTTGCTTTTCTAGTTCTTTTAATTGTGATGTTAGGGTGTCAATTTTGGATCTTTCCTGCTTTCTCTTGTGGGCATTTAGTGCTATAAATTTCCCTCTACACACTGCTTTGAATGTGTCCCAGAGATTCTGGTATTTTGTGTCTTTGTTCTCGTTGGTTTCAAAGAACATCTTTATTTCTGCCTTCATTTCGTTCTGTACCCAGTAGTCTTTCAGGAGCAGGTTGTTCAGTTTCCATGTGGTTGAGCGGTTTTGAGTGACATTCTTAATCCTGAATTCTAGTTTGATTGCACTGTGGTCTGAGAGACTGTTATAATTTCTGGTCTTTTACATTTGCTGAGGAGAGCTTCACTTCCAACTATGTGGTCAGTTTTGGAATAGGTATGGTGTGGTGCTGAAAAAAATGTATATTCTGTTGATTTGGGGTAGAGAGTTCTGT
This sequence comes from Homo sapiens, assembly GCF_000001405.40. Classification (NCBI taxonomy): domain Eukaryota; kingdom Metazoa; phylum Chordata; class Mammalia; order Primates; family Hominidae; genus Homo; species Homo sapiens. The sequence continues at coordinate 121,054,192 of NC_000008.11, forward strand.
AGATGTCTATTAGGTCCACTTGGTGTAGAGCTGAGTTCAATTCCTGGGTTTCCTTGTGAACTTTCTGTCTTGTTGATCTGTCTATTGTTGACAGTGGGGTGTTAAAGTCTCCCATTATTATTGTGTGGGAGTCTAAGTCTCTTTGTAGGTCATTCAGGACTTGCTTTATGAATCTGGGTGCTCCTATGTTGGGTGCATATATATTTAGGGTAGTTAGCTCTTCTTGTTGAATTGATCCCTTTACCATTATGTAATGGCCTTCTTTGTCTCTTTTGATCTTTGCTGGTTTAAAGTCTGTTTTATCAGAGACTAGGATTGCAACCCCTGCCTTTTTTTGTTTTCCATTTGCTTGGTAGATCTTCCTCCATCCTTTTATTTTGAGCCTATGTGTGTCTCTGCATGTGAGATGGGTTTCCTGAATACAGCACACTGATGGGTCTTGACTCTTTATCCAGTTTCCAGTCTGTGTCTTTTAATTGGAGCATTTAGTCCATTTACATTTAAAGTTACTATTGTTATGTGTGAATTTGATCCTGTCATTATGATGTTAGCTGGTTATTTTGCTCATTAGTTGATGCAGTTTCTTCCTAGGCTCAATGGTCTTTACAATTTGGCATGATTTTGCAGTGGCTGATACTGGTTGTTCCTTTCCATGTTTAATGTTTCCTTCAGGAGCTCTTGTAGGGCAGGCCTGGTGGTGACAAAATCTCTCAGCGTTTGCTTGTCTGTAAAGTGTTTTATTTCTCCTTCACTTATGAAGCTTAGTTTGGCTGGATATGAAATTCTGGGTTGAAAATTCTTTTCTTTAAGAAGTTGAATATTGGCCCCCACTTTCTTCTGGCTTGTAGGGTTTCTGCCGAGAGATCCGCTGTTAGTCTGTTGGGCTTCCCTTTGTGGGTAACCCGACCTTTCTCTCTGGCTGCCCTTAACATTTTTTCCTTCATTTCAACTTTGGTGAATCTGACAATTACGTGTCTTGGAGTTGCTCTTCTCGAGGAGTATCTTTGTGGCATTCTCTGTATTTTCTGAATCTGAATGTTGGCCTGCCTTGCTAGATTGGGGAAGTTCTCCTGGATAATATCCTGCAGAGTGTTTTCCAACTTGGTTCCATTCTCCCCATCACTTTCAGGTACACCAATCAGACGTAGATTTGGTCTTTTCACATAGTCCGATATTTCTTGGAGGCTTTGTTCATTTCTTTTTATTCTTTTTTCTCTAAACTTCCCTTCTTGCTTCATTTCATTCATTTCATCTTCCATCGCTGATATCCTTTCTTCCAGTTGATCGCATCGGCTCCTGAGGCTTCTGCATTCTTCACGTAGTTCTCAAGCCTTGTCTTTCAGCTCCGTCAGCTCCTTTAAGCACTTCTCTGTATTGGTTATTCCTGTTATATATTCGTCTAAATTTTTTTCAAAGTTTTCAACTTCTTTGCCTTTGGTTTGAATTTCCTCCTGTAGCTCGGAGTAGTTTGATCATCTGAAGCCTTCTTCTCTCAACTCATCAAAGTCATTCTCCGTCCAGCTTTGTTCCATTGCTGGTGAGGAGCTGCGTTCCTTTGGAGGAGGAGAGGCGCTCTGCTTTTTAGAGTTTCCAGTTTTTCTGTTCTGTTTTTTCCCCATCTTTGTGGTTTTATCTACTTTCGGTCTTTGATGATAGTGATGTCCAGATGGGTTTTTGGTGTGGATGTCCTTTCTGTTTGTTAGTTTTCCTTCTAACAGAGAGGACCCTCAGCTGCACGTCTGTTGGAGTTTCCTAGCGGTCCACTCCAGACCCTGTTTGCCTGCAGCGGTGGCTGCAGAACAGTGGATTTTCATGAACCGTGAATGCTGCTGTCTGATCGTTCCTCTGGAAGTTTTGTCTCAGAGGAGTACCCAGCCCTGTGAGGTGTCAGTCTGCTCCCGCTGGGGGGTGCCTCCCAGTTAGGCTGCTTGGGGGTCAGGGGTCAGGGACCCACTTGAGGAGGCAGTCTGCCAGTTCTCAGATCTCCAGCTGTGTGCTGGGAGAACCACTGCTCTCTTCAAAGCTGTCAGACAGGGACATTTAAGTCTACAGAGGTTACTGCTGTCTTTTTGTTTGTCTGTGCCCTGCCCCCAGAGGTGGAGCCTACAGAGGCAGGCAGGCCTCCTTGAGTTGTGGTTGGCTCCACCCAGTTCGAGCTTCCGGGCTGCTCTGTTTACCTAAGCAAGCCTGGGCAATGGCGGGTGCCCCTCCCCTAGCCTTGCTGCTGCCTTGCTGTTTGATCTCAGACTGCTGTGCTAGCAATCAGGGAGACTCCATAGGCGTAGGACCCTCCCAGCCATGTGCGGGATATAATCTCCTGGTGCACCATTTTTTAAGCCCGTTGGAAAAGCGCAGTATTAGGGTGGGAGTGACCCGATTTTCCAGGTGTCGTCTGTCATCCCTTTCTTTGACTAGGAAAGGGAACTCCCTGACCCCTTGCTCTTCCTGAGTGAGGCAATGCCTCACCCTGCTTCGGCTCGCTGCACCCACTGTCCTGCGCCCTCTGTCTGGCACTCCCTAGTGAGATGAACCCGGTACCTCAGATGGAAATGCAGAAATCACCCGTCTTCTGCGTCGCTCACGCTGGGAGCTGTAGACCGGAGCTTTTCCTCTCTTTTTTTTTCTTTGAGACAGAGTCTTGCTCTGTGGCCCAGGCTGGAGTGCAGTGGCGTGATCTCGGCTCACTGAAAGCTCTGCATCCCGGGTTCATGCCATTCTCCTGCCTCAGCCCCCCATGTAGCTGGGACTACAGGTGGGTGCCACCACACCCAGCTAATTTTTGTATTTTTAGTAGAGACGGGGTTTCACTGTGTTAGCCAGGATGGTCTCTATCACCTGACCTCGTGATCCACCCACTTTGGCCTCCCAAAGTGCTGGGATTACAGGCGTGAGCCACTGCGCCTGACAATCTCTTCTTTTTTATACTGTAAGAGAGAAGGATGACATAATTCTTATAATAGAAAAAAATACCTAAAATATAGTGTGCATGTGTATGTATGTTTGAACAGCAATAAATTTAGAAAGTGTTTAGAATAGCAATTTATAAATGCTATATAACATAATATGCACTATTAGCATAACTATTTTAAAAGAATTAGGAATACCTTTTTAACTTAGAGAGGAAAAAGTGGAGGGAATCCTGGATGTCACATTTCCCTCAGACTATTTCCCTAAAGAGACATTTATTAGGATAATATTCAGTAATAAGCCTTTGTATTTTTCAGATCAATTTTCTCCTTGAAGTCAGTTAAATTTTCCTTGGGTGCCATGGTCGTCTTCTGAACCAGATTCTGACTACCTCGACCGTGGGTTCCCATGGCTGTTCCTTCCCATGTCCACCATTGTTTGGCTTTTCACCATATGACAGTGGTCTAGTTCACAGCGGGAACACTTTGACTAAAATAGTGTTACTGAGAGCCAGATTGTTTTTACTATTGCTGAATGGATTTCTTATATTTGCAGATCCAGTTACACTTAATTTTAGCTGAACTGTTTCCTTCTTAAATCTGGAAGCTTAGGTATTACTATACCATTTGTTTCTCTCTCTCTCTCTTTTTTTCTGTTTCTCTTTTTAGTATCCCATTTGTAGATGAAGGAACTGAGCCTCAGTGTCATAACCAGTAAATGGTCATTTCAGGAAAGAAGCTCAACACTAAAATGTTTCAGTGTCTATTCAACTGCCTAGTGGTTCCCAATGAGGTGCTACATCTTGTTATGGGTGTGCATAAGAATCTCAGTGTATGGCAGTCTATGAAGTTTTAAAATAGGTAAACACTCAGACTAAAAGAGAATTCATTTGTTTTAGCCATATCTAATTTGTTTGAAAATTTTAACAAAGAGAGAATGAAGTTTTTATGTTAATCTAAGGAATATATATTAAGTCATTTGAGTCCACCTTAGTAATTTTTATTATGTAAATCTCATGTTGGTATTATTTTTGCTTGGCATTTTTATTTAAATATGATTATTGCTTTTGGTTAAATATATTTTTAAATGAAACTATATCATTGCCATAAATGGAAAACTGGGATAGCTTGCCATAAAAATAAGGTAGCCAATAAATAGAGATAACTACTGAAAAGAAACATAAATGTATCCAAAGACCTCATAAAATCGTTACTTGCTTACTTGTACTTGGAATGAACCACACTTTGAGAAACTCTGATTTTAGAAAATATGAGAAACATTGTATTATTCTATACTACCTCTGCTAGTGAGGTTCAACATTTCCATACCTTACTAAAACTGACTTGAATTTATAGGGCCCATAATTTTGTGTGCCCTGTAATTTGTGAAAATTGCTTATTTCTACCTGCCGTGGTGTTGTCTGCTAATTGTTATCTAAAATCTAACCTCTTCTTAGTTCAGTAGTAGATCTATGTAGCTATCTATCTATGTATCTATCTACCTATCCCTCCATCATTTATTTTTCACATCATCAGTTTAAAAGGAAAGTGTTTGTGTTATGCTTTCCTTTCTTCTTTCTCATAGGCTAGAATGTGGGCACAGTGGTGGTGAACTATCTGAATACACCCTAGGGAATCAGAGAACAAAAGAAGGGGCTTGACTTGTGGGATGACCTTGTGGAGAAGACTGCCTACCCCTCTAGATAGTTTATCAGCATAAACTTTTATGAAATACTATTCAACAATAGAAAATGAACTACTGGATAAATAAACTGTGATACATCTAGACAATGGAATATTATTCAGCACTACAAAAAAAAGATGAACTATCAAGCCAGGCAAAGATGTAGAGGAATCTTCAATTCGTATTACTAAGTGAAAGAAGCCAACATGAAATGGCTACATAGTCTATGATTCCAATTATATGACATTCTGCAAAAGGCAAAACTATGGAAACAGCAAAAAGATCAGTGGTTTCCGGGAGTTAGGAGGCAGGGAGGGATGAATAGGCAGAGCACAGTGCATTTTTAGAGCAGTGAAACTATTCTGTATGATACTATAATGACAGATATCTGTGGTTATATATTTAACAAAATGCACAGAATGTATAACATCAAGAGTCAACCCTAAACTGTGGACTTTAGATGGTAATGATGTGTCAGTGTAAGTTTATCAATTGTAACAAATATACTGCTGTGGTGTGGGGCATTGATAGTTGGGGAGTTTGTGTACGTGTAGGGGCTTGGCGTATATAGGAACTCTATGTTTTGCTCAGTTTTGCTGTGAACCTAAAATTTCTCTAAAAGTCTATTAAAATAACAAATATTTTATACATAGTATATCCTGTGAAAGTTAAAGGAGAGGATTAAACATATTCAACGTGTGAGACAATATAAAATTCCTAGAAACCACTATTTTGGTTCATTTGGACCAAAGTATCTCAGTAGGTTGGAAAGTTTAGTTGTCTAATTCACAAACTTAGCACTTCATCTACTCAACAGAGACTTCCAGAATTAATCATCTAGGAAGCTGGCCAGGATGCAATTGGAATAACAACAGGAAAACCAAAAATGATTTTCTAGTTTATACACTCATATATACAGTGTACATCACTACTATAGAAAGAAGAGTCAAAAATTAATATCCTCTGCAAATGGAAGAGTCCACACAGAAACCAAATACATTTCTGGAATGCCAATGACAATTAAAGTTACATTGAATGTAAAGGCATTAATATTCTTTAGCCAGTGTATACCCTGCTAATGTCTGGTGACAACTCTCTGATGTTCTCTCTCACTTTTTCATTAAAAAAAAGACAAAGTTCCTGTTTTACATAAATTGAAGAGCCTTTAAAATTACTTTTTCTCATCCTCCTCTTTCATAAATGTTTTTCAGGCATCGACCTAGTTTATATGACAACACATCCTTTTGAGAAAATCATAAGGTATTTACTTATTGGGTACCTACTGTGTGCATTATTAGAGCAGTTATGACTAAGTGGTCAAGATGAAATACATGAAATTCACTGTGACCTCCATTTGAAGTTTCAAAATTTGCCAACTACAGAATTAAAAATCCATTTACGTTATCAAAGAAGAATTGTCATTATTAACAGACAACATAGTCATTTATGTAGAAAATCAGTTGAATCTACAAAAAAAGATACTAAAACTAAGTAAATTTAGCAAGCCTGCAAGATAAATGATCAATTTTAAATACAAAGAGATAGCACTGTACACCTATCAAAATGGTTAAAACTAAAAACACTGACCATATCTAACATTGGTGAGTATGTGGAGGGACTGGAACTCTTATACACTGCTGGTGGAGGTGTGAAATTGTACACCACATTAGAAAACAGTTTGACAGTGTCTTAAAACATTAAGCATACTTCTACAATATGATCCAGCCATTCTACTTTAGATATTTACCAAAGGGAAATGAAAGCATATGTCCACATGGAGACTTGGATACAAATATTTATAGCAACTCTATTTGAAGTATCTAAAACTTAGTAACAGCTTGATGTCCAAGCACTAAGTAAATAAATAAACTCTGTGTATACATCCAATGATATTCAGCAATGAAAGGAATAAACTACTGATGCACACAACATCATGGAAGAATCTCAAAGTAATTATGTGAAGTGAGAAGCCAAACATACAAAGAATATACTATATACGTTTTCATTTATGTAAAATTCTAAAAAGTGCATACTAATCTATAGACACAAAAAGCAGGTCAATGACTGCCTGGGAATAGGGAAGGGAAGGGATTATGAAGGAGCTTGGGGAAACTTTGGGGTTTTATAGATGTGTTCAGTTTCTTCATTATGGTGGTGGTGTACAGGTTTATGCACATATCAGCACATATCTGTCCGCAGATCTCTTCTGCTGACATAATAAATTCTTTCTGATATCCCTACCTCTTAGCTTTCTAACCCTTTCTCAAGGAAGTCTTGGCATCTTTATCTCAGTTTCTGTTGGCCATCATTATGCCAAATTGCAAGGCATGGTTCTAGGGTTGTATTAGGCTACATTTCAGACATCTCTGGCAGAATAGTGACTCCGAGTCATACATGAAGGCTCCATCAAATGTTAATACATTCCCACTATCTGGCCTTAGTTTTTGCTCCATCTCCTGCCCCATATTAACACCCTCCAGACACACTCTTACACTTTGTTCTCCCAATCCTTGCTAATATACGTGACTGCAGATATTAGTTTTCTACTTGTGCTGTAACAAATAACCACAAATTTAGTGACTTGAAACAACACAGCTTTATTATCTTACATTTTTGTAGGTCAGAAGTCAGTACAAATCACAAGTCTCACTGGACAAAATCAAGTTGTCAGCAGGTGGAGTCTTTCTGGAGGCTTCAGGGGAGAATCTGCTTCCTGCTATTTGAGGTGTTGGTGGGATTTAGTTCCCTGCAATTATAGAACCAAGGACCCTATCTTCTTACTGGTTATAAAATGAGGGCTGTTTCCAGCTTCTAGAGGTTGTTGGATTCCTTGGCCCATGGCTCAATTTCTCCCTTTTTACAGCCAGCAAAAATGAGTTGAGTGCTTCTCTGGTCACATCTCTTCAGACTTACTCCTCTGCCTTTCTCTTCTACCTTTAATGACTCATGTGATTAGATTGGACCAATCCAGGATAATACCCTCATTTTAAGATTCTTAATATTAATCACATCTGCAAAGGCCTTTAGGCATGTAATATTCACAGGTATCAGGGATTAGGGAACAAATATATTTAGTGAGGGAGGGGTTTCTCTGACACACTCAGATTCTATTATTCCTTTGATGTAGATGCTATTTCTTCCTAAAGCAGACACTATAATTTCATGCTGTGCCTTCATGTCCACTTAATCACACAGGATCTCCAGGTAAGGAAACGATTCTCTGGTAAGAGAATTCTCTTGCTAGCATGATTTTGTCCAGGGAAATCAGGGCTTCCAGATTCTCAGCCTCAGATTAATGCATAAACAAATTGTGATATATACATGGAATGTTATTTAGCAATTAAAAGGAACAAACTATTTATATTAGAAGAAAAACAATGAATCTGGAAAGTATTACGTTAAATGAAAGCATAGAGGTTAAAAAAATGTTGTACTGTATAATTCCATTTATGTGACATTCTGGAAAATGCAAAACTATAGATATTTAAAAAAATAGGTCAATAGTTGCCAGAGGCTAAAGGTGAGGGTAAGAGATTGACTTCAAAGGGTCATGAGAGAACTTTTTAGGGTGTTAAAAGTATTTTGGATCTTGATTGTGTTGCTGGTTGCATAAGCATGTGAATTTGTCAAAACTCATTGACCTGTACTCTTACAAGGGGTGAATTTTATTGTATATAAACTACACTTTAATAAATCTGATTTAAAAAAAAAACGAATCTCAGGCTTATCCATTGAATATCCTCATCCAAGGCCACAGAATTTTATTTCTTTCCTGCTGGGTTCCTGACTGTGACATAGGACATCTGTTGAAGCTTGCATTTACTACCCTTTAATGCTCTGCCATCTTTATAATTAGATTAGGGAGGAGCCTGATTTTCAGCACAATCACCCCTGCAGCTGCAGTTTAATGTCTTTTTCAAGCTGCCATAGAGGATCTACAGCTTTCACAGCATGCTTTGAGTTTAAGTTGGCTACTATGATTCTTTCTTTTTCTTAAGACTTCCAGCAAATAAAATCAGCTTGTTCTACAAATGTAATTATTGTCAGCTCCACGAAGCATTAATGGGCCACAGCCATCACATAACCCAAGGCCTTACCGTCTACTTACCTTATCCTAAAAAACCATAGGCAAGAATCTTAGTAATTCTTATTTTTACTCAGTTCCAATGGTAATCCTCATCTCAACTGGCAGCATGAATAGGGATCATCTTATTGCCCTCTGACTGGGGAGTGTTCATGCTCCAAAATTCTATCTTGAGGGTCTACTGTCTCGGGCCACGTTTGATAATAACTGGGTTAGTACCAAGTTCCCAGAAAGCTGATCCTGGAACAAAGGCTCCTTCGTGATATATGTGAGAGGTTTATTGGAGAGTATGACCCAGGGAGGGGGATTAAGTTGACCTTAGGGGTAAAGCAAGAAAGAAGATGGGGTTATTACAAAGGTATATCATTGAGTTGGGTATTGCTACATGCTACTGATTACTTAATTCTGCAGTGTTGTCTAAGCAGCCATATGAAAAACACTTTAAGACTGTGAGCTTGGAAGAATAGGAAAATCAGTTCTAATTTTCATTAAATGAATATTTGCCTTGGTATTAACTCCTCATAATTTCTGGGTTGCATATGTAAGCATTGAGCAGGTTGTTTGGTGTCCTACTCTAGGGCATCAAAACGTAAGTTCTGGGGTTTGGGATTAAAAACAAATGGCATGGGTGGCCAGGGACTAAGCGCTATCATTTGTACAGTGTGAAGTTGATAGGAACATACGTAGAGCTGGTTGATATAGTTGTGGAATATTGGACAACAGAGTCCAAAAGAGTGTAAACTGGTGATTAAAAGGTGTTCAATATACTATCTGATAGAGCTGTCATAACAATTACATGAATATGTGTAAAGCAGTTCAAACAATACCTAGTATTTGTATACATAGTCAATAAATCATTTCTATTATGTGTCATCGTGGACCTAATCAGGATAGAGGATTTCACTGACCTCTCTTCTCTCTTCTAGTCACAAACACTAAGAAATGTTGTATACTGTCTTACTTCAAGATGCTATGACAAAGTACCATAGACAGGGTGGCTTATAAAAAATAAAAATTTATTTATTACAGTTCTGGAGGCTGAAAGTCAGAGATCAGGGTGCCAGCATGGTCAGGTTCTGGGTTTGCAGACTGCCAGCTTCTCACTATACTCTCACATGGTAGAAAGAAAGTGAGCTGGCTTTCTGAGATCCATTTCATATGGGCACTAATCCCATTCATGAGGGCTCCATCCTCATGACCTAAATACCTCCCACAGACCTCATCTCCTAATACTATCACATTGGGGTTAGATTTCAATATATAAATTTTGAGGGCACACAAACATTCTACCCACAACATATATTCATTTCAAAGAATAAAATACTTAGAGTATACAGATCAAAACTACAGAGAAATGCTAGATGTGTTTCTGCCTGAGTGTTTTCTGCTCATGGTCTGAGCTTGGGTAAACCCTGTTAAATTCACCACAACCCTTTCATGCAAACTAGCTATTTTTCAAGACCTAAGGATTATTAATTTAATTTGCTTTTAGCAATAATCTCACTACCAATTTTGGTTATTGGATAAACATAATATTTTCCAGTCAAGTCAGCCTTGAGGATCATTTCTAGATATTGTTTTCAAGGAAGCCCATATTCTCATCATGTGTCAAATCTTATCTGACACTATAAATACATTGCTATATAAAAAATGCAGTACTTTTAAACAGGTAAGGTAGGAAATCATTTTTAAGGATGCAGGGAGGAAATTGTGTCATTGTAACAACAGCAAAAAATTAAAATGCACTTATTATATTTTAGACTCTGAGGCACACATGACAGTTTCTCATGAAGTTTCTACATAATTTATAAGTCTGGCTTGTATGGCTCTACCCATTCTTCATGGCCAATATACTTTCTGATTCATCAGTGCCTGTGCTATGTTGGTTACTACATGTTTTGAATAGCAGCCTTGGAAGTAGCTACATATTAGAATTTCCATTTTACAGCAAAGAAGCTGAGGACTTGTTAGATTAAGTAATTTGATACAGATTAAGCCACTCAACTTTAAAGTGACAAGATTTTAAGTTCCTTTTTTGTATCTTGCAAAGTTTCTACCACATCCTACTGCCTCTGATCTAAACACATCATGCTACTGTGCAGGTAGTTGAAGCATAAAAACATCGCACTGTGTATTAGCCATGCATATGGGTGAGAATTAGGCTAATAAAAATTCACTGAAAGTGTTTTGCCCTGAAGAAAGCAAGGTGCCTGCCATTTCTTGGAGTTTATGTGTTGACAGTGTTAAAAAAAAAACTGGAGTGTACAAAGAAAGTTGTCTTGCTTCCTACTTTATAGCCTCCATCTGGTCAGGAAAGGAGTAAATTGACCACATCTGCTGCAAATCTGTAGCTGTACTATTGGACCTTTCAGCTTTGTCACTAACTCTGTCTTATCCCCAAGATCTGGGATACTATATCCTGTACAGGAGTATGCCAATTTTCACAACTTTTGTACTCTTCTCTAGCATTCTTCAAATTCATATTCCCTTGGGCATCCTATAGGATAAGAGTTGGAAAAATTTTTATTTAAAGCAACAGATAATAAATATGTTAGGCTTTTTGGACCAATAGGACAAATTCATGATAATATTTAAGGTATATAATGAGTGAAAATAAATTTCCACAAAATTTTTATTGATAAAATTCAAAATATAATAATAATAATTAAGTACAAATTACTTTGTGACTTAAATCTAATGAAAATAGTAATATTATTTGGGGGGAAATAGCATTTCACTTACTTCAAAATTAGCATTCCCTATAATCAAATGTTCATCTATAGAAACTATCTTAACTCACAGGCTCTGCCAAAACAGGTGGTAAGCCGGATTTATCCCAAAGACCATATTTTGCCAACTCTTGCTTTAGGAAAAGCTTGAATCTCTGTTGGAAGACAGGCAAAAATATGCATATTTTATAAACTGGTACAGGGGGCCATCATGAGTAGATTCCAATAAAGATCTTTACTGAGGTCTTGTGTGTGCAAAGGCAAAAAAGGGAGGAGTTTATATTTTGTGGACCCAGTGATACCTGTCTCACATATTGGTTTCCAGGCCTACCTACATGAAGTCAGAGGTTTGTGTATGTGAAAAGTGGGACATCAGGCACAGATTATAGAGGCATACTGTCAAAGCCTTTTGTGGTGCACGGAGAGTACAAGTATTTTTTCTTGAGTGCCCACTTCTGTGTCAAAGTGTGACCTAGAGTGGGGAATAAGAAATATTCTTCCCACTTTTTCATCAGCATTAGGTGGCCAGGAACAATGAGGATGCAGAAAATACAATTATGGGGCCAATAAGCAGTGGCCTTGACACAAATATGTGTGTTTTTACAGAGAGAACCAGCAATAGTGGCATAGTAAGGCTTTAATCTTAATTAGCTGTGGGGTAATGAACATAGATGGAGTCATGAAAGTAATATTCCATTCTACAAAGTCAACTGTGAATATTTTTTAGTGCAAGGCTAGTACACAAGCATTCCAGGAGGTCAACGAGTTTTCCTTACAATATCTTAGAATGATGTTAAAAAGTACCACATCAATGAATTCCACTTCTGGATGGCAGCATAAGAAGTTCCATGGACCCACTCCCCAGAAAAACAAAGTTGGTAAAAAACAATGAAAAAAATCCAATAAATTAAAGTCTCTGTAAAGTGTCCTAAGGGAATAAAGCAAATAAATATTTACTAGAGAAAATCTACTAAAACCTATTAAGAACAGCCAGTCAGTAGCATTTGATCCACAATCCTCCCTCTCGAGACCATCCCCAGCTCAGTTTAGAGGAGCTCCATTATGGATGGATGAAGCTAAGGAAGAAGTCCCTCTCCCTTCATCTTCCAATCAATGCTTACAGTATCTCAATAGGAGGACAAGGTTCTAGCACTTTTCATCTCTTTCAACTCCAAATTAAAAAAATAATATTCCTGTTGAGTACAGGGAAAGGCTGAGGATCCCTTTCCCCCACCAAGCTCATCTTCATAGTACAGAGACTCCATCCCAGGCAGGCAGGCCAAGATTACAGGGACCTCCAGCTGTCCTTGCTTCGGGTCATACATTGGGCAGAGATTCTACAATGAAAGAGGCATGCAGAGACAACCAGAGGCTTATTGCCTAAATTAGTGACTAGAGAGGTTGCCTAAGGGGAAAAACAGTGAATAGGAAAAGAGAGGTCTGTAGCTCTACCCAAATGAACTGACATTATTTGAATCCAAATGTGAAGAAGTTCAAGCCTAAGGGCTCTTCTAAAACAATAGCTCCTCTCAATTAAGAGCAATAAGCTAAACAATAAGCAAGTTATTTCTTCAGAGAGAACCAGAGAAAGAGATAGCGAAGAAAAGCCCTCCCTAGGGTCAAAAGACTGGCTTCAAAAGCAACAAATTTAATTAGATCAGACTCCAGCAATTTATGCCTTAGGGCATTGTTAAAAAAAAAAAAGCAATAGAGCAATTAGCCTGTAATTAGTGGAGTTCAGTGAGTGGGGTGTATTACCAAATGAAGCAGATAGCTTGGTAACAATATTAAGGGATATTAAGGAAATAAATAGGTAAAGAAAGCCCTGCTTAAACATCCCATCCCAGAATGACAGTACACATGATGAAGGTGGGTACCTTCCAAGGAATACACCAAAGACTTCACGTCATGGATGAAATGTAAGTTACTAATATAGACTAACCATTTCAAAAAATAAGCAAACAACAATCAAAACAAGTACCCAAAACAGCTATACTACCTAAAATATCCAATTTTCAACCAAAGTTATGAGATAGGCAAAGAAATAGAACACATGACACACACACAGGAAAAAAAAAAAATCAAAAGAAACTAGCTGTAAGAGGGATCAGGTATCAGATTTAACAGATAATAAAATTACTTCAAAGTAGTCATTATAAATATATTCAATGAACTAAAGGAAACTATTAAGGAAGTAAAGTATGAAAACAATGTCTCAACAAATGGAGGTTATCAATAAAGAAATATAAGTTATAAAAACATAACAAATGTAAAGTATGAAGCTGAAAATTGTAATAATTAAAATGAAAATTCATTAGAGGAATCTAGCAGAAGAAGGTGTCAACAAACTTGGAGACAGACTGATAGAGAATACCCAATCCAAAAATCAGAGAGAAACTAGAAGACACTGTGGGACAATTTTATGTCTACCAAAATATTCATAATAATAGTACCAGAAGGAAAGGAAAGGGGCAGAGATAATTATTTGAAGATCAATAGTTGAAAACTTTCCAAATTTCATAAAAAATACAAATCTATGCATTCGAGAAGATCCGTGAACTCCAAGTAGGATAAATCCAAAGAAATCAATGCCCAGCTGAATCATAGTAAAAATGTTGAACATCAAAGGAGAAAATTCTGAAAGCACTAAGGGAAAGACTGCTCTTTAAGGATAAGGGAATCCCAATGAGATTAACAGCTGACTTCTAGTCAGAAACAATGGGGGCCACAAAGCATGAGATTACATATTCAAAATCCTAGGAACACAAACAGTCAATAAAAATCTTGTATCCAGCAAAACTATCTTTCAAAAATGAAAGTGAAATAAAACATTCCCAGGTAAGCAAAAAAATTGAGAAAATTCATTCCTAATGGGCGTGCTTTCCAAGAAACACAAAGGGAAGTTTTTCAGGCTAAAATCACATAAACACAGGTGAAAATCAAAATCCACATGGACAAGCAAACTGTACTGGTAATAATTATGTAATTATAAAAGAGTATAAATGCATATTTTGCTTTTTTCTTGACTAATTTTGAAGCCAATTATATGAAACAAATGTATACAAGTGTATTGTTGGGTCTATAGCATAGAAATGTAATATATTTGACAACTAAAGCATAAAGGAGATAAGTAGAATCAAAACTTTATTGAAAAAGGAAATGACTTAAGATGGTAAGTTGAACTTGAACAAATAAAAAGAGCCAGAAATGATAAATAAGAAAAATATTACTAACTTCATAAATATATATTTGAAGTCCTTTCTTAGCTTCTTTAATAGACATTATATAAGCTAGTAATTATAACAATCTATTGCTGAATTGGTAACCTATATAGATAAAATATGTATAACATAAAAGGAAGAAGGAGGCATAAAATAATATAAAAGAAAATTTTCTGTGTCTTGTAAGAATTAGTATAAATATGAACTAGATTCTTATTAGTTAAGATGTATAAGGTAACCTCTAGAGAAGCCACTAAGAAAATAACAAAAAGGATAGTGAAAAACAATCACCAAAGGAGTTAAAATATAGCACTAGCAATATTCACAAATGAAAAAGCAGCAAAAGAAGACTAGAGGAACAAAAAGACATGGAGCCATTTAGAAAACAAAAAGTAAACTGGCAGATGTAAATCAACAATATTAAAACCATTAAATGTAAATGGATAGATACAATATTCAATATTTGGGTGATAGGTACATGAGAGGCCCAACACTCACCATTACACACATAATACTTAAGTAATAAGCACATGTACTCCCTGAATCTAAAATAATTTTTTAAAAATTAAAAAATGTAAATGGATTAAACAATCCAATTAAAGGGCAGAAATTGTCAGAATGGAAGAAACAAGATCCAACTATATGCTGTCTACAGAGACACACTTAAGTTTTGATGATACAAATGGTTGAAAAGAAAAGAATAGAAGGTATCTGAAACCACCTTTGCAAAACTATGATAGTAAGAGAAGTTTGACTTAGTTGACTCCATCTTGCTTCTGACCTCCAAGCTGTCTTTGGTTTTATCCAGGGTACAGCCCAAGCTAACTTTGGGAGGAATTTAATTTGTAGTTTGACTTGGAAGCAAGGATGATAATAATCCCTCCCCAAAACTAACCCCCTCCCTGCTCAGGAATTGAAAACTACCTTTGTAAGACTAATGAGGCTGGGTGTGGTGGCTCATGCCTGTAATCCCAGAGCTTTGGGAGGCCGACCAACATGGTGAAACCCCATCCTACTAAAAATACAAAATTAGCTGGGCACGGTGGTGCATGCCTATAATACCAGCTACTCAAGAGACTGAGGCAGGAGAATCATTTGAACCCGGGAGGCAGAGGTTGCAGTGAGCTGAGATTGTGCCATTGTACTCCAGCCTGGGCGACAAGAGAGAAACTCCATCTCAATAAAAAAAAAAATAAAACAAAACTAATGAAAGACCTCAAAAATGGCATTATAAAAGGTATCTGAACTGTGCTAAGGTATAGGAATAGTTTTCTATAATTCCTTACTGTTCAGGGGTTATGTGGCCAGAGGTCACAAGACTTGTGACCTTCTCAATTGCTCTTGTAAATAATATCACTATTGTGGAAACTACTACTGGTTATTTTTAGATGTTTTTCAGACTTATCCCATCTGGACTTGTGACTCATGACTCAGTGGATCCTGTGGCCCACCCAGAAGGAGACAGTGCATTAGGACCATTTTCTACCCTCCTGTGATTGCATCCCCAACCAATCAGCAATACTCATTCCCTAGTTCCCTGCTCACCAAATTGCCCATAAAAGCCCTAGCCTCTGAGCCATTAGGAACACTGATTTGATTTATAATTCTAGTTCTTCCATGTGGGCCAGACTTGCATCAGTTAAACTCTTTCTCTACTGCAATGCCATGGTCTCAGTGGGTTGACTTTGTGAAGCAGGGAGGAACAACCTGTTAGATGATTACAAATCTACTACACAAACATCAATTATAAGAAAGCTCGAGTAGTTGTATCAGAAAAAATTGACTTTAAAACAAAAAAGTTAATTATAAACATATATATAGTAACAGAATCCTAAAACATTTGAAGCAAAAACTGACAAAATTGAGGAAGAAAATAGAAAATTTAATAGTAATCATCAATGCCATCATACTTTATATACATATATATATATATGTATATATATATATATATATATATATATATACATATATATATATATATATATATATTTTTTTTTTTTGAGGCAAGGTCTGGCTCTATTGCCCAGGCTGGAGTACAGTGATGCAATCTCTGCTCACTGCAACCTCCACCTCCTGGACTCAAGCCATCCTCCCACCTTAGCCTCTCAAGTAGCTGGGACTACAGGCATGCACCACAGGCCTGGTTAATTTTTGTATTTTTTGTAGAGATGGGGTTTCACCATGTTGCCCAGGATGATCTCAAACTTGTGAGCTCAATGGATCTGCCCACTTTGGTCTCCCAAAGTCCTGGGATTACATGCATGAGCTAACAGGCCCAGCCATACTTAATTTTTAATAAGAAATGGAACGACTAATTAGAAGATAAACAAACAGAAGACTTAATAATAAACACAAACTATACTTCACAGACATTCTTTCAGTTGCTTTTTATTTTAGAACATGTGAAAACCCAAAGGCCTCCACAACAGCATTTAAGACTCTCATCTGCAGCTGAGAGATTTTATTAACAATAGGTAAAATTATAACTGTTAAGGTAGCTGAATTACCAGAAGATTTCTCACACAGTCTTTATAGGTCTCCTGTGCTAAACTTCAGGGCCCTACTAGGGAAGGTATGAGACACTGAAATAATGACTGGGTATGTCAACCTAAAGAAAAGAAGCTGAGGAAAAATTAATATAAGTAAGAGAGTTTATATGGGTCAAGCTTGAGGATTGCAACCTGTGTACATAAATTTTCCTAAATAAACAGTAGCAGCAGTTACAAGTGTTTTTTTGTTTTGTTTTTTTGAGACACAGTCTTGCTCTGTCGCCTAGGCTGGAGTGTAGTTGCACAATCTTGGCCCACTGCAACTTCTGCCTCCCAGGTTCAAGCAATTATCCTGCCTCAGCCTCCCAAGTGACTGGGATTACAGGCCTGTGCCACCACACCTAGCTAATTTTTGTATTTTTAGTAGAGATAGCGTTTTACCATGTTGGCTAGGCTGGTCTTGAACTCCTGACCTCAGGTGATCCACCCACCTCGGCCTCTGAAAGTGCTAGGATTACATGCATGAGCCACCGCACCCAGCCACAAGTGGGTTTTTAAAGGGAAAGAAGAGGAATTCTTGTATCGTTTGTTAAGAATTCACATTAAAATAACAAGTTATTGATTGGCTATACATTGCTAAGCTGTAGTGTGTGGTATGTTATAGTGTTAATGAGGCATTATTAAGTTAATTTATTTCTACTTATGGCAATAGCAAGCAATTTCAAGAGATACAATGGAGGAGTAGGATGTGATTGCTGTCTCATTTAAAACCTCTGTTGACCTTATAATTTAAAAGGACTTGCATTCCTCAGATAAAAATTTTTGTTTGTTTGTTTGGTTTTTGTTTCTTTTCTCAATGACATTTGGTTAGAAGTACTTAAGAATCTTTTACTCCAGATTTTCCTGAATATTTTAGGACAAAAGAAGTGACATGTTCTTCCTTATTAAGAGTCTCTTGTTCATAAAAACAAAAACAAAATCTCACCTTGCACGAATGCCTCACAAAATGATGTTCATCCTCAATTTCCACCTCTGTCTCAACTTCTTGTATCCAGACACGTAATTAAAGTTAGATCTCACTCTAGCCTGAGCAGGAAAGTATAGTTCTTACACTGGAAGGAAATAGCATAATTACTAAAAGAGTTGTAGGATATGGCAATTAGGTACCAGCATGAAACAAAGGAATATATAAGTATTCCTTGATATATAATATATAATAAATGAAGGAGTACATAGCTTTTAAACCAGGGTTGGGTACAGTGTGTTGTGGGTTAAATTGTGTCCCCACAAAAGATATGTTGAAATCCTGGGATATTGTTATTCATAATAAACACATATTGGTTCATCTCATTCCTTGGCAAAGCTCCTAAAACTCTTGGAATTTCTTAAGTGATAAAAGCAATAAAGGTGAAAGGAGAATCTTGTGCCATTCATAACAAGCCCCTTTCAATCACACCTGAGTTTGTGTTAATAAGCTGATTTTTGGAAAGTCCCTAAAGATAGAGAGCTGGTTGCCAGGGGGAACTAACCATATGATAAGAAGGTTAGAACTTTTAGCTCCACCCCTGACCTTTTAAGGAAGAGGAGAAAGACTGAAAATAGAAGGTTGAGTTGATCACCAACAAACAATGATTTAATCAAAAATGCCTATATAATGAAACCTCAATAAAAACTGAAGAGGACAGGATTCAGAGAATCTCTAGGTTGGTGAAAAATAGTGGTGTTGGGAGAGTTGGTATACCCAGTGAGGGTATGGAAGCTCTGTGCCACCCACCCCCCAGCCCAATACCTTGACCTGTGCATCTCTTCCATCTGGCTGTTTCTGAGTTGTATCCTTTTTAATAAGCCAGTAAGCACAAGTAAAGTGTTTCTTGGAATTCTGTGAGCAATTCTGGCAAATTCTCAAACCTGAAGAAGGAGTTGTGGGAACCCTCAACCTATAGCTGGTTGGTCAGAAGTATGGAAGGCCCATACGTATAATTGACATCTGAGGTAGTGCAGTATTTTTAGTACTAAGCCCTTAACTTGTGGGGGCTGAGCTAATTCTGGATATTACTAGTGTTAGAATTGAGTTAAACTGTAAGATATGCAGCTGACATCCAGAGAGTTGAAGAATTTGTTCATGTTGGAAAATGCTTCAAGTTGAAACCCTGGTACTTTTGCATGTGACCTTATTTGGAAATAGGGACTTTGCAGATATTAATTAAGTTATGATGATGTCATAGTGGATTAGGGTAGGCCCCAAATGTGATGATTATTTTCCTTATCAGAAAGTTATGTGAAGACTCGGGGACACAGGGACACACAAGGGAAATGCGATGTGACTATGGAGACACAGATTAGAGTGATGGGTCCACAGGTCTCAGGGTCCTCAAACAACCACCAGAAGATAGGAAGAGGCAAGGATCATACCCTAGAGCCTTCAGAGACAGCATGGCCCAGCTGACATCTTGAATTCAGACATCTAGCCTCCAGAACCTCCAAAGAATAAATGTCTATTGTTTTAAACCATCCAGTTTGTGGTGCTTTGTTACAATCTCCCTAGGAAACTAATACAGCGTGGGTGGAATATAAGGCCAGACAGGTAGGAGTTTGTCGGCCTCGGGACACTCTCACATTGCTCTTGCTTTAGCATCTTAGCAAGGATGCCTAGACCTTGGCCTAATACTTTCTAGATTGTCTTCTTAAAACTTGAACATGGAAAAACAGTTAATTAGTTGGAGTTAATTAGACTTACAGTTAATTAGCTGGAGACCTACAGTTAATTAGTTGGAGATGTTGAAGCTGCTTTGACAGTACTCTGTAGGATCAGGAGGCTCAGAGGGTTAGGAATTTTGAAAAAATGAGAGTAACAACCCCAAACCTGACTGTATTTCCTGGGAGGGCCGAGAATATATACTCTCACAGTCAGATTTAGCCACAGAAACACTGCCTTGGGACTGGTCTCCCTCATGCAAACAGAGACGGTGGGACTTCGGCAGAGAGAGTATACAGGCCAGGTGTCAGCACTTACCATGAGAAAGATGATGGCACTCATTTAAATAAATCATGATATTCATAGAGACAAGATGAAGGATGAATGACTGACTTTTATAACTGGAAACATCAAAAGCAAACAAGCAGAAGGCTGATGTTAGCCACTAAAATGAAAAATTGCATCTCTCACCTAGTTTCTCAATCCAACCAGTTCTCAAACTTAGAGCCCATTTCTTCCAGGAAGCTGCCTGGAATGTCACTGCAAGTGTCTGAGATAAATATTCCACTAATCCTTCCTCAAAAGTAACTGAATCACTTACCAGAGTAACTCTGCCCTGGGGGAAAGGCAACACCAACAACTTTTGAGGGCTAATGAATACAAGGTATGAGGTGATACTGCCACCAGGCCACCCAGAATGCTCTCATCTCCTTCCTATTTGAGTGGGGGTAGATGGAAGCCAAATGGAATTTGGGACCGGGTGTATTGTATCTCACGGTAGGTTCAGTCCATCTATGAACTCAGCCTTTTGCTTTTTTCCCTAGTGCTTGAGTACATAATTGGGATGTACATACATAGCAGCTTGCAGGCTGTAAGACTGGTTCTCTGATCTCTGGAATAAGAAACATGGTGAAAAGGCTGAGTCAAACATCCAAGATTGCCCCTGTCAATATCCCAAAGAAAATCTCACACAGTTACATAAAGGAGCATGCATGAGGAAGTCCATTGCAGAATTATATGTAGTGATGGGGATTAGAGGCAGTTTGGCTGTCCCTTAACTGGATGGTAGATTGTTACAGTGTGGTAGATGCACTATGTTATATTATATTATATTATATTATATTATATTATATTATATTATATTATGTTATATTATATTATATTATTACATTATGCAACAGATAAGTTGTATACATATTGACATGGAGGGATCTTCAACATGTAGTCTTTAATGAAGCACTAAGAAATGGAATGAGTAATATATAATAAAATGAGCTACATAAATAACATAGTTTAAAAATACATGCACACAAAAGGAACACATCTTGTAGTAATTCATAAAAAAGGATAAGATATTAAATAGCATACAATAGTTATCTGTGTAGAGGAGGGAAATGAAAGTAAAAAAAAAAAGGATAAAGGACACACATACATAGACCAGGCATAGAGGCTCACGCATCTTATTCCAGAAGTTTGGGAGGCCAAGATGGAAGGATCACTTGAGTGCAGGAGTTTGAGACCAGCCTAGGCATCATAGTGAGACCCTGTCTACAAAACATTAAAAAAAAATTAGCCAGGTGTGATGGTGCATGCTTGTAGTCCCAGCTACTCAGGAGGTTGGGCTGGGAGAATCGTTTGAGCCCAAGAGTTCAAGGCTGCAGTGAGCTGTGATCGGCTACTGCACTCCATCCTGGGCGACAGAGGGACACCTTATCTCTTTAAAAAAAAAAAGAAAAACACCTAAAAAAGACACACATACATAAATAAACAGATGGATAAATGAAGAAAGAATTTTTTAAAAATTAAGCTTGGGAATTGCCTGAACCAATGATGATAACGTATTATGAACTGGAGAAAATGGTGAACTCGACTTTCTGCACCTGAAGTCCATTAAGAAAAAGAATGCCCTACAGAAAGCCCTTGTAACATATGAAAATATTAGACTGTCCATAAATAGAATAGGAAATTTAAAATGTGCCAGTTGGCTGACTAATAGCAATTGTCTAGGGGCCAGTCTCTCATTTCCAAAGAGAGAGATTCCAAAGAACAATTGGAAATAGTTCCCTAATAGAACTTCCCATGTCCTTTTGGGACCATCTTTACATCTGGATATGGATGTCCTCTGCACAATGTGGATTCCATGTTCTAAGAAACTCTTTGATATTTTTTTTCAAACTCTGAGGGATAAGGTGCCCTTTTAGAGGTAATATCCTGTCTTCCCCTTTGACAACATTTCAAACAGTTCTTCATTAATACTCAGGAGAGTAGGATAAGAAGAACATTGGATATAGGGTCCTGGAAATCATTTTCAGTCCTGTTTCTCTTTGAATAAGCAGAGTTTCTCACATATAACCGTTCTGAGCCAGGACCTGGAGAGAGGCGGAAGACAGGTCTGGAGTGTATAGTACTCTTTTTATACTTCCTAGCAGCTGCTTATACAACAGTTGAACCCAGAAGGAAGGAGATGCTAGTAATATGAGCCAGAATAATTATGGCTCTTTGGAAGCAGAAAAGTGTTGTCCCGAGGATACTGTGGTAAAGCAGAATGAAGTGTGAGGATCTAACACAAGCTAAGCTGAATCCCTGCAGCTCTGCATTTATATGGAGAGATTTTCCTTAGCCAGGGCAGAGAAAACGTGGGAGAAGTGCCTGCCAGATTAACATGATGGATATATTGAAGCCTCATAAGTACAAGCTAGAAAATGAAAAAGTGATCAAAAATGGGAAAGTTCCATTTCTGCAAGTTGTTTCATTTTCCACTTTTGTTCTGGTAGGAAATTCTAGAATCTAAATCTGAGTAGCATTAACTTTTCATCACACTTACTGTCTTGGTTTCACTACAGGATCATTAACTCATTTTATATTTCATTTAAATTTTATTAGTTTTCTATTTATCTAGAGTTGCACTGTCCAATAGGATAGCCAGGAGCTACATGTAACTATTGAGTGCTCGCAATGGGATTAGTGTGCCCCAGAAATGAAATTTCAATGTTATTTCATTTTAATTCATGCATATTTAAATTTAAAAATGGGAGCACTGTGAAATACTTTTCTATTCAACACAAAACTATTGTTTTTGTAAGACTGTTTCATATTAACCATTGGAAATTTAACATTTGAATTCAGATGTGCTGTTAAGTGTAAATATACATCAAATTTTGAAGACCTAGTTTAATAAAATAATGGAAATTATCTCATTAATAACTATATATAATTAAATTTTAAATTGTCCTATTTTGCATACATTGGGTTAAATCATATATTTTATTAAAAATAATTTTACTTTGTTCTTTTTACCTTATTACCGTGGCTCCTAGGAAACTTGTAATTTCATATATGGCACTCATTGTACTTCTATAAAGCTGTCTAATCTGGAATATAAATTTTTCTAGACTCACATTGTCTAGTACCAGAGTCACTAGTTATAAATGTCTGTTTAAATTTAAATTAATAAAAATAAAATAAAATAAAAGCATCCTGTTCCTCTGCATTATCCATACCAAGTACTCAACAGCCACTCATGGCTAGGGGCTACTGTATTGGGCACACAATCTAGGACCCTGGGGTAGATTGGATTCTAATTCTTAAACTCTTCATGAAGCATTGCCAGGTAACATATTTTTCTCCCACAAAAGGTGTATTATAGAACATTTCCATTATTGCAGAACATTCTATTGCAGAGTGCTACTCAAGTCAATGAAACATCTCTGCCTGGGACAATACATTTCAGAGTTACACCAGTATATGCACAAGGGCCAGACTGCCAGCTCCAGGGTGGACGATAGCTTTTGAACAACCTACTGCTGTCCATAAAGTGGCATCATATCCCTTTGCATGTTCCTTATAGAGTGGACTCAACTAGGTTTTTATCCTTAAGTTCTACTCCATCATCTTGTGCCCCAATATGGTCACTCTAGTACACTGTCTTGTGGAAGCTCTCTCACCTTTGCGGAAATGATGACCTATTTTCCCCATATGCAAAAGTGGGTAACATGAGAAGTTAAAGGTAACCTTCTTCCATATAGCTGAGAAACGGCTCTTCTCTGAAAGCACGTCTGACCCCAAGGGTGTTTGAGTTCTTTCATCTTAAATTTTTCTAAAAAGGTGTACTTTTTAGTCCGTAACCCCTGCTTCTTTGTCATAATTTGCAGAAAGATAAAATGTTTTAAATTAATAACTTTAGAAGAACTAGAAATAATGAATAGTGTTGTAGTTTTATTTGGAGCTAATAGGACAGAGGAATTGAAAAAGCATGACTTATGCTGCAGGGACTGAGAAAGCCATGAAAACAAGTATATTTGTTTTCATGCTTTATTCCTGTCGTACACATAAATAGGCACTGGATACATATTTATTGTTGCGTTTCTGTGGAAGAAAAATAAAACTTTGGGGTCTACAAAAGAGAAACAAAAGAGACAGGGACCTGGCCCAAGATGAAGAAACAGCCCTTGAGATAACCTGAAGGAGGTCCTCTTCATGACTTATTTATTGCATTAGTTAATTAATACAATACTAGTAAATTACTATATGCCAGGAATTTAAGATTAAAGATAAGTAAGCCATGATCTCTGCCTTCAAGAAAGGTACATTCTAGGCCTGGCATGGTTGCTCACGTCTGTAATCCCAGCACTTCGGGAAGCTGAGATGGGGGATGACTTCAGCCCAGGAGTTTCAGGCTAGCTTGGGCAACAATGCCGTAGGACCCTGTCTCTACCAAAAAATAATAAAAATAATAATAAGCCAGGCATGGTGGCACATAAATGGGGCATGGTGGCACTTGCCTGTGGTCCCATCTATACTCAAGAGGCTTGGGCAGGAGGAATGCTTGATCCTGGGATGTCAGGGATACAGTAAGCCGTGACCTTGCCACTGCTCTTCAGTCTGGGTGACAGAGTGAGACTGTGTCTAAAAAAAAGAAAATGTACCTTCTATAGCTGGGTATAAAACTTGGAATTATGACATTTTGAGGCAGATAATTCTTTGTTGCTGGGGGCTCTCCTTTCTATTGTAAGATGTTTAACAACATCTCTGGCCTCTACGCACTACATTCAATGTCACTCCCCACCTTAATTGTGGCAACTAAAATGTGTCATCATTGCCAAATATCCCTTCACTGAGAACCACTGATCTAGAGGGAGGTTAAATGTATAAATAGGAAAATATTTTGATGTAATAGCAGTTCTGATAGAAATACCAGCATAGTAAAATGAAGAATGAAGACATTAAGAAAGACATTTCCACCCTGTGAGTTTAGTTGGTCAAGAAAGACTTCATAAAGGTATTATCCTGAAGACTCCTGGCCCCATGGTTTTCCCATTTACTACCACCCTAACTTTGAGACAAATGCTGAAGACAAAAATGCATCTGTTATAATAATTCCAGCAATGTAAAATTGTGTGCACAACATCTTCCAAGACCTAAATCACTTCATGAATAAATATAGGTTTTGGAGAAAACTATTTTTAAAGGTTAAGGGTCCCAAATCTAGGATTTCACACTGTAATCTATAAATGACTTTGGAAAAGATTTCCTCTTATCAATCAATTTTTTGAACATCTAGTTTCCATAAGTGCTCTTCGAGATACACAATTAGTCTTAGAAGACTAGTCTCAGCCAAAAAATATTTTATAATTTAGTTGTAGGGTGAAGGCACCAATACATGAAAACTTTAATAATATGTGGAATTATACATGGCAATGGAATTGGGTTTAACCACCCTCCTGTCCCCCTAGTTTCCAAAACTAAACTTCATATTTCATATCCCCTTCACATCATCATCTGGGAGTGAAGGTTGCAAAATCTTTTTATTTAGCTGGATAAATTGGGAAATCTTTTCTTATGGACCAACTCCATAACATCATGCAACTCCAAGGGACAACATTCACATTGTCCTGGACAATTAACAGAGAACCATGGTCAGTTCTGATGGCATACAGGAATGTCCGTGGCCTGGTGGATTTCCTTCTTCTGATGACTTACTGGCAACTAAGATGGCAGTTGACAGAGAGTCCACACCCTGCTACAATGGAGCCACTCTAATTTGACTTCTCCTTTTGGATGACATGGGGGTACTTCCTTGAATAAACAAAAACTTCCATGTGCCACCTTGGTGCTGGCCGCTGATGATGTTTGGCAATCCCAAGAGTCTGCCCCCACTGACAGCTCCATGTAGTCTCCCAATAGTATCCCCTGAGTACAGATGTGGGCATTGGGTGAATGGATTATCTGGTTCCTTTTTCATTCCATTCCTGATTTTATTTTTATAGTCTATATTTTATGTGGTACTTTCTTCAGTCTTTTATTAAGAGTCTCAAAAGCCTATTTTGAAGTACAAAAATACAAATGTCTTTTGACATGGAAATGACCAAAGAAAGGTCTGTGTTACATTTTTCATTCTTGCTCTAAAATCCTACTTTCACTCAAGGTAATATTGATGGTTCTGAATAATCATAGGGAAATTACTGGGAAGAAAGTGAAGGAAAAAAAAAGTCAAAGATTAACATTGTAAGTATTTGGGTTTTTTTTTTTTTTTTTTTTTTTTTACAAAAGAGTACAGGAAGGGGCCACAGAGAAAGTCCTGCATGGACTGGAAGAGGCCAAGAAGGCTTCTCAGATGAATAAGGGCTTGAAGCATTTCTTCTGGTGATCAGACTTTGGATAAATGGGAAAAAAATCACAAGGAGGAGAGTAAGGGGCATTCTAAGCATGAGAGTCTGTGTGAGAAAATGTCTAGAGGAAAGCTATGTTTGGAAAGATGAGATAGACCAGTCCAATTCTACTATTACAACAGACCCAGAGGAGTTCCTTCCAAAGAAGCCTTATAGGCTTCTGATCTGAAGTCCAAAGACATGGATGTGAGTCTCACGTCTGTCACTTGCTAGCTATGAGATCTTGGGCAAGTCATTCAGTCTTTAGCTCAGCAACAGTGTCCTCAGAAATAAGTTATATCCTGTTCTACACATTGTACAGCACTGGATGAGTTCTGACTGAGAGAGGTCACTATGACTTGTTAAGCCCACTAGAAAGGCAAGAAATCAGTTTACTCTGGAATTGCCATATTGTTAAAAGTGTTGGAAACATATAGCTCTAATATGTCTCTATTAGCAAAATGAAACAAAGAAATGATTATTCTTTCTCCATGGCAACAAAATGGAAATTGTATGGAAGCTTAATATCAAGTATCATTTGCCCATTTCTCATTTTTGTCATTTTTCATTTGCAAACCCAAATTGTTGTTTTAGAATTCAAACTGTCATTGTACATTTGGGAACACAAATTTTATGTCATGCCATCCAAAGTCCATTCAAAGTCCTTCCTGACATGGCCCTGCATATAGTCCCAGCTGTGTCTGCCATCACTGTGGCATGCATGCCTTGTACTCTAGCCATGGCAAACTACTTTAGACTCTTAGAAACCAACATACCAGTCTGTCTTTGCGTATTTCATTCCCTTTGATTCAAAGGCAATTTCATTCCTTATCCACTGGGACAATCATTCTTGAAGAGCCGGCTTAAGTATTGCCTCCACTGAGAAACTTTCTCTAAGGAGTCAGAGAGTTAAGCTTTTTCCTTCCATCTAAGTAGTATCCTTTTCTTAATTAAGTAATAGTAATGGCAATAAGAGCTACCATTTATAAGACATCTATTGTATACTAAGTAATGAGTAGGGTACTTTTTAAATGTTCTCAATTATCCTTATAAGACTCTCCTGAGGCATTGTTTAGGATATTTTTAATATTAATATTTTATATATTTATTCACATTTTTATTTTATATTTTTATTTAAAAATAGCTTTATTAAAATTCACATACTATATGTCACCATTTTTTCCTTTTATTATTAGTTGATGGCTACAATTGTACATATTTATGGAATACAGAATATTTCAGTACATGTATACAGTGTGTAATGATCATTAGCATATTCATCACCTCAAATGTTTACCATTTTTTTGTGTTGTGAACATTTGGAATTCTCTCTTCTAGCTTTGAAATATACAACAAATTCTTGTTAACCATATTTACCCCTATAGTGCTATAGAACACTAGAACTTATTTATCCCATCTAGCTTTAATTTTTTATGTGTTAACCAACCTCTCTCTATTCTCCTTTCCCCTCTACCCTTCACAGCCTCTAATAACTATATATAATTATGTTCACATTTTTTCATACTTCAGTATTTCAGAAATTATGGTGTTTTGCAGCTGTGAGTACATTTAATGTAGTGGTTTTTCTTCCCCTTACAACCTATTATTAAGTACGGTAATTTAAAATCAATGCTGCTTTAAAATCAAGGTACTGTGGCCTGATTCTTATTTCTCAGATTTGAAAACTGGGACACAGAGAAGGCAGAGATGAATAAGCCTAAATTTTTCCACTTGTCAAATAAGCCGCTATTTCCAAAACCATGAGATTAATTGCTTAATACAAATGCAGTGTGAAATAATGTTGGAAAAACCATAGAAATGGGTGTGTAATATTATTGGATTCAAGTTCTTGATTTATCACTTTAAAAAATATGTCACTTGGGCAAGTTACTTAAACTCTGTGCCCATGTCACATGTATTTCTTTGAAGTAATTAACCTCATTGTTTTGAAAACACTGGCTGATTTTTCTATTACCCCCACCCCAAAATTATGAACTTGTTAAGTGGAGGAACTTAGCCTTGTTGAACTTATTTCCTCTGTTTTAGCCCACAGACCTATGATGGCGAAGCTGCCTTCGCAAAATTATGTCAGTAAGAGAAATCTCACATAGTTGACTCCATCTTACTTACAATCTCCAGACTGTCCTCAGTCATTTCTGGGTTTAGATCAAGCTAACTTTGGGGGAGTAACTAAGTTTAAGGTTTAACCTTAAAGCAATGATGATAATAGCCCTTTCCAAAATGTAACCACCTTTTTAAAGCTAATAAAAGGCCAAAATATTAGGATTATGAGAAGAGCCTGAATTCTGCTAAGATGTAGGCACAGTTAAATGATAACTAGCCATTGTTCTGGAGGTCATAAGATTTATAACTTCACCAGTTGCTCCTATAGATAACATCATTTTTGTAGAACCTAAGATTGGCCCTTTGAGATGTTTTTCAGACTACCCCACCTGGAGTCGTGACTCATGACTCTATCAGTCCTGTGGCCCCACCCAGAGGTGAACTCAGCACATGAGGACCATTTTCCATATCCCCATGATTCCATCTCCGACCATTCAGTGGCACCCATTCCCTAGTCCCCTGCCCACCAAACTATCCCTAAAAAACCCTAACCTTTGAGCCTTTGGGAAGACTGATTTGAGTACTAACTTCATCTTCCACATGGCCACCCTTGCATTAATTAAACTCTTTCTTTACTATAATACTACAGTCTCTGTGAATTGGTTTTGTTTGTGCAGTAGGCAGGAAGGACCTGTCAGGCAATTACAATAGGCATCCGACAAACACCTATTGAGTGGAAGAGGTGCTTGATTCTGTCATTGTCATTGTTACGGTGAAAGACAAACTATAACAGAAAATCTTCCTTAGCATTCCTTTCCCTCGGGAGAAATGAATAGCCAAAAAAGATGGGTAGCCAAAAAATTGGTTTCTGAGTGTTTACACTACTTAGAGAAAAAAGAAGGAGGAAAGAATTTTTGTAAGGACAAAACTACTTATCGTTTTATTTTGGGTGTTCCAGGAACAGAAATGGTAGGCAATAATGGACAACAGAACTTTCTCTTACTCTGCCCACCTTCTCAGAGGGCTAGCCGACTGAAGATCCTTTCTAGAACACCATCATATGAAAAACAGCTGCAGTTTGAATGTGGAAAAGCCATGCTTAGTCTCCTTGGGAAGTAGTTTTGATTAACTGCAGAAAGAAACACTCTACTATTATTAAAACCTGCAGCAGAAACAGAGTGGATCCAAAGCTGTTTACTCGAAGGAGTCTGGAACATAAATGAGGATGAGCAATAAATAGATAAAGAAATATAAATGCACATTTAAATGTAGTTTCCTTTAAGCTGCAGTTTTCAGTCTATTACTGATTTTTAGTTATCACAATTCTTAGCTCTATTTTTTACTTTATGGTGAAACCCAATGAATCAGAGGAGCAAAGAGCAGGAAATAAAAGACAAAAATATGTGAGTTTCAACAAACTAACTTTGAATTATCGGCTGTTTTATTAAAGAATAACAAGGCATTAGAGAAGTAGCAGTTGTTTTGAATTATCCACTAGTTGGGACAAACCCATATTAGAATAATGAGATGAGATGTTATTCCATTACACAACCTCATGAAACTGTTTGTAGCTTCCTTTCCAGCACAGATTTTTTTCATATTTCACTTTAAAGAGAATTCAAATACCAAAAGCCTATGAACAAACTCAAGGACTTCATCTTTTGTCCTTGAAGTAAAATGCAACTACTTTAAATAAGTTATTAATGTCTTCAGTTTAATTCACCATTCTTGTTTGCACACTGTAGCCCAAACTGCAAAGGCTAACGGACACAGACCAGCTAAAATTGATTGCTGAAAAAATTAGGAATCACTGGCAAAAGTGACTTGGAAGAGTGTAATAATTTTACATCTTTGATAGTTTTTCTTCTTGAAAATTATAAAAGTGGACATGGTTCATTGACATCTCTGTCAATAACATGAGGCTTACAAATGCAGAAACAGGTGGATATCTTGCCTTGTTGATAAGAAAACAGGATGGCTGCAAACTATTTGGGTTCCATGATTCTCGCTGTGTAGTATACTTACACAAAATTGGTTCTCCGGCATAGAGCTTCCCAACGAGTATGCCAGTCATAGGCTTGCCAGATATATTGATTTTCTTGGCCCTCCAGGAGGAAGGCAGGGCCTAGGTTGGCCTAGTCAGTTGCTTCAAGCAGCAAGTATCCTCCTCTAGTGTATAACTTGAGACAAGGATACGTGTGTAAGTGATTTAACAAAAAAGCACTCCAAAAAACTCCTGTAAGAGAGTGGAAGGAGCTGGACAGAGAAGAGGTCAATGCTAAGTAGGCAGAAATTTCTAGTGAAGTCCGAGCCTCAATCTGAAGCTGCGTTCTGCAGGGAGCTCTGGAACATAAATGAGGATGAGCAATAGACAAAGAAATATAAAGGCACAGAAGATTTCCTCCCACCTTGAAGTGAGGAAGCTGAACTCTCCTATTCCCACAATAGTCAGTCTTGGCTACAGGCTGCCCCCATGGGACAGGGATGATCAAGCACTACTGGTTCTGGGTATGTGAGGGCAGTAGCCCAAGGGCAATCCTCTGAATAAAGTTGCAGAATGCCTATCCTAAATGCAAAGCCCATAGAACTAGGGGGAATGGGAATGTAGTATCAGTAAAAGAGATCTAAAGGTTTCAGGGTAGGACAACTACATTGTCTACTCTACCTTCATATTGTAGTCTGCAGGAGTGAGTCTAGCATTACTCCCACATCGTCCTCAGTGGCAGCAAACATGATGAGCAACGTGTGGTTCTCAGTCTTTAACTAGGTTATATAGAGGCTTGCTGCTCACGAGCATCAGCATCACTTGGGAGCTTGTTAGAAATGCAGGATCTCTGTCGCCATGTTGAATTTACTTAATCAGAATCTGCACTTCAGCAAGATGCCTGAGTGAGTTGCATGCCCATTAAAGTGTGACAAGTGGTAGTACAGAACATACTCAAGTATGAGCTTTACCTCCTGGATGCATTCCAGCAGCCAGTTGCAGAATGGCTACTGATGACCACGTAAAAGAGGTCCTAGAGCCACTGGAGAATTTCCAGCATATTTCCTAGGTACACAAACACTATAGTGCAGAGGCCACAATGTGGCTGGTTGACGTGTGATGTGGAGAAGTCAGAGAGGAGTTCCTTGTGAATGCAACTCCAGGTGGCAGGCACAAATCTTTACCTTCTTATACATTGGCTCCTCCTGTCTGTTTATGGCTGCTGTGCCCATTTAGCCATCTCTCTTCTTGCTTTCCCAATCCATGCATATTTGCAAATTAAAGATTTGTCATATTGTTTAATGTGAGAAAAAATTTGAAGCTAAAATTCATTTGTAGCAGCACAAAAAATTTCAACATTGTATTTGTCAATAAAAGAAAATAATTAGAATCTTTAAGTGCAACTACTATAAATTTTTAAATAGCTGTAAAAATGATTTTAAACTTTTCATTACCCACTTTGGTGAAGAAAGTTTTTGTCAATGGAGATGATCCACAATTTGAGAAAGTTAATACTAGTGGGTCTCTGATCATGAATAGTAATGGTATAGAACCATTGTAATAGGCAGCCTTTAAGATGGCCCTCAATGATCTTTGTCTTTCAATTTTAACACCTATATCTACTCTCCTCTCCTAAAGTGTGTGCTGGATTTATTGATTCACTGCTAAAGAATGGAATGCAGCAGACAGGTAGGGATGACATTTTTGAGATTAAGTTGTAAAAAGAGTGGTTTCCATCCTGCATACCCTCTCTTACTCTCCTGCTCATTCACTCTAAGAAAATTCAACTACGTTTTTGTGGGCTGTTCTATGAAGAGGCCCACCTTGCAAACAACTGAAGGGAACTCCATTCCAACAGGAGTGACTAAGATCCTCCATTCAACAATCTGCAAAGATGTTAAGTCCTGCCGACAAACATATGTGAGAGCTTATAAATGGATATTTCCCTAGCTGATACTTCTGATGAGACTGCAATACTGTTTGACAGCTCGGCTGCAACTTTGTGAGAGACCTTGAGCCAGAAATATGCCACTTTGCCAAGGCTGGATTTCTGACTTACAGAAATTGTGAGATAATAAATGTGTGTCACTTTAAGCAGTTAAGTTTTGCGGTAATTTGTTACACAGCAATAGGTCAACAAATACAGAGTAAGATATCAAGCATAAACTTACTATCAAACTATGTTAAACTCATTTCTTAGTTAATGATTTAAAAATATTTTATTTGAAAATTTTGCATGAATTTAATATTTAATATTTTGTACATTTAATATTATGTAATATTTTGTATATTTTTCTTATAATAATAAAATAAAGTAAATAGCATGATTTTTTCCCACTAAGATTACTGTTTCTAAATCATCTCTAGTTTACCCAGTTGTGAGCTCCACAGGATATTATAAAACATGCACTTAATCAAAATGTGTGGTAATTTAGGAAAGAAACTTAAAATATTGTGACCTTTTATTTAGTGTGATTTTAAGAGCATGGACTTTGGGTGAAGTATATTATAGTTCTATTCCTACTCTATTCCTTACTAGCTCAGTGACTTTGGGACAAAACTTAACTAGTTGAGCCTCATAGCCTTATCTGTAAAATGGAAATACTAGCAGCACATTTCATACGCTCATTTTGAGGTTTAATGAAGTGTCGTAGAGTGTGTAGTATACATTGGCTGGCATGCAGAATGTGCTGAACAACTACTAGTGGTTCTTATTTGTTAGTACAAATGGTTCTATTTCTTGAAACTTTCACTTACAAATTAGCTTGATATTTTAGTTAAATATTACTCCTCTGCACTCATTAAAGCAAGTCTTCAAGCAATCTCTATTTGCTAAAACTTGGTCTTATTTCAAGGCATTACAGGAAATTAGATTTTAAAAAGCTATCTCCTTTTGTGAATGCATCCTAATTAGAATGTCACCATTTCATTTCACTTATATCCATTAATCTGAAACAAGAATTTATTGTATTTTTACTGAATCTTTCTTAAATGTTTATATGTTAACCCAACTTCTCTGTTGCAGATAAATGAAAAAAATTGTAGATATTTTTAGAATATTGCTAAAAACTGGAAAAATTAATGCTGATTTCTTACCAGATGCTATTACTTTTATAATTCCAGAAGTTCTAAATTTTGTTTATTAATCTTTATTCCTTCTTTTTTCCTTTTTCCCTCCCTTCTCTGTATTTTTTTCTCTTCTTCCTTCCTTTTTTCTTTCCTCCCTTCCTTCCTTTCTTCTTATTCTACTCACATTGAAATAATTTATCTAAAAATGATAATAGGGAAAAATAAAAATATCAGGATAAACATTTAAAAGTGGAAGTAAAATGAATCAAGGAAAATGTTCTTTAGAGAAATACATAAAAAATTTTGCAGCAAAAAAGACATGGAATCAGTTAAAAGATCCACAATGTTAATAAGATAAAAATATAGATATCAGTTTCTTGGGTAGCATATGAGCTTACACAGGTACTAAGAAATAAAATTTCTTTCAGGGACATCATAAGAGAAAATGTTTAAAACATATACCAAAGAAATAAATGACAGCTTCCTATGGCTACTTGCTATAGCACCTGTTATGGATTGAACTGTAATTCCCCCACTCTAAATTCATATGTTGAAGTCCTAATCTCTGGTACCGTAGAATATGACCTCATTTGGAAATGCACCATTACAGATGTAGTTAATTAAGATAAGGCCATAAGGATAGGCTCTATACCAATATGACTGATGTCTTCATAAAAGGTGAAATTTGGATGTAGGCATGCACACAGGGAGAACACAACTTGAATGTAAAGGTGGCCATTTATAAACCAAGGAGAGACACCTGGAACAGATAATTTACTCATAGTCCTCAGAAAAAAACCTAGCCTTATGACACCTTGATTTTGAACTTCTGGCCTCCAGAACTGTAATACAATAATTTTTTGTTGTTTAAGCCACCCACCCATTTTGTAGCACTTGGTCATGACACTCCTGGAAAACTAATTCTGAATCCCTTATTTATAAACTAAGGGAATAACATCAAAAATAAAAATCATAGAGAGGATCGTGAAAGGCAGTCCAGAATGAAATGTCATTGTCACCCACTAATTTATTTATGTGTGACTGTAACAAGCATTTATAAATGCCTGGTATGTCCCAAAGGGTATGGCCAGCATAGAGAATTCAAAGGATGATACATTCCTCAAAATTCATTCATCAAATGATCGGTCTAAGACAGTCAGAGCAACTCTACTATCCTTGGCAAGGATTGGATCAGCAACAGGCATAAGATCCAACCATGGCCAGTGAGACTTGAGGGAAAGTCTGGAGTCTAACAAAAGATTTTCTCATACCTAAGGAGACATAGAAAGAGATCAACCTTTTGAATTCTTCATTTACATATTTTCTTGCTTAATGTATTATCTGGAAAGAGCTAAATCTATTTCGAGACTAAGAGAAGAGTTAGCCTGAGGGCAATGACAACCTTCTAAAGATGGTAGATAAGAGAAATAAAAATAATCTGGGTTCTGGATGACATGTTGAGGCACTAAATACACACTGGAGTCCACCCTACTATTAGACTTCCTATGTTGTGAAAATGAATTTTCTTATTATTTCAGACAGCTTGAGTTTGGTATTTTTCTACTTACAATCAAAGCATTCTAATAGTTTAACATTCAGACATTTTTTGTGGTATCCATTACAGTTCTTTGAAAGCTTTTCATTTCTTCTCTTGCTGGAATGTGATAAAACTGCATTTCCTTTATTACCTCCATCCCCTTTTTTGTGGGATGGCCACATGATTTGCCTTGACCAAAGAAATGTGAGCAGAAGAGATGTGAGTCATCTCTTTCAGGAGAAATTTAGAGCCAGAGTGTGATTCATCATTTTCTCCTTCTCTTTGCTACAGAGAAAAGAAACACCCATGGTGTTGACTACTCTGTTGGCCTGAATTCCAAAGAGAATGATAAAGAGCAAATCTCCAGCCAACCTGCTAAAGACCTTTAATGGGAGTGACAAGTCTTTGTTGCTTTCAGCCTTAAATTTTCAGTAAATGCATACTGATGAAATGAATCTACTAGGAGATAAGGAACTAAAAATAATTATAATTTAATCTAATCTGAGCATGTAACCTGTTTCTGCTACTTTTAAACCAACTCACTATCTGAAATTTTCCCAAATGTGTTAAATAGAGTTCAGTGACAATTTTAGATATCTCTTTAAGTGCTTGTATGTATTTGCATTAGGAAAAAAGCCTTTCTCATAAGAAAGGGTGAAGCTAGCTGCTGACTATTCTGCAAATACAGGCATATCTTTTCAGTTACAGACCACCACAGTAAAACAAATATTGCAATAAAGCAAATCACACAATGTTTATGGTATTCCAGTGCATATAAAAGTTATGTTTATACTATGGTGTATTAAATGAGCAATAGCATTATGTATAAAAAAAGATACCTTAATTACAAAAGATTTATTGCTAAAAAAAATACTAACAATCATCTGAGCCTTCGGTAAGTCATAATCTTTTTGCTGGTGGAGGGTCTTGCCTCAATATTGACGGCTGCTGATGGCTCTGGGTGGTGGCTGCTAAAGGCTGGAGTGGTTGTGACTATTTCTTACAAAAAAAAGAAGTCTGCTTCATCAATTGACTCTTTTATGAAAGATTTTTCTGTAACATGTGATACTGTTTGGTAGCATTTTACCTATAGTTGAAAGTTTTTCAAAATTGGAGGCAATCCTCCCAAACTCTGCTGCTACATTAACAATTAAGTTTATATAATGTTCTAAATCCTTTCTTGTCATTTCAACAATGTTCATAGCATCTTCACCAGGAGAAGGTGGAGATGCCATCTCAAGAAATCATTTTCTTTGCACATGCATAAGAAGCAACTCCTCATTAATTCAAGTTTTATTATAGGATTGCAGCAATTCAGTCATTTCTTCAGGCTCCACTTCTAATTCTAGTTTCTCTTGCTATTTTCTGTCACATTTACAGTTATTTCCTCCACTGAAAGTCAATGAGGGTTGGAATCAACTTCTAAACTCCTGTTAATGTTTCTATTTTGACCTTCTCTCATGAATTACAAATGTTCCTAATAACATCTGAACTAGTGAATTCTTTCCAGAAGGTTTTCAGTTTATTTTGCCTAGATCCATCAGAGGAATTACTGTCTGTGGCAGCTATATAGCTTTTTGAAATATATGTCTTACATAATAAGACTTGAAAGTCAAAATTACTGCTTGATTCATGGGCTGTAGAATAAATAATGTATTAGCAGGCATAAAAACAACATTAATCTCCTTATACTTCTCCATCAGAGCTATTGGGTGACAGATGCATTATTAATGAGCATTAATATTTGAAAGGAATATAATTTTTTGAGGAGTAGGTCTCAACAGTAAGTTTAAAATATTCAGCAAACTATTGCTGTAAACAGACGTGCTGTCATACAGGCTTTCTTTTTCCATTTTTAGAGCACTAGCCAAGTAGATTTAGCATAATTTCTTAAGGGCCCTGGGATTTTTGGAATGGTAAATGAACACTGGCCTCAGCTTAAAGTTGCCAGTTGCATTAGCTCCTAGTGTACAAGTCCACCTGTCCTTTGAAGCTTTGGATCTAAGCATTGATTTCTCTCTAGCTATAAAATTTCTACAAGGCATCTTCTTCCAATATAAGGCTGTCTCAACTACATTGAAAATCTGTTGTTTAAGCCGGGCAGAGATACAACCAAAAAAGAGAATTTTAGACCAATATCCTTGATGAACATTGATGCAAAAATCCTCAATAAAATACTGGCAAACCGAATCCAGCAGCACATCAAAAAGCTTATCCACCATGATCAAGTGGGCTTCATCCCTGGGATGCAAGGCTGGTTCAATATACGCAAATCAATAAATGTAATCCAGCATATAAACAGAACCAAAGACAAAAACCACATGATTATCTCAATAGATGCAGAAAAGGCCTTTGACAAAATTCAACAACCTTCATGCTAAAAACTCTCAAAAAATTAGGTATTGATGGGACGTATCTCAAAATAGTAAGAGCTATCTATGACAAATCCACAGCCAATATCATACTGAATGGGCAAAAACTGGAAGCATTCCCTTTGAAAACAGGCACAAGACAGGGATACCCTCTCTCACCACTCCTATTCAACATAGTGTTGGAAGTTCTGGCCAGGGCAATGAGGCAGGAGAAGGAAATAAAGGGTATTCAATTAGGAAAAGAGGAAGTCAAATTGTCCCCGTTTGCAGATGACATGATTGTATATCTAGAAAACCCCATTGTCTCAGCCCAAAATCTCCTTAAGCTGATAAGCAACTTCAGCAAAGTCTCAGGATATAAAATCAATGTACAAAAATCACAAGCATTCTTATACACCAATAACAGACAAACAGAGAGCCAAATCATGAGTGAACTCCCATTCACAATTGCTTCAAAGAGAATAAAATACCTAGGAATCCAACTTACAAGGGACGTGAAGGACCTCTTCAAGGAGAACTACAAACGACTGCTGAATGAAATAAAAGAGGATACAAAGAAATGGAAGAACATTCCATGCTCATGGGTAGGAAGAATCAATATTGTGAAAATGGCCATACTGCCCAAGGTAATTTATAGATTCAATGCCATCCCCATCAAGCTACCAATGACTTTCTTCACAGAATTGGGAAAAACTACTTTAAAGTTCATATGGAACCAAAAAAGAGCCTGCATCGCCAAGTCAATCCTAAGCCAAAATAACAAAGCTGGAGGCATCACGCTACCTGACTTCAAACTATACTACAAGGCTATAGTAACCAAAACAGCATGGTACTGGTACCAAAACAGAGATATAGATCAATGGAACACAACAGAGCCCTCAGAAATAATGCCACATATCTACAACTATCTGATCTTTGACAAACCTGAGAAAAACAAGCAATGGGGAAAGGATTCCCTATTTAATAAATGGTGCTGGGAAAACTGGCTAGCCATATGTAGAAAGCTGAAACTGGATCCCTTCCTTACACCTTATACAAAAATTAATTCAAGATGGATTAAAGACTTCAATGTCAGACCTAAAACCATAAAAACCCTAGAAGAAAACCTAGGCATTACCATTCAGGACATAGGCATGGGCAAGGACTTCATGTCTAAAACACCAAAAGCAATGGCAACAAAAGCCAAAATTGACAAATGGGATCTGATTAAACTAAAGAGCTTCTGCACAGCAAAAGAAACTACCATCAGAGTGAACAGGCAACCTACAAAATGGGAGAAAATTTTTGCAACCTACTCATCTGACAAAGGGCTAATATCCAGAATCTACAATGAACTCGAGCAAATTTACAAGAAAAAAACAACCCCATCAAAAAGTGGGCGAAGAACATGAACAAACACTTCTCAAAAGAAGACATTTATGCATCCAGAAAACACATGAAAAAATGCTCATCATCACTGGCCATCAGAGAAATGCAAATCAAAACCACAATGAGATACCATCTCACACCAGTTAGAATGGCAATCATTAAAAAGTCAGGCAACAACAGGTGCTGGAGAGGATGTGGAGAAATAGGAACACTTTTACACTGTTGGTGGGACTGTAAACTAGTTCAACCATTGTGGAAGTCAGTGTGGCGATTCCTCAGGGATCTAGAACTAGAAATACCATTTGACCCAGCCATCCTATTACTGGGTATATACCCAAAGGACTATAAATCATGCTGCTATAAAGACACATGCACACGTATGTTTATTGTGGCACTATTCACAATAGCAAAGACTTGGAACCAACCCAAGTGTCCAACAATGATAGACTGGATTAAGAAAATGTGGCACATATACACCGTGGAATACTATGCAGCCATAAAAAATGATGAGTTCATGTCCTTTGTAGGGACATGGATGAAATTGGAAATCATCATTCTCAGTAAACTATCGCAAGGACAAAAAACCAAACACCGCATGTTCTCACTCATAGGTGGGAATTGAACAATGAGAACACATGGACACAGGAAGGGGAATTTCACACTCTGGGGACTGTTGTGGGGTGAGGGGAGGGGAAGGGATAGCATTAGGAGATATACCTAATGCTAAATGATGAGTTAATGGGTGCAGCACACCAGCATGGCACATGTATACATATGTAAGTAACCTGCACATTGTGCACATGTACCCTAAAACTTAAAGTATAATAATAATAAAATAAAATAAAAAATAAAAAAAAGAAAGAAGAGAAAATCTGTTGTTTAAGGTAGCTACCTTCATCGGTGATCTTAGCTAAAGTTTCTGGATAGTTTGTTGCAGTTTTTACATCAGCACTTGCTGCTTCACCTTGCACTTTTATGTTATAGGGACAACTTCTTTCTTTAAACCTCATGAAACAGCCTCTCTTAGCTGCAAACATTTTTTTCTAAAGCTTCTTCACTTCTCTCAGCCTTCATAGAATTGAAGAGTTAGAGACTTGCTCTAGATTAGACTTTGGCTTAAGGAAATGCTGTGGCTGTTTGACCTTCTATTCTGACCATGAAAACTTTCTCCATATTAATAATAAGACTCTTTTTCTTTCTTGTTCATGTGTTCACTGGTGTAGCACTTTTAATTCCCTTCAAAATCTTTTCCTTTGCATTTGTAACTTGGCTAAGTGTTTAGCAAAAGA
Source organism: Homo sapiens (assembly GCF_000001405.40). Taxonomy (NCBI): domain Eukaryota; kingdom Metazoa; phylum Chordata; class Mammalia; order Primates; family Hominidae; genus Homo; species Homo sapiens. The sequence goes on from NC_000008.11 coordinate 121,094,330, forward strand.
GGCCTAGTTTTCATCCTCTCTTGGCCTTTCTCATGCTTTTCTTACTAAGCTTAATCATTTCTAGCTTTTGATTTAAAGGAAAGACTTGTGACTCTTTTTCACTTGAACACTTAGAGGTCATTGCAAGGTTATTCATTGGCCTAATTTCAATATTGCTATGTCTCAGGGCATAGGAAGACTCAAGGAGTGGGAGAGAGGCAGGACAATGGCCAGCTAATGGACTAATCAGAACACACACAACATTTACTAAGTTTGCCATTTTATGTGGATGCAGTTTGTGAAATCCCAAGACAATTATAACAGTAACAACAAAGATCACTAATCACAGATCACCTTAACAGATGAAATAATATTGAAAAAGTTTGAAATATTTCAAGAATTATCCAAAGGTGACATAGAGACATGAAGTGAGCACATGCTGTTGAAATAATGGCACTCATAGTCTTGATTGACACAAAGTTGCCATGAACCTCCGAAAACGCAGGATGTGTGAAGTATCATAAAGCGAAGTGCAATCAGAGGAGATACAGCTGTACATTGACAAAGAGAGTGGACTGGATTATACTTTAAAAATAACTAATATAAAACACCCTTTGTGATTTATGAATGAGAAGATGAAAGGAAATAAAGTGAAAGCTGAAAAGAATATTTTGAAGTGGATGATTGACAAAAGAAAATCTATTGGAAACAGAAGGCTTTACACTGCACAAAGCAAAAATGGAACTCATTTATAAAGGAAACGAAATTCTAAATGTCAAAATAAAAGATGGCCCGATGCCAAAGGAAAGCAGGGGAATCTAAGGCTGGAAGGAGCTCTAATGGGATTCTGGGAAGCTCCTGATCTTTGGGAGGGTTGGAAGCATGCGTGTGTTCTGGGGCATGAGCTGAATTGGGAAGAAGCTGGCTAGGCTAAACTACCATGGGGTAGATGAGGTATTCTTTTTGTCATGTGACTTGTTAGCAGAATTGTAATGAGAATTAAAAGCAATAGCAATTGTACTGGAGGTAACACTGCTAGGGAAAAGTACTAAAATCTCATTGTAGAAATTAAGGGCAAATGGCATCAAGGGCAGAGCCACAGGCACTAGTCAAAGCCAGCTACTGAATGCTCATCCTACTTCTCCAAGGCAAGCTCTGTCTTTGTGGTCCTGTGTGATGCATCAGTAAAAGTTATTGCCACCTTGGTGAATACAGCATAGGGTGGAGGTGCCTAAAAATTTTTGGTTATTCTGAAGGGTTGGAGATGAATATGTTAAATCTATATTTTTAAAAGGAAAGAAAAAGTTTCCCTGGCAATCTTGTGAGAGGAAAATAGAAAAATTGAGATCTGTGGGGGAAATACTAGTTGATGATTCAGACAGCAATGATCTAGGGTTCCAGAAGGAATGAAAAAGATGTCAGTAATTACTATATGTGAAACGGTATTAAACAAGATTAGAAAGAAGGAAAAGAAAAGAAAGTGTGAAATGGAGTAATTGAGAACCAGGATGATAAAAGTGATAGGGTAATAGCGTCATTCCCACTTACAGATCACAAAAACAAGGATTATAGAAATTAAACAACTGGTCCATAGTGATATGGCAAGTAGACCCTTCTTTGTTACTTTTTGTCTTAGCTATTTAAAATATTTATTTGCTAATTTACGTTTTGAATCAGCTTCTTCTTTTGCCATTAATATTACTACAACAGATAATAATAATTAATTTTTTGAGTCATTACTATAATCAAGATACCTTTCCAAGTATCTCACATGTGTTATTTCATTTAATTTTTACAACAATTCCATAAGAAATATATCTCCAAGGGTAACATCTGGTAGAGAGGAGATCTAAAATTTTCAGCTGGATGCAGGATTGTACAATTTTGCCAACTGTCTTCAGTGTTTGACCTTGGCACTTGTTCAGTCTAGCTATTAACCTTTGGCACATCACTTTGACTTTGGAAATCTCAATTTCATCAACTGTCAGAAGAAGTTGTTTAAAATACCATGGAGGATTTCTTTTGCGCATTAATGAGATAATATATGTAAAATTACTTTGTAAAGTATAATATATAAATGTTAGTTTTTCCCGCTATTATCATTATTATCCTATATTTGAATTATGAAGTGGGGATCCAACTATCATGATTATTAATGCTGATTTAGGATTGTGGTAGATGTGTTGTAATCGCCCAATGGATTCTTCCTGCCTGCTGTACAGACTAAATCAAGTCACTGAGACACAGCATTGTAGCAAAAAAAAGAGTTTAATTGTCCCAAGGCCAGTCCATGTGGGAGAACCGGAATTATCATTCAAGTCAATCTCCCAGAAGCTTGGAGGCTGGGGTTTTTCTGGACAATGTGGCGGGCATGGGGCTAGAGAATGGGTTCTGCTGATTAGTTGCAGATGAAATCATAGGGGTGTGAAAACAGTCCTCATGTGCACAGTTCACATCTGAGTAGGGCCAAAGGATCACTTGAGTCATGAGTCACCATCCAGACAGGATAAGTCTGAAAGATATCTCTAAAAAACCATCTTAGGTTCTATAATGTGATGTTATCCATAGAAGAAATTGGGGAAGTCAAAAATCTTGTGACCTCTGGCCCACATGACTCCTGAGCAGTAAGGGATTATAGAAACTATACCTATCTTTTTGCAGAGTTCAGGCTCCTCCCATAATCCTATTCTTACACCCTTTTATCAGTCTTATAAAGGTGGTTTTTGAACCCTGAGCAGGGAGGGGTTTAGTTTTAGGGAGGTACTATTATCAGCCTGGCTTGCAAGCCAAACCATAAACTAAATTTCTCCCAAAGTTACCGTGACCTATGCCCAAGAATGACCAAGGACAGCTTGGAAGTCAGAAGCAAGATGAAGTCAACTATGTCAGATTTCTCTGTCATAATTTTGCAGAGGCAGTTTTACTATCAGGGCTCTATCAGAGAAGCAGAACCACTGTGACTTATTATAGGAGTTTTGCTTTATGCAATCATGGGAGCTAGCTAAGTACTTTATGAATTAGTATGTCTTTTGCCTCTGCTTCAAGAGCTGCATCCCGAAGTCATCAGGGCTGGTAGTCAGGGAAGGAAGATGGAAACAAGGTATGGGAGAGCTAACAAGAGGCCTGAGAACCTGAGCTGGAATCCATGAGGACAGATTGGAACCTACATTGGTCTTTCACCAACAACCAGCCACTAAGTTCAAGAGCTGCTATATTTCACTGAGGAGCTGCTCTACAACTAGTCCAGCCAGGAGCACTGTGCTTCCGGCTGCTGTCCCATGCCAACAAGATGAGTCAGCAGACCTGTCAGTGAGCTGCAGCAGTGCATGACCCAACGTCCACCTGTCCAATGTACACACAAGAACTGCCATATTTCAGCCTTCCTGGTTTCACATGAATTTCTCTATGGGCAAACCCTAATTCTGAAACATACAGGAAAGGAATTTGTGAGTAACGTAGTCGTGCTTAGTTGGTATAGTATAAAGCTCCTTCAAAAGTGGAAAAAATCAAAAGCCTAAAAGGTCAGTCATTAAAAGTAATAAATGAAGTAGGTTGGGTTTAATAGAGTACATGGCACATCTAAATAGGGCAGAACATTTTTTTTTTTTTTTTTCTTACGTGGGGGAAGGTGATTGGTGTTATTCTTGTTACTTGTGAAAACCCTACATGTTTCGGGGGAAATTAGAATCTTGCAAATGTATACATATTTTTTTCTGTCAGAATTTTTGCTATTTTTTAATAACTTTTTTTTTTCCTAATCTCCATCTGAGACCACCACAGCCTGGATTTTATTGTCCATATCACTGTCATCATTTTGATCAAAGCCATTCAACAAGTCTCTAGGAAGTTCCCACATTTTCCTGTCTTCTTCTGAGCCCTCCAAATTGTTCCAACCTCTGCGTGTCACTCAGTTCTGAAGACGCCTCCACATATTTGGTTATCTTTTTAGCAGCACCTCACTCTACTGGTACCAATATACTGTATTAGTCCTTTTTCATGCTGCTCATAAACACATACCTGAGACTGGGAAGAAAAAGAGGTTTAATGGACTTACAGTGCCATGTGGCTGGGGAGGCCTCACAATCATTGTGGAAGGCAAGAAGGAGAAAAGTCACATCTTATGTGGATGGCAGCAGGCAAAGAGAGAGTTTGTGCCGGGAAACTCCCATTTTTAAAACCATCAGATGTACTGAAGCTCATTCACTATCACAAGAACAGTATCCCCATAATTCAATCACCTCCCACTGGGTTCCCCCCCACGACATGTGGGAATTGTGAGAGTTACAATTCAAGATGAGACTTGGGTGGGGACACAGCCAAACCATATCAAACCCAAAGTTTCAAAGTCTTCAGGTCATTCTTTTTCCTCCTCAAAAAATCAGGACTATAGATTTTCATGTGAAGTATCACAATTGTTAAATAATGGCAAATTACTTTTTAAACTAAGGAGGACATATAAGCATTTGTGCTTACTTCCAGTGCATACCCCATAATCACTCTCCAAATATTCATGAAGTGTTTTTTATGTATGAGGTGTGAACTAATAATCAGCCATTCAGAGATTTTAACAAAAGTCTTGATTCCTGTCCTTCAGGACCTCACAGATGAATGGGCCTCATTTGTGGCCATGTTACTTTTTAAGCAAATAGTAACAATGTGAAAAATGTGCCTAGCACTATGGGAGCACAAAAGAGCAGGCTTCAGTGGGGGTCAGGGAAGGCATCATGTGTGATTCAATAGTTGCGGTTCATCCTTGAGAGAAGCAGAAGGGAAAGTAAGGGAATTTCAAGCACTGAATACAACACAGTTATTTTAAAGTGCTTTATGTATTCAGGTACTCATTTTTTTCTTTATTCTTTACATTTGATGCTTACCTTTAGAAACTTTGCATGAGGTAACAGAGTGTAAAATAGGTTGAATGAGGTCATATAACATAAATAAAGTCCTTTCTTGAGAATATGTTTATATACAAGGTTAGGGAAAGAATATGAGAGCATAAGTACCCATTCATAGGGGAAGAAGACTCTAGAGTAGTATGCATCATGGAATGTGAAGAAAAGTACAAAACTCAAGAACAGATTACTATTACATAAAGTAGCCATAATGGGGATTTTTTTTCTCAAAGATAGGCCCTAGTCTAAGCTAAGCTTGGCCGAGAATTCTCTGCCATTTTTCCTGGTTTATTTCAAAATGGTTATTGGGAGTCTGTGGTCAGCATGGGTTTATTGCCTACTACCCTATTTCAAGGTCAGAGACTCTGCTCGGCCTCAATCTTTTTCCAGATGGGGAGACAAACCAACTGCTGAGTAAACATATGGTCTCAATGCTTAAGGCCGCTTTCTTTCCGTTAAGTGCACAGATGTTGCCAGATGAGCCCTCCTCCTTCCAGCACAGTTGACCACAGAGAATCTTACCAAGCCTTGGAAAATGACTATAGCATGTTTTGTCATCAGAGAAGCACAGATATTGGGAAACCTGATCAAAAACATTTGTGTGTCCTGATCTTGTTAACAGAGCTATCACATGTGTTTTAGAAGGCTGACGTAAGACATGTGGTCTATGGAGCAAGAAATTGGATTTTTTACTTTGGAATTTTTTAGGGGAGGCCAGAATCAGATTTTTTAAAGGGATAATATTACCTGGCAATCAAGACTATGACCATGGTTACCTTCATCCAAATGTTGGTTCTTGAAAGTAAAAGTGTGAGAAAATCTTGCATTTTTAATACCCTTTCTAATGTTCTACTAATTAGATAAACCCTGGAGTCAGAGTGATCTTGGATTGAGCCCTAGCTCTACCAAATCCTATCTGTATAACCTTGGTAAGGTGCACTTTCACAATCTTAGTTTCTTCACCTAAAAAATAGGAGTGGTAATAACTTCTCCCATATAGTGTTGAGTATGGGGTGAGGGGAGGTAAGGATGTAAAGCACTTAGAATTTCTGATGCATAATAAGCCTCCTACAGGTTATCTATTGTTATGGTTGGCACTCATCTGATTGTCAATCAGTCCTATGAGGTAGGCAAAAAAGTTGTTATTGCCATTTTCAATTTTTTTAATAAGGAAAAATAGTGAGAAGGTAAGAGGCTAAGTACTGAATCTCGAAATCAGTGGCAGAGCTGAGGCTCAAACTTTACTCTTTGAACCCCAGATCTTTTCCTTACCCCAGTGTTCCAACTTGATCATAACCACCAATGCTTCAACAGGGGTGAATTTCAAAAACATTTATCAACAGGGAGGAGGTTCAGGGAACAGCTTTTCACTAACAAACATGGAAGTATTTCACAATTTTAACTACTGGTGTACAGTAGTTAACGTATCAGTGTGGCCAGCTAAATATATCAGTCCTTCATATACCAGGGAATATGACTTCAGGAATTATAGATTAATTGCATTAAGTTAAAGTCTCTAGCTCTGTCTAGCAAAGGGGTTAATCTCAGGAAAGTTACCTTTCTTTGCAGTGTATTATTGAAAATTAGGAAATAAGACAAAATTAAAATATTCTTTTTTATTTTCAGCAGATTTGTCCCATAGCATAAGATTCACACTCAATACTATCATCCTTTGGGTCTCTAAGACACCAACCTAAAAGTAAGTTTCCTTGTGTCCTCAATTTATGTCTTACTGAAAAATATATTTGTAGAGGGTTATTAAAAACCTTTCAGCTCTTCTGAATCATGTGCATTTGGAAAGCTGCTGCTTTCACCATTTCCAATTTTGTAGCATACTTTATAATGTTTAGTCGTTGGCTTATGTGAGATAGCTAATGAGCAACTATGTTTTCTTATGTTCAAACTAGGATACTGTTACCAATGCAGGTACTGAGCAGAGATTCTGGAAGAAAGCAGAAAGGGAGAAAAAGAGAAGGCTCTCCATGTTGGTGTAAACAATAGCTAAAATTTAATCATATGTTTTTACATGTTATAACTAAGGCAAAAGATATGATTCCTGCCTGGGTGTGGTGGTTCATGCTCATGGACTTTGGGAGGCTGAGGTAGGAGGATTGCTTGAGTTTAGCTGGAGACCAGCCTGGGCAACATAACAAGACTCCATCTCTATATTTTATTATAATAAAATGTTTTTTTTTTTAAGAACATGATTTCATTCTTTTTCTCTACGTATGGTTTGCAAACAAACCTTTGCCTCAGTCCCATTAGTTCCCCCTTCCAAATAGGGTTTTTCATTTTTTATATAGAGAAGTATAGATTTAAGAGTAAAGAGGAAATATATAGATTCTCGCCTATAGCAGCAGTCAATAATTGGTGAATAAATATGCGGATCAAGTTGAATAAAATTCCTCTCAAAACTCTGATAATAAGCACTTTGCATATCTCAATATTGCAATAGCTGTTGAATTATTCTAAATTCAAATGAAACACATTTTGAATGTCTCTGTTTAGTACATGTGGTAGATCATATTATTGTTCTATATGTTTGTTGCATCCCGTTGGGAGAATATTATATATCCCCTCCAATTTCTACCTTGTTCATGTTGCATTTGGCCATCAAATTGATTTTGGCCAAGCTACTTTTCCTTGCATGAGTGAAAGTGGTATGAAATTCTTCTTTGCAGGAAGCCATTGCATGGCTATGCCCTCATTCTTTTCCATTAGCTAATAGGCCAGAATGTCTCATAGGGTCTAATTCCTTCAGCTGCACCCTGGGATGAACAGAGCAACAACAAAATCATCATCAAAATGCAAGGCAAGCAAGAAATAAAAATTTTTTAACATTTAATTTTAATGTTGGAGTAATTTATTTTTGCATAACCTAGTGAAAACCAGCTAATACACTACGGAAACATGTTTAAATGAGAATTAAGAATATTTCAGGTTTTTTCTGGACAGCTTTTTGAAGAAGACCAGGGCTTTCCTGTCATCCTCTATCCATCTTTACATATAATTGACAAGGCTGGTTTAAATATATAATCCTTTCAGACTGGGAAGTGGCTGAACCAATCTCATGAACAAATAGCTGGCCACTTGCTTTGTTTTTCCTTCCATGTTGTGGGTCCATAACATGGTATAATTATAAGAGCCATATTAATCAGGAATTTGGGTTGTGATCTCCACTTTGATGGAGGTTAGAATTTAACAATGGGCAAAACACTTAACCTCACTTTGCTTCAATTTCATCCCATAGAAGAGGGTTATGGTCATGTATTTCCTACTTCAGATCTTTGCAAAGGCTGTTTCTGTTGCCTGGAATGTTCTCACTTCTGCTCATCCCTGACTGGCTTAATCTCCTTCAGGTCTTAAATTCAAAGTCCTATTGGTAGGGATGGCTTTTCTGATCCTGACTACCTTATTTAACTAGCTTTCCATTCTCCTTTCTGCTCTGTGATATGGCCCTGTTTGGCTACTATACAGCATGTATTTCAATTTTTAACTATTTATTTGTTTGTTTACTTTGTTATTGTCTGATTTTGTAAGGCAATGTGCCCCTTGAGATGAGACGTATTATCTTATGCATCACTGTAGTTCCAGCATAGACCACAGTGTATGACATAAAGCAGGGGCTCAAATATTTTGAGTAAATAAGTAAATAATAATGGCCCATACTTACGTAACACTGAATACATGCAAGCACTGGTCTAAGAACCTCATGCATATTAACACATTTATTCTCAATAAACCCTATGAGGCAGAAAAACTATTACTATCTCCATTTTACAAATGGTAAATAGAAGCTAAAAGATTTTATGTAAATTTCCCAAGATCACACAGCTGGTAGATTGCAGAGTCAGGCATCAAAACTAGTGAATCTATGTGTCCTTAACATATACACTCTTTATCTTACACAGTGGTTGTAAATGAACATTGAAAGAAATATGTATGTGAAAGTGGTTTCTGTAAAGTTTATGCAAGTATCCTAACATAAATATTAGTATTTGTAGCCAAGTTATTTTTGCAACCTTTGCTAGACCTCAGCAAACATCAGAAAAGGTGATGTGTAGAGCTCCCCTTTCAGCAATTAGTTTTCAGCCTTTCTGAGTCAAAAATGTAAAGGCCAAGTAATTTTGAATGAAATGTTGAATCATAGAAATGTCAACATGAAGATTAGTTTCTTGTAGCTCTGCTCAACATTTTAAAAAACTATACCTGGGTGATGAAACAACATACACAACAAATCCCTGTGACATGTGTTTATCTATGTAACAACCCCTCACGTGTACCCCCAAATTTAAAAGTTAAAAGAAAAAAAAGACAAAGAAGATACTCCAAAGCAGAAATTTTCTGAATCTCAAAACTGTTTGATGTCAAAAACAAAACAAAACAACAAATAACTATTGGATAATAACAAAAAATCAATTCATCGAAAATGTTTTTCATCTTCATACGTGTGTTGGGACCTAAAGATTCAAAGATGAGTAAGTCACAGGCTCTAATTTCAAGCAGTTCACAGTTGAGAAAGGAAACATATACAGAGTTATAGTCTTCCTACTCAAAGTGGCCTGTGATAGTAGCATCAGCATGCATAACCTAGGAACTTACTAGAAATCCAGACTTTCAGATCTCACCATCTCAGAACAACTGAATCGGAATCTGCATCTTACCAGAATACCTAGGTGACTGTATGAGCATTATAGAGTTGACAAGCTGAGTTTTAACAGATGTTACAAGTGGCATATTAGAGTACCTGTAAATTACCATGAAAACACAGAGAATGAAACACTAGCCTGAAGGAGAGGATGCGGATGTGGGTGTTTCCAAAAAAAAGGCTTCCCAGTGAAGGTGCAATATGGCAGATGCTTGAAAAAAGAATAGTGTTTTTTAAGGATGATTAAAAAGAAAAGTGCATCCTAAAAGGAAGATTGGGGCAAGTAGGTAGACAGCGTGTGTATGCTGAGTTCTGAGAGCTTCTAAGTAGTTCAGTCCACTTGGAAGTAAGGGAGAATTAGTGTCAAGAGTTGAAGAAGAGGCAAATAAGGGGGAAATTTTGAAAGCCTTGATTCCACACTAGAGCATTTTCCACATTAAAACTGTATGTGGGTGGGAGAAAAAGAAGATTGGTTTGTTGTTGTTGTTGTTTTACTTTAGGAAGATCACTCTGGTTGCCATGTGGCAGGTGGATTGCACAGAGAAAAAGAGAAAGAAGGGATGATTGTGAAATGTTCAAAAGACATAAAGCTGGGTGGAGTAGTTACAATAATAGATGACAAAAGCAACATTCCTAATGATTTCACCAGACTTAGATATTGAATTTAACCAATAGGACAAAATTCAACAGGAAAAAAATATACATAAAATTCAGCATTTGTGTTTGTGTGTGTGTGTGTGTTTAAATCAGTTGAGAAAGTGCAAGAGAGAGGTAAACATTTTTGACATGGCTTGTAAAAAATTCCCCAAATGTGATGGTGGATGTAATCATAATTTAGTTGACCACAAGTTAAGCCTGGGCCAATGTTTCACTCATCAGCATAGTGTTTGGTAAAATATCTCACCCACGGGAAGTAACTGTTTCTCTTTTCTGACCACTGTCTCTCATTTGTACCTTTCTTCACCCACAACTCCACAACCGTATCAAAAGCCACGTCTATTAATCTCAGAGGGTCTAAGAATGAACATGCTTACCCTTGGACAGGATATCAGGAAAAATGTAGGCTTTCTCATAGTGGCTTTTAATATATTGAACCACTATATGTGCTTTTCAAAATGTATTTGAATTACATGCTTGCTGTTGACCATGGAAGAGAGAAGAAATCCCCTTGAATAAATGCTTTCTTTTATTTCTTGTATTCCTAGTTCCTAGCACAGTGCCTGACACAGTCCAAGCATTTAATATCAAAAAGGGGATGAATAAGTAGATGAATGAATGAAATGAATGAATGTATGAATGAGGAGAGTTAAAAAGAGCATTACTGTGAAAGAGTCAAAGAGGGCACATGTAGATGTACATTCCACATAAGGGCATGGGAGAGCAAATGTAACATGTCATTAAAAAAATACACAACTCTGCCATTTTCTGCTCTGAAAAATGAATGGTCCATTAGCAATACCTTAGCTCTTTCTACAACCCCCAAATCATATGTGCACACCCAGCAAAAATTTTCCTTACTGAACTTCCTTGCAGCCTCAGCTGCCTTTCCCTGGAGCCTCCCTCCTCTGTCATCTGTGAGGGATTTGTGTCCCTCCCTGGGAGTTTTTCCCTGGGAGCAGTCACTGGAGCCATGCCTCTGGAGTCCATTCTTCTGGCTTAAGCACAGCTGGGCGTCAGATGTCAGAGCCCCAGGATGGTAAACATGCAGTGTCTGTACATTCAGGTTAGAAAGCTGTGAGTGCCCTGTCTGGCAGCCAGAATACAGGACTGTAAACAAGAACACATGATGAAAGCTCTGTTAGGGGATGAACTTTGGGCTGTAGTCTCAGATTTCTGAAAGCCCTCTCTACACAATTTTGTGAGAAACACAGAGGTCTGGAGTTGCTATCCGCTCCTCAGTGTTAGGGAAGCCATTTCTAGATTTCACCATCCTGCCTGAAGGGTGCTTTATTACCAGTCTTATTATTAAATGTTTACTTGATAATCCAAAATAATGGCACAAAATCTAAATGCATTTTATGGAACTTTTTGAAAGCCATGCAAGCAAAATCATAGCCAAGCAAAGATTCTGCTCCCCATGAACGTGTAGTGAATTCCTCTTGGTGCCAAAAACTTGCATGACATTCTTTAATGTTTAAAATGATATTTAGTCTTTGCTTTATTGTGTGTTTTGACAGTGGAGTGTTCCTTGCCTTTTTAGCATAGCAAGAGCAATTGGGCAGGGATAGGAGTGAGGTAGTTCTTGGCTCTTTAAATAAGCCAAGCCCCATAGCCACAATTATACCAGGAAAATGGGTTTAATTCCTCCTTTGGGAGGCATTAGAAATGTCTGGGAGTACATTTTGGGAGGAATGAGAATAGTCACAAAATATATGCTCTGCCCTTTGAAACTAGAGAAGTCAACTGGTGAATGTTTTTGTTATTCTTTTTCCATGCCTGTCCTCAATTTTATTATTCTCTTTACAACCTCTTTTTGCTCATTAGTTACTATTGTTACTGTTAGTAGTAGCAGTAGTAATAGTAACATATTACTACTGTGTATTTATAAATAGTAACTTCGACCTTTCATTGAATATGTGCTACATAATAATCATCTTAATCTTACAAAAATCCTAGACTCAAAGTCTGGCCTATTCATGGTCAGTGGTCAATCATCATAGTAACTACAGGAGTTCTGAATAACGGGTATGCTCACATTTAAGTAGGGGTGGCATATTGATTGTAAGTCACCTGTATTTTCTTTAAAGCAACTATGTTAGAGAACTGTTGCTGGTATTCAGCCCCAGAGCAACTTTTCTTTACTCTCCTTTGTACTGCTGAGACTGGAAACTGGAAAACTACATTTCCCGGTTTCCTTTGCCAATTACATATCAACAGGACTAGTTTGCCTGGGTTTCCAGGAATGTAAGATTTTCACTGCTAAAACTTGAAAATTCCTTGGCAAATGAGGATGAATTGATCACCTTACTTGCCAGTTACATTTATATTAGATGAGCGGGAAGCACTTACATGGGATTAGAAGGCCTGAGGAAGGTAGATGACATTTCAATTACTGGCAGCAGCATTGACAGGTATGTGGCCTTATGGTTTCCTAATCAACAGCAGCAGCAGCAGCATCTCTAAGAGTGTCATGGAGAATGCCAGCTCCTGGAATCTGTAGTGAAAATAGAGGCTCCCTGTGGCTACAGGCTTCTGTGTAACATCAGCTTTCCTCTTTTGTTTCTTCAGCCATTCTAATATTTTGTAAATGATACCCTATATTAAATCCCCTTCTGCCTGAAATACCTTCAGTGATTTCTATTTCCCTGATTGGACATTGATAGAGAGCCCCATTGAAAGATTGCTTCTGAATAAATGGAGCAACTAGAGTTAGTAGGGATGTGAAATGCTAATCAGAAAAACTGTAGAAAAAGCTCAATCAAATAGATTTTTCCAAGATGGCAGAAGGTCAGGGAATAGGGATGATGTAACTAGGAGAACACATGAAGACTCAGGTTACCAGCACTGTAGCAGCAATTTATTCTAAGTCTTTCTAGGTCTCTGTAAATAAGCTCTGGCTATCCTCCCAAGATTGACCCAAGAATCCCAAGACTCCGAGACCTATTCTTGGAGCCCATTAAAAATCAGAACTCTGAGGAACAAAGAAAGATGGATGAGATTGTTCCCACATCTCTACTTCTTTCTAAGTTATGACATCCTCTGATGGGATAGATGGACTTCATTGTTGCTCCCTGAAAATTTCCTCTGCATAGTATTTCATCATATATAATAATAGTGTTTTAACTACATGCCTCTCTCCGATATTGAATTGTCAGCTCCTTAGAAATATAATTTTACATCTTCAAGGCTTAATAGTGCTTGGTGTATAAAATGATATTTAATGATTTCCCATTTCATTCAGAATAAAATTCAAAACCCTTACCAAAGGCACTCATGATATGAATCCTTGCCACTGTCCTAAACTCGTCTATTATTTTTTTCCTTAATCATTTTGCTTCAGCCATACAGGCAAGGTATTAATGTTCCCCTACCATGTCAAATTTGTTTCTATTTTATGGTCTTTGCAATTATTTTTTAAAAGTTGTCCAAAATACTTTAAAACTAGATGGCTACATGGCTTGCCCCCTTCCTTCTGATCTCTGTACAAATGATATCTTTACAGAGACACTTTCCCTGACCACTCAATATAAAAACTAACTAACTAAACACAACAACAGCAAAACCTGTCCTTTGTGCTGTTTTGTTTTACTCCATAACACTTTTCAACATCACCTCAAATATATATTTACTTAGTAGCTATTATTGTTTCTTCCTCTTAACAGCATATAGTCTGCTTCTTAAATAGTGGTAGGAGATAATATATAGGCATAGAGGTTGGCGTAACAATAAAAATTAAAAATACAAAAATAAGAAACAAATGACCTGATTTAAAAATGCCCAAAGATTTTAACAGATACCTCACCAAAAAAGATATATGAATGAAAATAAGCAAACGAAAGATGTTCTGCCTCATATGTCATCATGGAAATGCAAATTAAAACAACAATTAGATACCAATACACACCTATTAGAATGGCCAAAATCCAGAACGCTGATATCACCAAATACTGACAAGGATGTGAACCAAAAGCAACACACATTCGTGGCTGGTGGAAATGCAAAATGCTACAGCCACTTTGGGAGACAGTTTGGAGGTTTCTTCCAAAGCTAAACATACTCATACCATATGTTTCAGAAATTGTGATAATTGGTATTTACCCAAAGGAGATAAAGACTAAGTCCGCATGAAAGCGTGCATACAGATATTTCTAGCAGCTTTATTCATAATCACCAAAACTTGGAAGCAACTAACATGTCCTTTGGTAAGTGAATGAATAAACTCTGGTACATCCTGATCATGGAATATTGCTCGGCATTAAAAAAAATATAGCTATCAAGTCATGAAAACACATGGTGAAAACTTAAATGAATATGATACTAAATGAAAGAAACCAATCCAAAAGACTAATATACTGTATAATTCCAACTATATGACATTCTGGAAAAGGTAATACTATGGAGACAGTAAAAAGATCAGTGGTTGCCAGGGCTTAGTGGAGAGAGAGGAATGGAGAGGCATAGCAAAGAGGAATTTTAGAGCAGTGAAATTGATCTGTATGACATTCAAATGGTGAATTCATGTTATTATGAATTTCCTAAACCGACAGAATGTACAGCACCAAGAATGAACCCTAAATGTAAACTATGGATGTTGACTGGTAATATGTCAATGTAAGTTAATCAGTTATAACAAATATACTACTGCAATAGGGGATGCTGGTAATGGGGGAAGCTGTGACTATGTGGGGGTAGGAGCATATGAAAAATCTCTGTACCTTCCTTTCAATTTATTTTGTAAACTTAAAAATGCTCTAAAAATAAAGTATATTTTTAAAAAATTAACACAGCTAATTTCCAACACAATCTCATTACAGATAAAAAATATTTACAAGTAACCACTTCTAAGTCATTTAAAACTCAAATACAAATTCCTAGAAGGGGTAATTTAAACTGAAATATTAACAAAATCATAAGTAGGTTTCATTGCAATGCACCTTTCCTTGACATAACCTGGCCTCTAAGATTTCATAGCAATGAGATATCATAATTATGTATGCATGCATAGATTCTTTTATTCATTCACAGATATTTAATGACTGTGTATTGTCTGTCAAGTCACAGGCACTATACATGGTGAACAAAAATAGGTGTAGTTTCTGCCTTTACATCTAGTGGCAGAGACAACCAATAAAATCATCAAGAAGACAAATGAGAAACTGATGTCGTGAAAGGTGCAAAGATGAAGTAAGCTTTGCTACAGAAGTTAGGAAAGGTGTCCCTTAAAAATGAGACAGTCGAAGAGACGAGATGGAGATAACTGCATTGAAAACCAATCTGACAGCCTCTCATTAAAATAGCAAACACTAGAGGAAGACTAAATTGTGTGGAATGGTCATAATTTTGGTATGTTTTAGACATGTGAGGTATGTTCTGTTCTATACTAGTGCTGGTAGAAATTAACACTCAGATGTGTTTAAAAATATAGTGCATCATAAAAAACAAACCACCAGAATAAGAAAAAGATCTTAATGATTTAAACTATGACAGTTTGAAAACATTCAATAGGAGGATTGCAAAAAGTCAATGAAATTTCCAAAGTATGAAGCAAAAAACAGACATGGAATATACATAAAAATATTAGAATAAATAGAAATAGTCCTATTAGTCAATATACTGTAAATAAAAAGCACAGAAAGAAAAAAATGAAGAAAACAAAAATGAAAGATTTATTAAATTATAGAAAAATTTCCCACAGTTAATACAGAACACACTTCAGATTCAAGAACCCACCTCAGGTCTGTTAGTAAGGAACACTTCTTTCCTATTTGTGATATTTTTTTCTAAGAAAAAAAATTTACTGTTACTCAAAGCTTCCTTTTACCTGTTCCTTTGCCCCAGGGGACATGGAGTAATTTATATTATTGATAACTTTGTGATGATAAAACCGACAATTGCTCAGCTCTGTCTTGCTTTTACTCAGGAGCAAATTCTCCATGTCAAGTTGGCTGGTATCCCCCTTGGCTCCTCTAGGGAGATACTCTGTCACTGTGAGGGGTAGAATAGGTTGTCCCAGTGCAGCAGCATTATACCCTCCTAATTTTGTCTAAATGTTAGGAAGCCACTGGACTCTGATATTAAAGTGCATTCTCTAAAGATGCCATAATACTGTGGCCTGTAACTAGACTTTAAAAAAAAAATCTATTGACTGAGAATCTGCATAGGAAAAAGTGCTATCAATCAGTCTCTTAAGAGACCACAAATTTAAAAAAGACACACATCCCTGTGTACATTCTGATTATTTATCCAAACACCAAAAATTAAGAAAAGCGTCTAAAATTTTGCAGACTAAAATAAAAAAAAAATCACTACCAAAGAAGCATTAATCAGGCTAATATTATGATCTTCATCAATAATACTAGATGTGGAAGTAGATGAAAAAATTTCTTCAGATTTATGAGAAAAAATATTTTCAATCTTGAAATTCTATATCCATGAATTATGAATCAAGTGTGAGTGTGGCATAAAGGCATTCATGATTCATGAAGTTTACTTTTCATTCACTCTTGTCTTAGGAAGTTACTTAAATATAGACTAAAAAAATCAGGAATATAAACAAAAATTCAAAGATATCAGATCCATGTTACAGCAAGTCTAATTTAGCATTAAAGGGATGTAGGTTTCAGGATAATTCCTGTCAGACCCAATAACTCAGATTGATGTAGAAAGATGATGTTATGGGAAAAGGGGTGAAATATTTTAAGAAAAAATGTGGGGTTGAATAAAGTAGAAAGTCATTTAAAACATGGAAAGCTGAAGATTTGGTAAATGCAAATAATGTTCTTAAAAGACAATAGAAATCAACAGAATGAACAAAGAGATATTCAGAAAACGTCATGATTCAAATATAAAGCAAACATAACTTTTAAGTAAGTGTTGGGCATAAAAAAAAACAGTCCTTTGGACATTAATGGTAAAACAAATTTCTTTTGAGTGCTCCAGGAATCATAGCATTGTGTATAAGAAAGGAAATAAAATCCTAGCATATGATGCCTCTTAGCCATTAATAGTAATCTCATACTTATTAATATAAATGTTTTTATGATGTTTTAATACTTAGAGTAATTTCATGGATAAAGTTGAAAGCTTGATTATAGTTGTAAGATGAAGAATAAGTGTCCACCAAGTATAAGTGCAGTTGACGGAGAGTGGAATAGAATGAGTGTTTTTGTGTTGGGGAATGAGTAGGGTGAGAGGAAATGTGGAGGGAAGTAATCTAACATCTTCACCCTGTGGGTCTGGCTTTGGTTGAAAACCCAAGTCTCCTACCAACCAGCCTCTCTGACCTCCAATTTCTTCATCTACCAAATGTCCATGCTATTAATTCCTTCCTCCAGGTTTGTTGTTAAGATTGTATTAGGACAATAATTGCAAAAATCACTATGAATTACAATTTCCTACAGAATTATAGTTATTAGTTACACAAAGAAAAAGCACCATTTTTATATTGCATAATTTTCATCTCTCTGCTTTTCTAAAAGCATTGTTGTAAGCCTGATGGGGAATACAGAGATGAAAAAAAATATCACTAGAAAGAAAAGAGTTCCTATTCAAGAATCTTCTTTCTAGTGATATTTGCTCACAAACTTGAGAGGGAAAAAAAAGTATGAATCAAATGCATGAAATTAAAATTGTTTGGAAAAAGGATATGGATTACTTCTGGTTGAGAACCTCGAAGAAAGCATCATGCAAAAGACAGGAACACTTGAACTATATCCCGAAAGATGTTTGGACATTGCAGAAGTTTGGATTACAGCCAGATATTCCAAGTATAGAGAGCAGGTGACAAAAGGTGCCTCAGGATACTTGAAGGTGAATGGAGAATGTAATTACTAATTCATGAGGGATTAGTAATTCATAAGGGATCTGGCCCCAAGATCCAATCACCTCCCTCCAGACCCCACCTCCAATACAGGGGATTACAATTCAACATGAGATTTGGGTGTAGCCTACAAACAATATTAATACGTTTTTAAATATTGTATTCCACTCATTGATATTACATTTTTGACAAAAGTGTTACTCAGAACAGAGGCTTCAGATGCCCATGAAAAGAAACAGTGGGGTTGAAATACATATGCTGAGATTTGCTAATTCACTGTTAAAAAGTACCTTAGATGTCCCAATATAATTGCTCTTCGGTATTTTTAACAAATGAATAATTATATTTCACAAATAAGAAAAATGGTGCTTTTTATCTACATAGAACTATACAAACTTCTAGTAAAACTTTTAAATTATTTTACTTTGAATCTTGTCAAATGAAGCATTTTCATTTCTTCTACACTTCTTTAAAAGGCTGAACAAGTTTGCCTGCATTAGTATCAACACATGTTGGACTGTGCTATGTTTAGTTGTAATAACTAATTTATCCATCCTCACTTAATATGTGGGAAATGATATAGTCCTAAGTGTATTGAGATATGTTTCTTTGAAACAAAAATATTTAATTTTTTGCATGTGATAAGAAACAGCCTTATTCAACATACACTTTTTAAAAATGAGCAATACAGACAGCAGTCTTATGACTCTTTATTACCCATAATCTTGACTCCCATGAAGCCAAACTTCAGAAAAATACATTCAATAAAAGATTCAAGCTAAAAATATATTCCTTCTGTTGAAAATCATTCCCTTTATAATATTCATTTGTAATCTAAATTCACATACATCCCACCAGCCCAAAATGATCTTCTAAATGTCATTATACTTGTAGTATTGCCGTGTTTTTTTTTTTCAGTCCCATACTTATGGAGGTTACTGGGCTGCAGCAACACATTATTTTAACTCTAAGAAGAGTATAGACTTATAGCATTAGCTCCTTTAACAATTTTCTAAAAAAGATTTTTAGTTTAGAAACCTCCAGCCCGCGCGGTTTTCCTCAGATACAATATATCCAGACTTTTTATACAAACCAACATTTTGTGGTAGAAATTCAAGGGAAATCTTCTAACAGTTCAGTTTCTAGCTTAGCAAAGTAAGAGTTGGTAATAACAACATGCCAAGCTGCTTTTCTCTGCATTCATCACTAATGATAACATCTTCTATTCTTCCTCTCTTAGAACAGGAATGGATGAATTTTTGTTCTATTATCAGAGTTGCTGTAGCAACAATCTGTCCTAGAGTTGCATCTTCCACAACTGCAACATCATAGTCCCCAGATTTCTTTATATGCTCAAAAGATTTCATAAATTGTTCAGGGTTCACAACTCCAGTCTCTTGTCAGCTGACCCCGTATCTTAAAACACACACACACGCACACCTCTATTTAAGTCAGCAGTACAATAGCAGGTCTCAAAACAGGTCTCCTCCAGGACGCGTTGGGGAAATGGCTGGAGAAAATCTAGCTGTATTCTGACTCCAGGCTACTTCTCTGAGTACTCTGGTCAAATACAGGGGTTTCATCAGGTTTCATTTTTGCAGTAAGGTCTTGTTTTCCCATCTTTGTTTGTTTGTTTGTTTGTTTGTTTGAGACGGAGTCTCGCTCTTTCGCCCACGCCGGACTGCAGTGGCGCTATCTCGGCTCACTGCAAGCTCCGCCTCCCGGGTTCACGCCATTCTCCTGCCTCAGCCTCCCGAGTAGCAGGGACTACAGGTGCCCGCCACTGCGCCCGGCTAATTTTTTGTATTTTTAGTAGAGACGGGGTTTCACCGTGTTAGCCAAGATGGTCTCGATCTCCTGACCTCGTGATCCACTCGCCTCGGCCTCCCAAAGTGGTGTTTTCCCATCTTAAGCTCTAGATTACTATTCTCCATAGAGCCCGAACATCATACTAGACAGGTAGCTCTGTCTCCCCTATTCAGCGAATCCTGCCCGTAGAGGCCCTGTAGCCGATGCTCCTGGCCAGGTGCATTGGACTCTATGACTCACTTTTACACGAGGAATATTAGTATTTAAAGCAACAACTGAAACAATGGGGGATGAGTATTATATAACACACGAATTAAGAAAGAAATTACAGACCTCCAATTTTGGAGAAAATAATGAGTCAAACATTGTTTTGTTATGAGCAAAACATACTCTGCTTTATTATTTATTTACTCTTCCTCAACTTGAAACTTTTAAAAGTTAGATAATATATGTATTATAATCATAAAATGTTTATGCTAATTATACTTACATAATTGTATTAATTAATTTTATATGTACATATATATTTAACCCTAGACATACTAAACGCATATCTCTAGGGGTTGGTTCTACTAATTTTTGTTTAAGGAAAACTGAAAACTTCCATGTAATTCTCTGTATTTATGGAACATGACCACAGAACATACTCTAAGAAATTTCCAAATGAACTAAAGAGTTAAATGATATGGATTGGCTCTCTGTCCCTACCCAAACCTCATCTCATCTTGTTAACTGATTTATATTTATTTATTTATTTTTGAGATGGAGTCTCGCTCTGTCACCCAGGCTGGAGTGCAGTGGCGCAATCTCGGCTCACTGCAAGCTCTGCCTCCCGGGTTCACGCCATTCTCCTGCCTCAGCCTCCGGAGTGGCTGGGCCTACAGGTGCATGCCACCACACCTGGCTAATTTTTTTTTTTTTTTTTCAGTAGAGACGGGGTTTCACTGTGTTAGCCAGGATGGTCTCGATCTCCTGACCTCGTGATCCGCCAGCCTCGGCCTCCCAATGTTAACTGATTTATATAGGAGTACAGCTAGTTACGTGTATAGAATAGAATTGGTAGGGGACTTCAAAAAAACAAAAAATTGAGACGTTTTTATAGTAAGGTGGAGATAGACTTTTCTCATTAAAATATTTCCTTTATATTTGTTATAAGGCTGTTAGAAAGCTGGAAAAATAGAAAATAACTAAAGATATTTGTTCAATGATGAACATTAGGATTTATAATCCAAATTTCTTTTAAATAACTGCAAAACACAAATGAAAAAGAAAAGCTTGTTGAGAAATATAATGAAGTCCTAATCCTAGAGCAAGGGAGGAAACAAATCTGACAATCAAAAAGAGATTGACTGTGGTTTATTAGGTGCTATAGATTAAATATTTGTGTTCCCTCCCTGCCCACTCTTCAATTCATATGCTGAAATCTTAACCTCCAAGGTGGTGGTAGTAGGAGGTGGATTCGAGAGGTGATTTGTCATGAGGGCCAAGCCCTCATTAATGGGTTTAAAGCCCTTTTCCCTTTCTGCAATGTGAATACACAGTGAGAAGACAGTTGTCTGTCTGTGAAATGTGAAATGAGCCCTTATAAGATGCCAAATCCGCCTCCATCCTGATCTTGAACTTCCTGCCTCAAGAACTGTGAGAAATGTTTATTGCTCCTGAGGCAGTCAGTCTATGGCAATTTGTTGTAGCAGCCTGGATAGGCTAAAGCAAACATTGGTGCTGAAAAGTGGAGTGCTGCTATAACAAGTATCTAGAAATGCAGGACTGGCTTTGGCACTGGGTAAAAGATCGAAGCTGGAGAGTTTGAGGTGCATAAAGAAAAAGCTTATATTGCCATGAATAGATTCTTAGGGGCAATTCTGATGAGGACTCAGGAGAGGAGGAGGGGTTTGGAGAAAGCCTAAATCTTCTTAGAAAATACCTAAGTGACCGGGCGCAGTGGCTCATGCCTGTAAACCCAGCACTTTGGGAGGCTGAGGCGGGCAGATCGCCTGAGGTCAGGAGTTCGAGACCAGCCTGGCCAACATGGTGAAGCCCTGTCTCTACTAAAAATACAAAAATTGACTGGGCATGGTGGTGGGCTCCTGTAATCCCAGCTAGTCAGGAAGCTGAAGCAGGAGAATCGCTTGAACGTAGGAGGCAGAGGTTGGAATGAGCCAAGATCATGCCACTGCACTCCAGCCTGACAACAGAGCAAGAATGTCTCAAACAAAACAAAACAAAACCAAAAAAACCCTAAGTGACCCTGAACAAAATGTTAGTAGAAATATGGCTGATAAAGGTCATTCTTATGAGATCTCAGACAAAAATGAGGAACATGTTTTTGAATCACGAAGGAAAGGCCGTCTTTGTTATAAAGTACTAAAGAACTTGGTTGAATTGTGTTCGTGTCCTAGTGTTTCATGGAAAGTAGAACTTGTGAGTGAAGAAATTGGGTATTTTGCTGAGGACATGTCTGAGCAAAGTGTTGAAGGTCTTTACTGAATTCTCTTGACTGCTTATAGAAACCTGTGAGAAGAGGGGAAATGACTTAAAGATGGGATTGTTAATCACAATGGAAACAGAAATTTAAGATTAGAAAATTTGTAGCCTATCCATAATATAAAAATCAAGAAAGCATGGTCAGAAGAGAACTCTCAGGGTGTGG
The DNA here is from genome assembly GCF_000001405.40 of Homo sapiens. NCBI lineage: Eukaryota > Metazoa > Chordata > Mammalia > Primates > Hominidae > Homo > Homo sapiens. Next base: position 121,116,787 of record NC_000008.11, read on the forward strand.
ATAAATGGCCATCTGATAGAGATTAGTTAGTCATCTGAACAGCAGCCAGAAGTTATTGTTCAAGACAAGGGAAGAATGTAAAGGAGGGACCCCTGTGCCTCTGGGACTTTGGGGACACACTTCCCAGTGACAGTCACATTGCAGGCTTTGCTCCCTTCACTCCAGCACTGTACTCCTCATCCACCCCAGTTGTGGTTCTGGTGAGTCTGGATGTGGCACAGGCCACAGTGGTTGTGCCTCTGATGGGTGTAGTCTCTGCAAGTGTGTAAAGTGCATAAGCCTGGGGGTCATATGCAGGAAGACAGGTTCCTGGGTGATCTTGGCTGGCCCAACCAATCCCCTTCTTGCTTGCAACTGTTGGGCAGAATATACTGAGAATGCAACATCCTGAGATAAGAAGGAAGAGTTCAATACAGCCTGGACTATCTTTGCATCCCTCCTGGAAGAGGACCTCCTGCAGCACTTTAGGCCAGCAATCCAAGTAGCCCCTAGGGTATAAAAACCCAGAGCAGAATGGTTTCAGGGTCTTTCATCTGTAGTGCAAAGCAGCGCACTTGCAGACAAGATCTCATCCATCTTGGAAAGCTTTCCTGAGCCTTGGGGGAACCAGTTTACCATGGATCCTAGGCTTTCCATTGATTCTTATTGCCTATCTGTGAGTAATAAAGTTGCTTTGCCTGATGGGCTGTGTAAGTGTTCTGTCTCACTGGATTTATACTCTGCCAGTTGGGTTTGTGCAAAATCTCTGGCAGCTGCATTTGTATAAAACCTTCTGCCAGATCTAAGAACTTTAGCAAATATTGGTCAAGTGTTAAGAGTCCTCTCCTGGGATTGATCATTGGTGCTTGGTGTTCTTCTCCCAGGGATTGATACTGATGCTTAACTGCATGGCTAACTCCACCTAGATATAAAAGGACAGTGCCTCCTAACTAAGCTCTGGGCTCAGGAACTCCTGCCCTGGATAGCCTCTGGAGCTAGGCACAGAGCTACTGCAGGGGCAAAGCTCCAGGTAAAGAGCTGCTACAGGGTCATCTGCCCAAGCTGTGGGGAGTGGGCTGGACAAAGCCATGGGGACAGGGTTGCCAGACCCTTGAGGGCCTAACTCCTATCTGGAAAAGCTGTGGGGGCAGGATCACCATCTCAGTGTGTCTATAAAGAGGGACTTCTGGCACAGTAGGATTGGAGGGCCGAGCATTGAGTCAAAAAAGATTATTCTCAATTTTTAATGTTGTTTAAGGTTTAATGTTGTTGCCCTGTTAGATTTTGGACTTACTTGGGATGAGTCACTCCGTCCTTTCTTTCCTCCTTTCTGTTAGAATGAGAATGTCTGTCCTGTGACTGTCCCATCATTGTATTTTGGAGGCACATAACTTGTTTGGGATAGCAATCCCATTATTGAGTATATACCCAAAGGAATATAAATCATTCTATTAATATTATAAAGACACATGTACATGTATGTTCATTGCAGCACTATTCACAATAGTAAAGACATGGAACCAACCTGAAACCCCATCAATGGTAGACTGGATAAAGAAAATGTGGTACAAATACATCATGGAGTACTATGCATCCATAAAAAAGAATGAGACAATGTCCTTTGGAGGGACATGGATGGAACTGGAGGCCGTTATCAGTACCAAACTAACACGGGAACAGAAAACCAAATACTGCATGTTCTCACTTATAAGTGGGAGCTAAATGATGAGAACACATGGACACATAACGGGGGACAACACACACTGGGGCACATCAGAGGGTGGAGGGTGGGAGGAGGGAGAGGATCAGGAAGAATAACTAATGGGTACTGGGCTTAATACCTGGGCGATGAAATAATCTGTACAACAAACCCCCATGACACAAGTTTACCTATATGACAAACCTGCACTTATACCATTGAGCTTAAAATAAAAGTTAAAAAAAATTGCCTCAAAATGAATCATACCTAGAGACTCACACACATCTAATCTAGGTGATATTCACATGAGACTTTGGATTTGGATTTTTGAGTTGATGTCATGTGACAACGACATAAATTTGGTGGGGGTTGGGGGGAAAGGGAAATAATGCCATACACTGAAGATGTCCTCCCAAAATTCAAGTGTTGAAAACTAAATCTCAATTTGATGGTATTTGGAGGTGGAACCTCTGGGAAATAATTAGGTCTTGAGGGTGAAACCCTCATGAATGGGGTTAGTGCCCTTATAAAAAAGGTGCCAAAGAGATCCTTTACCCCTTCTTCTATGTGAGGTCATAGCAAGAAGACAACTGGCTATAAATCAGGAAGTGAGTCCTCACCAGACACCAGATTTGCTGGCACCTTGATCTTGGACTTCATAATCTCCAGAACTTTGAAATCTGAATGTTTGTTGTTTATAAGCCACCTAGTCTATGGTAGTTTGTTATATCAGCCTGGATGAACTAAGACAGATGTTAAATGTCTATCGCAGGCAGAAGAAGGCTTCAAAGGTGGAAGAAGATGTGAGCCTGGGTGATTGAAAAATAGATGTGCCATTACCCTGAAATAGGACTTCTTCAAGGCAAAGGCTGATACAGTGGTGGCTACAGTCTATGTTGTGATTTGATGGAACTTTTCACTTTTCACCATTCAAACCAGTATCCAGAGGTACAGTTGCTGCATAACTTCCTCATTATCCATAGGACCAAACTAAATGTCTCTGGTTTGAAATTTTGACTAGAAATTATATACATCTGCCAGCAATTATTGTGGGTGTAACTGAAGTGCACACTGCTCACTGCCCCTCAATAACATCATTTTCAAATAATAACATTGGAAAGAGGTACTTTCCTAAAACTTTCAAGTGATCTACAATCTCCCAGACTACTTTTACAATGGATTTTTTTTTTTTTTACTAGATGTGTTATTTCAATTTTGGCCGCTAACCAAAAGGCAGGACATTGCTGGTGAATTTAAGCTGTTCAATTATACACAAAAAAGAATCTGAGCAATGATTTTGCTGTTTTTGTTTTGATCTTTGACACAGAGCTGCAAAATGTCCTCTTTAGTTACCTAGCAAAGCAAGCATCCTGGAAAAAAAAAAAAAGTGTGGTTGTGCAATGTTTGAATGGCGTGATATCCTCTGCAGATGCATTAGGAGAGGCAAGAGCAGCCTCCCACATGACTAGGGCAGAAAACACTTCTCAGCATGAAGGCCATAACGTTCTTATTCATAATCAAGCACACCGTTTTATTCAGAAAAATATTTGAAAATAGGAAAACCTAAAAATCAAAAATCAGTTGCCCCAAATAATGTCTCAGGTATGTATTTTCAAAGGATATCTGGAAACGCTATGTAAAGATTAGAAACAGTCTGTGTGTAGTCCATAGACTGGATATTATGTAACATTTATCTCAGCCAATGATGTTATCAGAGCTATGCTAGTTGGATGTCACAAGCAGATTCATAATTTAGTTGCTCTCACAAATTTCCTTCCCTTGGCTGACTGTGTTCCAGCTGGCAGGTCATAAAATGTGTAACCCAAGCCAGCACAGCATCATCACTTGGCTGGCCTACTAAAAGCTTCATGGAGAAAGTAATACTATGCCAAATGGGAGATCCCCAAATTTCAGTCTAACAACAAAACTTGTGTCTTCTCCTTAGATGAGAGGAAACATTTTATTCTGGAAATAGCAAAGCTTTTGGAGTCAGACCACTGTAAATCACAATTTCCAGTGAAATGTATATAATGATACTTATAATATTGCTTTAATAATCAGACAAAATGAAATGGAAAGCCTTGCTTATACTAGAATTTCAATAAAGTTTGTAAGCCCTGTGTCTTAGTCCATTTTTGCATTGCTATAAAGAAATACCTGAAACTGGGTAATTTATAAAGAAAAGAGGTTTAATTGGCTCATGGCTCTGCAGGCTATACAGGAAGCATGATGCTGGCATCTGCATGGCTTCTGGGGTGGCTTCAGGAAGCTTACAATCATGGTGGAAGGCAAAGGGGGAGCAGACACATCACACAGCAAAAGCAGGAGCAAGAGAAAGTGAATGGGGGAGGTGTTACACACTTTTAAATGACCATGTCTCATGAGAACTCACTCATTATCAGGAGGACAGTACCAAGCAGATGATGCTAAACCATTCATGAGAAATCCACCCTCATGATCCAGTCATCTCCTACTAGGCCCGCCTCCAACACTGGGGATTACATTTCAATATGAGATTTGGGTGGGGACACACATTCATAGTATATCACCCTGTGACTTTGGGTGAGTTGCTTTTAACTACTCTGTGCCTCAGTTTTTTCATCTATAAAATGGATATCATACTACTTAGAGAGTACAGTGAAGATTGAATGATGTAATAAATGACAAGCTCTTAGAATAGCTGAATAGTAATTGCTCAACAAATGTAGCCATTGCTGTCATTATTATTCATTCTCTGTGTGCTAATAAGATATTCCACATGAAGATAATAACATGAGCTCGGAGGATGTAAGGTATTATGCATCTTTTTTGTTCAGGGGATGGTGGATAAGTAGGAGAATAAAGCTGAGGTGGGAGGTGCACAATACTCCAATAGTAATAAGGAGAACAAATAAAAGGACTGATGAGAATACTAATAAAGCAGTTTAGATTTCAACTGTGATGGATCTTGAAGATTATGTCAACTAAATTAGGCTTTTTTATTAGAAAAGATGGAAAACCAGTAAGGTCTTAACTTAGCAAGTCATACTGACCGTAACTGTATTTTGAAAGATGACTAGAGGGGATGTGGATAATTACTAAAGGAAGGCGGTGAGAAGCAGAGAGGTATTTAGGAAGTTATTGCAGAAGGTAAGTTACAACAAAGGAAAGACAGCAGGATGGAAAAATAAAAACAGCTACAGGAAATGATGCAGGGATGAGATCAATCGGTTGGTTAACTGGATGTAGGGGCTAAAGGAAATACCTAAAGCTGTTTGGAGGTTTCTAATTTGTGAAAATGGCTAAATGATAGAATCAGGATGGAGACTGCGAAAACAGGATAGGATAAGAGATTTTATTTTATTTTTTTTGACACAGAGTCTTGCTCTGTCGCCCAGGCTGGAGTGTAGTGGCGCGATCTCGGCTCACTGCAAGCTCCACCTCCTGGGTTCATGCCATTCTCCTGCCTCAGCCTCCCGAGCAGCTAGAACTACAGGCGCCCACCACCACACCTGGCTAATTTTTTTTTTTTTTAATTATACTTTAAGTTTTAGGGTACATGTGCACAACGTGCAGGTTTGTTACATATGTATACATGTGCCATGTTGGTGTGCTGCACCCATTAACTCATCATTTAACATTAGGTATATCTTCTAATGCTATCCCTCTCCCCTCTTCCCACCCCACAACAAGCCCCAGTGTGTGATGTTCCCCTTCCTGTGTCCATGTGTTCACATTATTCAATTTCCACCTATAAGTGAGAACATGCGGTGTTTGATTTTTTGTCCTTGTGATAGTTTGCTGAGAATGATGGTTTCCAGCTTCATCCATGTCCCTCAAAGGACATGAACTCGTCCTTTTTTATGGCTGCATAGTATTCCATGGTGTATATGTGACACATTTTCTTAATCCAGTCTATCATTGTTGGACATTTGGGTTGGTTCCAAGTCTTCGCTATTGTGAATAGTGCCGCAATAAACATATGTGTGCATGTGTCTTTATAGTAGCATGATTTATAATCCTTTGGGTATATACCCAGTAATGGGATTGCTGGGTCAAATGATATTCCTAGTTCTAGATCCCTGAGGAATCGCCACACTGACTTCCACAATGGTTGAACTAGTTTACAGTCCCACCAACAGTGTAAAAGTATTCCTATTTCTCCACATCCTCTCCAGCACCTGTTGTTTCCTGACTTTTTAATGATTGCCATTCTAACTGGTATGAGATGGTATCTCATTGTGGTTTTGATTTGCATTTCTCTGATGGCCAGTGATGATGAGCATTGTTTTCATGTGTCTTTTGGCTGCATAAATGTCTTCTTTTGAGAAGTGTCTGTTCATATCCTTTGCCCACTTGTTGATGGGGTTGTTTGTTTTTTTCTTGTAAATTTGTTTGAGTTCATTGTAGATTCTGGATATTAGCCCTTTGTCAGATGAGTAGATTGCAAAAATTTTCTCCCATTTTGTAGGTTACCTGTTCACTCTGATGGTAGTTTCTTTTGCTGTGCAGAAGCTCTTTAGTTTAATTAGATCCCATTTGTCAATTTTGGCTTTTGTTGCCATTGCTTTTTGTGTTTTAGACATGAAGTCCTTGCCCATGCCTATGTCCTGAATGGTATTGCCTAGGTTTTCCTCTAGGGTTTTTATGGTTTTAGGTCTAACGTTTAAGTCTTTAATCCATCTTGAATTAATTTTTGTATAAGGTGTAAGGAAGGGATCCAGTTTCAGCTTTCTACTTATGGCTAGCCAGTTTTCCCAGCACCATTTATTAAATAGGGAATCCTTTCCCCATTGCTTGTTTTTCTCAGGTTTGTCAAAGTTCAGGTAGCTGTAGATATGTGGCATTATTTCTGAGGGCTCTGTTCTGTTCCATTGGTATATATCTCTGTTTTGGTACCAGTACCATGCTGTTTTGGTTACTATAGCCTTGTAGTATAGTTTGAAGTCAGGTAGTGTGATGCCTCCAGCTTTGTTCTTTTGGCTTAGGATTGACTTGGCAATGTGGGATCTTTTTTGGTTCCATATGAACTTTAAAGTAGTTTTTCCCAATTCTGTGAAGAAAGTCATTGGGAGCTTGATGGGAATGACATTGAGTCTATAAATTACCTTGGGCAGTATGGCCATTTTCACAATATTGATTCTTCCTACCCATGAGCATGGAATGTTCTTCCATTTGTTTGTATCCTCTTATTTCATTGAGCAGTGGTTTGTAGTTCTCCTTGAAGAGGTCCTTCACGTCCCTTGTAAGTTGGATTCCTAGGTATTTTATTCTCTTTGAAGCAATTGTGAATGGGAGTTCACTCATGATTTGGCTCTCTGTCTGTTATTGGTGTAAAAGAATGCTTGTGATTTTTGCACATTGATTTCGTATCCTGAGATGTTTCTGAAGTTCCTTATCAGTTTTAGAAGATTTTGGGCTGAGACAATGGGGTTTTTTAGATACACAATCGTGTCATCTTCAAACAGGGACAATTTGACTTCCTCTTTTCCTAATTGAATACCCTTTATTTCCTTCTCCTGCCTGATTGCCCTGGCCAGAACTTCCAACACTCTGTTGAATAGGAGTGGTGAGAGAGGGTATCCCTGTCTTGTGCCAGTTTTCAAAGGGAATGCTTCCAGTTTTTGCCCATTCAGTATGGTATTGGCTGTGGGTTTGTCATAGATAGCTCTTATTATTTTGAGATACGACCCATCAATACCCAATTTATTGAGAGTTTTTAGCATGAAGGTTGTTGAATTTTGTCAAAGGCCTTTTCTGCATCTATTGAGATAATCATGTGGTTTTTGTCTTTGGTTCTGTTTATATGCTGGATTACATTTATTGATTTGCATATGTTGAACCAGGCTTGCATCCCAGGGATGAAGCCCACTTGATCATGGTGGATAAGCTTTTTGATGTGCTGCTGGATTCAGTTTGCCAGTATTTTATTGAAGATTTTTGCATCGATGTTCATCAAGGATAGTGGTCTAAAGTTCTCTTTTTTGGTTGTGTCTCTGCCAGGCTTTGGTATCAGGATGATGCTAGCCTCACAAAATGAGTTAGGGAGGATTCCCTCTTTTTTTATTGATTGGAGTAGTTTCAGAAGGGATGGTACCAGCTCCTCCTTATACCTCTGGTAGAATTCAGCTACGAATCCGTCTGGTCCTGGAATTTTTTTGGTTGATAAGCTATTAATTACTGCCTCAGTTTCAGAGCCTGTTATTGGTCTATTCAGAGATTCAACTTCTTCCTGAGATCCATCAGTGTGCTGTATTCAGGAAACCCATCTCACATGCAGAGACACACATAGGCTCAATGTAAAGGGATGGAGGAAGATCTACCAAGCAAACGGACAACAAAAAAAGGCAGGGGTTGCAATCCTAGTCTCTGATAAAACAGACTTTAAACCAACAAAGATCAAAAGAGACAAAGAAGGCCATTACATAATGGTAAAGGGATCAATTCAACAAGAAGAGCTAACTATCCTAAATATATATGCACCCAATACAGGAGCACCCAGATTCATAAAGCAAGACCTTAGAGACCTAAAAGAGACTTAGACTCCCACACAATAATAATGGGAGAGTTTAACACCCCACTGTCGACATTAGACAGATCAACAAGACAGAAAGTTAACAAGGATATCCAGGAGTTGAACTCAGCTCTGTACCAAGCAGACCTAATAGACATCTACAGAACTCTCCACCCCAAATCAACAGAATATACATTCTTCTCAGCACCACACCACACCTATTCCAAAACTGACCACATAGTTGAAAGTAAAGCACCCCTCAGCAAATGTAAAAGAACAGAAATTATGGCAAACTGTCTCTCAGACCACAGTGCAATCAAACTAGAACTCAGGATTTAGAAACTCACTTAAAACCGCTCAACTACATGGAAACTGAACAACCTGCTCCTGAATGACTACTGAAGCATAACGACTAATGACTACTAGTCATAAAGCATAAAGCATAATGACTACTGAATGACATAACGAAATGAAGGCAGAAATAAAGATGTTCTTTGAAAGCAACGAGAACAAAGACACAACATACCGGAATCTCTGGGACACATTTAAAGCAGTGTGTAGAGGGAAATTTATAGCACTAAATGCCCACAGGAGAAAGCAGGAAAGATCTAAAATTGACACCCTAACATCACAATGAAAAGAACTAGAGAAGCAAGAGCAAACATATTCAAAAGCTAGCAGAAGGCAAGAAATAACTAAGATCAGAGCAGAACTGAAGGAAATAGAGACACAAAAAAACCCTTCAAAAAATCAATGAATCCAGGAGCTGGTTTTTTGAAAAGATCAACAAAATTGATAGACCACTAGCAAGACTAATGAAGAAAAGAGAGAAGAATCAAATAGATGCAATAAAAAATGATGAAGGGGATATCACCACCGATCCCACAGAAATACAAACTACCATCAGAGAATACTATAAACACCTCTACACAAATAAACTAGAAAATCTAGAAGAAATGGATAAATTCCTCGACACATACACCCTCCCAAGACTAAACCAGGAAGAAGTTGAATCTCTGAATAGACCAATTTTTTTTTTTTTTTTTTTGTATTTTTAGTAGAGACGGGGTTTCACTGTGTTAGCCAGGATGGTCTTGATCTCCTGACCTGGTGATCCACCCGCCTCTGCCTCCCAAAGTGCTGGGATTACAGGCATGAGCCACCACACCTGGCCCTGGATATGAGATCTTTATGGATCATACAATGGTCAAAATCATTGGTGTGAGACATTGACTAGAACTATTGCTTAGGAAGGAAGAGGAAAAAACAGAGCACAGAACTTTGAGGACTTTTTACATTTAACAGGAGGTCAGAAAATAAAAGGGGTCATGGAACAGCACTGAGAATACAGTCAGAGAGGCGGAAGAGACAAGCAGACTGGAAATCCAGTAGCAGAGTGGAAATTCAAAAGAAACAGCAGGCCAATGTTATAGTTTTAGGAATATTTAATAGTCATTAATAGACAGGTATTCTATTCAAAATGTGTATTTAGTACTGAAAATAATCTGATCTTTCCATTTTCTTTTCCTGTGTTCTTTCTCCTTATTCTTCAGAACACCTCATAGACTTTATAAACTCACTTTTCTTCCTCAGTTCTCTACCAAGCCGTTCAGTTTCTAGACGATGCAATTATCAAAGGGAAGGCTCTAAAACAATATGTGGGTGACGTAGGTGTATCTGAGTCTCATGACTCCTGCCCACGATAATTCAGAACAGATCTCTGCTGTGTAGTGCTGCATATCTGGGCACAAACTGAAAATTCAGTCCAGTGACTAGAGATTTGTGTGTGCGTGTTATAAGTGATTCTTATTTTTTAAATACTTGAATCACTCAGTGAATTGTTTCTCTGTTTCAAAGTTGCGGGTCCTATGAACATAATCCTCAGGAAGAACTGCTGAATGCACAAAAGTAAAAGTCTTGCATGGTTAATTCAGTGTATTAAATGTGTGGTACAATCTTATGCCTAAGTGTGATTGCTTCTTAATTTGTCTTTCATCCAACTTGCTTAACAATCTGCCTATTCTTTAGTTACTTGAAATAATGTGATAAGCTTTTGTAAACTGTAAAATCCTACGTATCTAAAATGTCCCTACTCTTTCTTGTTTTGTGTTACAAATAAAGTCATGTTCACATCAATAATCCAAAGTATTTTAACTTAGTCTATACCACTAAGCTTCCTACCTTAGCATGTAGAATCTATTCCTTGGCATGTATTCAGCATACAGGATCTACTAAATCCTCTTTTTTTCAGATTTATTGTGGGCTGCTTATCTCATTGCCACTGCTTTTGTGCCCATGTGAGAATAACAGTGACCATGCTTGGAGTGCTATCTCCCAATTACAGAGTGACTAGACCATCAAATGCCAAAGTGGTGGTAGATTCAAAGTAGAGGTGACAAAGATGACTTTTTTTCCACTCTGTGCCAAGATTTGTCAACTTGGCTCTAGATGAACATTGTTTTTGACGAGAGTCTCCAAAAAATGTGTCTCAGCATAATATCTTCTCTGCCCACACCCTTCTAAATACTAGGGAGGCAGGATAGTAGTACAGGGGCTGGAAAGGGGACAGAAACCATTTCATACTTTTGCTTTTTAGTATCTTTCTCTCTCACTTCCCCTCTTCTCCTGGCCCTGTACCAAAATCTTCCTCTTTCTCTGGTTATAAACAAAAGATTTATGTAACCCACTGGTCTCAAAAAATATTCTTGGGACCAGGCTTGGTGGTACACACCTGTAGCTACTTGGAAGGCTAAGGTGGGAGAGTTACTTGAGCCCAGGAGTTTGAGGCTGCAGTGCATTATGATCATGCTTGTGAATAGCCACTGTGCTCTAGCCTGGGCAACATAGGAAGACCCCATCTCTAATGATAATTAATAATAATAATATTCTTGGGGTGAGGCTCTCTACACTAGCAATGCCAATGTCCTAACAATTTGTTTAATATGCCCTGTTATACTTACATAAATATAATTTTGCTATAAAATATAGATAGATAATGATGATACAGATATAGATGTTTATCTCTTTCCACTGAGGCACCAAAGCCCAATTCAATGGGTGCCAGGAACAATCCCATAAGTTGGGTGCATATGCTCAACTTCTTGTTCATGGCATGCTAAAAGAATTGCAAAACATTCTGCCCACCCTTATCCCACTCATTCTTGGCTGCATGTTAAGAAACTGATAGAAGTAAGCAAAAGGGACAATTCTGAAAAGCATTGCATCTGTTTTATTTCTTTTTGTTCCATGTTCATCAAGGAGGGAAGTGTTCTTTTATCTTACCTTAAGCCAATGAAAAGAATTTCAAGGGGACCACTTAGAGTGGTTCACAAAAGCCTCTTGGAGTTTGGTAAACTTCTGCATTATGTATCAAGTCTAAATGTCATAAGATATGACTGGATTTTCTTAAGAGCAGCATTGGGACCAACCTGTATTTCTACAATGAAAGGGAGCTGGCCTAGGTCAACTGTCCAATTTGACTGTCTGGAGGTTCCATATGACCCCAACAGGAGGGGAAGAATTCTAGAACCCCAGTTTTGTAAAAGGAGTTATAAAAAGCTTCCTAAGGGGGCACATTGACCATATCATGGGAACTGCAGGAAGAGGTTCCCAGTAGAGGATCTTCAAGGAGCCTGCACAAGCAACCAATGAAACAAAGAGCTAGTAATTGTGCATCTGACATTAATGGGCATCAATGCCTGAAGACAACTCTGCAAGTCTGTAATACAGTGCTTTTCCTCCATGAGCCTGGCTAGGTAGAAAGCAGCAGCTGTAGATATGGGGAGAAGGTAATAAAGAAGCAAATTGAAGTCAGTCATATACCCATCTCCCTTCCCACTCCAAGTTTCTAGGCCTGTGGCGGGCATAATTAGGGAGATAGGAAAGGTTAAAATTGAATATCAGTTAGGAATGTTGAGAATAAACTCATAGGGCATATACTTTAAAATTACTTAAATTATTAAGAAACTGGAAAACCCTATGTGGCCTGACTAAGATTTCAACCAGGGAAGAGAAGAACAAATTGTACAACATCATTTGACAAGAAGAATGTGGTAGACAGAATAATGGCCTCCCAAAGATATTCATGACCTAATCCCTGGAATTCATAAATATGGTGTATTACATGGAAAAGAGGGATTAAGGTTGCAGATGGAATTAAGGTTACTAATCAAACGACCTTAAAATAGGGAGACCATCCTGGATCATCTAGGTGGGCCCAGTGTATTCACAAACATCCTTAAATATTTGTGAGAGAGGCAGAAGAGTCAGTGTCAGGGTGATTTGGTTTAAGACTCAACTGACCAATTCTGGCTTTGAAGATGGAAGGAAGACGTGGGCCAAGGAATGTAAGCACCTTCTAAAAGTTGTAAAGAGCAAGAAAATGGATTTTTCTATAGTTCCTCCAGAAAAAAAGAGAATATGCAGCCCTGCTTGTACAGAAAGGCCTATTTAGAACTCCTGAGTTTCAGAATTTAAGATAATAAATGTGTGTGTTTTGACCCATTAAATTTGTACCAGTATGCTAAAATAGCCTTAGGAAACTAATTCAGGAAATGAAGAAAAATAACAAAATTGGTTACTGCCACTTCTTACTATATCTAAGCTACATATGTGTTAAAGGACCATATGGCCTGTGCCAGTTGGGTGAGAGAAAAAATTCTGGCAAGGGATATCATCTATTATACTTTACCATTTGGCGAACTTGATTTATCTTCTAAGCAAGCTTCTCCGTAATTCTTACAAAATGGATTGGTCTGTTTGCTTTAAAATTCGAACTGCTACTAAGGAAGGAATCCTCCCCTGACATGGTCGACCTCATTTTGTTGAAGTTTCAAAACAATTCTCCAAGCCAAAGGCATGACAGAGGAGAAATGAGAATGCCCACTATTAAATTGTTTTTGGAATGGCGTCATCCCTCTTTATGAGGCTGGCTGATTTCTGCCTATTTGTAAAGGAGAATGCTGAAAGGATCTGAGTCCTGGGAACTAAAGACAACCAAACCTCTGGGTCCAGGTTTCAGAGAGGAACAGTCCGTTAATTTACAAATTTCCTGTGGTTTTCTTCTGGAGAGAATGAGCATAACGGCAATTGTTAACACTAGAATGCCAGAAATAGCTGGTGATTTGGTTAAAAATAGTGAATTATCCTTAGCCCTCCCTCTGACAGTCTCAGTTTAGAATTGCCACCAACAGAATAAATGAGGAATTTCTCTTACATTGTTTTCTTGGGAAAATATTTATACAAGATCCTCCTTGGTCCTCCTGTGTGTCCACTTCTTATACAGTACACATATCTTTCCTATATTTCTAAGTTCCATTCTCTTGACTCAGTGCTTTGCCTTTTGATTGCAAGTGTCTGTTTTGGCTAGTAAAAATAAAAGGCTACTTTTTCCTTTTTGCATTCCTATAGAAATGCTAATTCTTGAAGTTGACTTGCAGACACGTCCAGAAATGTGAGAAATAAAGAAAAGCACAAAAATAATACTTCCAAGATTTTTTTCTTTCTATACAGAAAGTTTTAGCAGTTTCTAGCATCTCTGGCAATTAACACCACCACCACCATCACCACCACTAACAGAAACTTAATTCTCTCATGCTTTCTAGAAAATATGGGCTCCAGTCCTCACGTTTTCCTCAACAACCATATAATCTACAACCTTCTATCCATAATATGGTCAACTCTGCCCATTGGGGTGGTCTAGGGTTCAGGTACCATGAGTAAGAGTGGGTTCCCTAAGATAGTTTCTTAAGATTCCAGTAGCCCAATCCTAATAATTACTGAACATTTATATGTTTACACTTGCACTCTCCTAGGAGCACCAGACACCTCCTTTGTTTAAGTTTATTTACAGATCCTATTGTAAAGTGTCCTGAATTTGCTGTTTCTGACTTATTTCACATGGTTCTACAGTCTCCATGGATATCTCACCATATCAAAATAAAGAGTTTTTACTATTTTTTATTCATCCACTATTTGCACAGTTCAACGTAGCAGATGTTGGAGCAATCAGCTTCTTTCTACTCTATCGCTATACCCCGTTAAACCATATCACAGGTCTGAAACATTTAACTGTGTGATATATTTAGTTAAAAGCCTTGCACGTGATAAATATGCAGTAAGTGTTCTCTTTGATTATTTTATCTTCTTTATAAATTCTTGACAGTGGGAAGAGGAGCTTCAGCCTCTTCTCCATATAACTTGTAAGTTGCTGTAAGGAATTCTTACCCCAGTTGAATGGCATAAAATAAACACAGTGGAGGTGTTGCTGAGCACAGGCTCAGCTGCTCGATGTTTGTAAAGCTGAATGACAAGGATGAGAAGTGGTAAGAACAAAGCAACTTTATTCCAGAGCTTAGCATTGGGGAAGTGGCCAGTTTTGCATCCAAAGGAACCACTTCAGATTTCTGGGCAGAAAGCAGGGGCTTAAGAAGAGAAATTTTGGTACACAGGGCATGCAGGAGGGGTGAGGAGGTGTGGGGTCTACGTGACTGGCTCTAATGGCTTATCTTAGTAATGGGCCATCTGATGGTCTGGCCAGCACCACTGCTGGCAGAATTGGGTTGTAAAATTATTATTGTAGTGAGGCAATCTCTTGGTGGGGGAGAATTCTGGAGGGTGACTGGTTTGTTTTAAGATTTGGTCCCTGGAACTTCTAAGCAAACAGATAATTAGTTGATCTCGCAGTGCAGGGAGTGCCTGGTGGAGAGGAGGTAAAGGTTACAATTGCATTTCTAAGGTGCTAAGTAAGAGGTAGGTGAGTGCACAGGGGAAAAGAGAAGGGGTAAAAATAATTTTTAGGAAAATGGTGTATTTGGTTACAAAGGCTCATTCCTTATTCATGTAACAGAGTTTCTGGTGGGCTTCCACAAGATTGAGAGACCTACACTTGTTCCATCTTGTGACTAAGTTGTCAGATTGGGTCTTCTGCATTTACTTGGCAAATGGGGAAGAAGAGGTAGAGAAATGATATCTACTTCTCACCTACGCTGACCTGAGCTACCACGTCTTCTATTTCTATTCCATTGACAGAAGCTAGTCACGTGACACCACCTAGATGCAAGGAGGACTGGAAATTTAGTTCCTGGATATGGAGCCACTTCCTAGTAACAACTCTATATATTAAAGGGGAAGCGTGGATCTTTGGTGATCCTTTATAGCCTCAGCCATAGAATTCAACTTACATTTGTTCTAAGTATGTATGTGTATATAAACATAAATACACATCACACATCAGATCTTTTATACTTTTTTAAACCTCATATCAATATAGCAAAAAGCAATGTGTTTTATTTTACAAGCATTGTATAAAACCTTGAAGCTCATCCAAATCTGTAATTATCTGTTAAGCCATTTTCCTCAATTCAGGATATAAAATATGCTCACATCTGTTGTAGATTCAGTTATTGGCTTTGAGTTTTTATGCTTTTGCCATGCAAGTTTTTCTGTTCCTCTATGGAAGGAATACACTTTTCTGCCCCATCCCTTTGAGCTCAGCCACAGGGCTTCACGGCTAATAGGAGGTTAGAAAACATAACACAAGTAGGGTCTTAAAATATACTTGTGCATTTGAATCTCCCCTCTGGCGCCTCTACCACTACTATTTGAGGAACATGCCATGGCTAGCCTGATAGTCCAAGAAGGACGTGAGGCATGTAGAATAAAGCGGTTTCAGCTCACCTGCAGATCTGCAATGAGAAGCAAAGTGGCCTAGCTGTGCTCAGCTTAGATCAGCTGAACTCCAGTGAGCACATTAACCTGTAAGAATGCTTATTGCTGAATGCTATTGAAATGCCATGCACTGCACAGCCTTATTGTAATAATAACTAACTGATCCAACCTATTTCAGTTTTAAAATTTTTGCTCAAGAGCCAACATTCCCACATTATCACAAGAATCATCTTTTCCTCTTCTAGAGGCATTCTCCACTTTCAATTTCCCGAGAACACCTGGACTTATATAGTTTAAATGGTATTTGATTAGTTGTCCTTCAAATGCAAAGTAATGAGAGATTGGAGAGTGAGATCAGTCTACTACTGCTGTAGTTGCCACTAGGTGTTGCTGCTGAAGACTGTCTAGCACAGTTCTAAAAGTATCTATGATAGCACTGTTGATGTAGATTCCTGCACTGACCATAGGGTTCTTGAGATTTAGGTTTTAACAGTATAGATTATTCTATAATTATTCATACTTACCTCCTTAGCCGCTGTCTCTCAAGCATACCACCATGTCAATGTGGCTACAACCTCAACACACTGTGTTGTAATTGGCCTGCTCTCAAAACCCTTGGTCCCATGTTTGAGAGCAGGCCAACAGCTAAGACTCCTTATGCTCCTTTTGGCCTTTCCTGCCAGCCAAGTCCATCTCAAACCATCAGACATAATCTAATAATGGTGAAGGTCAAGGAAAAGACATGCTGATAGTCATCTTCCTTGAAGTGATTGTCATCTCTGCATGTTTCTCCAGCTTTCTCTGAATTCCAGCACTATAAAAGCAAACAGTATTTTAAGAATTTGTATTTATTCAGGCCACAAAAGTTTTGTTACAACCTTCCTGCAATGCATTCATATATTTACTACTACTCAAGTAAATGCCCCATACTAATAAGTCAGCTCTTTGCTAATGTGATATCTCCATCTGTGAGCAAAAGGCTGACTAGTGTGATTTATAAAGTTATATCTCACCTTTCATCATATTATATGGAATATTCTATTCTAAATATTGATCAGTTAAGGGGAAATTTTTCAGGGGATAAAACTGTAGCTGGGGGAAACTAAGGTTTTTAGAATGGCAGGGCTTAAGTTATCGCTCAGCTTACAAACTGTCAGCTAAAGCCAGTCTTCGGATAAGGAGCTTGCAGATAGATTTTGCTGAGCTAATAAATGACTTTGAGTAGGACATGCCTTCTCAGTTTTAAATCCCTGTCATATCCAGTTGTCTTGTATCAGACAGTGCCTCTAGTAGTTTCTCCTTTCCTTTATCTATGGGTATCAAACGACATTTGAATTTAGGATCTCTATTATAGATCAGCACTCTCATTTCACAGAGGAAGAAAGTGAAGTATATCTTGATGATGTAGTTTGATGACTGGTGGAGTCCACCTCTGAACTCTGAGCCTTGGATGATATAATGGAATTCAGAACTCATACACATTGAAAAATGAGTTGACAAGAATTGAACTCAGAAGCTATTATTTTCATTCCAAAGCAAAAATCAGTGCATCCAGGTGTCAGGCAGATTGGAGTGCAAGGATGATGGAAAAGTTATGGCCAGAAAAAGGAAGAACAAGCCAATGGGAAAGAAGAGCAAGACTTCATTTTTTTCCTCTAGGACTAAACAGCTGCTGAGACATGGTAAATGTTTCCTTTCTGGAGCTAACTCTGAATTAACTAAAGGTGCCAAAAATATACATAAAAGGAAAAACATGTAGACATTAAAACTGACTCTCTTTGCCCAAGTAAAACAGATGGCTGGAAAGAAGTCAAATAAGCTGTGTTGAAGACTGAATGGGTGGTCCCAGGAGAGATGGAGACATTGTCTTATTGACTAGTGCAAGCTTTGGAAAATAATCAGCTATTAAAAAAAATTGATTCAGTTTGCTCTTCCCAGGAGGCTGTTATCAGACTGGCTGAATAAGGACCTAGGGAAAGAGATTGTCAGTGGAGCTAGTTACCAGAAAGAAAGCAAGGAGAATAAATAACAGGGCAATGAAAATGGAAAGAAGAAACATATAATACCTTACATCAGGTATTATAGGTATATCAGGTATTCCTATTTGATAAGAGAAAGAGGAGAAAAATTTGTATTAATGGCCACACACCAAGTGTGAAAGAGAGAAAAGAAGAAATTGAATTTGCTCAGATCTTATAGTGTGCACATGAATACCATGCATTTTAAAGGTCTCAGTGGAAGGTAGGCTGGGAGAGAGAAATAATCTGTGAATGGAGAGGAATATTGATATTAAATAATTTGCAGCTGGGAGGAGAAGGAGGGTGAAGAGAATGAGAGCTAGCCTCTAGGACAAGGTGCTGAACAGGGATGGTTGGATAGTTAAGATATCAGGAATCCATATTAGTCAACTCAGGTAAAGAGATACAACTTGTACTTATCAATTAAAAAACTAAAATTAAAAAAGCGGGGTTCCAACTTCAAATGAGAACTGGATTTATCAGAAAGGACTGGGACAGCAACCTAGATACTGACACTTGCCCTAAACTACAGGGTTTAGAGCATAATTGCAAACTGGTGACCTCTGGTGAAAATTGGCTTACAGATATATTTCATTTGGAACCTAGGATTTTAAAAATATATGAATTATGGATTCTGAGTGGATTTTGACTGTTCTCACACAAAATTATAAGTGTGTGAGGTGATGCATATGTTAATTAGCTCGATTTGATCATTCCACAGTGTATCCAGATTTCAAAACAACATGTTGTACCCAATTAATATATACAATTTTTGCTTGTCAATTAAAATAAATAAATTTAAAATGTTTAGAAAAAGTTCAGTTTATAGAAGGAATGTTCCTAATTGTTCCCAAGCAATGTTCCGAAGCAAGTTCTTCATTAAATTTTTTAAAGAGAAAATAAATGCATGAGTTATTTTGCCAACATTTTGGAATCGGAAGATTTTTAAATATAAAAATCTGAACTTTTATTTAGAAATTAGAAAATCAAGCAACACCAGTCACATGATTTGTGGGGCCCAATAAATAGCACCCCTGTTTTCCTCACTTGAGTTTACGAATAGACTAAAAAATTAGAGAAAAAAATGATTAAGGCCGGTGAAGATCAAAATATCTCATTTACTATGGACAAAGTCTAAGACAAAAGACATGGCTTAAATGAGCAGAAACAATGGGATTCTTAATACCAAATCCCAGAAATAGGCTTCTTCAGCCAGTCACAGGCAACACCAAACAACTGCAGGCCTTCTTATGTGGCCTGATTCTGTAACACATACCGCATAGAGGAGCAGACAGGTAAATGCCAGAGAGAAAGAGCAAGAAAAAGGCTGGGATATGAAGTCCAGGTCCTCCTCTTAACTTGAGAGGCCCGATCCTTCACTTATCTCTGGGTAGGAGTGGATGAGAGCATGGAGAGAGGCTAGTGTGTCCCTCTATTTAAAGAAAAAGGAAAAGAGGTTTCCTCCCTACCCTTGATCTACATTCCCTCTGTGACAGTCACTCCTGGCTCTGCCGTCATTGAGTGCAAGTTCTCTTCACCACATCCAGTCCCCACTACTCATTATTACATTTTAGCCAGCATGCTTCTCTCACTTACATGACCTGCCTTGCCTCTCTAGTATTTGCTTGCACCGTTATTATTGCCAGGTGTTGTAAAGGTGGCCATCACACCACACAGCAGGTTAGTGAAGCAAAGTGGTTCCAGCTTCAACTTCTTGTTGCTAATGGATCCAAGAGGTAGAGAATAGAGGCTGTTTGTGGCCTTCAGTACAGGCAGCTGAAATGGACTGAGCAGAGCAAGAGTATGTGAGAGTAACTACATTTCAAACTCAAAACCCACCCATGTTAGAATAATTAACTTTGCTGGAAATGGGAGCTATAAGCATATTGGAGAAACATACAACTTTAAGCAAAACAGAATTGAGAAGAAGAAGGAGAAATAAATTGGAAGACTCAAAGGCTCATAGCCCTGTTTACTTGCCTCTGATTGCCCTTACCTCACTGCATTCCAGTGGTCTTCACATTTATCTCATCCATGATTGCATTCCTTATGGCCTGCAAACAAAAGACACTCAATCAATTTTTATTAAACACACAAAAAGTCACGAAAAATGTCTTAAGGAAGAGGCTGTTTGGGGTAAGTACTAAAGACATGTCTTATCAGTCAGGAGGCTATTGTTGATATTGTACAGAGAGGGCAGAAGTACTCCCTTCAGAACATAGTAAGTTTTGAACAAGCTTCAATTCCTTTGAGAAAGCTTCAATTCCTTCGAGCAAGCTTCAATTCCTTCATAAAATTTTCCCTGATCTTTCTACAATCTAAGCCCAAAGAGCATTGATCAAACCCTCATCTATCATCTATGACACCATTGTTGCTTACACCTTATGAATATTTATCATGTTGTAAAATGTACTATAATAGACTAAATGATGATTTAGATATTAGAAACAAACATACTCCTTTTTAAAAAATTTATGTTTAAGAGGAGGGAGATGAATAATACACAAACAGATGAGCATAGACAACATGGCAGGTTGTTACAAATGCATTAAGGCAGTGCTGTAGACTGAATGTATACTCTCGAAATTCATATGTTGAAAATCTTACCTCCAGTGTGTTGGTATTAGGAAGTGGGGCCATTGGGAGGTTATTAGTTCATAAGGGTAGAAACTTCATATGAGATTAGCGTTCCTATAAAAGGGAATCCAGAGAGCTTCCTTGTCCATTCCATGAGGAGACAGTGAAAAGACAGTCATCTGTGAACTAGGATGCAGGCCCCCATCAGACACTGAATTTGCCAATCCCTTGATTTCCCAGCCTCCGGAACTGTGGGAAATCTATTTTTGTTCTTTATAAGTAACCCAGTGTATGGTTCTGTGATAGCATCTCAAACAGACTGAGAGAGGCAGCATAAAAGAAGATATCAGACAGAAAAATAGTATTCTGACTTGCTCTGGATAACCTGTTGAATACAGGTGTTAGGAAAAAATGATTGGAAGCTGATATGGTTTGGCTCTGTCTCCCCACCCAAATCTCATCTTGAATTGTACTCCCATAATTCCCACATGTTGTGGGAGGGACCTGGTGGGAGATAATTGAATCATGGG
Organism: Homo sapiens; assembly: GCF_000001405.40. Taxonomy (NCBI): domain Eukaryota; kingdom Metazoa; phylum Chordata; class Mammalia; order Primates; family Hominidae; genus Homo; species Homo sapiens. The sequence continues at coordinate 121,137,751 of NC_000008.11, forward strand.
GGCAGTTTCCCTCATACCATGGTTTGATAAGGGGAAACTCTTTTTGCTTGGCTCTCATTCTCTCTCTTGCTGTCGCCATCTGAGACATGTCTTTCATCTTCTGCCATGATTGTGAGGCCTCCCCAGCCATGTGGAACTCTAAGTCCAATAAACCTCTCTTTCTTTTGTAAATTGCCCAGTCTCAGGTATGTCTTTATCAGAAACATGAAAACAGACTAATCCAGTAAATCGGTACCAGCAGAGTGGTGTGTTGCTGAAAAGATACCTGAAAATGTGGAAGTGACTTTGGAACTGGGTAAAGGCAGAGGTTGGAACAGTTTGGAAGGCTCAGAAGAAGACAGGGAAATGTAGGAAAGTTTGGAACTTCCTAGAGACTTGTTGAATGGCTTTGACCCAAAGCCTGATAGTGATATGGACAATAAGGTCCAGGTGGAGGTGGTCTCAGATGGAGATGTGGAACCTGTTGGGAACTGGAGCAAAGGTGACTCTTGTTATATTTTAGCAAAGAGACTGGTGGCAGTTTGCAAGTAATTTGTGGAACTTTGAATTTGAGAGAGATGATTTAGGGTATCTGGCAGAAGAAATTTCTAAGCAGCAAAGCATTCGAGAGGTGACTTGGTTGCTGTTAGAGGCATTCAGTTTTGTAAAGGAAGCAGAGCATAAAAGCCTGGAAAATTTGCAACCTGACAATGCAATAGAAAAGAAAATTCCATTGTCTGAGGAAAAATTCAAGCTGGTGGCAGAAATTTGCATAAGTAACAAGGAGCTGAATGTTAAACCCCAAGACAATGGGGAAAATGTCCCCAGGGCATGTCAGAGGTCTTCACTGCAGCCCCTCCCATCACAGGCCGAGAGGCCTAGGAGAAATGGTTTCATGGGCTGGGCCCAGGGTCCCCGGGCTGTGTGCAGCCTAGAGACTTGGTGCCCTGTGTCCCAGCCACTCCAGTTGTGGCTGAAAGGGGCCATGGAGCCCAGGCCGTGGCCTCAGAGGTTGCAAGCCTCAAGTCTTGACAGCTTCCATGTGGTGTTGAGCCTGTGAGTGCACAGAAGTCAAGAACTGGAATTTGGGAACCTCCTTCTATATTTCAGAAGATATATGGAAACGCAGAAGGCCACCATCCTCCAGACCCCAGAATGGTAGATCCACTGATGGCTTACACCTTTCACCTGGAAAAGTTGCAGACACTCAACATCAGCCTGTGAAAGCAGCTGGGAGGGAGGCTGTACCTTGCAAAGCCACAGGGGTGGAGCTGCCCAAGACCATGGGAACTTACATCAGTGTGACCTGGATATGAGACATGGAGTCAAAGGAAATCATTTTGGAACTTTAAGATTTAACTGCCCTGCTGGATTTCAGACTTGCCTGGGCCTGTAGCCCCTTTGTTTCAGCCAATTCCTCCCATCTGGATTGGCTGTATTTACCCAATGCCTGTACCCCCATTGTATCCACAAAGTAATTAACTTTCTTTTGGTTTTATAGGCTCATAGGTGGAGGGGACTTGCCTTGTGTCAGATGAAACTTTGGACTGTGGATTTTTGGGTTAATGCTGAAATGAGTTAAGACTTTGGGGGACTGTTGGGAAGCCATGATTGGTTTTGAAATGTGAGGACGTGAGATTTGGAAGGGGTCAGGGGTGGAATGTTATGGTCTGGCTCTGTGTCTGGACCCAAATCTCACCTTAAATTGTACTCCCATAATTGCCACATGTTGTGGGAGGGACTTGTTTGAGATAATTGAATCATGGAAGTGATTTCCCCCACACTATTCTCATGATAGTGAATAAGCCGCATGAGATCCGATGGTTTGATAAGGGGACACCCGTTTTGCTTGGCTCTCATTCTCTCTCTTGCTGCCGTCATGTGAGACATGCCTTTTACCTTCTGCCATGATTGTGACGCCTCCCCAACCATGTGGAAGTGTAAGTCCAATAAACCTCTTTTCTTTTGTGAATTGCCCAGTCTCAGGCATGTCTTTATCAGCAGCATGAAAATGGACTAATACAGAAGCTGAGTAGGAAACTGTTACGAACAATGATGGTGGCTTGGACCATGCAGATAGTAGTGGATATGGGTGAGAAATTGTTGAATTTTTTAATATGTATATTTTTTGATGAACATAAGATTTGCTGATGGTTTGAATATGGTTTATGAGAAGCAGAAGATGGTCAAGGATCCTAAGATATTTAGTCTGATTATATGATTGAGTGGAGTGCTCTATTACTAGGTGGACAAAGAATGTGGCTGGAGTGAGTTTGGGTGAAAGGAAATACTATTTTATCCATGAAATCTAGCACAGTATTTGACACAAAGGATATATTCATTTATTTTCTTAATGTTTGATGAATGAACAAATTACTTGAAAACATAAAATTTTTATTTCTTGTATTCCACAATAATATAAGTTCCAGTGGAGACATAGATTTTTCTTTGTTATCACTGAATCCTCAGCATCCAGAAAAAGCCAGGACAAAATGTTGAATGAACAGATTCTTGTTCTGTTCTTCCTACTGATACTTCTGGTCTCTGTATCTGGTTCTGGTTAGTCTGGAGGAAATATAAAAGCAAATTAAAATGTATTTTTGGCATTTTTTTCTTGTCACTTAATTGAAGAAAATTTGCTTTGGAAAAAAAAATTGATATTTCTTCTCTCCACTTGATAGTTGTTAACACTGGCAAATGTAACAGTTTCATATATCAAAACCTCTCCCTGAACTCTTGATCATTACGTGTCTTTTTTTCCATTTTGCTAGAATTTCATTTAAAAAGTCACTAGAATGTCAGGGAATGCTTCCAGGCACTCAACTGTGTTCTTGCAGTTTAAAATAACAAATTGCTAGCTCTGTATTTAAATCTTATTATGATGCTAAACAAATGATTTATTGAACTGATTCTAATTTTCTGTAGTTTAAAAATCACTTTTAAGCATCCATCTTTGTCCTGGACAGTTGCCAAAGCTAGCAAATGCATCTCAGCTGGGGAACAAGTTGCCACTTCTTCCTTCAGATCCTCTTTCACACAGGAGACCTGGCTCACGCATGGCCAGGACCTAAAAGTCAAACCTGTCCTTGAGTCTTCCTTTTGTTGTAAGGCCGATCTTACTAAATTGCCTTTTTCAGAACACACAAGCTGTGAAAATAAGTTTTGGAAATTGTAGTATACTCCCCCTGAGCGATTAGTAATGTATTTCAATTCCCTGTAGTTAAAAGAAATCAACTTTAAACCCAGAGCTTCCCCAAGTCATGTAACTACAGAATGCTTTCATAATGCAACATCATTAATAAATTCTGAGAAACAGATAGTCATAAAATTCAGGTTTGTGAATGCCCTTCTAGAGACAAAATTCTGGTTTGTGAATGCCCTTCTAGACACTTAATGCCCTTCTAGAGAGCTGAGACTATAGAAGACCCTTCTTTCTCATTAGCTCAAGGTTTTGGAACTCCTTCATTTTATTCACTCTCCCCTGGGGAAAATGAGAACTCTAGATTCTCTTGTACTGAGAATTCTACCATCTACAAAATGGAATAGGGGGAAAGAAACATTGGTTTAAAAAATAGAAAGTTAAAATTTTTTCTTATTTCTGTCATTTGCTACTTATGTGATTTTGGGGCAAATGTTTTATATTATCTGAACCTCGGTTTTCACATTTTAAAAACTGGGAATGGACTGGGCGCGGTGGCTCACACCTGTAATACCAGAACTTCAGGAGGCCGAGGCGGGCAGATCATGAGGTCAGGAGATTGAGACCATCCTGGCTAACATGGTGAAACCCTGTCTCTACTAAAAATACAAAAAATTAGCTGAGCGTGGGGGCGGGTGCCTGTAGTCCCAGCTACTCCAGAGGCTGAGTCAGGAGAATGGCGTGAACCCGGGAGGTGGAACTGGCAGTGAGCGGAGATCACACCACTGCACTCCAGCCTGGGTGACAGAGCCAGACTCTGTCTCAAAAAAAAAAAAAAAAGCAAAAAAACAAAAAAACTGGGAATGGTAAACTATACCCTACTCACCACACATGAAAATTCAGTGTATACCATATACAAAAATTAACTCAAGATGAATTAAAGACTTAAATGTAAAACCCCAAACTATAAAAACCCTGGAAGACAACCTAGGCAATACCATCCTGGACACGGGAATGGGCAGAGATTTCATGACAAGGCACCAAAAACAATTGCAACTAAAGCAAAAATTGACAAGTGGGATCTAATTAAATTTTAGAGCTTCTACACAGCAAAAGAAACTATCAACAGAGTAAACAGACAACCTTCCAAATGGGAGAAAATATTTGCAAACTCTGCATCTGACAAAGGTCCAATATTCAGCATCTATTAAGAACTTAAACAAATTTACAAGAGAAAAACAAAGAACACCATTAAAAAGTGGGCAAAGAACATGAACAGACACTTTTCAGAAGAAGACATACATGCAGCCTACAAGCATATGAAAAAAAGCTCAATATCACTGATCATTAGAGAATGCAAATCAAAACCAAAATGAGATACTATCTCACATCAGTCAGAATGGCTATTATTAAAAAGTCAAAAAATGACAGATGCTGGTGAGGTTGTATAGAAAAGGGAACATTTATACACTGATGGGAATGTAAATTAGTTCAGCCACTAGGGAAACAGTTTGGCACTTTCTTAAAGAACTCGAAGCAGAACTACCATTTGACCCAGCAACCTCATTATTGGGTATATATCTGAAGGAATATAAATCATTCTACAATAAAGACACATGCATGTGTATGTTCATTGCAACACTATTCACAATAGCAAAGACATGGAATCAACCTAATGCCCATAAATGACAGAATGGATAAAGAAAATGTGGTACACATACACCATGGAATACTATGCAGCCATGAAAAATAAGATTATGTCTTTTGTGGGAACATGGATGGAGATGGAGGCTATCATCCTCAGCAAACTAATGCGGGAACAGAAAACCAAATACCACATATTCTTACTTATAAGTGCAAGCTAAATAATGAGAACTTATGAATGCAAAGAAGGAAACAACAAATACTGGGGTCTAATGGAAGGTAGAGGATAGGAGAAAGGAGAGGAACAGAAAAGATAACTATTGGGTACTGGGATTAATACCTGGATGACAAAATTATCTGTATAACAAACCCCCATGACATGAATTTACCTATGCAACAAACCTTCACATGTACTCCCAAACCTAAATTTAAAACATTAAAAAAATTAAGTGTATACTAGAGAAATCTATAAACTGCTAAAGATTAAACTCAATTATAAAATTTCCGGAAAGGTTTTCACTTGTTAAAAAAAATTATTTATGACACTTGTTAAAGGTGGTAAGGCAGATTTTATTCAAAGGGTGTAATGGCCATAGATGTAGGAACTTCTACAAAAGTGTCTTGCAATGGGAGAGACAGATTGGGCTCATTTCTGACTCCAACAAGAACAAGTGGAGATTGGTAACCAAGTTGCAGGGTGGAGGTCAATGGTAAGAAAATTTCTAAAATGAAACATCAAGTGCAAGTGGTTTGTGGCTAAACTTACTTGATGCGATTATTGCAACATCAGGTTTCTGTTACACTCCATAAAGAATGTTCTAAACCAAACCCCACTCCCAAGCTAGATTACATGATTCCATGAAACTGTTTTTCCCCTTCTATCTAGTATTCAATTAAATATCTTTTATAATTTATTTTTCAATGTCTGTTTGTCTCTCTAGCCTTTACCTGTGTAAAGGTAGGTATGTCCAGGGCATGGTATGTAATGGGTAGAAACTAAATAAAATACTCAAAACTGTCTTTGCAAAAATTGTAACAGTGAGAGAATTATAGAAGTGGAAGAGATCTCATCTAGCCCACCCCATCTTGCCTTTAACCTCCAAACTGCCCTTAATCATTCCTGGCCTTGTTCCAAGCTAACTTTGGGAGAAATTTAGTTTATAGTTTAAATAATAGCCCTTCCCTCAAACTAAAACACCTTTGTAAAGCTAACGAAAGACCACCAGGTTAGGAGAATGAGGGGACCTGAATTCTGCTAAGGTGTAGAAGTAATTACCAGCCATTATGCCAGAGGTCACAAGATTTGCAATTTCCCCAATTACTCCTGCAGATAACATCACTATTGCAGAATTTAAGATAGGCCTTTTGAGATGTCTTTTCAGGTTTTTGCATTTCTGACTACCAATGGCTCCACCCAGACCCACTAATTGGTCCTATCACCCTATCCAGAAGCAGACTCAGAGCATGCAAAGGCCGATTTTCATACCCCTTTGATTGTATTCCCAACCAATCAGCGGCACCCATTCCCTAGCCTTCCACACTATACTTGAAAAACTCTAGCCTCTGAATTTTCAGGGAGGCTGATTTGAGTTATAATAAAATTCCAGTCTTTGGTTCAGCTGGCTCTGTGAGACTTAATATCTTTCTGTATTGCAATCCCCTGTCTTGATAAACTGGCTCTATCTGGGCAGCAGGCAAAATGAAACTATCAGGTCATTACATATGCATTGATTAAAAACAAAGGAAAACTTTGAGCACAATCTCTTGGCAACATCTATCATTCACATATTCCTTAATTATTTCTCATCCAGCTATCCTCTTCTGTGACAATATCCTGCCTAGTTTTACACACGTTATGTGTGGTTTTCTTTTGTTGTATTATGTGCAAGCTTGCAGCATCAGGCCTGGCACATGGGGGGTGCTCTATAATGATAGATTCAGTTTCTTTATTTTTAAATAATGGTAAAAGATAAATTTAGCCACATTAAAATTTTCAAGAGTTTATTTGACTAGACAGCAATTCATGAATTGGGCAGTTCCAATTTGACCTCAGGTGGTTTGGGGCTCCACTGAAGAGGTGTGAGGGGAACATTTTTATAAGGTTTTCACAGAAGCAAGACAAAGAAAATGTGTGATTGGTTAAGGTAGGACAGTAGTTTTAAATCTCTAGTTACAAGTTATATTAGTCAGGGTTCTCCAGAGGGACAGAACTAATAGGATAGATGTATATATAAAGGGGAGTTTATTAAGGAGTATTGACTCACCTGATCACAAGGTCCCATAATAGGCTGTCTGCAAGCTGAGGAGCAAGGAAGCGAGTCTGAGCCCAAAAGCTGAAGAACTTGGAGTCCAATGTTCAAGGGCAGGAAGCATCCAGCACGGGAGAAAGATGTAGGCTGGGAGGCTAAGCCAGTCAAGTGTTTTCACGTTCTTCTGCCTGCTTTTATTCTGGCCATGCTGGCAGCTGATTAGATTGTGCCCACCCAGATTAAGGGTGGGTCTGCCTTCTGCAGTCCACTAACTCAAGTGTTAACCTCCTTTGGCAACACCCTCACAGACACACCCAGGAACAAACTTTGCATCCTTCAATCCAATCAAGTTTGACACTCAGTATTTACCATCAAAGAGGTTAATTGGCAGTTTCTGATTGGTTAAACTTAAGTTTTGTTTTCCTAGGCTATCACAATTCTTTCTGAGTTGGGTTTTGGTTTACTTATGTAGAAACTCAGGATGCTGGAGTACCTACAATCTAATGACCTCCCAATGAGTTATTTTAACAATTCTGATACACAGAATGTTTAGATCTTCTGGGATTTGAGTGCTGCTGAGTTATTTAAAGGTCCCTGAGTTTTTCCCAGGGAGGCAAAAGTAGCCTCCACAGTTGTAGCTGGATGTGGAGTCACAGACTTTGAGAGAAGATTCAATGACCAGGTCAGGAGATGTTCTCTTGTAAATTATAGGCAGCGTTGCTGACTTCTGTAGAGCTGTGAATGCCACAAGGCAGCTTAGAGATTCCTCTGGACATGGAACTAGGCAGCATGGCTTCAAAAGAGCTTTAGGCAAGGCAGTGAGTGACCCTTGGAAGGCCCCCTGACACAATTTGCTAACATAATTTATTTCAGCAGCAGGAGGTATGTGGGTACTCTTGAGATATCTATGCCAAAATCTTACACATTGTTTGAAATAAAAGAAACTTTATGAGTCATTCAGTCCTGAGATTGCAAACTGGCAGCCTGTCAGCCTGTGGGCAAGGATTGGACACACAGAAGGGTTTTGTTTGTCCTTTATGGTATTTTAAGAATTGCTTAGGGCCGGGTGTGGTAGCTCATACCTGTAATCTCAGCACTTTGGGAGGTCAAAGCAGGAGGATCGCTTGAGCCCAGGAGTTTGAGACTAGCCTGGGCAAGATGGTGAGACCTCATTTCTACAAAAAATACAAAAAATAACTTGATGTGGTGGCAGGCACACCACTCAGGACACCAAGGTGGGAGGATCTTTTGAGCCCGGAAGATTGAGGCTGGAATGAGCCATGATCATGCCATTAACTCCAGCCTGGGTAATAGAATGAGACCCTGTTGATATTGTTTGACTGACTCCCCACCCAGATCTCATCTTGAATTGTAGCTCCCATAATTCCCACATGTTGTGGGAAGGACCTGGTAGGAGGTAATTGAATTGGAGGGGGTGGGTCTTTTCCATGATGCTCTCATGTTAGTGAATAAGTCTCAACAGATCCAATGGTTTTATAAATGGGACTGCCCCTGCACAAGCTCTTCTCGCCTGCTACCATGTAAGAATTCTCTTTGCTCTTCCTTTGTCTTCCACCATGATTGTGAGGCCTCCCCAGCAATGTGGAATTGTGAGTTCATTAAGCCTCTTTCCTTTATAAATTACCCAATCTTGGGTATGTCTTTATTAGCAGCATGAGAACAGAGTAATATACCTGTCTCAAAAAAGAAAAATAATTAGTATCATATAAGAATACAGATGGCCACCCTTTCTTGAAAAATTAGAACAGATTTTGTTGTCATATGGCAGCAGTAGGCCACCGATGAGAGTCCTCGCCTCCTGTAGACAGGTGTCTCATGCCCTGGTGGAATACTTGGAACCCAATCAGTTCTTTTTATTTTCTGACCCTTTTTCTAATCCAACCACTTTATTTCATAGAAGAGGAAACTATCCCTTTTCTAGCAATAGTTGTGGGGGCAGAGACAAAGATGAGATGAATTGGTCAAAGTAACACAGCAAACTAGGGGCAGAGTTGGGCCTGCAATCCAAGCCCATTGCTCTTTCTATTATGTCATATTGTGAGCATCCCTGTTAAGTATCTACTGTAATAAGGATGGAATAGCAAAATGCTCCCACTCAGTTATTTCTCCAGGAGATTAAATACCATTCTCAAGGTCATGCTGTTTATAAATGGATAAAAGTAACTGGTCTTTTAATTATTTCTACATTGCACATAGTATCAAATAGTGCCAAGAAATAGTAGTCAGAAATTGAATTCAGTTAGATTGAATACTCTGTGTAAAGGTGTTTTTTTTTTTTTTAATATCACAAAAGCTTTCTCCCTGTTCATTCTTTTCATTTGGTTATATTGAATCCAGACACACACATTAACCAGATGAGCAGAGTTATACGTTGTTTTCACAGGAAATCTTCCCTTCCTCCTTCAGTTTACCTAAAAGGATGGGAAGCTGGGAAGGGCATTTGCCAGTGTATATACACACATTGATGTATATATTTATTCAGCACACATATCCATACATATATATGTCTGTGAAACAATATGTGCTAGCTTCAGCATCTGGCTTTCTGTGAAGTCTTGACCTCTGCTCCCTTACAGCTGGGTTGGCTCAGAGTTTACAGCAAGACTTGCAAGACTCCCTGAAGAACATATGTTTCTCAGCAGTCCCCTGTTCTCTATCCATTTTTTTGCGGGGGGAGTTGCAAAAGATTACCACCTAGGACCTCGTACTAGTAGCCCTGCTTCCCTGAAGAATTTCTCATGGCTTAAGGAATTGTCTACTAAAGACAGAGTTGGTGTGAAAAATCATGCTGTATAATCCCCCTGTCTCCCCCTCCCTCCCCAGCTCACCCACAAAACCACTGGCAATATTTTACTTTTTAACTGCTTGTGCTCTTGTTTGTAGGAAGCTACAAAGCTCACTCTTACCCAAAGTCAGCAACCCTTTTTACATGCTTTTTCAGGTACCCGGCAAAGCAAATGGGTTGGTGACTTTGGGCAAGAGAGAGCTTTTTAGCTTCCTTGTTTCAAAGTAGCAGACAAATAAAATCAGTGGTAGTGCAAGATGCTCAGATCTGTCTTCAGTACTTGGCCCTATCACTTCCATAAGCTCTGTCTTTACAGATCTGGATTTGGCTTGGATTTGGGGAGGTCCATTCCCATTTAAAATGGTCTGCCAGCTTTACTTGTTATAGCTCCTACACACAGGTGGGAATTAGACAGCAATGAAAAAGAAAAGGGTGCTATGATTCGTTTTCTGTTTTTGTTTTAGGGGAACATTGTGTACTTGATGTTCTAAGGGCCTACATGATAATATAATGTTTAAAAATTAAAATGCATATTTAAGACAGTGTGCTTTAGAAAGGCACAGCTGGGCCTGGTTTTATAAAAGAGTTTTTATAAAAGGTTTTATAGAAGAGTTTTTATAAAAGCTTTTATAGAAGAGTTTTTATAAAAGGTTTTATAGAAGAGTTTTTATAAAAGGTTTTATAAAAGAGTTAAATTCCTGTAACATTGCTGGACGAGGTTGGATTCTACCAGCTGAAAGCCAGGTCATAATGGCAAGGGAAGGGAAGTTAGTTCATCAATTCACATCCACAGCTTGTTGGATTCCTCACATTTAAACTATCTCCTTCCTCTACTCCTCCAGTCTTTCCTATCTCAGTAAAACACTTGGAGGGTTCCTTAATTTCTGTTTCTCTCAGAAACCATAATGATTTATAAAAATTTCCAATTGGCTTTCTCTGCAAAATATAAACAGACTCCAGTAACTTCTAATGAATATTTCCACTCTACCTGCCTGTTACCACAAGTCTGAAGAAAGAGTGAGAAAGGAGTAAGAAACAGTATTTAGCCTGGACCTCTTATGATCACACCCTAACTGCTCTTGTTTTGAAGTTCCTTGCTTAAAATATGTTCTTGAAACAGTAGCTAGAGGGATTCTTTTAAAGTATAAGGCAGATCATGAAGTCTTTGCCAATGCCTGTGTCCTGAATGGTATTGCCTAGGTTTTCTTCTAGAGTTTTTATGGTTTTGGGTTTTACACTTCAGTGTTTAATCCGTCTTGAGTTAGTTTTTGTATAAGGTGTAAGGAAGGGGTCCATTTTCTGTCTTCTGCATATGGCTAGACAGTTTCCCCAGCACCATTTATTAAATAGGGAATCCTTTCCCCATTGCTTGTTTTCATCAGATCTATCAAAGATCAGATGGTTGTAGAAGTGTGGTGTTATTTCTGAGATCTCTATTGTGTTCCATTGGTCTATATATCTGTTTTGGTACCAGTTCCATTCTGTTTTGATTACTGTAGCCTTGTAGTATAGTTTGAAGACAGGTAGCATGATGCCTCCAGCTTTGTTCTTTTTGCTTAGGATTGTCTTAGCTATACGGGCTCCTTTTTGGCTCCATATGAAATTTAAAGTAGTTTTTTCAAATTCTGCCCAGAGAGTCAATGGTAGCTTAACAGGAGTAGCATTGAATCTAAATTACTTTGGGCAGTATGGCCATTTTCACAATATTGATTCTTACTGTCCATGAGCATGGAATTTTTTTTCCATTTGTTTGTGTCCTCTTTTATTTCCTTGAGCAGTGGTTTGTAGCTCTCCTTGAAAAGGTCCTTCAAGTTATATTATTATGTATTTTATCCTCTTTGCAGCAATTGTGAATGGGAGTTCACTCATAATTTGGCTTTCTGCTTGCCTATTGTTGGTGTAAAGGAATGCTTGTGATTTTTGCACATTGATTTTGTATCCTGAGACTGCTAAAGTTGCTTATCAGCTTAAGGAGTTTTGGGGCTGAGACTATGGGGTTTTCTAAATATACAATCATGTAATCTGCAAACAGAGACAATTTGACTTCCTCTCTTCCTATTTGAATACACTTTATTTCTTTCTCTTGCCTGATTGCCCTGGCCAGAACTTCCAATATTATGTTGAATAGGAGTGGTGAGAGAGGGCATCCTTGTCTTGTGGCAGTTTTCAAAGGGAATGCTTCCAGCTTTTGCCCATTCAGTATGATATTGGTTATGTGTTTGTCATAAGTAGACCTAATGACTAAAACACCAAAAGCAATTGCAACAAAAGCCAAAATTGGCAAATGGGATCTAATTAAACTAAGCAGCTTCTGCCCAGCAAAAGAAACTATCAGCAGAGTGAACAGGCAACTTACACAATGGGAGAAAATTTTTGCAATCCACCCATCTGACAAAGGTCTAATATCCAGAATCTACAAGGAACTTAAACAAATTTACAAGAAAAAAACAACCCCATCAAAAAGTGGGCAAAGGATATGAACAGACACTTCTCAAAAGAAGACATGTTTGCGGCCAACAAACATATGAAAAAAAGCTCATAATCACTGGTCATTAGAGAAATGCAAATCAAAACCACAATGAGATACCATCTCACACCAGTTAGAATGGCGATCATTAAAAAGTCAGGAAACAACAGACGCTGGCAAGGCTGTGGGAAAATAAGAACACTTTTACAGTGTTGGTGGGAGTGTAAATTAGTTCAACCACTGTGGAAGACAGTGTGGTGATTCCTCAAGGATTTAGAACTAGAAATACCATTTGACACAGCAATCCCAATACTGGGTATATACCCAAAGGATTGTAAATCATTCTACTATAAAGACACATGCACACACATGTTTATTGTGGAACTATTTACAATAGCAAAGACTTATAACCCGCCTAAATGCTCATCAGTGATAGACTGGGTAAAGAAAATGTGGCACATATACACCATGGAATACTATACAGCCATAAAAAAGAATGAGTTCATGCCCTTTGCAGGGACATGGATGAAGCTGGAAGCCATCATTCTCAGCCAACTAACACAAGAACAGAAAACCAGACACGCATGTTCTCACTCATAAGTGGAAGTTAAACAATGAGAACACATGGACACAGGGAGGGGAACATCACACATTGGGGCCTGTTGGTGGGTGGGGGGCAAGGGGAGGGAGAGCATTAGCAGAAATACCTAGTGCATGTGGGGCTTAAAACCTAGATGACAGGTTGATAGGTGCAGCAAACCACCATGGTACATGTATACCTATGCAACAAACCTGCATATTCTGTACATGTATCCCAGAACTGAAAGTAAAAGTAAGTATAAGGCAGATCATGCTGTCTTCTATTCTGCACCCTTTTCTGGTTTCCCATATCACTCAGTGCAAAAATCCAAGTCCAAGTCATGGCTTACACGGTTGTAGGTGACTGAGCCCCCATTTCTTCTTTCCTTTCTCCTCCCAGATGTCAGAAGGACTTCCTCTTTTACTTCATTCTTGTCACTGCTAAAATACCACCTTATCAGAAAGATCATCCCTGACCCACCAACATTAGTTCACCCTGCCCTAGCTCTGCATAGCTCCGTCTCTGCCTTATTTTGTTTACATAGCACTAACCACCTCACCATCTGATATATATTCACTAGCCTACTTGTTTACCTTTTTTTTCTTCTCACCAGAAAGTATTTCTTATGAAAAGAGAAATTTGTTTCATTCACTGCTTTATACCTGGTTCCTTACATACTGACTGGTTCATAGTAGTTGCTTAATAGATAAGTATCAAATGGATAAACGAATTGGATAGGCTGAGACAGGTAATTCGGGGCTCACAGCCAAGGCAGATTTAATGGGAGAATATGCAGGATCCCCCTTAGCTCAGGTTTGGAGAATAAAAAAGTGGACTAAATGGCTGAAGCTGAGACCTGGAGAGGTTAAAACTGTTAAAGTAGGACCAATTTAAGTTACCAATTCAAGAACTGCAAGGTAGTACCCAGAATATAGATTAAAACTCACATGATGTTGAGCTGACTTTTATTGGGTACTTATTATTCACTTGTATTGATTTTCTTGGGCTGCCGTAACAAATTACCACAAACTTCATGCCTTAGAACAACCGTTTATTCTCTCACAGTTCTGGAGGCCAGAAATCTGAAACCACGGTGTTAGCAGGACCACACTCCTTCTGGAGGCTCCAGGGAAGAATTCTTACTTGTCTTTTCCAGCTTCTGGTGGTCCTTGGTGTTCTTTGAGTTGTGTCAGGATAGCTCCGATCTCCACCTCTATTTTATACGGCCTTCTCTCCTTCTCTGTGTGTCCTCTCCTCTTCTTATAAGGACAGCAGTCACTGGGTTTAAGGCCCATCTTAAGCCACTATGATTTCATCTTAATTGTACCTGCAAAGAGCTTGTTTCCAAATAAGGTCACATTCTGAAGTTATAGGTGGAAACAAATTCTTAGGGAAACACTGTTCAAACCACTGTAGTATTCAAACCCTTTTGGGTTTAAATTCTCATAACAACTCTCTAAGATACTTACTATTATTATTATTATTATTAACTTATTTTTTCAGATGAAGTTTCACTCTTGTTGCCCAGGCTGGAGTGCAATGGTGTGATCTTGGCTCACTGCAACCTCTGCCTCCTGGGTTCAAGCGATTCTCCTTCTTCAGCCTCCTGAGTAGCTGGGATGACAGGCATCTGCCACTGTCCTCGGCTAATTTTTTGTATTTTTAGTAGAGACGGGGTTTCACCATGTTGGCCAGGCTGGTCTTGAACTCCTGACCTCGGGTGATCCACTCACCTCGGCCTCCCAGAGTGCTGGGATTACAGGCGTGAGCCACTGCACCCGGCTGATACTTACTATCATTATTGTGGATACGCACAAATATTATTGGCAATATTTTACAGATATACAAAACTGAGACTCAGATAACTTAATTGCCTAAGGTCATATAGCTTAGTAAGTATATTCAAATGCAAGTACAGTATATCTAACTCTACCCATCTAGTTTAATGTTTTAACTATCCCATGCTGACTCCAATCCTCACCACGTATCTGCTCAGAATAACTTATTCACTGTATAAATTTATTTGTAGTAAGAATACATGAAAATTATACCCTATCATGTTTCTGTTTCTGGATACTTTAAATAATGTGCACTGTAACTACAAGCAATATTTTTCATGATTTCCCCCGTGAAATACACTGCAACTTCCCAGCCTGGGAATGCATTTACTTGTGTAATCTAAATTTTCTCCTTGGTTTGCATTCTCTTTTACCAAACCCCAGGCCTAGAATTTATCATTAGTGGAAAGCCACCTAGTCAACAAGGGGGTTTAAGAGTTTAAGTCGTTGTTTTGTTTTCCCTTTCTAGGAATTTAAGCACAAAATTAGACCTTTAAATTTTCTGAGCTGGTATCTATTTCTTTCTACAGCTTCTCTCTTCTCTTCCCTTCTACCTCTTCTTCCTCTGGCCTGGCTCCACCTCCTCCTCCTCCTCCTCTCCTTCACACTGTCTCTTTCCTCATTCCTCCAGTTTTCTTTCTTCTCTCTCTCCCTTTCATCCCAGCCCCCATAATCTCTCTTTATCTCTGTCCCCTATCCCTCCAGCCTTTCTTAATCATTTTGATATTTGTCAAGGCCGTACCAGGAAAGCAAATATAAGCTACCTTTTTACAAAGCAGGGAAGATGTGAAGCCATAGAAAGTGAGATGTCATTATACTAAATGGACTTTAAAACAAGCAGGTAAATGCCTTAGCAGCGTCAGCGGAGCATGTGAAACTCCCCCAGGTGGGCTACAAGAAGAAATTGTGCCTTGGACCAGTTCATGGCAGAAAGAAATAAAAGAGAGAGTATGTATCTGCTATGAAAACACTCTCTGGGTTTACAAGGCTGGGAACTTTGGGAAACAGAATTGTCATAAAAGTAATCTGCCACCATGGCAATAGATTTCAGTGATGATGGGGGAGCGTGAGAACATAGGAACATATGTACATGTCAGTGGTTCCTATCAACAAGGATTTTATGTAAACATCATGTGAATTTCTAGACATACCCAATGGCGGGTAAAACAAGTGCTTTTACACGACCTCAGGGTTAGGGTCATTCACACATGTTCTGGCTGCAGGCACAACACTCGGCTCATATATTAATCTACTAGGAGGAGGGCTGCTGATTTTCCAGCTGGAGCTGCTACTTCTAGAAAGGTTATGACAGTATCACATCTTGGATTGGAGGGCTCCATTTTTAAAGACTGACTGGGGCTTATCTACCGCTGTGAGGAAGAGACTGTGGAGTAGGAACTTGGGCCTTTGAAGGAAACCCATCAGAAAGAAGTGTGTATCCAGGTAAATTCATCTGTGATGACCCTAGACAAATCTTCATCTTATCTTCTGTTATGGTGCTGATAGTTCATTTGCATTTTTGTTTTTCTTTTATTTTAATTGGAGTTTGTTTACTGACACTGGGCATCTAACATTAATCCCATTCAGCCTGGACACCTATAGCTTCCCACACATCTGTGCTTGCTTTTGCTGTTGAGAACATTTATCCTGAGCTTTAGCAACAGCTTAATTCAAGGCTGGATATCTGAATGTGCTATAAAATCAAAACAGGATCCTCCAAGTTAAAACATACGCAATGTTAATCCACCACTCCTTGAAACGTTCCCCCTTGCTGCTATCTGTTTAGCACGGTAAAGCTTGATTATCTTAAACCAAACAAACTAAACTGTTAATTGCCTAGATTTTTTTTTCATATTATCTGAAAAAAGCCAAACCAAGCAAATAAATTAATTTTGGATTTATTTTAAAAAATTAGGATGGACCTTGGGACCTGTTTACATGAAGCTCAAATATTTACATCTTTTTCGTAAATAATTTGGGGTCACATACTTCAAAATTACTGATATTCAGAAAACACCAAAATAAAACTTCAAGCCTTAAAGGAGGGAAAAAATGTACTGCAGTTTATTGCTTAAGGCAGGAAGTTCAATGACTCATTATTTAAACAAAGGAAGAAAGATTATTATCTAAAATAAATTGAGAAAAAGGTTTTCTAGTTAGTCCTTTATTGACTGGGAAATATAGATAATGGGAACTTTTCATTGTAGAGTATTTTGTTCAAATATTACTCTATCCCATCATCCTGAAGCTGATTACATTCAGATTTAGCTCATACTTTAAGAGCATTTCCAATGTCAGGTTCTGAGCTAGGTGCTTTCAACTCTGTTATGTATTAATCCTGAGAACAACTTTGAGAGGCAGCCACTGGATGGAGAAGCACAAATTCAAACATGGTATCTGATGACACAGTTTAAAGACAACTGGTCTTAAAGTTAGAAAAACTTGATTCCAGTCCCATGTAGACTACTTACAGCCTATGAATGTGTGGGTGATATTTCAACCTCTCCCTGTCTCAGTTTCCTTGTCTGTAAATTCAAGGGGGAAATATTGTTTGCAAATCTATCTTTTAGAGTTGTTTGGGGATTAAATGTAAATAAATATAAATTAATAGGTAAGGGATTATAAATAACACATTTTTCTTACAAAAGTGAGTTGATTTTAACTTATTCCTCTATCTTCCTTTCCCAAAGGCAGCCAGTCATCTTAGATAAAAGCAGTTCCCTCTTTTCCCCGGTATTATCAGCACTGCAGATGAACAAGAATGGAGCATAGAGGGCACTCGGCAGGAAAAGCCAATACTGAGATGAAAATAGATTGGATGCTGATCTATTTTAAGATTATGTGTCTATATTGGCTCTACATTATTCCCTATCTAAAGAATCCTTCAAAGATAAACTCAAGCCTTATATCTAACAAACTGCAGCTCTGGGGCCCTGATTTGCACCCACTCTAAAGAGGGACCTAGATCCTTTAGGTCTGTGTAAAATGAAGTGCTCAATGCATTTAAAGGAGCAATATGCACAACAGCTGCAGCACAGACTCACAGCACTTACTGTGTGCCAGAACAAGTCCTGACCCGTGTAACCCTCACAACAGCCTTCTGAGGTAGCTTCTATTATGATGCCCATTCTACTTTGCAAACCAAAAGTAAAATGCAAAGGTCGCCCTTCAGCCATCTAAATGGACTCCCTCCTCTCAACCAGGACACTCCAAATTTAACCTGAAAGACTGGTTCAGATTGTGGAGGGCAGTGGGAGGTCGGATGTGCCTTATTATACCCTCCTTCCTTTTGGAATTCAGGAAAAGCCGCAAAGCCTTTCACATCAACACAGACCTTAATTCTGTTAAGAAACATTTACAATCTATTCTCTCTAAGGCCTGCTACCTGGAGGCTTCATCTGCATGATAAAATTTGGTCTCTACAACCCCTTATCACAACCCAGACATTCCTTTCTATTGATAATAGTTCTTTCAACCAATTGCCAATCAGAAGATTTTAAAATCTACCTACCCACAACCCAAACACCTCCCATGAGGCCCCACCTTTCAACACTGCAGCATTGGAGATTAAATTTCAGCATGAACTTTGATGGGGACAAACTAGCCATATGCAAACCATAGCAGGATAGTCAAGTTTGATGCAGACACACAAGACACAAAAATTAATTCAAGATGGAACATAGACTTAAGCATAACAGCTAAAACTGCATAGCTTCTAGAAGCAAAAATAAATATCTTCACAAACTCAGGATAGGCAAAGATGTTATGAAGCGAACATAAAAAGTACTAACCAGGAAAGTAATAAAATTAATGAATTAGACTTTATTAAATTAAAATCTTCTTATCAGAAGACACCAATAAGAAAATAAATAAGCCACAGATTTGGAGAAAATATTAATAAAACATATGTGACAAAGGACTTTTCATATCAAAAATACTTCTAAAACTCAATAATAAAAAGACAAATAGCTCACATAGACACAACATATATGTGCGTATATATGTATATATATCAGCAGAAGACTTCAACAGATATGTCACAAACATCTATATAATAAATATGTAATATAATAGATTATATGTATATGCGTGTGAATATGTGTGTGTATGAATGACTAATAAACACATAAAAAAGTATTCAGCATAAATATTTACAAGGGAAAGGCAATTTAAAATCACAATGAGATACGTACCCACTAAAATGGCTAAAATAAAAAAGATTATCAAAGCCAATCCTGTCATATGTATGGAACAACAGATACACTCATATATTGCTGGGGGAAAGAAAACAAATAATATTGGTTTTTGCCATTACTTTTAATGGGAAAAACTGCAGTTAGTTTTGCACCAACCTAATATGACCACTTTGGAAAACTGTTCAGTAGTTTGTTTAAAAAGCAGTTTACTGGCCGGGCTCGGTGGCTCACGCCTGTAATCCCAGCACTTTGGGAGGCCGAGGCGGGCGGAGATCCAGACCATTCCGGCTAACACGGTGAAATCCCGTCTCTACTAAAAATACAAAAAATTAGCCGGGCATGGTGGCAGGTGCCTGTAGTCCCAGCTACTCTGGAGGCTGAGGAAGGAGAATGGCGCGAACCCGGGAGGCGGAGCTTGCAGTGAGCTAAGATCGCACCACTGCACTCCAGCTTGGGCGACAGAGCGAGACTCCGTCTCAAAAACAAAAAACAAAAAACAAAAAACAAAAAACAGCAGTTTACTTTAGCAGTTAAATGTACATCTACTAGTGTGGCAGCAAATCAACTTCTGAGTATTCAAGAGACATAATACGTCTACAGAACCTTGTACAAGACTTTTCATAGCAGCATTATTCATAATGCCCAATCAGTCGATCTAGAGGAAAATGGATAAACAAACTGTAAAATATTCATGTAATGGAAAACTACTTAGCAATAAGACAGAACTTCTATTACGTGAATCTCAAAAACATGCTAAGTGAAAGAAGCAAGATACAAAATGAGTAATTTCATACTTATGATTCCATTCTGATGAAATTCTGGAAGAGATGAAACTATTCCATGGTGCAGTGGCTGCTTTTGTGAGTGAATGGGAAGCAAGGGTGGGACTGCCTGGGAAGGGGCATGAGGTAACCCTCTAGGATGATGAAAATGCTCCATATTTTGATAGAGGTGTGGTGTCTACATTTACCAAAACTGATGGAATTATACAGTTAAGACTTGTGTATTTTGACTTTATGTAAATTATACCTGAAATGATAGAGATATTGAGTTTAAGTAATTGCAGGCTTGTGCCAGGTTCTGAGAAGAGAGAGAAAGTGTGTGTGTGTGTGCGCGCACACACGCGTGCACGCTTATCTTGGCAACCGTGGGAGAATTATGGTGATTATAGAACCATGCCCATTTGGGGGAAGAGTGAAGAAAGATAAAAGCCACCAAATAAAACAATTCTCTTACTTTAGAATTTGTCCTAAACACCTAAAACACCTTAAAAACACAAAATGTTTTCACTAGGAATACATAAATATAATAATATTGGTTTTTACTTCAATCTAGATGCTTACCTAGCAAGTATATGAACGTCAGGTGTAGTAAACATGACTAGGTTTCCCTACATGATGGAGATTAATTGCTTTTCAATCATTTGAAAAATTTAAACATTCCAAATATAGCATCCTGGGCAAGCCCAAAATATCGATGCCATCTTGCTATCCTACAACCCCCAAAATAAAAATTCACAAAATATTTTTTGACATGAATGTAATCACAATCATGTAGAGATGCTAAAAAAAAGTTTCAATCAACTTGTCTGCTTTGGTGGCCTGAACAGGCATAACAGAGTTGGTGAAAACCCTAAGTGTCAATAAATTATGTTCTGAAAACCTTTTGATTTCTTCCCTTTAGAGTACTAAGATCTAGGGCTGGCTGTGGAATTATTGCTGTGCTTGCATTGATGTTGGTGGTTTACCATTAGTGGAAGCATTCACATTTCTGTGGGTAGACTTAGAGAGAGGATGGCAACAGACAGTGTGTGGTTAGTAAAACAAAGCCAAATGCTGTTCAGTGGAAATCCAAGCATAACCAAAATAGGTCCTTCTACAGAGAAAGTGAGTTTTTAAGCCTCAGCTGTTATATTTAGTTGATTCTGCAAGATATCAAGGAATAATGCTTGTATATATTTAACTGTGGTGAACATTTGTGGCATTTTTTTCTGGCTGAAGAGATAACTTTTTTGGTACTTGCTTACCAGTATTATGAGCTCAATTAACTGTGGGTTCTGGTTGTGGAATCGGAATGTTGGTAGGACAGGAATTTTCAATGAGAAGCAGTCATTCAGAGCAAATATTAGGTAAGAAAGTTTACACATTGATTGATTGATTTTGGCAGCCAAAAGACCATGATGAATATTATTCATTGCTTGATTATTGTCAGTTCATGGCATTATGCATTTGGACCATGTCTGCAATGGAAAATTGAAGAAAATATAATTAGAGCTAATTCTGAGTACGTTGGTGATGTCTCTGTAAAACTCTAACATTTATCCAGTGTTCACATTATGCCAGGCATAATAAATTCTGTATAATATTTGCTCTTCTTTGCAATACTCTATGTGCTTTATAAACTATATACATGTGAGAAAATGAAGGCTCAATTGGTTTATACCATGTTCTATATCTAGTAAGTGACAGATTGGGAATTTAACCCCAGGATTTTTGGTTCCCAAACTTATGAGACAATGGAAAGCAATTCACTGAAAACTGTAGCATGCTGACGGTAACTTGGTTGTTTGGCACACACACAAAACAACTATTGAGTTATTATAGTTATCATCAAAGAGCAATTTAACTACAGTAAGTGAAATGTACTTCAGTCTAAACAGATGAATCAACTATATCTTTTTGTCACCCATAACTATTAATTATTATAGCAATTGACCTTGGTACAACTTTTAAAAGTGTTTTTACAAACACTACATTCCCTTCTGAATATTAGCAATGCTGAGCTGAAAATAGGAGAGACATTATTATTTTCATATTATTTTCCCATTTTATGGATGAGGAAACTTAGGTTCAGAGAACTTTAGTAACTTCCCAAGGTCAAATAGCCAGTGAGCAGAAGTTAGAGGTGAAAATGAGTTGGTCCCACTATCCTCTTTCCAGGATGCCTCTTTGAGAAAATCACTATCTACAAAATCTCTAGCTGTTTCTTCCTCAGGGAGGGAGAACTACATTGATAATCCCCACATTACTGCTTTTGGTAGATCCAATGAACTCTAATCTCCAGGATACGCCCTTATCTCGCCTATTGTCAATAGTGGTAATGAAAAATAGGGGCTGTTTCTTGCATTCTTGAATTTGACTGTGGCAGAGCATTACGAAAGATCATTTTAGTTAACAATAAATATTCATTTGGATACAGTTAGCTCAGAAAATAACCAAACATTTCACAAATCTGGACATTGTTTAAAGGAATTAAGATGAGTTTATAGTTGTTCTTTAAAGACAATCGAGATAGTAACTATCCTAACCATCCTAACCAGTGAAAATAATTACTAGGAGATGTCTCCGGTGCTAGGAAATTATTTAAAGCTATTTTTATCCTGCAGTTTCATTTAGTGTTTCTCTATTGAGTGGATTATTTAAAACTGTCAGAGTTTGGTGAAACCCACTAGGCTTTTAAGAACCTTTTAATCATATAAATTGTAGATCACTACAGTTTGCCAGATTATAAAATAATTTTTAAAAAATCCTCAGGAGGCCGGGCGCGGTGGCTCAAGCCTCTAATCCCAGCACTTTGGCAGGCCGAGGCGGGCGGATCACGAGCTCAAGAGATCGAGACCATTCTGGCCAACATGGTGAAACCCCGTCTCCACTGAAAGTAAAAAAATTAGCTGGGCATGGTGGTGCTTGCCTGTAGTCCCAGCTACTCGGGAGGCTGAGGCAGGAGAATTGCTTGAACCTGGGAGGCGGAGATTACAGTGAGCCGAGTGCGCGCCACTGCACTCCAGCCTGGTGACAGAGTGAGACTCTGTCTCAAAACAAACAAACAAACAAACAAAAATCCTCAGGCAAGAGGACCCAAGATATGAAACCTTTGCCACTCCACTGCAAGAACTGGATATTATGCCAGAGACTCATTTTTAATAAAGCTCCCTTAGTTACCAATCACCAGTCAAATAATGAAGCTTCATTATCATACAAGCCAAATTGATTCCTTCCAAAGTGAAGGTCTTATTTTTTTCTCTGATTATTTATTCGCTTTGTAACCTGTCCTGAAGTTCATCTCATTATCCCCATCATTATTGAAACCACATATTGCTGATGGGCAAAAGAGTTACAAAGAAAGGAAAATAGAGAATAGATTACTTGGAACGTAAAATAATATTTGGTTTTGTCTGCTCCTCCCCTTTTTTTGGTTTCATATATAATGATCTTGTTGATTAGGTCATTTCCTAAAGGGAGATCAATTGATGCCAGAGATTCGTTAGAGATGTGGTAGCGCATTCAAGGACAAGAGGGTTTTTTCAAATGAAGAAATTGAGGACATAGGGAGGGCTAAGGAAAAGAGGAAGGGTACTGTTGATTAATGTAATGTTTCAAAGAAACCATCAAAGACCCAGAGCAACACATGGCTTAAGCACATTGATCAGCCATTGGTAGGCACATTGCTGAGAAAGAATTCAAATACTTCTTATCCTTTGTGGCAATCATTGTCTTATTTATTTTCCTTCTGGAGTAAATTAACTGATTCAAAACACATGTATTAATTACTCTAAATAATGCCACTTACTTCTTGGAGATTACAGTGTGCTGTGCTGTTTCCTCTGCAGCAGGGCTTCCCAACCTTGGCACCTTGGCTATCATCACAGGGCACCCTACCCTATTACCACAAAGGTATGAATGTATTCTGGGAAGAAAAAAAATCAATATCTAAACAACACAGGTTGTGATTCCTTTCAATGGCTTTAAAGAGTAGGGTTATCATTGCTTACAGATGAGGAAATTGAAATTCAGGGTCTAAGTAATTGACACCAAGTCACAAAGCTAGTAAATAGCTGAAACAAGATTAAAAATCAGGTCTGTTTGACATCAAAGCCTCTACTCTTTCCTGCGTGTCCCTTGTTTTTATATTATATATTTATAGAAGTTTCTAGTTTCCCATTTATTTGACCAATCTCAATCAATAAAAAGGTGTTTATTGAGGGCCAAAGTGAATGTACCATAAAGAAATCAGTAGATAGTTTCAGCTCAGAGGAATCCACATCCTACTTGGAGAGATAAAGTTAACCATGAAGAAATAAGAAAGTAGGATAAAATCCTAACTTGTATGATACATTTGGCCAAAAATCAAACAGCATGTATATTAAGTTACTGGTTGCATTGTAAAAAGAACCTAGAGAAAGGCAAGGCTGTTATAAATTAGCTGTATTAGACAAGATTATAGAAGTGGGAGTTGAGGAAATTAACACATACATTTTAAATTTAAATTTATGCTAAACAAGTTGTATTAGTTTCCTAGCGCTGTCATAACAAATAACGGAATTTATTCTCTCACAGTTCTGGAGGCCAAAATTCTAAGATCAGGGTTTCAGCAGGACCACCTGAGATCAAGACATCAATCAGCAGGAGTGCTTGATTTATAATTTTCTAGTCCAGAGGCTCCAGGAAAGTTCTGTTCTTTGCATCTTCCCGATTCTGATGGCTGTCAGTGTTCCCTGGCTTGTGGCCATGTCACTTTTATCTTTACCTCAGTCATCACATGGTCTCCTCTGTATGGGTTCATGGGTCAAATCTCCCTCTGCCTCACAATATAATAATGCTTATCATTGGAATTTGGAACTGCTCAGATAATCCAGGATGATCTCCTCATATCAGGATCTTCAACTTGCTATATCTGCAAAGACTCTTTTCAAACAAGGTAATATTCATAGGTTTCAGGAATTTGGACATGAATGTATCTGTTGGGGGCCACCAGTTAACTCATTACACAAGATTTGGTGTGCTTGTTAGCTTTGTCTTATAACACTTGATTTGTTTATTGGAGAAATACAACCCCCAGACTTGGAGGAAGATACACTACAGTCATTAAGTCCACAAATTCTGGGGTCAGAGAGTGAGTGAGTGAGTGAGTGACTCACAATTCTGACACATTCAAATCATGTGTAACTGGGTTATTAACTTCCCAAAGACTCAGCATTTCATATATAATAGATGGAATTATAATGCTTATTAATTATTCATACATTTCACACATCATATTTAATTTCAAAAGACATTTTTTGAAGCATGTCTTATCATTATTTCTATCTCATTGATAAGAAAATTGAAGCATTATTATAGAGGTTAAGTATGTCCAGAGTCACATCTAGTAAGTGGCATCAAACCTTTATCTAGGAGCTACAACTGCCTTTACATTAGGTTATAACAATACTCAACTAGAAGATTGCTAACTGTATTAAAAGAGATATCAGAGATGAATTGTCAAGTGCTAAGAGTCCCTTAGCAAATAATCATTATTAAAACTGAATCATAAAATAACACATACATGAATTAAATAGAAAAGAAGAATTATTCTTCCTCTATTGAGTATCTTTATTATATTTAAGATTTTCCAGTGTTCTAGTCAGTGCTTGAATGTTCTTATCCTCTTAGTGTGTTTGGGTACATATTAGTAATTCTCTTCATAACTGGAAAACCCTCAATTATATGCTGCACAGATTCATTAAAACCACCAGCAAAACCACAGTTCTTCATAGGAAAAATTGTACATCCAGAGTTTATTTCAACAAAAGTGGCAGTAAACAATACAGAATTGCTTTTCCCATCCCCTTTCCACCCATGTGACCTCTTGGCATGTTGCAAGCTTATGTTATTTCAGTTGTCCTAGTAATTCCTTGTGTGTGTTTAAGAATTGCCTAATGTTTATTGCTAAGTATAGGTTACTGTGTTGAGTGACTATGCCTTTATTTTTATGCTGATATAATTTAAAAATAGAACAAGTAAGTAAAGCATAATGGTTTGAATCAAAGGTCTTTTAAACATAAAACACTACACAGTATTGTACAGCCGTATTTATATTTTATGGGATAATTTAATCAACTAATTTGTTTCAGAAGTATCGATTAAAACATAAAATTTCCACTATAGTCTGAAGTTTGCAAGTGGCCAGTAAGTTAAATTAAACCAGTAGGTTAAAAGCATAGTTACTGGAATCAGGGAGTTCTGGGTGATTCTGCTAGCTTCATTGCTTGCAAGCTGCCTCGCCTTAAGTAATTACTCTATTTGAGCCTCAGTTCCCTTCTCTGTCCAGTGGAGTTCTTTATATCAAACTCATCCTCTTACCATAGAACAGATATAAAATATGGATAAAATACATAAAGCAAAACAAAACTGTAGGCTTCAGAGTACAACCAAGGCAGTCAGGACTTGAGGGCAAAAACCCTGAAGCAAGCAGAGAGCACCCTCAGTCTCGTGTTCTCTGCGGCTTTTCTGTTATGGCATTTGCTCATTAGCACTGTGGATCCTAAAATCTAAGCAGAAAATGGCAGCCAAGCATCCCCACCCCTAGTGATTAAGGAAAAGATTGAATACAATGCATGCATAACCTCGGCACAGAGTCTGAGATGTGATTAGTACTCAATATGTGTGTAAAAGGACTAAAAAAAAAAACAAAAAAACCCCACCAACATTGATGTTCCCTCATGTTCCCACTGCCTTCTTTGTCCCACTTTCTTTCTCGTTTGCTATCTAATTCCCTCATTTCATAAACTTTGACTAGCTGATAAACCACAAGCTTCCAAACAATGTAAAAAATGTTCTGATGTGTATTGTGATTGTGTAATGCCAAGGACTCTAAGCAAGGGACATGTAAACAGGAAGGATGTTCAACTGTGAGTGTGGGTTAAAGTTGGCTAAATTGCTGCCCAGCCAAAACCTCAAGGCCAGGTACTCAAGTGCCCACTATCCTATAAAAACCCTGACTGCTTCAGTTGGAAGCCACCTGGTCTTTAGGAGCTCCATCAATAAAGTCTTTCATCTCTATTTGAGTCACAGGAATCATTTTCTTTTGACAAGTATGTCTTAGGTCAGTTCCAGAAATAGGCTGTGAGAGACCTGCAAGCAGGAAGTTTGTTGGAGAGTGCCTATAGGACAAATACCTCTGGGGTAGTAGAAAGAGGTGGATTGGTCAGAGACAGGAGTTGAGCTTCCATGTAGTTGCAGCAAGGGCCTCAGCCAGTGCCATATAGAGCGTGCTCCACAGAATGTGACCTAGAGCAAAGTGGCTCTCTTCAGCTTAGGGCAATTCCTGGCGAGGGACTCAGGTTCCAGCACTACAAGCAACTGAAATGGATCTCTCATTCTTGCAGTGGGGACCTGAGGGAGGACCATAGCATCCAATACACAGTGGCGGCTGTTATTTCCCATATGTTTTTTATCACCTCTTTCATCTCCCTTCAGGATGTGTTTCATTAGCCGTATTTTACAGGTTTGCCAAGTCCACACTGGTGGTAGAGTTAAGAATTCAGCCTAATTTAGGTAGGGTGCCGTGGCTCACATCTGTAATCCCAGCACTCTGAGAGGCCAAGGCGGGAGGATTACCTAAGGTCAGGAGTTTGAGACCTGCCTGGCCAACATGGTGAAAACCCCTCTCCACTAAAAATACAAAAATTAGCTGGGCACTGTGGTGTGTGCCTGTAATCTCAGCTACTGGGGAGGCTGAGGCAAGAGAATAGCTTGAACCCGAAGGCGGATGTTGCGGTGAGCTGAGATCACACCACTGCACTTTAGCCTGGGCTTCAGAGTGAGACTTCATCTCAAAAAAAAAAAAAAAAAAAAAAAAGGAATTCAGCCTAAATTTGATATTATCTGCCCCCTACCTTCTTGCCAATGTTGCTTTGCAATGAGATAACTCAATTTACATTCCCAAGAATTTATCAGATATCTGTCATGAGCTCAGCCTTGTGTCAAGAAACTCCTGGGGACACGTAATTTGTTCCTTGGCTTGACAGGAAATGAGAAGTAGCTGGCAGAACCTTTATATTGGCTGTGCAGATGCTGGGGTTGACCTTTGTCACCTTGTCATCAGGAAGCCACTGCCCTGGAGATTCTTAAGGAAATCATCCGGGGAGGCTAACCAAAGTCTGAGTTAACCAGTCTTGTTTGCAGGTGAATAGAGCAAAGTAGCTTAACATTAGCACTTCTAGAGGTTTTCCTGCTTGACCCTCATGGAACAGGGTTCATTTTTTAAGCTCCAGTTTAGTTTAAGTCAAGTCCCTTTTACTAGGCATGTTTGATTTACAAGGCATTGTGCATGTTGCTGTGGGAATTAAGAGCTGAATAAAACAGAGGACCTTCATTCAAGGTGTTTATAACTCGATGTTACTCCTCATCCTGAAGCTCAAAGAAGCCTATCTGCTTTATTTTTATTTTTTTTACTTTTATCAGGGGTAATTTTTGTGGCTAGCTCTGATTATTTTGGAGGGAAGGGAAAAGTGAGGCAAAAGACCTCAGAAAATGGACTCTTAAAAAAAGCCACCTATGTAAGAAAAGTATGAACAAAATCTCACCTGGTATCTGTTTTATGCTTTGGCACATTATTAGCAGGTCCTTCCTCAGGTCCTTCAGCATTCATGGCCTTTGGGGTAAAATAAATTCAGTACAATGTATACAATGTATAGCTTTGAAAAAATCAAAATGGATTTGAGTCTAGCTCATAGCTCAAGTGTGATAAATATGTTTAAACTTTCTTCAATTCATTTTAAATTTTATTTTAAGCACTCATTTCATGGGGAGGGGTGGGAACATCAATTATGCCTCAATTAATTTGGGGGTTTTCTTTCTTTGCTTGATGCTACTTTATACTAAGGCTTAGGGACATTTGTTCTCAATGTCATCCTTGCTATACAGTATGACAACTCTCTTTTCATGCCATGCCACACTGACAAGCAAAGAACTCTATTCTGTTTCTTTCAAGCCACTGTGGGACCTAGACATCCCCTTGAGACTAATTATAACACTGTCTTTCCACACTGACTGTGTATCCATTCCCGCTTAGGGTATTCCTCACTCCCGAAGGCTGGGTCTGGTAAGGCAGTGCACGATGAGTGTTCTGTGTCTAGGGCCGTCACCATCAGAGCCTCTTTCCTCTGCTTTTCTCTCATTTTCCTAAGCCAGGAAGGGGGATGGCATGAAGAACCTGTGCCCTGCCAGGCCCTTGCAGCTTCAACACTTGTCATTGCCCCTTGATTCCCCAATGTTCTAGCTTTAGAAGATCAAAGTAGGGCAGGCTGTTCATTTTTAACCCAAAATTTTCCTCTCATGAGACAAGAGCTCAGAATTGTTTAGATCCTTTAACAGAGGAAGTAAGTAAATGGATGGGAAGACTAACAGACTCTATATTTTTTAATTTAAAAAGATATTATCATTAGTTATGAAACTTTCTTCTCCTTTGTTTTTATCTCCTATCTAGCAATAGGCTTGATGTTTAGAAAAGGAATTAAATGTTTATAATACATAAGGAATTATGTATACATTTATGACAGGACACACTAGGCTTGGGGGTCGGGTTAAGGAAGCCCCGTGAATGCCACTTGGAAGCTCTAAAACATGTTTGTAATTTTCTTGACACTTCATCAGTTGAGAAGTGAGGTTCCTCTCCTTTCAATTTGGGCTCACCTAAGTGACTTGCTTGTCACCAGTATCAGAAATGACACTATGCAGCTCCCAAAGCCAGGTCAGAAAAGGTCAGAGTTTCCACTTGGTTTTCTTGGAACACTGACTTTGGAACCCATAACCAGAATGGTAGAAGTCTTCTATCCTGAGGCTTCCATGCTGTGAGAAGCTACGTCTCAAGAAAAAGCAGCCACTTGTTGGTGACAGACCCAGCTGAGGTCCCAGCTGCCAGCATCAACCACCAGGCATACATGAAGATACCTCCTGATAATTCCAGCTCCAAATGTCCAGTCACCCCATCAGCCATCGAGTTGCCTCAGCTGAGGTCCCAGACATTGCAGAGCCCTCTCTCAATTCCTGACCCTCAGAACCTTGAACTTACTGAAATGGTTATTTTACATCGAAATGGTTATTTTACATCAAAATGTTTTGGGATAGTTTGTTATGGAGCGGTACTTACAGGAATAGTTACCAAACTTCCTTTTTCCCTCTTTCTAACTATTGCCTTAGAAATAGGTTAGGTGCTTTGGGAAGAAACTGAATTATTACCACACACCAAGAGGACATTTATATCAGGGATCAGCAAACTCTTAGTAGTAGACCTTCAATTAGGATTAAGCAAATACCATGAATGGTACCATGGGTTGTAGGCCAACTTAGGAGCTGAAAAGGAAAAAAGAAGGCTTGAATACCTCTGTCACAATTTTCCTCCTTACTATATATCCTGCCAATACTCTCAGTGACTCAAGCATCAGTGACCCATCCAACTCTAATCTAAGGCATCTTTACTATCCCAATATTCCACTTTAGTTATCCATATCCTAAAATTGTTATCTGGAATTGGCTCACATCAACCTCTTTCAGTTTTCACATCTACTTGCTTTTCCTTACTTTTTTTTTTTTTTTCCCCCTTTTGTGGGCCGGGGGAAGAGGTCTCACTCTGTCATTCAGACTGGAATTCAGTGGCATGATCTCAGCTCACCACAACCTCCACCTCCCAGGTTCAAGCAATTATCCTCCCTCAGCCTCCCAAATAGCTGAGATAACAGGCGCATGCCACTACTGCCCGGCCAATTTTTGTGTTTTTAGTAGAGACAGGGTTTCACCATTTGACCAGGCTGGTCTTGAACTCCTGGCCTCAAATGATCCACCCACCTCAGCCTCCCAAATTGCTGGGATTACAGGCGTGAGCCACCGCACCCGGCCATCTACTTGCTTTTCTACCTTGAGGAACCATCTATTCCTTGCCCTCTATTGTTTTTCTGTCTGTCCTCTCTTGGCTTTATTTGCATCTCTACACAGCCTGGACTTCATGGTTAATCAGTGCCACAACTCAAGCACCAGCAACATCAATTCTTGCCTTCTTTTATTTCTAAAGCATCTGCCTGGCAAGCCAGGACCCTAGATCAATCCTCCATCTGCCTTCTTACCTCTTACAATCGTGCTATTTAAGAAAAACTGCAGAAAATAATCACTATACTATATGAGTTGGTGCCACTATTAATGTAAGATTTTTTTAACTTCATGTAGACATTCATCTCAGCCAGCGAACCCATCTTTACTTGTATCTTTAGTCATGATCCTTTTTCTTCTTCTCAGCAAATATTCCAAAATTCACTCCTTTTCTAAACTCCGCACGTACACTCCCTTGCTCAGCTGTCCTTACTTTCTATATTACCACTAAAATGCACACATCCTCACTTTTATTCCCTTGCTTTAACCTTGCATCTCTTCTGTCTTGTCCCTCCTTTAGGGTTTAGAGAAGCAGTTATCACTCTGTGCATGGGTCAAGTCTCCATCTGTACTCTTAATCCTTCTTCTCATCTCCATTGAGACTAGCACTATGTATAATTTCTTTTTCTTCCCTGTCTTAAATCACTTTAATTCTACTGGCTTTTTTCTCTTCCACACTTGTTTATCTTACCCTAAAAAGAAATTATAAACCTCCCCTTGACTCGGGGTCCCTCTGCACAAACACTCCTTGTACTCTCTATTTCTTCCAGATTAAACTTCTTGTGAGTTTTGTACCATCACTATTTCTATTTCATTTCCCATTCATTCTTCCACATGTTCCCATTAACATATAAGCATACTATTTTTCTCCTGTTTTAAAATACAAATAAACTTTTCTTTACACTACTTGCCCTGTAAGCCAATTTCTTTATAGCTATTGTGTAAATGGCTATAAAGAAATCTTTGCAGCCATTGTGTAAATGCTATAAAGAAATCGGACAGGCTTACAGGGGAAGTCTAGAGCACCAAAAGGTACTGGCCTTTGGTGTTCCTTGAAAGAGTTGTTTTCAGTCAGGATCTCACCACCACCCTTCCACTGAAACTTTGCCTGTCAGGTCCACTAAATTACTACCATGTTATTAAGTCCAGTTGCAAATTTTTAGGCCACTTCCTGATCTGTTGGTAGCATCTGACACATTGGATCCTTCCCTCTCTCCTTCTACGTGTATTTTGTACAGTCAGGCTCTAGACCACCACACTTTCTTGGTTTTCTTCCTACTTCATTGGCCACTCTTTTCCTATCTTTATTAATGGTTACTCTTCTCCCTAAACTCTTGGTGATGAAAACTCCAGGCCTCAACCAATGGTCCCTTTCTGACCTACTCTTGCTTTTTTATTATTCTCAGCTAGTTATAGAGTTTTAAGCTCCCTCTGTGATTCCAACAACTCTCAAATGTATCACCCAAACACCAGACCTACATAACAACTACCTTCTTGAAATCTGCTTTTGAATATATAAGACTTATCTCAATTTTAATATGTCCAAAACTCAATCCTGAACTTCTACCTAAAACCTCCTTTACTCACAGCCTCTTCCATCTTAGTCGATGCATTCAATTCTTGAAGTTTTCCTGGCAAAGATACTTGGAATAATCATTGACTATTCTCTTTCTGTTATATCCTACATATAATTAATATAGAACTATTGGAACTATGGCTCTGCCTTTAAGATATATTCACAATCCAGCCAATTCTCACTTCACTTCCTCCAGTTCATCTTATTCTGAGCCATCATTATCTTAGTCTGAGCCAACATTATTTTTCACCTAATAGTGTTCTAACTGGTTATTCTATATCTGTCTTTGCCTGCCCTATAGCTTATTCCAAACACAGTGGCCAGAGTATTTCATTCCTTTGCTTAAAACCCTGAAATAGTATCCCAGATCCCTTAGAGCAAAAGCTAGAGTCAAGACAAGAGACTTTAAGTCCCTGCATCATCCTCTCCCATCACTTCTTTCACCTCATCTCTTTCGGTTCCCACCCTTGCCCACTCCACTCTGGCTGTACTGACCTTTTGGTCTTCCTTGAACTTTCCAGACTCCTTCTAGGGACTTTGCCCTGATTGTTCCTTAGGCTAGAGATGATGTTATATCAGATGCCCACATAGCTGGCTCTCTAAATCCTGCAGGTCTTTGTCAAAGGTCATCACCTCAATGTAGCCTGATCTAAGTGACCGTACTGTTAAATAAAGTCTCTATTCCCTTTACCTTTCTGGCCAATTTTAAAGCCTCCCTATTTTTGCCCCTTAAGTGTTAGAATTTCTCATGATTTCATATTTCCCTATTTATTTGTCTTCTCTTTATGCAATTTCTGACTCCCAGATGTACATCTCTAGCCTTGACATCTCCCCTGTGTTTTAATTTATGTGCTAAACTTACGGAAAAATCCTAAGGGAGAATTTGCTTTAAACATTCATCCCTCTTTTCCCTTCTTTCATGCCCATTTTCTGATGTTGGACTACGAACAACCAATAGTCCTCCTCTCAGACAATTTGTATCTAACTTATCTAGTGAAAATCATTCTTCTTAACACAGAGACTCTTCTGAGATGCACTTAAGACTGTGCATATTAAATGAAAATCCTTATCTTTGTGGACATTTGGTAGTATATTGAGGCCACAAAAATACTGTAACTTTGACATATATACATAGAACATAACTTATTCTCAGGTGCTATTGAAAATGTCATTAAAATGCTATTAATATATTAAAGTTAACACAGAATACAAATATTATGCCCAAGGTTACTCTGAGAAAAATATTTATTTTCATTTTTTAGGAGAACTTCTCTGAAGAACTTCTTTTCAGAGCACTTCTCTGACAGGCTTACGGTATTATTACTCCTGCCTGGAGTAATATGTATTGTAATTTGGGATTCCTGTGGGACAACGTATCTTTGAAACAACAAGAATTAACTCCATGATAAAGAATTTCAGGTACCACAACCACAGATAAGAGATTAAAATTTGAGATTTTTTTTTTTCTTTCCACAAACAAAGGACTCAATTCCACCTCTGAGCATGTATAATTGAGACCCAGCAAAGATAAAATTAATTCGCAACAAAATAAAGTCTTAGAAAGAATCCTGAATCCCTATACCCTCTTTTCTATTTCATTCACACCCTCCAATATGCAGTGATTGAAATCTGGCTCTTTGGTGTCTTGTGTCTGTCCTCTCCCCTCCAGTTGTTGCAATCTGAACCCAAATGCTCCTAGATCATCCCTGAAACACTGCAGTAACCTCTAATGTTTTCCCCACTTTCTGCCCAATGTTATCTGATCTAATCTATTCTCTACATTGACCCCCAAATAATTTTTCTAAAATGTAAATCTTATCATGTCAAGCTTCCTTCAAAGGTTTCTCATTATGTGCAGTATTGATCAAAACACTAGTTTCACATACATTTGCACCATGTCTTGCCTCTGCTGTCTCCTTCACCTCATCCGTCCTTGCTTCTTCATATACCTTCCACTTCAGCCACAATGCCCTGATTCAGAGATCTATGGAGGTGCTGGGCTGCTTCTCATTTGATTGACAATTCACATTCTATTCATGCTGCCCAGATGTCCCCCGCTTTCCCCTCTCTCCTATCACGTCACTCTCACACATTTTTCATGATTCGTATCAAGCATTTCTCCTTTTATGATACTAACTTCTCACTCTGACTTGCTGTGTACTCTTACAGAATCTTGTACATACCTTTATTATAGTATATATTACTCAATTCTACTATTGTACATGATTCTTATTTTTACGCTCTGGATTGAGAGCTAAATGAATTCAGGGGCTACGATTTTTATCTTTGTCCAAACAGTCTTCACTAGTATAATAGCTTAAAAAATAGAGGGACCATATGTTTTAAGGAAGAAGAGGCAAGAAGGCAGGAAGGAAGCAAGGAAGGGATAGAGGAAGGGAGGGAAAAAGGGAAGACAGAAGAAAATGATAAGGAAAAGTGTTTTATTATAGAGGTAATCATGGGGATAACACATTTTTCTTTTCTGAGCTGGGATTTTCCTTCTTCAGATATTTCAGGCTCTTGTCACTTTACTACTTTGGAATGAGGATCTTTATTTGGACACTAGGGCAGCTGCAAAAAATTTTTTGGCTTTCGTGGTTATGGTTATTTCTTTCTAAACGTGTAGGAGAGACTTTAGCTAGCTGCTGCCTGTGGTGTCAGCTGCACTGTTTGAAGTCCCTGGTGAAGAGACAGCTGGATGCCACAGTGGCAGTCTGGAGGCCACAAAGGATTGTTAAGTGAACTTGATGTTCTAGTTGGCAAGTTTAACACATACTCTACTCCCACAAAATTGGATAACATTTTGATCACATCATACCACCAGTCTTGCCACTATTATAGAGGTACTCCTTCTTGGTAAGAAGGCATGTATAGCTTCCTTACAATTATGATTTCAGCTAGACTAGCTTCCCTTTCTCTTAGGCTTAAAGTTAATTGACCATTGAAGTACTGACATTTTTGAGAAATTCATTTCACTTGGATTTTTTTTTCCATGTTTGATATTACTAGCTTCACATCAGCATAAAGAAGTACTCATTCCTTTAATTCATATTCTTGTTTTTGGAAATATAGTAGGTCTAAAATCACTTCGTTGTCCAAAATATCTTAGTGATATGAAATATGCAGAGAAAACACTCATCCTTTTGTTTAGAGTGAACCAGCTGAAAGAAATCTTGGACATTGTCTCGTTCAGGCTTCTCATTTTCCTTTCCAGAGAACTGGAAAGCAGAGTGGTTCAGTGACTTGCCCTCAGTTGTACATTAATTCGTTAGCAGTAGAGCTTCGATTACATTTCCCAAGCCAGCACTCTTTTCAGTCCGTCGTGTTGCAGTCAAAGCTAGTCTAAAGCACTAAATGTATTCTTTTTTTTCAAAATGAAAATAGGTGTAATTTTTTCATGATCCAATGATGAAAATCATTCATTCTCATTGTAGAAAGATAGTAACACACCTAAAAGAGTGGAGTCAATTTTGAAGATGAATTCTGTTGATATAAAACAGGGTTTCAGTAGTTCTAGTTAGCTGTATTGGCATTACCTTGTGTAGTAGTCTGTTCTCACACTGCTAATAAAGACATAGCTGAGACTGGGCAACTTATAAACAAAAGGGGTTTAATTGACTCACAGTTCCACATGGCTGGGGAGGCCTCACAATCATGGCAGAAGGCAAAGAGGAAGCAAGACACGGCTTACATGGTGGCAGGCAACAGAGCGTGTGCAGAAGAAGTCCCCTTTATAAAACCATCAGATCTCCTGAGACTTATTCACTATCATGAGAACAGCATGAGAAAGACCTGCCGTGATTCAGTTACCTCCCACGGGTTCCCTCTCATGACACATGGGAATTATGGGAGCCACAATTCAAGGTGAGATTTGGGTGGGGACACAGCCAAACCATATCACCTTGGGTGAAGGCATAGAAGGATGATGATCAAATATGTAGAAAATATTAAACTGGGAGAGAGTCATATACTCTAAGTGAGGAATCAAATAATGTTTGATAAGAATCTCCTATGAAACTAGATATAAACTAATCACCAAAATCGTTCTATGAGGTAGCTATCCTATATCACTCATAGCCCAGGCAGAAAACTAGAACCATATTAGGTATTTTGACAGAAAGGTATTGAGAATTGGTTAATTTGGGATTGGAAGCCTGAAATTGGAGAAAAGAAAAAAAAAACACTGATGTAGTATAAGAAACAGAAGAAACACAAGAAAGAGCTTCCATCCCTCGGCTGGAGGAATAAAAAGAGCTGGGGTTTTCAGAATCTAGAAACTCAAATGAGAGATTTTGCAGAGCTAGGATGCAGAACTTGGAGGAGAGGAAGCTGGCCGGCTGGTCATTGTACTCAGGAACATGCAGTCGTCCCTGGGAGCTAAGGACTCTGGCTTCTAAGGAGGGAGTGCCACCTGGCTCATGCTGCTACCTCAAGAGCTTGGAGGAGAGGCTTCGAGGAGTTAGGGCTCAGACCTCGGAACAGGAGGTGCTGTCTAGCTGCTGCTGGTAGCTCTGTGGGGATGCAGTGAGGCCAGTTGTGTCAGTGTCAAAGAAGCTGGAGACTAGAATCAACTGTTGCTGTTGGGAGAAAGGTTGTGGCTGATGTGACGCTGGATAGGAAGAAGCTCCTTCTCCCCTCCTCCTGCTTTCCTGTTCCCTCTAGTGTCCCTCACTGACAAAACCCAATAGGAGGAAAATAAAGCTTACAGAGTCTCAGCCTCACATCATGATATAAAATATAGATGGGAAAAGTTCTGTCATTCATTCAGACTTTCAACAAATGTTGATTGAATGCCTACTGTGTGCCAGGAATTATTCCAGGCCCTAGACTGCAATCTCAGGTTCCTCTTCTGTGAAGTGGGGATAATCATGCCTACCTCAGAGAATTAAGATTAAATGAAATAAAGAATTTGAGGACTTTTCACAGTTCTTGTTAATGTTTATCTACTGTAGTAAAATGAAGCATGCCTTCAATTATATCAAGTATTGCTAATACTCAGATGAGACTTGGTGTGTTCAGGGTGGTATGGCTGTAGACCATTGCTGACATTCAAAATACAGTAGACTTTGACCTTATTCCATCATGCTGCTTTAAAGTGCTGTGATTTTTGAATTTTATTAAGAGGACACTCCCCAGTTTTCCACAGTCTCCACCTCTCCATACTGCTTACATCTTAATATTTCACATATTTAAGGCTAGATCTTGAGTGTCTAAGATCTGTTCTAGAATGTAATTTTATACTTATTCCCTTCTCTCTTAATTAATTTCATATTTTAGCAGCTTTGGGTATCAATTGTTAAAATTACTTACAGATAAAATCCTTCCATTTCCACCTTTATCCTTTTCAAGCAGTGAAAAACTAAAGAAATTTCTACTGTCTTTAGCAGAATAAACCAAAACCCATGAGCATAAATCCTTTTGACATTATTTTTTGAAAGTTTTGAAGTAAAGAAGCAGGCAAATGATGACTACTGCCTTTTTCTTTAAAGTATTTTTAAACATGAATTTTACGTGATTGGATTTGATTATGGTAGTAGCTTTGGGGAATTAAATCCATCTCAAGAATTTTTTTGCAGGTGTACTCTCCTTAATCTTTGCCATATTATCAATTAGTATTTAAATACCACCTGGCTCAAATACATCAGTTTTATGTCAATCTATTTGGGAGATGATCTTCCTAAATTCTTGGCCACTGAAATCATGCTAATAAAGAACTGCATAGATTTGTTCTGTTCTTGTATTTTTAAAAGTTTTTTCTGTTAGTTATTTTTATTTAGGAAACATTTTCTATAGCAATGAACCATAGAATAATCAGGTGATGTGTGTTTTTCATGGAAAACAAAAATGCTTCCAGATGATGTTAAATATGTAGAAAAGGATGTGTTAGCCAGCCTACACAGACTGTTCTTAAACAGTCAGTTCTGGTTTCTGCAAGGCAGTGTTGCTGTCTGTCAAAGTTTAAGGGGGATAGACTTACAGAGTATGAAGTGTACTAGTATTGGGAACAGCTGGGACCAACTAGATGCTGTTAACATAACAAATAAAGTAGACCTATGTGAGAAGAAGCCTGCTGTAAGAATAGGGTAACCAGTTCATAAATCAACTTGTGGGAGAATCAGGTGTATACTATAGTTCTCAGAGGCTCATGTTATAGAGGGTTTTTATTTACTTTGTAGAGGTTTCTACAGTCTTGAGCCTCTTATTGGATACCTGGAACAATCTCTCTTCGACAATGTTACTGGCTACAATGTACAAAAATAACTTTTCATGGAAAGAAAATAAAACCCACATTATCAGGTATTGCAGAAATAGGCAAATCAAATGGTATGAAATGTTGTAAGTGTACGTTAAATCCCATGCCTTTAGGTTAGCTGGCCTGTCTCCATTCCTTAAAGACTACACCCAGTTTATTAAGAGTGGGGTCCTCAACGATGCATGCCCTTTTCAGCATTGTCTCTGTTTTAATGGTTTCTCTCCTTGCAGTTTACTCTGATTCCTGACATGTTTTGGCTTTCTCAACTCCTCTTTCTTGTTTAAACCTTCACTCCTCGGACTTAATCCTGGGAAT
This sequence comes from Homo sapiens, assembly GCF_000001405.40. NCBI lineage: Eukaryota > Metazoa > Chordata > Mammalia > Primates > Hominidae > Homo > Homo sapiens. Next base: position 121,176,477 of record NC_000008.11, read on the forward strand.
TTCTCTGGCTCCCACCTGTAGCTTCTTTTCTTAAAACTTACTCTGCTTTTTATTATTATTATCATTCCAAGCACCGAGGAAGTCGTTTAGCCCAGTGCTGCCCATAGGACTGATGTTCCAAACTAAGGCTCCCATAATCATATTCCTCCTGGGTTAGCTTTGGCCTTAAAAAAAGAATTAAGATTTTTCCATTTCTGTATTACTTTCAGGCCTTGGATTACACAGGTGCTTACCGTACTTCTCTAAGCCCAAGTTTGTAGAGCCATCTATAGACAATTCCTTTGCACTGCTCCTGCTGGTGAAAATCATCTTGAGTCAGGTTGCTTCAATTAGCCTTCCATAGGTTGTTTCTCTATCTATATATCACTTTGGTCTCTTGACCTGGGTCACTCTATGAGCACTTTGCATTGTCTTTTTGGTGTCCACTGCTGTCTTCAGCTATCTGCATGCCTCATGTATTATTCTATAGAAATAAATTAGTAACTACATCTTTAACAGACAGCGATTTGAATATTCAGTAAATCTCTTTGCTTTTAGCCACAAAGAGAGGGAGAGTGTTCTCTTGAACAGCTACCCTGCCATTCTGCACCTCCACTTCCTTTATATTAGCCAACCACTTTCAGAAGTGGATTTTTTGCATTCTCAAATAAATATTTCCTACCTTTCCAACGTCAATGGTCATTTTCTCAGGTGACCATCATTAACAGCTTGTTTTCCTAGGTACTAATACAATAGCCTCCCCTATCCATGGGGGGATATGCTCCAAGACCCTTAGTGGATGCTCGAGACTACGGATGGTACCAAACCCATATATACTATGTTTTTTTAGTATACATAATTCCTATGATAAAACTTAATTTATAAATTAGGCATAATTTGATATGAATAACAATAACTAATAGTAAAATATAACAATTTTAACAATGTACTGTAATAAAAGTTATGTGAATGTGCCCTGTCTCTTTCAAAATATCTTAGTACTGCAGGTAACTGAAATTGTAGAAAGTGAAACCACAGACAGAGGGAACTACCGTAGAGTTAATGATTCTTTGATCCAAACTTGTGTACACTTTCATTCACTCTAGAACAGAAATTGAAGAAGAAAGGAAGATGAAAAAAGAAATATCCAGTTCATATAGGGAAAGTTGGATAGACAGCAACAGTAAGACCAAGGACTCCTGCCCTGTCCTTGGTGAAGTAGCAATCAAAATGTAGTCTTATGGTCCAATAAACTTCTCTGTCAAGAGTTTGTTTTGAAAAGATAAGTGATCAAAATTCTGTTCTAACTCACTAGGATGGAAAGAAAAAAGGGTGGAATTATCTTGAGTTCATAAGAATTCCCTCTTTAAAAGAGTTTGAACTATAGCAAGGATTGAACTTTTTCTTTGAAGAGGCCAGGTAGTGAGTAGTTTAGGCTTTGCAGCTGTATAGTTTGGTCCTAACTTCTCACTTTTGTCCTTGAAGCACTAAAGCATCTGTAGACAACATGTAAATAAATGAGGGTGGCTGTGTTCCAATAAGATTTTATTTACAAAATAAGCAATGGGTTGTATTTGACCCATGGAAGGATCTGAGAAAATGTACTTTCTAACTTGTTCCTGTTTCTTTTAGCTTAATCTCTATCTTAAGTAAAATTTGGACATAAGCAACCAATTAAGTTGACTTGATTGACTTAATCATTTACTCACATATGTCATGACTCCTTTATGACCTCCATTACATGAAGGCTGAAACTAGATGAAAGAGGTGAAGTATCTGGACCGAGGTCTTTCTAAATTCAGTGCTCAGAACTTTTCCAGTTAAATCACGATTTCTTTTCTACCTTATAGATACTTCTATAATTTGCAATTAATTCTTGCAGGTTAAGAAAGCACTTTGTACTCCTCATTTCCAAGGCATTGGATGAATATGTCCATACAAAAGCATACTCATACCTATTAAGAAATTATTCTATGAATAATACATATAGGAATGCTTGTTGAATATATTTTGAGGTTTTGCTTTCTGTTTTAGTATAAAATTGTTAAGAATCCAATTTATTTTGCACACAATTTAAGAGGGGAAATTAAATGTATATAATTTTAATAAATTTAATTTTCTCTATAATTTCCTCTGACAACTCATCAGCAACTTTGTTTTCCAAATACGTTGATCTTACTTTTAATATTAGAGTACACAGTTTAAGGCATATATGAGGTAAGGATGGTATAGTTTTCCAAAATGTTACATTTTATGGAATCTTAACACTGTAGACTGACTGAGCCAAACATTCCATACTGAGTTTAAATCTTCTATTTACTTATGGAAGAAAAGGGATAGTAGGCTAGGATTGCTATCAGATTTTTGTCTTCTCATCACATTATTCCAACTTCTTTCTTCTAGCCAAAGTGTTCCTTTTCTTTTAAGAATTTTTCTCCACATTGTGATGTGGCCTGTGTGAGACTGTCACTTATCCCTTTTAGGCTCCAGCACAGGGATGTCTTGTCCTTTAGCATGGATTAATCATAGCACCCCATCCTGACACAATGATTATCCCAAAGGATAGGCATGGATTCTTTTGTATGTTATTAAGTGACTTCTAGGGGGGAAAATCTTTCTGCTGATATTGCTGCACTGGAGGCTATGGAATTGCATGCTGGTTACCATTTTCAATGATATTTGAATAAAGCCACGCAGAGACAGAGATCGGATATAATTGAATGAGAGTGAGACAGTTCTGATGAACTGGGTCTCCTGAAACCATGTCCTGATCCCTGAAGCTCTTTGATTCTCTGTGTGCTATTTTGGTATTTTTCCAAGTCATACATGTATCCCCTTGTTAAATTGAAACTTGTTTTAATTAGATTTTTAGAACTCAAAATTGAACATCTTGCCCATCATGAGATGAGATGATTTTTTAGAGGTATGTTGGTAGGAGTGGGTAAGTTTCTCCCTTAGTAAAGACTCTAAGATTCTAGGGCAGGAGCTTTAAATCTTTTCTCTGTTGAAATACAAACGACAGCTGATGTGTTTTGGTGAGACATATTCCTATGCATATGTTCCAAGTGAATAGTACTTGTTATTCCATTTATTTTTCTCCTATCTTGAAATTCTATTAAAACGCTGGTGTTCTGGTTATCTACAGTTGCAGAGAAAACCACCTCAAAACTAAGTGTCACAAAATAACAAATATCTTATTAGTGCACATCATGATGTCATGTCCATCTCTGGGACCTCGACTGTAAGGACACAAATGGCTATTTGTGTAAATGACTGTAAGAGTGACTTGCATGGCTGGAGCCTGGAATAATTTGGCAGCTTCTGCACTCATGTCTTGCTTGGTAGGTATGGCGGAGTGAATGGACTCTACTGAGACTGTTGACTAGAATGCATACAGCTGGTTACTCCATCATGGTAGTTTCAAGGTAATCTGACTTCTTACACAGCAGTCAAGGCTTGCAGAGAAACTGTTCCAGTGAGCTAGGAGGAAGCTGCATGACCTTTTAAGATCTAGGTTTGGAAGTCATGCAAAAACTTTTCTGCCACATTCCATTAAAAGCCCACTCAGAAAGCAAGCAGGGACTTTGGGGACTCAGGGGGAATGCGTGGAAAGAGGGTGAAGGATAAAAGACTACAAATTGGGTCCAGTGTATACTACTTGGGTGATGGGTGCACCAAAATTTCACAAATCACTGCTAAAGAACCTATTCAAGTAACCAAACACCACCTGTTCCCCAAAAACCTATGGAAATAAAAATTTGAAAAAAAAGAAGACAAGAGATTGTTTGTGAAGATGTGAAAAAAAAAGGGAAACCTGTACACTTTTGATGGGAATGTAAATTAGTATAGGCATTATAGAAAACAGTATGGAAGTTCCTTGAAAAATTAGAAATAGAACTACCATGTGATCCAGAAATCTCACAACTGGGAATATATCCAAAGGAAGTAAAATCAGTATATCACAGAGCTGTCTGACTCCCATGTTCATTGCAGCATTATTTTTAATGCCCAAGAAAAAGAATCAGCCTAGATGACCATCAACAGATGAATGGATGGAGAAAATGTGTTGTATGTCCACAATGGAATACCATTTAGCCTTTTAGAAGAAGCAAATCCTGTCATTTGTGAAAACATGGATGAAGCTGGAAGATACTACGTTAAGTGAAATAAGCCAAGCAAGGAAAGACAAATGCTGCATGATCTCACACATAGGGAGTGTTAAAACATCAAACCCATAGAAACAAAGAGTGAAGTGGTGGTTACTGGAGGCCAGGAGGTTGGGGAGATATTGGTCAAAGGACACAAAATTTCACTTAGGAGGAATAAGTTGAGATCTATCGTGTATCATGGTGATTACAGTTAATAATATATATTTGAAAATTGCTAAAGGAGTAGATTTTAATTGTTCCTTTACTTGTCACTCAAGTCACATCACAATTGAATAAATTGCAGCAACTTTACATTAGAAAAAAAAGAAAGCAAGGAGGCATGGCATATTCTTAACTTCTCAACAGGAGGAGATCAAAGATTTGAAGGTGTTTTAAAACTTCCCCAGCTAGTGAATATAAAAGGCACTTTATAGGAATGAATGTGAAGTCATTCTAAAAATACATGTGTATTTAATCAAAGGTAGCGTTAGTAATGAGATAAGCACATATTATATATTTGTAACATATTGTAATATTTGGATTACAGAATTCCTGCACTGGGAGTGTGATTTAGGGTACTGTCTATGCAGGTAGGGTATGAGTGGGAGAAACAGACTAAAGTAGGAAGAATCAAGAGGGGTTAGTTGAATGAGAGGTTGGTGAATGTTAAAGTCAAGATTGGCAGGCATCCTAATTATTTTTCGGACTTGTTTCTGGTAATAGGACTCTGCTTCCTTCATCCTTGATTCATTTAGTCACAGCTGGAACAAATGATGACAGGTCCACGGGCAGAAAGCCCTGGCATGTGCCCCAACCAGCTAGAGATGGTCTGGGATTCTCCAGGCAAGGTCAGGCAAGATGCCGTGAAAAATAAATGACAGAAGTGGTAGAAAGCTTTATTTACTCTAACCATCCTTCTATAAACCTGTCATAGGTTGCTTGATTCACTCCTGTATACTGAATAACTCACTACTTTCTGTAAACTCTTTGGGGAAAAGAGCTTTTGTGTCATATCCATGCTACAGCCAGTTTCTCCACTGTCACCTTCTTGCTACTTATCACTATCCACTCATCTCAGGCCTTTACAGGCATTGTGAAAAGCACTGTTTTGTTTGTTTGTTTGTTTCAGGTGCAACTTTACCAATGTACTGCCCTTCCACAAAAAGAAATGTAGGAGTAGTTGCATCGCCGTCATTTAAACTGGTTAAGAATGAAGACTCAGATTCAAATCCCAGACCCAACTTTTACTAGCTACCTAACTATGGCCAAGTTATGTACTCTCTTCGCATCTCAGCTTCCACATTTAAAAAATGTATATTTTTAAATTACTTATCTACTATGTTTTCTGTGAGAGTTAAGGAGGATAGATAGATGATAGATAGATAGATAGATAGATAGATAGATAGATAGATAGATAGACAGTGCTCAGCACAATATAAGTACTCAGTAAGTATTAGTAGTGCTTGACCTGTTTCATGTGTGGGCAGGGCTTGAGAGCATGTCTGATACAAAGTTCTTATGTGTATCAGACTCTCTTTTTCTTTTCTTTCTTTCTTTCTTTCTTCTTTTTTTTTTTTTTTTTTTTTTTCTGAGACAGGGTCCCCCACTGTACCCCAGGCTGGAATGCAGTGGCATGATCGTGGCTCACTGCAGCCTTGAGCCCCTGGGCTCAAGTGATCCCTGCCTCAGCTTCCTGAGTAGCTGGGACTACAGGTGTGCACCACGTCTGGCCAATTTTTTTCATTTTAGTAGAGATGAGGTCTCACTATGTTTCCTAGGCTGGTCTTGAGCTCCTGAGCTCAAGCAATCCTCCCATCTCAGCCGCCCAAAATGCTGGGATTACATGAACCACTAATCCCTGTGTAATACGTCACAAGATGTATCCAATTTCTTGTGAATTTGAGGATAGCATAAGGGATTTACAAAATAGAAGAAAAAAATCACTTTAAGGTCAATGGCATATATTATTCCTTCGAAAGTCCCAGAGTTCCATTCCATCTTCGGGAGTCATTGCTGGCTGTTATTGTCCCAGGTGTACTCATCTCACATTTCACTCTTTTCTCAATTATCAGATCAGTGACCCCAAGTTCGTTACTTCTCCACTGTTTTGTTTTGTTTTGTTTTGTTTTGAGATGGACTCTTGCTCTGTTGCCAGAGCTGGAGTGCAATGGCACGATCTCGGCTCACTGCAACTTCTGCCTCCCGTGTTTAAGCAATTCTCCTGCCTCAGCCTCCCGAGTATCTGGGACGTCAGGCGCACGCTGCCACGCCTGGCTAATTTTTTGTATTTTCGTAGAGATGGGGTTTCACCATGTTGCCCAGGCTGGTCTCGAACTCCTGAGCTGAGGCAATCCGCCCGCCTTGGCCTCCCAAAGTGCTGGGATTACAGGCATGAGACACTGCACCCGGCCCTACTTCTTCACTTTCAATGCAGAGAAGACAAAAAAAAACCAATTACTATTAGAAGACTCTCTCTCCACCTAAGAAAACACCTATTATCTTCATTAGCTAAAGAAGTTTTGCTTCTGTGTCTTTCAGCTGCATATTAGACATCCATAACCCGAAGACCCACTGATGCATTTTCCCAAACCAAACAGGCGGTTTCTACTTGTAGTGAATGCTGTCACTACCCTTGATCATAGAAATGGTGGAAGTTTTACACTACATTTCTTTGCTCTTTTATCTCTCTAGAAATTGGAAAATATTTAAAAAGGAACAAACAAAAATATTTTTATTATTAAAATTATACTTCCAAAACTGTGAGGGAAAAATAATATGTTTCTGACCTTGAAAGATTATTAGAAGCTTTGCAGTTTGAGAGTCCAAATTTGAATGCTGGCGCACTTATATGTGAGGAATGTGATTTGGAACAAATACTTTTCTTTTGTGCCGCGGTTTGAACTTCTGGGGATATAATTCTGACTTCACTGGGCTTTTTGATAATTAAGCAATATCATATAGATAAGTAACTGGCATGTAATGGATGCTCATATTAGTCTTTCTTTCCCACTGAAAGGCAGAATTAGTTTTTGCTTTTTGCTCCTTAAATCTACTTGTTAGTGGGATCATACTTGAGTGTGTCTCAAATTTAAATTACATTTACTATTGATATGATTGTGCTCAGTTGATGCAATGATTGCTCGTTTTAACAAGAACATATTAAAAAGAGCAATACATCAGGGGAACAGACCAAGAATCATCCAAATAAGACGTCTGAATATTTGACATAGAATTTTAAGATTAAAGCAATAAGGACATTCAAGTGTATTTTTATACTCTTAAAAACTCTTTATCAATAGGTTTCTGTTCTTTATTATTATTATTATTATTATTTTAAAATGAGGTCTCATCATCTTGCTCAGGCTGGTCTTAAACTCCTGGGCTTAAGTGATCCTCCAGCCTCAGCCTCCCAAAGTGCTAGGATTACAGGTATGAACTACCGCACCAGGCCGGTTACTATTCTTTGATCTCAGTAAAATTTACAGGAAACGTTCCATTTTGTAAGTAATGATCACTGACTAGAGTATTCAGTAGAAATTCCATTTGCACACCTTTAATTTACTTCTCTCAGTATCCAAAAGTTTTCTTTAATTCTAGGAGGGTGGAATTTAGTAAAGGTCTTGGAGATTCTAAATGGTTATTGAATAAAGTAATTTAATTTGTTTAGATACGTTCACAGAGCCCCTTCAATATTAGAGCACAGTGAATAAGAGCAGAATGAAGCTCTCAGAAAAATAAGAATTGCATTGGAATCCCACCTCCACCACTCACTGTCTGTGTAACACTGAGCCTCAAACTTTAGTTTCTATGTCTAGCAACCGGAGACTGCAGTAGTGCCTACTTATAGTTAGAATCGTGAGATCATGCACTAAGCACAGAGCTTAGGGTCAGTAAGTGGGCTCCTTCTTTTTCTCCCTTTTTCTTCTTCTTCCATCGACTGTCTAAATCGCATCAAACTCATTATTTTGGTCATATATAATAGATCCTTTATGTTTTTGATGATTTGATTTCAGATTCTCTTTCTTGACAGAGGTTGATCTGGCCTACGTATGGTATGCCAGGAAGGATCAATAGGGCTACAGAATTTTAGGCAAGGAGAAGATAACTTCTTGTGCTCTCTTATGGTCAATTTCTCTGTTAAAATGTGAAATTCTGCCATTCCTTTAAGGAAGGTGGTAATATCATGTTGCTTTGATTTTAATGAGATTTGTTCAGAAGGTAGAACCCTTTGAGGGCTCCTTCATGAAACACCAACCTCAGCTGTTTTACATTCTGCAGGTGTTATGTAAATGCCAAATATTAATGTTTTACTATCTAGTAAAAGAGATGAAATAAGATTTTTGTTGCTGCTTGTTTCATAGGCTGCAAATAAGACTGGGTCATTGTCGTTTTGATTATTCAGCTGCAAGTTTCTTTGCCTTCAAAAAGTACAGTAAAAATAAATGCCGAGAATGCTTCTGTATTAAGAAGAACAACTATATAGGTAACATTTAGAGAGTACTTAAGTATGGGAGGCTGTACTAAGCCCTCTTCATGTATTGTCTCTCCCAATCTTCACAAAACTGTCTGAAATGAGCAAGAGTCTTAGCTTCACATGGCAGACAAAGAAGCTGATATTTTTAAACATTAAAGAACTTACTCAAGAATACAAAGCCAGTAAGTGGCTGAGTAGAGAAGTGAATCCAGGTTGATTTGAAACCAAAGTCTATACTGGTGAATGCAAGAGTCATAGGGAGTTATGGCACCTGTGAAGAACTGGAGAGGTTCTGCCCATTCAAAGGGAGCAGGTGCTGCTTGGCTACAGTGATTATTGTCACACAAGAATGAAGAACCAATGTTGCCAGAAATTCTGAATTTTTAAAGAAGGAAATATTGTAAACCACACATCTGATAGACAAATGGGCAAAGACCCTGAATAGACACTTCCCAAAAGAAGACAAACATATGCTGAGGCAGGAGAATTGCTTGAACCCGGGAGGCGGAGGCTACAGTGAGCCGAGATCACGCCACTGCACTCCAGCCTAAGTGAAAGAGAGAGACTCCGTCTCAAAAAAAAAAAAAAAAAAAGACATACATATGGCCAACAGATATATGAAGAAATGCTCAATATCACTAATGAGAGAAATGCAAATTAAAACCACAATGAGATATCACCTCACACTTGTTAGAATGGCTCTTATCAAAAAGATGAAAGTATTGAAGAGAATGTGGAGAAATGGAAACACTTTTGGTGGAAATGTAAATTAATATGGAATTTCATTAAAAAATAAAAATATAACTGTTATATGATCCAGCAATCCCATTACTGGGGTATACATTCAAAAGAAATGAAATCAGTATGTCAAAGAGATACGTGCACTCTCATGTTTATGGCAGCCTGTCATGTTCTTGACAAGATATGGAATCGTCCTAAGTGTCTATCAACGGATGAATGAATAAAGAAAATGTGGTATACATACACAATAGAATATTATTCAGCCTCATAAAAGAAGGAAATCCTATCATTTGTGTCATGAATGAGCCTAGGGAACATTTTGTTAAGTGAAATAAATGAGGCACCAAAAGACAAATACTACAGGACCTCACTAGTATGTGGAATCTAAAAAGGCTAGATTTTTTAGATTCACGGAAGCAGAGAGCAGAAGGGTAGTTTCCAGAGGCTGGGGCAGAGGAATGCAAGAGAGATGCAAGAACCGGGGAGATGATGGTTCAGTGAGATAAGAGGGAAAAAGTCAAGAGACGTATTATACAACATGATGACTGTTGTTAATAACAATGTATTGTATTCTTGAAAATTGATTGTAAGTGTTTCTCACTATGAAACAATGATACATATGTAAAGTAATGCATGTTACTACTAAATCAATGGCTTGATTTAGCCATTGCACAATGTATACATATTTCAAAATAACATGTTGTACACTGTGTATATATATTATACCTTTGCCAATTAAAGAAATAAAAAAGAAATAAAATGACAAAAATCTAGGTTGTCATGTACTCTGTTCTGATTTTTAAATGTTGACAACTTATACAATATGTTAAATCATACTAACAACTCAAAATATTTTAGAAATGATCGAGTCTAAGAGGCTGTCGGTTTGCTTTTCTGAACTTGAGTATAAGAAACTGAAGTCAACTGTGTCGAGAATGTGGAAGACACTGAATGACAAGCTAAAGACGGTTCTATTCGAGGTGCAAAAGTAATTGCGATTTTTGCCATTACTTTCAACGGCAAAAACCGCAATTACTTTTGCACCAACCTAATTGTTAGACAAAGAGGAGCAATTGAAGGCTTTTCAGCAGTGGTATGCAGACTGCTGTGCTGTAGAATGACCAGTTTGGTGGGAGTGCACAGATGGTTTGGGGATGAGAGAAAGAGCAGGCAAGATGGCCAGGTTGACAGCAGTTACATTCACTAAGATAGCTGACAGTCATTGAAACATAAATAGCTGATTTGTACAACTAACAGCTACTTATCACTATTGTCAACTATTTAATCCTACTTTTCAGAGTATATCAGTAAAAGAAAAACTTATCTGAGTACAAGGGCATCCCACTTAGCAGTATCCTTCCTAAACTTTATCAAATGTTAGCTTGTAAATGAACATGGATGCCGTTGATCTACAACATCCTATGGTGCGTTCTCTGCCTCCTCATCTTCCTCTGGCCTGATGTATCTCCACAGTTAGACGTTGCTCTCAAGCCATATCTTGGCACTGCTGCCTTAGACAGATTAAAAATTGCTAAAGGAGAGTTTCTTTTCCTCTACTTAGAACTCTGTATAAAAAACTAAAAGAAAGATGAAAAAGATTGCCCATGACAAAGTATCCCATTTAGGGAATGAGATGAGATTTTAAAGTTAAACCCAGAAAATCTAAGTGTTTCTTTAAAATGAAACATGCCAGATTAATTTATACAGTGAATACATATTTTATTGTGTGCCTATATTATGCCGGGAACTATGAGAAATTCAAATACGATTAAGACAAAACCCTGCCTCTCAAGGAGTGTATAGTTCAATTACGTGTTTTTTTTTATTGTTGAAGTTATGTATGAGAATAAAGAAATGCAATACAAAGTAAGAAGTGATAAATTTTATAATGGAAACTAGATAAAATTCTACATCCCTCATTGAAAGGAGACATTAAATCTATTTAGCGGAATTCAAAAAAGCTTTAAATAAGAGATGTTGGAAATAGGCTTTGAAAGATGAATAGGATTTATACATTATGAGAAAATGAGAGTAACAGCAGTGTTCTCAATAGAGGAAGTAACATAGAAATGAGGTCAGCAGAGGGAATGTTTAGGAGATGTTCAGCTTGTCAGGAGCATAAGGTAAATACTAGTATTGGAAAATAAGATTGAAAAGACAAGTTGGAGCTCTAAAACTCAGTCAGGTTTTCAATTTTGTAGGCATGGGGAAACCCTTGAATTATTCTGATTGGAAAGATGATATAACGGAAGCTGGACTTTGAGAATATTAACCTCACACCAATCCTAACATGGTGTCCCAAAGTGTGGTGTAAGCATCACTGGCAGCCAGCACAATGATGTCAGATGGTTCATGAAGGAATATTTGTTTAATAGTTCCATATCAATTTTCACGTGTTCAGTTCACAGTTATTAGGGTGTTTAGGTATACAAATTAGAATTGAGAAAGGATGAGATTTCAACAATTGGAATGTAAGGTTCCTGACAGTCAAACCCTTACTGAATCACTCCTATTTGTGTCTCTTTACCTGGAGAAACAGTATTTTTTTTCTTGCAGGGAAAAACTGTTTTCTCTCATGCCCATTCCTTATTGTTGCTTGACCTGCAATAAGAATCCCAGTATCTTCTACTTATCAGGTACTAAGCTAGATGCTGGGGTGAGAAATACCAGGGATGCATTTTGGAACTTTCAGCCTACTGGGGAAGACATGCATTTAACAAAGAAATGCAAAAGAAATGGAGAATTGCCACAGTGTCCAGCATACAAAGGAGTAGCACATAGTGATTTGAAATATAGGACTTGTCTTAGTCACAGAGACAGATAATTCTTCCCTGAGGTAGTAATTTTTGAACTGAAGTCTGGAATCTGAAGGTTGAGCAGAATTGTGGAAAGGGCGTGTTGTAGGGAAAGAATCCTGTGAAAGCTTTGATGCAGAAAAATCAGAATAATTAAAAACTAAAAGGTTATAGCTGGAGTGGAACAAGCAAGAGATTATGTTGGGAAGGCAGAAGAGATAGATTGGTAGAGCGTGCCCTCTCAGGTTTTAAAAACAGTACTCAAGAGTCTTTCAGTCCTCATTTAAAAGATCATATTTGCTTGATTTCAGTTTTCAAAATTTAGTAGCAATATATTATTTAATTATTTATTGTTTGGTTTACATCTATTTATGGTTTACTCTTCACAATAGTAAAAAAATTAAACAAATTAATGACATTCAAACTATGAATCTATTTAAGTAAAAATATGGATGTTTCTAAGTTCATGCAGGTGACATGAATGACTGATATTTGGGAAACATGAAACTGACTTACCTGTCTTGTCAAATGATGACACATCACAACTGTAGTACCCAAAGTCTGGAGAATATATCTTACCAGGCCAGTCTTAGTATTGGAGACTGTTTAGTCTAGCAAGACTATTACAGGCTCTTACAAATGGTGTTATTTGCCCTTTGGCAAAATGATCTCATATATCAGACACTTGTGTTCCAAGTACAATGGTTTATCTTATTTTATTTCAGACACAATAGCCTAGATTCACCATGGGTGGTCATCACTATCTCCACTCTTCCACAAATATGAACTTTGGTCACTGCTACACATGAAACAAGATATGAGATCAGGGACCAGAACAACAGTGTTTCAGACATCATTATATTGATAGAAATCATATCCCATACTAAGAAATTTTGATGTTTACATTGGCAGCTCAGAAACTTCCCCTGAAGACAAGGCTTTGCTATGACAAAGAATTCTATGAAAACATTTGCTTGTTAGTGTACGGAATATTGGAGTTTGAGAAAAACTTAAGGTTTGTTTAATCTCAACTCATTCAACTTACGAAGGAAACACCTGAGACCCAGGGAAATGACTTAGGGGAATGATTTACCCAAAGTCACATAGATAGCTCCTGTCTTACATGCTTCATCGCGCACCATGTCAGCTAAGAAGAAGCTCACAGAACCTAAGAAGGAGGATTAAACTGTGTGTTATGATAAGACTTGGATGGAACCATCATCATCAGCATTTCTCTGCTCACTGGATTCTGTGCTCCTTAGTTCAAACACAACCATAGTACTTGGTCCATGCTTAATACTGTTAAAACACTGGAACAACTGCCTATCTCCAAAATAAGTGAGTGAAAATGAGAACACACAGAAGCTAAATAAAGGTTTACTTTTCCTCCGTTCTTGAATCATGTACACATTTGGCTATCTCCAGCACCCACCTGGTGCTGTCTGAGCCACATTTCACCTTAGAAAAGGATGACCTGTAGCAAGCCATCTGGCTGTGCTGAGAGCTTTAAGCTTTAAGAAATTATATTCAGCTTCAGGAAGAAACTTTATTTGCTTCCCAAGATGCAAATGATGTGGTCATTTAGGCTAAAGAGCAAAATGTTTCCTGTTTTTAAAAAAGTGGAGCAGAAGAGAAGGTTCTTTGAGATTTTTTTCTCCATGAAAAATTTAGATCATTTATTGCTTGAATTATGATACAGACACAACCAGATTCCTGTGGCAGGAAGGGACTAGCAATTGGTTTTTTCCATGAGCAGTCCTTTGTCCTGGGACAGAGAGAGCAGTAGCTTTATCACAGTGTCAATTATTTAATTCTTCTATTTTGGGATCCTTTTTCTTAAGCAGGAAATTTCTGAGTCGTGATTGCACTCCAATATAGTATATTACCAGAAAAAGACACACTAGTTAAGTGTAGTAATAGCAAAGAAACATTTCTTTGTAACAACTTGAAATACAATTAATGAAACAGATAATTGGTCATATTAAAAAAGATTATCTAACTGAAGAAATCCCTGTATTTTCCCTTAATTCATAATATTTCCTACTGCATTAAAAAGAGACTTTAATATTCAAATGATCTGTTTACAGCCAACCCTGCATCCAAGAAGACTTAACAATGGGGAGATTTCTATCCTTTTCCATTTGGACAAAACAAAAGTGTACTGAATTTTCCCGAAGTCTCTTCATTTCACCATGTCTGTGAGCCATAGGTGTAAAAACAATCCAATTTTTTTGGCAGGCTCAAACAAAGAGCATGCCTGTCCACCTCTTCTTCCTGACTCCACATGCAGGAGTAAATACACATTTTATGATACAGCTTCGCTCATGTTCTGGCAACTGCTTAAAAAGGGAAGGCATTAAGATTACATTGACTGCTGACCTTTTTGAAGATCATTCTCTTCAGCTGTTTGGAATCTAGAGTAAGGTTAGTGCTATTTTTAAGGGTTACAGTGATGAATATGGGCTTTGGCACCAGGTACACGTGGTTCCAAATGGTGATTGCCCCACTTATTAGCTGTGTGATCACAGGGAACACAGTTAACATCTCTGAGCCTCTCAGAGTTTTTCATTCATAAAAATAGAAATAATTGCTCCCTTGCAGCATTTTTCTGAAATTCAAATGGGCTGAAATAATGAATGAATATCTAGTAATGTTTGGGAACATCGTAAGTGTGTAACAATTGGTAGTTACTATTTAAATTTTTAAATGTTTCCCCAAGTTCCAAGTTTTCCATTCTTGATAACAATAATTTAGTTCTGTATTCTCAACAGCACCTAACAAAGTACTTTTTACACAAAATTGTGCTCAATAAGCATTGGTTGCATTGATTTCAATTCCCAAGTCTGAATGAGCAATAAAACTGACACGCACTGTGTCTGCCAGGAAATGCACTGGCAAGACTCAGATTGCTCACATGTGTTATGGTCACAGATGTTGGAAATGGTCTAAGAGGAGAGAGAAGCCAGGCCTGTAAAACACTTTGGAAGCTGCCCAGCGCTCAGCTTCGCTCATCTTGCAGAAAAGAACAGGACAGGAGACTCTTTTTGAACTGTTCGGTAGCCTTCATTAAAACCGGGGTCCAGAGAGGCTAGTCAAGAGGCCATTCCATAGAGTGACTCGGTCTTGTAAGTCAAATTTATTTCTCATCATAAGTACAGAAGGCAGAGTCAAACAAGGCACTCTCTTTCAATGAAATAATAATCAATATAAAGTGTTACTATGCATAGATGAAAATGATTCATATTTTAAAAACCAGAAACAAATGGTACTCTGAAAATGGGTTATTTTAAGAAAGTTTAATAGGATGTAGGCAAACCACAAGTGGATGGCATAGCGTCCCTGGGAGAGTAACATCCAAAGTGCTGTTATCACCTTAAACCAGTGATGACAGGAACCCAGGATGATATTATGTGTAGACAGCTGTCTCGACTGGAGCTATGACTTTAGGTTGAGGAATACAGTCAACCCCTCAACAACCATTCAGGATGATGGTGCAGTCAAGGTGAAACACCTAATCTCACTTTCCTTCCTCCAAGTTCCTGCTAGTGTTCCCATCTTAAGCCAAAGGCAGATACCTGTTGATGTAATTTACACATAGGCATAGAATAGGAAGGAGAAAATAGGGTATAGGTTTGGAAGGCTAATCATTTAAATCACCTTTCACAGTGGCTCTACTACAACTGAATATGGAGTGACTTTGGGGTTACCAGCTCTCCTGTAAAGTGACAATGCACTTATTAGTAGTTCTGGTATATTTTCTTTTCTTTGCCTCCTATTCAGAGGTATATACTACTAGTTCAGAGATTCAAAATAGTGACAAGTTGCTTTTCCTTGTACTTCCCTAGCTCCTTCCCATTATCAACACCATACTCATGTCCTATACTTCCAAATGTACATTTCCAATAATTACTACCCATGCTCGGTTGACCAAGTAGGAATCCCTCCCTGGTATAAGTTACCGTTATTTCCGTATTTGTGGACCCAGGGTAAATGCCATCTGTCCATGCATCCGTTCTACACAGGGGTGTGAGTTGGATAAAGGGAAATGACCATTAAAGAAGAAATTAATTTGGCAAATGGATAAAATGTGATTTAATAGCATGGTCAGTCTTTTTCCATGTATAACAATAACAATACTATTTTTAGTCTTTGGAGTTTGCAAGGTGTTTTTTATATTATTTTTGCTCTATTTCTAAAACATAAGGACCAAAACTCAATGGGATTAGGTGGCTGCCTCAAAGTTGTAGAACTACTATGTAGAAGAGTGAAGGCCCAAAGGTATTTCTTATATATGCAAATCGAGGGCTGTTTCTCCTGTACCATATTGGTGTACATGATGTAGTGTTATTTATTAGACTTGTTTTTCAACATTTTATGGGAGAAAATAGGGCACAGACATGTTAAATGTGGATGGAAAACAAATACAAAAGGAATTGCCAGGAGATCCTAAGCAGCCATAGGAAAGCATTACACCCAAGCACCTTGCAGAGCTTTCATCAGTGAAACCAAAGGTAATCAACTCATGCCAGGTGTGTTAGTCCATTTTCACACTGCTGATAAAGCCATACCCAAGACTGGGCAATTTACAAAAGAAAGAGGTTTAATGGACTTATGGTTCCACATGGCTGGGGAGGCTTCAGAAACATGGTGGAAGGCAAGGAGGAGCCAGTCACATCTTACATGGATGGCAGCAGGCAAAGAGAGAGTTGTGCAAGGAAACTCCCCTTTATAAAACCATCAGATCTTGTAAGTCTTATTCACTATCACAAGAACAGCACAGGGAATACCTGCCCCAGTGATTCGATTACCTCCCACTGGGTCCTTCCCGCAACATATGGGAATCCAAGATGAGATTTGCGTGGGGACAGAGCCAAACCATATTGCCAGGTTACCTGTGACTTTCTGTGTTTTATCATTGAAAGTCCCACATCCTGGGAAACCCCTCAGACCCTTAAAAGCAGATGACTGGTCAACCTACAGTTAAACCTTACATCTTTCACTATTTGGAGAGCATTACCTTTATGAAGGAATCAGACACTTCTGCCTACGTATCCTTGGCCAAAGTACATCACATCAACACTCCTGGGTTCACTAAGAGGGAGATACATAGTCATCCTACTAGGAGGGAAATTCTGGATCATTAATATAGTCCACCATGACTGGTAATAAGTACACTTAATGATTCAGCATGGAGTGAGTGTGGAGGAAACATGGGGAAGCCATCAGGGCTCTACTTTCCATTTGTCATGGAGACTCAGGTTATTAGTCACTGGCATCCTTGAACTTCTGAGTTTTAGATTTTAGAACTGAAAAGGACCGCAGAGAACATTGAGTTCAGCCTTCTGTCTTTAGACAGGTGTGGTGTTACTAACCTTGGCTTACAGATGAGGCAACTGATGCCCAGGTGTGGGATCCCTAAGGTGTCCTGGATAAGAAATAGTAGAGGAAAAGCTAATCATCCAATTCTTCTGTCTTATAAACTTTCTTTTTTCTCTCTTCACTGCCCCATGGTCTGGAATTTGGCTCAATATCCTTTTGTTATGTCTCCAATTGTTATTTAATATTACTCGCTTTTAAAGTGGGGCCAGCAACATCAAATCTCATACAAGTAAGAACCCCAAGTATAGTATTCCAAGCAAAGCTTTGTTTTCTTGGTTTACTTTCCTTAATTATCCTAGTAGTTTTAAATGTGAAAACATGATTATGTCACTGGGCTTATCTCCTAGCTAATGTAGAAAAATTATCCCTAAATAAATCATATAAACTATTGCCATGATACCATAATTGGGTCTTGTACATAAAATTGAATATTGGACATTGCATGAATGTTTTCTTTAGGTGTCTCCAATTTCTTGAAAAAAAAGTCTCCAAATCATATTGTCTTGAACTAGGTCCAGAGGAGTAATGAGAAACTCAGAGGTGGTCAGGACTTATGCTACAGAAAGCTGTTTTGAGTTCCTGGATTTAAGAGATGAAGGCCAGAGAAAAAGGGCCATTTCTGCATTTTCTTGGCTGGATCTTCAAGCCAAAGTAAAATGACAAGGTTATGTATTTGGTCTTCAGTGTCATCAAAGTACAATGAAAGAATTTTCAAAGAGAACAGCTTGCTGGGGGGTGTTGGGGCATGCCATTCTTAAACTTGATTACTTCCTTTCCGATCAATTTGGAAGCCAGAGAGAGCCAGCAAGAATAAATGACGAGCCATGTACTAATAACATCAGGCTTCTGCCTACATGCATGTTGCTACTTCCCACACCCTTCTACTTGTGCCAATCTTCAGAAATAAGCAAAAAAGTACATAATCCTGGACAAGATTACACTAACCTTACCTAGTAAGGGTAATTTTGCCTTACTAATTAAATATATGTCTAAGACTATAGTTATATACATAATTGAAATGCAAATAGCAATCAATAATTGTTTATTTTTAAGGGATCTGCAGACTTGTTCTGAGTTCTTTTTCTCACTGATTTGATCAACTTTCATTACGTTTACTGAAATTTGATGTTTTGGAAACAGGTAATATGACCTCCAATTTCTTAGATGTTTTGAGAAATACAGCATATTTTGCTGAAGAAAAATATATTTTTAAAAATCTGTTGTGTTTTCTTAGCCTGAATAAGCTTGTCATTACTACTGTCAGGGATTTGAACATTTGTGTGTGTGTGTGTGTGTGTGTGTGTGTGTGTGTGTGTGTGTGTGAAGAAGTATAGTTTATTCTCTTAAACACTTGAGATTATCTAAGAGGAGCTTGATTATATACAGACATATAATGCAACATGATGGAATTTGACACAACGGAGTTTTTCCCTGACTCCTCTACTTATTTCTGAGTATTATTTTTCTCATCTGCAATATAAGGATCAACTATAATAAAGATACATTAAGTGACTAGAAAACAGAGCTCAACAAAATGTAGTATGAAATAGGACCTGGAGTAGTAGCAGGTATAGCAGCAGTAGCAATAGTGATATTGATCATAGTAATAAAAATCCATAAGTGAAGAAGAAAAGGATATCTTTGTCAGTTATTCTCCTTATCTCAGAGAGGGGCTATGCATGTTATGGCAGAGGTTGGGACCTGACCACCAAAAATATCTGCCATTTTTTTTCTCTGGACACACAACTAGAATATATTTCCCACTGGTCTTTGCAGTTAGACGTGGCTATACAAATAATTTCTAGCCAGTAAAATATGATCAAAAATGATGTACACCACTTGTAGCCCTGGATCACCAAAACTTCTGATATATTCTCTATGCTCTTTTCAACTTCTGAGCTTGAGAAAATGAAGATAACTTTCAAAATAACTTCTTAAGCCACATATTAACCATCAACTTGATTGCCCACCCATTCTTATTGAATGAACTTGAGCTATCATACATGTTGGAGTCCCTTTGTTAGAGCAGCTAACCCACACTTAGTAGTTCTGATTTCATACCTTAAACTTGTGTTTACTTAATAGTAATGCAGTAGGTAACCAACAACAAAGAAAAAGACATTAGAATCCATGAAGATGAAGACCCATTTTATGCAGAGTGTATCAGATAGCTATTCCTACATAACAAACTATTCAAAAAACCAATAGTTTCAATGACAATCATTTTAATTCACTCACACAAATGTGGTTTAGCTGAGAAACAGCTGTTCAAGACATGGTTTGGCTTGGAAACTGTATTTCAATCTGCAGAGATAGCTGGCTTTACCTCCTTGCTATATAGATTTTGCTCTGGTATACTTTATGCACATTCATTCTGGAGCCCAGGCTAAAGATATAGCAGTTACTTAGAGGAAGCTCTTTATACGGTGATGCTGGTGGTGCAGGAGTATAAACACAACAGCAAAACACATTTTATGACACATCTGCTGACATTCTACTGGGTAAAGCAAGTTGTGTGTCTTTGCCCAATATCAATGGGCTGGAAAAGTATAGTCTTTCTGCTGAGTTGGAGGAGATGAGGTGAATATTTTCATAATAGTGTGCTCACACTGGGGGAAATACTTGGTAAAAACCATCATAAGAAATCACTTGGAGAGCAAACCAACTGAGCTTTCTAAAAGAAATTATTGAAATAAATTAGCATGCTTATGTTTATAATTTCTTTTGTTTAAACAAAGAACTACAAGAGTTGAGCTCAGAATTCCCAACTTTACATAGAGAAATAAAGGAAAAGACAGAATTTAGAAATATGGGTTCTCAAAGAGTTGGAAAATCTGAGTGCTAAAGATCCTTAACTGTGGAAAGTAAGAATAAAAAAAGGCTTTGAGCATCAAAAGCCCAATAAAACTTCTCAGTTAAAGTATTTCACTATGCAGCAAAGTTCATATTGGTGGTGTTACCTTTCCCCCAAGCCTATTTGTTACACTGGCCTCAAGGAAACCGTCGTTAATTTGAAAGAAGAAACATGGGTAAGGAAAGGAATCCTAGAGCATGCCCAGGAAGAAACTTTGCATTTAGTTACTTGTACTTGATAAAAACACAGGCCTGGCCCCAAAAAAGCCTCCAATTACATAACAATCTTGGACCTTGAAACCTTCAAAAGTAGAAAGCATGCCCTGAAATCTATGCAGCCCCCAAGGTTTGTTTATAGGCAACCTTTCCTTCAGATTTGGTGCTGGAGGACAATGGAAGAAAAGTCCAGTGGGTAGAGTCAAGGCTACAGAGAATACTTGTCCAGAGATTTCCTCCCAAATACAAGAATCTGGGTTTAATCAAAGAAGTTTCTCTATTCTTGGTAGAGGGGTGCTTCATAATGTCTGCCCATCATTTTTATTTTATTATTATTTTTTAGAGACAGAGTCTTTCTCTCTTGCCCAGGCTGGAGTGCAGTAGCCCTATTATAGCTCTCTGCAGCCTTGAACTCCTGGGCCCAAGTAATCCTCTTGCCTCAGCCTCCCCAGTAGTTGGGACTACAGGTGCATACCACCATATTCAGCTAATTTGTTTTGTTTTGTTTTTCAATTTTTAATAGAGACGATGTCTTGTTATGTTGCCCAGGTTGGTCTCGAACTCCTGGGCCCAAGTGATCCTCCCGCCTTGTCTCCCAAAGTGCTGAGATAATCGGTGTGAGGCACTGCACCTGGCCTCCCAGTAAGATTTCATAATTGACAAGTGTAGGTAGAGCATCTCTATTCCAAAAATCCAAAATTTGAAATACTCCAAAATCTGAAACTTTTTGAGAACCAACATGAGGCTACAAGTGGAAAATTCTACACCTGACGTCATGTGGTGGGTTGCAGTTGAAACTTTGTTTCATGCACTAAATTATCAAAGATATATAAAATTACTCTTATGCCATGCGTATTAGTTGTATGTGAAAAATAAATTAATTTTGTGCTTAGCCTTGGATCCCACCCCCAAGATACCTCATTGTCTCTATGCAAATATTCCAAATTCCAAAAAAAAGTGAAGTCTGAAACATTCCTCGTCCCAAGCATTTCAGAGAGTAGATACTGAACCTGTACCAATGACATCTGAATGGCTCACATATGTCCACTTTCCAAATAGGAACTTTAATTACAGTTATCCTGTCTTTATTACACCATTGTTTATTGGATATGTGTGCTTATGGTAGGTCAGATAATGTACTTTTAGTTTATAGCATATTGGACTGTGAAGAAGCACATCCATTTCTGACTAAAAGGACTTCACAGTGCTCAGAAATCCCAGACTTTGAGTTAGATATACCAATTTGTTGGGACTTTGGGCTGTGTCCTTGGGGAAGGGTGTGTTTTTTATGTGTGAAATAGAACACTCACAACAGATGACAACTGGAGATACACAATTTGGAGGTAACTTCAAGCTTTTCACACAAATCCATGTTTTTCCTTTTTTCTTAGGCACACAGGTAGATTACATTTTCCACCCTCCTTGTAGCTTCATGTGGCCTTGTGACTGAGTTCTAGCCCACAAAATGTGAGCAGAAGTGAAAAGTGTATTTTCTAGGCCTGCACCTTAGATGTACATTTTTTCATGCTCTCTTTCCCTTCTGGCTGATCAGAATGGATAAAATCTTCAAGGCGACCCTGGAAGCCATTTGTTGAAAATGGCAGATTAATCAGCCTGTGTCCCTGAATTACCGCGTAAAGAAGGGAAATTCCTCTGATCTTTTTGCCTGCCTACTACTGTATCATGAGCAAGAAATAAACTACTGTTTTTGACACTATATATACTTTTAGTCTATTTTTTAACCCCCCCAAATGAATACACTTAGCACTATCAAGTGACCTAGTATCTACCAATGTATTGTGTCCTTTAGGCTAAGGACCATACAGGTACTGCCTGGAATTTTTGCAAAGCAATGCCTGTCCCGTTGGTTTCTAACAGCAGACCTCTGCTAATACTGCAGAATAATGATTGGAACAATGCCATAGTACACATGGAAGGTATAATTTTATTTTATTTTGCAGCCAAATCTATGGACCAGTCAGAGGCTCTACAACACGTTTGCTGTATTTTCCTTCTAATATTTAAATTAGATAGAATGCAAGATAGCAAAGCATTGAATCAGAAATGTGTTCTATTTTTCTTTAACTTTAATTCCTATAGCATAAGTACCCGCTGGAGAAGTAGAAATTCCCTTCCTTTTCAAAAATATAATGTACCAGCCCAAGCCAAGCCAAGCCAATTACTTCTTTTCTTTCTTTCTTTCTTTTTTTTTTTTTTTTTTTTGAGACGGAGTTTTGCTCTGTCGCCGGGCTGGAGTGCAGTGGCACAATCCCAGCTCACTGCAACCTCCACCTCCTGGGTTCAAGTGATTCTCCTGCCTCAGCCTTCGAGTAGCTGGGACTGCAGGCGCCCACCACCACGCCCGGCTATTTTTTTGTATTTTTAGTAGAGACAGAGTTTCACCATGTTGGCCAGGATGGTCTTGATCTCTTGACCTCATAATCCACCCGCCTCGGCCTCCCAAAGTGCTGGGATTACAGGTGTAAGCCACCACGCCTGGCCACCAATTATTTCTTTTAAAATTTATTTATTTATTTCTTTTTGAGACTGGATCTCTCTCTCTCTCATTGGAGTGCAGTGGTACAGTCTCAACCTTACAGGCTCAAGGGATCCTCCTACCTCAGCCTTGTGAGGAGCTGGGACTACAAGTGTGTGCCACTACACCTGGCTAATTTTTAAAAAAAATTTTGTAGAGACAGTATCTCTCCATGTTGCCCAGGCTGGTCCTGAACTCCTGGGCTCAAGAAATCCTCCTTCCTCAGCTTCCCCAAAATGCTGGGATTACGAGGCATGACCCACCACACTCAGCTCCAAGCCCATTACTAATGTGCAAAATAGTCTTCTAGATTTTCAGAAAAACCAACTCTGAACATGCAATTCCTCCAGTTACTTTCATTTGTGATTGTACAATCATATAATTATCCTAAAGTTACAGGAATATTTTAGGGATTTCATTTTGTCACATAAGAAGGATTAAATTTTCTCAGTAGTTTGGTTGCCATCTATAATCACTCATGTGGATGTAAATATTTTACAAGTCGAAGTGTGCACGCCAATGTCTGTTCATGTGGTTCTTGGTCTTAGCCTGCCAACAGCAGCAGACATCTATAAATACCTCACCAGTTTTGCATGCCCTCTGTAAATTGCCTGTGTGGTTCCTCAGATGGAAGATTATTTTCACTATTATTATATTTATTTTATTAGTTATTTAGCCTCTCTGAGGCTTAGTTTGCCTGTCTGTAATTTAGAGATTTAAAAATCCATCTCTAAGATTTAGAACTAGTATGCACAAAATTTCTAGCCCAGTTCCTGGCTTGGTAAAGTGTTCAGCTAATAGTAACTATTATCATTTTCTATTTCAAAGAGTCAACACATGGCATTTAAGTCCATTTAAGTGCGGGGACTTTGGAGGCTGAAATAGCTCTTTTAAATTTTGACTTCACCACTTATTACTCACGGATTTTTGGAAATTATTTATAACTTGTTAGTCAGTTTTCTTGTCTGTAAACAAGGCACAATAATGAGACCAACCTAATGGGTTGTCATGAAACAAAATAGCATTTTTTTTAAAAAAAATCAAGTGCACACTATCTGGTACATAGTAAGTGCTCATTATGTGGTAGCTATATATTTATATATTATATACACACACAAACACACACGTGTATGTATATACATAAACATATACGTATACATACACATATACATACACATATACATATACATACACATATACAAATATGCGTATACATACACACATACATACACACACATATATGTATATGTACACATACACATACATACATATATGTATATGTACACACAT
Source organism: Homo sapiens (assembly GCF_000001405.40). Classification (NCBI taxonomy): domain Eukaryota; kingdom Metazoa; phylum Chordata; class Mammalia; order Primates; family Hominidae; genus Homo; species Homo sapiens. The sequence goes on from NC_000008.11 coordinate 121,200,888, forward strand.
ACACATACATACATATATGTATATGTACACACATACACATACATACATATATGTATATGTACACACATACACATACATACATATATGTATATGTACACACATACACATACATACATATATGTATATGTACACACATACACATACACATACATATACACATACGTATATACATATACGTATACATACAAATATACGTATACATACACGTATACACACATATGTGTATACGTACGCGTATACGCACACGTATACACACGTGTGTACGTACGCGTATACGCACACGTATACACACGTGTGTACGTACGCGTATACGCACACGTATACACACGTGTGTACGTACGCGTATACGCACACGTATACACACATATGTGTGTACGTACACGTATACGCACACTTACACACACATATGTGTGTACGCACACGTATACATACACGTACACACACATATGTGTATACGCACACGTATACATACACGTACACATACGTGTATACGCACACGTATACATACACGTATACGCATACGTGTATACGCACACGTATACATACACGTATACATACGTGTATACGCACACGTATACATACACGTATACATACATGTGTATACGCACACGTATACATACACGTATACATACATGTGTATACGCGCACGTATACATACACGTATACATACATGTGTATACGCACAGGTATACATACACGTATACATGCATATGTGTATACGCACACGTATACGTGCATATGTGTATACGCACACGTATACGTGCATATGTGTATACGCACACGTATACATACACGTATGCATATGTGTATACGCACACGTATACATACACGTATGCATATGTGTATACGCACACGTATACATACACGTATGCATACGTACATATGTATATACATACACATATACATATACGTACATATACATATATGTGTATATACGTGTATGTGTATATACATACACATATACATATATGTATATGTGTATACGTGTGTGTGTGTGTGCCTGCGTGTGTATATATGTATATACACACACACATTTGTGTCTCCATATATCTCTTTATGTAATCAATCGCTCAACTTTTTACAAAGCTAAATTATTTACCCAGGTCCCCATTTTGTCAACTCATTGTAGGTACAATGCTTTCTTCTAAAAATGCCTGCTAATATGTCATGTTTATTTTCTTTCTTTATTCGTGTCATTGACCCACATATGTTCTGATAAATTAAATTCCATTTTGACTAGTACACTGAGATGGAGTTCATAAATTCATATGCTGAATGACCCTTGTGGAACCTTAACCAAAACTGTCATTTGATTCTTCCATACATATGTGTCAAGTTATTAAATGTTAAGCTCTTTCATTTTGTCTTTTTTATGATTATATCCAATTGATCCACAAATGGCCATCTCCTCAATGGGAAAGTTTTTCGTGATTGAAGGCAATATAACAAAATCTCACTTGTTCAATCAGCCTGTAATTTAAAAAATATAGTTTCTGATTTAGAAAATAGAAAATGAGTCATAGTTATAAAAAAATAAAGTTATATGGTAGCTTAAAAGTAATATTAGGAATCAAGCCATATTCTCAATATAATACTGCCAATAGGAGCATCATAAGGATGTTTCTAAATTACTGCAATTTGTGCTTGATGTTCTACCCAATGAGTTGCCTGTTTGAATCAGACACCTTTTTCACACTTCAGATCTTTTCAGCCCCACTAGTCTGCTGAGCTTTTGGCCAATTGTTCTAGCCCCAGCTACCTCTGTGGCAACTAACCTGATACAGACTTGAGCCAAACTCTTGCAGCCAAAACGCAACAGCACCTTGACTCATGTCCATAATGTGTCCCTCAGCTTTCTTCCCCATGGAACTAAGTAGAGTACTTTTAGGCTTGCTTGTGCTCATATGGGAAACCTAGAAATGCAAGGAAATTCATGCCTCATCGGGAACCCAGGGGAAAAGGACTCCTTCTCTCTCTCAGTTCTACAAATAGAAGGAATGTGTACAATTATTATACGTGAATTAAAATTTTAAAAAGGGCTTTTGCACAGCAAAGGACCAATCGACCAAGTGAGGAGACAGCCTATGAAATGGAAGAAAACATTTGTCAACTGTTAATATCTCTCCCACAACGGACTAATAACCAGAATATATGGGAAACTCTGAAAACTCAATAGCAAGGAAACACATAATTTGATTGAACAGTGGGAAAGGATCTAGTAGACATTTGTCAAAAGAGGACATGCAAATGGCCAACAGGTATACGAAAAAATGTTCAACATCACTGATTATCGGGAAGGAGCAAATCAAAGCCACAGTGAGATGTCATCTCACCCCAGCTGAAATGGCTTTCATCAAAAAGAAAAAAAATGATGGATGCTGTGAAGAATGCTCAGAAATGGGAATGCTCATACACTGTTGATGGGAATGTAAATTTTTATAGCCAGTATGGAAAACAGTATGGAGTTTCCTCAAAAGACTACAAGTGGAACTACCATATGATCCTGCAGTCCCACTGCCGGGTATATATCAAAAAAAAAAAAAAAAAGAAAATTAGTATATCAAAGAGATATCTACACTCCCATGTTTATTGCAGCACTATTCACAATAGCCAAGACATGAAGCCAATCTAAGCATCTGTCAACAGATGAATGCAGGTGATTGGATAAAGAACATGAATGGATAAAATACACACACACACAAACACACACATATGGATAAAGAACACACACACACACACACACACACAATGGAATACCATTCAGCCATAAAAAAGGAATGGGCTCCTTTAATGTGCAGCAACATTGATGGACCTGCAGGTCATATGTTAAGTAAAATAAACCAGACATGGAAAGACAAATACCACATATTCTCACTCATGTGTGGGAACTAAAGAGTAGATCTCATGGAGATAGAGAGTGGATTAGTGGTTACCAGAGGCTGGGAAGAGTAGACCGTTGGTGGGGAAGAAGACAGGATGGTTAATAAGCATAAAAATACATTTAGATAGAAGAAATAAGATATAATATTCAATAGTACATAGCGTGACTAGAGTTAACAATAATGTACAAGTCAAAATAGCTAGAAGAGAAGAACTGGAATGTTCCCGACAAAAAGAAAAGATAAATGTTTGAGGTAATAAATATCCCTATAACCCTGATTTCATCATTACAGTATGCATGTATCAAAATATCACATGTACCCCATAAATATGTACAAGTATTATGTATTAATAAAAAATCTTTATTGCTATAAAAAAGCAGCAGAAGGAGTGACAATAATAGTGTCAACTCATATTAAGTGTCTATTATATGCCAGGTAGCATGCTAAGCACTTCTCCTATGAAATCGCTTATTTCCTCTCAGCCTCGGTTTCTTCATCCATAAAATGGGGGTGATCTCACAGCTATCTCAAAGCTCGAATGCAGTAATTTATGTCAAGCATCTAGTCCAGTGCCTGGCATATGATAAATACTTAGTATTACCTTTATTATTGCTGTTATTACTCTTTCAGTTTCTGGAGGGCTGACACATGGAACAGGAAATTCTTATCTTAGATTTTTCTCTTCAGATACGAAAATAGAAACCATGGGTAGAAGAATGAAAATAATTGCAACTCCTTAAATGTAAAAATCTTTTCAACAAATACAGCCATTTTATGAAATAAGCTATTCACATCATTATTAAATTACTCACTGGAGGAAGCCCAGGATGAGTGAATTTCTGCTTGGGATATTCTACCCAGTATTTCCAATAGACATATGATGCTAGCCCATATAAAATTTTAAATTTCCAGTAGCCACATGTAAGAAGGTAAAAATAGATTAATTTTAATAATATATTATTTAACCAATAATCTCTAAAATATTATTTCAACAAGTTACCAGTATGAACATTTTAATGATATATTCTACCCATTTATTGTACTAAATCTTCAAAATCCAACCTTTGTTTTACACTTACAACACATATCAATTAGGATGCTAAATTTTATCCAAATATTTGATCTGTATCTAATGTTATAAGGTTCACAGTTGAAAAAGTAGATTCTGATAGTCATATTGTTCCAGAAATGCTTAAAACTTTTGCGATAGTGAAAGGATTTATTTTTACATTAAAATTAAAATTAATTAAAATTCAACAAAACTAAAAGTTATTTTCTCAATCCCATTAGCCAAATTTCAAGTGCTTAATAGCTGTATGTTGTTAATGGCTACCATATTGGGTGGTACAGCTCTAAAACACAGTTGTCAATCAATGACTGGAAGATTGGGTTAAATGATCCTTAAATCCCTTCCAGTTCTAATGAGTCTATAATTAAATTAATTCAACAAATACATATTCTGAATACAGTATATCCCGGGTATTATACTAAACATTAGATAGAATTCAAAGATGAACAAAAGATCATTGGACAAGTTAGTAATACTACTACTGTTTTGATCAATTAGGAAAGACTGATTTGCATTAAATTAGTCATTAAAAAATAAATATGTGGATAATTTTGGAAAAACCTCCAAACAGAAGAGACAGAATTGAATGTGACATCAATTAATAAATAAGCAAAATGAAGATGAAAGATAATCGTGCCTTTCCCTCACTACAAGCACAGTATGAGGAGAAGATGGAGCAATATGTGGTGTGTGCACACGTGTGTGTCTGTATGTGCGTGTACTGTAGTATTATTGGGAAACTTGTCCTATATTGAGTTGCTGGAGTATTAATTGGGTATCAGGGTTGGAAAAGTGTTATTTATCACGAGGGCTCAAGGATGGAAAAATGAGATGACAGAGCCTCCGGATATGCAGAGCATCCAGCTAAACTATCTAATGCTTAAATCTTGTATATAACATCCAAAGAAGTTTAATCATTTTTATAACTAACAAGCAACAATCTCTCTCTGCTTATGAACCATTAGATGAAGGCCAAAAATGTATAATTTTCAGCCCTGAAATTTTCTTGCAACCAAATTAAGTTAATTTAGAGCATTACATTTTATCCCGAGGTCTAATAAGTTTTACTTTTCCATAAACTTGGATGGTGAGAATCAGCAGCTCTCAAAGGAGAAGTCCTGCTTAGTAAAGGAAGGAGACTAACATGAACTGACTGTCTTTTAAAAGCTGTAACTTAATCAGCTGCTTTATATGTGCTCTTCCTATTAATCTTCATAGCAACACTCTGAGTAAATATTATTTATTTCCACAATTCAGAATGTGGGAACTGGTTCTTGAATCTTGAATCTGGAATTTTGGATCTCATGCTCAATTCATTATATTGCGCAGACCTCAGATATGTTGCAATAGCTTTAAGAATATTTAGGTTAGGATCGTATGTGTGCCCCTTCCTTTACAGAGTGGTAGAATTGCCAAGAGATGCCTGCCATGCCCATTTCTCTACATCTTACCATGTTTCCATTGGTTTAGTAAACTTCTAAAGAAGTTTTCAAGAATCATAATTAAGTTCTCATGCAGTCCAGTTAGAATTCCTATGTACCATGTCCACTCATTGCATACTTAACACCAGCTAACCATGAGTCTTTGGTTACTGGACCAAGTGGTTTAGAAACTGTGGATAATTAGATGACTGTAGTCTCCCTCATTTGTGTTAGAGTCCTTAGTCTTTGTCGGTCACAGGTTACAGATTTTACCACTGGTTTGATTTTTCTTATTTAATGTAACTTTCCAAAAGATATTTGCAATGGCATGATTTCTATTCTAAATATGAGGAAATCAGAGACCAAGAAAAGCAAAATAACTCATCAAATCCTCTGTCTGGTGACAGCTCCCCGAGTAGAGCCCAGTATTTCACTTTAATTCAAAACTATCTTTACACCAGCATACCACCTCTTTAAAAATAAGTCTCAAAGTATAAGCACAAGGGAGTTAAGATTGTTTTGTACATAGAGTGAAATAGTTTGTAGATCCAAAGGGAAAGTATGATCAACTAGAAAAGCCACTTAGCTGATGTAATATAATGTAAGAGTTCTTATGGTGTGCCAGGCATTGGACTAAGCACTTTCATTATTATTCCATCTTATTCTATTCCATATTATTCTATCTTCAAGAACTCTGGGGATAATTTTTAATTTATTATAATTTTACAGGGATGGAAACTGAGGCTTAGGAGGGTTTGGTTTCTTTCTTCAGGTAACTCAGTTGATAAGGGGTTAGGCCAAACCTAGAAATTCATGCTCTATCCATGGGTAAGACATGCTTGAATCTTGCTGGATATAACTTTCTGGAAATTCATTTATTTTAGAAATTCACTGCCAAATTTGGTCTGAAGGTATTAGGAAATGTTAAAATAAGAAGGAAATGATTCCAAACCACTGGAATTTTTCTCTTCATTTAATTCAATTCAACAATTTGTTATATCCCAAACTGAGGTTATATTATTGGAGAATTCTTTAAAATATCTAAAATAATGGGCAAACATATCAGAACAATTGGAAAGATTCTGCAAGGGCTTTATTTCTTAACTATTGAATTAGTTAGCACTTTTGTATTTTTTGGTGAAAACACAGGTATAACACTTTATACCCATTCCATGAAAACAGCTGCAGTGTATGTTCAGTTTATTCCCCAAGGTATGGACAAGGTCTAACAGTCTAATTTATGTTCTTCCATTGCCATTTTAATAGATTCTGACTCAGTTTGTATAGCAGTGGCCCTGATCCAATATCTGGCTCTAGGTACATTTGCTTTAGCAGATGATTCTGCTACAATAACTTTTCTTCTATGCTTTCCAAGAATACTCTATAGAGAGCAATTCCATCTTGGCCTAGGACAAGGTGACATAACCAAACTAGTCTCTCATATCCTTGACACTCAGTAATAAATTTGAGGTATTGTAAGTGAAACAGGAATATTGTGACTTCCATGCTGTCAGATGAATTATTATTATTGATTCTGCTATTCTTATTTTTATTACCATTCCCACACAAGTGAATCTTAAATTTGCTTTTGAGGTATGTTACTTCCTTTGAAGGCATACCAGCCTGGTTGGGGGAGAAAGTTTGAGGCTGATTCTTTGGGTAAACTTTGTCAAGTCAACTAGCCTCTTTCAGCCTCTCTCCTTGTCTTTAAAATAGCCTGTTTCAATGAAATGATCATGAAAGTTTCCTATAGCAAAACAAATTCTCATTTTCATAAAATACTTTATTATGATATTCACTTAGAATTTATCTTAATAAAAATCGCTGCACAGACAAGCTTTCAGATATTCGTCATTCTTTTGTCTTCTGTTCCATTCTCTCTAATTATCTTGAAAATTATACAAACTATATCCCGTTGGTTAAGGCATTTGTTCTGGACCCAGAATACCCAATCCAAATGTTGGCTCCACCACTTATGAGATGTATAAATTAGACGAATCACATACCCTTCATGGGCTGTAAACCCCCCTATGTATATGGGTAACAATATTATTACCTATCTCAAAGAGTTGTTGTACAGATTAAATGAGTTAATATAAATAAATAACTCAAACCTAATAAAAAAACAATTTATTGATAAATGTCACTTATTATTTGAAATTATGTATTTGAAATAAAAGCTCAGTGGCTGAAAAAATTATTTGAAACTCAACTTAAACATATGTGAAAATATATTCATTTGGTTGGGTTGATTTTGTTTAGTAATCATTTATTTGAATATTCATTCACAAACTTGATGATAGCTTGGCCATATGTCTACTCTTTGTTTCTCCTGTTCTCACCACTCCCTATGTCTCTCCATTGGGGAATGGAAGTTTGAGTTTGATCTGCTAAGCAATATTTCTTCCAAAAATCATAATGTATGAGTTGGAGAGAAGGGAAGGTCAGTCTGTTTTTTGGATGAAGAACTACCCCATCACCTGGAGGATCCAGATAGGAGCCAAATGTGTTCTCTGAAGTCAGTTCTACTTAGTAAATGAGAAATTCATTGCAGTCACATTATCAATAGGTCTCTAATAATGCTATACTACATAATTTATTGAGAGTTTATTCTGTGCAAGAAACTGAACTCTACAATTAATTTATATAATTAATTTCTTATTATCCTCTCAACAAGTTTATGAAAATTGAATTATTAACTCCATCTTACGTATTATATAGACAGAAAATCAGAGAAGCGAAAAGAGTTCAGGCTCACACAGTGAGTTGGTGAAAAAGCTTAAATCCTTCTCCCTCCTTCCTTCCCCTCCCTCCCTCCCTCCCTCCCTTCCTTCCTTCCCTCCCCTCCCTCCCTCCCTCCCTCCCTTCCTTCCTTCCCTCCTTTCTTCCTTCCTTCCATTTTAAAATCATATTGTATGTGCAATAAGTCACTGAAGAAGGAGTCATTCTTATATTTATATTGAGTCAGAAAACTCAGCTTGGTGCCCAGGTTTTTAAGGAAAACGCTTCACTTCTGAGTTTAATCAAGGTTTCCTGAAAGGATGAAATTTTAGAAGGAGGGCACAGGAAACAGCTCAGGGAAGTCTCTTCAAAAGGCAAACAGCAGGAAATAAATTTAAAATGACTCTTAACTACCTACATGCTTATGCTAACTGAAATCACTTGAATGTACAATTTGCTTGTAAACCAAATTAGGGTACAAAAATGGTCATAGACTACAGAAAAGAAAAAAATGCCATTGCAAAAATTGGCTCAAAAATTAGCTATTAAACTCCCATTTGCAGTTATTACTTATAGCATGTGTAATATAACCCATTGAAATTCTATCTTATATGTTTAAGGAAAAAAGAAATACTAGTCTAGAAGGTAATGTCATACATTGGCTAGCTACATGTACTGAAGGAGAGTGGTTGTAGTTTTGATTCTAGCGAGATTTTGACTTCTTTATGACCTTTTCTATTTGAGACTTTTCTACTGGAAGTAAAAGGGAAAACACACACACCCACACACACACACACACACACACACACACACACAGAACCTAGATGATTGAATGCCAGACACTTACCAGTCTTGATTTGCTTTAATGTAACATTGTAAGGAGGGAAGGAGGCAGGATTCATAGCAATGGGACTATTCTACTTTAAATCTTAGATCCTGCACTTAATAAGTACATGATCATTGCAGTTCACCTAACTTCTCCAACATTCACTTTTTTCATCCTTATATCAGAATAAAAGATACTTGAGAAAATTATCTTATGCTTGGCATTCTTGAAAGTCTGCCCTCAGGACCTCTTTGAATTGTCCTTTTGTTTAGCAAAGAAGAGAATTTTACATCTCTGGGCAATTCTTAACTCTCAAGAGAGAAAAATCTTACTCAACATCTCAGAATTTCAGGAAAACATAGAAGAGCATTTGTGAGTCAACTTAACATTTCTTCAAAGCCCTTCTCCCCAGCCCCTTTTTTCTCCTACCCAGGTAGCACCAATATAATAGGCAAAACTCTAAACTGATAGGCAAAAACCCTAACAGGAAAAGTCTGAGGCCATTGGGCATATGCTAAACATTCTAGGTTTGCCATAAAATAATTTGCTTCTGAGAGTAAGATTAATTCTGCTCTGAGAGGATGGTATTCACTTCCACCCCTGCTTATAAAGATACTCTAATAAAGATGATTAGAAATAAGACTATGTATAAAAAGATATTTCATGGATAGCAAGAAAATGTATTTAACTGCAGTAAAATAATCCAAATACCTGCTCCATTGTTTTTAACTTCACAAATTTAAATATATATACATATATATAAAATTATATTTTTAATATACATTTTTATTTCAATAGCTTTTGAGATACAGGTGGTTTTTGGCTACATGGATGAATTGTATAGTGGTGAAGACTGAGATTTTAGTGCTCCTGTCACCCGAGTAGAGTACTTTGTACCTGATATGTAGTGTTTTATCCCTCATCCTCCTCTCATCCTCCTCCCTTTTGAGTCTCCCAAATCCATTATATCACTCTGTATGCCTTTGTGTACCCATAGCTTAGATCCATTTAGAAGTGACAACAAATGTTATTTGGTTTTCCATTCCTGAGTTACTTCACTTAGCATAATGGCCTCTGGCTTCATCCAAGTTGCTGTAAAAAACATTGTTTTATTCTTTTTTATGGCTGCATAGTATTCCATGGTGCATGTATATCACATATTCTTTATCCAATCACTGGTCAATGGGCACTTAGGTTGGTTCCCTATCTTTGAAATTATGAATTCTGCTACAATAAACATATGCATGCAGGGTTTTTAAAATATATAATGACTTATTTTCCTTTGGATAAATACCCAGTAGCAGGATTGCTGGATCAAATGGTAGATTTACTTTTAGTCCTTTAAGAAAAATCTCTATACTGTTTTTCATAGAGATTGTACTAATTTACATTCCCACCAGTAGTGTATAAGCATTCCCTTTTCGCCACACCCATGCCAACATCTATTGTTTTTTTGACTTTTTAATAATGGCCATTCTGACTGAGTAAGTTGGCATCTCACTGTGGATTTAATTTGCATTTCTCTGATGATTAGCAATGCTGAGCATTTTTTTCATATGTTTATGGGCCCCTTGTATATCTTCTTTTGAGAAATGTCTATCCATATCACGTGCCCACTTTTTGACAGGATTATTTGCTTTTTTTTTCTTGCTGATTTATTTGAGTTCCTTGTAGATTCTGGATATAAGTCCTTTGCTGGATGCACAGGTTGCAAATACTTCCTTCCATTCTGTGGGTTGTCTGTTTACTCCAATGATTATTTATTTTGCTATGCAGGAGCTTATAAGTATATATATTTTAAAAGTGCTTGTGGAAAATTTTAATGTAATGGAATTCCTCTTATTGTGTGATCATCTCTACATACCCTTCTATTAATCTTAAATATTAGTTTAAGATTACTCGTGAGTCTTAAGATTATTGGTGAATCTGATTATTGGTGATTATTAGTTTAAGATTATTGGTGAATGTACTCCTTTTAGATGAAGCTGTCAAAGGACGAGAACCATATAATAATAAATATTAGCAAATAGCATAAATAAAATAATAAACATAAAAATAGCATATTTTTATGCTAAGTACAGTAAGCATACTGTACTTAGCACCATGGCTCTGCAGCAAGACATTATTTTAAGTTAGATGCTCAATATAAATTATACATTAAAAAATTTATCAGAACTTGAAAACTTTCACAATCGGATCCAATCATTTCCTTGGAATGTGTGAGGTGTTACAAATGCCGCCTAATTCTTTTTGAAGCTCGAGGAAAAGGCAAAAGTCTTGTAACATACTGAAATGATTTGAATGATTTTACCGTAAAATGGCTTGGATTTGCTCATCTGGCTCCAAGTTCAGAAGAATGACCAACAAACTGACTTATGTTCTCAGCAGTGTAGACACTGAAGGGCCTGAGCAGATGTTGAAGGCTTACTCCAGGCCAATGCATGAGGTTGTTTTTTTTTTTGTTTTTTTTTTGTGGTTTCTCTTAAGTGTTTGCTAATATCTACCACATTGCATACTCAATGTTCCTTTTCAACTGGCCTGCCTGCTCATAATATAAAGCAGATGATTTCATCTTTCACAGCGCCTTTTTGCTACAGTGAACTGAAGTCTGCAGAGTTCAGACTTCTCTAATAACATCCATGTTTCTTTAAGAACAGGAAAATCCCTTCCCCTTAAAAGGTTTGCTCCTCAGTCCTGAGTTCTATAATACAATATTATATGTAATTCCTGTTTAAACAATAGTCTACATTTCCTCCAAGTACTCATTTAGGCTTCTGCTATATTACATTTTTAAGATATGCTGTACCTTTAGTAAGCACAAATTGCATTTCCTATTAGAGGAGAATAACGTCACTTATTTCGGTTAGAAATGCTTCATTTTAAATAAACAGAACAGAAATGGTTTCCTTATTCAGTGTTAAATGAAAGTAAAAGAGCCCTTTAATAAAGACAATGAAGGAAATGTATGTATGTTTTTTATATTATTTTATTTTGTTTATTTAATTAATTTATTTATTTATTGGAGACTGAGTCTCACTCTGTCACCCAGGCTGGAGTGCAGTGGTGTGATCTCAGCTCACTGCAACCTCCGCCTCCTGGATTCAAGCAATTCTCCTGCCTCAGCCTCCCAAGTAGCTGGAACTACAGGTGCGTGCCACCATGCCCAGCTAATTTTTTGTATTTTTAGTAGAGACGGCGTTTCACTATATTAGCCAGGATGGTCTCAATCTCCTGACCTCGTGATCCGCCCACCTTGGCCTCCCAAAGTGCTGGGATTACAGGCGTGAGCTACGGTGCCCAGCCGTTTTTTATATTCTTAAGGAGAAAAAAGAGAAGTCAGGAACAATATCTGTCCTGGTTCTGACTTGGACTTGATTTTGTTATCTTTTACTTTCTCTTATATTGAACATAATTACTTGATTGATTTGTGTTTTTGTGCCCTCTCCAAGTTTAAAGGCTTAGGTAAAGTAGATAATGTCTTTTAGAATCTGAAATCCCTAGAGGGTTCTGATAATACTATATAAACATTTTATTTTAGATTTTCAGAATGATTTGAAGGAAAAGGGTCATGGAAAACTGCAAAAATTTCATCTGTTCCTTTCAGCCCATACTACATTAAACTTGGATAAGTATTTGCTATACCAGTAAGGGCTCCTAAGATCTATCCCTTCACCTTAATGTTGTCAAGCACCTACGTGAAACAAGTTGTTAAATGTGGCTTTTTAGTTTGCTTTGGAGTGTTTATAGAGGCCCTAAGGGCTGGGAAATACATCATCGGTGACAGATAACCCTTCATCCTAAAGTAAAATTGTAGTTTTATAGTAAGACTATGCTGTCAATATTGAATAAGTATGATAACTTTCTGAGAACACTTTCTGTTTCGATACTGGACCCTGGTAAATACAGAATGACTGGCCGTGGAACATCAAATGATCATACAACCAGAACTGCCCACCATGATCAGGGTTCAGGCAAATTCACCATATCGTAATAATGAGTGGGGCCAGCAGTAATCCATTCTAAGATGGAAGTAATACAGATGGGTTTAGACAAGAATAGGGCTAGAAGGCACAAGCAAGAGGGAAAAAAACAAGCTTAGGCTATAGATAGATCAGTTCAGTGTATAGGCGCAAACTGAAAATGAACTGTGGTGCATTATTGCCCACTTAGAAGTGGCACTGAATAAAATTTTCAGGGAAAATCATCCCAGTGGCCAGGACTTTGAGAAGTGAACCTGGATGTCTATTTTCTGTGGAAAGAGAGGTAGCCTGAGGTAATAATAACACAGACACATGGACGGTGAAAATTGTTTGGCTGGTTAATCAGGGTACTGGAAAGAGTATAAGATTGGGACAAGGAGTTCTAGACAAGAAGCATTTGGATAACCTATTGGGCATGGGCATGAATTGTGCTGGATTTTCTACTGCTTATTAATCCTGATAAGAGAAGATCCACCATAGGAGAGACACTAAGTAACCAAGTAGACTGATTGACCCAGTTAATGTCAACCACTCTGCTACTGGCACATTGTGCACATGGAACAGAGTAGGCTGGGCAGCAGGGATGGAGAGTGTGCACTGGCCAGATTGCATGGTTTTCCATGATCAAGTCTGATCTTACTACTGCCTTTAACGAATTCCAGACTGCTAGCAGCAGAGATCAACTCTGAGCCTCAAATACGGTATCATCTACTAAACAAACCAACCAGCCCATCGGTGGAGAATTGACCATATGTAAGACCCCTTTAACTTTGTTAATCCATGCTCTTTGGAGTTTGTGTTTGTCTTTCCTGCCAGTAGGGCTCAGCTAGCACCATGATTAGAGGACTCACAGAGTATTTGACCCATTGACATGTGATTTTATATAACATCAGATGAAGTGACCAACCTCACAGCACAGTAGATTTGACATCAGTTTATCTCCATGGGATCCATTAGTTCTATCACATTCCACTTCTCATAGGAGTTGTCTGTCTTTTTAGCAATGGTGCAGCCTGCTGAATGAACATCTGAGGCACCAGCTTGGAGAGAATATTTTAGGAATTCTTTATATACCCCAAGTCAGCAACCATGTATGATTCTATGTCCCCCAAATGATAGAATACATAGGTCCTAGAACTAAGCAGTGAATGTAACAGTAGCCTGTTTAATTATCATTCCAAGTGACCCACTTAGGGAAATTGTGCTTCTCATTCTGAAAACTCTGGGCTTTGTGGGCTTAGATGCCTTGGTTTCCAGAGGGAGAAAGCTTCCACCAGGGAATGCAAGAAAACTCCCATTAAAGCTCAAGCTTCAGCAACTAGTGTTCAATCACTTTAAGTTTCTTGTGCCATGATACTGGCATACAAAGAAAGGACTCACCAACCTGGTAAGTGATTCTGATTATCAAGAGGAGGAAGGACTGCTCTTACATGAAAGTAAATAATATGTTTGGCACTCGGGTGATCCATTTGGGCATCTCTTGGTAATTTTTTACTCAATTTTGATAGTAACTGAACAAGTTTAGCAACCAAAACTCGAGAAGGACATACCAATGCCTCAGAGATGAAGCTCTGAATTGCTTTAACAGGTAAGCCATTGAGGCTAACAGAGTTGTCAGCTGAAGGTGAAGGAATCTTGAATGGGTAACAAGAGAGGAGTATGGTGAATATTAGTTATAGCTTCAAAACTAGCTTCATTGGTGAAACCTAGTGTTCATTCCATTGACCATCTTCTTGTAAACTTCCTCCAGGAACAATAACACCGATCCCAGACCTGATGTATGTGGAGCTGAATAGCATAAGGTGTGAATTCTGTGGTGTTCACCTAGATCACACTTTAAAACTGAAGGACTAAATTTCTCATCTCAAGAGTGTTGGTAACATATCTCTAAGCTGAGTCCCTCTCCGGCACTTGTCCTTGGTGTTAAAAAGCTGCATTGCTCAAGGTTACCCCCTTCGCTGGGAGAGCCTGGGACAACTTGATATGGGGATATGAAAGCTGTGCCCCTCACCTCAATTTGAAACAACTATGAAGGTCCATTCCAGGTCTAGGACTCTGCATGATTTTCTGAGTCTTTGCTACAAGTTCATCACAGTTCAACTTCTTTCTCCTGAATTCTGACTTCTTAACTTCCCTGCAGGTGCTAATCCTGAAGGTGCCTCAAAATACTCCTGCAAGCAAACCTCCCCCTCAGAGTCTACTCCCTGGGAAACTCAACCTTGTAACATCCTTAGGTTTAGAATAATATTGCAGCTAATAAATCTTGTTGTTTTTA
This sequence comes from Homo sapiens, assembly GCF_000001405.40. Classification (NCBI taxonomy): domain Eukaryota; kingdom Metazoa; phylum Chordata; class Mammalia; order Primates; family Hominidae; genus Homo; species Homo sapiens. Next base: position 121,216,062 of record NC_000008.11, read on the forward strand.
CTAATTTTTTATTCTTATGTAGTGTGAGTGTGTGAACATATACTCACTATCAACGTCACTGGAGAAGCAAATCAATTAACTAAAAATTTCATTTTCAGCAAAACTTTCTTGAAAGGCCTTTTGGAGAGAGATACCTGGAGAGCCATGCTCAGCATTTGATTTGGAGGTGATTTTGAAGCCAAAGGTCTCTGAAATGTGAGCTTTTCTGATAATGATAGAAAACTCAGTTCTAACTCTGGCTTCAGCATTTCCTAAACAAACAACTTGAATTACTACAAAAATTACACTTAAAAGTTGACTGTATTTTTTTTCTAACAATTCTAACAATCACATCAGGACCCCTGTCTGAGTCTGTTTTTTGTTTTGTTTTTTGTTTCTTGTTTTGTTTTGTTTGTTTGTTTTTGCTGCTATATCAGAAAACCACAGACTGGGTAATTTATAAACAATAGAAGTTTATTTGGCTCATGGTTCTGGAAGCTGGGAAGTCCAAGATTGAGGCACCGCATCTGGTGAGGGCCTTATTCCTGCATCAGAACATGGCAGAAGGCACCAGGTGGTGAGAGGGCATGCAAGAGAGAGAGAGAGAGAGAGAGAGAGAGAGAGAGAGGAGGGCAGAGGGACCAAAATAATCCTTTTATTAGAAAACTTCTTGTGGGGTAACTAACCCACTCCCAAAATAATGGCATTAATCCATTCATGAGGTCAGACCTCTCATGACCTCTTAAAGGTCCCACCTCTCAACAATATGACATTGAATTTCAGACACATGGACTTTGGGGATACTTTCAAACAAGAGCAGATCCTTGCCTCTCTGCTGTTCTTTATGATTTACACGTAAGATTTCACAACAACCCTGTGACTTAGGTAAGGCAGGTATTGTTATTCTCTCTTCTGTAAAATAAAAGTGGGATGCAAAGAAACTTAATGTGTTTCCCAAGTTTGCACAGTTACTAAGTGGCAGCAGTATCAGAGGTCTGGGATGATTTGATTAACATTAAAAAATGAAAGAAGGAAAAATCAGCATTGAAAAATGTTGCTCTACTTTAAATGTTTATATTTAAAGTGTCATACGTTTTAAATGCCAAAACACAAAGAAAATATTTATACTGAACATTATATAAATTAATTTGGAGATATTGTCATTAATAAGCTTCCTTGTAAGCAACATATAATTTATATATTTGTACCACCTTTTAGAGGAGTGGTTCTGTAAAATAACCTTCTTATGTTCCATCTTCATGCCATTGATTCCCATACTCTAATCCAAGCCCAGGGCTCTTTCAATACCATTATTTTCTGATTTAAACTTGGGTTTTTATTTCTGACCTCTATGTTCCCTTTTCACTTAAGCTTATTTTTCAAAAGAGGATTTATTTATTATTACAGCTGTATTTTCTTTTATCCAATAAAATATTAATTTTTTTCTGTACCTTATAAGAAAGCGAGTCCTTCACCTTCTTCTTTCAGCCCCACCCCCACCATTTCTACATAACTACATACACACTTTTCTATTTTTGGTAGATTTATTCTTTAGAATTGCTTTGGCTATGATAAACTTTACTTAAGACATTAATAATTCTTGGCAAGGGCTTCTTTTGTGTTTTAACTTTGAAAGGAAAACTTACTCTGCATAATTGCCCCATTCTTAACTGTGGTATAGATTGAAAACAGCAAAAGCTGATAACAGCTTTGCCCCAAGTATACAAACTTCAGGTCTGCTTTTCTCTCTGCAGAATTTAGCTTTTAGCTATACATGGAGAACTTTTTAGTAAATTTAGGCTTGGAGATGGAAGAGAGAAAAAGGAACAAAGACAATTTAGACTTTGATTTGAATTCTCAGTAATCAAAAATAGTTTTTCTTATATTTAAAGAATAAAGTAAAAGGTATTTAATAAACTTTACATACTAATAAAAAACAAATTACAAAAAGACCAAAAACTTGAAGCTGGGTTTTTGTATTTTTGGTTACTATAAGAAATTTAAATGTAGCAAAGATGGAAATTGTATTTTAATATCTAGTGCAGATTTTCATTCAGAAGGACAATTGTCTTTGTTTTAAACACAATTTAATAGATGTGCTTATAAAGATAAGGCTTTCTGGAAATAGCAGAGATAATTCAATGAAGCAGATGAGAACATCAGTTCATTCATCAATCAGTGAAACAAACCTGTCCAAGAAAGGTACAATAATTTTGAGATTGGAGGAAATAGAGTAGGTGAGTGTATTAGTCCATTCTCACGCTGCTGTGAAGAAATACCTGAGACTGGATAATTTATAAAGAAAAGAGGTTTAATTGACTCACAGTTCTGCATGGCTGGGGAGGTCTCAAGAAACTTACAATCATGGCAGAAGGCACCTCTTCACAGGGCATCAGGAGAGAGAATGGGCACTAGCAGGAGAAATCCTAGACACTTAAAAAAACCATCAGATCTCATGAGAACTCACTCACTATCACTAGAATAGCCTGGTGGGAACCACCCCCATGATTCAATGACTTCCCACTGGGTCTCTTTCATGACAGGTGGTGATTATGGGATTAAAATTCAAGATGAGATTTGAGTGGGGACACAAAGTTAAACCATATCATTATCCCCCTCTCCCCTCCCATATCTCATGTCTTCACATTTCAAAACACAATTATGCCCTTCCAACAGTCCCCCAAAGTCTTAACTCATTCCAACATTAACCCAAAGGCCAAATCCAAAGTCTCATCTGAGACAAGGAACGTCCCTTCTGCCTATGAGCCTGTAAAATCAAAGGCAAGCTAGTTACTTTCTAGATACACTGGGGGTACAGGCATTGGGTAAATACACTCACCAAAAATGGAAGAAATTGGTCAAAACAAAGGGGCCACAGGCCCCATTTAAGTCCAAAATCCAATAGTCATAAATCTTAAAGTTCCAGAATGATCTCCTTTGCCTCATGTCTCAAAATCAGGTCATGCTGATGCAAGAGATGAGCTCCTATTGCCTTGGGCAGCTCTGACCCTATGGCTTTGCAGGGTACAGCACCCCTGCTGGCTGATTTCACAAGCTGGCATTGGGTTTCTGTGGCTTTTCCAGGCATGGTGCAAGATGCTGGTGGATCTACCATTCTGGGGTCTGGAGGATGGTGGCCATCTTCTCCCAGCTCCACTAGGCAGTGCCCCAGTGGGGACTGTGGTGGGGGGCTCCAACCCCACATTTCCCTTTTGCACTGCCCTAGCAGAGGTTCTCCACGAGGGCTCCGCCTCTGCAGCAAACTTCTGCCTGGATAACAGGGCATTTCCATACATCCTCTGAAATCTAGATGGAGGTTCCCAAACCTTAATTCTTGACATCTGTGTACCCACAGGCTCAACACCACATGAAAGCCACCAAGGCTTGGGGCTTGCACCCTCTGAAGCAATGGTCCAAGCTGTACCCTGGTCCATTTTAGCCATCGCGGGATGCATGGAACATGAAGCAGCTGGGATGCAGGGAACCATGTCCCAAGGCTGCATAGAGCAGTGGGGGCCCCTGGGCCCAGCCCAAAAAAACATTTTTCTCTCCTAATCTTCTGGGCCTGTGATGGGAGGGGCTGCCACAAAGATCTCTGACATGCCCTGAGGGCATTTTCTCCATTGTCTTGCTGATTAACATTTGGCTCCTCATTACTTATGCAAATTTCTGCAGGCTGCTTGAATTTCTCCCCAGAAAATGGATTTATCTTTTCTTTCACACAGTCAGGCTGCCAATTTTCCAAACTTGTATGCTCTACTTGCTCTTGAACACTTTGCTGCTTAGAAATTTCTTGTGCCAGATACCCTAAATCATGTCTCTCAAGTTCAAAGTTCCACAGGTCTCTGGGGCAGAGACAAAATGCTGCCAGTCTCTTTGCTAAAGCATAACAACATTAAAGCATAGCAAGAGTTACTTTTACTCCAGTTTCCAACAAATTCCCCATCTCCATCTGAGACCACCTCAGCCTGGACTTCATTGTCCATGTCACTGTAAGCATCTTGGTCAAAGACATTTAACAAGTCTCTAGGAAGTTCCAAACTTTTCCACATTTTCTTATCTTCTTCTGAGCCCTCCAAACTCTTCACACCTCTGCCTGTTACCCAATTCCAAAGTCGCTTCCGCATTTTTGGGTATCTTTATAGCAGCATCCCACTCCTGCTAACAATTTACTGTATTAGCCCATTTTCACAGTGTTATGAAGAAATATCCAAGACTGGGTAATTTACAAAGAAAGGAGGTTTAATTGGCTCACAATTCCACATGGCTGGGGAGGCCTTAGGAAAGTTAGAATCACTGTGGAAGGCACCTCTTCAAAGGGTAGCAGGAGAGAGAATGGGTACCAGCAGGGGAAATCCCAGACACTTATAAAACCATCAGCTCTCGTGAGAACTCACTATCATGAGAACAGCATGGCAGAAACAGCCCCCATGATTCAGTTACCTCCCACCAGGTTTCTCCCACGACACATGGGGGTTATGAGATTACAATTCAATACAAGATTTGGATGGAGACATAAAGCCAAACCGTATTAGAGAGGAAAAGTAATAGGGTGAGGAGGGCTGAACAATGATGTTGAGGACTTGAGCAGAAATATCAATCAGAGGGTAATTTCAGAGGCAAGCGTGACTGGCAAATTCATAAGAATGGATCTCTATGTGGAAGATAGACTTCCTAATATAGCTGCAAGAATATCTCTTCCCTCATTTGCTCTACAGCAACTCTATCAATCTTCTATGACTGAAGTGGAGCAAGTTCCAGCATAGCCGCTATGTAGCCTAACAATGTCTGTTTCCTGTCTCTTGAAAGCATTTTCAGTGAGGGGTGGTATGGGGGGACAGAAGTCAAGACCAAGAGGAAGATGCCAATTTATAAATATACAATTAGCTGATTTCTTTATTGAGTAAAAAGAATACCTTGAATGCAGGCAAGTAAACAGCCAGTGCCTATGAGATGTAGTGGATTTTCAGCTGTATTTATATGGAATTAAAGCTTTATCATTGTTGGACATTATCCTACTTTTAGTAAATAGGCAGCAGACACTCAATTTGCATCAGTAGTTATGTTGATTTTACTCTGATGTCCTGTTTTCCTTAATTCTTTATCAGGCTTACTTTGATGTGTTCTTCACAATTCTGTATCAGTATTGCCAAAGATTTCCCCTGGCAGTATATGTAGCACCTGTAATTCATCACTTCCTTCAGCAGTCCTGAGTAGGGTAATATTAAGTTCAGTTTCCCCACAGAAAACAATCACTACATAAGAAGTGCAACTACCTTGAGATCACCTTGCTATGTGAAGCTCAAGCATTGTGAAGAGGCCCTGGGAGGTGTGACTTTGTGGATAGAGAGGTCAAAGAGCATAAAGGGACTGGATATTTGAGTGAAGAAACCATCTTGGAAGAAGATTTTTCATCCCCAGCTGCTCAGTGGACTCCATGTTGGTCAGAGATGAACCGTCAATGCTTCCTCAATTTTTGGCCTAAAATATTATAAGCCAATACGATGGTTCTCTTAAGCCACTTAATTTTGGAATAGGTTGTTACTTTCTAAGGGACTACCAGAAGAGTTTAGTATTTTATGTTTTTTATGTGATGTTTTATATGTGGGCTCTATTGTACAAAGTGTTGAGTCCGACCTGCAACATAAACTTATATGAAAAGTGTTATGGAAACATCATTCAAAAGAACTATACTCTACATTTGAATTGGTCATGGACTGACTGAAACAAAAAAGTCTCTAGATGGTGACAAACAAGTAGAGAGGAAGAAATCAACAAGATAACGAAATTAAAGTTAGGTAAATCCCTGTAAGTGTGCTAGGCTTAGGAGAGGGCATTGAAACCCATCTTATTTAAGTTGCAAAGATAAGAGTGACCTGAGGTGGCAGCTGAGTAACAGTTGAAATTCCCAAAGCTGTAAGTTTCAGATCACTATTAATTAGAATAAGAGACAAAATTTCACACTGACTATTTTAAAAAATGATCCCTTGACTTAATACAATTCAAATGCCTTGTATCTGCAGGTCCTAGGAAAGTATGTGGCATAAAGTTTGCAGTCAATAAATGTTGACTGTGTGATTGAATAAGGCAAGTGGCAAGTTGAATGGTCACCAACTAGTGAAATATAATTAAGGTCCTTTCCATCTATCTCTACATTCTGGTAAGGTAATAAACACCAAAGATATAATTGCCTTATGGTGGAAGAAGCTGGTCCAAGTTGAGACTCCAGTTATAACTTGTTAGAAGAATCGCTGGGAATTCTCCTTCCATGCTGTGCCTTTTGTCTCCATTACTGCCCTTTTATTTAGCACTTTTATTCATGCATGGATGTTTATTTTAGTGATTTTCTAATTAACATTTCTATGTTCATTGTCTTGTGCCTCAAATCCTTCCTTCTTTCTGTCCCTTTCACCTTGTATCCACAAGCTGTGCTGAAGGGCCCTTGTTTTAAACTCTCAAGGCACTCGATACTCACTTTTATCTTAAGGCTGAATTACCCATTTGTAACACTTGGAGAGTAGGTACTATACCTCATTTATTTCGGATATCCAGAGCCTAAAATGCTACCAGGCAAGTAGCATTTGTTAGAAATAAATTATTAAACTATATAGCTCAAAAATTTCACTTCTACACTTGTCAAGCCATTGTTATAACAGGTTTTATTTCCTCAAAATAACTTTTAAGGTGTATTTCCTATTTATATGCATAAATACTTAGGTTAGTGGTGACTCCTCAAGTCCTTAATTTCTATCAGCACTTTTTCAGGACTCTTTGCTAAGGTTACAAGATGTATGAGAAGGGATACTATTTGAGAGAAATAAAAAAACACTGAAAAGACAAGTACAAGGCTCTAAACACACATTTCCTACTTTAAATTATTTGGAGTTGAAAGATGTATGTGGAAAACCCTCTATTGCATGGTTAGGCATCAAGTATTAAATAATTTCATTTACAAAATTATTCTTGTTTAAATATTAGGTCAATAATATAACCAAAGGATGAGTTACTAAGTCAGTCAGTCCGCCTGGCCTCTTTCATAAATATTTAAATGATCTGTTATGGTGCCCCTCCTCTTTAGAATAGCAGCACCTCAGGGAATGAGTCATGTCTGTTTCATCTTTGAAACTTCTACGAAGCACAGTGCCTGGCACATGAGAGATGCTCAGTAAATGTTCAAGTAAATAAAACCTGAATACTGTCTTAGTCTGTTAATGTCACTATAACAAAATACCTAAGACAGTAATTTATAATAAACAGGTATTTATTTTTTTTCACAGTTCTAGAGGCTGGGAAGTACAAGATCAAGGTGTCAGCAGGTCAGTTTTCTGGTGAGGGCTGCTCTTTGCTTCCAAGGTGGCCCCTCATTGCTGCGTCTTCCAGAGTGGAGGAAGGCTGTGTCTTCACATGACAGATGCAGTAAAAAGGAGCCAAACTCCCTCTGTCAAGCCCTTTTAAAATGGCACTACTTCGCTGATTTGGTGGAGCCCTCAGGACTTAACATCTCCCAAAAGGCCCTAACTCACAGTACTGTTGCATTGGGGTTAAGTTTCCAACACATAAATTTTTAAGGATACATTCAGACCATGGTAGATGCCAAATCACTGATTGTGCTGAAGTGCTGATGATTTTGAAATGGCAGTATGGAAAGGAAAGGAATCACTAGGTCTACAAATGAGATATGGAGGAAGTTGGGGGTAAGCCTATGCACAGGTAGAGACACTAAAATACAAAAAAGTACACACCTGCCATTCACTTTTATTTTGATGTTTCAATTGCTCTAAATTTTCTAAATTTATCATATGTTCACAATATGGACATTGGGTTAGAATCTTTTTTTTTTTTTTTTTTTTTTTTTGCTGTGATAAAAATCTTCTGCTTCAACATGCGCTTCAAAAGGCACTATTTTCTGAATGATTACTGCTGTGTGAGTCCAGAAGAGTGATAAGTGAAAATCCATGCCAATGATTAAGAAGGAGTTGGCTTTACTGGGAGCATGAACCTTAATTGTCATATTGTTTTCTTTCCCTTTTTTTGAAACTTTATTTTTGTATCTATCTTTTTGGTTTTGGTTCATGGCTATGGGGTGTATATACTCTTAAATTTCTCTCTGAACTGTCAATTAATTTCAACTTGTTATGCATTTCTACTTAGTTTAACAAGCGTAAGCTTTTTGGTTGCTTGAACTGAAATTGCTGACCCATTATCATACATTTTACTGCATACATGTTTAAAGTACTTAAATATATTTTTAAATTAAGAGATATGACCTAGTTACTTAGAGTCACGAAACACATTTAACAAATATATTTAACGTATGGATGTAAAATGAATACCTGCATTAATCACCAAGGTTAAGAAACAGTATAGTGACAATACCCCAGAGACCAACGTTTCTACCCTGGGCATTTTTTCTCAATATAGCTCCCTTTCACTTCCCTCTTAAACTTCTACACGCCTTTGCTTTCTAATGGTAGTAGCAAATTAACACAAACATAGCAATTTGAAACAATGTAAGTGTATTATCTTGCAGTTTCCATGGTTCAAGAGTCTGAACATACATTAGTTTTGTCTTTCGTTTGTGGTCTCCTAAGTCTGAAAGCAAAGCATTGGCTAAACTGCATTTCTTTTCTGGATCTCAGGTTTCCCTTTCAAGTTTATGTGGTTGGTAGCAGAATCCAATTCCTTGAAGTTGTGGGACAGAGAGGCACCTATTTTATTGAGTATTTGTTATTATAAGTCACTTTTCTCTTGCTGCTTTTAAATTTTTTTCTTTGACTTTAGCTTTGACAGTTCGGTTATCATGTGTCTAGATTTGAATCTCTTTGTGTTTATCCCATTTGAAATTTGTTGAGCTTCTTAGATGTACAGGTTAATGTGTTTTTTAAGTTTGGAAATTTTTTGATAATCATTTCTCCAAATAGTCTTTTGCCCATTTCTCTCTCGTCTACTTCTGAGAATCATACTGTATATATAAATTTATGAGTTGGCATGCTTGATTGTGTTCCATAGGTCTCTGAGACTCTGTTAACTTCATCTTTTTTCTTTTTGTTCCCAGACTAAATGATCTCAATTGGCTAATCTTTCAGTTATCTGGTAATTTATTCTGCCAGCTCAAATCTGCTGTTGAACCTCTCTAGTGGATTTTTCATTACAGCTATTGTATTCTTCAATCCAGGTTTTTGTTTGATTATTTTCTATAATTTCTACCTCTTTATTGATATTCTTTATTTGGTGAGACATCATTTCCATTTGATCTTTTTTTTAGATATGTCTTTCTTTAGTTCTTTGAACATATTTAAAATAGCTAATTTAGAAATTTTTGTCTAGTAAGTCGAAAGTCTTGGCTTCTTCAGGGACAGGATCTACTGTGCAAAGAGCATACTCTTTTTGTTTTTGCATGTCTCATTTTTTGTTATTGAAAACTGGACATTTTAAGTAATATAACATAGCAACCCTAAAAATAATTCAGTCCTCCTTAGGGCTTGATGTTGTCACTGTTTGTTTTTGGTTTTGGCGCTGCTGTTACTGTGCTCATTATTATTGTTGCTGTTGCATTTATTTGTTTGGTTACGGTCCTGAACTAATGTTGCAAAGTCTTTATTCTTTACTATATATTGCCCATGAAGCCTCTGCTTTGCTAGCCTACTGGTCAGTTAATGACTGGACAGATATTTCCTTAAATGCCTGGAACCAGTAAGTCTCTCAACTATTGCTGAGATGCTCTGTGTGCATGTTGGGGCACACCTTCAATGCTCAGGCAGGTAGTTCATAATTCTGCCTTAGCCCTTACTTCCTGCATTTGTAAATACTGTCAGAAGTAAGAGCCATTGCCTTTATGGTTCTGGACATGAACACAGGTCGTGCACACAGGTGCAATGTTAAATAATTTGACAAATATTTTCATCTGAAAGGCTGTTCACACTGAATGAAAAATAAAGAGATACAAAAAAGACAGTTTATGGGAGTCAGGGTTTCTAGCAAACTTTTAGACAGGTCGAATAATGACAATTCTCTAAATGCTGCTATTGGGGAGGTTCAAATGTGTTCTGCCCATCTAGTGATTGTTAAAGTACTGGTTATCACCATGACTGTGGGGCTGCTAGTATTTAAAACACCTGTGGAATTAGGGAATAAGGTATTGGAATAGGGTAAATTAAAATGCCAGACCGCTTTCTATTCTTACCAGGACTCAGCCACTTTTCTGGAATAAATGCTGTCTAGCTTGTTACAAGTCTTTGGTTAGTTTCTAGAGTTTTGAAAAAGTTGATTTTGGTAATTTTTGCATGCATTCTCATTGCTTTAATGGAGGAGCACATATTTGGATTTCCTTATTCTACCATTCCTACTGATGTCCCTGTCATGTGTCTTGATGAAAAAAAAAGATTTTCATTTTAATATATTCTACTTTATCAATTTTTCCTCCGTAATTTTGATAAATCTTTTCCTACTATGTGATCATACCCTAATACATATCATAGAATATTATTTTTTAACATACTCTTGGGTTTAAACTAGTAACACTTGGTAATTTGACATGTCAACTCATATTAGAAGCCATTGTAGCATTATTATCAAATTGATTGCTATCAGATGGTAAACAATCTTACCAGAAGTTATGTACCAAATCAATCTTTTGAAAATTGTATTTCTTCTCTTCACCTCCAGTTTTAAATCTTGGAATCATGGAGCCAGAGGGTATTTAACGATCACTTAATTACTTGGACCATGTAGGTGGTTTTTCAGTCCTGCTTCTCTAATTAAATGTGGTGCTTTCTTTCTGTGTGTGTGCAGAAATAGAGTTCTAGAATCAGGGGAAGTTGGTATAACCTATTGTACAGTGAGATCCAGAAATGCCCAACAGAAAGACCACACAATACGCTAGAAGACTGGAGGTCTAAGATGCAGAGACAGATTAAATCTGACCAATAAAACATATTAGTAATGTTGCGGGACATGCAACTATAGATGTTTTTTTTTCTTGTCAGGTAGTCTGATAATAAAGTTTTTTCTATAAAAGGATATTGCTTAAGTTGAGTGATGACCTCTCCATATTATTTTATCCTTATATTTCCATAACAATTGATATCCCCCACAATCACATTTCTTAAAGTTTTACCCAATTTAAAATTTTACTAAACTACTCCAGGTAATAACAGGCAACATTTTAAGGGGAACTCTTTGTTCAACCCACATGGGTAAGGAAATAAGAAAACTAGATAAAAAGCTTCTGCATAAAATTTTATCAACCATGTATCACAAAAACCTGAGTCACTAAAAAAGTATCTAAATCCCAGTGGAAATGCCTACTATCCTGTCGATAAGGACAAAACACCATTTTTTATTTTTTATTTTAAGAGCAAATAGCCTCTCAGCAGTTTGATGGGTTTTAAGAACACAAAATACCAGACGCTTCCTGATGGGGGCCACCTGCTCTTTCCTTCCCATAGAAGGGTTCCTAGGCCATCCTCACTTCCATTCTTCTGTTGTTCATTATGTATCTGGTGTATGCATGAATACCAATGGAGATCTTCCGCAGCTGGGACTTCCTGTTTTAATTGTCTGGATCTTTTCCTTTACTAGCTTGGAAGAGTTTTATAAGCTTCTCCCAGGGTGGTCAAATGTAGCTGCTTTTCCTAGCAAAACACAGTCCCCACCGAATGAGGCCCTCCTTTACCAGTTACCTAACCCTGGATGAAAAAATGTGCTGTGTATTAATAATTCTCTTCTTCCTTCACACTCCTTAGCTAGAATCACCTTACAATTTTTGCCTCTTGCCCACTCCATCTTCTCTCTTCTTTGTATAGGTAATTTTCCATTTTACCAAGTCAGGAGTTTTACTTGGTACCTTGTTGATGGCTGTTTTTTAAATTTACGCTATTCCTCAAGGCTCAACTGAAGTATAAGTTATAAAAAGTACACGTGATTTTTAGATCAGACCCTGAGCAAGGCTTAATTATTAAGATGAAGGACAGTGTGTTTTATTTTGTCCTGTGAAAACTATGTAACAAGCCGTGCCTCTTCCTTGGGTATAATTTCTAGGAAGTTAAGGAATATTTTTTCTTCTAAAATAGCTTATTACAAAATTCTAGCACAATTGTCTTTCAATGTATTCTTTTGCCATGATTCTCAACATTTTCTGGGTCATGAAAGTCTTTGAGAATTTAAAGAACTCCCAGAATAATATACATTTGCTACAAATTTTGCATGCAATTCAGGAACTTCTGACATTCTTCCATGGAACCGTGGGTTCTATGTGTTCTCTGATTTTTCTAATTTTAATTTTCTTTCATATAAAAAGGTTATTAGCTTTCTAAATTTACTAAAGGCAGTATTATAAGCTTTCACATTTCTTTGTAACATAGTCATAAATTTTGAATGAGTAGAAAATTTACTTGTTTGAAAATTAAAAAAAAATAAACATTTTGAAGGATGAGCTTCAAAATTACAACTAGATAAATTGCTATGGGCATATACATTGATATAACCACTTTGAAAATCAATTCAACATTGTTTTATAAAGTCAAATTTTCACATTCATTATGACTCAGCAGTTCCACTTTAGAGTATAAATCCAAGAGAAAAAAACAAACTTATACCAAGTTATGTTATATATTTAAATTTAGATAGTTACATCTATATAGCTATAGATATATATAGATATAGCTTTATATATACATATATAAACTACTGATATATAGGTATAGATAGATGATATCTATCTACATACACACAAACATACATGCACAGAGAGAAGGATGTATATACGTATATATCTTTATATATCCCTCTATATATTATGGGTATAGATATACAGATAGATAGGTATAGATATCTATTTATCTGTATGTACACAGACACACACACACACACGCACCCAGAGAGAGAGCACCTACTCTCATTATGTGTTATATTTATGTTCTTTATAGTTGCTGTGAACACAGGATTACTGAGCCATTGCTCCTAAGGGAAATACAAAATTCAGTTTCTGTGAAATGCTGATCATAATATTTTCATTAACTGAGTAATACATAACCTTGTTTTATGTGTACTTTTGTTTAAAGATGCTCATTTAATATATATTTTTGGTTAAGATTGAATAACACTGTAGCTTATGCTTGAATGAAGCTTATTTAACATGTATTTTCTCTGAAAGACACATCACAGCCTTAAGATTAGGACAGCACTGCAGCACCATGTTTGGGGACCATTTTAAAAAGCAAAACCTCCCAGCACTTTGGGAGGCCGAGACAGGTGGCTCATGAGATTAGGAGATCGAGACCATCCTGGCTAACGTGGTGAAACCCCGTCTCTACTAAAAATACAAAATTTATCCAGGCGTAGTGGTGCACATCTGTAGTCCCAGCTACTCGGGAGGCTGAGGCAGGAGAATCGTTTGAACGCGGGAGACGGAGGCTGCAGTGAGCCGAGATTGCACCACTGCACTCCAGCCTGGGAGACAGAGCAAGACTCTACTCTGTCTCAAAAGAAAAAAAAAAAAGAAAAAAAAAAAAGAGGAAAATCACCAACAGAAATAACAAAAAGGTAAAGAAAATGTGGCACAAAATAGAGTGCAAGAAAACCCCACTCGTTTGCAGTATGATAGGTAAAACAAGAGGGCAGAGAATCGCCTTGCTTGACCTCAGCTGGGAATGTGCGACTGGAGGCTCAGTCTTTTTACAGCCTCTTTTTACATGTCTATGAATGGCTGTGAAAACACAATAGGTATCGATTTGGGGCTTGCACACATATTTTAGGAATAAATAAATTTGCAAATATGGAATTCATAAATAACGAGGACCCACTGTGTGTGTGTTTATAAGTATATATTTATATATTTAATGTGTGTGTGTGTTCGTGTATGTTAAAACCTAGCACATAAAGAAGGGGATTATAAACACAGGGGCTATATTCCACACCAGGCAGGACCAACAACGATAATCACTCTGTTACCTATTTCCACAAGAAATGAAATCACTCTAAGATTTTAGAGACTTTAAAATACTTTTTGTCAAAATATTCGAGAGGTCAGATATATAAATCACATTCACACCACACAGTGTTCTATCAGCTTGCATGCCCTTCTTATCTCTTCAACAGTGTCCTCTCTATTTCATCTCCTATTTATTTTTATTTATTTCTATTGTTTATTTTATCTCAGTTTTTTTTAATTCGTCATTTCCATAGGTTTTTTGGGACCAGATGGTGTTTGGTAAGTTCTTCAGTGGTGATTTGTGAGATTTTTGTGCACCCATCACCTGCGCAATATACACTGAACCACTGAATCCAATTTGTAGTCTGTTATCCCTCACCCCCTTCCTACCCTTCCCCCCTGAGTCCTCAAAGTCCATTGTGTCATTCTTATGCCTTTGCATCCTCATAGCTTAGCTCCCACTTACGAGCGAGAACATACGATGTTTGGTTTCCCATTCCTGAGTTACCTCCCTTAGAATAATAGTCTCCAATCCCATCCAGGTTGCTGCTAATGCCGTTAATTCATTCCTTTTATGGCTGAGTAGTATTCCATCACCTATATATCACAGTTTCTTTATCCACTTGTTTATTGATGGGCATTTGGGTTGGTTCCACATTTTTGCAACTGTGAATTGTGCTGCTATAAATAATGCGTGTGCAAGTATCTACTTTGTATAATGACTTCTTTTCCTCTGGATAGATATCCAGTAGTGCCCTTATTTCAGAACAGTAAAATAAGTTTTCCTTTTTTTCTGGGCCAGAACCTTTCTGCCACACTTTATTCTTCTCAGAGTCTCAGAATGTCTAACAGCCTCGGGGCCCATGTGAGCATTTTCTTTTCCCCAAATACAGTAAGTTCTTCTTAAGAAATTATTTATTTTCTGCCTCATTAGAAGTGTGTCATTTAGTATCATATGGAAAAGCTGTTTTTTTACAATCATGATTGCAACCATGACCCATTTATTCTGGAATCCTATCATCCCATATTTCTGAGACTTGTTCATTTCAGGATGTGTATGCTGCATCATGAAAGATTGTATTTACAACAATGTCAGCAGTGTTTGAGCACCTATAATGTTCAAATCTGTATGCTAGTTGTTGATTGGGGTCATGAATTTGAATATGCACAGTCCTGCCCTTGAATGTACCACTGAATGGGGAAAACACACATTAAATTAAATAGTTCCTCTGCAAAGCAGATTATGAACAATGTGAAGGTAGAGGGATGAAGGAACAAAGATGGTGCTGAACCATTAAGTGTGGGAGGCTGCAGATTATGGAGACCCCCCTGGGGGGTTGAGACTTGGAGGGAGATCAGAGCTTTGCTTAAAGATGGCTCTCCTTTATATCTTAGGAATGATGTCTTGGTAATGCTAACTTAGTTTGGGCTTCTTCCTCTTAGTTAGGTTTCCTCCAAAGTGATGCCTGAGACATGACTTGGGTAAAAGTAGTTTATTTAGGAAGTGACCCCAGAAAGCAGGAGAAAGGGAGTAAAGGGAGTGCAATGGGGAAGGAGAAAAAGCAAAATGAGAGAGCGTTATTGAGGTTGCTGCGGCAGGGAACAAGAACTTGATCCTACCTGAATCTTTGAGAAATGTACAGATATGACCTTGAATTGTCCACTCAAAGGACAGGAAGCTGGAAAAGTTATCCTCTGTTTTCAGTTTCACATTAGTTGAATTATGTTCCTGTGATTCTTAACTCCCCTGTATTTCTGGATGCAATTATGGGATGGTCAAATTGGCTCTTGTGACATCAGAAATGGCACTTGGGCAGGAAGCAGAAGAGAGGAGAGTGTATTTGAAGAAGGGTCACCTCCAGGTAAGTATAAGCTTCCATTGTAATGTGCACCAGAGCTGCAGCTACAACCAGGGAAGGCTGAAAGGCTATGGCACAGAGCAGCAAAGATACCTGCTAGAAGTACAAAAGATGTCCAAAGGTGTTCAGGATTGGAAGCAAGGAAGCCAGTTAGAATATGAAAGTAATGAAGGCTTTATCCATTCGATGTCTTTCCAACCTTTTCTGTCTGCCTGGAAGACTTTTCCCTCCTCACTGTTAGCCTAAACTCTACTCTTTTTTCAAAGCCTAATTAATAGGCACAGCCTAGAATAGTTCTTGGAACTCCATACATGTTCAATATTATTTGCTGAATAAACAGCTAGCATATTCATTGTGATTGAAACTTTACACACTCATTGAAGTTAATACCCCCAAAACCTTGATATACATGCATTAGTATCTCAGTTTTCTAGACATATTCATATATTCATTCAACAAAGATTGCTGAATGTCAGACACTGTACTGGTTTATAGAAGCTGGTAAGGAAATCGATCCTCAAGAAAGTTAAATCTTTTGCCAAAGAACTCATAGTCAGTGGAAAGGAAACATACTCAGTGATATTTTCTTGCATTCATCCACCACCATTCTTCTATTCCATAATTCTCACAGTTAACTCTCATCAACTCACAACCATCTCATCAATCTTTAATTCCCATACTGCACTGTGATTTTTTCATTTGTCATGCTATGTGATGCTGTGCATTTTCACCTTTTATGTTTATCTTTGTCTTTTCTCTTCAAATGAGCCCCTTGAGGGCAAAACCTATGGTATCATGCTTTTTCATAGCCTTAGGCCAAGGCAAGACCCTATAGTGCTACCTTCTAATGCATTTTGGTGATTATCTAGATCTTTAATAGTACCCATCAGCACATTTCTCTTCCTATTAAAACATCACAGAAAGAATACAATGTCATTTGATGTGAATGCAGAGCTGGCATCCGAATTAAAACCTTTTATGGTAACATCGGAGCTTTGCTGAAAGTAGAGAAATAATAGCAGTGCAAAAATGCGGACTTATGGACAAATAATCTTTTGCAACATTTTTGGGGGGAGAGTTTCATTTGAATTCAAAATTTGACAGTGGCTGGAAAAGACCGTGTTTAAGGAAAGATATACAAGCTTGGACACATCCAGATACATCCCATCCACCTGTTGTCTGTTACCCCTCACAATGCAACACTCTCTAAAATGCCTCTAGTACATATGTCTAGAACAGTGTGGTCCAACTGAAATGTAAGGTGATCCTATAAATGCAATTCACATAGGTCATTGACATTTTTCTTTTAGCCACAATAAAAAAATAAAAGGATTGGGAGGCAGAGGCGAGTTGATTACCTGAGGTCAGGAGTTCGAGACCAGCCTGACCAAGATAGTGAAACCCTGTCTCTACTAAAAATACACAAAAAAATTAACTGGGCCTGTTGGCGGGCACTTATAATCCTAGCTATTTGGGAGGCTGAGGCAAGAGAATCGCTTGAACCTGGCAGGCGGAGGTTGCAATGAGCTGAGATTGTGCCACTGCACTCCAGCCTGGGCAACAGAGCAAGACTCTGTCTAAAACAAATTAAATTAAATTAAATTAAAATTTAAAAAAATAAGTAAAAGGAAACAGATTAAATTCTTTTTAATAATATATTTTATTTAACCAAATATATTGAAAATATTATTTCAGATTGTAATCAATGTAAAAATTCATAAATAGTTTACATTTTTTATCACACTAAGTCCTCAAAATCTGGTGAGTATTTTACACTTTTGTCATATCTCAATTTGTACTCACTACATTTCAAGGACTCAGTAGCTAGTAGCTAATGGTTACCTTTTGGAGAGCACAGGTTTCTAGGCTGACTTCTACAGCTGGTTTTCCTGGTGTGTGTGTGTGTGTGCAGTGTATGTGTTTCTGACATACGGGTTTTTACAGCAGTTTCCCTATGGTCCCTCATCCTGTTTGATGACAGACTTTCAGAATAGAGCCCATGGACCTTGGCTATCATATGATGTATTCTAACGTACATATAACATTCATGTATTCTATTAATATCATGTATACTTTTCTGCCCAATGTGGGCTCTCGATAAGTGCTACTTTTCTGAAAATTGGGAGTGTGTAGAAAAAAATAGCATCTTCTGCATTAAAAAGCAACTAAAAATAAACATTTAATTTTTAATTAGAAAGATCTCAAAGAAATGGGCACCTGTAAACCTTCTCGGGAAACTTTATTTTTATTAAAATTACGGGCTATTTTGTTTGTGTATTCTGGGTTCTGCCTTTTACAGCTCCTTAGAAAAACAGTGAGTACTTGAAGTCTTGTTATTTTTTTTCTTAATTTCAAAGCCTAAATGGAAAGTATGAGTTGACATGAACTTTTCTGTCCTTTCCACTGTGTAGGGGAGCTGAAGTTGTGTATTGCATAAGACCAGGGCCTTGGAAACAGATAAGCTACAGATTAAATCCCAGATCTTCACTTTACTAGCTGTGTGACTTTGAGCACTTTCACTGATCTCAATAAGCCTTTGATTATTTTGTTATACAAATTTCCTCTTTTGTAAAGCTGAAGTGTTCATGTTTGTTTTTACTCTTAAAAGTATCTTGAATCCAATTATTCTTCTCAAATTCTATCATTAACATCTTAGTCAAGCAACTGTCAACTCTTGTATTAATTACCTGAAAGCATGCTTTTTCCTGTTTCTATGTATCCCCACCTACAAAACAATTTCTCCACAGTAGCCAGAGGTTTTTCATCAAGTGCACATCTGATTTTATGCAGTTTACTAATGACTGCTGAGATGAGCCACTCATTTCTATTGATGATTGGTTTTTGTTTTCGCAGCCAGAAGATGCCAGTGTTCTGTGCTTTAGTTAAACCCCAGTTGGTATTTCTTCACTGACATTTTCCTTTCCTCTTGATTACTATTATCAGTCTCAAGAAAAGCAAGATTGTTTAAAATCTATTTTTAATTCTCCAACTTTGAATAAATTATTCATTATAAAAATCACAAAAACTAGTCAATTTACCCACGAATCATAGAATACCCAGTACTATTCCTTTATCAGTTATTAGATAGATTTCAGGTAGACAATGAGGGCCAATACCATAATTCACTTGCTGCTGAGAATGAACAGTGGTTGCTCGTACACTACCAAGTTTGCCTCTTTGGGTCTCATTCTTTGCCTATTCAGTTTAGCAGCTCCTGCACTGGATACTTTCCATATCCCTCCAAGCCCATCTCTTGTTCTTCTCCCACGAAATTGCAATATTTATGAATGTCTTCCATCAATTCTTCCTTGACTATGTGCTTTTACTCTGATTTATTTTGTTTTACATAACATTGTTTTATGTCCATTTGCCTCATATAAATCCTGATTCAGTTCTTCCATGCATGAAACCATCCTTAAATTAAGCCCGGTGGCTGTTACTCTGCTATCAAGTTCTTGTCACTCATTTCCAAATTCTCATTTTAAACCCTTTGAGTACACTGATAGGGATGTTACAATGCACTGTTCTTAAGTCTTTTCTTGTGCTTACACTGTCTCCCCAAATGAAGGGGGAGGGGGGTGACAGCATAAATGGCAAGAGATTGTCTCTCTTTTTTCCCTTCCATTTCTTTTGTGATGTAAACAATGCCTTGGAGACTGTTCTACTCAGCATACGAACTTATTATTTAGGAAATAGTGAATATATCATAGCCAATATTTTGAGCACCCATTATTTCAGGCACATAAATACATCACCTTCCTTCCTCCCTTCTTTCCTTCTTTTCTTCCTTCCTTCCTTCTTTCCTTCCTCCTTCCCTCCCCTCCTCCTTCCCTCCCCTCCTCCTTCCCTCCCCTCCTCCTTCCCTCCCTTCCTCCTTCCCTCCCTTCCTCCTTCCCTCCCTTCCTCCTTCCCTCCCTCCCTCCTTCCCTCCCTTCCTTCCTTCCTTCCTTTCTTCCTTCCTTCCTTCCCACCTTCTTTCCTTCCTTCTCACTCTGTCACCCAGGATGGAGAGGAGTGGCATCATCATAGCCCACTGTAACCTCAAATGCCTGGGCTCAAGCAATTCTCCTACCTCAGCCTCCTGAAGAGTTGGAACTATAAGCTGTGCCACCATACCTGGCTAATTTTATTTTTTGTGGAGATGGGATCTTGCTAGGTTGCCCAGGTGGGTCTCAAACTTCTGGCCTCAGGTGATCTTCCCACCTCGGCCTCCCAAAGTGCTGGGAAAACAGATGTGAGCCACCACACCAGGCCTCACAGAAATTTTTTTTCTGCATCAGTAGCACACAAAGCTAGTACATTTCTTTTACAAGTTGCATCCTATTCTGTATTATGAATATAATATAAATTTATTAAACAATATTCCTATTGATGATCACTTTGGCTACTTTCAAATTTTCAAGCAATTAACAAAATACTGCTATGAACATACCATGCCTTTGAGGATTTATGCATCTATAATCTGGAAAAAAAAGTTTTTAGATGTGGGATTTATACATTTGCACCTGCAAAATGGCAATATTTATTTAAAACTTCAGTGGTTTCAAAGTGTGCATGCCTTGATAGTTTAGATATACTTCCGCTTCTTCTTGCTGGGACATTAAAAAAGCAATCGTAATAAATAAGACTTGATGACGAGGGCAATCACAGTGCTGGGAATGGTGGTTGAAGAAGATACAGAGGGTAAACTTTATCATCTCAAGATGATGTAAATCGACTATTTGATTAAACCACTGAAAATATATGTTAGATCGTGTGTGTGTGTGTATGATTATATATATATACACACACACACAGTATATTATATATATATAATATGTATATATATATATACATACATACATATATATGTATATATATATGATATATATGATATATATCATATATATATACACACTTTACACACACACACACACACACACACACACACAACTTTACAAAGACCTCACAGCAGTTAAGTGGTGCAGACAGGAGCTAACCCCAGTTTTGAATTTCACCATAGCCCATCCTCTTTGGGTCTTTTTTCAAGGGTTCCAAACTGGTTTAAATTTTGGCTAATTTCTCAGTTGCTGATCAGGTTCTTTATAATAATAGAAAAAAGTATATTTTATAAAATACTGAAGAACCTAGATATTGGGGCTAGACAGTCATTTGGTCCTGGGAGACTTTCATATTTCTGAGCTTTTTGTGACCATTTTGTAATTGTTTTTATCTAGGCTCCCACTAACTTACAATTTCCTTTTCTTTTGTTAATTTATTCCCCCTTTCTCATTCTTTTCTTCTTTCTCTATTTTTCTCTTTATTATCAGCATATTGTCATTGCTGTTACCAACCATATTGTCTTGCTAGTAAGAATTAGATTAAGAAGTATATTTGATGCCTACCTTTTTTTCCATTTTGGCATTGTCCATATAAGTCTCAGCATTTTTAAATGATGTGGTATATTGTATGCTAAATTACATTGCCAGATGATACCTTGGCAATATCTGTAAAACGGATGTATTTACAGAATAAATGTAATAAGCACCATAGAGTAAAATGTAGATTATAGCCGATGTATGTGAGGAAAATAAGTGGATTTACTCTGAATCAAAAGCCCTCCTCCAATATCACAACTTTTAAAAGGGATATTAGAAAATAGAATGTTCCATCTTTGCCTTGCACAGTTAAATAGAATGTACCTTTCAAAATATACCTTGTTGTATAATCTTGTTTACTGAAAATTTACTTATGATCTTCTCACTAATTAGATATATCTTTGTGAAACACCAAAGTGGTCAGCTGACAAGACAAACTTGCCTCTTTATAGGCCCATTGTCTCAAACAATTCTTCTTGTTTTCACCCCAGACAATTTGCCTTCTATCAGTTTTCTTCGTGTTGTAATTGCAAAAGCATGAACTCTGGTTTCAGACAGATCTGAACTTAATCCTGGGTTTGATACTCATTGGATGATCTTAGGCCATTTATTCAACTTCTCTAAGTCTCGGTTTCCAATCAGATAACCCAGGGACATTCTCCTTGTCTGTGTTAGACAGCCAAATCTCGTAATAATTATTAGGAGGATGTAAGCAATGTCTCTGTGTCTATAGAATTTGCTTTTAGACATCTCTTATACAAAAACAGGTCATTGAGCCATGCCTGAAATATGGTCAGATAAGGCCTACACATAACTATGGGTCTATTTTTGCTTTCCTTCTCCTTCCTTTCACCCTTATCTTATACAAAAAGATACATAAAGTCTATGATACAGAGAACCAGCCCTTAATTAGCTCATCTGTAAAATCGATGTTTTCATTGCCAGCTGTTATTTAATCCACTTCATGTGTGAGAATGGCATTCCATAAAGAACCAGTTTGCATACTTTTAGGATCAACCACTTGGGACAAACTGTGCTGTAGTTGCACTTGGTCTGCCACACACATTGTTTCACATCTCAGATCTCACATCTTCTCTACCTCATGGGGTTAACGTCTTTCTCTTAGGACGCAAACACTTGAAAGAAAAGTTGAACTTATGATGCAGAAGCAAAACCAGAATGAGTCCAATATTTAAGCTGTGAACACCTATACAAATATTTCAATAATTGCAAGCCTCATTTATTATGAATCATTTCATAGATGTGGGCAGAGGGAAATTTTGAAGATGACGCAGAAGCATACGGAAAACAGATGCGGAGCAGTCAGGATTACTGGATCCTGATAAATGCTTGAAAGTTACTAACTACAGTGACCTGTGTATAAACCTAGAAGGAAGAGAATGAGAGGAACAATCAGTGTTCAATATGTGTTTAGTAAGTGCCAGATACTGGGCCACACAACCTAAATGTATTTGACACCCGCAGTGATTCTGGGCTGTTGGCACTCTGATCATCATATTCCCACTTTGTGGATAGGTAAAATGAGACTCGGCTGATGTAATCTTATCACAAGTATAACAATCGTGTAGCTGGAATTCAAATGCTAAAGCACCTAACTATCATACTGGGTTCAAAAGGAAAAAGATAAAGTGTGAAAGCTGGCAAGTTAAGAGAGGCAGAGGACAGAAACCTGTAACAGCAGGCTTTTAAATTTTTCTTCAAAATAGGACCCAGTTTGAGGTGAAGTGTTTCTCTGACAAAAGTAATATGCAATTATAAAAACAAAAACAATGTTGGATTAGGGATAATTACTTTATAGAATATAAAATGGGATAGAGCATTTACCAAAAACAAAACAAAACAAAAAAACCTGGACAACAGAAAGGATGCTAAAGTGAACCAGGATGTGAATGCGTGGAAGAGGGTGGTTAATTTCATGGGAGCACACATATGAAGCTAGCTGCAGAGAGGAGGATGGCGATGATTAGCACTGATTCCAGTGCGTATTAGAAAAAGACTGTTCTTTCCAGGAGAAGGGGCATGACAGAGCCAGCGCTTGGGCAGGCAGGGACTAATGGTGTCTTTAGTGGTTTATACAGGCTTCTATTTTACATCATTCCTTTTGTTACTTTTTTCTTTATTCTTCTTCTAACAAAATATCTGTCAAAAAAAAAAGGGAAAACCTCAGTTGCAAGATAAATGCGCTTTAGAAAGTACACATAACTATTATGTGAATCCAGAACTCATTGCCTACTTACCTATCATGAGAGAGATGAGATGTGGGATGGTATTTTAAATTGTACACACTTA
The DNA here is from genome assembly GCF_000001405.40 of Homo sapiens. Taxonomy (NCBI): domain Eukaryota; kingdom Metazoa; phylum Chordata; class Mammalia; order Primates; family Hominidae; genus Homo; species Homo sapiens. The sequence continues at coordinate 121,239,497 of NC_000008.11, forward strand.
ATACAAATCAGATTTGCAAAAATAATAAGAAACAGAAAAAAGTAACTTTTATATTTTTTATATATTAAACTTCTTCAATCTCCCTTTAAAACTTTATTATAAAACTTTAAAACTTTAGCATGCCAATTCAAGGTAACAATCTCCTCCACTTTTTAAGTTTCATTTTACATAAATATTCTGCCAGCGTAAACTTCAGATTCTCTATCAGAGCTGATTTGCTCATCCAAAGAGTCTCTCAGTCCCCTCTTGAGATGTTGTCTTGTTGTAAGGGGTAAATTACCTAAACTGTCTCTGCCTCAATTTCTTAATCTGTAAAATGGAGAAGAGTGTTACTTACCTCAGAAGGTCTCTTCAGATAGTTTGAGTTAAACATACATGAGAATATTTATCATTTAGCATATTTAGTATTTCATAATTTTAGGATTTAAATAAGATAGAAAAAGCATGGCATATAACCAACCCAATAGATGCTATTTTTCTTTCCTCTTTCTTTTCCCCTGGAATTTAGTCTTTCACCTCTGCCCTTGTTTTTGAAGGTTGTGCAAGGATGTGGTATGATAGAATCAGGCTTGGAGAGCAGCAAGAAATAGAAATGTAGGATTTAATTTGCCAATTCCACACACTGGGAAGAGTTCTACAGTGCCAGCCTACTGATCAAAGCTTCTAAAAGCATGGTTTTCCAAGGACTGTGGTTGATGCTTTACTTAGGGATGTTTCTAGGAAAGGAGGGGTGTGTAGTCCTCAAACTGATATCAACTACTTGCAGGACCCCTGGAAATTTAGGGAAAAAAAAATCTGATTATTGGACTAAGCAATGTGAGGTCTGTTACACATACAAAAGTGGCTGTAGAAAGGAGGTTATCAATGATTAGAGTGGATCCCAGAAGTGTACTGCATTAGAAAAACCTCTTGCATTTTTCAGAAGGAGCCCACAGAGGCTCTCTTGATTAGCCAGAGACTGATGGTTTTCCCACAGCTGGGAAAGCAGCTCAATTCCTTCTGAAATGATAGAAGACTCCAAACATTTTCATGAAACATTTTCTGCATTAGTTAGCTCATGCTGTGTAGCAAGAAACCACCCCAAAACTTCATGGCTTAAACTGACATCCATGTATTTGGTTTACAATTTGAGTCATCAATTTGGGTTATGCTCAGCTGAATGTGGCAGGATGACTCATGTGTCTGAGGTCAATTCCTAGGTCATCTGGGAACCAGTTGGTCTTGCAGGGGCCTCAGCTGAGATGAGTTACTTGACTGCTCATGAAGTCTCGCCCACTCCAGCAAGCTGGACTGGACTTGTTCCTTTGGTGGCAGAAGGGAGAACATTTAGAGGGTTCAGGGAATCTGTTTCTTTAAAGAGGACAAAAATATCTCATAATCAAATAAGGCTTCATGTCTATTTTGCTCTTTTAAAAATGAATCTTTTTTCCTCTAGTTCTAAGTTGCAAGTTGTTCTATTATTAATCTGAAAGGAGAATGTGATTGAATTCAGTTTCAGATTTACTCCAAAAACACTGTAGGTGAGCACAGACCAAAGCTGCCTCAGTCTCCTTAGGATACCTGGCCTGACCATTTTGCTCATAAAATTATCCTTCATTACATGGATAACAGATCAAATATATACTAATTCAGAAGTGTAAAATATTTAAAAGGTTGGATTCCTTCCTTTGATCATGAGAAGAGAAAGCTCAAACTTGACGGAGCAAATATGGCAAAGATAACTGTGGTACTGCTGTTGAAATAGCCTGCGATGCTAAAAGCTGCCTTGACTTGATTGTGGAAGGACCTCACCTAGCACAGTAATATTTAGGTCATTTACATTGTAAACTGGAAGGCACAAATCTAAGAGATCTCAGAAGCAGGGGAAGGAGTTTATAAGACAAAAAAAAAATAAGGTGAGGTAGCAGGAAGGAGAGGGAGAACACAGATAGTGAGAGAAAGAGAAAATTAAAAATGGAAAGTAGAAAGTAAGGGGGTAAAGGGAAGGGAAACCCAACACAGTTGCAGTTCTGTAGCAGGAAAAGATTTTAAGCAACACCTGGGCTTTGTCCTCAAGATGTTCTTGCACCTACCATGTCTAGAAATAGGAGGAAGAGATGGGCAGAGCCAGGACTAAGAGGAGGTGAATATGGCATTTACTTTGGGTGCCAATTTCAAGGGGGCACAAAAACATCTCAGTAATCAAGAAATTTATATTTTATGAGATACATTAAAAATGTCAAAATTAACACAAATCTATGATGAACAATATATTAAAATTTTTCATAAAAAGAGGATTAGCATTGTTGATTTTCCTGTTGTTTCAAGTTTCCAATATGGCTCCGCATGGAACCCTTTTATTTAGAAACTTAAAGTCGCTCATCATGATTTTTGCATTATTTTGTATTTTAAAATTTTTCATTAAAATATTATTTCTCTTGATTACTGAGTTTTTCTTGTGCCTTTAAATTTTGTACCTGCCTTATTCGCCTCCCTTTAGGCCCTGAATGGGATGGGAGGGTGAAATAACCTGATCTAGTAGTGGTTAAGTATGAGGACTTTGGATCCCACTGCTTAGACTGAACCCCACTACTCTGCATTGTAGCTCTCTCTATTCATGCTGTCAGAACTTGGGCAAGTTAATAAACCTGCACTCTCAATGTTTCTGTAAAATGGAGGTAAAAATAATCCTTCCTCATAGAAGGATTGTGAGGACTAAATGGATTAATAACATGAATATATCTAAAATAAAATAATTCCTGAATATAGCAGGTGCTTTAAAAAGGGTCAGTGCTGAGGATTAGGGCTGTCTGTTCTGATGTCAACCCAAAGCATGTGGGTAGTGCTGCCTAATACCTCATTATCATTAAATGCCACACATATGTCTTTTCCACATACATGTTCCTCCCCCTGCCAAATACGTCTATGAAAGACATAGTTTCATTTCTGATTTTGTGATCTGTAATTTTCATGTAAACCTTACAAAAGTGTTTCTTAATTTTGCTTGAATATTAGATATATCTAGGAAGATTTTTTAAATCCCAGTGGCCAGGCTGCATTCTAGAAATTAACTAGAATCTTGGAGGGAGAGAACTAGGCATCAGTATTTTTTTTCAGTTTCCACGGTAATTTTATTGTAGAGGTAAATTTGAGAATCACTGCCTTGGAGGCTGCGTGCTGTATGACAGTACAGGTGTGGGACTAAGATATGTCTAAGCATCATTGCAAGTTCTACCCCTTGTTGACAGGGTAAACTTGAGTTATAGTGTCTAAACATCTTTTCTAATCAGTAATAAGAAAAAAAATATTGGGATGAGGGTGTGGCATGTAGTACGTGGATATTAAATATTACTTTTCTCTATGTTCCCCAACATTTTGTTTTCTCCTTTCCCTTGTTCCTTCCTCCTTCCTCCTCATTCTCTTCTTCTTATCTCTCTTCTTCCCTTCAGCCCTCAAGCATTCATGAAGCACATACAACGAAGCAGAATTTTTACTATGCCCTGACAGTGTGAAGGTGAATGACCCATACTGAAAAGACTCACCAATTGAGAGAAGGGAATTACATGTAAATGAAAGACAGTAAGGAAGCAAACAGTATGACTACAGTGGTTCTGATATTCAGAACCTCTTGATGGAATCTCTTGTGGGAAGTCAGAGAATATCAAGATTTCCCAAGGCTGCACTAAACCCTCTGTTTTTAAAATATATTATTGTTAAATAGGCAGAAGGACCGTTAGGGTCAAACCAATAAAACAGAACAAAAGGATGATAATACTCCTACTGTGTTTGAGTAATAGAAAAACACGCACAGTCAAAATAGAATGTAGTAAAGAACAAACATGGTTCTCTTATTTATTCCTACAACAGATTGTGATGTGATCAAAATGACAAATTGTGTCACTTCAGTGAGAGTTTCCTGTGAGACTTTGAGAACACAACGAATTAAATTTAATGTAGAATTGAGTAAGAAAAGTTGGTTATAAAGAAGTAGTACAAGCACCAAAATAGAATTTGGAGAATGCCAAGACATCAAAAGCCATGTTATCATAAACATGTCTACTAAACACACTAATCGATTGACTAATTTTTACACGAAGGGAATTTGAAAAGATCGTTTTATGTATCCTGTTATAATTCAGAAAAAAAAATTATCATGATTTTTATAATACTTTACCTGAGAAAATTTCTTTTGAATGCCTAAGAAGAGATCCTGTGGAGAAGCAACATCCTCTGTGGATACAATTGTTAAATAAATAATATTTATTATATGATTACTGATATAGTTTGGCTGTGTCCCCACCCAAATGTCATCTTGAATTGTAGCCCTCATAATTCCTAGGTGTTCTGGGAGAGACCTAGTGAGAGATAATTGAATCATGGGGGCTGTTTCCCCCATACTGTTCTCGTGGTAGTGAATAAGTCTCATGAGATCTGATGGTTTTACACAGGGTTTCCCCTTTCGCTTGTCTCTGATTTTCTCTCTTGCCTGTGGCCATGCTTTCACCTTCCACCATGATTGTGAGGCCTCCAGAGCCACGTGGAACTATGAGTCCATTAAATCTCTTTTTCTTTATAAATTACCCAGTCTCGGGTATGTCTTTATCAGCAGGATGAGAACGGACTAATACAATTACTATGTGTAATGGGTAATACCAACCACACATTTTCATAGATACGTTATGCAATTATTACAAAAGCCTATGAAGTAATACTAATATTTGCCTCATTCTCAGATACGGACAAGGCAAAAAGGAGTACAATACATTGAACAAGATAACACAGTGAGCGACTGAGGTGCAATTTCAAGCCACACAGTCTAAATTCAGAGTCTGAGCCCTAATTCTTAAATGTAAAGGCTGTATTACATCATTCCATGGAGGCTTGCTATTCAAAGTGCGGCCCATAGTCCAGCATCATCACCACCAATGAAGAGCTTGATAAAATGCAGAGTCTCAGGCAACAACCTAGACCTACTGTACTGAAATCTGCATTTTCACAAAATCCCATGCGGATTCAGATAGGCATTAAAGTTTGAGAAGCACTACTATGGAGAAGCTCAGAACAATAATACTTTTGCACTAGGTCACGAAATATGTCTACTGAGCGATAACAGTCTTTGCTGGAAAAACTCCAAAGATATTTTCAGGTTTAGTTCTCTGCTTCCAAGCTTATCTTGTCAAGTTGATAATTCCATGGTGTTCTTAAATCCCTTTAGGGATTATAATTCTTCACTCAATTTTTAAAGTGTTGCCTGAAGGTGGTCCTGTCTCTACTCCTAAATGGGTTTCAAGGAAAGAACCATCCTGGCACATGCTATAAGGTTCAGTGTCTCAGAGAATGAATAGACGCAAAATAACAAAAGCAGAAGTCACAGCCTCAGACTTCACCAGCAGTTTCTTTCCTACTTAAAACAAGTATAACTAGTATTTGGACTGTGCTTTACAGTTTACAATAAAATTTTACACACACACACATATATAATTTGAAGTTGAAATACTTCAAATTGGAATATTTACCAAGGATTACAAAGTCTCTTAGGTATCTGTAAAGTCCTATGTTTGCTTGTGAATCACTTCACTGCGCTTCTATAAACTAACCGGCAGTAAGCTTGTTCAAGGAATCTGATGTGGCTGTAATCTTCAAGAAACCGTTTCAGAAGGCAAAGAAAAGCAGACTAAAATCAAAGAAAAGAAAGCTGTAGCTGACAGTTAGAGATCTTAAATTGCATAGTTATTTAGTGTTTCCAGTTTTCAGATTTCAGAATAAACTATAGGTCATATTCTGAATGAGTATATGCATTAAATAACATATAAATATTGGTACACTTAAAGAGGGAAGTGAATGTTTTAGGATGTCTAAAGACATCTTTGCAGGGAATTCAGAGAATATGTGCCAGACAAAGAGGGCCAAGAGGAATTTTTTGCTAATTAGTGAGGAAGCTTCTTACAAACATTAGTTAGGTACTTCCTTCTATTACGTAAGTTGAAATGCTTCTTATTGAAAGTGAAGTTCATATTCACCAAGTGTATCCTGAGTGAGCCTTACAAGATCAGAGGTCAATAGAATGAAACAAACCTGCCCTAGAGCCCTAGTTCCACGTTTTATTAATTTAGATGGCCTTAGTAGGCTGCTTAATATTTCTTTTTTTATTTTTATTTTTTTATTATTACACTTTAAGTTCTTGACATTACACACCAGGGCCTGTTGTGGGGTGGGGGGAGGGAGGAGGGATAGCATTAGGAGAAATATCTAATGTAAATGACGAGTTAATGGGTGCAGCACACCAACATGGCACATGTATACATATGTAACAAAAGGCTGCTTAATATTTCTAAGCTTCAATTTCATCGCCTGTAAGATGAAGATCCTAAGAGCACATACCTTCTCTGTTTACTGTGAACATTAAGTATAATTTAATGACCATGGCTTGTATATACTGAGACCTCATTAAAACAATTCAGCAAAGATTTTTGAGTATCTACACTGTAGCAGGTCCAAGCACTACAAAAATAAGACACAATACCATTCCTATCCTCACAGGGCTTGCGCTCTAGCAGAGGTCATTATTGGCATAATCGCATCAGCAAATGTAAAATTGCTCTGAGAGCTTACAAAAGTGTTTGACCTGTTCACAAAGACTTTATTAGAATTAGGCTAAACAATCTCAGAAATATTTGCCACTCTTCACAATGCCCCTGCCTTGTGCATACACGGCAGATGAAGAAGCACCAGAGATGAAAGGTGGAAGAAAGAATCTTGAATACCATTCATTGTGAGTTCTGGCCATTTCTTTTGCAGGAGCTTGACTCATTTGTGAGCCAGGCATCTAAGCTATTATCAAATAATAAAGGAAGCATGAGTTTTTGCCATAATATTTGTGCAATTTGAAGATGGGTAGGACCTCTTATGGCTGTATTCAGATGTGTGGGCAGGAGGAAGTGACTGCTCTCAAAGTGTTCCCTATCCCACTCAAAGAAAAAAACATTTTTATTATGTCTGCTTTCTCAGAGGATATAATCTAGTAGCTACCCTCATTTTTTTTATGCTTTTTTTTTTTTTTAAGTAGAAATGAGGACAGGAACACTGTCCTTCTGAAGCTCCTCTCTGTCAAAGGACTTCTGGGATTTCCAGCATGTGGAAGAAGATCAGAAAGTCTCTGCAGAACCTCTGCCAAGTTGCTAGAGTCAGAGACTCTTCCCACACTCTCCTGGGTCTCGTCAATTCTTATCAAAGATGCAGGGGTGGCAGCAGCCACTTTTCAGCTTCAGAGAAGGAAGCAAATGGTTTACAGGAAAAGAAAGCCAACACGGGGAAGCACAAGACTGCTGTCAAGTGTCATTTATCCTGTCTCTGGCCATCGAAGAGGCTTAGGCTTGTGTGGAAATGGGTGTCGAGGCCAGCACCTCTCAGCAAAATGAGAGCCATGGAGAGAAATGTTTATTTCTGTGTATACTTTGCAAAAGTTGGGTGGTTAGGATCCAGAAATTAAGGGAACTATGTTGGGTCAAATTTTCAAGCCACTCGACCTTCCTTAGTTCTGTCTTTAAAATCTAGCCCCATTCATTCAGCATATAGGATCCCTGCATGGCAAGCAAAACCCAACCTCTGGCATCAACGCACTGAAGGCTTCTTGGAGGGCTTACAAAGCATTGTGAAGCGTTAAATGTAAATGAATCAGGAACACATGGATTCAATTTCCCTGGAAATTCACATGTGCTTGGAAATGAAGGGGGGTAGTGTCTGGCCAAATGTGCTGTGATTTATCTGACCCCACAATATACCCCTCCGCTCTCTTTTCCTCCTCTGAAAATCATTCAAAACTTTGGTTAATGTCACACCATGGCTGAGTTCTTTAGAATCTTGAAGCCTGGAGTGGTTTGAGTTCCTGAAATGCTCCACTGAGTTAAAAAGGGCATTTAGAGAGCCTTCCCCTCTTCCTCCCACTCTTCCCTCCCCAACCAAAGATTCTCACATGGTTTTCTTCTACTTAATAGGGCTGAATTAAGGCAGGGATGTGATGATGTTAGTTCGATCACAACACTAACTACCTATTGCAATCCGTGGAAGTCTTCACTTTCTGCAACATACATTTTCATTCACAAGATGTTGGCATAAAAAAAAAATTCTGCCAGTGCAAATCAGGTTTATTTTATTTTATTTTTAGAAAACTATCACTTAGATAAAGGAGTTGAATTAGCCCTTTGTCCGATGAATAAATTGCAAAAATTTTCTCCTATTCTGTAGGTTGCCTGTTGACTCTGATGATAGTTTCTTTTGCTGTGCGGAAGCTCTTCAGTTTAATTAGATTCCATTTGTCAATTTTGGCTTTTGTTGCCATTGTTTTTGGTGTTTTAGTCATGAAGTCTTTGCCCAGGCCTATGTCCTGAACCAGAAATACCATTTGACCCAGCAATCCCATTACTGGGTATATACCCAAAGGATTATAAATCATTTTACTATAAAGACACATTCACATGTATGTTTATTGCAGCACTGTTCACAATAGCAAAGACTTGGAACCAACCCAAATGTCCATCAATGATCGACTGGATAAAGAAAATGTGGCACATTACACCATGGAATACTATGCAGCCATCAAAAAGGATGAGTTCATGTCCTTTGAAAGGACATGGATGAAGCTGGAAACCATCATTCTCAGCAATCTAACACAGGAACAGAAAACCAAACACCGCATGTTCTCACTGATAAGTGGGAGTCGAACAATGAGAATACATGGACACAGGGAGGGGAACATCACATGCCAGGGCCTGTTGGGGGGTGAGGGGTTAGGGGAGGGAGAGCATTAGGAGAAATACCTAAGGTAGATGGCAGGTTGATGGGTGCAGCCACCCACCATGGCACATGTATACCTATGTAACAAACCTGCACATTCTGCACATGTATCCCAGAACCTAAAGTATAATTTTTTTAAAAAAAGGAGTAGAATTATACAGGCATCACCCTCATTACCATCATCAGCAACATCACATTTATTTACTGTTTTAAAGTTTCAGAACATCTTTGTTAATCATCACATTTACTGGCCATAACATCTGCCTGCACTGAGTATTCAAGATGGAATCATTTAGAGCCTACTTAGGGTTATTGGGCAGAGAGATACCTTAGTCTAAGAGCTGGGGCCAGGACATCAGAAAAAAAAAGACTTTGAGTCTCCTAAGTTTTGATTAATGGTGATAATAAAAGTTATAAGGGTTTATAAGGGTGATAAAAAATATTTGGGTAATAACAAAGCAGCTGGATGAAGCGTCCACACTTTTGGGTCTTCGCCAGCATTAACTGGTTTTACCTTTGTCCTTCTGCTCCTTCTTGGGCCAGTTGGTGACTACAAACTATCTTGGGCCTGTCCTCACTCTTCCTGGCTCACTTTTTCTCTGCCCACCTGGCTAACATTGTCTTGGTATCTTTCATTTTTTCCATAGATTTCTTCCACCGGTTGTGATTTTGTCCCAGGAGAATGTGTGCACACGGTGGCCACCAGAGGGAGCCCTTCAGCGACAGAGGATGAGAGCTGCAGGATGGTAAGGGCTCATGCTGGGAAACTTCAGTAATTATTATCATGGACCATTCTTAGCCTCTCTTTATATGCCTCAGCCAAACTGCCTCCTTTCTTTTCCTGTCCATTTTACACTTCCACCCAGACTCTCTTCACCCAGCATCACGGATGACTGACTTCTGGAATCCTCAAAGTTCTGGTTTATCACCTTTTCAAAGAGGCCTACCTCTGATCCCTAGATCATTTTCATAGATCCTTTTATGTTTTTGTTTTGCTTTGTTTGAGACAGAGTCTTGTTCTGTCGCCCAGGCTGGAGTACAGTAGTGCGATCTCAGTTCACTGCAACCTCTGCCTCCCGGGTTCAAGCAATCCTCCCTGCTCAGCCTCCCGAGTAGCTGGGATTACAGGAGTGTACCATCACACCCAGCTAATTTTTGTATTTTTAGTAGACACGGGGTTTCACCATGTTGGTCAGGCTGGTCTCGAACTCCTGACCTCAGATGATCCACCCATCTTGGCCTCCCAAAGTGCTGGGATCATAGATCCTTTTATGAAATGAAGGCCCCACACTCCCTTGACTTCTGTTTGCAATAAACAATCCTGCTTACTTCCTTTATAACATACTGTGATCTGCACTGATATTATTGGTTTGTTTGCTTGTTGATGCTCTTTCTCTCTTCCTAGTACTGAGCTCTCTCTTGTGGCTAGTGATAGCTTTTGACTTGTGCATCACTAATTTCCTCAATGCCTAGAAAAACTTGGCATATAGTAGTTAATCAGTAAAAAAAAAAAATTACTGTTAATGGATTATTCTAGTGAGAAGTCCAAATGCTGAAGATACTGTCTTTTCAGAGAACAGATTCTTTTCATGGTGTTGTCATTGAACATGCCAGCCAGTGATGAATTCAGATATCACAAGTATGATATGTGTTACAAGAGGGGGAAGTATTAAAACAGTACCATCTGCAATGATGGAAATGTATCTTAAGTAAAGGATCACAAGTCATGTCAATCAAGATTTATTGGGTCATGTGAGAGTGTGTTAGGTATATAATTATTGAATTCATAACTATTTATACCCTAGATGAATACATAACATGTTTTCAAAGATAAATGAAAAATAAGATTTTTCCCCTATGGATATATGGAGAGATAAAGAGAAATAAAATCAAGAAAAATAAGGAAAAAGACAGGTATGAGTTTATTTTACTGCTCAAAATATATGCCATAAATTCTCTGATATTGTGCTAAAGTGGGGTTGTAAGTTTTGTTCTGGCTTTCCTAGCAGCTTTCATAATGAGTAAAATATGATTTAGTATGTGATTTATAGGCAGGGCCAGCCACATAATTTGCTGGCCCCAGTGCAAAATGAAAATGTGTGGCCCCCTTATTCAAAACGCTGGAAAAATGCCACTAAATGTAATAAAACATGAGCCTTTTTTTCTTTATTCCATCCTTTCTTTCTCAACCTGTCATGGTGTTCGTTGTTTGTTATTTAATGGTGCACTCCTTTGGGTGTGGGGACACCAGCTGGGTGAATGCAGACTCTCACAGGCACTGGGAGCCTCACTCCTAACTTGGCTCACGTGGCCCACGTATTGCCAAGTTCTCCTTCCTGTTAGCCACCAAACCTACACACTGTGCCTCTCTGGGGCAGGAAGCCAGTCTGCCTTTCCATGGCCCTCTGTCTCAACCCGTAACGAATGGGTAACCTTCTAGGGATTGAAAATCCTGAATTGGGAATGAGTAATAGCCTTGCCTTACCAAATACATATCGTTCTGTCAGCCAGGGACACAGACCACCACTGTCTTGCCCCACCCTGAGACGCCACAGGGTACACACCATCCGACCCAGACCCTCCCCATGACATATGTGGATGCACAAACCCTCCCAATGTAAAGTGGTCACTGGCCTGCGAGAAGGAGGACAGGCAGTGCCTGAGATGCAAAGGGGCAGGAGGCATCAGCAGTGCGTAGTGGGGCTAGGATGGAGGAGGTCATGTACAGCCAGAGCAACAGAAACCAAGGCAATGGGAAGCCAAGTATCCATTCCAGGGAAGCCATGGGATGCAGAGCTGTGAGATGAGGCTCTAAGCCTGCATGCATCCTCTACTGTCCCATGCTACTCCTCTTACAGAATACAAACTGAAAGATAAAATCATTAAGAATTTCCAAACAGTGACTAGCTGCCTTGCTCCTTTCACCATGTGAGGACACAATGAGAAGACGCCATCTATGAACCAGGAAGAAGGTTCTCAATAGACTTTGAATCTCCTGGCCACTTGGTCTTAGACTTTCAAGATTCCAGAACTGTTTGAAATAAATTTCTGTTGTCTATAAACTATTTAGTTTATATATTTTGTGAGAGCCCAATGGGCTAAAACAGTGATGTAATTGGAGGTCCTTGGAATCTTACACCAGTGCAATAAAGTTACCATGTTTACATACCTGCATACATCATCATGATACTCCTTTCCAGTTGGAAGGGAAGATAATAAACACATAAATGAATAAAATAAACATCACCAGATAGTGAGTCCACAAGCTGTAGGAAACACTGGGGTGCTTTTTCACTCTTTGGATGTGCCTTTCTCATACTGCACCTACTTACACATCATTCATTCAACATCTTTCCATCCTTCATATTTCAGCTCCAAATCCCCTCTCTTAGGAAGACTTCCCTAAGACTACTTTCTCCTTTTACTTTTCCTTCATATTATTCACAGAGTTTGTAATTATGAATTTGTTTATATTATCATTTTACTGTCTATTTACCTCTGTCTAAACCAGAAGCTCTAAAGAGCAGGGGTATGTTTTGTCCTGCACTTTTTATATGTTCCTAGTAGCTAGCACAGTTATCCTAGCTTTTGTGGAAGTCGTATCTCCCTGCAATGGGAAAATTAAATTTTAAAATTGTATTGAAAACACACTATGTGCCAGAAATATTGCTAAATCCCTGTGATAACATGATGAACAAGACTCAAGATCCATGCTGCCAGGAGGGATGATTCTGTTCATTTCCAGACTTATAATCAATTTTTGTCTACTATCTCCCTGTTCCAACCATGTATTATGTTATACCTGTTGTTTCTTAAGCATAGACTGTCTATCCATCCTGCAATACTTTTTGATCAAAATATGTCCTCCTTCCAGATATTTTCTTTTCTTCCTTCCTTTTCCTACAATTTTGTTTGAATTCCATGTTGTAGCAGATTTCTAGTAGTCCCTAGAACAATTTCTTCTCTTTCAGTTGTAGATTTTAAGAGTGCATGACATTCTACCTGAAGACTACATGTTCCAGCCTCCCTATCTGTTAGGCGTGGGCGAGTCCTACATTCTTGCCAATGGGTAGGTGTGATGCTGCCACTTCCATACCATGGGCTCAAAAGGAAATTGTTTGCATTCCACTTCAAATGTGTGGACTCTTACTTTGACCTAGAATGTGAATGATTATGGTGGAAATTCACCTTCAACCTTGCAGGTGAAAACAAGTCCCCAGGGAAGAGCAGAAAAAGGAAACAACGTTAGGACATGGTTATATTCCAACCTTGTCTGCTGGCCTTCTTTGGGCTCTCTGGTGAGATAAAAATACAATTCCATCTTATTTAAGTCATCGTATTTTGGGTCCCTTTTTCTAGTAGTTAAATCCACACTCTAAGTAATACATATGTTTTCACAGCACATTAATCTGGACATAATCCATTCTCAGCTCCCTGTGGTAGGCAGAATGCTCCCCACCCCACCCAAAGATGTCCATGGAACATGTGAATATGTTATGTTACATGCCAAAAAGGGACTTTGCAAATGTAATTAAAATTGAGGATGTTAAAATAGGAATATTAACATGGATTATTTGAGTCTGCACAATCTAATCTCATGAGCCCTTAAAATCCAAGAATTTACAGCCTGGAAGCAGAAGAGATGCAGCTGAAGGAGAAGCCAGAGAGGTTAGAAAAGAGGAAAAAACTCAATGCACTATCACTGGTTTGAAGATGGAGAGGTCATGTGACAAGGAGGCCATATGACCAGCTTGAAAGAACTGTGAGAGGTTCCTAGATGGAATAGGGACCTCAGCCCTACAATCACAAGGAACTGAATTCTACCAAGAACTCTGAATGCTCTTGGAAGAAAATTCTTCTTCAGAGCCTGCAGATAGAAGGCCAGGCCAGCTGACACCTTGAGTTCAGCTTTATGAGACTTGAAGCAGAGGAACTAGCTGAGCCCACCTGGACTCATTTCAGATTTCTGCGAGATAACACATTTGTGTTGTTTTAAGCTGCTAAATTTGTGGTGATTTGTTATGACAATGCATGAGTTTCCTAAGGCTGCTGTAAGAAATAACAAAAACCTTGGAGGCTTAAAATAACAAAAATTTATTTTCTCACAGTTCTGCTGGCCAGAAGTTCAAAATCAAGGGGCTGGCAGAGCTGCACTCCCTCTGGAGGCCGTCAGGGAGAATCCGTGTCTTGATCCTTCCGGCTTCTTGTGGCTCTCCTGCATTTCTTGATGTTCGTTGGCTTGTGACCCTAGCGCTAATCTCTGCCTCCCTCTTCATATAGGCCTCTCCTCTGTGTATGTCTGTGTCTGATCTCCTTCTTCCTCCCTCTTCTAAGGCTCATGCGATTGTATTTAAGGCCCACTCAGATAATCCAGGATAAACTCCTCTTCTCAATATCCGTAACTTCATCAGCTCTTTTGCAATATTAGGTCATATGGAGAGGTTCTAGGGATCAGGAAGTGCATCTACCTTTGTGGAACAATTTTTTTCAGCTTACCACAGGCAGCGACAGAAAACACACTCTGCTCATTTTAAAGACTATAAAGACAATGACTAAAGATGTCACATGGCTTGCACACAGTCTGTGACGTGACTTCTTAGGGAAAAAGAAAAGCATAGGATGGGTTTGATTACTGGCTCCATCACCTATTCTAGGCAAATACTTGACCATTATTTGCCTATAAAATAGAGATAATAGTATCTATATTGCATGATTATGAGTAAATTATATAGTATACTATAAAGTATCAGGGCATGCTTAGCATATAGTAGATACTCAACAAATGGCTGCTATAATCATTATCATCATTCGATATAAAATAAGGTGGCAGTTTCTTTGTAACTTCCTTTTCCTCTGGTCACTTGTAGAATTTATCAGCTCTATTCATCATAATTTACTGTTTTCTCTATAACGTATGAATTTATTTATTTATAACTTTAAATATAGGCAGATTTTAAGACCTTTGAGTCAAGAATTAGGCTTTATTTTGGTTCCAGCTTTCCCTGCTTGGTAGATATTTAACAATGTTTGTGGATCATCTTTATTTAACAAAAACCCAGGTTGGAGAGCAGTCTCAACACATCACCTTCAATAGAAACAGATTCAATTGTGAAAGTGCTGAAAGACAAGGTAGATTTTTTGAGAGCTGAGTTAAACTGTAAGACTTCCCCCAAAATACCTTTGGCTTATTTATCTCCCCAAAAGTCTTTATCTCATGACAACTCCTTTTTTGTCTCTCTTTTCCCCAAATTTTGTCTTTCCTCTTTCCCAGTTTCTTCTTCTGCTTCTTCTCTCTCACTGATATTTTCTTCTCTAAAAGCCTCATAGCCTTTATGTTATGTGCTTTGATTTAGTATCTCATGGATTTTCCAAATACAGTTCTCCACCACTGACCACGATCAGCACGAAAATGGACTGAGCAAAGCCAACAAATAATTATTTGGAAGGAAGATGAGTCAAAATGATTACTTTTCTTCTATTGTTCTCATCATAGTCTTAAATCTTCTTTAAAAAAAAATCAAAGATAGGGAACAGAAACTCAAGGTAAAAACACTAACGTAGGGGTTATTGAACTGCAAACACAATGTGAAAAAACTTATTTGGGAGCATGTTCTGCTCTGGGGAAGGAAATGGCCTTAAGTAAGCACACTATTTGGTTCTTCCTGCTGAAACCCTGAAGTGCATGGAATGCATGATAAATCCACCAGTGCCATACAGAGTCCACAGCTTGAATGTTAGAATAAGCATTTGTACAATACCCTTCATATTAAAAAAAAATCACAGGCAAGGACTTAAAACCCAATACATTTCTGGCAATTGTAAAATCCCATGTGTGCTTTTAAAAACTATGGAAGACATGAGGATGAAGTAGACAGAATAATGACCCCCAAAGATGTCAGTGTCTTAATCTCTGGAACCTGTGAATACATGGTGGAGGGGGATTAAAGTTGCAGATGAAACTAAGGCTGCTAATCAGCAGACACAGAGAGCACCTTTGGTAACCAGTCAGCCCCAGTGTAATCAGGATGGCCCTTAAATGTAGAAAGAGACATAAGAAAGAGATGTGAATACTGAGGAATGGTCAAACAAATGCAGTTTCTGGCTTTGAGGATGGAAGGATGGGGGCCATGAGCCAAGGCATCTGGGTGGCCCCTAGATGCTGGAAAAGGCGAGTGAATGGATTCACTGCTAGAGCTTCCAAGAAACACAGCCCTGCTGACATCTTGATTTTAGCCTAGTATCTGTATTGGTATCGGTATCTGAGAACTGAATCTGATTTAAAACCAACAAAACTGTAAAATTAAAAAAAAATGCATGTTCTTTTAAGTCACCAAGTCTGTGGAAATTTTTTATGGCAGTCATTAAAACCTGATACTAAGGACTTAGCCTGAATTGTATTCTTTAACTTGAACATCCCAATGTGCTATTTTATTTATGGATGTCTTGTCTTTACATAAATTAATTCTTCTTTCTCACCGTATTCTCTGCCCCTAATTAATCATTTTTCTATGTATGACATATTAGACTAGTATCAGAACATCAAATGTCATTTTTTTGAGAAAGAATGATAATTAACTTATAGTTGGAATTGTAAAAACCCAAATTAGTTGAAATTATCCTGAAGATACAGAGTCATTTCTCTTTTTTTAACATAGGAAATGGAGATAAGGAATCTGACATATATCTGAGGTATTTCTACAGCAAAAAAATTTGACCAATATGCATGAACCTGCTGTACCACCCTGAAACAGCATCTTTTATCATGATTGAATCACTGAGGATAAAAGAGAAAGCTTCATTGATAAAGCGGTGAAGCATTCAGAAACTCTCTTTTCCCTTTCCAGTCTCAAAAAAAGACCTGACTCATTCTATTACAACACCAATATTTGCCTGTCATCTTCATCCATTAACAATACTGGATCAGGTTGTTTAGATTGGGTATAGCAATTCTAAAATCCTTTACTCTTAAATTTGAACTACACTTTTTTCAAAGTAGAAAAATGATGGAGAGAGAAGAAAGTATCTTTCATGATTTTTGTTTGTTTGCTTTGATGATTTTTTTTTGCTTTTTGCATTTAAACATATCAATCTTATTTAGTAGAATAATTATATAATCACCATTCCACAGCAGTACAACCAACAATGAATCCATAGTTGTTTCAATTGAAGAGACAGATCCCCTTGAGACGATTGGCTGAGAAATTATTATTTATTGATGCAGCATAGGATAAATTTTAAAATGCTGTGTCACATGAAAGACAAAGAAAAGTATAGGGATACTTTCAATTGAGAATCCCAGTGAAGGAGCTCTTCACAGATAAACTAGAGGCTCTAAGTTGAGAACTTCTGCCTGGTTTTAAAATGTCTTCAAGTCTTAAAAATGGATGCATTTTTCCCTGTCTCATGCTCCTCTCTCCTCTGTTATACCACTTTGGGAAATGTTAGTGTTTCCTCGTACACTGACTCCTTTTTCTCAATCGGCCTCTGATCTCTTTTCATCATCTGCCACTCTACATTACATTCACAATCTGCCACTCTCCCAAGGACATCCAGGATTTCCACAGCGACTTTCTTCCATGGCAGTTTATTCAAATGTGCATTTCTCTCATCTGGAAGACTCAAAGGCACCCCCTCTCACTACCTACTACTTTAGCTTGAAAACCTCTTTCTGGCAAAGTCTTATTTGTTCTCCAAATCTTAGTTCTTATTCCTGATATTGTCTCTGCCCTTCCTCCTTGATTCAGATCCTTTCCCCATGTTCTCTGTACTTTGACAGTCTCGTCCTGGATGCTCTCCTATCTATTAAATTGCAACCATTTGTTTACCAGCCTGAAGCCTTTCACAGACACCAAGTGAATTGATAGCTGGGTTGCTGCAAATCCATCTTTTAATATCACTAAAGCTTCAAAATAGTGCCTTCACAGATAACAGATGTTCAATAAATGCTGAATTAGTAGATCAACAGGTGAAACTAAATCTGCTATAATATTTTTACATTTCTCTAATTATAGACTATAATATTTTTATATTTCTCTAATTATAGACTTAATTCAAGTTGTTGGCAAATGGCAATCTGTGGAAGAAAAATGAGGATCAAGCCTATTACAGCCAAGTACTTATCTTCCCCCTATAGTTTCAAAGTGCTTTTAAAAGAGTAATTAGCAGTCCTTTACTACATCAGCACCATAATCCCCTTTCCTAAAAATGCCAGAGGTCACCTCAGAATTGAATGGCTGAGCAAGGATTAAAACATAAGAATAAGGGGACTTTGGTTAAGTTAACAGGATCACTGCTTTCTTGTCCTTGTTAAATATGCTTTCTGGACCATAACAAGAAAGCATGGTGGGGCCAGGGGTGGAGTGGTCATGGGTTGAAGAAGTTAAGGGGAAAAGAAGATTTATAGGTTGATAGTAATCAGTTCATCTTATAATATGCTTCTCTTCTGATTGCCTTGCTTGAATTCTTCAACATGACTTCCTTCATTAATGATAAACAAGAGTTGCATATCTTCAGACTTCATGATGCTTATTTTTGTTACAAAGACACCCTTATGTAGACTTTTTAAACACTGGCAATTCCCCATGCAAATAAAAAATCCCCAGAGTCTTTGAAAGAAGTGGAGAAACTTTAAATTTTCTTGAATAAAAGATGATCTGAAATACATGGTTCTTCTTTGGAATTAACCATTCGCCTCTTCCAAACGTGTTGTTACCTGTAATCCATGAATTTCCCCTCCATTTGTAGACTGAAATCTCCAATAAAAGCCACCAAAATCATTTCTCTAGTTTATAGTTGGCTGATCTTGGTGGACTGGGAGGATGTGGTGGGTGTTGTACAGGTAACAACCTAGGTTTATATCCTGGGGACTCTCAACAGACTTCAATCAAAGAAGAGAACTAAACTATAGGCATGAGTACATTATGTAGTATATTCCACTGGAAATTCAGGATGAAACTGTGAGATGTAAAGACAGAAGGAGTAGCTTGCCTGATGACAAGCTTTTTATTTACATTTAGTCCTGGCTATACTATTCGTTGGGTCTATGGAGTCCCCTGCATCATCAAATAGAACCTCCATTTTCTTCAATCTTCTTCACTGAGTGATTATAAACAAATAACAAAATAATTTAGTATGCTAAACAATTCTAAGCCCTGAAGAGAAAATTAATACTTACTAGGCATTTACTATGTGCCAGCCTACTGGAACATTGCATTTTATGTAGACATAAGATTAATATTTAAATGTGTATAATGCATTTCTAAAATGTTTAAAAATTTTTATAAGTTTACTTCACAGATTAAAAAAACTAAAAAATACTACACTGCTTGCTCAAGGTCTTCTACTTAGTAATTATTGGAGATAAAATTCAAATAGTTTTGATAACACAAAAATCTTGTCAAGGTTGCCACCACCACCAAAATGGGAAATCTTGCAGAAAACAAAACAATGAAAAAATATAGAGAGGAGTAAAAAAGTAGAGAAATTTTGACATGAGCACTGAGAAAAATTAAGCCCATTCTTTTAGACATGAAACAGACCAAAATTGTAGGTGTGATTCAGGGATGGATGTGAGGAGAAGATGGGGAAGAAGAAAAAGAAGGAGAATGATGGAGAAACAAGGATGGTTCCACAGTGGGAACTTTTTAAAATGCAAGTACCAAAGGAGATTACCAAGGCTGAATTTTTTGAAATGTACCCTTTGACTTTGAGAACAGTTAGTACAAAAATGCCTCTTGCACTTAACGTAAATTAACAAAATGTGGTCAACAAGACCACAACTTAAGATGAAGTTCTACCTTTTCTTTATTAAACTTCATAAAACAAAACATGATTCTTTGACCAAGTGAATCCTTATATAAATTATTTAAATTATATCCAAGCTGGTTGTGGTTGTCATGTCTAATTTCTTTCGTAGCATTTCCTTATGTTAAGGTCCGCAACTTCTAAGTCCAAGTTTTGGGGTGTTCCTTGTTTGCCTAGAACTTTCATGTACTTGCTTCAAGATCAATGTTACCAAATTTATTTTCACAGATGTAGCCTGGTAGGCTTTTATCAAACACATAGGAGCTTTGATTATTTGTGTTTGGAAAATTCGAAGTTTAGCAAAGCTAAACAGCTTTTATTTTTTTCCTTAATTATTAAACTGCAGTACTCCTCTGAACACATTCTGAATTTTCACATGCAGGATTCTCAAATAGTTTTGATCTCACCTTCTTCTTACAGAGAAAAACATCATATACTAGTGTTTTGGGGAAGACATAATGGGACCTCAGTTCTTGATCAAGAGTCTACTATACAAAGGCCTGGAAATATCAGTTAATCTTCAAGCCTTACCTAGGTATCTACTGGTGCTTATTTTCTATACTTTCTTTTAGGGTTGATTTCCAGTAGAAAGGGAAGTATGCTAACCATTATCCGTTTTCAGACTTTAGTAACCTGCTCTTTGAGAACATCCCATTTTTTTTTCTTAGAGGATTCAAAATACCAGAAATATCAAAAGTAGTTTCTCTTCATTAAAAGTTTGAAACCTTCTCTTTTGAAGTCAATGAAATACAAGAGGAAGACTTTTATCTGAAACCTGTCAGCATCAGTTGGTAACACTGTAACATCCAGTTTGTTAATTAATCTTTCTGAGGCTCAGTTTTCCTATCTACAAAGTGAGGATTATAGCGACCACATAGGGATATAGTAGGAACTATGATTAATGAATTATTTTATAATAAACAGAGACACTGCTAGTTCAATAGAGATAGAGTTCCCTTCCCTTTTTTTCTTGCTCAGTATCAATGTCTCAGGGCAGTATGTCTGGACCAACCCTCCAGAGATCTGCATCACACCAGAAACATGAATTCCCCATTGGCTAATGCCTCTCTATGCAAATATTGCTTCAACAAGTTGTGTGCAGAAAAAAAAATTCCACCAACCGTCAAAACTAAATAAGTAATTTAAACATTCCAAAGAAGGTATTTGTTCCCAAGGAATTTATATCAGGGTTGCAAACACTTGACCAATTTTCATATAAAGAATATTAACAGGACAAGGCAGCTTATAATACCCAAAGAAAGGTCTATAAAATCTCAGAAGAAGAAGAAAATGAGGAAATGAGGGGATAAGACTTGAGTTGTGATTTCTTCAAAGGTCAGGGCCTTCTGTAGATTCCATAAGGTTATTGAGGAGTTTGGGGATGTAGTAGAGATTGTTTTAATCCTTCTGTGACCACTTCCATGTGTACTATTTTGTGTAGAGGTTTTGCCCCTGAAGAATCTGGAGCTTCCGGGTGGTCTGTATATGAGTTCTAAATCTGGATGTCATCATAAGTGACAGCTGGGGAGAGAAAGGTTGTGGGGGACAGGGCAGAGACACAATAATAGCATGCCTGAAAGATCCCTAAGATTAGAACTGTATACCAGCACCTCTTCCAGAAAGGAAAGAACAGTGGCTTCAGAGATCCTAACCACCCTTTCCATGTTAGTTGTTTTGCTTATCTGGTTTCTAAATGTGAGACACAAGCAGGCCATAGAGAAGAGCTTGGCTCAAGCCAGAAACTTGGATATTTTCTAGGTTTAGTTTAAAATATGAAAACAAAACAAAACCTTTGAAAGTAAGAATTAAGACCATAATAATGAAGTTTTAGAAGGCTCCTCAAAAAATAAGTCATGCTAATTTAATATAACAATATTATGCTTTTGGAGTTAAGAGCCATAACATATGGCGGTGAGAGCTTGATGCCAAAGCAAACTATGAAAAGCCCTGCCATTCACCACATCGTCACTAGAGGGGGAAGTTGCATGCAAATAGGGTTCATTCCTGAGCAAGAAGCACACCCACCTCCACTAGTGGTAACAGTTTTTGTTGCCATGGGAATCCCTAAACAAGGGGTAAATATGTCGACAATAGCCATAGACAATTTTATTTTTTATCCTTTTTTAATGCATGGCAGTCTCAGAGCACTCCATCTGCAGCCTGATGTTGCTCACTGGCCTGTTAAGTCTGGGCAGCACAAGTCATCCATTATTACTAAATGGTATCACAGCACGCAGCTCTGTTCACACACTGTCGTGCATTGTAAAAGTCCCTGCTCTATGGAGAGAGAAAAAAAAAACTCAACTCTCTTTGCCCTTCCCTTTTTCCCTAGCTTGCTCCTCCTTCCAAGAGCAGCTGAATCTTCAAACGAGGATACGTTCTGAGTCTTTCTGTATTGGGCTAGTAAATACTTACCATGATCAAGTGTGGAGAAAACCAATTTAATCTGGGGCAAAGAAGAACTGAAAAAGAGGCAAAAGCATCTGTGAGGCTCAACGATAGATGTTTGAGGTGGCTGGAATATAGTTAAAATAATTTGACTCACTCAAACATATACCTTTAAATGGAGTCTGTGACAGAATTAAGGCAAACAGTGTCGATGTCTGTGTGCCATAATGATGCATGCATCAAGATAGTCCAGTTTGTGGGAGATACAGCTCTAAGTCTAAACCATTAGGAAGAACCCTAGCCAGGGATGTAAACAAAGCAGAGAATGGAACTATATTGCAGGTAGCAAATTACCTTATCATCTTTGCCTGAATTTCCTTGGGTGTATGCATCATTTATTATATACCTTCTTGGTGTTAGGTACTCTGCTGGACATGAGTATTAAGTAGAGATGACCCCTGCCCTTGAGATACTTACAGTCAGGAGAACTTTCGTTCCCTGAGAACTGGACATGATCCAACAGGAAACTATGGTCGCTATGGCAGTAACACAGATGCCTAACTCACAATTAGAGTCCTCCTCTCCAAAAGGCCCCCTTCTCAGACTAAATGGAGGAAGAGCTCCTTCACACAATGGGAGGAGGAGCAGGGCTTTAGACATGGTTTCATGAGGTCAGGAATCAAGCCACTTGGTTGGTGAAAGTACCCTTTGTGGATATGCCTGCATGTGGCACATAAAAGACCTTCAATAAGTATGTGCTAACTAAATGAAAACATAGATAAATGAATGGATGGGGAAATAATGAGATAGCTGATGCACTTGGAGAATTCTTGGTGGATATGTTTGAAGTAGAAAATATTGAATAGTCACTATGTCATGGAACAGTAAATCTGGATAAAAAATTAAAACATTCAACTTTGAGCCTTTAATGTTAGCTTAATCTCCTAAGTTTTTCCTTTCATTGAGCTAAAATTTCTTTTATCACTCTAAACATCAGAATATTTAAATCACAGCACAGATAAATATCCATCTTTAGGATGGTAAAAATTCACATGAAAATTACTAGGAAAGAGAAAGTAAATGAAATAACTGGCTATCCACTTTCTGTGAGGGGTGTTTCAAATGCCATTCGTGTGGAGAATCGCTGGCCTTTCCTTGAAACTTACATAGAAAATTTGGGTTCCTGGCACATGGAAAATTCCCTAGTCTCTGTCTGGGATTTCCCAGAGATTGTATCCCTGGGAGCTTCAAGGGCATAAAACTAAAAAGGGTGGAGGAATCCTTGGATTGTGTGCCATTATCATTCAGCCCCTGGTGACGCTACTATGATGATGTTGGCCAGTGCCGCGCTTTTTCTCAAAAAGAGGCCTCAGGATGTCAACTTAACTGGAAACACACTCTGGAGTTACAGCCAAGAGGGGCGACTTTCCCCAAATGGTTCTTGTTTTGTGATTCAGCATGTGAGTCATTTGGTTAATAACAACTTCCTGTACGTCCCAGACACCCCCTAGAAAATTTGGATCTCTTCTGATTTGGGGTGGTTGGGTCGGTTGCTAAGGCTGCTGGTTTGAGATTACTTGTCAGTGAAGTGGAGATTCTGGAGATTTTCTGTAGCCTACAGAGCTGCAGAGGAACTGATAGTATCACAACAAGAAAGCAGACTGCAGCATCAGGAGACTGACTGTCAGATATCATTGTCCAGTAGACAATTTTGAAATGTTAGTAGGACGATATCAGGTTACTACACTACTGCTATGGTTTAAATGCCCCCTCCCAAACTCATATTTAAATGTAATTGCCATTGTAACAGTATTAAGAGGTGGGAACTTTAAAGGGTGATTACGTCATGAGGGGTCTGCCCTTGCGAATAGATTAATAGATTTGTTATTGCCAGAGTAGTTTCCTTATAAAAGGATGAGTTTTGCCCCCTTTTATCTCTCTCACTCTCTGGATCCTTGCACCTTTCACCATGGGATGATGAAGCAAGAGGTCCTTGTCAGATGCTGGTCCCTTGATCTTAGACTTCCCAGCCTCTAGAACTGTAAGAAATAAATTTCTGTTCATAATAAATTACACAGTCTCAGGTATTGTGTTATGGCAGTATAAACAGACTAAGACAACTATTAAAAATGAGCGTATGCATCTTTTCAGAGTAGAGAAGTCCATTCATGCATGCCATAGACTTCAACTGCCCCCTTGCATTCATGCCACCCCTTCCTCATTATATAGCAACCATATGGTAGGGTAGGTTACTCACCAGTACATACTGGTGGGAGGGGCTCACCACTGGTTCTGGGCTAATCCTATCTCCCTTGGTACAATGCTTGTGGTTAGGGTTGGACATTTGGGGCTGGCTTAAATCAACTAGGACAAAGCATTTTTCTGGCCAAATCTAGGTCATTTCCATCAGGATGAAGCTAGGCATTCTATTACTTGAGCTAAGAGAATATGCTATTTTTTTCTGGATACACAAAAGCATGTATGTTTCTCTGAAAATTATGGACAGCCATACTGTGACTACTTGGAGAGGTCAGCCTTAGGTTGACGTTGATGATACCCAAGGAAAAGAAAAGAGAGCAAGAAAGAAACTGGTAATATCAACAAGCTCCTGCATGAAACCAAAGACCCCTTTTCTGCCATATGCTTTTTATATGAAGTGAAATATTTTCTTTATTATTTAAGCCAGTTTGGATTGAGTTTTCTGTTACTATTGGCAGAAATGATACTTACTAGTGTAATTTATTAATTGATCATCCAATCTTATATTCTATAAATATTTACTAGCTGTCTACTATCCTCAAGGCATAAAGACAGAGATAGTTCTTTCCCTCAGGGAGGACAGGGTATTCTGAAAAGGCAGACATGTAAATGGAAAATAAATGTATAGCATGGTAAATGCTAAATTCAGGTAATATACACAAGGCACAATGGGAACATGGAAAAAGAACCCCTAAATATGTCTTGATGGAGGCAGCCAGGGGAACTTCGTGGAGGAAAAGGCGTTTGAGATAACTGTCGTAGGAAGATCTGGAAATAAAGCACAGAGTTGAGGCTGAATAAATGGCCGGTGCTACATTTTAAAGAACCTTTATTTAAGATAGGAAGTATTTTTTTCCTTGTTGCAATGGGGAGTTATTAAAGAATTTTGACCAGAGTGATCATTTTGAAAACACATACATCATGACTTTGTAGCTTCTAAATGTGGTAAATAGTAAATCATTGTGGTTAAGAACATGGGCACTAGACTCCTTGGTCTTAAATCTTTGTTCTGCTACCTCCCAGTGCCCCTGTTTTCTTATCTGAAAAAAAAATAGATGCAATGATATTGTTGTAAGACTTAAATAAGAACTTTTTAATATAGTGGCAGGCACATGACATATTTATATACTTTTTCGTACCCCCTTCTCCCCTCCCCCAAAACTAATTTTAGCTTCTAATAATACTATTAATTAATTCCCTTTGGTATGATGAACAAACTAAGGTTTGGAAAAAGCTGTACCCAGCTGCTTTGTTATACAGTATATCATCAAAAACCTGTGACTTCATCTATAATGCTGGGCATCCATTGTTTAATGCAGTTTAGTAAATTTTTGGCCCATGCTGTTTATTTGCAGTTCAGCTATTTTTACGTTTCTGGAGCAATGTGTGCATACCCATAGATGGGGTAGCCCATTTAAGATAAATATATTATCCCCTCCCAATAAAACATCTCCATATGTTCAAGACAACATAAAGATAAACATATGATAAGAGGTGTACACTTGGAGGTCTGTAATAGCTCATAATGGTTTCATGAAATAGGCAAAGTGAAATGTCTATGTAAGATGTTTCCTAAATGGGAAATGTAACCTTAATATAGATGTATACCACGCATGGTTGATATTGAGCTGATGTTTATGTGAGTATGGCTGCGCTGGTGGTTTATTGCTAGTATCTCTTCTGATTGATCAGGCATTCTTCTGATTAACTAAGTGTTGAGCCATAGTACATATTAAGTATTTTGAATACAGTCTTTGCAAATAAGGTTCCCATTCTTTATATCTAAAGCTCGCATATAAAAATGAGGGGTGTCGGCAGACAAAAACAGTGGGCTAAGTCTGTACTAGTTGTATGTAAAGTTAGTTCAGGAGAATAGAAATCACCAAATCCCTGATGAAGACAGTGGAAGAGGCTGGGACAGCAGCAACACCACACTGTGGGGTATTGGCATCAGCTCGCCAGAGAGCAGATAGACAGACATTTGCACCCCGCCTTCTTTCTTTCTGACTAGATACGCTTTTGCAAGTTACTTAACTTCTCTGAGTCTTAGCTTAGATGGAGAATGCAGACAATAATTCTTACCACAAATAAATGTTGGTAATTACTATTATCTAGCATGGATTCTTGCATAAAAAGTAACTGCAAGTGATATTCCTTATTCTTATTTATCTCTGACTAACAGTATCGGGAAGAAGACCCACTTTATATTATGACCTATTTACACAAAGGGTACAGATTATGGATGTCTACTAAAATTTACCTGCTTTCCAACAACTTGAATTTTAAAGAATATTTAAGAAATATTTCCAGGATAGCTCATTCCATGTTGGGTGTACTATATTAGTCAGGGGCATTTTATCAATTTCAATGAACTATTGAGATTATACTTTGCCTCAGATGGGAACAAACACTGATTCTAGTGCATGTTGTTTTACTCTAACATTATTACATCTGTAGGTTTGGCACGGCAGCCTGTACATGCTAAATGCTCAGTGAATGTGTGTTGTGTGTATGAATAGGTGGGTAGACTTATAACTAATGATTAATCCTAGAAATCAAGCATTACCTATAAGATACAACTTTTTTTCCTGGGGATGACTTTGCTTTTATTTTAACTTCTACACTCTTGTAATTTTCTTATCCAGTTCTGCCTTGTAATATGATTATTTGGTCTTGTCTTATTTCCCTTACTGAGATATAAGTTCCTTGAAATCATACCCTGTGTCTTACTCTTTTCTAAAATTCCTAGTGGTTAATTGATTCTCAACAAATATCAGCTGGGTCTTGAAGTAATCTATGAAATATCATGCTCAGTTTCAAGGTGACTTGTCTTTTGATGAGTGTATATATCAATTACATGTTACCTTATTTGAGAGATGACACCTGCTCTCAGTTTCAGTGACTCTCTACTGGGTTACAAGTGCTGTGTCTCCTGAACTGGCATAGACAGTGAGAGAATCACAAGTCTCATAGCCACACATCCCATACTTCTGATCATGATAGTTGTTTGATCTAAATCACTCTAGCCTTGGCTGCCTTTCCATAGTCAGTGCCAGTAGTAGGCAGGACCTAGCCCAATATTTGCCTCCCTCTTGTGAGCTGTCCTCTTTATATCATACAGAGCATTTTGCCTGCTTCCATTTGCATTGACAAAGGCTTCCTATGGAGTGCCAGCTATTAGGAAACATATAGCATGGCAAAGGGCAGAGATTTAGGAGTGCCAGATAGGACAGAAAGCACTTCACTTAGCTGAAGTGACATCCAGATCTGTGCCATGGTCTTGCCCCTTCTTCTTCTTGATATGTGCATTTGACAAAGCACATTCACCCAGAGCTGTGTTGAATGGAGAGGGTCCTACATCCAAATACAGCAGGCTCTTGTGAGTTGCTGACATTTAGTTCACCACAGACACCAACTGCCCAGTAGTTATTAAATTCAAGGTCCCGCAGAAACAAATAGGATAAGTCAGAGCAACTACTTGACCTCAAGTCACTGCTTCTTCATTCTCATGTCTTCTACATCTCCATTTTTCTGACTATTTCTTTCCAGACACTGCCAGTTTCCATCTAGGAATAGTATGTTTCCAGTTAATCTGAATTATACACAAGGAAAACCTAATATAGCTTTAAAAGATGTAAATCAAGAAAGACTTTGACGCTGAGATTAGCTGTATTTTTTAGTTGATGTTTTATTTTTTTAAATTGTGTTATCCTTTTCCTATAACCTTATTATGCTTTTCTATTCCCATGAGTAAAATACCTTATTATCGTCAAATACATTGTATAGTATAGGGAAAAACAAGAAGATCAGCAAAAGGCTAACAGGGGTTTTGTGTTTTAGAAGAGTATATTCAGCTTTTTTGGTCATTACCAGTAGCTTTGAGTTCTGAGTTAACAGGAAGAAAATTTCAGCCTATGACAATTCTTAACCATCAACTTATTAACAGGAAGACTATTTGAGTAGGGAAAGCTGTGTTTTGAAACAGTGTAAGTTCTTTTACATGTTTTATTATTTTATTGAGTCTTTTCTTAATGCATAAGAGGAGTTCTGGGGTATAAGATAGAAACTGATCAGACAACATAAAGTTGAATAATATGTTTCTCAGACTAGATGGTCAAACACATAATTTTCCATGATGTTAGAAAGCAGAGGGGTCAATGTATCTCCTGGGACACTTGGACTGTGTTTACCCAGAGCAACAATTCAAATAATCTTGGAGCAAAATATTATTTGATATTGGCTTATAATGGATTCCTCTGAAACAGGGAGTTTTGTGCAAAAGTTGATTGGGGAGTGGTCTTGGGAGACATACCTATAAGGCAGTAAGGTAAGAAGAAACAGAAAAAAAATCTTGCCCGCAACACAATTGAAACTGAGCTGTCAGCTGATTGATCGCAAATTGAAGTAAGTTCGCAAAGCCTTTGTATCCCTCCTTCAGCCAGTAATTTGCTGCATGGTAAACTCTGGGAAGGTTTATAACCTTGGAAGAGGTCATTCACTGAGCCTGAGAGCAATTTCCAATAAGCATCACAGCTGTGAGTGGCCAGCAGCCAATACTACCAGCACCTGGGGGGTGCAGAATGGGTGCACTGGCCTTGAAGAAGGGATGTGGAGCACTAGAGTGTTTATATAGAAAAATAGCTCTCAGAGTCTGGTACCCAGACAAGCAGCATCAGCATCACCTGGAAATGTGTTAAAAATGCAAATTCTCAAGACCAACCCCAGTTCTGAATCAAATTCTTGCGGTGGGATGAAACAATCTGTGGTTTAACAGGCCCTCCAGGTATTATTGATGCACACTTAAGGCTGGGAACTACTGCACTAGTTTATCTATTGCATGCACCTAACAAATTATTTTATTAGAATAATTTGTGTGTGTATGTTTAGAACTTTTTTTCTGATAATAATGTACTGATTTCTGCATTTGATTATTTGTGTTATCTCACATACTGGAAAATCCAAGACAGAATTTAAAGCTTCGGTCAGTTTGTCTTACAATAGCCAATTGTCACAATCCCGTCAGGAAAATGTAGAATATGAGTCTCTTTTATGCTATAGGAGCCTAACGGGAAAAAAGCTAAGAGGAGAGGAGGAGAGGAGTAAGTGCACAACATACACAGAGATGCAGATGTTATCTATGTTCTTTCTTTACAAGGGATTGTGAAAGTTTAATATTGTGAAAACCTCTGATTTGCATCAGGATGAATTTAGATAGGTACCAAATGTCTGCCGTTTTGCTTTTGAGAGGAAAACAAATACAGTCTTCCTGTTCTTATGGAGAATTTACACAAACATTGATTGACCATGAAGATAACACCAATAGCCACGAAAAAAAAGTACTGCCAAATGGTAAATGATATGGTATTATAAAGTGTGGATTTTCTATAGACCATGAAAATCAGAACATAATTTTAAAATGAAGAAAACAGGAAACCAAAGATGAAAGTGCTTATTTATTAGATCCTGTTTCTGAGTTCAGTTATATAGTTCATTGCAAAGTTGGTATCCTTGCCTTTAAATATGAATCAGAATACCCATTTTTTAGAAACCTCTGCAACTTTGCAAAACTTCCACACCACTTCAGTTTATCTAGTCTGGATTTCCATTGTTTTCCCTTAAGAACTATTCGACTTTGGGAGCCCAAGCGGGGCGGATCACGAGGTCAGGAGATTGAGACTATCCTGGCTAACATGGTGAAACCTCATCTCTACTAAAAACACAAAAAATTAGCTGGGCGTGGTGGCGGGCACCTGTAGTCCCAGCTACTCAGGAAGCTGAGGCAGGAGAACGGTGTGAACCCGGGAGGCGGAGCTTGCGGTGAGCCAAGATCGCGCCCCTGCGCTCCAGCCTGGGCGACAGAGCGAGACTCCGTCTCAAGAAAAAAAAGCAAAAAAAAAAGAACTATTTGAACATAATTAGATTCAGAGGACAAGGGCTCTGTTTAGCCTGTGCATGCCATCTTGATCACCAATTTGCTGTTTGTATTGACACTCATCTGTGTTGTTTACCTTACTCTCTTTCTTTGGAGTGGTGAATGTCTCAACATAGTCAACAACTATGGGCTTAATCCTCTGTTTCCAAAAAGCATTTGGACTTCATTTATTTTTCCAACTACAAGCCCATTATTGGCCATTGAAGCTTCCAAAAACCACTTTTACTGTGTGAGTGGGAGGCTTAGATAACCAGAATACTTAATTAAATATAATAGTTTTTTTCCAATGAATCCTCCATGGTGCACTCATTTTTAATAGCATCCTAAGCTTCTTTAACTCTAGGAGAACCGGTCCTGAATTTACAAACAGGCAGGTTTAGCATGGAGACACGTTAACTCTGGTAAGTCCAAAGATGCTCTTGAGGGGCTCTTCCCATCTGTTACTGTATTTTGTAGCTTGAGTTTTGGAACAGCTGGGAAGCATGAAAACATTCTCACTGCAAGGAGGCTATGTTATAAACTTCAATCTAAAGAGATGCTCGTTCATTTCACAGAAATCCCTCCAAAACACTAAATTCTGCAATACCTCTACTGCAGAGAAAACTCACATTCTCGGGGCTGTTTTTCTCCTTGAGACTTTTGAATAAAAAGATTAACCTCTTTTTACATTTGAAAGACTTTCTAAAAAACAAGATGATCAAACTTAAATAAAAGCTGTTTGAGAATCTGCTCATATAGTGTCTCATGTTTCATTGGCTGAAAGAAAACTACCCATTTATTATCAATAAATAATAGTAAGAATAATAATAGTAAGTTATTTGAGAGTTATTGTTAGTAATCATTTGTCCAATCCCAGCAAGGAGCTGGATATTCTGAGCAACACTAAATGCTATTTTACTTCATTATGAAGTAAAATAATTTAAATATTACAAAAAGTATGCCAAAGTAACTAAAAGAGTAAATTTCAAATGTTTCATTGTTATAAAAAAAAAGATAGGTGAGCAAGCTGATGAATACATTAGCTTGGTTTAATCATTTCATACTGTGCATGTATATCAAAATATTACATTGTATCCGTAAATGTATACAATTATGATTTGTCCATTAAAAACAGCATTTTAAAAATAATAAATTACTTAGAAGAAAAATCAATACAGCCTATATAAAAATTTGAATAGAGGTGTTAAATACAATAAAATATGTAAATAATGTACTTAGTAACATAATTTATGAATAGTTTTTTATTTGTTGTTGTTAAGAATAACAACATGCATGATAAATGTACACTAGAACTTTTTCATATGTTATGTGAGACAACTATAGCTTAGGGCAACATCACAGGCTCTATAGACATATAGATAGATAACTTTTAGAGTGTGAAGTAAAAAATGAAGTAATGTGGGTAAAAAGTGATATACTAAATAGTGGTAGCTATTATTATTTTTATAAATGTACAATACACACATATTGAGTAAAAGAAAAACTTGTACATGCTGCTCTGCAGCTGCATAATCCCTGCTCTATTTGTGGGTACTCTGAACACTCGCAGTGTATGATTTAATATTGACTAAGATGAGATTCTGGATAAACACTGTGGACCTAAGCCTTTGCCTAAACCTAAATGCTTTGTTTGTTTTCTTTTTTCTGTTTCAGTATTTTTGATGAGCTCAGTTTCTTGTACTTTTAAAGAAATAGGAGGATGGTAGTAGATGACCTGATAAAATGCAGTGTTTCATAAGATCTCGAATTAGTCAAATCTGAATGACATCCGGTGTCTTACATAATGCCTGATGCTTTCTTTTTGACATGCGTAGCTTTTTAAGCCTTTGAGCTAGAGTTTAACAGGGGTGAATTAGTTGGGTTTTTCAAAAAAAATAGAATCAATAGGATATATAAAGATACATAGATAGAGATATCAATAACTTTATTATGGGAATCGACTTATGCAATTATGGAGATTAAGAGGTCCCAAGATCTGCTGTCTGAAAACTAGAGGGTGTGACCCTCTGGTGTAAGTCCTGGAGTCCTCAGGCCTGAGAACCGAGACCTCTGATGTCCAAAGAGAGGAGGAGATGATGCCCCAGCTTAAAGAGAGAGCATGAGAATTCACCCTTCCTCTGCCTTTTTGTTCTATTCAGGCCCTCAATGAATTGGATGATGCCTGCCCACATTGGTGAGAACAGATCTTACTCAATTTACCGATTCACATTGCTAAACTCTTCCAGAAGTGTCCTCACAGACATACCCAGAAATAATGTTCAACCAGCTATCTGGGCATCCCTTAAGCCAATCAAGTTGACACATAAAATTAACCATCACAAGTAGTGAACTTTAAGTCTGTCTATCGTAGTTACTTGTGTGTGTCTGACACCTGTCTTAAACTGGGAAAGCCTGGAGGAAAAGAATTACATCTTCTTCCTCTTCTGTTTCTCCATAGAGGCTAACTCCATGTAGCTGCAATTGCAAAGAGATACATGGGCAGAGAGTAGAGGAGAGCAGTGCAGTGGTGCTTTGATGCTGTAGGAAGCAGATATTGAGGGGAACTCTCCTGAGGGTCCTGAAATTCATAGCTGATTCTCAGCAGATTCCTGGGGATCACACACATGGGCTCCACAGGCACCAGAGAATATTAGCTACATCTTCTCTTACATCTGATACTTCTTGATGTCAGGAAATCAGGCAGCAGCTTCCCCAGCCATCCAATGTTTGTATAAGCTTTTCATTTCCTGTATTATGTATTGTCACTTGGAATACAATGAATGAGTTTTGTTTTATTAATAAAAACTCTGTTCAATATACTGAGGGAGAGAGAACCAAATGAACAGAAAAATAAGTTGGAGATTCTCCAATGCTATATGCCCCAGCATCATGTAAGATTAAAAAAAAAAATTCTTGCCTTTTAGTTGTAATGAGTATCTGGGAGCTAAAAACTGATGATTTTAAGATTAGGCAATATGCAAAATAGACAAAGAAAAGCAGAGCTAAATACAGTGATGCTTGCCTTTCCACCGGCAACTCCAATACAATGATCTATAAGCTTTTGATTTAAACACTTTCTGAGTTACTGGTTAACTGGGGAAAGATTCATGGGAAAAAAAAAAGGCATTACATAACCTTGCCATTCAAAGTCATTGTCACTGGCATCACCTGGGTGTTTGTTAAAAACACAGACCTTGGATATCTTTAAAAACATCCTGAAGTGATCAGTAAAGTCATTAATGATGAGAACCATTCCTAGGGAGGACTTGTTAAAACAGAGATTTCTCAGTCCCACCCCTAGCATTTCAGATTTAATTTGTCTGGGGTGTAGCCTAGGCATTGAAATATTTAAGAGCTCCTCAAGGAATTCCACTGTGAAGGTGTTTGAGAGACAGTAGTACAGAGCTCTTCTGCTATGGTCCTAATACCTGCAGGAGATTTAGCATGTTTGGTAAGTTAACAATAATGACCCAGAATTTGTTTCCAGGTGTATTTTATCTTAAGTAGCTCCATTAAATCCAAGTCCTGAGCTTTTCTACAATAACTAAGATGTTTGGACTTCTGCCAGCATTTTATAGGGTTGCCTGGCTAAGCTAGCACGTCTTTTGTCTATTTCCTCCTGAGTATTATGCTTGCAATTAAATTATTAGCTACAAAATAGGTGGATGCTTTTTTGGAAGTATAGTGATAGCTTTGTAGTCCATAAAGAGCGGGTCTTTCTAAAGGCATGGGATATTTGTTTCCTATTATAGCTGTAAGAAAGCACCACAAACCTTGTGGCTTAAAACAACACATTTATTATCTTACATTTTGTTGATCAGAAGTCCAAAATGAGCCTTACAGGGCTCAATTCAAGGTGTCAGTAGGGCTGCATCCCTTGTAAAGTCTCCAGCAGATAATCCATTTTCTTGCCTTTTTCAGCTTCTAGAGGCCACCTGCATTCCTTGGCCTCGCAGCCCTTCTTCCACTTTGAGAGGTGTCACTCTATCCCCTGCTTTCATCGTCACATCTCCTTTTTCTGACTTTGACCTGCTCGTCTCCTTCATGCAAAGACACTACATTTGGCCCACCTAGATAATCCTGAATAATCTCCATATGTTAAAACACTTAATCACATCTACGGAGTCCCTTTTGCCATGTAAGAAAACATGCTCACGAGTTCCAGGGATTAGACATGA
Source organism: Homo sapiens (assembly GCF_000001405.40). Lineage (NCBI taxonomy): Eukaryota > Metazoa > Chordata > Mammalia > Primates > Hominidae > Homo > Homo sapiens. The sequence continues at coordinate 121,273,808 of NC_000008.11, forward strand.
ATATCTTGGGGACAGGAGAGGTGTTATTCTATCTGCCACTTATGGTTAAATGTGTCAAAAAAATATTGCACTCAGTAGCGTTAATTTTTTTAAAGAAGAATGTATTAAAACAATCATGCATATGCAAACCAACCATCGTGGTTATTTAAAATACATAAAGGAAGATTTGCATTAATGTAATCACTGCATTTCCATGCAGCTAAGGTTTCTTTATCTTAATTGTTCTTACATTAGTTTGCAGGAACTTCCCTCTCTATCCTCCCCTTGCTTTACTGGACATTACTTGCTGTCTAAATCTTTCATCCATTAACAAGTTAAAGTTGTCTTCTACCACAGGTGTTCATTTAATCTTTATTCCAGATCAGTGATTTTCAGTCTTGGTTACCCACAACGATAACCTTGGGAGTTCTGACAAAAATCCAGTGTCCAGGCCACATTCATGACCAATTAAATCAGAATCTTTGGGGAGAAAACCCAAGTATCACTGTATTTTTTTTTTCTTTTTCAACTTTTATTTTACATTCAGAGGGTACAAGTGCAGGTTTGTTACATGGGTAAATTGCAGGTCACTGGGGTTTGGTGTGCAAATGATTTTGTCACCAGTCAGTGAGCACAGTACCCAATAGGTAGTTTTTTGACCCTCACCCTCCTACCACCTTCCACTCTCATGTAGGCCCCAATGTTCATTGTTCCCCTCTTTGTGTCCGTGTGTACTCAACGTTTAGCTCCCACTTATAAGTGAGAACATGTGGTATGTAATTTTCTGTTCCTGTTTTATTCACTTAGCATAATGGCCTCCAGCTGTATCCATGTCACTGCAAAGGACATAATTCCATTTTTCGGGGTTGCATAGTATTCCATAATATGTATATACCACATTTTATTTATCTAGTCCACCATTGATGAGCATCTAGGTTAATTCTTGTCTTTGCTATTATCAATAATGCTGTAATGAATGTACAAGTGCATACGCCTTTTTGATGGAATAATTTATGTTTCTTTGGCTACATATCCAGTAATGGGATTGCTTGGTCTAATGGTAGTTCTGTATAAATTCTTTGAAAAAGAGTTTGCAGACTATTTTTGAGAAATCTCCAAACGGCTTTCTATAGTGGCTGAACTAATTTGAAATTGCCCAGATTATTTCAATGTGCATCTCAGTTTGAAAACTGCTTCTTAAGAGTTCCTGTTTCCTCCTTCAAGCTATATGCTCTCTTCCTAATTCCTACTGAAAGAAAGAAGAAATCTACATGGCACCCTGTTTGCTGAATAACCCTCTGATGTTTTGTTGTTGTTGTTTTTCAGCTAGAGAGTAACCAATGCAGCAGCAAAACAAGTTTATAGTCAGAAGTTAACCTAGCGGTACCTACACCCTCTTGAGAGTATAAGAGCTTAGGAAATGCCATCAAGATACCTCTACCCAGTGCCCCAATATTGACAGAGCCAATAGGAATAACTTGCTGGAGAGGTGAGCTTTGCCCAGGTGAATGTCCAGCCTTTCTTCTCTTCCCTCTAGTACTATCCGAAGATAACTTTGGAAATTAAGAGCTCACAATCTGAGAACACTCAGGGGCCAGCTTTTTGAAGAATTGACCTGTGTCACTCCTGGAAGGACTTTTCTCTGGATCCAATCGAAAGGCAGAAGCCACCCCAATTCATCCTTTGTAGTTGTCTCTCTGCACAGTGTTTTGGTTTTGTTTGTTTTTTGTCCTGGAATCAGTGGCATCATAAGGTTATGGATGTGCTCTTGTGTGCCAAATTTGAAACAGGCCTTTCTGTTCTTAATTACAGTAACATTTTCTAATTTGACTCTGACAGGCACCCTGTTACTTTCATTACCTATGCTACCGTACTTTTCATGTCTTACCCCTTTCCTCCGTAAGTCTTCTCTGTTAACAGCACCTATTGACATCTAATACACTACATATTGTATTTATTTATTGTATGCCTTCTACCATTAAAGTGCTGAAAAAAGGAGAATAGGAATCTAAGAATCTTAGCCCTTTTTCTTTCTTTTGGCTACCACTTTATTCCTAATAAAGCCTAAAATAGTTCCTCACACGTTATAGGTGCTCAGTAAAATATATTCAAATATATATCAAAAATAAATTCATTCAACATATATGTGAACGTATGATTTTCATTCATATGAATGAATGAATGAATTTTATCCTTATAACAGCCCTATGAGAGAAACGCATCATTAGGCCTGTTCTACAAGATGACGAAATTGAGGCACTGGAAATTAAGTTCTCAAGTAGAAAATGGCAAAGAAGATTTCAAATCCAGGCAGTCTGATTCTCAGTCTATCCTCTTGGCCACCACTTTATAATGATTCTTCTCCTTATCAGCTATACGATTAAACCTAATTACCTTAACAACAGTGCTGTGGGGAGAAGCTATTCCTTCTAGTCTGGCGTGGGTCTGAATATTGCCTTTGACAGCTCCTAACTAGGTGTTTTTTGGCAGGTAATATCCCATCTCTGAGTTCTTCGCTCATACATGAAACAGGAACATCTACCTCACAGGGTTACAGAAACGATTGAGTGAAAGATGGTACATTTTCTTCTTCGTTTTAACGGGCAAAGCTTCCCCCAACCACAGGATAGCTTCCAGTGAAGCAGGCAGACGCAGGCACTTACTAAGGCTTTCAGGTTTCCCTATTATCTGCCCATGTCGGGGTCTTGGACAAAGGAAATGATATGTGACATTTGGGGTTGAGAAAAATGTTTCAAGAGACGCAAGTTGAGTCATCTCCTTATTTTGGAACATTTTCATGCAAAGGTGAAAGAAGTGCCCTTTTTGTCTCCAAAGAAGCTACTCCTATCTGCTTTTGCATTACATGATTTTATTTAGTTTCAGATGACTGTGTGATTTGAGAGGTGACTTATGCTTTGCTGAATATATCTATGGAGAAAAGACTAACTAATAACTGTAATTTTTTCCTGATGGATTTTTTTTTTAAAAAGGAAATTTTAAGAAATACCTGTTGTTGCATGGTTTTTGAATCCCCTGGTCGGCTTTGTTGAATGCAGATTTTAAAATGATTATTTGCTGTGAATATTAATAATATTCACCACAAATAACATATTGTCTATAGAGCTGAGGTGTGATCAGAACATTTCCATCACCCAAGAAAGAAATCCTGATCCCACTGGCATTCACTTTTTTTCTTTAATTTTATTTTTGTATGTGTGTGTTTTTAATTAAAACTTTTATTTTGAAATAACCATAGATTCATATGCAGTTATAAAAAAAAATACAGAGAGATCTCCTGTACCCTTTACCCAGTTTCCCCCAATGGTAACATTCTATAAAACTGTAGTACAGTATCACAACCAGGATATTGATATTGATATAGCCAAGATACAGAACAATTCCATCATTGCCAGGATCCCTCATGTTGGTCTTTTATACCCACATGCACTTCCCTCTCTTCTTCTTTTTTTTTTTTTTTTATTATACTTTAAGTTCTAGGGTACATGTACACAACGTGCATGTTTGTTACATATGTATACATGTGCCACGTTGGTGTGCTGCACCCATTAACTCATCATTTTCATTAGGTATATCTCCTAATGCTATCCCTCCCCGCTCCTCCCAACCCACAACAGGCCCTGGTGTGTGATGTTCCCCTTCTTGTGTCCATGTGTTCTCATTGTTCAATTTCCACCTATCAGTGAGAACATGCAGTGTTTGGTTTTTTGTCCCTGAAATAGTTTGCTGAGAATGATGGTTTCCAGCTTCATCCATGTCCCTACAAAGGACATGAACTCATCCTTTTTTATGGCTGCATAGTATTCCATGGTGTATATATGCCACATTTTCTTAATCCAGTCTATCATTGATGGACATTTGGGTTGGTTCCAAGTCTTTGCTATTGTGAATAGTGCTGCAATAAACATACGTGTGCATGTGTCTTTATAGCAGCATGATTTATAATCCTTTGGGTATATACCCAGTAATGGGATTGCTGGGTCAAATGGTATTTCTAGTTCTAGATCCTTGAGGAATTGCCACACTGTCTTCCACAATGGTTGAACCAGTTTACAGTCCCACCAACAGTGTAAAAGTGTTCCTATTTCTCCACATCCTCTCCAGCACCTGTTGTTTCCTGACTTTTTAATGATTGCCATTCTAACTGGTGTGAGATGGTATCTCATTGTGGTTTTGATTTGCATTTCTCTGATGGCCAGTGATGATGAGCATTTTTTCATGTGTCTGTTGGCTGCATAAATGTCTTCTTTTGAGAAGTGTCTGTTCATATCCTTCGCCCACTTTTTGATGGGGTTGTTTTTTTGTTTTCTTGTAAATTTGTTTGATTTCTTTGTAGATTCTGGATATTAGCCCTTTGTCAGATGAGTAGATTTCAAAAATTTTCTCCCATTCTGTAGGTTGCCTGTTCACTCTGATGGTAGTTTCTTTTACTGTGCAGAAGCTCTTTAGTTTAATTAGATCCCATTTGTCAATTTTGGCTTTTGTTGCCATTGCTTTTGGTGTTTTAGACATGAAGTCCTTGCCCATGCCTATGTCCTAAATGGTATTGCCTAGGTTTTCTTCTAGGGTTTTTATGGTTTTAGGTCTAAGATTTAAGTCTTTAATCCATCTTGAATTAATTTTTGTATAAGGTGTAAGGAAGGGATCCAGTTTCAGCTTTCTACATATGGCTAGCCAGTTTTCCCAGCACCATTTATTAAATAGGGAATCCTTCCCCCATTTCTTGTTTTTCTCAGGTTTGTCAAAGATCAGATAGTTGTAGATGTGTGGTATTATTTCTGAGGGCTCTGTTCTGTTCCATTGGTCTATATCTCTGTTTTGGTACCAGTACCATGCTGTTTTGGTTACTATAGCCTTGTAGTATAGTTTGAAGTCAGGTGGCATGATGCCTCCAGCTTTGTTCTTTTGGCTTAGGATTGTCTTGGCAATGCAGGCTCTTTTTTGGTTCCAATATGAACTTTAAAGTAGTTTTTTCCAATTCTGTGAAGAAAGTCATTGGTAGCTTGATGGGGATGGCATTAAATCTATAAATTACCTTGGGCAGTATGGCCATTTTCACAATATTGATTCTTCCTATCCATGAGCATGAAATGTTCTTCCATTTGTTTGTGTCCTCTTTTATTTCATTGAGCAGTGGTTTGTAGTTCTCCTTGAAGAGGTCCTTCACATCCCTTGTAAGTTGGATCCCTAGGTATTTTATTCTCTTTAAAAGCCATTGTGAATGGGAGTTCACTCATGATTTGGCTTTCTTTTTGTCTGTTATTGGTGTGTAAGAATGCTTGTGATTTTTGCACATTGATTTTGTATCCTGAGACTTTGTTGCGCTGGCATTCACTTTCTACTTGCCCCTTGGCAGCTGCTAATCTACTTTCTGTCTCTAGAATTTGCCTATTCTGGACATTACATGCAAATAGAATCATAAAGTATGCGGTCTTTTGAGTCTATTCTTTTATGCAGTGTAATATTGTCAAGGTTTATCTATGTTGTGGCATGTTGCAGTACTTCATTTTTGTATTGCTGAAAAATATTCTATTGTATGGAAATACTACATTTTATTTATCCATTCATCAGTTGATGGACATTTGAGTTTCTCCTGCTTTTTGATTATTATGAATAATGTATGAACATTTACATAAAAGTTTTCATGTGAAAATATATTTTCTATTGTCTTGGGTATACACCTAGGACTGGAATTGTTGAGTCACATGGTAACTCTATGTTTAATGGTATTTATTCATTTCAGTAAAATGAGCATTGTAAAAAATTAAATTCATTACATAATTTGAGTGGCAGAATGATGGGGAGGGTCCCAAAGTCAGACACTTTATATTTATTATCCAATTTAATTTTCACAATTGTGGTGAGATAGACATTCATATTTCTGTTTTACAGATGAGGAGACTTAATCTCTGAGAGATAAATAATTTATCCACTGTCACACAGACATAAATGGGAAAGCAGTAATTTAATCCAGGTCAGAGGGACTCCAAATATTTCCATTATTGAGTTGCTTATTATAACACAGCATACAGCTGGTTTACTGTTATTATTTTTTGGTGGTGATGGTTGTTTTCTGCTTCATTTTTATTTACCCCCATTAGACAAATTTGGAGATTTTAAAATTTAAAACTTTTAAGCTCTGTTTTCTTTACTAAAAGGAAATGTGAAGTTATGTTCTGGGCAGTCTTTCTTTTTTTTTTTTTTTTTTTTTTTTTTGAGATGGAGTCCTGCTCTGTTGCCCAGGCTGGAGTGCAGTGGCAAAATCTCAGCTCACTACAACCTCCACCTCTCCAGTTCAAGCAATTATCCTGCCTCAGCCTCCCTAGTAGCTGGGATTACAGGTGCACACCACCATGCCCAGCCAATTTTTGTATTTTTAGTAGAGACAATGTTTCATCATGTTGGCCAGGGTGGTCTCGAACTTTTGACCTCAGGTGATCTGCCCACCTCAGCCTCCCAAATTGCTGGGATTACAGGCTTGAGCCACCGTACCTGGCCTTTCTAGGCAGTCTTTTATGTCTATGGTTTACATCATTGAGCTTCTATGCCAGACAGCCAGCAAATATTTCTTAAAATAAAAAAGAAACATAAATAACACATGCCATCTGCTAATAAATAACATATGAAAATATGTAATAAATATATGCCAATATATGATAAATATAATACACCAATTCGTTTTAAAGACATAAACCTTGTTGCAAAAATACTAGAATGCAATTGGATTTTAGAGAGGTACTTTCTCTGTACCTCAGTGTCGTACTTTAGTATTTCCTCAAATTCTCCAAAATAGATGTCGACATTACCAGACCTTTTTTTTCCACAAATGAAAATAGATGGTACACTGAAAAAATAAAATCTATTGATAATATTTATATATTTTATTTATAATGGTTTATAAATAGTCTTAAGATCTGCTTAAATTAATAGTTTGCAGATTTCCACAAAGCATAAAAATTATTTTCTCTGATACTAACCACAGTATTATAGCTAATGTTTATGAAGTAGAATTCTTCTAATAAAGTAATATTTTAATTTTTTTCAAACAAAAGTGATAATGCTAAAACCAAAATTCAGTGACTAGGGAAAGATTGATATGGATCAGCCAAAGTAGCATTAATTCCAATGTGTATTAATTTCATCACTCAATGACGTTCATTTGAATATTCCTACAAATAAACATGTGCACATGCATTAATGTTAGCATGTTAGCAAAAACTTTTTTGACACTATGAAAAATAAAGGTATTGATTGTGGCAACTCGTGTAGTTATATTTGAAATATGGAATAATACTTTTAGTAATTGTTTGCTTTAAGTATTCCAGAAAAAAGTTTCAAGGCAGCATGATTGGTGGGAGATTATATTGAGAACATGTATGCCTTTGTGTTTTCTTTCTTAGAAATGCCAATTAGAAGCAGACGAATTGAGAGTTGGAAACAATGAAAGAAATGGAGTTAAAAAAAAAGTTTTTGCTAATTCACAACATAGATAACCAACAATTACTTAAATGTATTAAAGCTATTTCTTTACAAAACCAATTTCTTTAAATCTATTGTGTTATAAAAAAAATTTCAGGTTCCATGTCATTCATTCATTCATTAACTCATGTAAGAAAATTGTATTTAGTGCCAACTTTTTACCAAGAATGATGCTACTGGTGATGATACAGACATAATTCCTGCCCTTGTGGACTTTGTGGTCTGTTAGAAAATTTTTGTATCAAGTGCAAAATTAATGGAGGGGAGACTTCCTCCTATTCTATGACTCTTTGAAGCATAGTTCCTTATATCCTACTTTTGAAAGCTCTTCGCTAAGATGTAATTGTCCCTCTATACAAGATTTTGTTTTTTCAAATAACTTTGTTTCTTCCTCGGAATGGTAATTAATGAAAGGATGAAGCACCTAGTATTCTATAGTGGTAGAGGAACATTAAAATATAGATAAATTAGAATAAGTCTTTCCAAAGGGAAAAAAGTGGCCGTCAAAAGCTTGCTAAGTTGTCTTTATTTGTAATCACATTAGAAGTTTCCCAACAATAACAATCATTTCAAGAGAAACCAAAGCAGTCCACTGAAGGGCATGGCCAGGAGCAGGTGGTAAATAGAACACACAGCCTATAGGGCAAAGAGGGAAGTTGAGGGAGCAAGGTCTTCTAAAATTGATCATTCTTACAGCAAGCATTTCTACCCACTATCACTTTCAAAGCTCCTATTACACGGTTGTATCCAGCTATTTAAGTGATTCTTTTCTTAGAATCAAGGAGCTTCAGGAGCCCAGAAGAATCATAGAGGTCACCTCAACATTTATCTACCAAGGAGAGTTTACTAATCAAAACAGGGAACTAAAATGCCAAAGGATGTGTTTTTTCTTACAATTTAATTATACCACATTCTCCCTTTTCCATTTAATGTGCATAACTCAATTGAATGTATATTTTCTTATTTATTTGATGATAGCATTGGCATTTATAAATTATTGTCTGAAAGAGCACCAGGGGATGTCTGGTTTCTTTCCCTCAGTAATTTTGCCTGCTTCTGTTTAACAGAGGCATATTTATCTCAGATTTCTGCTTCTTGCCTTCCACAATGAATGACATTTCTTTTCAGATATTTCCATTTCCAGATACGATATTAAGTAACTTCAATAATGTAGAGAAAAATGTTCAAGGATAAACCTCACATAACAGTGTTCTTTTAAACAAATATCTTTCTTAGTGACAACTTTGGGAAGATCTCTTTAGTCTTTTTCATATGCACACACACATATGCACACTTTTAGTTTATAGGATAGTTAAAATGACATGTGCAAATAGCCTTTAGTGAATCTTTTTGACATGACAGTTTATGGTTTAAGAGGTGGCTAGTGGGTCTCTGCTTTCAATGTTATGCATAAAATAAAGAAGTATGAACACTTCAATTGCACAAGAAGTGTCATTTTAAAATAATATAATTGTCCCTGCATTTTAGGAGTATTATTTTTTTTTCATCAGCCTTAGTCATGATTGCCAATTCAGGGGCAAATGTATGAGATAATCCCCAATTTTGTTTGTATTGCTCACAAGTCATTAATTTCATTTCTGGGCAGTATCTTTTGCATGTCAAGTCTCTCCTTCCTTTTTCTTCCAACCCTTTAATCAGTGCAAATGGTTTTATTCCACAGGGCAGAGGCTAAGAAAAATACACATGCAGTTAAGAGACTGGACAGGGAGTAGAGTGCTACATTTTTATTCATATTGAAATGTGGGATACTGTAGCTTCTCCTGAAGCAACTTTTATGCAATACTCATGCAGGACACTTTATGGAAAAAAAATAAATCTCATGGTTAAAGAAATTTGGAAAAATCTATATACTTTCTTAGAAAGTAATATGCTAAGGTTTAGCAAATAAAAATACAGGACACTTGGTTAAGTTAGAATTTCAGATAAACAGCAAATACTTAGTGTAATCCCATGCAATATTTGGAACACACTTATACCAAAAAGTTATTTGGGCATCGTGTATCTTGTCTAGTAACCCTATTAGAAACTCAGTCACATTTAGCATTTTAACTTTTTGTTTAATCCTTAATTTATCATTGACAAATTTAGAATTCCAGAGAAAGCAGCATAAAGAAAGGAAACACTGACAGAAGATGATAGAGAACAATGGATACTTTTGTTTGGCTTGACCCCCCACAATAAGTATGAGGTAAAGTTGGAGGAAAGAAAGATAGAAAAATATAATGGATATCTGTTGCTTTTCCTTGACCAAGACCCATATCTTCATAATATCAACAGTACCTCATTGGAAAACCATCCCTAGCTACTCTCAGCCCTTCTAATGTGTGGAAGGCTAATCCAATACCAGTTTCTAAAGATAAGTAACTGATTTAGGCCTGAACATCTGGTGTGCTTCTTCTCCCTGGCAACAGTGATTGGTTCAGAGAAAGACTACCAGACTTGGGATTTTGTTGGCATGATTTTACAAGAAGCACCACTTCCCCTTGGGTTGCTCTATGGATGGGATCTGGAGCTGGAGGGGCTGGCAGCCATTTTTTTTTCCCTCTCCTTTGGCGAGGCTTCCTGCAAACAAAGCCAGGACAGTTGAAGAAGCCTCACCAAAGGAAGGAGGGCAAGATCATCCGTGACGTCACTAAAGCACTTGGACCTGGCTGTGGCTGAGGCCAACGCTGAAATTAATAAATTAAATGAACTCTCTGTCCTTCTTCTTTCATTCCTTCCTTCCTTTCTCCCTTCCTCCCTACCTGCATCTCTCCTTCTCTCCCGTCTTCTCCTTTTCTCCCATCTTCTCCCGTCTCTCTCTTTCTTTCATCTTAAGCCACTTTGAAGTAGGCCTCTCACAACCTAAAGACTCCTAATTTCCCCATAAAAATAGTTTAGAGCTGGATTATGAAAGATATTTTATTTCAGACTAAGGATTTAGAATTTTAATCTGTCTTAAACCTTTGGTGATTTCTGAGCAGGGAAGAAATGGGATTAGAGATTTAACCTAGGAAGGCTAACAAGAGGATGCATTAGGAGAAGGATTTAGGAAAGGAGTGCATCCCTGGAGGCCGTTATCCTAAGCGAATTAACACTGGAACAGAAAATCAAATACCCCATGTTCTCACTTATAAGTGAGAACTAAACATCGGGAATACATGGACATAAAGATGGCAACCATAGACACTGGAGACTACTAGAGGGGAGAGGAAGCAGGGGCAAGGACCCAAAACTAATTATTGGGTATCATGCTCACAACCTGGGTGACAGGATCATTCATAACCCAAACCTCAGCATCATGCAACATACCTGGGTAACAAAACTGTACATGTACTTCCTGAGTCTAAAAGTTGAAAATAAATAAAGAAGAAGAAAGGAGTGCATCAGTTACAAGACTATCAAAAATTCTTTGGTGAGCAGGGATAGGGCACTGATCTGGTGTACTGGACATACATGGATATAAGAGTGTTGATAGAGAATTTAGATGTGACAGCGGATTAAATGATGGCAAGGGGGGAGACATATTATTATTCAATACATATTTATTAAACTTCTAAAGCAGTGAAACTTATTGTCAGGGGAACATCTTGAATTGGCTCCAGTAGAGATATAAAACACACTTTTAAAAATTATAGCCCAGAGGAATTAAAGGGGCAGAATAAACAACTTGATGAAACTCACTGGAAGTTTGTGGTTTTATTATTTGATTATTATAAGGTTATTATAGCTATTGCCAGAAGCTGAGAGACTTCCTCTGTGGACTTAGGTCCTATTTATGTTGCTGAATAAGCATCCATTTTAAAAAGCACAATCATTAATAACTGGTCCATCTGTATATTTTCCCAAACCACTATAATTTCCCAGTTAACATGTATGGCAGTTAAGCTTTTAATGGCCATTTATTTATTTCTGCAGTATGTTCATTTGAATGTTTTCATTGAACATCCAGACATTTATTAGTCATTTGTTTACCATTACACAAATTTATGGAACCGTTAAATGCACCATCTTGGTGAGCTGTCAGAGAAGAGTTATTGTGCAGAGAAGCATATTGTTTGGAATTTGTTAGAAGCTCATCCCAATACTATTAATTCTGTTTATTAGAGAACTGAGACGATGCAAGTAATCTCACACAGACATAAAAAGCTGACTTGAAAAACATACTCCCCTTCAAATTGAGAGGTTATCTCTTAGAGGGAAAAAAAAGGCTGGAAGAAAATGATTGCTTAGTGTTGGAACCCACATAGAAAATGAATAATAGCTGAATAACTGAGAGTTTAATAACATGCAAGACTCGAGGTATAATATTCTCTTGGGTTCCATGTTTCTGAATGGCCAGTGACAGGTCTTTCTGGTAATTTCATAATAACTCTATCTTGGGTGAGTTCTAAGAAAATTCTTCATACTGAAAATTCTCTCAGCATTGCAGTAAGTTTTTGAGCTATTTCCTTGATATTCATGATTGCTAAAACATGATCTTTTGGAAGCAAGTGAAAGAAATAAAGTTACACACATTTTAAGTGAGATAAATTTGTGTTTGAATCTTGTCTCTGACTATCCCCTGTTGTGTGACCTTAGCGATAAGTGTCTTGAACTCTCTGAGTCTCAAGATCCTCATATTTATGATGGAGATAGTAATATTAACTCCATATAGTAATCAGAAAAACTGATATAATGCACATAAAGTGTTTAGAACAAGGGCTACCACAGTAAGGATTTGGGGAATATTAGGTGTTAATACCATTATTATTCACATAATATTATTATTATTCTCATTATTTCTCTTGAACATTATCTTATCAGAGTGATGCCTTAGGACTAGTAATTTATGCACTGCTTTGATTGATTTACATTTGATAACTACATAGCATCAAAAGACATTTCTCCAGCCATAGTTAGAATGTGATGACAATATAACTGAATTTCTGCTTTTACGCAAGAGTTAAGTTAAAGCTCCTGTTCTGAATTTAAATTCTAAAGTGGGATTTCTCTGCTGAGCTTCTGAGTACCGTGTTTGTGTTTAAAGGCTGCGTACAAGGAAAGCCACAGTATTTAAATACGGATATCCCTCCCTGCCCACACAGGGCTCATCGGTCAAATCCGGAACATTAGCAAATTTCCCTCCTGGCTGAGTTCCAGCTCTTACAGCTGAGTAAGGACCCAGAATCGCTGCCCCCTGCACATTTTCACCACCCACTGCCCTTCCATTCACTGAAGACAATCTCCTTGCTTTCTTTGCTAAGAAGGAAGAAGCTGTTGAGTTCTACTTCAAGAATGAAGTAACCTCTTTTGATTTTCACAGAGCATCCAGAGTATTTTAAGATGATGAAGAGGAATGGAAATAAGAGTGACAGGAGCGAACCAGATGATGTAGACAGCTGACAAATTAGGCCAAATGACCTCTAATATGAATATAAATTAAATCATCTAAATATATCATGGACTTCACTTCCAGATTCTTATTTAGTATAAAACTATGTATTTCATGAAGCATTCATCAGCCCTTAACTTTAAGTAGGCATCAGAATCACCACTGATTCTTTTGAAACTGTAACGGGCACCTCTAAACTCAATAGGTCTGGTAGCTCTGGGATAGGTCCAAGAACTTGTTTTTGTTTTCAAATTTCTGCAGATCTTCCTGATGCAGAGGTAGGAGTGAACACTACTGAATTATGAGGATTCTTGTGAGCGAAGTTTTGACAGTGGATGGCTAACTAACCTGCCAACTAGCCTACACTATTATAAAACAAGACTTAAGGAGTTCATGAACTGATAAAGTATGGAAGGTTCTTGCAACAACTCATAAGAAAACCAGATTCCCCCTGAAGGGTTTCACTAAAACACAGACTCATGTCCTTCAAACAGTGTGACCATTTCTAACCCATTTAAAATTATAGATCCAAAATGATTTCTTGGCCTCTCGTTACCTGGCAATTCATTTCATTAGGTCTGACAGCTAAAGTGTGGCTGGGAGAGGAGAGACAGTTCTATGATAAAAAGAATTTTTGGTGACTCAAATTTTCTATGTTTGTCATAAGCAACCTTGGAATTCACTACTGTCTGCTTTTAGTATTAATGTAATAAGACCAGAGTTCAAATTCTATCTCTGAGTTTTCTCACCTGCCAAATAGGATTAATAATTACTTTTTAGTCATACTACAAAGATAAGAGATAAAATCTGTTGGATATCTATTCACACAAAACTCTAACATTATTATCTCGAAATTCTGAATCAGCTTTGCTTAGTTTTTAAATAGAGGATAATTACTTACAAGACCATTAATACTAAAGAAACTAAGCTTAGAGAACCAGGTACTAGTAGGAGGAACGAGATATCACTGGTTCTAGATAAAAGTCTGGAGGTAAGGTTATAGGAAGCCACCTAAACATGCCCAGTGAAATCCCTTTCTGTGGTTGAATCTTCCTTAAGAAGGGAAAAGCAGCATTTATTTTAATAATTATTAACCCCAGGTATTTGTTGAAACGTGGTCAGAAACTCTGGACATTAGGAATGTCACTTCACAATTTCTGCTTTTAAGTATGAAAAACTCAACAGGGAAATAAAATAGGAATGTTTATGAAGATAGTAGCATTTTCTAATAGAATAGTTAAATAGGATTTACTTTCTAGTTATCAACTCAAACTGAAATGAATCTTACAGTTACTCAAGTAAGCATTCATTCTACGTTTAACTTTCTGATACTTTATTTGGGACAAATACTCATAACTACATTAACTTGGCCTTCAATTTTTAAGTTTTACAAAACAAAGATGCTACCATCATTAATTTTGGTGAACAAGTATCCCAGTTTGCCTAGGACCAAGAAGGTTCTCAGGATGCTAGACTTTCAATTTTAAAACCAGGACAATCCTGGGCAAATGGTGACAAGTTGGTCACCCAATTTTTCTTCCAAGTTCCAGTTTCAGTTCCAGTATATTCACATTAAAGCCTCTCCCACAGTGTAATGTACAGATAATTATGAACTAAACAACAATGTGTGCAACTGCTGCATATATAATACATCATCCCTTAATCTCACCATGTGCTGAGGTGAGATTAGAAAGACAGGGAATTCCACCAAAAGAGAAAGAATGGGAAGCCTACATATTGAATTATTAACAATCATTTGTACTTGAATATTTATGAAAATTGTTACATAATACCTATATATTCAGGCCGGGTGCAGTGGCTCATGCCTGTGATCCCAGCACTTTAGGAGGCCAAGGAGGGTGGATCATGAGGTCAGGAGATGAAGACCATCCTGGCTAACACCGTAAAACCCCGTCTCTACTAAAAATACCAAAAAAAAAAAAAAATTAGCTGGGCGTGGTGGCAGATGCCTGTAATCCCAGCTACTAGGGAGGCTGAGGCAGGAGAATCACTTGAACCTGGGAGGCAGTGGTTGCAGTGAGCCAAGTTTGTGACACTGCACTCCAGCCTGGGCCACAGAGCGAGACTCCATCTCAAAAAAAAAAGAAAAAAAGAAAAAGAAAAAAGAAACGTGTCTATTGTGAGCATTATAATTTCTCTTACTTAGCAAGTACCTATAATGAAGTAAGTGTTACTTAACATCTAAAGTATATGTCAGTGCAGAGAGCATCCATTTCCAAAGTGACAGGAATTCGTTAAGAAAAGCTCTATAACTGACTTTGCTATCAGTATCTACAAAGAAAAGAGGAAATTTCACCAAGAAAGGATAAGGGCTATTTAAATGAGTTTCCTTTTAATAGCTGTAGTGAAAGTGAAGAAGACCTCACAAACCCCAGATATTCCTGAAACAGTGACGGGAGGGTTAATTTTACTATAGATTTCACAGTGCTGGGAAGTGTCATTGATTAAGAGAGTTGGCAGTTAGAGGGTTTTAGCCAGTTACCCATCTGTTTCACAGAAGTTTGTTAACACAGCTGGAAAAGATGTAGTTGCCAAAGCTTTCTTATGCCTTTCAAGTCTCATCTTTTTTTGTTTTTTCCCTCCCAGTAAAAGAGCTAAAACAATTAGAATGTCTTCTCCAAGGAATTAAGCAAGGGGGAAAAAAATTCATTTCTTCTCTATTCCTTCACCAGTGCTGTATATTATTCATATTTAAATTATTAAAATATAGATAAAATGGAATTTCTTGCAGTTTTGAATTTGCCTGTTGGTTGCTCTCTTTCTCGCTCTTTTGTAAATGAAGTCTCTTCTGGTTTTCAAGAAAACGTCATCACAAATTAGCAAGAGATTTCAATCCCCACCCAAAAATTCTCTCTGCGGTTGAATCTTCCCAGCCCCAGTCTCAGATTTCAAATCAGATCTTTTGCACATTGAGTTTTAAACCATGCATATTCCTAAAATGGAGATAATCAAGAAAACACATTCTGCCAATTCAAGTTCAGGGCTGGATTCATTACTTGTTTTATTTCAATTAAGACCTGCAGCGCTTCCTAAACATTACTAAGAATGATGACTAAAGGGCAGAGAGATGCTGACTACTTGCCAAAGTGTTCCCTGGTTGTTTTTCAAACAATTTGCTTAAACCAAGGAATCAGGCAGGAAAATACTATCATTCATTGACTGTTCTTTAAATCCCTGTGTAATGCCAGCTCTATGTTTATATTTTCTTATGTTAATCCTGCACTCGCAATTACATTTTAACATAGCTATTATTTTTATAGATGAAAATGCCAGTACTAAAGCTCAAATAAATTGGCAAGTCACATAGCTAATGAGTGTCAGAGTCAGGTCCACAGGGTTGCAAAATCAATTTATTTCCCGCTATATTATCTTCTTGACCAAAACCCAGGAATTTCAGCTTAGACGGTTTTAAGTCCTTTTACATGCAGTAAAGTGTATTTACAAAAAAAACTTCTTTATTTTTAGGTTTAAATATGTGTGTCATTGCAGCATGCTTCAATTTTTGTCTTTCAGTTTCTCTCTAAAAACAATAATTGTCTTTTTAATACTAAAATTTTCATTTTATTTACTTAAAAAGAATTTGTTATGAATTTGTATGTGCCAGGCACTGGAATAAC
This sequence comes from Homo sapiens, assembly GCF_000001405.40. Taxonomy (NCBI): domain Eukaryota; kingdom Metazoa; phylum Chordata; class Mammalia; order Primates; family Hominidae; genus Homo; species Homo sapiens. The sequence continues at coordinate 121,290,296 of NC_000008.11, forward strand.
AGAGTTCAGCACAGTTAACATGACTTCTGCCTTCAGAAAGCTTAAGCTTCATTAAAATGGTCTGTAAACTTTAGTGTCAATTAAAAATGCCTGTGACCAACCTCTTGATATTATGATTCTGAAGTTCTAGTATGGCATCCAGGAATTTTTATTTTAGAAAGACTTCCATGTGATCTTTATTTGTGGCGGGGTTCTCAGGGCAATAGTAGAAGAGATAAATTTAATTTTTATTTTATTTATTTATTTTTTGAGACGGTCGCTCACGCTGGAGTGCAGTGGCACAATCTTGGCTCACTGCAGCCTCCGCCTTCCAGGTTCAATACAGGAGCGTGCCACCTTACCCGCCTAAGTTTTGTATTTTTAGTAGAGACAGGGTTTCACCCTGTTGGCCAGGCTGGTCTTGAACTTCTGACCTCAAGTGATCCACCTGCCTCAGCTTCCCAAAGTGCTGGGATTACAGATGTGAGCCACTGCACCTGGCCAGAAGAGAGAGATTTTAAACAAACACCCAGATTATAAATTCAATTACAAATTGTAATTACATTGTAGGAATAGAACAGGATGGTTTGGAAACATTAAAAAAGATAAATAACTTAAACTGAGATCAGAACAGGGAACTGATTTTCGTTGAGGAAGGTTGGAATTAGCTAGGGTAATGCCAGGATTGTGAGAAGAATGTAGACGAAATAGCAAGGAATGAAAAATTACTGCAGATACTCTACAGAAATCTGAGTTGCAATTATCTTCAAAAAGGTACTTGTTCTCTTTGATTTGTGCAAAGATACTCAGCTTTACACAATTAAGAAGCTGTCATTTCCACCAGTATCAGAACAACAAAGGAATATGTTTTCTAACTGATGGGCTTTCATGGGCTTGCTTGCATTCCTGAACTAGGCCACAACTCTGGAATTTGCTTTCAAATATTCCCAAACAATTTTAAACAATATCAAAAGACTAGATAGCTCACTGTAAATCCACCAAGCCCGATCTATTCTCGTTGTTTTGATGTGTTGGGGAACTTGCTTGATAACTACTTCCTGTGAGAGGAGTCTGGCTGATCCTCAAGTTTCTGTTATGAAGTGTCTAAAAGGCTATAAACCAAATGCTTAAGCATCCAGGTGGGGGGTGAGCTCTCAGACTCAGACAAGTAAGATTGTGTGGCCCTCATGAATATGATCATTTTGTGTGGCCTGTTGTGTCAGGGAGAATTCTATGCTCTGTGGAGGGCCAGTCTCTTTAGTATAATCAATTCCTCTGAGGCTCCGGACTGGCTGTGGGGCCCAAACAGTGGAGATGTTGTCACAGGCCTCAGATGGCTCACTATGTCCCTGGGTTTTGCACAACCCTAATATAGAGATCATTGTCTCATGATGGCATGGTCCAGCTGAAAGCATCATTTGTACAGTAGAGAAATGACAGGCCTTCATAGCTAACTAAGCCTTCTCAATAGGTGGCTTTGAGAGGATCAGGACAGATTTGGGCTCTAAGACACTGGGTAGAAACTGGTAACCAGATTAACTTTACAGACCATTAAATTCTCCCCCATCCCAAGGGAAAAAGGAACACAAAAACAATACAAACATTTTATCTTCTTTAATTCCTTCCTTTCTTCCCTCCCTCCCTTCCTTCTTTCCCTCCCTCCCTTCCTTCCTTCTTTCCTTCCTTCCTTTCTTCCCTCATTCCTTCCCTCCTTCCTTTCTTCCTTCCTTCCTTTCTTCCCTCCCTCCCTCCCTCCTTCCTTCCCTCCTTCCTTTCTTCCTTTCTTCCTTTTCTCCCTCCCTCCTTCCTTCCTTCCTTCCTTGCTTCCTTTCTTCCTTCCTTCCTTTTTGCTTTTCTTCCTTCCTGTTTTTCACGCCTCAGCTAAGGAAACATTCTCAGAACACCTACTATGCACCAGGTACTTTGCTAGCTAGTGGGGAAATGGAAAACAAAGAATCCCAGCTCAATTGACTCTCACAATTTAGTCAGAGGAAACAGATGTGTAAACAATTAATTGAATTAAAATGATATAGGTGTCATAACGGAATTATTATAACTCAAATTTAATAAGATTTTACTGTATGTCAGGCATGATTTAAAATGATTGATAATAGTTGATACACGTCATCTTCACATGAATCCTAAATGATAGTCTATAGATGGCCTTATTTTGGAGAATAGGAAATGGAGGTATAGACAAGAAAAGAAAATTGGGTGAATCCATATTTAAACACAGGCAATTTGTTTCTAGAGCCAGCACTTGATCCACTTTGGTACCCAACTACTATTCAAATATGAACAGAATATAGAGGGAACACAGAGGAAGAAGATATTCACACTATTGGGTATCTGTGAAGGCTTCCAAAAGGGGATTCCAGTCATTTGAGCCTCAAATACCATATTTAGGGTTGTGGTGGAAGAATACACAGTGGCGTTACCAGTGTGAATAAGTTACCGTTCCTCATTTCAAGAAACTTATAGGAGAGCGGGAAAGACGAACTTCAAAAAAAGAAAACTTCTTTATTATATGTTCCAGACTTCACAACAGAAGACAATGTAGAAAAAGCACGTTTTCACACATGATCCCTTTTTATTATGGAGGAAACCTTTAAGCCCTCTTCACTCCCACAGCAGGCTTCTCCTTCATTTTCATTAACCAGAGTTTGGCCACATGGCATTCACCAGACCAGTCACTAATCTAGTCAACTGAATTAACGATGATTGAATTAGACTGGCCATGATTCAACACCTGGGCAGTGAAATGTCACCTTTCCAAGTACAAGCGGGAAGAGCTGTGTGATCAGTATTGGCTTTCTTCAAGCAAGGAAGAAGACAGGGTAAAAAGCTATTTGATAACCAATGGAACTGTCACCATGTAACTCTGATATAAGTAAAACAATATCATGAAGGGATTTATGATCCAATATAAAAATGAGTATTGGGAACTCCTAGATTGTATTGAGGGTTTCATTTATTTTATATTTCACAGAATAAAAGGATGAAGAAAGGATATTACTAAGTAAAGGGGGCAATAATTATAAAAATAATGAAATATTTAGTCATATTTATGTAGTGATGACCTTGTGCCACACACTGTTGAAGTTTTATATATATATATATATATATATATATATATATATATATATACACACGCACATACACATATAATCTGTATTATATGTACAAATATAAAATGCATTTACAATATATGTGTTACCTGAATCCACACCAGTCCTATGAGCTAGGTAATATTATTGTCCTATTTCTCAAGTCAGCAACCCTAAGCACAATGAGGTGGGCAAATTAACTAAAGTCATGCAGCACATAAGAGGTAACTATGTTAGAGTCATATTCATTATTATGCTATATCATACCATTGAGAAACATGTCAATGCTTATTTTTAGATGATATATAAATAGCCTAAGATTTCAGTCAGTTAATAATTAAAGTTAAATTTGTCCTATGCTTAACCTTAGTCAAATTCAATTTACATACTCTTACAAGGGTTGCTAAACACATTTGCTGAAAAAAAAGAGAAAAGTGTTAAGATTTTTATGTCTAAAATGAGGCTCAAAGCCAAGTCTGTGCCACTACACTTCAGAGAGTTCTTTATAATGTTCTTTATAATGTTACCTAAGACCAAGATTCAACCCAGGTGAAAGGATTCTCTACTGTTATTTTTACCTCAAAGAGGGAGGGGCACAAATGGGCAGGGAGAGTTTGAGTGTAGGGATATATTCTTAGTCTTAGATCCATAGCTATAACCTGATGTTCTTGTGGGAAAGTTCAACAAACACACAACACAGATCTGTGAAGTTCTCTGCCCAGTGCATCTCATTCTGTGGTTCTTTGGAGTGTATTTTGGACACTATGTCATTAACTGACCCTGTCACTTGTCCCCCAACAGTCAATATTTGTGACTTGAAATAGGTATTAAAAGGATGCAAACATTATACGTCTACATTTCTTAGATTATGTTACAGTGAATGTATATATATTTTTAAAAGAAATATGCAAAAATGATAATCATTCTTTTATCCCAGATGATGTGATTAGGAGTGACATTTATTTCTTTCTCAAGGTTTTATATTTTATCTAAAGTGTGATGTTGATACGAAAATAAATTGCATTTTTAGAAATAGCTAGCATTCAGAGATAATTTATAGGTGATTCTTACTGTGTGTTTACGATTTTCCAGGTGCTATAGTTTAAATGTCATAGCTCATTAGAAAGAAATGGTGTTGACATGACACAGCTAGCGAGCGTTTTATCTTTTATTCTCTTATCTTTTTAAAGGCCTCCTTTCCCTGGTTCCCCCATTTCTATGCAGTCTTGCCAGTTAATGTTGGTGTTCTGTCTTCTCTATATATGCATTAGAAGTATACAATTGTAGTTATGCAAAAAAGCCAAACTGTTATAATATATTCCTGTAATAATGCTTTCTGAGGAGCCAGAGTCTGAATGCCACAGAAGAGAAAAACTTATTAGTCGAATTTGAGACAGTCGGCACAACATCTCACACCCAATGGCCCCAACCATGTTTGATTACTTGGTCATTGCATATGAAATCTGACAGTGTTAGGCCTAAGCAAATAATTAGATGGGGAAAAACATTTATTTTTTAAATTAAAACTGTCTCATAAACAGATAGGTGTAGGCCTCCACGTGAGGGATAAGTAGTAACAAGCTTCAGGGGAAAATAATATCAAATTCTCCAAGGATTATAATTAGTGATGATCAGATACTTAGTGTGGTGCAGGTATGTGGAGTGGGGGAAGAGGAGGGTAATGATCATTAACAAAGTATAAGTAATGTAGAAACACCCTTGGTCAACAAGAAGCCCATAGTTCAAAAGATTGGCATTAAGCAAGTCCTTACCAGTTTAAGGAGTGGGGATAGGGAGAGCCAGACTGGAAGGTATTTGTAAGATACGAGAAAGAACATAGGATTTGTGTTCATAATTATCTTTCCATTTCTTAGATCTGCTATTTCTAGACTCTGTGATTAGAGTCAAGTCAGTGTTTAGGTCAATACCTGGCACAGAATAAAATGCATGGATTTTTAAAAATGACTTGAGCTATGATATCAAGTAATAAAAAGTACTATAAAATGTTTATTACAGTATGATTTTAATTATTTAAATATAGGCATGTATTCACATATGTGTGTAGATGTGCTTATATATTTTAGGGATCTATATATTTCTTTTTACACAAAAATACAGAAAAATTCACCAAATCATTCAGAGCAGACTATGGCCATTTTAATTTTTCTTCATGTTTTTCTGTTTTCAAATTTTTTTGAGCAGAGCTTTTATAACAGAAAAAAAGTATATTTATATATATATATGTATATATATGAAAGAACACAGAACAAAAACACACAAGTGTAGATAAAGAGATAGCTTTACTTTCATTATCCTTAGCTTCTTCATCTTAAAATTGGTGAAAAAAGTTTTAACTCATAGGGTTATTTTGGATCATTTTATAACACATTATTAAACACAATATGTTTTATAAGACTATTAATATGGCAGTGAGAATTGATCAGGTTTTTGGATACCAGGACTTGGGATTGTATGTTACAATGTGAATCATCCCTGTGATAACTGTATATACCAGTTTATCCATCTGTCCTTTCTTTTATAGTTGCCTTCTTTCTCTTTTGGGCCTACTTAAGTAATAAAAGTCAATAAGAAGTATCAAGTCACTCTTCTCACACAAATTGAAATATTGACGAGTAGTTAAGAAGATGTTAGGTTTGATTTAATTGGTAAATAGCTGGGTAAAAATCAAGCATTTGATAAGACAACAAATAGACCATCTTTGGATTCATTGTTAGTTATTTTCTCTCATTGCTCACCGTGTTTGGTAATGATGACCTCTCATTAAGAGGTGAGTTTACTCATCACTTACTTTGCAGTTTTGTGGTTACTACTCTTTCCCTGGCCCATGGAACAATTAGCTAGAATTTTCATTTGTATATTAAAATTATTGTTAGTATTACTCTACTTCTTTTTTAGAGGTGCTCCTATATATCACACCATCCTTAAACATCCTGAAGTACGGTTTGTATCATGTTGTGTCCATATTCTGGTGGCTCCCATTGTCATTAGAATGATAAGAATGGAATTAAGACATATCCAATGTATACCATCAGGGTCTCAGCAGGAAGCAGAATAAGGGGCTTTAATAAAATAACTTCTTCTAAAGTATGGACAAGATAAGGGAAACAATGAAAGATGCTGAGACAACCAGAGACTGGCATCAAGGGAAACTGCCTAGGTAGAGAGAATAAATTATGTTACCAGAGCCCAGTAAGATCTGAAGCCATGGAAAAGCCCCTATACTACAGGAACTGATGTCATGGAAGGATACAACCAACCAGTGCCTTAACATGGAGGAAGTGGGGAAGAAATACCACAGATTGTACCTCTTCCCACCCTTAAATCTTCTACCAGTGCCTTCCATTGGCCAAGCCCAGCCAGAAACCAGGGGGTGTGGGCACCCAGTGATGAAGTCCACAGAAGCCAGCCTCCTTGGGCACAAAGCAAAGCAAGAAAGAGAAGATAGGTCTGGGGCATGAACTAGTGGAGGGCCCACATGAACCAACCAATATATTCTGCATATAATATGAGAAAAATATTACATGTTTTTAAAATTCTTTCAGCATTTTTGAAAGTTTATTATTATTTTATTATTATTACTGAGATAGGGTCCTGCTCTGTTGCCCAGGCTGGAGTGCAGTAGAGTAATCAAGGCTCACTGCAACTGCAGCCTCAAACTCCTGGGCTCAAGTGATCCTCCCACTTCAGCCTCCTAAGTAGTTGGGACAAGAGGTACATGCCACTACACCCAGATAATTTAATTTTTTTTTCTTTTTTTTGTACAGACAAGGTTTCACTATGTTGCCCAGTGTGGTCTCAAACTCCTGAGCTTAAGCAATCCTCTTGTCTTGACCTCCCAAAATGTTGGGGTTATGGGCATGAGCCACCGCACCCAGCCTGAAGGTTATTATTATCCTTACGCTACAGCTTGGGAAACTGATACTCATACTGGCCAAATAACTTATGTAAGTTCAGGTCTTTGGAAACTGGCAAAGCCAAGATCCAAATTAAGGTATTTCTGAATTTAAAATCTGTGATCTTTGTGAACAAAAACCATACTTCTAGCCTAATATTCAAGGTTTTAAATGCCTTTCCAATCTCTTACTTGAATTCACGTCGTTAGCCAGCCAGAGTTAGTTTCAACTGAGCTTCACTTTCACTCTTTGCCCTCTCTTTTCCAGTGATGAAATCTATTCATATTCTTATTTCCAAATCCCACTCAGATTCCTCCTTTGTTGTTGTTGTTGTTGTTGTTGTTTGAGACAGAGTTTCACTTTTGTTGCCCAGGCTGGAGTGCAGTGGCATGATCTCAGCTCACCGCAACCTCCACCTCCAGAATCGCCTCCAGGTTCAAGCGATTCTCCTGCCTCAGCCTCCCGAGTAGCTGGGATTACAGGCATGCACCACCACACCTGGCTAATTTTTTTTGTATTTTTAGTAGAGACAGGGTTTCTCCATGTTGGTCAGGCTGGTCTCAAACTCCTGACCTCAGGTGATCCACCCACCTTGGCCTCCCAAAGTGCTGGGATTACAGGCATGAGCCACCGCGCCCACCCGATTCTTCCCTCTTTTTGAAACCTTCTTAAAGTGCACTAGCAGATGGTATTCCCTCTTTTACCTACTTCTGTTCTTAGAGTTTTCATTTGGCACTCACCCTAATGCTGCCTTGCAGTATTGTCTGATGGCTCATCAACAAATAAGGAAAATAAAACTCATATTGAACAAATAAACTGATTATGATAATGTCGCTACTAAAAAGTAGAGATGAACTTCAATGCAAAGTCTTCTTAGTTGGCCGTATTCAGAATTGTTTTCATGATAAGATTGTAATTACAGAAATATTATGGTGATATTTTCCTAGTTATCTAATACATAAAAATACATAAAAAGCTGCAAGTCATTTTTTGAATGAGTTATGGAAGAGTGAAGAAATCAGCCCTAAATGGGAGACTTTGAAAGTTTGTGACCAATAGAGTAACATAAAAGAAATATGACATAATATCAAATATATCTCAAACAAAGATACTTTTGCACTTGCTAATCAAGGGACGTAATAAGCTCTGTTTGGCTGCAACTTACTGTTTAAAAGTTCAGAATCACAGGATCTTATTGTCTGAAAGTTGAGAATCACAGGATCCTTACAGGGGGTAATTTGAACTGGCATCTGTCCAGGTTTTCCGGCCCGTAAAGCATTTCTTATACCTTCTGCAATAACACAGCCATGGATTTAAATGTGAGCTAATTTTTTCACAGAGCAAATTTATCCCTGCGTTCTTAATGAGCCACAGTTGAAAACTGAAGACACCAGTTTCTTTCTTCATATACTGCTTGGTCTGGCTTTAGACATATTCAAGGCAAGTAAACACCATCTTTGCATTCATTCAGTTCCACAGTGGAAAACCAACAATGTGGCATTTTCAGGGCTAAGATGTTATTATTGCTCCACATAAGATCTGGGCATTAAAATGTCTTTGAGTCCTGTCTCAAATATTCTTAGTAAACATAGAAAAAAGATTCTAAACCAATAATAAACTTTAGTTGCTTTTAAAACGTTTCATTTTTCAGGACAGATTTACTGAAATCTATTGATGGAAAAAAATGACTTTGTCCTTCTAAACACTTCCACTTTGACAAAATGATTTTTAAATTAAGGCCAGACACAAGGTAATTCATTTCAGTTTTTTTCTTTTCTTTTTTTTTTTTTTTTTGCTTTTATTCTCATTACAAAGTAAATTGAAAACCTCGTGGACTTACTGAAAAAAATAGAGAAGGAAATATGTAATGAAGTATTTAGGAAATCTACAGATATAGAGAGAGACAGAGACAGAGAATGCAAGAGAGAGCATACAACAAATTCAGTTGTTTTCAGTTAAAATGGGGTTTATGGCTTCACTGAGTATCTGTTTTATGAGAGTTTAGGAATTAATTAACTGGTAATAGTAGAAACAGTGATGAACACATGATTGCGAGTTCTATTTATGAAGTTTCTACTAGATTTCAGATACTGTGTTAAGTACTCACATGTATTTTCTACTGTAATCATAGCAGCTATCCAGTAATGTAAGCGTTATAATTCCATTGCCTATATGAAGAAATATGAGGCTCAAAAAGGTTAAATAGCTTTTCTATGATCACCTGTTTTTCTAAAAATAGCAGTCAGAGTTCAAATCCAGCTTTTTGTAACTAACATCTCTTGTTCCTAAGTCTAATGTATACTTCCCACTATATAAAGCATTGTGCTAAATGTAATGAAGAGTTCAAGATAAACAGATAGATATAGAAATCGATGTATCTATAGATATGTAGATAATAGATATGCCAAATAAATATGCTAAAATAAGTAACTAACAGCAGAGTGTATATAGGAAGATGTGGAATGTGTGACATAATATCCTGAGTATTATGATAGTTCACAGAAGTGCAAACTAGATATGGGCTGAAAAAGCCAAGATGACTTTATGAAGAAGGTAAGACTTGAAGTGGCTTCTACTGGATACATATGCCTTAAATAGGAGCAAAAGAAAGGTTTGTCTGTTTGTTTGTTTGTTTGTTTGTTTGAGGAGGGGACAGAGAGGAGGGATAGGATAGAGTGGGGACACAATCATGGAAACAGGAATAAGAACAATGCGAGGAAGGAGACCGATGATGAGTGAAGAGATAATCAGATGCTCTGTTTTTGCAGTGATAATAAATACAATTACTAAATAAGTGTCAGATACTGTGCCAGTTGTCATATATTCATTATCATATTTTAGGTATTGAGTAACTCTGTGAGTTAGCTATTGTTTGCCCATCTTTACTAATGGGGAAAATAAGGCACATAGAAGTTAAATAAATTGTTCAAGATACATAATGAGCAATGAAGCCAGAATAAATCTGAAATTTTTTTGATTTACAAAACTTGGATTCTTTTTTTTTTTTTTTTTTTTTTGAGACGGAGTCTCACTCTGTCACCCGGGCTGGAGTGCAGTGGCACGATCTCGGCTCACTGCAACCTCTGCCTCCCGGGTTCAAGCAATTCTCCTGCCTCAGCCTCCCAAGTAGCTGGGATTACAGGCACCCACCACTACGCCCAGCTAATTTTTCATATTTTTAGTAGAGATGGGGTTTCACCATGTTGGCCAGGCTGGTCTTGAACTCCTGACCTAGTGATTTGCTCACCTTGGCCTCTCAAAGTGCTGGGATTACAGGTGTGAGCCACCGTGCCTGGCCAAAACTTGGATTCTTAACCACGCTATAATTATTGCCTTTCAGGATATGTGAATTGGGATGTTGTGATATTTACTCAAAGGTGAAGTATTAACACTAATTTGAAAATGAGTATAATATAAAGTGAAGGAGTTATAAGATATTCTATATTTTTTTCTATTCAACAAACATTCACTGAGTGCCCAAGTATGAGGCATTGTACCAGTTGCTGTAGGGAGTCCAAAACAAAAGCAGTGCCTCTGACCTTGAGGAAGTTCTAATGTATTATGGTAGGTAAGACACGTAAACTGATAAATAGCATACACATTATTATGTGAAAGTATCCTTAGAGAGGCAAAAACAAATGCAAAGAAAAGAAGATTGTTTCCAAAGAAATGAGGCAAATCCAGGGAGGTTTCATGAAGGTGGCAAAGTCAGATATGTGTAAGATTCTTATAGGATAGAGAGGGGAAGAGTCTATTACCCAGAGATAAGCCAGTATGAACTCAGAGATATGGGACAACATTAATCATTCATGGGCTTAGTCTGATTTGACGAGTACATGAATACAGAAAGGGCTTTAATGGGAATGAAGGCTTGAAAGTTTGACGAGGTCAGATTGTGGAGAGTTTTGATGTCAATGTAGTAGTCTAGTCACTACTTTGTACACAATGAGGGGTTATAAGACGAATGAGGTAGAAATAGAAGCTTCATAAAGGAAGACCCTTTTCATTCTTTTCAATCCTTGCTTGGCATACATCTAACTCCTAATAAATACTTGTTGAATAAATTAATGAATTGCCATCACATGGCCAAGGCTATGTTTTAGGAATGCAATAGAGGATAAAATGAGTTATGAAAAAGAAAGACTAGAGAAAAGGAAACCAGGCAGGAGGCTACTGTGTTCCACGGACAAGAAAGAACAGAAAGTTAAGTAGGCTTCTGGCAGTACACATAGCATTTAGGGGCTGGGCGTGGTGGCTCACACCTGTAATCCCACCACTTTGGGAGGCAGAGGCAGATGGATCACGAAGTCAGGAGATCGAGACCATCCTGGCTAACACAGTGAAACCCTGTCTCTACTAAAAATACAAAATTTAGCCAGGTGTGGTGGCATGCGCCTGTAGTCCCAGCTACTCAGAAGGCTGAGGCAGGAGAATCACTCCAACCCAGGAGGCAGAGGTTGCAGTGAGCTGAGATTGTGCCACTGCACTCCAGCCTGGGTGACAGAGTGAGACTCCATCTCAAAAAAAAAAAAAAAAAAAAAAAAAAAGAATTCAAAGGAAGGCTATGAGAGTCATTGGTGAATCAAAGCTAGAACCTGTTGATCATAGGATATATGGAGAAAAATGAAAAAGGAATCAGATATAGAACCCAAACATTGAGCCTAATGAGAAAGTAAAACCCATAACAAAAATAATAATAGTTGGCTCTGAAGTTAATGTTGATTTGTTTATGTATTCCAAGAATACCTTTTAGGACCTACTGTGTGCCAGGAACTTCTCTAGACATTCTAAATACATTAGCTGCAAAACAGACAAAATAGACAAAAGTAGAATTTTGGTAAACATCCATCTTTTAATGGCTTAAGGGTAGAAGAATAGTTAAGAAGGAACAAATGAAGCGACTTTTTACTCACTTAGAAATGGAAAAACTATTTTTTAAATCTGATTCAAAATGTCTACCTGCCTAGAATTAGGTCCAGGTCTGTAAATCTCCATTCTTCACCACTTTCCATTTTCTCCCTAGATTGGTCAGGAAGAACTAATCACCTACCATGAGTCTTCTATGAACCTTCAATTCTCATGTGATATAGAAAAACTCAAAAGATGAAACTGCTGTTGTAAATATAATTTGGGAATCGATTTCTCAATTTTGCTATATTCTTTCTTATATTTAACAGCATTTCAATCATAGAACTTGACATACAGAAAGTATCCAAACGTGCTCGTTGAATTAAAATTGAGTGATCAATGCCTGAACTTTGGAGACGTGTATGGATGACTTAGGCGATGTAACTACCATTTAGCAAAATAGACTTGAATGATGCAGTATGCAAGCTTTCATTTAGGGGCTCAGTCTAGTGTTGACACAATCTGCTGATTCCAGGACCTGGTTGACCTTCCCACACAGAGCCCCCAGAAGGTCATTGGGTTCAGTTCCCTTTCTCTAGGCAGTTGAAACTTAAAACATTAAAGCTAGTATTATATATTCCCTTTCATTAATGTATGTTTGAAAACATCATATACATTTAAGACAATAGTACATTAAGAACCACACCTGTTCTGATGAAGTTGATGTTTATTTCCAATTATTCTCATTGTGTGTTTGAGTATGTAAGAGAGTTTAACATTGAGACACTTTCAGACCATAATTCTATCAGTTTGTTCCCAAAATAAGCCATCCATGTGCTTTTACATTGCAGTTAATGAAATTCTGCATTGTTAGGACAGATTCATTTAGAACAGGCTTAAATTTTAATTTTAAAAATTTGGTTTTCAAGAATTGTACAGCTTGTGGGATTTAAACTTCAGATTAGGTTCCTAGAAATGTTCCCTTTTAGTTCTTCAAGAGGTGAGCTGAATGAAGATAGCACTAGCAATAGAATTTGGGTTGTGTATTAAATGAGAATAAAAACTGCTCTTGATTTTTTTACTGAGATTTAAAAGAACTCACCAAATGTTTTCTTTATTCAGACAAGGGAGCTAAAGGCTATAAGAGCAACTTGTCTGGATTAGAAATTTGATTGTTTGCACTGTTGTTTAGTTTTGTTCCTTAATGTGGACCAGAATGTCAGGGGGTCTTCTGTGAGTGAAGCTGAGAAGAGCAGAGATGAAGGGTGGGACCTGAAGGAAGAAGCTGTGAGGTATGTGTGGGAGCAGTGTGTGTAGGGGGAAGTGGAGATCAAAGAATCATCAGCTCCTCGGCCTTCCACAGCCGAAAAGCCTTTAGCAACTCTTTGATGTCCAATTTGCCCTCTGCTCCCAATCAAGAGTGTGTCTAGGGACTTGAGTGAAGAAGGATTTGGCAGGGCCGTTTTAGGACTCTGTGAGGCAGAGAGTATCTTTTGAGCACCTTCTGAAAGGTGTGCAGAAAAATTACTGTAATTTCTGACCTACAGGAGCTTACACTCTAGTTGGTAGACAAAACCTGAGTGACTTGACCAATTCACTCAGCCAAGGACCTTTGACAAACAACAGAAATTTTCAATTGTGTCATGGTTGTGGTTTCTATACTTAACACAGTACTTTATTAAATTAATTATTAGGAATAAAAAACCTGAACACTGTGTTATCATTTTTTTCCAGTAGGGTGTCCACTCTCAGTTATGTTCCTACATTGACTCTCTTTTCCTTCTCTGTGATCCATTTTTGATGTTTCATTTTTTACATTCAAAGTTGGTGTGAGTCGTATACGATGTTATGGTCATACCTTTTTCTTACTGTTAATCTTATAAAATAATTAAATCTGAACTGCCCTCTGGACAATGCAGGTTTTGGTAGGACAACTTACTGCAAAATTAACCTTAAATTTGGAACTCCTGAAAGGACAAATTTGAGATTATATCACTGAAAATATGGAACTGATAACTGAACTGATAACTTAAATGACAACTTAAATAACTTCCATGACAACTTAAATGACAACCTAAGTAATCGCTGATGAAAAAGACAATTAGTGTTCTCTTTTCTGAAGTTAAACAAGATTCCTGAAGATTTGCAGACACACAAATTTAAAAACTAATATATGGTTTCCTTTAAATCAATGTTCTTCTTCCACGAAGTTAACATCACATGGAGCTTACATCTAATACAGAGAAGTTGCAAAATAAATAGACTCTTTTCCTCATTCAAACCAGGTCTGTGAATCTGAATTTCTTTGTTCTGACCTCCTTGATTTGCACTAGTGATTTCTCCACTTACTAGGACTGCAAACACATGAATTTCTCTTTTCATCTTAACTAGGCAGAAGGGAAAGCAGAGATCTTCAGGGAAAAATCTTACAAAACTACTAGTAGCTTTAGAAGGCTGCTGAAATTAGGTTATGTGACCAATTTGGCATGCTTGTTCAGCCAGGACCATGTTGACAAGAAAGGCCTAGTCTTCAAGAGAATACTATCATCTGTCTCTGGATTAAAATACAAAATGAAATAAAGTTATGTTCTTCACAATGAAGTTCTATTACATATCAGAGTTTTAAACATCTTGCAACCCACCCTCTTCTAAAAATATTTCCACTATGACCTTAGTTCTTTCCTGGATCTTTAAGGGCAAAAATTTTAATATAAGACAAAAGCCATATAAAAACACCAGTTAATATTACTTTGCTTAGTGTATTGTACTTCTATATTTTAAAACTCCATGTATTTAATTAAGAAATTTCAATTTTAAGAGACAACTCAAGCCAATCAAGGAAATGTACTGTGAAGACAACAAAAGAAATTTTATGATTCTAGTATTCTTCCATTTTTCAGTCTTAAAAGGAAAATGCAGAGGCTGTGTGTGTGCATGTGTGTGTGTGTGTTTTGGGGGAGGTGTCTATGCAGATTAAAGAATTTTCAGAATAATCTCTTTTTAATGATTTTATATTCCTCTTAGTAACTCTAATAATAATTCTGTATTCCTCTTAGTAACTTAGTAACTCTTCTTTGATTAATAACAAAATACCTCATATATATAATGAAAATAAAGAGATGGGCCATGTGAAAGAATAAGTAAGTTGGAAGTAAGGATTAGAATATTATTAGAATTCAGAACTCATATCAAACCTTTCATCAAAGACATTGTTTCAGATAGGAAGGGCTATATGGATTGAGATGATAATAAATTGGAGATCAAACTGAATAGTGTATTGGAGAAACTGGTTGTAAGCCAAGTGTGTGGTGTGTATATATTTATTATCTTTGTAAGAAAAGCCTATGAAAGGCAAGGTATTCATTTGACATTAAGGAAAGGTGGTAGTGGTGAAGAACTGTGCCTAAGTATTTTGATGACATGCTTTGAACCTTACAGGCCATGTTAAGACCAAAAAACTGTGTGTATGTGTGGATGGGTATATAAAAGAATAGGAGAGCAAGAAGGGGAACTGGTAGGGTTCAATGTGCATTCAATTTCAAACACTGAAACCCAGCCAAGAGGCCAATATGCTTAGATATGCATTAGGATTAGTATCAGCAATCATTCTGGGGCTTTTAAGAAACGTTAACAGTCTTTAAAAAGGAACATTGTGCAATCTGTAAAAATAATCAAAGGGATGTGAAAAAGGCTTGCTTTTTATCCCAATATTTACAACCAATCACTAAGCATCCTTTTTGCCCCAAGTCCTATGGACTTAAGAATAATGGAGTGGGTTGAAGAGAAATGGAGTGTTCTGGAAAAATGTGGAGTCTGGGGATTAGGAGAATAGATTAATTAATCATTTATTTTCTTTTAAAAAAGTGAGTTAAGATAGAGGTCCACCTCAATAATGGTCAACCTTTGGTATGTAATTGACGAGCCTTCATTTTATGATACTGAAGTTACAAAAGAAAGGAGAATCTAGTGTTTAAACACTGTGTGGCAAAGAAGATCCACACACCAAGATGACAGTATTAAAACCAACTGAATAGAAAAACAAATCATAGTATAGAAACCTACATTTACTCTTGGATTTACAGTGAAAAAATGGCATGTAGGCCTGACTTCGAAGGCCAACAGAGAACAGATGCATTGAAGTCTGGGTTATATTACACTAATCTCTTCAGGTTCTCTTATCTAATCACTTTCTGACAATTGCTAAGTGCCAGGGATATGATAGCCACTATATAAATATAAGAGATTATCCCAGCTTCTCAGGAGAAATCTATCTAATAGACATCAAAACCAGCCTAGGCATTCCATGCCCTCTTACTTTTGCAGAAACAGGGACAAAGGCAAATCAAATCTTTCTTAACAGAAGACCTGTATTTACCAATTTTGAGTTATTTTCACTTTACATTCCTGTACATACAATAGCATTTTTGAATGCTAGATTCTCTAGAAGCAAAATAACAGTAGGTGATATTTAGCTTCTTTCTTTCCTTTTCTTTTTTTTTTTTTTTTTTTTTTTTTTTTTTTGTGATGAAGTCTCGCTCTGTTGCCCAGGCTGGAGTGCAGTGGCATGATCTCAGCTCACTGCAACCTCCGCCTCCCGGATTCAAATGATTCTCCTGCCTCAGCCTCCTAAGTAGCTGAGATCACAGGTGCACACCACCATATCTGGCTAATTTGCTGTATTTTTGGTAGAGACAGTGTTGCACCATGTTGGCCAGGCTGGCCTCAAACTCCTGACTTCAAGTGGTCCACCTGCCTCAGCCTCCCAAAGTGCTGGGATTACAGGTGTGAGCCACTGTGCCTGGCCAATATTTAGTTTCTTGACTCCTAAATGAAATAGTCATGCAAATTAATTCTGATCTGTAGGCCCTGTCAGGCAGAAAAAAGTAACAACAACAAAAAGATGTCATAAAGTGGAGAAGTGAATATTGTAGCAAAAATTATAAGACTTCTATATTCCCAAAAGTTCTGTCTTTAGGCAGTAGAATAACAATGTGCTTTGGAGTTCAACACACACGGGTCTAAGAACCATCTCTGCCATGTGGTATAGTAACATCTTTCCCAAGTTATTAATAACTTTGAGCCTACAGGTTTCCTAATCTATAAAATAACAAAAATACATACCTCACAGCGTTGTCATGAAAACTGGAGAAGGCCACTTATATAAATGCTCAGCATAGCGCCTGACACCCAGTAAACACTCAATAAAGAGCAGCTGTTTTGTTACCATTATTTGTGACCAGTAAATCATGTAAAAGACTGAGAACTGTAGAAAATGTGTTTTTTGGCAAGGAGAGGGACACATGCTGTCTTACGTCTCTTAGAAAACAATAATGTGTCTTATGTCCCTAAAAAATACATATGGAGCAAAGTGCCAAAGCAGACATATTACAGTAATAAGGGGGCAAATTTATTTTTAGATCTTGACAACTCTGAGTCCCAACTCCTCAATTCCTCCTTTGTCAGAAATCAGCAGATGTGGATATATGACTCTATTCTGATATTACTCTTTTTTTATATTATACTCTTTTTTTGATATTACTCTTTTTTGATATTATATGATAAAATGTATCATATATTTCTCCATGTTTCTCCCTTAATGCCTAACAAAATGCATGAAATACAGTTATTCAATAAGTATTTGATCAACTGCATTTATAAAAGCACTGCAATACATTTGGTGCCACTTTTTTATTCAATAATCATTAGGTAATTTGGTTTTTTGAAGAGAAATTGGAGAATTGGAGATCAAACTAAAATATTGTATAGGAGAAACTGGTTTTAAACCAGGTTGTTTGGTGTGTATATATTTCCTATTTTTCTAGAAAATTCTAAGAAAGATAATGCTTTCCTTTTGACACCACGAGGGGTGGTAGTAGTTAAGAAATGTGCACAATTGTGTGCGTGGGTGTGTGTGTGTGTGTTTCTTGATCTTCTTCCCTTCAGCTTATACAGATGTAGTTAATACCCAGGTCTAAAACACTGTGTGGCTGAACATTGAAACTATTTTTATTTTTATGTTTATACAAAGTAAGACCAAAAATTGGATTGACCTTTATTATATATCTTCAATGATAAATACTGGGAAATTAAACTGCTGAGGATTTAACCCTGAGATTTGCTTGTATTTGTCCTGTGATTGCTCTTCCACTATACCACTGCAATCTTTTGTGTATCCCCTGCTTAATATGTGCACTTGTCTTTGCATCCCACTAAGTTGCAAACCTTGGGGGGGCAGAATTA
Source organism: Homo sapiens (assembly GCF_000001405.40). Classification (NCBI taxonomy): domain Eukaryota; kingdom Metazoa; phylum Chordata; class Mammalia; order Primates; family Hominidae; genus Homo; species Homo sapiens. The sequence goes on from NC_000008.11 coordinate 121,308,384, forward strand.
CTTTACTCATTTGTTTACCCATGGCTTCCTGCCTGAGTCCCCCACACCTTCATTTGGTCTTGCTTAGCTTTTGTTTTTTTTTTTTTAGCTCCTTTCTCACTAGCTTTTCCATTAAGTAAAGAAAGTACAGGCTCTACTTTGTGGACATTTTTTTTCTCTTATGGTTTTCTTATCCAGAGAAATGGAAACATCAAATGGAAAGTACATTGAAGTGTGGGAGCTCAAATAGGCTCAAACTGGCTCATACTTTTCTGAGTATTTATCTTTTTTATACAGGACCTGATAAACCAAAATTCTGTTTGAAAAGAATATCATTCTACATTTATGAGTTTATTTTCTGAAAATGAAAGTTTCCAGAAGTGGAATGCTAGATCAAATGATATGCATGCTTATAGTTTAATAAATATAGGTAGATTTACATTTCAAAATGTGTAGAAATTGCCAGACTCATCATTAGTGTATAAGAGTGCTGTTTCCTCACAATCTCGTGGGCATTTTGTGTTAACATGATCTTAAATGTTTGACAATATGAAGGGGCAAACGTTTTATTGTGTTGTTGTTTTTATTATTTATTGTTTGTTTATTTAATTTTATTTTTAATTGATGAAAATAGTACATAGTTATGGTATCTTACATGATGTTTTGATATGTGTATACATTGGCTAAATCAAGCTATTTAATATATGTATATTAATTCAAATAATGGTTTTTTGTGGTGACATTTAAAATTTATTCTGTTAGCAATTAACAAACATATACTATATTGTTGTCAGTCACCATGATGTACAATAGTTTTCTTACACTTATTTCTCCAGTGTAACTGAAATTTTGTGTCCTTTGACCAATATCTCTCCAATTCTCCCATTTCCCAGCCTCTGGTAATCACCATTTTCAATCTCTGTTTCTGTGAGTTCAATTGTTTAGATTCCACATGTAACTGAGATCATATAATATCTGCTTTCCTGTGCCTGACTTGTTTCACTTAATATAATGTCCACTATCACAAATAACAGGATTCCCTTCTTTTTAAAGGCTGAACGGTATTCTATTGTGTATGTATACCACATTTTCTTCGTCTCTTCATCCGTACATGGACACTTAAATTGATTCCATACCTTGACTATGGTGAATAATGTTGCAGTGAACATGGGAGAGCAGGTATCTATATCTCTTCAACATACTGATTTCATATCCTTGGATATATGCCCATTAGTGGGAGTGCTGAAATATATACTAGTTCTCTTTTTAGTTTTTTGAGGAGACTTCAGGCTGTTTTTCATAATGGCTGTGCTACCTTCCATTTCTTTTTTTCTTTTCTTTTTTTGAGACGGAGTCTCGCTCCGTCGCCCAGGCTGGAGTGCACTGGCAAGATCTCGGCTCACTGCAAGCTCCGCCTCCCGAGTTCACGCTATTCTCCTGCCTCAGCCTCCCGAGTAGCTGGGACTACAGGCGCCCGCCACTACGCCCGGCTAATTTTTTGTAGTTTTTAGTAGAGACGGGGTTTCACCGTGTTAGCCAGGATGGTCTCGATCTCCTGCCCTCGTGATCCGCCCACCTCGGCTTCCCAAAGTGCTGGGATTACAGGCGTGAGCCACCGTGCCCCGCCGCTACTTTACATTTCTACCAACAACCTACAAGTGTTCCTTTTGCTCCACATCCTTGCCAACATTTATCTTTCGTTTCTTGGAAAATAGCCATTCTAACAGATACGAGGTGATATCTCATTGTTATTTTAACTTGTATTTCCCTGACAAATAGTAATGTTGAACACTTTTTCATATAACTGATGGCCATTTGTATGTCTTCTTTTGAGGAATGTCTATTCAATCTCTTTGTTCATTTTTTAATTGGGTTATCTGTTTTCTTACTTTTGAGCTGAATTCCTTATACGTTTTGGATATTAACCCCTGATCAGATATATGGTCTGCAAATATATTCTGTCGTTCCATAGGTTACATCTTCACTCTTGTTTACTTTGCTGCTCAGAGGTTTTTTAGACGATGTAATCCCTTTTGTCTATTTTTTCCTTTTGTTGTCTCTGCCTTTGAGATCATATCTAAAAAATCATTGCCCAGACCATGCCACAGAGATTTTCCCTATCTTTTCTTCTAGTAGTTTTACTATTTCGGGGCTTATACTTAACTTTTTATCCATTTTGAGTTGATTTTTTTTCATACAGTGGGAGATGAAGGGTTTTTTTTTTGTTACATGTGGATATACAGTTTGAAGAGATTGTTATTTTGCTGTTGTGTATTATTGAAAATCTTTGTCAAAACTCAACTACCATAAATGTGTGGATATATTTCTGGGCTTTCTATTCTCTTCCATTGGCCTATATGTCTGATTCTAGGACAGTAGCAGGCTGTTCTGATTACTATAGCTTTGTAATAGATTTTGAAATCAAGTAGTGTGATCCTCTGACTGTGTTCTTTTTACTCAAGATTGCTTTGGATAGTTGGGGTCTTTCATGTTCCCGTATGAACTTTAGGATTTGTTTTTATATTTCTGTGAAAAATATCATTGGAATTTTGATAGAGATCCTGTACATTTTCTTCATTGAAAGTGTATATGGCTTTGGGTAGTGTAGACATTTTAACAATAGTAATTCTTCCAATCCATCAACCCAGGATACCTTCCCATTTATTTGTGTCTTCTTCAATTTCTTTTATCAATGTCTTATAATTTGCAGTGTACAGATTTTTCACTTCCCTTGTTAAATTTATTTCTGAATATTTTATTTGTTTGTTGCTATTTTAAATGGGATTATTTTCTTGATTTCTGTTTTAGATAGTTCATTATTAATGTATAGAAAATCTACTGTTTTTTTTTTAAGGTTCAGAGATACATGTGCAGGTTTGTTACATAAGTAAACTTGTGTCATGGGGGTTTGTTGTAGAGATTATTTCACCACCCAGCTATTATGCCTAGTATCCATTAGTTATTTTTCCTGATCCTCTCCTTCCTCCCAGTTCCACCCTCTGATAGGCTCCAGTGTGTGCTGTTCTCTGTGTGTCCATGTGTTCTCAGTAGATGTTCAGCTAACATCATGAAGAAAATATACTAATTTGTGTGTGTGATGCTCTGTATGTGCTTCAAAGGAATGTGTACTCTGTTGCTATTGAATGACATTTCTGTATATTTTTGTTAGGTCTATTTGGTCCAATTGTAGTTCATATCAAATGTTTTTTTTAATTGATTTTCTGTTAAGATTATCTGTCCATTTTTTGAAAGTGAGCTATTGAAGACTCCTTGTAATGTTGTATTATAGTCTTTGTCCCTCTTCAGATCAATTAATATTTGCTTTATTTATTTAGGTGATCCAATGTTGGGCACATATGTTTAAAATTGTTATATCCTCTTGATGAATAGATGCTTTTATCACTATATAATATATATATAAAAAATAATTTTCTTTTTCTCATTTTAGTTTTTGACTTAAAATCTATTTTATTCAATATAAGTATTTCTTCTCTTTTGGTTTCTACTTTCATGGAATATCTTTGTCCATTCTTTCACTTTTAATTTATATGTGTCCTTGAAAGAGAAGTGAGTCTCTTGTAGGCAGCATAGAATTGGGTCATGGTTTTTGGTCCATTCAGCTCTATGTCTTTTGATTGGATAATTTAATTCACTTATATTCCAGGTAATTATTGATAGGTAAGAACTTACTACTGCCATTTGTTAGTTAATTTCTGGTTGTTTTATAGATCCTTTGCTCCTTTATTCATCTCTTGTTATCTTCCTTTGTGATTAGATGATTTTCTGTAGTGGCATGCTTTCATTCTTTACTTTTTAAAAAATCATTCATGTATCTATTACAGGTTTTGCTTTATGGCTACCATGATAATTATATACAATAGCTTGTACTTATGAGAAGCTATTTTAAGCTAATAACAAATTAACTTCTATTGAATAAAATAACTATACTTTTTTCACCCATATTTTATGTTTTTGTTGTCACAATTTACATCTTTTTACATTGTATATCCATCCCTTAATCAGTTGTTGTAGCTATTATTGTTTTTAATAGTTTTGTCTTTTAACCTTCATACTAAAGATATAAGCAATTTACACACCACTGTTAAAGTATCAGATAATTCTGAATGTTACTGAGTATTTACTTTTACTAGTGAGTTTATACGTTAATATGTTTTAGAGTTACTAATCTTTTTCTTTCAGCTTGAAGAACTCCCTTTATTTTTTCCAATTAAACAGGTCTGATGGTGACAAACTCCTTCAGCTTTTATTTGCCTGGAAAGATCATTTATCTCTTTTATTTCTGAAAGACAGCCTTTCCAGGTACATTATTTTTTTTTGAGATAGGGTCTTGCTGTGTTGCCCAGGCTGGAGTGCATGGCTCATTGCAGCCTCAATCTCCTGGTCTCAATTGATCTTCCCACCTTGGCCTCCCAAGTAGCTGGGACTACCAGCAAGCACCACCACACCTGGCTAATTTTTGTCTTTTCTGTAGAGGTGGGATTTTGCCATGTTACTCAGACTGGTCTCAAACTCCTGGGCTCAAACAATCTGCCCACCTCGGTCCCCCAAAGTGCTGGGATTACAGGTATAATCCCACAGTGTGAGTCACCATGCCCAGACACAGGTACAGTATTTTTAATTGGCAGTTGTTTTTCTCCTTCATTGCTTTGAATATATTATCCTACTTTCTCCTAGCATTAAGATATCTGCTGAAAAATCTGCTGCTAGCCTTATTAAAATTCCTGTTTATGTAATTTGCTTCTTTTCTCTTGATGCTTTAGGCATTAAAATTATTTTGTAATTTTGTATAGTTTTATTTTGATTTTTTATAGTTTCCTTATATCTTGGTGTAGTTTTGTTTGGATTGAATCTGATTAGAGACCCTTGACTTTCCTGTACCTCGATATTTATATCTTTCCCCCAAATTGGAAAGTGTTCAGTTATTTTTTTTAACCATCTTTCTGTCTCTTTGTCTTTCTCTTCTCCTTTTTAAACTCCTGTAATTTGAATATTTGTTCTTTTAATGCTGTTCTATAAATCCTGCTAACTTTCTTCATTCCTATTCATTGTTTTTTCTCTTCTGACAGTATATTTTCAAATAACCTCTCTTCAAGTTCACAGATTTTTTTTTCTGCTTGATCAATTCTGCTATCAACCTCTCTACGGCATTTCTTATTACATTTATTGTATTTTTAAAATCCAGAATTTCTGGGTTTTTCTCATAATTTGAATCTTTCTTTTAACTTTATCATTTTGGTGGTTTACTGTCTTCTGAATTTATAAAATTGTTTGTCTGTATTTTTCTTAAAGTTTGCTGAGCTTCCTTAAACAGTTATTTTGAATTATTTATTTAAGTATTTTGTATATTTTCATTTCCTTAGGATCAGCTATTGGGAGATTGTGTTTGTGTGTGTGTGTGTGGTGTTACGTCTTCTTAGTTTTTTTTTTTTTTTTTCATGTTTCTTGTTGACTTACATTGATGTCTGCTCATATGGTATAACAGTCAACTCTTGCAGACTTTAAAAACTAGTTTGACTGTGGAAGATGTTCCCCTACAGTGGGGTGCAAGGGCACTCCTTGTTGAGATGCAAAAGTTCTGGAAACACTGGGGGTGCCTACTGTGTAGTCTCTGTGCAGATCTGTCTGCTAAGGGTGCTGTTGGCAACCATCACAGGAATCCTCAGCATCAGTGCTGTGGATGTCTGCAGTGGCAGCAAAAAATTGTTGGAGTCTTTGGAGATAATAGCAACTAAGGTCTTCCTGATGTCTTTTTCTTTCGCTGGGGAAGTTCTGACTGAGTGGATCGCTCTTAGAACTGCGTCCTGCTGTAGGCCTGCTCTTGTTGGCAGTAGTCTGATGGGTGGCATCTGTGGAGCATCTATGAGGCTGAGGCTTAAAGTATGGGCATGCATGGAGGGACTACAGCTCTGGAATCTGGGGCAGTACTGTCACTGATGTAGGCACCTGGCTACTGTATCGGTAACTGTATGTGACGTGCTTATAAAGTGGTCAGGGAGCCAAGAACTGGAGTACAGGCATCCACAGATTTATAGTGGCTCCAGGATCAGTGCAGGGCCTAGCTCTCTACGTTAGCTGAGCTGCTTCCTGGAGGTACTCAGATAGGCCTTCAGGGCCTTCAGGGCCCAGAATGTGGACCGACTTCTTATGGTTGTGGCTCCAGCTTCTGAGATGTGAGAAGGTTTAGTGCAGCCACAGAGCCTGTTTGGAGTGTGAGCACTCTCGAGGTGGCCAAGACTTGAGAATTACAGCATGCATGAGGTTGGGAGAGGTGGTTACTCTATTTCTGAAGTGGCTTGATACTGGCTGCTTCTTGATGGGGGAAGAATGTGCAGCTGTATCTCTCTATCTCTGTGGTTCAACAGTGGGAAAGGCTGTTGCTTAGCTCAATGGCAAAAGATCCTCCTCTGTGGAGCAGGTCACTGGGCATCATGTTGATTTCCACCACATGGCTGATACTAATATCCTCCAACTTTCTTCTTTGTTCCTAGATGTCTCCTGGCATCTCAGATATGCTAATTTCATCAGAAATTCTTCCTATGTGAATATTCTACATATTTTTGGCCTCACTATGTTGCTGGAGTTTCTTAATTGAGCCCTTGAGCCCTCTCAGTGTTATTTTGGTTTTGGGCTGGTTATCTATGTTTGTTTTATTGTCAGGTGATAAAGGCTGGCATCTCCTACTCTGTCATTTTGGTAACATCATTCCTTGCTGCTTTTGTTATAATTTCCCTGAATATCAATTTTTTGAGTTGTATGTTCTCTTTACTAATTTGAAGAACTACTTGTATCTTGAGAGTATTAATCATGTTTTATTTGTGTAGAAAATGTTTTCTTCTAACCTGTAATTTTTCTTTTAATTTTGTTAAGTTGCTTCTTCCCATCCAAAGGTATTTTTGGTTTGTTGTCTTGTAGGTTCTTCTGATATTTTATTTTTCCTTTACATCTTTTTGTTTTCATCTTCTTTACTAGGCTTCCCTCTTTCCCAAGTTAATACACATAGATATTTTTTTCTTTTAATACTTTTATTTTTACGTTTGGAACTTTTGTCTTGAATTCATGTTTGTCTATGGGCACATAATTGACTACATTTATTTTCTTCTAATAAATAATCATTCCCAAAACCAATTTTTGGTAAATCTGTCATTTCCTCATTGACTTGTAGGGCTCAGATTTTTCATCTATTGAATTCTACAGATAGAATTTTTTTCTGGTTTTGAATGTTATTCCTTAATTTATTTGTGTATGCCTGAAAAAGTGCTTTATTATTTTGAACATAGTAACATTATATTAAGTTTAACAAGCAACAAAGCCCTCACAATATCACCATTATTGTGTTTTAAGACTTTCCTACAATTCCTGCATTTTTTTCCACATGAACTTTAGAATCAGTTTATTACATTTGAAAAATAATTGCAGAATGTTTAAATTATAAGAAATGTCAAACAATACCAATGTCCATATGTAGGAAAAGGGTTGAATAGTTTAGTGCAAACATACATAGAACACACATGCTGATGGATGGGGAGAAATGTATGAAAGTGGAGGTGTATCCAACTCCTACTTATACTATTCTCAGAAAGAATGTTCACTCCTTACTAGGGTAGCCTGCCCTTCAGTGGCTCTGACTGTGACATAGGGAATCTGTACTCTGGCTTCCCCTTCCCCTTCTCACTGTCTTAGCTCCACCATCTGGGGTCACTTAGGAGGCATTTGTTCAAGGTTCCTCTCAGTGGGGCACTCCGTCCAACCTCAGCCCGCACCCCAGCTCTAGTCAGGAAGCATCTGCTCATTTACTTATAGTTACTCCAAAGAGCTTAGAGGTTAAAAGCCTAGGTCCTGCAGTCTGACAAACCTACAATCAAATACTAGTTGTATTATTTTGTACAAATTACTAAATATCTATGAGCTTCCCCTTGCTTCTCTGTAAAGATATGATGAAGGCACTGACCTCCAGAGTTATAAGAATTAAATTGGTAGTGGCTATAAAGAGTTTAGCATGGAGTCCAGCACCTAGTAAGTACTTGTCTAAAGTGGTATAAATGGTTGAATGCTGTGATCAAGATTTAATTTCTATACATCTGGAAAAGGAGGCCTATATAGTTCATTTGGAGAACCATATAGATATTATGCGCTAATAAAGTTTGTGTCAAATTAGTTTGAGAATATCAAATTATGCTGTCTTAGTCTAGTCCTGTGACAATAACAGAAATAACTTAGGCTGGGTGATTTGTATATAATATAAAATTATTTGTCACAATTCTGGAGGCTGGGAAGTCCAAGATCACAGCACCAGCAGGTCTGGTACTTATGAAAACCTGTTCCATCCATGGAATCTTTTTCTGGCATCTTCACATGCTAGAAAAGGTAGAAAGGCAAAAGGACCAGACAGGCTATCTTAGCCTCTTTTATAAGAGCACCAATTCCATTCATGGGAACAAAGCCCTCATGAACTAATCATCTCCTAAAGGCCCTACCTCTTAATACTATTGCATTGAGGATGAAGTTTCAACATAAATGTTGGAGGGACACATTTAAACCACAGCATATGCCCAGTCGAATAGATTTACTTCATGAAAGACTACTCAAAGTCTTTTTTTTTTTTTCTTTTTTGAGATGGGGTCTTACTCTGTTGCCCAGGCTGGAGGGCAGTGCTGTAATCATAGCTCACTGTAACCTCAAAATCCCGGGCTCAAGCAATCTTCCTACCTCAGCCTCCTGAGTCACTGGGATTGTAGCCTTGAGCCACTGTACCCACCTTCAGAGTCTTTAATAAGCTAATGTGCACTCTTTTTTTCTAAGAAGGGATATAGTAGGCAGCGTATCCCATATTATATTTTTATCCAAGGAATAATTTTACAAAGGAGTGTCTTGAAGGATTATTGTTCCTGAAAACAACATTTTGGGAAATGATGACCTATTGCATGTGACAGCTTAATCTTCTGTATTTTGATGAAAAAAAAAAATCAATAAATAAAACAGGTCTAGGCCTGGAGTTTTAGTTTTTCCTCTACAATTTACTTTGGGAAATTTATTTTATTCTTTAAATAATAATAATAATGTTAATAATATAAGGACACAGATTTAAATAGGAGTTATTATGTTTCAGACTTTGCTTCAAGTACTTTAAATCTATTAACACATTTAAGTACTTCACTGGTAAAATGAATGTAAGAATATTTTATTTGCTTAAAAACAGATCTGGACTATAGGAAATCAGAGTGCATCTAGTTCAGCATGCCTATCATTTGAAGATCAGAGTGCTGGTAAATGGTAGACTAGGGACTAAAGTGAACACACTCTTAGACACTTGGACTTGTGTCCCAGTCTCTGATTCTATGACAACCACCTGGCCTTTTATCCAGGGATCTAAATATTTAAAAGAGTTGAGAGAGGTCACTTTGCTCAGCTACACTTTTCTATCATTATGAGGTCTTCTAAAATTCCACACTATAATTTATTATTGTCCCAACTTAACAATTTCAAAATAGGTCCTACAAACATAAACAAAATTCAGCTGTTCAAAATTTTCCCCTACTGAAAATATCTTCCAAATAATTTGATTTAAGAGCGAGACATTAGAAATGTTGAATTTTCCTATCTAAAATCAAAAGGGAAATGACAGAGCAGAAGGCTTTACAATTTTTTTTTCCCCTCCAGTGCTCTTTTGAACTCTTGACTCCAGGCTCTTTGAGAAAAACATTACACTAGAAATTAAAGTTCTCTAATGGGAACAAGTGGCAGAACAAGATTTTCCTTTCCAGCTCTGTTCTGGAGGGACCACCGAGGTGAGATGTGATTTTAATCTCTGGGCATATTATTATCTTGGCCTTTCTGCCAAAACTGTCAACGAACAAGGGTGCTAATGACTGCTAACTATTACAGAAAGGAATAGGAGAACATTCAGGATTGAGCTGAGATAACTACTTCATTTCATTCAGAGCATTAAATCACCTTCTTCTGCCAGCAGCTTTCATTTACTCTCAATATAAGCCAGGTTGAACCAGTGACCCACGGGGTAAAATGCTTTGCTTCACATTACCAAGCCAGGCAAAGTCTGGGGTGAGTCACACGGACTGGTTTCCACCTCTTAGGCTGTGCACCACTAATTAATGGACTCTCTCACACTTGAATGGACATTTTTTTTTTTTTTTACTTTTAGGTTTAGCATCACCTTTCACTATTTTGTCCCTTGTAAGGTTGGAGTCTACCAATACAAACCATAGTAGTTGATCATGGTTCTACATTGCAGTATATTGTATAAATTTAGAATCATCTTCCTTCCACCCTTTGTCTTACAATAAGTTGACTACATGATATAGAGAGGTAGAGACAGGTTTCGTTATGCTTAAAAGCCTCTTAGTTTGAATATCAGCTAGAATTTCCTGAGAATTGTCACTTTAAAGTATTTGTATTCAAAAGATACTACTCATATCACCTAGTTAATTTTTTAAAGTTCAGTGAACCTATATTATATCCTTTGATTGTGTATAACACAAATTTGAGTTTTCCTTATATGACCTAACTTATTCAGGAAAACATTTTTGACTTCTGTTTTAATATTCATGACCCATGGAAGTAGTAATTTTTTTTAGTAACTGATTATGTGGGGGCAGGGCGGGGGCGGATAAATGCCCTGATTTGTAGCATTTGCCCATTTAGGTGGTGTAGATAATCCTCCCATGGCCAATTTCAAGCTACTAACATGACATCATTAAAAGCAGAGTGGGAGAGGATGTCTCATAGTAAACCAAACAATACATAGTGTTCTGATCATGCAGATACCATGGACACATAATTTCATTACTAGGTATTTTGCCTAGGTATTTTATTACTAGGTAATAGTAAAATGTAGTACAATAGTTAGGATTTAGAGATGTGGTAAAATAGTATAATATATAGTAAATAATATGATTAATATTAGTAAGTTATTAATATTACTAATATTAATATTAGTAAAATGTACAGTGTTAACAGTAATATGATATTGGCATTATTATTTATTAATTTTATTATTAATGCTGTTAATATTAGTATTGTGAATAAAATCACTAAAAAATGTACAAAAGGACTTAACTTTGTTTTTAATGTAATGTATTAAAACATTAGTTTATAAAATATAGGTTTAAATAATAGCTATGTTTGACCACCAGCTTACAAAATTTCTGAAAATTGAACAATTGGTCTGAGGTGGATTCAGCACATCCCCAGAGAAAACATGGAAACCATCATGATGACCTGGAAAGGACATTGAATGAGAGATGCTACCGAAGTTATTCAAGTTACTTAACCTCTCTGAATTTTTGTTTCCTTTATAGTCAAAACTCGGCTCTAGGGATCCTAATTTACTTGGATACTGGGGCTGTAAATAAGATAATATTTGCATCATGACTATGTACGATGAACAGGCAATTAGTTTTGGCTGCTATTATTATTAGCAAATTTTAGTTAGACCAATAAATGCTATGTAATCATGGGCAGTTTTACTTCCTTATTGGGTCCTAGTTTCTTCATATGTAAAATAAGGTAAATACAAAATGATATATAAGATTCCTTCTAGCTCAAATGCACAATGATTAAGAACTAAGGCTTTTAAATCAGAGGGCCAACATTCTAATCCTGGCTCTATTCTTACAAGCTATATAGCTTATATAATTCATCTCTCTTATCCTTTGTTTCTTCATTTGTAAATCAGGAAGTAACACAATAATTTGTTGCACAGAGATTTTTAAGGTTGAAACAAAGTAAACACTGAAAAAGATGTTAGTCTGTTTGGCATACAGTAGGTACTTAAAACTGAACTATTTTATTAATAGTATTGTTACAGTATATAATAGTATTAATAGTAGTAGTTTTTTAGTATAACACATTGCATTAATATATTAATACTATTAATAATATACTATATATACTATATATAATATATAATAATACTATAAATTAATATTACTATTAACATAATAGTATTAATACACTATATACTAATGTAATACAGTATATCTTAGTAACATCATTAATGGTATTATCAGTATTATTTTAATGTTATTAACAATAATACTTTTTTTTTTTAGACAGAATCATGCTCTGTTGCCCAGGCTGGAGTGCAGTGGTGCAATCTCAGCTCACTGGAGCCTCTGCCTCCCGGGTTCAAGTGATTCTCCTGCCTCAGCCTCCCAAGTAGCTGGGACTACAGGCATTCGCCACCATGCCTGGCTAATTTTTTTTATTTTTAATAGAGACGGGGTTTCACCATGTTGGCCAGGCTGGTCTTGAACTCCTGACCTCATGATCCACTGCCTCGGCCTCCCAAAGTGCTGGGATTACAGGTGCGAGCCGCCATGCCCGGCCACCATTAATATTATTAATACAATGGTGCTCAAAGGTACAAACATTAATTTTTTTGTATATGGCATACCTTCCCTAGCCAAATCTCCATCCAAGCAACATGTCCCATGACTTTCCAAAATTAATATCGATAGCAAAATATGTAACATTAATAATAAAATAGGTAACTTTGGGCGTTTTCTAGGTGTCAACCAATGTAATAAGTGCTTCATATATAAGTTAGTTCACCTCTTTGAATCTTAGTTTCATCATTTAAAAAATGACTTTAATACCTATCATGTAGAGTTGTTGAGAGGGTTATAAACATTGTTATAATAACACATTCAATCCAGTGTCTGGGACAAAGTAGGCATGAAATAAATAGTAACTAGTAATAATAATTATAAGCCTAATATAATTACTTTATAGATTGTAAATATATATTTATATTTCTTAAAAACTACTACCAATAATGCCTAGTGTGTAGTAGATGCAAATTAATGGTGACTGTTATATAATAAAAATAAACAATGGGCATTTATCATGAGTGTTTATCACTTACTATTAATTTACCATTGAGAATAGCTTGGTGGGTTAGGGTGCAGTCAGAGAAAACTTCAGAATGCTGAGCTGAAAAGCATTTTTGGAAGAAGCTGGTACTATGCTTTAATTTCTTGCTCCTGAGATGGAGGAGGTGAAACTGGGAATCCACCCTTGAAGTATGAGAAATGGGATTGAATGTTTGTAACAAGCAGAAAGAGTCCAGCAGGGGTCCTGCAACTAGGAAAGGCTTAGACATTCTCAACACTGGTCTTGCAGGTGCTACTACTGTAAGGACGAGGGGTTAGACTAGCATTGGCACACGTCGACAATGCTAACAATTACTCTCTCTAGTCTAGTGGTACTGAATTTGGACAGCTGAGCCTTTGGGAGAATCTGTTGAAAGCTGTGAGTTTTTTCTTGTCATTTGTTTGATGGTACTGTGTCTTCTGCTATTTTAAAACACTTTTTGCTTCTTCTTTGGTATCTCTATGTGTATTATTAGCTGTAGCTCTGTCCAAAACATTATCGAATTATTAAGGGTCCAAGTTTTCATGTCTTTGTGTTTATCCATTGTACTTACTATAACTCATTTTAATAATTCCTTTCAAAAATCACCCCCAAGTCAGTCCATATGGCCTCCTGATCTCATACTTAGCAATAAACAAGGGGTCACATGGCTATCAAGTGAAGTCTTTCAGGATGCTCCAGTTCCTTATCTTATTGCCCCTCAAAGGAACAGAGTGGACTGATCCAAAAGTCCAGATAGGAAATGAGAGTGATCTCATCCTCTCTTGGCATTGGCTGACACCTCCTTGGAGAATAATTAACTAATAAACTCTGGCTTTCCCTTTCTTTTCTTTTCTTTCTTTTTTTTTTTTTTTTTTTTTTTTGAGATGGAGTCTCGCTCTGTCACCTAGGCTGGAGTGCAGTGGCATGATCTCAGCTCACTGCAACCTCTGCCTCCTGGGTTCAAGCGATTCTTCTGCCTCAGCCTCCCAAGGATCTGGGATTACAGGCGCCCCCCACTGCGCCCGACTAATTTTTGTATTTTTAGTAGAGACGAGGTTTCACCATGTTGGCCAGGATGGTCTCGATCTCTTGACTTCGTGATCCACCCGCCTCGGCCTCCCAAGGCTTTCCCTTTCTATGGCTCCATAAATCATGGGTTAGCTTTTTAGAACAAATTTAGAGTAAATGCTGTGCATACAGAGAGAGTAAATGCTGTGCATACAGAGAACAGAGAGGCCCAAATAGATCTATTTCTAGTGTGTCCTGTCAGGAATCAATTCTTGAAGGATCATTTTTCTGGCCTGTTTGAACCTGGCTTCAAATACAGAGTAGAGTTCTCTACCAAATGAAAGATTGTGATTACATTTGTGGAAACATGAATGCTAAGGGAAGTCTCAGAAAGATAAATAAATTTACCATATAAGTGACATACCTGCTTATATGTCATGCAAGTTGGTAGAAACTGATAAATATAAACATAATATTATAAATATGCATGTATAACACACCCATATAAAATTTCAATAATTCTATCCATCAAAAAAGCCAATTAAAACAATAAGAACATTACGTTTTGGTCATCATATTTGAAAGGTAAACAAATAATGCCCTGTGTGTTCTAAAATGTAGTGAGAGGGATTGTTCTTATGTATTGTATGTGAGAAAGTCAACTTTTACCATCTTTTAAAAGGCTATTTAGAAATAGAAATCGACCACCTCAAATTATGTATAATATATATTCTTTGATACAGCAATTCCTCATCTATGACTCAATGCTCAGGAAATGTACAAGAACGGATGACTGCATAATTTGTAATAGTAAAAACATTGGCTGGGCGCAGTGGCTCACGCCTGTAATCCCAGAACTTTGGGAGGCTGAGGTGGGCGGATCACCTGAGGTCAGGAGTTTGAGACCAGCCTGACCAACATGGAGAAACCCCATCTCTACTGAAAATACAAAATTAGCTGGGCATGGTGGCACATGCCTGTAATCCCAGCTACTCAGAAGGCTGATGCAGGAGAATCACTTGAACCTGGGAGGTAGAGGTTGCAGTGAGCCTAGATGGAGCAATTGCACTCCAACCTGGGCATCAAGAGGGAAACTCCGTCTCAAAAGAACAACAACAAAAAAATGAGAACCATCTAAAAATCAAAACTTAGCAATAAACATAATGTGTTTAAAGATATTTTAATGATATGTAAATTACTCAGGGTAAAATAATAAGGGTGAAAATTATATAGAGAGCTTTATAATCTTAACTACATTAAAATATATGGATGAAATGTCTGAGAATAAAATTATTTCCAGCTAGTGGGATAAGTCACTTTTATTTGAGAATTTCTTTAATGTTCTTCATAATGTATATAATCAGAAAAATGAAGATAAAAAAGAATACTTAGTGTTCCTTTGGACAAATATCCTGAAATATATGTGGAGAGACATAATAGAGGAAACTAAGGACATAAAAGTTATAAATATTTGCATAAATTGGGCTGACTTTCCCAGAATTGTTTGCAAAATTGCCCCCTTTTTGTGTGTGTTTTCAGTTTCAAATACTCCGAGAGCTCTGTCTGAGTTACACTGAGTCTAAGGGAAAAAAGTTAAACAAGAAAAGACGTCATTTTTAAGGAGGGTGGTTTCAAATGGTTTTGCCACAATTAAAAATGTGCCTTTGAAATGTTTAGTCTTTTAAGACAAGGAAGAACTGTAACCTCACGTTGCTTGTGAGTCACTGCACATCTGGCATTTCTTCCCTAGGACAAGAACTACAGCGAGAAAAGGGAGACAGAAGAGGATGGACGTTGCTTTGCAATCAAATTGCAGATTTTTTTCCCATGCTTACTGTGTTTGGGAAAAAAAAAAAGTGAATCATGTTCCCCCATTCATGATTACGAAGCATTGCATCCTGCCATATTTTCTTCAGTACTTACTGTTCAATCACCTCTCCACAGAGGTAGTTGTGCTTTGGTAATGTATCAACTTTGTAAAATAAAAAAATTCAATTAGCCTGCATCTTAATTTCTTTGAAGGTTCCCCTGACTGATTTGAGTGCTAAAATGTAGAACTGGGCATCCTCCTTGCAGTTGGAATGCCACAGTTTAGACCAACTAACCTTAATATGTAAATAAGTAGGTAAATGAATGAATAATGAATGGCTCAGAGCAGCAGTTTTATGTCACCATAAATTGTTGGGTTAGCTAAGATTTAGGTTTATTTTTGTTTTCATTCTCATGTTACATTTTTGTAGTGATAGTCAACTCTTTTTCTTATGTCATAGGCAACATTTTAAGTGCCTTTCTGCTAGAGATAGAAATGTTCCATAATACTCAGGGCAATGATATCTGTTGGCACAAGGAAAAGGAAGGTGGGATGGACTAAAAGCTTTGAATGATGGATTTTTTTCACTTTTCTTTCCAATTCCACTGTTTTTTTCTCCCTACTGCTGAATGTCTTTCACACATGCACTGCATCTTTATCCAACTTTGTATCTACTCATATCAGAAATAACTTTTTTCTTGAATCTTTCAAGTTGAAAAATATAACTTGTTTTTCTAAAAAATAAACAATATGACTTTGCTAATTGTCATCTTCCCTCCCTCCCTCCCTCTTTCTCTCCCTCCCTTCCTCCCTTCCTCCCTTCCTTCCTTTTATTCCTCCTTCCATTTTTAAACCACATATTAATGGTTAATATGCCTATTAACTTATTGTATGCCTTGGCAAAGAGCTAGGTGCTAAGTAAATAACATTGAACAAGACAAGGCCCTAAGCCTTAAAGAGTTTACAGTGAGTTAGAGATCACAGAAGAGTAAAGGGATATTTACCAAAGAGTGATATTTACCACTACCACTTTTAGTAGAAGTGAAGTATGCTATGGAAGTACTCAAGCAAGGACACTTAACACAGACTTGGCACAGACAGAAGTAGTAATATTTATGATCATTTGAAATGTTGAGTCAATGGGACTTGGGTTTGGAGAAGGAAGAGAAAAGAGAAATCAAAGATGCCTCATACTATTCAGAGAAGAGAGGAAGAGACAGAGTGCCAGAGATAGACAGATGAAGAGAGGGAGTGTGCAAGAGAGCATGTGTGCCTTGATCAATAACCAAAAGGAAATTCAGTTTGACTACACCTTTCACACAGTCTATGCCATGTTAAATAATTTGGAATTTATCTTGAAGTTTATAGATTTGAAATTTTAACCAGGAAAAATCCATGCCCACATTATAATTTTAATTCACTATAAGAATGAATCAGAGAAAGATGAGATTGAATACGGAAAGTATAACTGGGAATTTTTTTTTTGTCATACTCCAAGGAAGAGGTGATTGTGGCCTGAACAATAAAGGTAGTAGAAATCATGAACAGACTAAAAAAGTGTTTAGAAGACAGCATTGGGAGGATGCGGTAATTGGTTTTAGGTGTTGAGAAAGGAGCAAAAGGTAGTAATGAAAACAGCAAGATTTATGGCTTAAGCAACTGACAGATTGATGGATGGCATTCACTGATAATCAGAACACAGAAGAGGCAGTTTGTGGGGGATAGTAATGAGTTCAATTTTGGATATAATGAATATGAGATTCTTCACAGATATCCAAATGGAGATATATAACACATATTTGAATATAAAGGTCTTATGCTCAGGAGAGATATCTGTACTATAAATAAATTTGGAGAAATATACATGATTGAAGTGAAAGGAATATATGAATTTGCCCAGGGGGAATTTATAAATTGAGAAGAGAGCTTAGGACAGAATCCTGAGAAATAACAAAGAGAGAGTTCCTTTCGTGAGAAGATAGCCATTACTTTCCAAGATGCTGTTGATGACTTTGACAAAATCAGTTTTAGTGGCACAGTGAGAAAAGAACCCAGACGGCTAGATGTTGATGCCCAGTAAGCCCAATAAGATGTAATATCCATGGGTTGATTTATGCAGATGTTTCGGGCAAATTTAATCACAAGTAACTGAATTCTCCAAGTTGTTTTGGGATAGGTTAGCCAATATCATTTGTATTTAAAGCAAAAATGTCATTCTCTCTTTTTCTTTTTTGAGACGGACTTTTGCTCTTGTTGCCCAGGCTGGAGTGCAGTGGTGTGATCTCAGCTCACTGCAACCTCCACCTCCCAGGTTCAAGTGACTCTCCTGTCTCAGCCTCCCAAGTAGCTGGGATTACAGGTGCATGCCACCACATTGGCTAATTTTTGTATTTTTAGTAGAGAAAGGGTTTCATCATATTGGTCAGGCTGGTCTGGAGCTCCTGACCTCAGGTGATCTGCCTGCCTTGGCCTCCCAAAGTGCTGGGATTACAGGCATGAGCCACCACGCCTGGCCTCTCCTTTTCAATTATAGTTTATTAAGATTAGGTTATTTTAATTATTTGAACATTTTCTAATACAATCTGGTGAGGACCATAGGATAGCTAATTAAGAATTTTGCTATGATTTTTAATGTGGGCATTTGCTAAATTCCACCTTACATAAAATCATTTGTTTCTAGGCCTCTGGATTATTTTCCTGAGCAGAAAAATAAATGTTTTTTTTTCTATTAAGGATAAGTGTTTTTCTCTAACTAAAATAACATATTTAATTCTGAAGTGCAATGACCAATATGGAGTTTACTCTAACAGAATAAATATAAATATATTCAGTCTCTGGAGATTGACAAAGATTAGTAAACAAAACTAAACACACACTTAGATTTCCACCCATAAATTTAAGAAACACAGTGCTTCTGAAAGCAGAAAGAATATTTAGTGATTATTTGTTCTTATTCTTTGAATAATAAATTTTAATACAACATGGCTGAAGCAAATTATAGTATTTAGTTTTCCAAAGATGGCATGGGAATATGTAGTTAAGTGGAGAGCACAGCCTCAAGATAAGAATATCCCAAAAGTAATTTTAAAATGCTTCTTACTTGGGAAAATTTTGGAGGCAAACTCACTTTATGATTATATTTAAAATTTCATGGATATTGAAATTGTCCCAATATTGACTGCAAGATTTCGAGGAAGAACATTTGCATTCCTTGTTGAATCTAGACTCCACCATTCTCCAAATATTGGTTGATAATTCAGAAAAAAAATAGCCCCTTTTCTTGGCCTATGCAGTGGATTTTATCCCAGAATCTCAGAGTGCTTTACACAAATTAACTCATGATCCAGTCCCTTTAAAATTCTGAATGAAGATTAATAAGACTCCTACTCCGCACATGGGAACATGGAGTTTCTGGAACCTTGGATGAAGTGAATGAGACGTGCCACGGCTGCCAGCAAATTTGCGGATGAGCCAAGAATAGCCAACAAGATTTCTGCTATACCGTTTTAACCACCAGACACACAAAAATTTATAGATATTAAACAATTTTTTTAAAAACAGACTAAAATGTGGTCTAAAAGAAAAAGCTCTTGACTAATGTCAGCATGTGTGAGAACTGGAACAAGTTTCTGTACTTTGAAACTCTTGGTGGTCTCATTTCTCAGGGTGAATTGATTTCTAAGATTCCCTCTAGATCTGATATTCTAAGTGTCTGTGGACCTTACTTTGGAAAATGGGTCCTGTCTGAAAAAAAGAACAGTTCAAAATATTTGTAGAAATACGTAGCAGGATGTCCTTGTGTGTCTCTTCACTTGTCCTCTTGGCAATATTTACTGAGTTCTGTCTCTTCCTTTGTAACCCTCAAAACCAGCTCTTTTTCCTTTCAAATTGCAATTTCCCTAACTCCTTCTCAACAAATACTATGAATACAATTAGTTATTTCATCTAGACCACTGTATAATTAGCCACACTCTTTATCCCTTTCTCTAGGAATAAAGAACATAGGTAAATAAAAGCAAAAGGATTAAAAGTGCAGGCCCTAAAATCATATTTCCCAGGAATAAAATTTAGATCTGTAACTTATTTAGTGTGTGACTTCGGACAAATTAATCCACTCAAGTTCCAGTTTCCTCATCTGTGAAAAGAGGAAGATAATATACTTACCAACAATAAAATGCTTTTGTGGGGAGTAAATGAACATTTAGCACAATGCCCAATGCATAATAAACAGTTTTGTTTGTCCTTCAGTTTTTTCTTCTCTTTCTCTTTGATAGATATCTACATAGACTCCATCCTATGCCACCTTTGTGTCGCAGGGTCTGGAAGCCTAGAAACTACGAATCCCTTGCTGCCTGTTCTCTGATTTAAATTCCTTTAGTGAGACTCATTTGCATTAAATTTTGAAGGTAGAAGAGAAGTTAATATAACTCCTCTCCCAGGGGCAGGTAGGAGCAGTTACTACTCCTGCATTTACTACCTACTACTAGCAGGTAGTGCACAAATAGGAGATTTTGTCAGTGACTTCCAGGAGTTCTCCCTAAAATTATCATTTTGGGATGGTAGGTAGCTGAGATCATTGGCAGTGGTTTCCAGAAAATCTTGTAATATCCAAATTTCTTGAAGAAAAAAAAAACACAGTAATTTAACTTAAACTTCACTTCCTCATACTGTCAGTGGTTTCGTAAGCACCTAATTAGTTCCCTGAATTAAGTGCCTTCTAGCTTGAGTGGTTTCTATTTTCTTGACTAATCGTAGCTGATATATTTTTCTCCTTCTCGTTCTGATTACTGGATTCTATTACAAATTAGTAAATAAAAAATAAAGGAAAGTAATAGTATTAATAACTGTGAACATTTAGTTCTTTCCTCAAATGACATCTTTTAGTAAGTGCCTTCTGACTATCTTATCTTTGCCTCCATTTTAAAATGTCCCCGTAAGCATTTTTTTTTTTTTTTTTTTTTGAGACGGAGGCTCGCTCTTGTGGCCAGGCTGGAGTGCAGTGGCACAATCTCAGCTCACTGCAACCCCTGCCTCCCAGGTTCTAAGGATTCTCCTGCCTCAGCGTCCCAAGTAGCTGGGACTACAGGTGCATGCCACCAGGCCTGGCTAATTTTTGTATTTTTTAGTAGAGATGGGGTTTCACCATATTGGCCAGGCTGGTCTCAAACTCCTGACCTCGTGATCTGCCTGCCTTGGCCTCCCAAAATGCTAGGATTACAAACATGAGCCACTGTGCCCGGCCCATAAGAATTTTTTAGTATTTTACATAATAGTAATTTTACTTATCTTGTTTGTAGTATTTCTTTATAGGAAATTATTATGCTTATACAGATAAAGATTTTTTTTTTACTCTTTCACTGTTTAATACCCAGCTCTTCAAAAATTGTCTCACATGTAGTAGATGCTCAGTAAATGCTTGTTGAGTTAATGAGTAGAGTAATTATTATGTGCTAGGTTTCTTCTAACTGCTGTATGTAGATTATCTTACTCAATCCTTCTAATGAAACCTATTCAATGTCTATTACTAGTATGCCCAATTTATAAAATCAAAGATTTAGACACACTTATAGTGGAACAAGACTTTGAACTTAAACTGATTCCCAAATCTTTGATATTTACCATGATACCACATTGAATACCCATTATTTTTCTAGTCCTGAGCTAGGTACTTGATATTGCCTTAAAGTCTCATAAAAATACCACGTGTTATGTACGATAAAATGAGAAAACTATGTCCGACAGAAGTTAAATAATTTTTTATACAATGATATAGCAACTAAGCGTACAGTTCAAATCCTCACCCAGCCTGGGTGCAGTCTTCTAAGGTTTGTATGGTTTTAGGTCTAACGTTTAAGTCTTTAATCCATCTTGAATTAATTTTTGTATAAGGTGTAAGGAAGGGATCCAGTTTCAGCTTTCTACATATGACTAGCCAGTTTTCCCAGCACCATTTATTAAATAGGGAATCCTTTCCCCATTTCTTGTTTTTGTCAGGTTTGTCAAAGATCAGATAGTTGTAGATATATGGTGTTATTTCTGAGGGCTCTGTTCTGTTCCATTGGTCTATATCTCTGTTTTGGTACCAGTACCATGCTGTTTTGGTTACTGTAGCCTTGTAGTATAGTTTGAAGTCAGGTAGTGTGATGCCTCCAGCTTTGTTCTTTTGGCTTAGGATTGAGTTGGCGATGTGGGCTCTTTTTCGGTTCCATATGAACTTTAAAGTAGTTTTTTCCAATTCTGTGAAGAAAGTCATTGGTAGCTTGATGGGGATGGCATTGAATCTGTAAATTACTTTGGGCAGTATGGCCATTTTCACGATATTGATTCTTCCTACCCATGAGCATGGAATGTTCTTCCATTTGTTTGTATCCTCTTTTATTTCCTTGAGCAGTGGTTTGTAGTTCTCCTTGAAGAGGTCCTTCACATCCCTTGTAAGTTGGATTCCTAGGTATTTTATTTTCTTTGAAGCAATTGTGAATGGGAGTTCACTTATGATTTGGCTCTCTGTTTGTCTGTTGTTGGTGTATAAGAATACTTGTGATTTTTGTACATTGATTTTTTATCCTGGGACTTTGCTGAAGTTGCTTATCAGCTTAAGGAGATTTTGGGCTGAGACAATGGGGTTTTCTAGATATACAATCATGTCGTCTGCAAACAGGGACAATTTGACTTCCTCTTTTCCTAATTGAATACCCTTTATTTCCTTCTCCTGCCTCATTGCCCTGGCCAGAACTTCCAACACTATGTTGAACAGGAGTGGTGAGAGAGGGCATCCCTGTCTTGTGCCAGTTTTCAAAGGGAATGCTTCCAGTTTTTGCCCATTCAGGATGATATTGGCTGTGGGTTTGTCATAGATAGCTCTTATTATTTTGAGATACGTCCCATCAACACCTAATTTATTGAGAGTTTTTAGCATGAAAGGTTGTTGAATTTTGTCAAAGGCCTTTTCTGCATCTATTGAGATAATCATGTGGTTTTTGTCTTTGGTTCTGTTTATATGCTGGAATACATTTATTGATTTGCATATATTGAACCAGCCTTGCATCCCAGGGATGAAGCCCACTTGATCATGGTGGATAAGCTTTTTGATGTGCTGCTGGATTCGGTTTGCCAGTATTTTATTGAGGATTTTTGCATCAATGTTCATCAAGGATATTGGTCTAAAATTCTCTTTTTTGGTTGTGTCTCTGCCCGGCTTCGGTATCAGGATGATGCTGGCCTCATAAAATGAGTTAGGGAGGATTCCTTCTTTTTCTATTGATTGGAATAGTTTCAGAACGAATGGTACTAGTTCCTCCTTGTACTTCTGGTAGAATTCGGCTGTGAATCCATCTGATCCTGGACTCTTTTTGGTTGGTAAGCTATTGATTATTGCCACAATTTCAGATCCTGTTATTGGTCTATTCAGAGATTCAACTTCTTCCTGGTTTAGTCTTGGGAGAGTGTATGTGTCGAGGAATTTATCCATTTCTTCTAGATTTTCTAGTTTATTTGCATAGAGGTGTTTGTAGTATTCTCTGATGGTAGTTTGTATTTCTCTGGGATCGGTGGTGATATCCCCTTTATCATTTTTTATTGCATCTATTCGATTCTTCTCTCTCTTTTTATTAGTCTTGCTAGCGGTTTATCAATTTTGTTGATCCTTTCAAAAAACCAGCTCCTGGATTCATTAATTTTTGAAGGGTTTTTTGTGTCTCTATTTCCTTCAGTTCTGCTCTGATTTTAGTTATTTCTTGCCTTCTGCTGGCTTTTGAATGTGTTTGCTCTTGCTTTTCTAGTTCTTTTAATTGTGATGTTAGGGTGTCAATTTTGGATCTTTCCTGCTTTCTCTTGTGGGCATTTAGTGCTATAAATTTCCCTCTACGCACTGCTCTGAATGCATCCCAGAGATTCTGTTATGTTGTGTCTTTGTTCTCGTTGGTTTCAAAGAACATCTTTATTTCTGCCTTCATTTCGTTATGTACCCAATAGTCATTCAGGAGCAGGTTGTTCAGTTTCCATGTAGTTGAGCTGTTTTGAGTGAGATTCTTAATCCTGAATTCTAGTTTGATTGCACTGTGGTCTGAGAGATAGTTTGTTATAATTTCTGTTCTTTTACATTTGCTGAGGAGAGCTTTACTTCCAAGTATGTGGTCAATTTTGGAATAGGTGTGGTGTGGTGTGGTGCTGAAAAAAATGTATATTCTGTTGATTTGGGGTGGAGAGTTCTGTAGATGTCTATTAGGTCCACTTGGTGCAGAGCTGAGTTCAATTCCTGGGTATCATTGTTGACTTTCTGTCTCACTGATCTGTCTAATGTTGACAGTGGGGTGTTAAAGTCTCCCATTATTAATGTGTGGGAGTCTAAGTCTCTTTGTAGGTCACTCAGGACTTGCTTTATGAATCTGGGTGCTCCTGTATTGGTTGCATATATATTTAGGATAGTTAGCTCTTCTTGTTGAATTGATCCCTTTACCATTATATAATGGCCTTCTTTGTCTCTTTTGATCTTTGATGGTTTAAAGTCTGTTTTATCAGAGACTAGGATTGCAACCCCTGCCTGTTTTTGTTTTCCATTTGCTTGGTAGATCTTCCTCCATCCTTTTATTTTGAGCCTATGTGTGTCTCTGAACGTGAGATGGGTTTCCTGAATACAGCACACTGATGGGTCTTGACTCTTTATCCAATTTTCCAGTCTGTGTCTTTTAATTGGAGCATTTAGTCCATTTACATTTAAAGTTAATATTGTTATGTGTGAATTTGATCCTGTCATTATGATGTTAGCTGGTGATTTTGCTCATTTGTTGATGCAGTTTCTTCCTAGTCTCGATGGTCTTTACATTTTGGCATGATTTTGCAGTGGCTGGTGCTGGTTTTTCCTTTCCATGTTTAGCACTTCCTTTAGGAGCTCTTTTAGGGCAGGCCTGGTGGTGACAAAATCTCTCAGCATTTTCTTGTCTGTAAAGTATTTTATTTCTCCTTCACTTATGAAGCTTAGTTTGGCTGGATATGAAATTCTGGGTTGAAAATTCGTTTCTTTAAGAATGTTGAATATTGGCCCCCACTCTCTTCTGGCTTGTAGAGTTTCTGCTGAGAGATCCACTGTTAGTCTGATGGGCTTCCCTTTGAGGGTAACCCGACCTTTCTCTCTGGCTGCCCTTAACATTTTTTCCTTCATTTCAACTTTGGTGAATCTGACAATTATGTGTCTTGGAGTTGCTCTTCTCGAGGAGTATCTTTGTGGCGTTCTCTGTATTTCCTGAATCTGAATGTTGGCCTGCCTTGCTAGATTGGGGAAGTTCTCCTGGATAATATCCTGCAGAGTGTTTTCCAACTTGGTTCCATTCTCCCTGTCACTTTCAGGTACACCAATCAGACATAGATTTGGTCTTTTCACATAGTCCCATATTTCTTGGAGGCTTTGCTCGTTTCTTTTTATTCTTTTTTCTCTAAACTTCCCTTCTCGCTTCATTTCATTCATTTCATCTTCCATCGCTGATACCCTTTCTTCCAGTTGATCGCATCGGCTCTTGAGGCTTCTGCATTCTTCACGTAGTTCTCGAGCCTTGGTTTTCAGCTCCATCAGCTCCTTTAAGCACTACTCTGTATTGGTTATTCTAGTTATACATTCTTCTAAATTTTTTTCAAAGTTTTCAACTTCTTTGCCTTTGGTTTGAATGTCCTCCCATAGCTCGGAGTAATTTGATCGTCTGAAGCCTTCTTCTCTCAGCTCGTCAAAATCATTCTCCATCCAGCTTTGTTCCGTTGCTGGTGAGGAATTGCGTTCCTTTGGAGGAGGAGAGGCACTCTGCTTTTTAGAGTTTCCAGTTTTTCTGTTCTGTTTTTTTCCCCATCTTTGTGGTTTTATCTACTTTTGGTCTTTGATGATGGTGATGTACAGATGGGTTTTTGGTGTGGATGTCCTTTCTGTTTGTTAGTTTTCCTTCTAACAGACAGGACCCTCAGCTGCAGGTCTGTTGGAGTACCAGGCCGGCTGTGTGAGGTGTCAGTGTGCCCCTGCTGGGGGGTGCCTCCCAGTTAGGCTGCTCGGGGGTCAGGGGTCAGGGACCCACTTGAGGAGGCAGTCTGCCCGTTCTCAGATCTCCAGCTGCGTGCTGGGAGAACCACTGCTCTCTTCAAAGCTGTCCGACAGGGACATTTAAGTCTGCAGAGGTTACTGCTGTCTTTTTGTTTGTCTGTGCCCTGCCCCCAGAGGTGGAGCCTGCAGAGGCAAGCAGGCCTCCTTGAGCTGTGGTGGGCTCCACCCAGTTCCAGCTTCCGGGCTGCTTTGTTTACCTAAGCAAGCCTGGGCAATGGCGGGCGCCCCTCCCCCAGCCTCGCTGCCGCCTTGCAGTTTGATCTCAGACTGCTGTGCTAGCAATCAGCGAGACTCCGTGGGCGTAGGACCCTCCGAGCCAGGTGCAGGATATAATCTCGTGGTTCGCCGTTTTTTAAGCCCGTCGGAAAAGCGCAGTATTCGGGTGGGAGTGACTCGATTCTCCAGGTGCCATCTGTCACCCCTTTCTTTGACTAGGAAAGGGAAACTCCCTGACCCCTTGCGCTTCCCGAGTGAGGCAATGCCTCGCCCTGCTTCGGCTCACACATGGTGCGCGCACCCACTGACCTGCGCCCACTGTCTGGCACTCCCTAGTGAGATGAACCCGGTACCTCAGATGGAAATGCAGAAATCACCCGTCTTCTGCGTCGCTCACGCTGGGAGCTGTAGACCGGAGCTGTTCCTATTCGGCCATCTTCCTTACCCACCAAAAAAATTTATTTTCAAGATTAGGGAAGTTAAAAGGTTTATTTAAGATGTCAGATTTTTATATGTTACCAGAACAATTTCTTTTTTCATTCCTGCCAGGCCAATACTGACCAAAGAAAGCCAAGGATGGTGCACTTCATCTACCAATAAATAATAATGTTTGAGCTTAATTATGAGGACTGTTCTATAAAATCTTGAGTTTGGGGCTTTGTAGATTGTACTATTGTCATCTTATTTATAACTACATACAGGCTTCATGCTGCATGGTCCATATATTTACCTATGATAATTTAGAACCAGGATCTTTATTTGGTCTTATAAAGAACTAGGCATTGTAATAATGGTATACAGTTTAACACACCCAAGCCAGCTGGCATATAGGATGTTCTCCACTGGAATAGAGTGTTCGTCAAGGTAAGTTTGGGGGTCCTGCCATTATGTTAAATTTTTTAAAGTCGGTAAAACCATTCAAGTCAATTATTCTTATAAGAGACAACTGGTTTGGTAAAACTGACCTTATAATGGCTTTGAGAAGGAAAGGTTACAACTGTCCCTTCCCTGCTTCTGCTATATCCAATAAGCACAGTGGGTTTGAGCTCAAATAAATATCTAAAAGAATAAATGACATAGAAACAAACACTGTATGTACTATGCTTTTTGTAAACTGCCCTCTTTGAATTTGTGAAATAGCTTGGAACAAGTAGCTGGCATGTGTTGCTAAAATGCTTTTTCATGCTTTGGCATTAAGGGGCTTCCACAGTTCCCAGTTGGTGATAATCACAGGGTGTGTTTGCGCCGTTCAGGCTTCACTAGAATACTTTCTTTGGAGGAAAGCTTTGGGTGGTTTCCCAGGTTCGATTTTTTTTTTAAATCACTAAAATGTGTTTTTTACTTGCAAATTAACTTGTGTTATTGTATTACAATTAAATGTTTACAGCTTGGAAATTTTTTCCTTTTCTTTGAAAAACATTTCTGTTTATTTTTTCTCCGTAGGTCAGAGGAAACCCAATCCACATTGGAACAAGGCTTCTTAAGACATGGATGTAATTTGGTGGTAAGATGGATTCAACGTTATTCCCCTGACCTTTCTCACTTTCACCTTCTCCCTTGTGCACTCATTTCATCATAGAGGTGGAAATGTTAAACAATATAGTCGATTATGTGTTAGAGATCTCAAAGAAACCTACACTAGGTACTCCTTTAAAATCTAAACTGGCAACATGATAATGAGCTGACTTCGGGGTTGCTAAAATTTACCAACATCACACAGTAAAAGAAAAATACTATAATCCTAGTAAAGTGGTAAATTACAACCATTTTTTAGGAAAGCATTTTACATAATCTGAGAAAGGTCGTGGTAAACTCAAAATGAAATCTAGAAACAAATATGTCATTAAGTGATTCAAATAGCTTTATAACTTTACTTTCATGTGGTTTATTTTATATTATCAGAATAGCCTTATGTAAGCCAAAATATGCCTGAGGGCTAATTCAAGGAATTTTTTTTTTTTTTTTTTTGAGACTGTCTCCTCTGTCACCCAGGCTGGAGTGCAGTGGCACAATCTTGGCTCACGCAACCTCCGCCTCACAGGTTCAAGCGATTCTCCTGCCTCAGCCTCAGGAGTAGCTGGGATTACAGGCACCCACCACCAGGCCCAGCTAATCTTTGTATTCTTAGTAGAGACAGTATTTTGCCATGTTGGCCAGGCTAGTCTTGAACTCCCGACCTCAGGTGATCCACCCACCTTGGCCTCTCAAAGTGCTAGGATTACCGGCATGAGCCACCGCGCCTGGACAACTCAAGGAAATTTTAACTGAGAGGTAGTAGGGTGTTCTTAGTCTTTGCAGTTTTACACAGGAACACAATGGGAAGTGGGAGAGAAGAAACTTCTAACAGAGCACTTTCAGTGAGTCAACCATCATATTTATTTTTTGTTGTTGTTCCAATAATACCT
The DNA here is from genome assembly GCF_000001405.40 of Homo sapiens. NCBI lineage: Eukaryota > Metazoa > Chordata > Mammalia > Primates > Hominidae > Homo > Homo sapiens. The sequence continues at coordinate 121,336,774 of NC_000008.11, forward strand.
TTAATTTCAATCCTTTCAATGAATTTACTTACCACCTACAACATCTGAATTCCTGGTGGACATGTAGCCTCAGGCTGCCTATTCTTTAGAATGAGGCCACCTGAGGGAGGGAGAACTATCTGTGGATGGACTTTGGAGAGGTCAACATGTAACTGAATAGTTGGTAAAATTGGAAGCATGTGTGCATTGTCCTGGGGAAACAGCTGAGGGTTTTACTAGTCCTCAAAAACATAGCTTAGAAAAAGTTAAGAACTCTTGCTTAGATAGAGTTAACCACTAGTTTGACACATAGTACAAGGTCCTCAAATTTTGTATGTTGAGTTACTTCTTTGCCCCACATCTAACAAGTTGTTTAGATTGTGTGCCATAGAAGTACTTGCCAATTGAAAAATATTAGTGGGATGGCAAAGATTATTAACTACACTAAACAAAAGTTTGTATACCACTGTCTGTCCAAGTTTAATGTCTGTGGCTTTTCACATTTTTTGACATGTAGGAAACCCTCCAGGATACAAAGAAAAGTAGAGAAGGAATCAGCAGTTTCCACTACAGAAACCTCTCCCTTTCCTAAGCGTCCACCAAAGCAGAGGTTTAAGAACCCCTGGGCAAGGGAAGAAAGATATCGCCAGAGTACCCCTTGCTCCCTCAGCCTATCAAAATGTCAAAGGCCCGTGACCCAATTAGTCAAACGGAACTGCGGTGGTGTCACTGAGAGAATATGTCTTCAAATCTTGCTTTCCAGGTGGCCCTAGCCTTGCTTCTTGTAGTATATAGTCTTCTGCATGCACCAAGGACAGAGAATTTATTCTTGTAAACACATCATCTCGACTTAGATGATCATACAGGTCAGTTACAATTATGGAACGGATGCTGTACATATACCTAATTTAAGATGTATCAAAATACTAGAGACACACCACAGTTGGTCCTTCAGGCCCACTTTACTAACAGACTTTGATTCAGCAAACCATTTACTTTGCTGGTCTTCTATCTTTTATTAAAACATCTTGTGTCTACTCTCATGTCTCTTTTTCTTTCTTTCTTTCTTCTTTTTTTTTTTTTTTTTAGTGAGACAGGGTCTCACTCTGTTGCCCAGGTAGGAGTGCAGTGGCTCAATCAGAGCCCACTGGAGCCTTGACCTCTGAGGTTCAAGCGATCCCTCTGCCTGGGCCTCCCAAAGTGTGGGATTACAGGCATGAGCCACTGCACCCAGCCGCTTGTGTACTTATGTACCATTTTTTTCCTACTATAAATGCTATTCTGGGCCTATCTCTGCTACCACATAGTTGACCTCAAAGTTTATCTCTACACCTTCTGGGTGGCAGTTCTCTCATCGAGAAAAAACAGTACTGGATAGAAGAGTAATTAGTTCTAACATTTTTTTTTCAGTAACCATTTTGGCCCTTCAAATAAAATCTTACATGAAGGCCCAATAAAAAGAGTCAAATAATTTTTTTAAAAGTAGCTTTGTTTTAAGGATACAGTGGCTCCCAAGTGGGTAAGGATGGGGAGCTTAAACTAGGGCACTGGAGGACCTAGTTTGAAAAAAAAACATTAGCAGAAATGTTATGATATCTGTAAATTATTTTAAAGTACTTCAGCAGATCTTATGTGTAAGAACATGCATATTATTTAGTTTAGCCTGTAACACAATGATTCTAGTATTTAATAAAGAATGCACAATCCAGAGATTGTCAATGAATGTGCTCTTCAAGATCCAGAGCTGGGTCCTGACCCTCAGGAAGCCTAGCCTTCACAAGTGGCTACTTCAACTGCTTTACTTGTATCTGGATCTATAACTGCTACTTCACTAATTAATAGACTGGATGTTGGAAATGGGACATTTATTGATAAAAATAGTGGATTACTGACAAGAATGATAAATGTCAAAAATGGGTCCTTTTTAGGGAAATAAGAAATATTCAATCTATGTGTACTGGCTAACCTATTTAGAAGATACTTCCCACGCATGCATGAATAGAAATGCAGGGAGGGTTTGTGGCCTACACCCTTGGAAAAGATGTCCTAATCTAAATCCCCAAAGATTCCCTTGTCCAGCCTTGGATTCGGGAGGATTCTGGTTGTCTGATTCAGCTGTCATGGTGACAGAGTCCTGCTTCTGGAATGTTGTTATGTCTGCTTCTAGAATATTGCTGTCTGCTTTAAGGGAACTTTTCTCACAATTTGTGATCATAGTGCCTAAAAGGACAGTGAGCTGAGATTTCCCTGAGACAACAGAATAGGTTGTATGAGTGGTTTGTGTTCTTGCTTTCTAAGGATTGCTTTGTATGTGAGGCAGAATTTAGACTGAGACCCTGTTTCATTATAACTGGAGTAAGGTTATAGGTGAAGTAACTAGCTCTGACTCACCTCATATTCATTGTTTGTCACTAGCAGAGACCAGAGTGTTGTTCATAATCAAGTTGGCTAAAGTCCATTTTCTAAACTTCTTTGATTTGAAGAATAAGAGCACAGGAGCACAGTATTCATATATTACAAAATGACATTATTTAACTTTGACCCCAGTTTGATCGTTCATGCCTACAATTTTCCTGCAATAATTGTTTTGATGGCAAGAGTACTTCCAGCATCACCTGACAGTTACTTTAAAGCATTTACTAGACATTAGAAAAAAGTATGTGATCTTTCCTTCATAAATCTAATATGTATTGATGAGATAAGATACTTATGCAGAAAAAGTGTTTACAAAATATAAGGAGGTATATAATAAATGAAAAAAATAGAAAATAAATACAATAATGATGCAAACAGAGAGATGAATCTGTGACTATTTGACCAAGGAAGATATAAATATTGAAGCAGCTTTGTCATATACTTGAGATTTAGACAGGGTTTAATACAGGTATGAAATCACTTTAACCAGCCTTTAGGGACAAAGATGGGTTAGGTTGAGCTTATGAAGTGCCCTGAGATGCTAGCTAAAGAGCTCAGATTCTAGAATATTTTTGGTTTCAAGAAATTTGCCTTGTTTTGGGTGGGATGAAACTAAAACTTTTTGAAAGGGTAGCAACCCAGCCCCAATAAAGTGTTACTGGGAGGATATTACACTTCTAAGAAGTTTAGTCGACAGAAGGAAAATGAGCCTTCACACTGTAAGAGCTACCAGGAAGTTAGTCCCCTCCTCCTTTTTAGATACCTGCTAGGAAATAACATTTGGTCATTTTCCCAGAACTAAGTACAGGATGGGATTTTTAACTCAATCTGATCAGTGTTTTCCCAAGATAAGAAATTAACACTGAAGTTAATGAAGGGTCAGAGGTAAAGCATCCTCCCCTGAAAGACACTGAAATTTCAAATGTTTATGAAGTTTGCCTGTCTTCTCCTCCCTGTAACTCATCTCCTTCTTCCACCTCTCCCTAACCTCTGTTTTCCTATCTCATTAATCTTTTATGACCCTATCTTAAGTAGATGGGGCAAGGTTGTAAATTCCCCAACACTGCAATCAAATATACAAAGAAAATGTGAGTTTAAAATTTCTGTATAACTAGTCTGATCTCCATGAGTCCAAATTCTGTTGAGTAGATGACTTGGAGAGATCAATTTATTCCAGGTAGATTTATTCCAGCCAGGTATTCTCAGTCTGATTAGTTGAAAAATAAACTATTTATCTACTAAGGTGACACAAGTAATATGCAATATGTTAGAGTTCTTCTCTTTCTCTCCATGAAGTCAATTGTGATTATGGGAGGATGAAAATTTAAATAGCATCACAGCAAATAACATGATTGTGTTAGTTGAAACCTTTGGGAAGTAGATGCTGAACCAGAGTAGGAGTTCAAGGGATTTATTGCAAGGCAAAGCCGTTGAAAACGAAAAGGTGGAGGAAGCAGGATTGGACATATGACACCTTGAAAAGAAAGATGGAAGGATGCTGGCCTGGGCAGGAAGACAAAGGCTCTGCCAATTCAACAGCAAGTTTTTGAGAAAAGAATGATTGTTAGAAGGATCCCACATTTGGCAGAAATAACCAGTCCCTGCTGCATTCAGTCATTGCTAGGGGCTACCCAGGAAGAGTGTTCTCTTGTTTCAAAAAGGTGATACCTAATCCATTATGCAAGCTGTCAGTTAACTGCACTTATTGCAACTGAATGGAGAATTCTTTTTTATTTGATGGCTTACTAAGCACGTTTTATTTTAGTTTGGTTCATTTTCTAAGTTGACAGATGCAAAAATGTATACATTTGTGGCATACATCTTGATGTTTTGATACGTATCTACCTCGTAGAATGATTAAATCAAGTTAACTAACATATCAATCATTTCACATACTTATTTGTGATAAAAACATTTGAAATCTACTCTTAACAATTTTTAAGTGTATTATACCTTATTATTAATTATAGTCACCATGCTGTACAATAGACCTCCGGAACTTATTTCTCCTGTATAACTGAAATTTTCTACCCTTTGACCAACATCTCCCCATTCCTTTCCCTCTCCCAAAGCTCCTGGAAACCACCATTCTACTTCCCACTTCTGTGAATTCAACATTTTTAGATACACTTAAGAGAGATGATATTGTATTTGTCTTTTTGTTTCTGGTGTATTTCACTTAACATAATGTCCTCCAGATTCATCTATGTTAACACAAATAACAGAATCGTCTTCTTTTACGAGTCTGAATAGTATTTCATTGTGCATGTATACCATGTTTTCTTTGTCCACTCACGGAGACAAGTTGATTCCATATTTTGGCTATTGTGAATAATGCTGCAATGAATATGGGGTGGGCGGGGGCAGATACTCATACAACATACTGATTTCATTTCCGTGGGATATATACTCAGTAGTAAGTGAGATTGCTAGATCATATGGAAATTCTATTTTAAATTTTTTAAAGGAATCTCCACACTGTTTCAAAATGGAGAGTTCTTTCTTGAAGGTAGGTTGCTATCACAGGTTCTTTGGACTCTTGGGTTTTTATTGTTCTCTGCTTCAGTTGTTTTTCCTTTAACAGATGACACTGCTGAGGGGCAACTGGTAGCATTCTTAGGAAGTCTACTGCTCTTTCTTAATGAGGCTGGCATAACTTGGGATCTTTTCTCCTTTGTCTTGGTCAGGACTTACTGATCTTTCCTAGGAATTTGGCCCTACCTTGGCTCTCAGTATGCTGTGTCATGCTCTGGTGAGATCCCCAGAGAGTTCTCAGCTAACTTTTACATACCCTCATGGGGACCCCATGGAAAGCCATGAATTCATTATCTATGGAATGCATTATGTATGTAAACTTTTTCTTGGCATGAAAAATAGTTGAAAAATAAATGATTTATCTACTAAGGTGGCTCAGGTAGTATGCAATATGTTAGAGTTCTTTTTTGAACTTTTTTTTTGGTGCAAGTGCATTGAACTTTTTTTTACTGCAAACTTGTTCCAAATGTTCCATGAGATATATTTGCACCAAACAAACAAACAAACAAACCAAAAAGGGCTCATTGATTGATCTAAAACTCAAATCTAACTGGTGCTCTATATTTTCATTTGCTAAATCTGGCAACCCTAGAAAATAGTTCTGTATAACTAAGCTCAGATTTTCTCTTTCCCTAATCACAGTGAATCACTCTATTTGGTTCAACTACTTCCAGGTTGCTGAGGGGAGAGCTTACCAGAAGATTGCCTTCCAACATCCAAAAAGAAGGAGGGCAGAGGCTCTTTTGCCTTTGGGTTGACAACCAACCTTTCTAGCCTATTTTTTCTCTCTCTGATTTTGTCCAGCACAAGGGAGCCCGGGAAAAAACTTCCAATCACCTATCTCCCTTTGTTTTCTCTCCCTTGTCTTCCAAACAATTTATTGGGATCACAAAGTGTAGGCTTTAAGCTATTTCCTGTATGTCATCATCAATTTCTTCTTATACCTGGCACTGTAATCTGGCTAATGAGCCTGCCTTTTTGTTGCATTCAAAAGAAAGTAGAAGAAAGTTTAGAAAATCCTTTCTTCCTCAACACAGTTCAGACATCATTACTTTTGTCATGCTAATGAAATCAAGGATATCACCTTTCATGCATTCATTCATCCATTTAATAAGTTTTAGGCACATACCATGTGCTGGACACTCTTCTACTTGCAAAGACAGAGCAGTGAACATAAAAACAAGGTCACCCCTCGCATGTAGCTTAGAATCTAGAGAATTTAAGACTCAAAGCTGATGAAGGAACACTTGTTCTAGGCAGTCCCGGCCCTCCATTTTCCTAAAGTAATTAGTCTCATGATTCTACTTGGTGGTATAAGATTACATGAAAACATTAACAGCAGGGGGCAAAGGGGGGATGAAAAACAGGGATCTGGTAGTTGGAAAAAATCTGGTTCAGAGAAATAACCTCCCTTTATGGGTGATATCACAGCCTTTATGTGTAACTGGCAAGCCCAAGGCATAGTTAAAAAGGAGAGTTATTTGTAAAAATAAATAAATAAATAATAAGAATAAAAAGGGATTGAGAAAATTGGAAAAAACAGAGGATCTGTAATCCTTGGTGGAAACAAATGTTCAATAATTTCATTAGGTGTAACTTAATGTCACCAGAACCATAAATTACCTAGTGGAAATTTTAGTGTTTCACACTTAGCTTCGATTCAATTATCTATTGAGTTATGCAATGACTATTACTGACTGTGTGCTAAGGAGAGTGAAAAGCTCTGATGTCATAGTTATGTATGAAACATGCCCTCTCTGCCCTAAAAGGGTTCAAGGAGTGGGAAGGAGACCTATACAAATTGCTAAAATAATAAAAAAATACAATGGAGGTATGAAACAAGGTCACTGGTAGCGCTTATGTGTGCTTACAGATTCAGAGCAGTCTTCACATAGGTGGTAATGCTTATTTCCTCATGTAGAAGGGTACAACTCTTCTAGCTGACAGGAATGAAAAGCATTGCGAACAGAAAGATTAGACTTTCCAAAGGTCTAAGGAACCTGTAAGTAGTTCTGTATAATTACAGGGGAGTTATGTAGGTTTTATGTCAGAAAAAAAAAAAAAGATAGGCCACATGAAAAGTTCAAAATTTTTCCTAAAAGTAATGGGTAGCTAAAATCTAGTTCTGAGCTGGGAAGTAATATAAATATATATTTTTGCAGAAACACTCAGACAAAGTACTCACCATAATAGTTCTCAAACTGTAGTATGCATCCGAACCACCGGAAGGGCTAGCTAACCCAGGGTTTGCTGAGCCTTACTCCCAGGATTTCTGATTCGCTATGTCTGGATGAGACCTGAGAAAACAATTTGTAACAAGTTCTCAGGTGATGCTCATGTTGCACATCTCGGGACTATACCTTGAGAACTCCTGGGAAAGAAAATAGAATGGAGGCAGGCAGGACCAAACCAGAGGCTATAACTCAAAGCCATCTCTCCTTTTTATAGAAAATGTTTACTTAATCCTCTCAATAACCTTTAACAAAGTTAGTGTTTGCCATCAGTGAGTTTTTTACATTATTATTCCTTTTCTAAAGAAATACATCATCTACTTTTCTTTTTGAGACGGAGGCTCACTCTGTCACCCAGGCTGGAGTGCAGTGGTGCTATCTCTGCTCACTACAACCTCTGCCTCCTGGGTTCAAGCGATTCTCCCTGTCTCAGCCTCCCTAGTAGCGGGGATTACAGGTGCCCCAGGCGCCCATCATCATGCCCGGCTAATTTTTGTATTTTTAGTAGAGATGGGGTTTCGCCATGTTGACCAGGCTGATCTCAAACTCCTGACCTCAGGCGATCTGCTCGCCTTGGCCTCCCAAAGTGCTGGGATTACAGGCATGAGCCACTGCGCCTGGCCCATCATCTACATTTTTAGAGGTTAGAGTAAGAGGGGAATTTTTTTCAAAAAACATGCATATAAACATATGCGTGTGTGTGTATTCAATTCGTTTTTCCTTTTTTTTTTCTTTTTCTTTTTTACTGTTAGAAGGGAGCACCACATGGGTGAAAGTAAGGACCAAGGTTAAAAATGATGTTTCCTTTATGGCCCATGAATTTGCTGGGTGCTTCAATACACCTTTTAGCTTTCTTGAGGGTTAGCTGTGCTTAAACTGTGAAGTCAGGGAATGATGTCACGCTAAGCCCACTCCCCTCACCCCAACACACGTACAAAAACCCAGTGTGCACGTGATTCCTCTCCTCTCATCTGTCAGGAACCTAGAGAAGCCTTTGTTCTTCTGAGTGGGTGGGCTCCTTGGAGATCATTAAACCTTAGTGACCTTTGCTTCCCATAGAAGAGTATACCCTGCCAGGCTGTGAGACCAGAACACTTGCTTCCTTGCTTCCCATCTGCAAGGACAGTCCTGGTTCCATGAGCCTGGAGTACATAGCTGCTCCTTATATTACTTGAAAGGGAAAGAATGACGAAAACCACTTGTACCAGATGCAGTTCAGCCCTGACAATCTGGCTTATGGAGTCTGGTCCTTGCCTGGAAGATTCTGCATGCAAATGCTTACTGGACTTTTCAATCTCCCTGTTCAGGGCTTACACGTGAACCACTTTCGATGTCTTTTTGACTGCTTCTGGATGTTATTAGCTGAATCGTTTTTAATCAGATATTGGCAGGCATATTACCATCTCTGCCAGTTAGAAACTGGTTAGACACTATAAAGCAAAAGTCAGTTATCTAACGCAGCTGTGATGTGGTAGAAAGAGTACTGGAATTGCAGTTTTACAAAGCTGGTTGTGAGTCCTAAACCTGCCCAATAATTTAGTTGAGAGAATTTGGGCATGTGACTGAGCCACTTCATTTTCTTCCTCTGTTCAAAGGGCACAGTAATACTTCCATCACAGTGTGAAGGCACATTCAGTGGGAGAATACAAGGGAATGCATATGATGTAATATACAATGTATAATGTATCCTATATTATGTACTATGTATTATACATTATAGAAATATTACATCATCCATCTTTCACTCTCAAACTCACTATGACCACCTAATCCTAGCCACCATTTCCTTCCTTATGTTAGAAGGCACACTGGTAGTTACATCTAATTAAAGACTCAGTGAAAGGCTCCATGTAAAATCACTTTGTAAATTATAAAATGAGGCATATATCACGAGTGTTATTAGTACTTTAATATCTTAAAACATAATATGAATAATTATATATTATGTGTTCTGTTATATAGTAGATATATATTATGTGCCATATATTATATGTTATCTATTATACATTGATACCTATAATATATTATTTATTATATTTTATTAATGTATTATCTATTATATATGAGGGCATATTGTATATGCATGGTTACTTTTATTGTTGTTATTTGATATAATTATAGTATATTTTTCGGACAATCTGACCATGAGATGAGGGAAAATGATTTTAAAGTAGCTTTTACTTTTTAAAATAATAATACTATTTCTCAGCAAACTATCGCAAGGACAAAAAACCAAACACCGCATGTTCTCACTCATAGGTGGGAATTGAACAATGAGAACACATGGACACAGGAAGGGGAACATCACACACCAGGGCCTGTTATGGGGTGGGGGGAGCGGGGAGGGATAGCATTAGGAGATATACCTAATGTAAATGATGAGTTAATGGGTGCAGCACACCAACATGGCACATGTATACATATGTAACAAACCTGCACATTGTGCACATGTACCCTAAAACTTAAAGTATAATAATAAAAAAAAGACATAGTGGTAAGTTATACTTTTCATGAATTAAACTACAGTAATAGAAAAAATAATAATAATACTATTGTTGAGATAAAAAGTTAGTGAGCATAAGCAAATACTTTTATAAGCTGTGTGAACATATAATTTTACTAATGGTAGCAGAGTCTGATGAGCAGAGAGATTTGCAGAATCATTTTGTTGTATCTTATGAAAACTATTCAAAAAGTAATATTCTAAAAAGAGTGTGCTTCAGTCTACAAATTGGGTTCAGTGTATACCACTCAGGTGATAGTTGCATCACAATCTACAGATCATCACTCAAGAACTTATTCATGTAACCAAATACCACCTGTTCCCCAAAAATCGATGGAAATAAAAAATTTAAAAAAAGAACATGTCTTCAAAGCATATGCAAAATAACAGTAAAATGCCAACCATAAATAAATAAATAAAAAGATTGGGCTTCTATAATTCCTATCACTTACAAAGTCATGAAGATTAGTTAAAATGAATTTGTTCTAAAAGTTTTTATTCATATGGATCTGCCTCCAGACTCAGCTTGAGTGGACTTTGAAGTTAATTATCCCCTTGTACTTTACTTATCCTCATTCATGTGTGGTGTGCACTATAATTTATAACTTGATGTTTGATGAGTTAAGGTCCCTCAACCTTCTGTGTTGTCTCTCCACCATTAAGGTACGCAGTCAACAGGTGGTAGCAGGGGCCTACAAATCTTTTGTAAGGGAAAAGATCCATTCATTTTCTGGTATTATTACAAAAGCAAGAACATCTTTATTGAAACAGCTGACATAGAAATTATTAAGCTATAAAACTAAACCTTATATAAATTTCTGCCATCTATCTATATACAAGAGTTAGAAACATCAGGCATTATCTTTGACATTTTTCTCCACTTCAGGTCATGTGGAATTTATTGCTGAAAGCCGTCAGTTTTCCTATCTAGGTGTTTATAGTCCACCCTCTTCTTTCAGTCTCCCCTATGGCCACCAAATCTGGCTACTATGGCCTCCATCTGGCCTGCAGCAGTCATCTGCTGAATGTTCTCCTATCATTCACTCTGTTCTTCTCAGTGCAGTGACCTTTTTACCCCAGAAATATGCCCTTTGAAGGCTTGTCTCTGTTCTTAGGACAAAACCCCAAACCTTTAACTCAGTCTGCAAGCCTTTGAATTGTCTTCCCTGCCTACCTGGGAGTATCGCCTGAGCAACTGGCTCATCCTCATTCTGTATTCCTGCAATCATTATTTTCTCCAATTGCTTCTACGGGCCAAAGCCACTCCTCTTCTGCCATTTGCTTTGTACCTGCTTCTTTCTCTGCCTGTAGGGATCCCCTACCTCAACCCCCTTTATATCTGACTGATACCTATTCAGCCTTCACATTTCCTCTCATGTGTCACTTCCATAGGATGGCGCCCCTAAACTCCCAAGACAATTAAGGGCCCCTTGTTAATGAACTCATATAACCAACTGCATCACTCTCATCACCCCTGCATCTCATCTAATTAATTATAGACTAACAAACTATTCCTATTCAGTGTGTATCTCCAGCACAAAACAAAGTGTCTGATTGGAACCATCTTGGGCAAGTAAGGATGAGCTGGTCACTCTAGTGTGCACTAAGAAATGTGGTTTTTAAATGAAGTTTAAGGAGCAGAGAGCTCTTTTGCTCAATCTCCTGCTTTTGTTAACAATCCTTAATTATTAAGGTCCTAAATCCATCTCTTTTTTTCCTTCAAATTTAACAAATGAAATAGTTTATTTCTACAGTTAATTTCTTTTGTGTCACTTTCATAAATTTTTACGGAATTCTCAGACTGAGGTTTCAGTTTGTCAACTGGTAGAATTTATTAGGAAGTAATTTTTAATAAAATCTAGTACTGCCACGAAGAAGAAAGTTCATGTTTTAGTTCTGCCACTCGCTATATGATCTTAAAAAGACTCAATATACTCTCTCATCTATGGACCTAAGACTAAATTTAAAGGATTGTAATAGCAATCAGATACCATCATATATGTAAAATACCTAGAATAGCATTTGCCATATAGTAGATGTTGAATGCATTTATGATTCCCTCTTAAATCAAGAAGTTTCCTGACTAGAAAAGTGAAAACACTGCTTCCTTTCACTTTGTTCATTTATGAGAGCTATACGTTCACTTACATAGAGCACAGTATTTCTCTTTGTTGCTCACTATCAACTTGAAACCGTTGTGATTTGCAAAGAAGTCTTTATGTATCATTGCCCAGGGAATGTTTTGAATGAATTTTTTTTTGTTTTCTTCAAAGACATATGTAAAGCGGTTTGGTGCTTTTAGGAAATTTTATTAGTAGATGTTCAATTTTCATTAAGACACGATACACATGATGGGGCAGAAGGCCACGTGCCAGCTGCAGAGAGAGCAAGCCCTTCTCTGTTTCAGGTGAAAGCTCGTGCTTTTGTTTCCATGAGACTTCAAGGGGAGGTTCTGTGGCAGTATTTATTTGGCTTATGGTAACCTCTCAGATGTATTGCATCTGCTCTGTAGTAAAGGATGTGGGCTCCCTTTTGGTGACTTGCTGCCTGACTCAGACAACAGGCATGTTTGTATTCCTCAGCTTTGATCTTTTCTGCCTGGTATCTAAATGAAGCCTTTCTTGTGCCTTCAAAGCTAAATGGCTTGTTTGGTTTCCAGTTACTAAACAGCTCTGCTCCTGCTACTACTGGGGTTCCCCTATCCTTGATTCTATTCTAACACCTTCAGTTGGAGAGCTGCAGGGATCCAAGCCAAAGTATAACTAACATGTAATAAATCTAATACCATGTGCAAGAGAGGGCACTAGTGCTTCCTGGGGTTGTGCACGCCAAGATTCAACTTAACCCTATGGTGGGACCTCGGAGTTGAGGTTAGAGGGTCAATAGGAAAAGAGAAAATGAAAGAAACCTTGATGTTCTCAAAAGAATGCTTAGCACTGTGGCTAAGGGTATGGATGCTGGATTTTAACAGCCTGGGCTGTGAACAATTGTTGCCAAGCCTGAGATTTCCTGTCTATGAATGAAGAGTGATGATAGTACTTACCTACCTTATTGTGAGTGTTAAATGAGAAAATAGAAATAAAATGCTTAGGACAACATTGCACACATAGCCGTGACTCAGGGAATACTACCTTTCGGTTATTAGTAGTAGTTATGTGCATTTTTATCCATCCTTAATGTCCAAAAGAAATGGTCTCTCCCATTCTCTATCTAGGGAAATTGAATTTATTCATAAAAATCAAATTCAAATATCTATTGCTGTGAATATTCTCCAATAGCCTTGTCATCGTTCATAGCAGGTACTCGAGCTACGCAAATAAAAACACAGTGTGCTTTAAAGGATTATTTAGTCTCTTTTCATTCTTCCTAAAACTCATTATTTATAGTTTGATTACAGGACAAATTGTAGTCTGAATCAGTTATTTGGTTAACTGGCTAGTATATGAGACTCTGAGCTCTTTGAGGTAAGGGCCCTGGTACCTCCTACCACTGCATCTCAGCTCCTGCTACAGATACTTGACCATAAAGAACAGTATAGTACAGTGACTAAGTGCTCACGGCCAACACTTTACAGCTATGCTTTGAGCTGCTGCAAGCTGCAAAAGATTTCTTTTCCTCAGTTTCCTCACCTGAGAAATAGGGATAATGAAACTTGATGCTTGTCAGCTATAAGAAGAAAGAAAGATAACATGTACAAAGTACCTAAAACATATCACCTGCTCAGTTAACTGTTGCCAATATTATAATAATATAGACGAATGGCTTGAGTCCTAGGATTCTGGTAACTGCTGTGTCCTTTGATCACTACTTTGGGTTCCAGTTCTATTCTACTTTCCTATTTTGTACTATATTTAATCTATTAATTTCATTGTGCTATATAGAAGGAGAGAGTACAATAACTTCTAAATAAGTAATTGAACAATGAAGATGTAGGAATTTTTGGATGTCTCTGTGTGTGTGTGTGTGTGTGTGTGTGTGCGTGTGTGTATATATATATATGTGTGTGTGTGTGTAAAACAAGAACATATCCATGACATCTGAATGCCAATAGGTTCCTTACTACATTTCACTCAGCTTATATGACAAATAGGACTTCTCAGAAAGTTTTACTGACTAGTTTTACAGTTCTGTAAAATTCCTCTGTTATAATTCCAGTGCTTTTTAAATCTCCCTCCTCCAAGATCCTCTTTTCTGAACTCTACTTCTGCAAATACCTGGTGCTATTTCAGAACTTGCTTAGTACTTAAAGTAGAGAAACAAATAGAATATGTTCTAATCTTATCCCTTCTGTTTTACTTCTCCCAATCAATTGGCGATATAAGGATTTCCCTTTAAAAAGTGACAGGGGATAGTTTTTCCTATTCCTACAGCTGTTTTGCAATTTCATCTCAATATCTCACTAATAATATATATTATATATTATTAGATCAGATTGACAGAGAATTTATAGAGAATTATCCCTAACTCCTTCTTTAATACAACTGAGTGACCTCTTCTCTTTTTTTCTTTTGCTGCAGAGCTTTTCTCAAGAAAGACTGAGTGACCTATTCTTGTAATTAAATCTGGAGTCTTTGTACTGGCTTATTTTGTTTTTTTACATATAAAGATTTATTTATTTATTTACTCATATTGGGCTTTTAAGCATGACTTTCATTGTGAGTTTTGCTGCATGGTGAGCAGCCCTCCTAAGTTAGCTGAATAAAAAGCCTAATTCAATGCTCAGGAACAAAAATTCAAATCTTACTGTTTTTCAAAATAATATTTCCTAGTTAGACTCCAAGGAAGAAATACATCACTAAATATATTTTTTAATTTACTTTTCCTTTTTTTTTATTTCAATAGATTTAGGGGTACAAAATACAAAGATTCAAATCAGGCAAAAATCCTATTATGTGTGTTTGCACGTATATACTTAATTAAATGAAGACATTTGACAGATGAGAAGGTATTAGGAATACAATGATATTAGATAATATTAGGTGGTAGAAAGACATTAGAAGGATATTAGAAAAAGAGATTAAAATAACTCCTTTTGCTCTCTAGGGCAAAATATTAGCTCAGGTCTTTCATATTTGCTTAATAATTATGTGAGGATGATGTAAATTATAAATTATGTGTAATTATTCCGTATGTCAGTGGTTCTCATGGTTTTTGTTCAGGACTACGTCTATATTTAATATGAAGGAACCAAAGATTGTTTGTTTATATAAATTGTATCTATTGATATTTAGTATGCCCAACATTTTTAAAAACTGAGATTTAAAAAATTTTCTTCATCTATTTCTAATAAAAATACTAGTTTATTATATGTGAACATAAATAACATATATAAATAATACATTTTTTAAAACAAAAAAGGTTTAGTAAAAAGAGTGGCATTGTTTTACATTTTTGCAAATGTCTTTAATTCCTGGTTTAATAGAAGACAGCTGGATTCTTGTAACTGCTTCTGTATTCAATCTGTTGCAAGGTGTTGTTTTGGTTAAAGTATATGAAAAAAATCTGGCCCCACACAGACATAGTTGGAAAAGGAAAGAATATTTTAATAGCCCATTCAGAAGATTGTAGATGTTCTTCCTTGGTACTACATCAAAACTCTACAGATGTTATTTTCTTAAAGGATAATTACAATGTGCAATCTGAAATTAAAGAACTTTGTATACTTGGTACATTTACAGGAGAATGAGTGTGGAAAAGGCAAACCATGGTTTAGTAATACTGTAAGGATATTTTTGTCCCTGTAGTTTCCATAAAAGGATCCCAAGGATACATATGGCTGCCCAGACCACACTTTGAATCTTACAGCCATGCAATATTATAAATTTTAATAATCGTATCTTGGGACACAAGGAACCAGCACTATTGAAAAAAGAATGCAAGAAGCCATTAGGTAACTTGCCTAGACTTTGCCCAGCTAATTCAGGAGAGAAACGCAATTTGAATTCAGTCTTCTCTTTTTATCTCTCTAACAGGCCATATGCCTTCCAAAAAATGCAGAAGTAAGGAAAGGCAGAGGCATCCAGTGTGATTTTTCCCTGCAGACCATAATTCTTCAGAGATAAATTGGGTTTAATAGCTACTGAGCACCAAGTTTTAGAAAGAATCTGATTGGTCTTTTGGCATTGCTATAAAAACACATTGGGTAAGAAGCTCCTTAGTGGGAAACAAATTCCAAGGTGAAATGTAAGAAAAAGCAGAACTGGAGTAGAAATATGAAGGAAGAGCTTGGGAGAGAGAAAATGACAGATTAGGCAGTCCGGAACTGAAGTGGCAAAATCCCAGAGAAATGTTGATTATTTCATCCAAGACAGAATGAGCCTGCCATTGTATGCCCCAGGACTCAGAGGAGATCTATGCAAAGGTGAAGGAAGACCTATTCCTTACTGACTCCTCCTTGTCCTCTTCTCTACTTTTGGATTTTCTAGTGCAGGACAATGAATGAACAGGATTCCTAGATATATTTACCATTGTCTTCATAGTCCTAGCACTGTTCAAATAAAGATAGCAGAAAAGCTAGAAACAGAATAAAGGTAATTAAAGAAATCTAGAACTCAAAAGTACCTCTATTAGTATAATGTGTTTAATATGGTATTGTGATATATGCAGGTATAACATAACAAATTTCTGCCTTAACCAGATTGTGGGAAAGGAAGCCAGCATCTGCTGAACACCTGCCTCATGCCTGTCACCCTGTTCCATGCCAGAGATAAAGAAATGAAAAACTCAGTAAACACCAAGGTGTCCCCCACTTCACCCTAGTGAAAAACTGGATTCACCGAGAATGTCAAAGAAATGTTGCACTATTTCCATAAAACCTATGTGACAGCTATAGATTTTTCTAAAATTGAAAGCTACTTCTAATGTCAAGGAATTAAGCATTTTATATGCCCTGACCTACATTTTTGTCTATTTGTTTCTTTTCAAGAAAATATGCAAGGCAAGACAGATAGTTCATAAGGCAAATCTACGTAGGTTTCTATTTTTTTACATTAGTTTAGCAAATAGCACAGCTATGCCGTTATGTTGGGAATAAAATTATAAACCTAAAATAACCATTTAAAGTTCAATTTGGTTTGTAAAATTAGATTTGGTTAAAATTAAACTTTACTAAACCAACTGTAAATAGCGGTATTTTCATCAGACATTTTAAAACACATTTTAATTCAAGGCATGGATATGATGGAGGAAAGGAGAAAGCCATATGTTGATTTGAGACTTTTTTTTTTTTTTTTTTTTTTGAGACAGTGTTTCACTCTTGTTGCCCAGGCTGGAGTGCAATGGCACTATCTCAGCTCACTGCAACCTCTGCCTCCCGGGTTCAAACAATTCTCCTGCCTCAGCCTCCCAAGTAGCTGGGATTACAGGCATATGCCACCACGCCCAGCTAATTTTGTATTTTTAGTAGAGATGGGGTTTCACCTTGTTGGTCAGGCTGGTCTCGAACTCCTGACCTCAGGTGATCGGCCCACCTTGGCCTCCCAAAGTGCTGGGATTACAGTCATGAGCCACTGTACCTGGCCTAATTTGAGACTTTTAAGACCAGAAGAGCCTCACAATATTTTTTACAATGACTAGAAGTAAAAGCTGCCGTATAGTTTTCTACTATTAAATTTGTTGTCTCCAGTCTGTCTCTCTGGATCTAAAGAAAATTTAACAAAATAAAAATAATATTGTTGTCATTTCTATAGCACCAGTTCTTATAAAGCCTTTTCAGAAATGGTTTAAAAGTGTTGCGAGTAACTGGAGGTTGCTAGTGATCAAGTATGCTAGTCTGTAAGCTTCCCATCAGCTGGAACCTGTTCAGCATTGTTACCTATAGCTTCATGTAGTACTTGGGACATAATAGTTGCACAATTTTTGTTGAATGCTTTCAATTAGATGTGTAAGAGAGTACTTTCTTTATTATTCCTGTATAAGAAATTTAGAAATTGATAAATACTGAGCGTATTTTGGCCAACCTCTACCCAAGGTTTTACTGCCTAGGCACTACCCGTAAGTCAGGGTTGGACTAAATGGGGTCATCTACAGAGTCAGAGAGGAGAGATCCTGAGGAATTAATCAGATCAAGGCAGGAAAGGTATTGCCCAAGGGGTCCCTGGTAAAACCACAGAGCTGAAAAAGAAAGAAGAAAACTCTGTCTAAGAAGATTGCTGAGTTTGGTAGACAAAAGAGCCAAGAGAAAATGTAGAAGTGAGATAATATTTAGAAAATGGAGACGGGAGATAGCCTGTGAGGTCAGTAGACAAAAAGACAGGGGAAATTAATACATGAAGAAGTGAGCAGGATGTAAATCTATGCATGGTGAGCATGCAGTGTGCTCTTCCTTTTACGTGGACATGTCTACCTCTTCTAAGGAATGGAAAAACTCCAAGTTGCACTACACCAGACCAGATACCCCCAGTCATTCTGTTTAGTGCTTCACTGGAGGAGAATATTCTGAAAGCCAGATACCACCTTCTCTCTGCCTGTGATACTAGGTAAAATAAGAGGAGGGTTCTCTCTCCTAGCATGATCCTCTTCTTCCCTACCCTAGTAGATCAGTGGAAGCTCCTCCTTGGGAACCTCCCCAATCCTGCTAGAGATACCATGACTATTTATTTAAACCCAGAATGTCTTATGCTATCTTAAGCCTATCAACTTCGATTCTTTTTTTCCACTTAGAGAACAGATTTAATGCTGTTTATTTAAATGTCATCCAGTCATCTTTCCTTCACTTCCCAAGTTAATAAGACCTGAAAAACATGTAACACCTTCTTTACAAAGAGACTTCGCATATGAATGAAAAAATGAATGAATGAATGAATGAATGAACGATTTTCACTTAGGCAGAGAGGTGGTAAAGGTAACTTAAGATACCTCAACACCTATACCCTTTGCCTATATATATGAAGATGCATTGTACTTTCAAGAGCGATTTTAATGACATGAGTAAGGGAAAAGTATTAGGTTAGTGCAAAAGTAATTGTGGCTTTAATAGAAAAAGATGACAAGCTTTGTTATGGCTTATTTGTTAGAGCAAACTGTGATGACAGAGTGCCTAGAGCTGAGTACTTGCTCTGCCATTTATGTCCTATGAACTTGTTAGATAGAGGGAACAAGAGTTCACCATCTATCTTTTAGCTATTTAAAAATATACAATACATTATTAACCTGCTATTTAGAAATATGCAATACATTAGTCATCCTGCTGTGCAATAGAACACCAGAGATTCTTCCTCCTGTCTAACTGCAACTTAGTACATATGGATGAAAATTTTCCCCTTTCCCAGTCCACCATCCCACCCCGCCTCTGGCAGTCACCATCCACTCTCTACTTCTATGACTTCAACTTTTTTAGATTCCACATATAAGTGAGATCATATGACATTTGACTCTTTGTGTCTGGTGTATTTCACTTAATATAACGTCCTTTAGGTTCATCCATGTTGTGGCCAATGGCAGGATTTCCTGATTTTTATTGCTCTGATTTGCTCTTTCCATGGTGTATATGTGTATTAAAATATCACTTTGTCCCCCATAAATATACACAATTATTGTTTGTCAATCAAAAATAAAACTAAACAAAGAACTTCACCTTATAAGGTTTTAGGGGGCATTAAATATTTTAGAGCAGTAGCCGGTACACAATATTTGCTAATATGTTAGGTAATGTGAAGGATAACAGAAAGGAAACCCTGGTCTCTACTTTCTCATAGAAAACAAGATATTTGGAAAGAGAAGGCATAAAAGCTCAGTCATGGAGAAGAGGCTGTCTAAAGGTAATCATACAAAAATGCCCAGTGCAGTTCAGGGCTTGTGCCTAGGGTGCACTTGTTCGTTCTAACACTGTATCTTTATTAGCTCTTTAATTCATTTCAAAGTTTTTAAGTTTTACGGTGATCATATTCTCTACCACATGTCACAAGTACATGCCACCTCAAGCCGGACAATGTGAGTCAGTCATGACTTGAGCTCATGCAAAACAATCTGCTTTTCTTGTTTGCTGTGTATTTTAGGCACAGTGTACACAGGAACTCTGGTTAGATCTGACTTCAACAAAATGACTTGGCTGGAATTCATGTAAGATATCCAGGAAAAGAACCAATTGTCCTCCTTCAGTACCACTATTTTAATAAATACAAACCACGAAGTTGGGCTTAAAATGATTTGCTTTGAAAAAGCAGAGGTTACAGCACCCTCACCTCTAAGAAATAGACCACTGCTTCCAGAGCTGTGCCAGAAACTCATCTTTCCTCTCTTGGGCCTGACTTGAGGCTGGAGATGTAAGGGGATTCCTGACAGAGGGCAGGATACACATGCCAGTCTTGTCTTTCTCTTGGGTTTGGGGTAGGAATTAGTGGGTGTTCTTTCTCCATCCAACAAGCCTCTCAATCTACTAGAAAATGAGGAAATGCACTCATTGTAAAGTCTGGATCATTTCAGCTTTGAATTAGAGGATTGGTATTTCTCTTGTGGATTGCAAAACACACACACACACACGCAGGTCACTAATACAGGCTTTAGGTTAAGATGTTAAATGACATTTCCCTCTCTCTTCATTTCCTATATTCTCCCCCTGCCAACTACCACCCTTTTTGGCCTTTTATTTGTTTACAAGCCTTGCATTTCAAGCCACTGAAGAATCCAAATCTTGTTCACTCAAAAAGTGACTTTCCATTAAGGAAGGAAATTCATAGGAGCAAAAAAGCTTAGCAGGACCCACACTAAATAGCTTCATCTCCCAATGATTCAAGGAGCTGGCACTTGGTGATTCCTCACATTATTCTCTGAATGCCATGACCTATATGTCAAAGTGAGAGGACGCTTCTGGATGTTTCTTGTCTTTGAAAAGTAATGCTCCAGGGACAAAGAGTTTCTTTTTCTGGGCAGTAATGACGGCCACGAGGTGGGAGCCATAAACCAGGCAAGCCTGGGCAGTGTGCATGCTGACATTTTTCATTCCTAATATCCCACAAGTATTTCAGCTTCAACAGAGCCTCTGTGCAAATGAAAAGGAACTTTTTTGTTTCTAGATTTTGTTATATTATGATTGAAAATTCCTACCAGCCTCCCAGTTACCCGTTTGAAGATAGACCGGCAAAACTATTTTTACCACCTTTATATCCTCCCATTTTACAAGCAAAAGGAATTAATAATATTAGTGTCGCTTTCTCTAGGTTAATAAAATTCATGCTTCTTACTTCCCCAGAGCCTTTTGCCTGTGCATTTAGAAATCCCAGCAGCTATTGTTCAGCCAGGGCTGCCCACAACCCATTTCTAAGCGATGTGCAAGTAGGCAGATTAGATCCCAGACATAAAAATTAAAATTTAAAAAAATTTTAAAAGCATGGCCAACTTTTGTAAATATGAATGACCTATTCTAAAAGAAAAGAACTAACATTTTGCACAAAGATGGAGATATGTTGGTTTATTTTTTTCCATCTAGAAATAGTTGATAAGACCTTTATCCCCTTTACTCCCCCCAAACCTCCAACTTCCATCCCTAAGCACCCTATTATTTGGAGGAAAAGTCCATTCAGACTCCTTTCCTTTCCTTCCTACCTGCCTCCCTCTCTCCCTCCCTCCCTCTCTTTTTCTCTCTCTCCCTCCTTTTCTCTCTCCCATCTTCAAACATTTCTTGAATGTATGCTATGTGATAGACACTGGGCTCAATTATAGGAACAAAGCCATGAACAGTAAAACACAGTCTCATTCCTAATAGCGTATAGGCTGGATAGTAAGAAATATTACATAAATAATTACATACATAATATTCTATATATAAATGTACCAATGATGGCTGGACGCGGTGGCTCACACCTGTCATCCCAGCACTTTGGGAGGCTGAGGCAGGTGGATCACCTAGGTCAGGAGTTCGAGACCAGCCTGACCAATATGATGAAACCCCATCTATACTAAAATTACAAAAATTAGCCAGGCATGGTGGAGTGCACCTGTAATTCCAGCTACTCGGGAGGCTGAGGCAGGAAAATCTCTTGAACCAGGGAGGTGGAGGTTGCAGTGAGCAGAGATCGCACCACTGCATTCCAGCCTGGGCAATAGAGCAAGACTCTGTCTCAAAAAACAAACAAACAAATAAATAAATATACCAATGATAACTACGATAAATGCAGAGTTTAGGGAGTTATATAAGCACATACCGAGGACTTAAAACTCATCATAAAGGTTTTCCCAGATGCTGATGGGTGATTTAGAATTTTCTATCTTACCCTTATATTCCTAGAGTTTTAAAAAACATATTATTCATTGCATAATTTTTAGCTTTACCATAGTTCACTGCAACTTTTTACAACTTGGTGATTTAAAAAAATATATATATTCATGTAGCCATCACCCAAATCAAGAGAGGCTTTTTCATGCTCCTCGTGATCAATACTCCTCCCATCAAATATAACCATTATATTGACTTTTATCACAAGTGGAATTGCTGAATTGTCAGGTATGGGGTGTATTTAGCTTTAGGAGATACTGCCATACAGTTGTCCAAAAGGAGTTATACCAATTTACTCTGGCTCAATTGTTGGAGGATATATGGTTTGAGAACCCCTGATTCACAATAACCTGGAGAGCTGGTGAAAAGTGAATATTCCTGGAACTTTCTCTGGAACCACTGAATCATACTCTGTGTTGAGGGGGCCCAGGAATCTGCATGATAAATTCTCCAGATACTTCTCTGGATTCAAGTTTGAGTTCCACTAGGTAAAAACTAAATAAATCTTGATGTTTTTATTTATTTATAGCCTGTATTGAAATTAATCATCTTCTCTTTAATGCATACTTACCCTTTATGTTAGGTCTGGCTGGCTTGCATTATTTGTAATGTGTTGGGCCATACATGAGTTTTTCACAAAAAGTTTTTTTTTTGAAAAAAACTTCTTGTTGCTAATGTAAGTGATTTCTTAAGCTGTATCTCATATTAGAAACAGATGTTTGTAAAAATCATTGCCTAAAGACGTTTTTGACATCCTGCAAGATCTTTTTTTGTTGTTTTATTTTTATTCTTTCTCAAAATTGATTTAGCTTTTCACCTTTTGGTATATGTTTGTGTATATTCAACCCTGAAAATACATGAGTATTGTAAAAATGCTATTTGCCCCACTTCCTTTCTGAACAGAGTATAACATATATTATTAGAAAAGAACTATTGTTTGTTTTATATCTAATACACACTGATAAAAGCAGTCAGCGTCTCCACTTCCGACTTAAATCAATATCAACTATCTGTTAATTCTTATAGATAAGGCATGTAATATATTCTAGAATTAGCTGTGATGTAGTCGAAAACAAGGAGGCTTGTATGAAAAACAATCTGGTGAAACCAATAAAATTAAAATACAAAATATCAGAAATAAATAATTCACTGGATGAATTTTCAGAAGATTGGCCACTGTAGAAGAAGAGACCATTGAACTTAAATTAATAGAAATTACACAAGCTGAAGAATATACTTTTAAACAAATAGCAAAATTGATAAAGTGGTAGAATAATAAGAGACATTTTGAAAAGGCAAAATTAGTTTTTTGAAAAATTTTAAAAATCTTAATAAATAAGACTAGTTAAGACAGAAGACAAATGTTTACTTTTGGCAATAAAAAAGACATCACTACAGATCCTATAGATATTTAAAAGTTAAAATAACTTTATAAAGAATTTTAGGCTGATACACTTGAAAACTTAGTTTAAATAGGCAATTATTTGAATATGACATCCAACCTGATCCAAAAATAAATTAAAAATATGAATAGCTCTACCTCTGATTTTTGAAAATGGGATTTTAAAATAAAGCTACTACTGCTATGTCAGAGAGTTTCTCTGGTTTTTCTATAAAATATCTAAGGGAGAAATAACATCAATTCTAGATAAATTCTTTTAGAAAATATAGCAGTACAGAATGCTTTCCAACTAGTTTTTAAAATTCCAGCCAAATCTAGATTACCAAATCTGACAAGGATATTACAAGCAAGAAAAATCACAGACCAGTATTTCTAATGAGCTCAGTTGCAAATATTCTTAAATAAATATAAGCATATTAATCCTAGCAATAATTTTAAAGGGGAATATATCACAGCCAAATTGGGGTTATTCCAGGGATGCAAGTTTTGCTTAATAGTCAAAATTTAATTAATGCAACTCCCCAAATAACAGGGGGGTTAAAAAATAGAAAAACAAAATGACCATTTCAACTGGATGAAGAAAAAGCATTTTTAAAATGTCCACATCTACCCATGATAAAATATCTCAGCAAAGACCAATAACAAGAAACTTTATTAATCTTATAAAGGGGATCTGCAAAAGAATCTTAAGCTAACATGGTACTTAACAGAGAAAAAGATAGAGTGTTTTTCCCAAAAGATTGGGAAAAAGCAATGATGTTTGTTTGCACTATTTTTATTCAACATTGTACTATAGATTTTAGCCAATGTAATAGGACAAGAATAACAGGCAAAATAAATAAAGATTAGAAAGATAAAATTAAAACTTTATTCATAGATGAAATAATCTTGTGTAGAGAAAATTCTCGGAAATCCACATACAATCTACCAGAACAAATAAGCAAATTTATTAATGTTACAGGATACAAGGTAAATATACAAAAAAAACAAATAACAAATGCATTTCTATATAATAATAGTTACCAATTAGAAAACAAAATTTTTAAATGTTATTCACAACTTCATGAAAAAGTATAAAATACTTAGGGATAAAATTTTAAGACTATGTGCAAGGCCAGAACACTGAAACTTATAAAACACATTTTTTGAGAGAAAATTGAAAATACTTAAACGAATGGAAAAATATACTATGTTGGTGGATCAGGAGACTAAATATTATGAAGATGTCATTCCTTTTCAGATAGATCTTTCAGTATTCAATTCAGTACCAGGAACTGACAAGCAGGAACTGACAAGCCAATTAAAAAAATATATATGGAAAACAGGTTTGAGAATAACCAAAAGAACAGAAAACAGGAACAAAGTTGGACGTATCACACTACCTGGTTTCAAAAATTAGTATATAGTTATAGTAATCAAGACAATAGAATTTTAGCTTAATAGAAGAGAATAGAAAGTTTAGAAATAGATCTCAACGTATGTGGTCAACTTATTTCTATAAAGATGCCAAGAGGCCGGGCACAGTGGCTCACGCCTATAATCCCAGCACTTTGGGAGGCAGAGGCAGGTGGATCACGAGGTCAGAAGATCAAGACCATCCTGGCTAACATGGTGAAACCCCGTCTCTACTAAAAATACAAAAATAATTAGCCAGGAGTGGTGGCAGGTGCCTGTAGTCCCAGCTACTTAGGAGACTGAGACAGAATGGCGTGAACCCGGGAGACGGAGCTTGCAGTAAGTAGAGATTTCACCACTGCACTCCAGCCTGGGCAACAGAGCAAGACTCTGTCTCAAAAAAAAAAAGAGAAAGATGCCAAGAAATTTAAAAGGGAAATGATAGTTTTCTCAACCCAATGCTACTGGAATAAGGATAAATCTCCATATGGAAAAATAAGATATTTCAACCTCCACTACAAAAATACATTAAAATTAACTTGAAATAAATGCTAGAACTAAGTGTAAAAGCCAAAACTGTAAGCTTCTAAGAAAAAGAAAGAGAGAGAAAGCATTTGTGACCTTGGAGTTGGAAAATATTCATTAGATGGGACATAAAAAGCATAAAGTATTTTTTAAAAGGATAAGTTGGATTTTATCTAAGTTAAAAACTTTTGCTCATCAAAAGACACTCTTAAAAATGAGAACACATTACACAGATTGGGGCAAAGAAAAAGTGCAAGACAAATATGTGATAAAGGATCATATCCAGAAAATGTAAAGAATGCCTACAAACCAACAATAGAAAGAATAACTCAATAAAAAAAAAAAACTGGCCCAAATACTTGAAGAATGACTTCTCAGAGAGGATACATGAATGTCCTATAACTGCAAAAAAAAAAAGGTATTCAACATTATTAATCATCTAGGAAATGCATATTAAAATAAAACAATAGGCTGGGCATGGTGGCTCACACCTGCATCCCAGCACTTTGGGAGGCCAAGGTGGGCAGATCACCTGAGGTCAGGAGTATGAGACCAGCCTAGCCAACATGGTGAAACCCTGTCTCTTCTAAAAATACAAGAATTATCTGGGCATGGTTGTGCGTGCCTGTAGTCCCAGCTACTCGGGAGGCTGAGGCAGGAGAATCACTTGAACCTGGGAGGTGGAGGTTGCAGTGAGTGGAGGTCGCACCACTGCACTCCAGCCTGGGCGACAGAGCAAGACTCCATCTCAAAATAAATAAATAAATAAAATTAAAATAAATAAAATAAAACGATAAACCATTTCACACCCAACAGGATAGCTGAAAGTAAAAACTGGCAATATCAAGCCTTCGTGAAAATTTGGAACAACTGATGTGACAGTTAAATTGTACAATAATTTGCAGAATTATTTTGACAGTTCATTGCATTAATCTTTTAACTCAGAAATTCCATTTCTTGAGAAATGAAACATATGCCTACCATTAGGACAAAGGATGAACCAATTGTAGTAAAATTATATAATGAAATATTACTCAGTAATACCCATGTTATAGTAAGACAATCTTCAGCATATTATTTCTTCTGTATCAGTAAATGGATGCATTATTCTAGTTTATTTCCCATTTATTCATACAACAGTACTTAAGAATCAAGTTGGTTCTTCATATATATCCCATATGGAATCTTTCAGCAATACTGCTAACAGTATTTCCAAAATACCTACTAATTCTATCTTCTTTCCATGTATATTGCTACCACTTCAGTGCCAACTGCTGTCATATCTTACCTGAATTATTATAATAATTTCATTTTGGCCTTTTTCTGTTCTCCCCAGTGATCCAGACTTTAGTCATATTCTTGCTGTTTCTCTAATATCAAGCATCTTTCTCTCATCACTCTTCAAACAGGGCATGGTTGATGTATTGCCTTTCAGACAGACCCACACCAAGCATTCCTTGAGGTTAGGACAGGAGGATACATGGAAAGCCACAGACATCATGTCCAAATGACCAGCTAACAAACTATTAAATGGAATGTATTATATCATGTTAATCTTCCAAACATAGCTTTGTAACAAAGAAATTAAATTGTACATATGTAGACCTATAGAGTTAATTTGATTTCAGGTGGGTGAAATATCAGACAAGTGAATCTAATCTAATTATTATTACACATGTGACAGTGTTCAAGATGAAGGGCTGGCAATGTTTAGGTGAGTAATAGAATAAAGGCATACATACTTTATAAATTTTTGTATAATAATTCCATAAATTTAAATTTCTTGCTTTCACTTTAGTAATATCATTCATTGTATTGTTTTAATTAATATGTTTGCATAATTTGGAGTATATTGATAGTAATGATTAGAAGAATCAAAAATAAAATTCAATTTTTTGAATTATATAGTATTTGAATATATGTGAATATACTTTCAAAATTGTAAAAAAGAATAAAAATCAGTAATAATATAGTCAGGCTTTCAAAGAGTGATTTTTCACTATTTAAAATTATCTATTAAAATTAGAAAGACAAGAAGCAAATAATGGCTAATGATCAATTTAAAATAAAAATTATATAACATTTTAAATATATTTATATAAACACTTGTGTATTTTAAATATATATTTAAATAAATATTAAATAAAACTACAACTTTTTGCAATTCTAAAGTTCAATGACCATCTAGTTACCAATATAAAGAAATGGTATAAGATTCCATGCATATTACATCTAAACCTACATACACACACACACACACACACACACACACGTATAAATACACACTCATCTATGTAATTCATATATATATGAGTTATATAGTTATGAGTTATATATTGCAAAATACCATCCTGATTCTTAATTTCTTCTAAATTTTCTAGAGCTTTTGCAAATAGCTCTCCAAAATTTAGAAGAAAAATATAGCAAGAAAATGGACCTATTGTAGTATAGGGAAATAATTCTTTTTCTATGCAGAGAATTTGGACATTTGTTTTTAACTGACAAAAATTTGTCTTTTTTCTTACCTAAGCAAGTCAGCTGCTCAAATATTTTATAGACTCCAACACGGTGTCCACTTCTGAAATCAACAATGAGCAATGCACAAATCTCCACTGTCTTTTTTTGAGGACATAGGGCCAAAAGAGATAGAGAACCCTTTTCCTAGAAACTGAATGCTGGCCGGGTGCGGTGGCTCACGCTTGTAATCCCAGCAGTTTGGGAAGCCGTGGCGGGCAGATTACCTGAGGTCAGGAGTTCGAGACCAGCCTGGCCAACATGGTGAAACCCTGTCTCTACTAAAAATACAAAAAAAAAATTAGCTGGGCATGGTGGCACACGCCTGTAATCCCAGCTACTCAGGAGGCTGAGACAGGAGAACTGCTTCAGCCCGGAAGGCAGAGGTTGCAGTGAGCCCAGTTCATGCCACTGCACTCCAGCTTGGCCTACAGAGCAAGACTGTCTCAAAAAAAAAAAAGAAAAGAAAAAGAAAAGAAACTGAATGCCATTAGTCATGAGGGTAGGAGTTTAAAATTAAAGCCCATGCTGTGCCTACAATGATAGATGCAAAGTTAGACATGCATTCATTTATTTTTGTGTGTTTTAAATAAATGCGTGTATGTATGCATATGTATTATAATATGCAGGCTCTCAAAAGCACAGAGCCTAAGGCAGGGGGTCCTCTCGCCCAGGTATAAGTTACTACAGTCAGACCACAGTACCTTCCTTAACCTTCAGTACAACTGTCACTTCTTCTGTCTCCTTGTCACTTTCTATCATTCTCTTTTATTGTCCTTATAGTACTTCTCGTGTGAAATTACCTTATAGTTTTCCCTGTTTATAATCTGACTCCATTGACTAAAATATAAGTACTCCTATGAGAGGAGACACTTTTTCTGTATTCACCAAAGTAATTATGACAACCCAAAGCTTGCCACACATTGGACTCTCACTCAGTGTTTATTGAATGAAGAAATGAATTATATTTAACTTTGATTTATTGTGCATCGGAAAGAACAACACCCCTAAAATGAATCATTCTCTCCTCATGAATATGCTCTTCCCTTTTTTCCAGTTTTCAAATGTCATTTCCCACGAATATGGCCTTTCATTCTTCTGAAATGGGTATTAGTGTGAAAGATGAAACAAACTATTGTTCCTTGAAGTAAGAGGATATGACATTGCCAGAATATGTGATGGAGGGCATGATGAACCATTTTTCTTCCTGATATAAATTGTATCACAAGATTTCCTTGTTCTTTATAAGTTCAAACTAGTGAAATATAAGAATTGCTAATTTCTTAATTTATTCTTCAAAAATATTCAAAATAGTTACCAGAGGCTGGGAACGGAGTAGGGAGTAGGGGATGAAGAGAGGTCGGCGAATGAGTATAAATATAGACCAAAGGAAGAAGTTCTAGTATTAAATAGTGGAGTAGAGTGACTATAGTTAATAAAAATGTATTATATATTTCAAAACAGATAGAAGAGAAGATTTGAAATATTCTAAAAATCATATCAATTGAAATCGTGGACATAGAGAGAAGGAGGATAGTTACCAGAGGCTGGGGAGGGGAGTGGGGAGAGGTGAGGTTGGTTAATGGGTGCAAAAAATAAAGAATGAATAAGAACTACTATTTGATACAGCATTAGGGTGACTAAAGTTAATAATATAATAACTTAGTTGTATATTTGAAAATAACTTGAATGTAATTGGATTATTTGTAACTCAAAGGAAAAATGCTTGAGGGGAAGAATACCCCATTCTTTGTGATGTTCTTATTTCACATTGCATGCCTGTATAAAAACATCACATATACCTCATAAACATATACACCTACTATGTATCCACAAAAATTAAAAAATAAAAAATAAATTTAAAAAATGAATGATAAATATATGAGGTGATGAGTAACCTAAGTACCTTGATTTAATTATTACATAATATATTGTGTGCATGTATCAAAATATCCCATGTATACCATAAATATGTATAATTATTATCAATTAAAAATATTTAAAAACTAAAAAATACCAATTTTGTTTCTCTAAGACATCAAAAAGTTCTTAGAGCAATACAGTAAATTTCAGGGAGACCACAGACTCCAAGTCTGTGATCATTTGAATAAGCACAGCCCAAAATTTATCTTTGTGTTTATCTGTTGAATAGGAGGTTGCTAAAAATGTAACAATGTCAGGAGTATTTCAAATAGGAGATTTTGGAAAAGCAGCTGATTTCACTTGCTCAATAGCTATTTGTACAGCAAGATAATATGCTAACTTCTATGTTTCTTATCTATTTCCAATGCATATCTGTCCAGGACACATCTGGAAAATTTAATCATTAGTCCCTGTTACTGTTTGTGTCTGAGAGTAATAATAAGTTTAAGTAAGAAAGTCCTGCCATATAATCTAAGTCATAAATTTAACTTTGCTATTTACACACACATGTACACACATGCACAAGAGAAGTGAGGTTTCATTGAGTGCACGTAAACAATGACTATTCACCTCCTCAAGCATTTTTTACATGTGCAAGAAAATCTGTAATTTCCAGAAAAAATGGGAGCCGAGCCTTTGAGATATTACCTTTCAGCTTTTCAAGTTAGTTAGGTGGGTAAAAAGAATAAGATTAAAAGAAGAGCTCTAACATTCTTAAAGTATACAGATAAAATACATGCATACAAATATATATACAAACATACACATAAATAATTGTTTTCAGCTTTGCTAATAATAATTTTTGTAAAATTATGACAGTATTTCTCAAGAATAGACCCCATATCTGAAGGCAAAAAAATACATTTAAGATCCTGGTGTAAAGTAGTTGATAAAAATTGTAACGTAAATGGGCACGGCCATGTGCAGTGGTACACGCCTGTAATCCCAGCACTTTGAGAGGCTAAAGCAGGCGGATCACTTGAGGCCAGGGGTTCAAGGCCAGCCTGGCCAACATGGTGAAACCCCTGTCACCAAAAATACAAAAATTAGCCAGACATG
This sequence comes from Homo sapiens, assembly GCF_000001405.40. Taxonomy (NCBI): domain Eukaryota; kingdom Metazoa; phylum Chordata; class Mammalia; order Primates; family Hominidae; genus Homo; species Homo sapiens. The sequence goes on from NC_000008.11 coordinate 121,367,466, forward strand.
GTGGCGCATGCCTGTAATTCCAGCTACTTGGGAGGCTGAGGCAGGAGGATCACTTGAACCCCGGAGGCAGAGGTTGCAGTGAGCCGAGATTGCACCACGGCACTCCAGCCTGGGCAATAGAGTGAGACTCTGTCTCCAAAAACAAAACAAAACAAAACAAAAACCCAAGAACAAATAAGTAGGCACATGCCTATGCTAAAATTTTAATCTTCCTGAAAGCAAAATGTAGTTTACTGAAAACTGAATTTGAAATATCTGGCAGCAGTCTCATATATTTGTTGTTGAATTTGATGAAATGATATCACACCACCCATTTTCACATCCTTTAGTTTTATATCCACTACCCCAATGCATTCATAAACACATGATTAGAAAAAAGTTCAACCAAATACATTATTTACAACTTTTATTTCCCTGGCCCACCATAAACAAAGTGTAACAAAGGGGCCAAATTTACTCATTTCTCTATGCCTTCCCTTTAGAGCTGTTCAATCAAACATTCACCAAACATTGAGAATGTTGTGACAAATATAGTGCCAAATGCTAAAGAAACAAAATCGACATCTTTCCTGATTTTAAGGAGCTCACATTATAGTGGGCTAAATAAGTACTTCAACAAATAATAAGGCTGGACATGGTGGCTCATGCGTATAATCCCAGCAGTTTGGGAGGCCAAGGCGGGTGGATCACTTGAGGCCAGGAGATCAAGACCAGCCTGGCCAACATGGCAAAACCCCGTCTCTACTAAAGATACAAAAATTATCTGGACATGGTGGTGGGCGCCTGTACTCCCAGCTGAGGCAGAGAATCGCTTTTACCCGAGAGGCAGAGGTTGCAGTGAGCAGAGATCATGCCGCTGCACTCCAGGCTCGGTGACAAAGCAAGACTCCATCTCAAAATTGTAATAATAATAATAATAATAATAATAAATATTTAGTATAATAAATGTTTCATTAAAGTAGATAAGATGGAAAGTGACTGGCACTTTGCCTAAATGAGTTCACCAATTTCAGTCATTTGGATACCATCTTCCTGATATTTGCTCTTTTTGAATATATGAACTATAATTTAACATTCTTTCCATATATTGACCCATCATTTTGTATTTTCTATCATAAAAGAAATATTGTATAACACCTGTGTGTGAAAACATATCAATTGCCACAAAAAAAGTGACTTTAAAAATAATCTCAGTGCAAGCAGTGTTATAGAGTTCTGGCTAAATGCTGTCACCTGCCCAGGCTCTGAATTTGAGATCTTCTTCCTCTGGGTTAAAGAAGAGAGTTTAGCAATGCCAGGGAATTTTGAAAGACTCCTGTCACCAGACTGAGGCTTCTGCCTGATTTGATCAGAAGTTTGAAAGAAATTGAAAAGGGAATCATTGTCTCACAATGTAATTCACAACTATTTTTGTTTTCAGTTTGTTCTCTCTGTTTTTGTGTTTCTCTGTTTGAATTTTTCTATCTTCCTGTAGTAACTGAACATTTCCTAAAATCTCATTTTCATTCATCTACACTGTTTTTGAATGTATTTTTTATACACAAAATAGTGCAATTTTTAAGTGGTTGATCTGTGTATTACTATATATATATAATATATATTTATATACACACACACATGAATTTATCACAGTCTACTTGTGTCATCATTTTACATCCTGTGAAATTATACCTTTATTTACCTTTAATTCCCCAATTTATAAAATAATTTCCTTAAATATTTCCTTTGTATACATTTAGAACCACAGCAGAGAGTTTTATAATTTTTGCTTCAACCAGCATAATTTAGAAATCATACTTTAGAAAATTCAAGAGGAGAAGAAAAATCTATTGTAGTTACATATAGTTTTGCTAACAGTGTTCTTTCTCCCTTCCAAGGTTTCTTCTCTTTTGGCTTGTTTTTGTTTAGATACCATCCTTTAGTCATTCTTCTTCTGCAGGTCTACTGGTGACAAATTCTCTTATTCTTCTTCGTCTGAGAATGTATTGATTTCCCACTTCATTTCTGAAAGACATATTCAGAATTTCTTGGTACTTGAAGAACATTGTGCCATGGCTTTGTCACCTCCATGCTTTCTAATGAGAATTCCGCTCCACTGTCATTCAAATTCTATTTTCCCTATAGGAAAGTTGTCATTTTTCTCTGACTGCTTTCAAGATTTGCTTGTCTTTAGTTCCCAGAGGTTTAATTACAATGTGTCTAGGCATGGATTTCTCAGAGTTTATTCTATTTGGCGTTTGTTTCTTGAGTCTATTGGTTTATGTCTTGGCAAATTTGGGAAGTTTCTTTTAGTACTTCTTAAATAATGCCCTCTTTTTCCTTTTTTTCTGAAACTCCAGGGATGCCAGTATTATCTTTTGCTATTGTCCCACAGACCCTTGAGACTCCATGTTCATTTTCTTTTCAGTCTATTTTCTATGTATTTATTGTTCAGATTAGGTAATGTCTAATGTTCTTTCCTCCAGTTTACTGATTCTTTTCCTCTGTCTCCTATATTCTGTTGCAGAACACATCCACTGATACTTTACAGACAATTCCTGTCTCGGATTTTTTGATTAAATTGTGCCAAAATGATGCACATTCAATATGCTCCTCCACTTACAAAGGGGCTAGGTTCTGATAAACCATTCCCAAGCTGACTTACGATAGGTTTATTGGTATGTGACCCTATCATAAAGTGAGGACATTTGGAATTTATTATATATGTCAATTTTAATATCAATTTTAATATTACTTTGGTTCTTCTTTATCTAATCAGTTTCTTTGCTGAGGATTTCACTTTCTATCTCAAGCATATTTATCATTGTTCATTGAAACATTTTTATGATAGCTGCTTTAACATCTGTCAGATAGTTCTATCATCTGTGTAATCTCTATCTTGGCCTCTATTAGTTGTCTTTTTTCACTTGGTTTCAGATCTTCCTGATTCTCAGTATGCCCCGTGATTTCGTATTAGAATCTGAAAATGTCTGTATTATAAGACTCTGGATTTCATTTGAAGCGTTGGTTTTACCTGGCATTTTCTGATACCACCCTGGCTGCAGAAGAGGAGTGGCACATGGTTACTTCCAGGTGGAGATAGAAATCCATTTTCCTCACTCAGCCTCACACATAAGAAGGAGGATTCCTCATGACTGCTGGTCGGAGGTGAGGATTCCTGATTCCCATCTGGCCTCCACTGACACCACTATGGTAGTGGCCATGAGGGACCACTAGGTGATAGTGGAAATCTTGACTCTTTACTAGGCCTCATGTGACACCACCTCAGTGGCTAAGCAGCAAGATGCCTCATGACTGTGGTGTGCAAGTGGATCCATGTTCCCCAGGAGTTTCCACTGACAATCCCTACCCAGCACTCTCTGACCCCACACTGGTGGAGCTGCTGGGTAACTCATTACAGCATCACAAGTGTGGAAGTTTTAATTTCCCACTTGGCCTTTGCTGATGTGAGTGGAGGAAGTTTCCAGAGGGGTGTTCAATCTTTTGGCTTCCTGGGGCCACACTGGAAGAGGAAGAATTGTCTTGGGCCACTCATAAAATACACTAACACTAACGACAGCTGATGAACTAAATAAAATCACCCCAAAAATCTCATAATGTTTTAAGAAAGTTTACGAATTTGTGTTGGGCCACATTCAAAGCTATCCTGGGGCACATGAGACCCACAGGCCACAGGCTGGACAAGCTTACTATATTCTATAGTAAAAGTAATCTTACCTATTTAAGGGGGAAGTACTCATTTAGAAAAAGATTCATTAAAAGGAAAGTAGGTCGAAATGACATACTACTTTAAAAGATATCATGAATGAGAGTAAATAATATTAAAGAATTTAGACAAATACACTCAAAGCTGATGTGTGAACTAATGGTGCTTGAAATAATTATAAGTTGGAATGGGGCTGTACTAGGAGGCAGAACTGAGTAACTTACATCATTTCTGTGGCCAACTGAATCAGAAAAACAAATTGGAGATAATTCTACTTGACCACCTGTAGCAATCATAAGCTGTTATGCTGTAAAAACACAATCTCAGTGGCTCAAAGCAGTGCAGGTTTATTTCTCACTTGCTTATGTTCCGCTGTATATCTATCTGGAAGACTCTCCAAGGGAGATGTCTTTCATAAGGTGGCTCAGCTTTGTATCTCCATTTCAACACCAGCTACCACCACATGTCATCAAGCTAAGAGAACGCTATCAATTAATCATTAAATACTCACCTCCCAGGAGCAGTCATATTTACTTAAATGTCACTGACTAAAAGGAGGTACATGACCTGACTCAAGAGGCATGAAATTGTAATCCCTTTCTGCGGCTAAAAGGAAGAGAACCATACATATTGGTGAGCATCATCAATATCTACCACACTAACCTTCCTTGCTGGACCATTGTAAAGGGTAAAAATGAATAATGTATTTAATTCCCTCTGCCTAGTTACTGAAACAGGATTTATTCCAGTATATACAGGTATATGATTAGAGAAGACAAATCATCTTTTGCTCCTGGAGGTGAATCTCAATTAGTCTTCCAATAATGGTAATTAATTCCTCTGGCTTCAGTAGTGAAGGACTTCTGCTGTACGTTTCTAGAAAATATTCATTGCCTTTAATGAGGAACTTAGAGACAAGATATATCCTCTTTTCCCCTTCGTCCTTTCTGACTCGGTTATAGGAAGACATGAAGGTGGAAGTCGCAGGATTCACCTTGTGATTACAGGAGAGGAGCTAGAGGACAAAGTCCACCATGCTCAGAGAGGTAGAGTAAAGAGCTGTTAAAAACCTGAATCCTTGGTGGTGGTGTTGAACCGCTGACCCTGTATATTGGCTATGCTGCTACATGAGATCACAAATTTTCTTTGATGTTTGAGTCTCTTCTAGCTGAGCCTTCTCTTATTTTGGACAGAGTTTGGGGAACATCTTGTGAATTATTCTAAATATATAAAAAGAGTTATTATACAAGCCATTAAATATGTTTGCCTAGTATGAAAAGGTTTTTGAAATGACATCCGGAAGTATATTATTTTCTCAATTTTGCCTCCAATAATAAAAAGAAAATGGCAGCATAGCCCCATCTCCCCATCTTTAGGGCTGTGATAATTTCCCGTACCAAAGCTAAACAGTTTCATGGAACTAGATGGTTCTTAGTAAAGGAAAGTCCGTGGATGCTTCTGCTTTTATGAACTGTGTGAATCTAGAGAAATTCTGTTACAGAGGCCAGTTGTTGACTGATTAGCAAGTGGTAACATCACTGTGTTAAGAAAGGGGTGGATTGTTTTATGAAGATCCCCAAGGCCTGAATCTTTTGGCACCACTAACTGCTGGTGCTCCTCCCTCAAACATTAGCTTTAGCCTTTGGAAGATTGATACTCCCAGTGGGTGAGCATTGACGTACAGCCAAGATAGTGTGTGAAGTCAGTAATGCACTTTTAAACATTTTGGAATTTAGCTTCAAAGCTGAAGCCTCAATTAGAGAGATTAAAGGTAACTGAAACATGATTTAAGTCATCCTTCCCTACACTCTTCTAGTATAAGCAGAGCCATTCTCATGTCAGGCTCTTTGAAAATCCACTCAGAGAAGCGTTAATCAATTCAGTTATTTATTGGTCATTTATTAGGTAGAATGCTGGGCCTTTTAAACAAAATAAAGTTAATGAGACTTGGTCCTGGTCTTCAGGGAAGTCACAAACAGCTCATCAAGGAATGTAGAAAATAAGGGCAAATAATACAAGAAGAGAAATGACAAGGGTTTCAGGAGTGAAGTAAATAAGGAAAGAAGAGGTTTAAAATCTAGGAGTGATGTGCTTGGGGGAATTACAAATGTTTGTGCAGAAAGTGACCTTGAGATGGGTCATGAAGAAATGAATGGATTTAAACCTAAGAAGCCACAGTCACGGAGAAATTTATCATTGCAACGTAATTTAGAACAAGAGATTTGTGTTTGAACCAACATGGATTTGCAAACTTTGCTCTCTAAGAAACGAGTTAATCACATTGAGTCTGTTTCTTCACTTTAAAATGGGTATAATAATCCGGGCACAGTGGCTCACGCCCGTAATCCCAGCACTTTGGGAGGCCGAGAAGGATGGATCACGAGGTCAGGAGATCAAGACCAACCTGGCTAACACAGTGAAACCCCGTCTCTACTAAAAATACAAAAAAAATTAGCCAGGCATGGTGGCGCCCGCCTGTAGTCCCACCTACTCAGGAGGCTGAGGCAGGAGAATGGCGTGAACCCGAGAGGCAGAGCTTGCAGTGAGCCGAGATCGCGCGACTGCACTCCAGCCTGGGCGACAGAGCGAGACTGTCTCAAAAATAAATAAATAAATAAATAAAAATTAAAAATGGGTATGATAATACCTTATAAACTTAATTAAAAAGTAAATTCTATGCGTCATGTAAAGGTACTAGTGTCTGACCTACCCTTTATTTTAAAAATAGTAACTATTACCATTATTTGCATCTAGCTTCTCAGAAAAGGTGACATTGAGATGAACTCTTAAAGAATTACAGCAGATGGAAGTGTGGGTAAAATATATTATAGATGACTGAACAATAAAACTGAAGACCTTTTGGTTGGGTACACAGAAGAAAAGGGTAAAATGCAAGTGTGACTCTAAGAATGGGATCTGGGAATACCAAAGTTGCAATCAAGGTGCCATAATGTAGTTTAGTGAGCTGGTTATATCTGCATCATATAACTATATAGCACAGACAATGATAAAAAAAAAAGTGTCAACCTAAACAATCTAACAGTGAGATACAAGAGAAAAGCTATATAGCTGCTCAGCATCACTAGAGAAACCTTCTTATTTTGATTTAATTTTCTAAGAATCTCCAATATAGAAGAGAATTCAGAGCTTTATGAATGTAAACATTTGGGTCTGTTTCCAGAGATATTTGTGGACATTATAGTTGTATGTTAGGTGCTGTGCTGCAAATGTATGACACACATGCTGAGACCTCCTTCACCCACTGACTCTAGCTCCACCCAAGTACACACAGACAGCATGACAACATACTCCTAGTGGGTTTTGCCTGACACACATGCTGAGACCTCCTTCTTCACCTACCTACTCTAGCTCCTCCCAAGTACACATAGACAGCATTACTACATACTCCTAGTGGGTTACATCTCACTGTAGACTTGAATCTCATTGTAGACTTGTATCTTTCCGTACACAGCATGCTAAGTGACCTGTAGCACTGAGTTGAAGATGAAACTAGTTGCACATCTGTTTTAGTCTCTTGTTAATTTGTTGGATCTTGAATGTATGGAGAAATGGCAAAATTAAAATTTTTGAGCTGTGGAACTGAAGGCTGGGCAGAAAGATGTGATAGAAGAAGGCAGGAGGGATGAGGCAGAGAGAGAGCTTAGAGACACCTGAAGCTTAACCTGATTTGCCGTTGCTGACTTTGAAGATGGTGGTAAGGGGCCATAAGCCAAAGAGTGTGTGTCACCCCTGAAAGAAGAGAATGGTCCCCAGCTGACAATTGTCAAGATCATGGGAACCTCTTAGTTCTACAACTACATGTATTCTGCCAACACGGTGAATTAATTTGGAAGTGAACTTATCTACAGAGTTTCCAGAAAGGATCACAGCCCTGCTGATACCTTGAAATCAGCCTTGTGAGACTCTGAGGAAAGAACCAGCTAACCCATACTATACCCAAATTTTGACCACCAGAAACTGAAATAATAAATTTGCATTCTTTTAAACTTATGAGTTTGTGGTTATTTGTTACAGCCGCAAAAGAAAACTAACCTACAATTGAATAATTCCCTAGGAAATTTGTCTTGACAAGTGAGTACCATGAGAAAATACCCTATCTCAGTGTCTTCAAACCACAACAAGCAACAGAGTACTCACTGAACACGCAGACAGGCAGAAAGCTTGAGTTTCCTCCAGTACAAAGTAAGGATTAATATACATGGAAATTAGGTTTCTGAACTCATGGGGCATAGAGGGCCTCTCTGTACCCGAAGCATGATAGCATGTGAATACAGCTGCAATTTCCTGGTCTAAACTTCCCAGTGTCAGCTCTGAAGGAATGGAAAGCAGGAATCAATCAAAGGAAATAGAAAATCTAATTAGCAAGATTAATCAAGATAACTCACAGCTGGTTTTCTGCTCTGTATAGTCATAGATAATAAGGATACAATGCATAAAACTACAGCTATATTCCCACATTCATGAGAATTATTACATAACAGGTGTTTCCCAGTCAGGGGAAACAAGAGTGTAGAGGGTGGGATGGGGCGAAAAGAGCTAGGAATAATAATTTTGTGGCTTCTTTCTACTGGCTAGATGGCTAGATTGCAAGAACTCCAGCTGGCTTCCTCTTCTTGCCACTCACCCACAGTTCTAGTACTTTCTGCTTCTGTCAGATGACTAAGGAATTGAGACCAATACATTTCACTTTCACGTTGATGCTAGCATTAAACAAGTGATATCATGCACATATTGTCTGGCTTATACAATGTGGCTATTCCTCATCCTCCTTCTCTGCCCCTTCCTATCCTCCTCCCTCATACTCCTCCTTCTTCTTCTTTCCATCACATTTGTTGACCACCTACCACATGCCAGACATGTTGTGGACATTATCTCAATGTTGACAAAAGCACCCTATAAGGTAGGTAGCATGACTATCCCATTTTACAGATGAAGGTGCTAAGAATTATACAGGTTAAATAGCTCGCCCGAGGTCTGAACCTGGGAAGTGATGCTGGATCTCTAGAAGACTGACTTCAGCCTCCATGTGTTTTATCACACACTATAGGTTTTTCCTGTTACAGGTACCCTGAATCCTCTGTCAAGTGGCATCCTACAGCTGTTCTGCTTTTGGCCTAACCCTGGATAACACGCTTAGAAAGTGGCACAACCTTGAGTTGCAGAAAGTGAAAGGTACCTTGAGCCCCTGTTCAGGTGCTGAATCATAGCCTCCTAACATATGCTTTTGTCTGCACCAGTGTGGGACCCGGATATCTCACTCTTCCCACAAGCAGGTCTTTAGGTTCCCAGAGGCCCAGGGGTCCACTCCATGTCTGCCTTTTACCCACCATTCTGAACCTGGGGCTCTGCTTGGCATCCCTTATTCTCTCTACCTGGCTTCCTTCTCCTGCCTCTTCAAAGGGACTGTCTCTGGATGCTGCCTGCAAAAGGACTCCTGGCGCTTGATCCTAAGGCTTACGTCTCTCCTCTGCCGCCTCACTCAGCCTACCTAGCCCAGCAACTTAGAAACAGAGCTTCTGTCCAATTCTTATTTTCTGGGCTCACAGCTTGTTGAGAAGATGGTGAACAGCCCTTGACCATGCCAACCGTTCTCAGCACCATACCACAGGCTTTCACTACAGCGGTCCTACTTCTCCATCCTGACTCCTTGGGTGATTTTAATTTACTCTAATTAGATCCTAAACCAAGTATCCTTATTTTAAAACTAGCTTAGCTGCTTCTCCACACTTCAGGTGTATCTCTGGAAATACATTCATTGAGTTTTATCGCTATCGACCTCCTAGGGTTCTCTCCCTCACTCACACTTCCCTCACCCAGAGAAAGCATTTTATTTTCTGCAACCAACTCACATGCCCAGATTGGAGTTTCATTCCACTTGGTCTGCATTTCAGCACTTCCTTTTTTAACCTAATCTGAGGCTTTAAAGCAACCATTTGTTTAAAAAGCAGCAAATAAATATGGTAAAAAGTTAAAACCAGACAAAGGGGTTTTAATGAATAGCATACTTCCCACTCCATTTGGCCAAAGAAGCCACTTTGAACTGTTTCTGCTCTCCGTGCTCATACGGGTATTGTGTTTGTGTGTGTACGCATATATACACATTCATGTATATTCTTTTATTTTAAATACATGAAGCACATTATACACAATATACAATATTTTGTGTTTTTTTTCTCTGTGTTGGAGCTATTGTCTTATTAGCATATGCAGAAAGCTCTACCTCATTTTTTAACAGCCATCTAAAGATCATTATTTACCTAGCTGTACCCTAGTTTTTTCAATAGATCCCATATTAATGGATATTTAAGTTGTTTGTTGCTTTTTTGCTATGATATCATTATTTTAGTAAATATATTTTATATATATATAATGTGTGTGTATATATATGTATATACATATAATGTCTCCAATCAGTGTTTCAATTTCCTTTCTCTCTATTCCCTTTATATTATACGCTTATGTAATTACATTTAGTTCTTTTTTTTTTTTTTTTTGAGACAACATCTTTTTCTGTCACCCACGCTAGAGTGCAGTGGCACCATCATGGCTCACTGCAGCTTCGACCTCCCAGGCTCAAGCAATTCTCCCACCTCAGCCTCCTGAGTAGCTGGGACGACAGGTGCATGCCACCATGCCCAGCTAATTTTTATTTTTATTTTTTTTCTTTTTCAAAATGGGGTCTCACAACATTGCCTAGGTTGGTCTCAAACTCCTGGGCTCAAGCAGTCCTCCTTCCTGGGTCTCTTAAAGTGCTGGGATTACAGGTGTGAGCCACCATGCCCACCCTATTTATTTCTTAACTCATTTATTGATGATCTGCTTTCTCCACTAAACTATAATCTCCTTAAAGGCAGGAACCTCATTTTTCTGTCATTGCTATATTCCTGGAAACCCAAATAGTGTCTGGAGTATAGGATATATTAAGTTAGTTTTTTGAATAAATGAATCAATGAAGAAAGACATTCTTATATATTATTTAGAGTATACCCGTGGGATAAAGTCCTATAAGCGGGGATGTGAATTTAAAACATTTCCTGGTATTGCCACGTGTCCCTTAAGAGAGGCTGTGCCAATGTATAGTTTACCATGAATGCTGGAGAAGGCTTGTTTTCAGTCATCTTTTTCAACCCTTATGTGACACTGAGCAGGAGAATAGGGTCTGTGGGCAGGGAACATAAGGCCAATTCATGCTGACTTACTAGAACTAAATCAAATGGAAACACTTCAGCTATGACAGGAAATATCCTCTCCATTTACACAGGGTGTACACCGAGTAAATGACTTGGTAACTTTACTTCATCCTTTTCATTTACATAGGGCATACACCAAGTAACCGATGGAAACCTCTAGAGGGTATTTAGACCCCAGGAAATTCTGTAACCGGGCTTGTGAGCCCCTACGCTGAGGCCTGCTCCCACCTTATGGAGTGTACTTTCATTTTCAATAAATCTCTGCTTTTGTTGCTTCATTCTTTCCTTGCTTTGTTTGTGCATTTTGTCCAGTTCTTTGTTCAAGACGCCAAGAACCTGGACACCTTCAACTGGTAACATATTTTGGTGAGCCTTCAACCAGTAACAACACTTTTTGATCTTTGCCAATCCTACAGGCAGTTCTGTGCTAAATATTATAGGGTCAGAAACTTTTTCCCACCCACTAACCAAGTCCTTTACCTCTAGCACTTCAAATCCCTATTCACAACTTCCCTCGCCTCACAGATGCTCCTTGGCCTCCCCCCCGGGACTATGGTGCTCATCCTGGTGACCCAGTAGCCTGCTAGATGACAGACTCAGGGCTGGTGGCCACACAGGCCTGGAAGCAGGCTCTGGCCTTTGGGGCAGGGAACCCCAGGGTCCCTCATTCAGAGCGTGATCTAAAAGGTTGTGTGTGTGTGTGTGTGTATGTGTGTGTGTGTGTGTGTGTGTGTGTTGTGTGTCCCCTGGGTGAGCACATCGCCTGGAGGTAGCCAAAAACAGGGATCCTACTTGCCCAAGTCTAATTTCAATACTACTAATATTGGAAAGTGTTTTAGGTTCTTTCCTCAAAGCTGAGGTGAACATTTTTCATATATATGTCTTTCTTTTGAAATAAATCACTGAGCACCAAGCCTAGTTCCCTCACAGCTCCTAACAAGAAACAAAACAGTAATGTTTACAGACATTGAAAACACTGGAGAGAATGAAGGAAATGTCTTCTTTAATATGAACATTACTATACTTTTTAAAGCCAGTAAGTTCAGAAAAAATCCAAATGAATTAGTGTGCTACTACTTTGTAGGTAATTAATATATGGGACCTCTTATCCCAAGGGTACAGTTTGATAATACAAAATGCTATATATTCCTCTCAACTGAGGGGCTGTATTCCCAAACATATTGTTGCAAAACAAATTGCTGTTAAAAAATTATATAATTTTAAGATAAAGCAATGATTAGTAAATAGAAACATAATTGCAACTATCAAAGAAAGCCCTTATATATTTCATGTATGTCAAAATAAAAAGGATACATTTTCAATACATTACCTAATAAAATTGTCAATGACATTTTGCCCATCTTAAATTAGGAATGTTGGACAATATAAAATTTATTTTCATGTATTATGCTTTACTTTGAAGAAACTTTTCTATTTCCTTCTCCTACAGTTTTAATGAGATGGTTGTAAATTTGGTACATTTTGTAGGGAAAAGAAAACATCCAGTACTTCTCAAACTATTCGTGGAAAAGGTCATTTTTATCCACAAATCAATCCTTAACCAATATTTTTGTAAAACAAAAGAACGAATCACTAGAAATGTAAAATATAAAAGGTACAAAACAACAAAGAAAAAGACATACAAATTATGTCAATATGTTTTATAATCAAAAGAAACAAACTGTTATATATATATTTTTTCTTTCTTTTTATAAGAGCACAAATCCACTTTTACTTGTTGACTTTTCACTAGTTTAAATCCTTGAGGGGTACAGTGTCACTTGGATTCTGTGTCCAATAGCCTAAGCAGGAAGATTGCTTCGGAATATGGCACTAACCATGCCACTGTTTCCATGGGCCTGAGTTACCTTTCCCCAGATTACTCTGGTTTTGTTTGGTTTGCTGCCAGGAGTCACTGTGTTGTTCTTTGCTTTGTATACATAGTACATCTCTTGCCCAAATAGAATTCTGTTTCATCTCAGGCATAAACACCTTCAATTTTAAGAAGAGATGTGTGCACCCTTTGGTTCTGGAGACCCCACTTATAGACAGCAAAAATGGCCTTGGACCACAGGCTTCCAGATAATATTTCCTTTTAGAAGTCCTGTTCCCAGCAGGCCTCCACAGGATCCAAGATGGCAGAAAGAGGAAGACGAGCTATTAATTTTCTTAAAGCTTATTCTCAATGTCTATTCTCCTCCAGCAGACAGATAACAAACCTTTAGAAATCAGTTCTGATCTACAGAGCATAGGCATATCTTCCAGAGCTTGATTCCTTGTCCATATATTCCATTCCTTTTAGACTTTCTATAAAGTTTCGACTGTCACTTTTGGGACCCTGTTTAAATTCTTTCTTTATTCGTCCTAGAAAATCAAAGTAACTTGTGATAGATAAACCTTTGGATGACCTTGATTTAAACCAATAGCTGGAATTTAGTTGGTAAATGCTTTTCCCCATTTTGACTCTGCTGACCAGCAGATTTTGGAAAGCCACAGAGCACACGTCGCAGCCCTATCAGGCTCCCTCCATTCATACCCAGTTCATCTTCCCAGACAGGCTCTCAATGGCATTTCTAGGACTCAGGACAATTTTTATTTAATTTCCTTTATTTTTCCCAAAGTTGAAATGTAAAACTGTTACCCCCGCTCTTCTATTCTCTTTCCCTCCATTTTTCTCTCTCCAATATTTTATTCTCATTTTTTTCTAATGCTCTACAAGAAAAGCAACATAAAAATTAGTACCTAGTGAACACAAAACTCTCCCAGTTGAAGATGTAAACTGATGAAAACCTCTATAAATGAGAATCTTAAGTAAAGGAGGAACTCATAGTTAGCAAAATTAATTACCTAAAATTAACTTTAGATATAAAACATTTTCACTAAAATTTGTGGAAGAGAGATCTTCAATGGACTGTAACAAAAATCCCATGTCTGAAGAACTTTCCTAAAGCTTTAGTGTTTTAATCGGGTAACTAGGCATGTCTACACTAGCTAAATGGGTCTTAGGTGTGATATGATTTATCAATCTTGTTTTTATAGATAGGTAAAAGTTAACTTTTAAGCTCTTTACAACTGCACAGCCAGCAGTAAGTTCTCCCTTGGAGATATTCAGTAGAAAGCGCTATTGGAGGATCAAAGCCTCCCTGCTCTGAGGCTAGTTTGGGCGATAACAATCGGTGTGAACTTTATCACACCACTTCGTTTGGAGCTTCTGACTTGCCGTTTGTTAAATAAAGACAGTAAAACCTTTCAGGGAGGAGTGCAGATCAAATGAAGTGGTATGGTTGAAATTTAAAAGCAAAATCACCTCCCTGCAATGAAACCGTCACTAGTGACTAACGACTTCATGAGAATTTAATCTGAGCTTTTCATTGAGCATATGCTGTCTGCCAGGCTTTGTTCTAAGTGCTTTACACGCATTAACTCCTGTGATTTTCAGAACGACATGATAAGGCAGGTACTATATTCATTCTCATTTTGCATTTGAGCCAACCAAAGAACATTGAATGCCAAAATCGATTAAATCATTGACTCAGGGACACATGCCTAGGGAGTCAGAGTGCTGGGATTTGAACTAAAGGAAGTTCATAGTTAATATTTTTAACACTATGCTATGCGTAGCCCTGGAGATTCATGCAGTCTAATTAATACAGACACCCAGGGCTGGGTGCGGTGGCTCATGCCTGTAATCCCAACACTGTGGGAGGTCAAGGGAGGCAGATCACTTGAGGTCAGGAGTTGGAGACCAGGCTGACAAACATGGCGAAACCCCATCTCTACCAAAAATACAAAAATTAGCTGGGTGTGGTGGTGCATGCCTGTAATCCCAGCTACTCGGGAGGCTGAGGTGGGAAAATCACTTGAACTGGGAGGTGGAGGTTGCAGTGAGCCGAGATTGTGCCACTGCACTCCAGCCTGGGCGAAAGAGTGAGACCCTGTCTCAAAAATAAATAAATAAATAAATAAATAAATAAATAAATAAATAAATAAATAAATAATTTAAAAATATGGGCACCCAGATGTCATTGTCAACTTGGGTTGGCAAGTCCTGGCACATTTACCTCTTGAATATTTAAAAAACCTAACCCTTGCTCTGAACTTAGTCCCATTGTGTTCATTCAGGTCACTAGCTCCTACATTAGTAAACAATTATTCAGTAATCAGTCACTGTCAGGCATGTGTGAGATGTTGGAGGGCATCACAGTGAAGAAGTCACATTCACCACCACAGTGGTGCTTATTATTTCCATAAGGAAGACAACATTGAATGCATATGTACAGAATGAGAAAATAATTATTTGACAGTGACAAGTGCTATGAGGGCAAATGCCACTATCATCTTGTGCCTAGACTTCTGTAACAACCTCTTCATTGATCTGCCTGCCTCTAGTATTGTTCCATTCCAATCTGTTGAGCACAAAATGCAGTCTGACCCATCCAAAAGCAAATCTGACCATTTGATGATCTTGCTTAAAGTCTCCCATGCCCCTGTGCCATCACTCATAAGGTCAATCTAAGCTCCCTGGTAACTGGCTTCTACTTCCCTCTTCAGTTACTTCCCATATTCTTTGCTTCTGGATTTTATGCCACATTAATTAGACTTCCCTGTAGGCACTACTCTTCTATGCATACACCATGTTCCTACTTCTGTGCCTTTGTGCAGGTTGCCCTCTCTACTTGAACCCCTTTCCACCCTTCATCTCCTGTCTGATGTTTACCTTTCAAGAATCACTGCTTCTAGGAGGACAACCCTGACACAAGTTAAGAAGGACTGAAAGCAAACGACATTGGGGCTTTCATTCCTTGATCAAGTATTGTGTCTTTGTGTTATTTTCATCACTGCATAGAGGTGCCAAGGGCAATACCTAGAATGCAATTGACACTCAGCATATGTTTGCAGAAACGAACCAGAGAAGTTAGCAGATTCTATCATCTCTCCCAAGTCAGTAGTCCCTATCCCATTTCTCTCCCACTTGCCTACTGAAGGAGGATATTTATAGCTAAATCTTAATGAATATAATCAATATTTTTTCCAAGTACCATTCTCAGGTAAACACTGACTCTTGCTTCACCCCAGATTAGGCACCTCAAGCCCACAGGTCTGGGAATATTCTTGCTCTTTATAATACTTATTATCCACACATTTGGAGATACAGAAAACAATTTTTTACTTTCAGCAGGCACAGTGGTAAAAGGAAAAAGCATTGAAATGATTCTGCAACAATATTGCCTTCTATTTTTTATGTCAAAGATAGGTTGGAGGAGTTGAACACATAATGCAGCATGAAACAATTTTATTATATTTTGTCATATTCTAGAACCAGGTTTTACATATATTCTGGGTGTTTAATAAGCAGATTCTTTTCAGCTCTTCTGAATAAACAGGACATAGTCTCTTCTCAGTATATTAAGAAAGGCCCAGGAACACTATCCAGTAAAGACCACGGCTGAAATACAGTTTCTACTGATACACGTGATAGAAATTACAGGTGGGAAAATGAGTTGAAATTAAATATTTGTAAACAAAATAAACTTCTCCCCAATTCATTTGTCAATTTTTTTTCCTTTATGATCACATTCCCAACTAGAAGTCAGCATTTTTTGGAGTTAATTTAGATTTCCAAGGATATTTCCCAAAATTGCCATGAGATTCATTACTCAATATGCAAGAAAAATTAATGTACTAAGTTTTTACTTACATGAGTGCAATTTTAATATTTAAAGATTATGGGGAAGAAATATCATTGTACTTTTCTACCATATTCTGTGGAAAAAGAAATTGAGAGCATTTTCTGCAAGTTTTAGAAATGTCTCATTGGAAAAGTTAATAAAACCAAAGAATCAACACAATTCTATAGTTTTCTTGAGGCTAAAATTGTGAGCTATGTGTTTCCTTTTTAAGACAGAAACAGAACTCAACGTTAAAAGTACACTCAGCCAAGAATCATTCCCTGAGAAATAAGTTGCCTCAATCCTTCTGTACTCTGCAATAAAACGTAGCACAAGCAAATAAGAGTTTATTTACTGCTGCATAAAACTTTGGAGGAGCAGGCAGAGAGGAAGCCTGCTTTCGATTTCTACCATCTGGAAATATTAGAACTCAAAGCTAGGATATTTCCAATTTTCTTGTAGAATAATAAGTAATGTGTCTTCACTCACCAGCTCTGCAGGCCAGAACAGATGTCATAGGACTGATGATTGTCATAGGTAAATTTCTCCACGCGAGTACATCATTCCTCAAAAACTTGAGAAAACTATTAATTTGGCTTTTTAAAATGTGCAACCCCCACACGTTTTAAATTAGAGAAGTTATGTGCAAAGTCATCATTGCTCTGTTTTATAATCCCTTGTAAACATAGAACTTAACTCTTTCACACTTATTTTTCTTAACAATATTTCTTGAAAATAAGAAAACTATTTTTCTTGAAAATAAATAAAATTATTTTTTCTAAAGAACATCTGAATAAGCAGATTAGCCCTGAGTTTCAGAATCAGCCCTCTGAAGTATTGCTTGTCATTTTGCAAGTCACTTAACCCCTTTGGAGCTTCTGTTTCTCTTTCTGTAAAACAATACTGACCACCCACCAAATTTAAGGACCTGAAGGCAACCCTAGACTTCAGAAGTGTGCCAGTGCTTAGCATGAAAGTGTCATATAACTTGCAAGGAGGCAGTGTAGTCTGATGTGGAAACGGTTCAATTATCCCTCAGGAAACCAAGGTCTTTTTTTTTCTCAATTTGGAGACTAAGTGACCTCTGAGAGGCCATCCACTCTTAGAGCTTTGTTCATTCTTAGGGCAGCCTCCAACCTCAGTCACCACTGAATTTCAAACTCTCTTCTTTGTCCTGCTGACGTCTGGTTTGGTTTGGTTTTTCTCCTATACTCTTAATGTCTCCTTCTATCAGTTTCCTTGTCCTAACTGCTACGGTTTGAATGTGTCCCACAAAGTTCTTGTGTTAGAAACTAAACCCCCAATGCAACAGTGTGAACTGTTAAAGAGGTGATTAGTTCATGAGGGCTGTGTGCTCATGAATGGATTAATGACATTACGGTGGGAGTTTGTTATAAAAATGAATTCAGCTCCTGTACACTCTCTTTTGCCATTGTGATGTCTTCCACCATGTTATGACATAGCAAGAAAGCTCTCACCAGATGCAGCACTTTTATCTTAAACTTCCCAGCCTCCAGAATTATGTGTCAAATCAAATTTTATTGTTCATAAATTATGCAGTTTGTGCTATTTTGTTATAGCAGCACAAACCAAAGACTAGCATATTTAATAGTTTTTCACTGAGAAAATATGAAAATTGTTGGCCAGGCGCGCTGGCTCACGCCTGTAATCCCAGCACTTTGGGAGGCCGAGACGGGTGGATCACAAGGTCAGGAGATCGAGACCATCCTGGCTAACACGGTGAAACCCCGTTTCTACTAAAAATACAAAAAAAATTAGCCAGGCATGGTGGCAGGCGCCTGTAGTCCCAGCTACTCAGGAGGCTGAGGCAGGAGAATGGCGCCAACCCGGGAGGCGGAGCTTGCAGTGAGCTGAGATTGCGCCACAGCATTCCAGCCTGGGCGACAAAGTGAGACTCCGTCTTAAGGAAAAAAAAAAAGAAAGAAAAGAAAATATGAAAATTGTTATAAGATCCTTGTGTTTCTCTTCAAAAAAAGTCACTCCGAAAAAAACAAACATAAATAATAATAAATACTTGGTAAGTTCCCCCAGATAAAGTTGTTTTGCAGTTTCCAAGCAATAGACCAAAACTAAGTCAAGTTTTAAAATTTCTCCCTTTTACTGTTCCTCAACCTATTTTGACCCTAGATGAAAAGCATATATTTAATTATCCATGCTATTTTAATCATAAATTAAACCAAATTTTTCACTGAGAATTGAGAAATGAATTATACTTAAGAGAAAATGGACAGAGTGTATTCAAGGAAATTTAAAGATAAACAGCAACAATAAAGTTCAGATAAGATGATCATATAAACCACATCTCACTACAATTAATTCAAAGAAGTAATTTCCATTTATTTATTGTCTTTAATTGTGATTAGGGGAAATATTACTTAACAGGACTTTTTTAAAAGTGTTTAACAATTCTATTGTTATTCAATAATTTGAGGTTTTCATGATACCTGCTAGTTAGAAACATGATCTTAAAAAAAAAAAAAAAACTTTTGCAGTTATCTTCCCAAGCCAAAAAAAAAAAAAAAAAAAAAATGGGAATGCAGACTTCATGGTGATAGATACAGTACACCTTCAAGATGCTTCTGCTAGGCGCATCTCTTTTGCTTCTTGGGATATTGATTACATTCGGTCCTGTACACCATTGGTAGACTCCCAAAAGTTGAATGAAGTATGGAATAGGCACTTGTGATAATAGCTTCAGGTCCGTGTCAAAGTGCTTGAATGACAAGCAGCAAAAAGTGACCAGCAGCTCATTGGCAAGAGCTTTAAAGAGGCTGTGTTCACCTCGATCCAGTGAGTTTTTCTGGAGTTGGATCATTGGATCATATTTCTCTATTAAGAGAGGAAAAAACATATAAGGAAGACAGTAAAACTCTAGGATGTTTTTCGTTGATATCAATAAGTATACATTTAAAAATAAAATAGACAGATGTATTTGACATTAAAAAAGAAACAAACAAAATAAAAGAGAGTCCGTTATAGGGCACAGAATTAAAAAGTTCGTCTGCAAAGAATCACAGTGCATAATTCAGGACTATGTAAATTAAACACTTTGTTATGGAGAATTTGCTATGTTACTCTGTTTTGCAGATTAACTCCAAAGTATGAATATACACAAATGAGAAATACAAACTGGTCACAAAGATGATAGAAGTTATAAAAATAAGTGGCAAAAACAAAGCTAAAAAAACAGAATGGCTCTAGCATAGTGCTAGAGGAAAATAATTTTTAAAGGATTAGGTATCTACATCCTTTAGATAAGAAACAGACTAGAGAAGTTACAAAATATCCCAAGCAGCCTGAGGAATAAGAGACTTCAAAATAATATAGAAGAAGAGGATATGGGAAGACGGACAACTGTCTAGTGAGATCTTTCAGATGGAGTCCAGATAAGAAGACCTAAGGTACCTCAGCTGACAGAGAGCATTAACCACCAGATATATGAATAAAGCCACCTTGCACCTTTCAGCCCAGTCCATACAGCTGCCATCTGACAGCAACTACCCTAGCAATTCCAAGCAGGACCAGGAGAACCACGCTTCAGCTCACAGAGTTGTGAGAAAAAATAAATTGTTCTTCAAAGAATAGATCTCTTTGCAGTCTGTGTACCCCAAACAAACGGGAGGCAAAAAATTATTTGAACCTTGTTATCCTGTGCATAATAAAAGCAAGGTTTGCTTTATTTTATTTTACATCTATAGATAGTACTTTTGGCAAAATATCCATAAATTCCAAATATGATAATTTGTCACTAAAGTCATTAATTTTTCATTCCTCCAGCACACAAAGTGGATTGATTATCAAGGAGTATACTATGTTTCTTTTACGACAGTTGCTTCAGCTGTGAAAATTCCACTGATTCCAATTCCATAAGAAATTTTAAAACCAAGGCATTAAGAAATGCATTTTTCTATGAATCCTGGAGAAAGTTCTGAACTTCCTAATAAAACAGTCTCCATATTGTTAAAAGACCTAATGATATGAAATGATAAACAAATGCTTTCATCACAAATGCTGAGTCTGATGAGGTTATATTATAACATAGGACATTGATGAATGACCATTTATCCATACTTCCTTAGATGTATACAAATCAAGTATATTCCAGGTGTATTCCATACCTAAGTAGGGGTTCCTTGCTCTTCATTTAAATTGTTGAGTTCTTTAAGTCAGCTTGAAGAGTCATTATTTTCTTTGTGAAATTGAAATTATGGTTCTCATATTACACAAGACCTTTGCTATGACAACATAATAGTTACAGAAAGAAAAAAATCCAATCTTAAACTACCATAACATATTTAACCTATAATTGCAGAACCCTCATAGTTATAACAGGAAACAACAGCTGAAATGATGGTGGGGGAAGGGAGAATTTGTAAGACCAAGGCTGAAAGAGTGTGGAAGACTGGGTCCAGAAGACAAAAATAAAGACTTTTCACAGAATTCCCATTTATTATCAGTTATTTATACCGGTTCAATATAAAATGTACCATTGTATAGCATATTCTACCTCTTCTATACTTTTTTTTCATTTTTAATGTCTGCAACTTTTCCAGCAGCCCTGCCAATGTACCTAACAGAATCTCTTTCTGTGTGTTAGTAGCTATAATGCTCTCTTTGCACAAGCAGCTCTTAAAACAAACAAACAAAACAACCTCTATTCATTATTTTTTTCAAAATTACTCTGGACAAACCCTACCCTAACCATTGCAACAAACAAGTTCAATTCATAGAAGAATAAAATCACTCATGGTGATCAACAGCAAGCCTTGAATGCTGAACTATTTTTTTTCCTAATATTGGACAGACTATGCAGTTTGGCACCAGTAAACAGGACTCACATTGCTGACTTCCCTTTAACAGTGTTGGCTATAAACTCTCCTCTAACTGTTACTGCCATCGAGGATTTGTCTGCATATTTGAGAGGGAGAGCCAGGAAAAACAACTGTGGTTGCCCAAGAACATAAGTCTATCGAATAGTGAAATAAGCTGGGGATATCTAAGTGAGCTTTGGGTTTTGCACTCAGCTTAATAGTGATCCTTCCCTTGATCTTCTCAATGCATTTTCTTAAAGGTATTGAAAGCTGAAGTTCTCTGAAGAAAGGTTTCTGCAAACAAGGCCAAGAACACTAAAACTTCAAACCCATGTAAATGGGATCAGCTGTTTGCTCTGAACCTGTTTCTCACTAGTAGCCAGTCAGCTACCTCCACTCTCCCACACACCCCAGTATGTCCTTAGAATAATAATTATGTCTCAAGAGAGTTAAATCAGTGGCCAGAAATCATATAACTAGAGATTGGACTAACAGACTGAGGATTAGAATCTATCCCAACACCCAAGCCTACTCCTGTCTGCCATGTTGTTTCTCTATGTACAAGACAACATTCTTAGTTTTTACAGCAAGTTAAAAGATGTGTGAGCTAGATGACTGCCCTGAAGGAGTTTCATTCTCATTCAGGAGACAAGACGTAAACACATATTGATTAAATAACAACGAAATATTGAAATAGTCTAAAATGTAACAAAGCAGCAGTAGTGTCTTTAACATCAAAATTTCAAAGAAAATTCTGACTGTGGAAATATTTAATATATGTTCTGGAGGTGAAAATTCAAATAGGTTAATTCCTAACTGATATTTCACTTAGAGAGAACAGAGAGAAGAGAGAGTTTGGGACTGGACTGAAGAAAGCCTTGATCCATCACTTCGGGTCTGAATTTTCTGATGGGGGTATCCTGCAGACTTGGGAAATGCTTACTTACTTTGGAACCATCTGTGCATATTCTCCATTGCCCGTCTTACACTCAAGGATTTCCCCGCAATTTTTTTTTTTTTTTGACGGAGTCTAGCTCTGTCGCCAGGCTGGAGTACAGTGGCACGAACTCAACTCACAGCAACCTCTGCCTCCCAGGTTCAAGCGATCCTTCTGCCTCAGCCTCCTGAGTAGCTGGGACTACAGGCACCCACCACCACGCCCAGCTAATTTTTCTATTTTTAGTAGAGTCGGGATTTCACCTTGTTGGCCAGGATGGTCTTGACCTCTTGACCTCGTGATCCTCCTGCCTCGGCCTCCCAAAGTGCTGGGATTATAGGCATGCATCACTGTGCCCAGCCGACTTCCCTGCATCTTAAGATGATAGTTGTTAGCTGAATAAATAGAAATTAAATGTTAAAAGACTAGGAAGCCATGTACTCACTGATAAAAGCATTCATAGGCAGGGAAGAAGAATACCTTTGAAAAAGAGGTAATAAAATGTTGAGATGACTACCTTTGAAAAAGAGATGGTAAAATGTTGAAGTTAAAGAGACCCTCCTGAGGTCCCTGGGTTATATTCAGAAGCCTATTTTGTGCATAATATCACCCTTTATACCAGTACCTATTGGTTACTGAAGTTTTAAGCACACATGACAACTGACATAACATTTTAATTTGGAGTTTATTAAACTAACACAGAAATAGTCATTTTCTTTTCAGTAGCCAATCCTTGAGTTCAGAAGCTTTAATTTACAAACAGGACTAGTGGGCCATACAGTCATCCCTTCTTATGATGAAGTCTGTTTGTGGTAAATAATTTTACCCATATATTTATTTCTTTACCCTTTTACACAACTCTAAGAATTTCAGATATGGTTTAAGTAAGTCAGTTGTTGCTCTGAAGTCCTCAAACTAACTTTTAAAATGTGTAAATAAAAACAAAATTAAGCATTTGGATGGCGAACAGACATACGAAGAAAAAGCCTCTTTGTATCCATATTATCTGAAAATGTTGGCATTTTCTTTTGGTTAAAAGTATACATGGTAATGTACCTTTCTAATACGCAAAGGTTAGAAAATGAAAATCAATTTCATACTATTCATTACTTATTTTAGAGCTATAAAATAACAATTGTCGACCCAGCACGGTGGCTCACGCCTGTAATCCCAGCACTTTGGGAGGCCGAGGCAGGTGGATCATGGGGTCAAGAGATCAAGACCATCCTGGCCAACCAACATGGTGAAACTCCGTCTCTACTAAAAATACAAAACTTAGCATAGTGGCGCACACCTGTAGTCCCAGCTACTGCAGAGGCTGAGGTAGGAGAATCGCTTGAACCCAGGAGTCAGAGGTTGCCACTGCACTCCAACCCAGGTGACAGAGTGAGACTCCATCTCAAAAAAACAAAAAAACAAAAAACAAAACGAAACAAAACAAAAATTGTTAAGTTTAACTGATTGAAAGTTTTTTTAAATGTGATTGGCCTACGTTATGTTTCATAGAATGACTTTTACTAAATAATTGATTTGCATTTATTCTCTAAACTTCTAATAAAAAATATAATTAGACACAATGTTATTAAGCCAGGCTTTACTTTAACTCTAAACGTATAATTGAAATACAGAAAATACCTTTCAGGCTTTGGCTCTAAGAAAAACTTTGTTTCTCCTGAGCAGCAAATAAGAGTTTATTGACATGGTGGACTCTATAACTGATGATGTTTACCTCTTGGCCTTGTCCATTGGGTTCAGAATTAAAGTTGAGCCAGTGTAGGTTTGGTCAGAACCTTACAAGATACATGTATTTGCATAACTTCACCCCTGGCTTCATTTGCTATTTTGCCCTTTTATTCTATAAGGTTTTAGGTTCTTTACATATGATATCTCCTGTTATGGACAGAATTGAGTCCCCTCAAAATTTATATGTTAAAGTCCTAACCCATCAAAGTGACTGTATTTGGAGACAGAGTCTCTAAAGGGCTAATTAAATGTAAATGATGTCATAGGGTGGGGCCCTAATCCAATAGGGCTGATGCCCTTATAAGAAGACAAACAGACACCAGAGATCTTTCTCTCTCTCTCTGCACTCACACAGAGGAAAGGCAATGTGAGAACACAGCAAGAAGGCAGTGCCCTGAAAGCCAAGAAAAACTACCCCACCAGGGAGTGTAAATTAGTTCAACCATGAGGAAGACAGTGTGGCGATTCCTCAAAGATCTACAACCAGAAATGCCATTTGACCCAGCAATCCTATTACTGGGTATATACCCAAAGGATTATAAATCATTCTACTATAAAGACATATGCACACGTATGTTTATTGCAGCACTATTCACAATAGCAAAGACTTGGAACCAACCCAGATGCCCATCAATGATAGACTTGATAAAGAAAATGTGGCACATATACACCATGAAATACTATGCAGCCATAAAAAAGAATGAGTTAATGTCCTTTGTAGGAACATGGATGAAGCTGGAAACCATCATTCTCAGCAAACTAACACAGGAACAGAAAACCAAACACTACATGTTCTCACACATAAGTGGGAGTTGAACAATGAGAACACATGGACACAGGGAGGGGAACATCACACACCCGGGCCAGTCAGGGAGTGGGAGGCAAAGGGAGAGAGAGTATTAGGACAAATACCTAATGCATGTGGGGCTTAAAACCCAGATGACAGGTTGATAGGTGCAGCAAACCACCATGGCTCATGTACACCTGTGTAACAAACCTGCACATTCTGCACATGTATCCCAGAACTTAAAGTAAAATTTTTTAAAAAAAGAAAGGAAAGAAAAGAAAAAATACCCCACCAGAAACCAATCCTGCCTCCTGGCACCTTGGTTGTGGACTTCCAGCCTACAGAACTGTGAGATAATAAATCTCCATTGTTTAAACCACCCAATCTGTGGAAATCTGCTATAGCAGTTTGTGTAAGCCAATGTATCTTTTTATTTTTCTTCAGCAGTCAATCCTTTAAAGTAGGAGAGATCTATTGCACTGTGTAGCCATCTGGCCATCCTTTCTCTTCCCATTCCCTGAGAATATCTTTATTCCCCCGATCCCCACCTTAGAGAGATTGGTGTGAGTGGGAAATATGTCTGAGAGGTTTATCTGGATCATTCTCATGTTCAGAAATTCTCTTTCCCTTTGACTAAATCTCCCTCTTGTACCTGTTGTGTGAATGTGGAGTGGAGCAAAGTATGGGGTGTGTGGAGGACAAATCCTAAGGACTATGCCTCTTTTTTGTACAAATAATAACTTCTCATTCCATGTTAACACACATTTTCCTGTTTTGAGAATGCCACAGCCTCGGTGGCTTTCTTGGCTATTCCTTCCTGGCTTAATCATCACAGTTCTGTAAGTGCCAGAGAAGCATGCTGAACTCAATGATTTGTGAATCCTGTTCCTGTATACAGGGGCAAGTGTGAAATGAGGTGAATAGTCACTTGGGGCTACAACTGATATTTTATAGAGTACCTAAAATCAAGCACATCTTGCCACGTCTTTCTGAAACAGCATACATCTTCCCTAATAATCTAAGATATAAAAAATTCACATGCACTCTAGTGTGAAAACTTGTTACTTGTTCTTATGAATGATTAGCCATGACCTTATTATTCCAAGAGAGCATTTATCCCTTCCTTGACCTGAGTTACATTATGCATTACAAAGATTTCTACATTGACTAATAATACATGACATCCCTAAATGTCATCTCTCTAATCAATAAGCAACTCCACTGACCAAGAGAGATGAAGGGGAGATTTAGAGTTCACCTTGCCAGCAGTATTGATATGGACTGAATTACCCCCAAGAAGTAATGACGGCAGAGTTACAAAATAGATTTCATAACACGGTGCTATTGGCCTAGGACATTTACAACACAAATTTCATATCCATGTAGCTTGCTATGTTAAAAGAGTTGGGTTGCTTAATCACCTCTTGTCTTAGTTCAGGCTGCTATAGCTGAATACCACAAACTATGTACATTAAGCATCAAACATTTATTTCTCACAGTTCTGGTGGCTAGGAAGTCCAAGATCAAAGTGCTGGTCAATGAGGTTTCTGGGAGGGCCCTCTTCCTGGTTTGCAGACTGTCAACTACTTGCTGTATCTTCACATGGTGGAGAAAGAGATCATCTCTCTCGTGTCTCTTCTTATGAGAGCACTAATCCCAATTCATGAAGTTTCTACCCTTATGACCTAATTGCCTCCCAAAGGCCCTATATCCAAATACCATTACATTAGGGATTAGGGATCACATACAAATTTGGGGGGAACATAAACACTCTGTCTATTGCATGACTGTCTTGACAAATAATGAGTAAATGAGCTATTTTGAAGGGTTTTCCTTGGAGTTGAGAGGGAGCCATCACTTCCCCCACTTTTGTGGAGGTTTTGTGGTGTTGAAATGTTGGCCTTGGGTTTCTAAAAAGCATTTGAAACTTTCACAAAGTGATCTGAAAGACTAAACTTTTGATTGAACGATAGAGTGAGAGATGGTATGATATGTGGCCAACAGCGCACACAGGAGATATTATGGCCACGAGGTCCCAGGGAGCTCATAGCCGTCAACAGTTTCAAATATTTCAAAGGCCACGCCTCCTACTGCTTTTAATCCTACTTTTAAGTGTCACAAACTTCTCAAAATTAGTACATTTTGAAGACAACCCACAGGAAGACATTCTCTTTGAGCTTACCAGCTACATCTGCAATGTGTATAGGTATTAAGAACTAGAGAATTAACTCTCTAGCTTTGGTACCTAAGAACAGAAAATTTCTATTGAAACATTGAAATGAATGTGATCTTGATTTAATTCAACAAAATGATGCCCAAGATCTTTATTTTGTTCTGTAGTTAATGTTCATTTTAATTTCACTTCTAGTTACTTTCAGTTTGGATAGTCAAATAGGCTCTAAGATTAAAAAAAGTTTGTGTGACTCTAAAAAATAAATACTCACCGTACGTATATATGTATGTTAAGCATATACACACATTTGTGTATGTGCACATCTATCTATGTATATAGATGCATGTGTGTGTGTGTATGCATAGATATATCCTAGATAAAAATTTGGGTTTACTTGTTTTTAACTTTTTTCCGTATGAAATTTAATCATTGTATTTCTCAGACATATTGCTTTAAAGAATACTCTCTTCAGCTACAAAGAGTAACTGGTTTAATTCCTTGGTACTAATACTTTCTACTTTTAGTAAATCATTGGTTTGGGGTGTGGTGACCCATATCAACTAAAGATTAGGAGAGGTGTGTGGATGTAAGATGTAAATGACATTCATTTCTTGTTGCTTAGAGCTTAAATATATTATATAGTTTTGTGAGAATAAGTCTAAAGGTATCCTATGGCTATTTAAGCAGTTGGTGATGAAAATTTGTTTATAAAGCATATATTTAAGTTAATTATCTCCAAATGTTTTCTATTATTTGGTTATCAAGAAAAAGTACCTTTAGCATGCAATCCAAACAGATATATAGATACACTACTGTAGAAATACATTACATATATTATAAGACATGGAAAATGGAAATTTAAAATTGTGACAAAAAGATGAAATAAACAATATTACATAAATACTTTTATTATATTTAATGGTACAAAAAAATTGGATCTCAATATGCTATTAATAATTGCATTAGTCTGTGTAGAATTGCCTCACTTGTGGTAACAATACTGAGCTCTCACTAGCTTATCATGGTAAAGTTTATTTCTTGTTCACATTAGAGTCCAAGGTGGGTTGTGCTTCCAT
This sequence comes from Homo sapiens, assembly GCF_000001405.40. Classification (NCBI taxonomy): domain Eukaryota; kingdom Metazoa; phylum Chordata; class Mammalia; order Primates; family Hominidae; genus Homo; species Homo sapiens. The sequence goes on from NC_000008.11 coordinate 121,395,600, forward strand.
AGGGTATTTTCTCTCCTGTAATTCCAGGATGAGTTTATCTTATAATGTTGCCACATTTGCCTCCAAAGTCACTTTAAAAAAGGAAAGTAAAATCTGAAATATTGCACATGAAGTTTTAAGAGCTAGGCTCAGAAATGATACACCACTTTTCAGCTTACATTTCAATAGAATTCAGTCAAATGATCCAGATCTTACTGCAAATGAGGCTGAAAAATGATGTTTTATGTGTCCAAGAAAAAGATATAATAAGACAAACACCATCAGTTTGAAAATATTATTACTATATTATTAACATGTTTTTATTAACTTAGTGTGAGGAAAAAAATTAATAAGCTTAAGGTTTTAAAAAATATTGGTTTAATATACTATATTACAGAAATTCCAAGATCGGGGTTTAAATTCTATTTATTTCAAAACTGGCTTTAAAAGCTGTGATTATTGAAAAATTTACTTTATGAAGATATGTAGATTCAAATGGGGGAAGATAATTTGAAAACTATATTTTTTATGCTTTATGGGCCTTAAAACTCTTTTGTCCAACCAAGGAGTGTATTTTAGCTTCTGACCATATTTTTGTAGCCAGCTGGCAAAATAAGTATTTCTGTAATTGAGATTAAGGAATTTCAAAAGTGATTCCTAAGCACTTATTTTACCTTGAGGGAAATTTTGAAAAGTACTTGTTTTAGTACTATATCTTAAAAACAATTGTTAGAGAAATTAAATAATTACCTTTTAGTCATGATGGCATCATACTATTATTTACTTAGAAACCATCAAGGCACAATATGTCCTTAGGAAGAGTTTCATAATTAATTAGAATAAACATAAGTCCATAGATTGAATAGTCTCCCTAATAATTTTAAATGCTTTCAGGTTAACGTCTTATTTTTACTTTGCAGCAAGGCTAATAGGGAGCTTGTTCTGTTAAAATGGTTAGATTCTCTATGTTCTCAGTTTTGTTGGGTTTGCATTGTTAATGTTATCTCCAATCTGAAATTTCTTAATAGAAACATTTTAAACCACTTACACATTTTATTATCATTAAATTGTTTAAAACTAGATAATATAATTTATAAATTCACTTAGGTGAATACAAGTAAACTACAAATGATTGCTGTACACTACAAGAGAGAAAAATGAGTGAAAATTCGACTTCCAATCCCTAGACATTTTGGACATCCCAATCTTCCCTCCAGATGTTGAGTGAATAATATGTGACCATCTGATACGGGGCTAGGATGAGATCTTCCATGTCCATCTATATTTTAAATGTGTATAAAATAATTGACTTATAATTACAAATAAATACAAGTAGAAGTTCTAACATTTTCTTCCTTTAACTCAATGGGGCATCTTGAACATTCTCTGAGTATGTACACCCCACGGTTGAGGACTCAGCTTTAGGAACCAGCAGATGGGCACCTCTCTGAAAGGACAAAAGATGATACAATGGACTAATCCCAAAACATTTATGCAGAAATGCTTGAAAAATAAACCAAACTGTTTGTTGTTGCCTATGTGTAAATATTATTTTTTCAGTTCGATACTATTTTCACTACATGGTGTACCATAACTCTTTCAGAATTTAAGTATCCTCAAGTCCTAATATGGCCCTAGATATTAGCCTGGGTGAATTATCTCTTTAATGAAAAGTTTAAGGGAGGGAGTGAGAGGAACCATAAGGGATAAAGCATGGGGCAGTTGTTGGCCAGTAAGGCTATTTTCTGCCCAGGTATCAAAATCAAGGTTGCTTCAGCTTTTGACTGCCCATTCACGGGCAAATTTTGTTAAAAAAAAAAAACAAAACAGGTACGGTTTTGTGCTGTAGTGTCCATCTAGCTTGATGTTAAAAAAGAAGAAGTAACCATGTTCATAGTATTCATGTACACAGTGAATTTCCTAAACTTGCATCTGGATTTTACAATACTTTGGGTAAAATGTTATTGTATCTATTAAATATATTGTTGTGATTAGGACCAGGGGCCCTGAAGTTAGAATTTATAGGTTTGAATACTGCCTTCCTATTTTGTATGTGCACAGTTTTTACAATTTATTTAGTGTTCTTTAGATTCAATTTTCTAGTTCATAGATTCATTTTGAGGGTTAAATAATATAATATGCAAGGCCGAGTACAGTGCCTGCATACAATGTATACCTAATATATTACTTATATTATTGCTATTAATGACTAGTACTACTGAATAGTGTAGAAAAATATACATAAATACATAGATACATATAGATAGATAGAGTCACAAATTTTATTCTATTCAAAAAATTCAATGTCTTGATTCTTTCTTAGGCCATTCATGCTGAAATCCTCTATCTAACCCAAATGATATCTATTGTCTCTCTTGTACTATACAAATCTGAGTGTAAGGGTATGGATGTCAGAGTGTGGGTCTCAGTTAAGATGTTGGAAGGTTCTGCTAAGACCCTGTAGTGTTTTACTTTTTAAGTAACGTCATTTATGTTTGTATTTTTATGTATTTATTTATTTTGATTTTTTACCATAATATTCTAGCATGATTTTTTTCCAGTGAGCCATTGATAAGACATTCTGGATTTCAGTGTAGAATGTAAAAAGAAAATATGAGAATGAAAAATTGTTCTCTTTGTATGACAGTCTGGCCTATGACTCATGGTCAGTTTTGAAGCCAATTTTAAAAAAAAAGAAAGAAAAACAAAGAACTGAATTCATATTTGGACTGTTGCATTCTGGGCATGTCATGAAGCTTCACAATCTTTTAGGTTAGATTACTTACTCTGTCCTCATTTCCCCATGCTCTGGGTTTCTCAGAAGGAACTTCTGGATGGAAAAGGCTTTGGTCCATATCAGTGGCAAGTTTGTTTATAATGATTAATTTAAATGAGTGGACAGTGATTGAACACCTATTATATGACTGAGTCTGTGCTAATTTGTGGGACACAAAACAAGGAACCAAATATTGGATCAGCCTTTTAAAGGCTCAAACTGCAGTTGTAGAGAAAGGAGAAAAAGAGAGAAAGAGAGAGAGACAAAGAGCAGGAGAGGGAGGGCAGGGGAGAGTCAGGGAGAGAGAAATAGGGAGGGAGAGGGATTCCAAATGACTTCCACAGAGATAAGCATTATAACAGCAGAACAAACACAAATTGCAACAGAAGAGGAGGAGATATGAGCTAAATAGTTTAAGCATTTGAAAGCTAGGATTCTTTTCTTGAACCTAATTTATAGCTACCTATTTCATAGGTAATATATAATATATAGTACCTGTTTTATAGGTAGCAATACAATAATTTTCTACTCAATTTTGAAACAGTAGTGGGACACACAAGTTTTCCATTTCTTATTTCTTTTGTTTTTAAATTAAAATTATTCATTAACTCTTAAAGATGTGATGCTACAAATAAGATTGCACCTGCTGGGTTTGCAGTGTATCTCCCTGCTTTCAATATGCCTACCTGGTTTTATACACACTATTAATAAAGTTCTTTTACATCTCACTTAGAACCCTTCTAACTTAAAGCAGATAGAAGGCGCTGGGACCTGGACTGAAGATACAGTAAGGGCAGTTTCCTGGCAGCAAGCGGGAGTTACTTTGGGAAAGGATGGGTCAGAGAAAGACTTTGGCAATGGCTGCCCAGGCAGAGTGAGAAACAGGTCATCGAGATATGCATTTATATATTACCATTTTACAGATGAGGATACTGAGTTACAGTGAGGAAGTGCATTGCTCAGGTTCATATGACTAGGCAGTTCAGAACTAGGATCTGAACCAGGTATATCTGATTCCCAAGCTAGTCCTTATTTTTATCACCTCCTGGCAACAAATACCTCTCAATAAAGGAAAGACTTCTTGGATATTGAATTGTAAATAACTCTTCGTATTCTATGTAAACTATGTTTTCGTAGATGATAGTTTATTATGAATGAGTTATTAAAGATGGGCAATAACAATTTTTAAAAAATTTAAGTAGCATTCCATCTATTAGGAAGACAGGCACAGAATCTAACTTAATGGAAAGTTTAAGCTCATTAGGTCCAGCCTCCTTAATCAATTGATGCAGTCCAGAGAGGTGATATGTCTTCTCTTTCTTGGATACCTCGTCACAATGCTGGTATAAGAACTTGGGCTTCTGATATCTAATCTGCCAGTCTGCCAGCACATCTTCTTCCTGCAGTCTTTTTCTGGTAGTTGTAGCAGCAAAGTTAAAACAACTGACAGTATTGCAATCTTTCTTAGGCATTTCCTTGGCTGACTAGGTCTGTGCATTTATGAGCAAGTGAAAAAGTTCTATTCTACAGAATTGTCTTCACCCTGCATTTATGATTGCTTGGAAGCAATGTGTAGATGATGGAAATTTTATAACACAGTTTTCCAAGATACTCATTTGATACTACACCCACTCCATGCATTTGATTGTTTTAGGTGAACATAAGGAAGTATAATATGTTGCTTAACAGCAAGCATTTTGCAGTTATTTGAGTCCTGGTACCCCTCACTAGCTATCTCACCAAGTTAAACAACTCTGTGGTTCTGTTCCTCATATCTCAAATAGCGGGGTATAATAATACATCATAGAGTTGTTATGAAGATTGAAGGAGATAATACATGGAAACATAGATTGTGTGTATCCTGAGTCCATTCTTTCTCATTACCTAGTGATAATTCATTATATTCATTAACCTATTGATTGGCACTTAGGCCATTTCTAGTTTTTGGCTATGATAAAATTGAAATGAACAGTTTTTTACAAATCTTTTTTGTGAAAATATATTTCGCATTTTTTGAGGAACTATTTAGGAGTAAAATGTTTTAGTTATAGGGTAGGTGTATACTTAACACAACTAAAAATAGCCAGATCTTTTCCCAAAGAGGCTGCTTCATTTTGTATTTCCGCAAACAAGATAGGAGAGTTCAGCCGGGTTTGTTAATTTTCTCATTTTCTCTATTACATGAATTTTCTTTTCTTTTTTTCTTTTTTTCTTTTTTTTCCCCCCGAGACAGAGTCTCACTTTGTCGCCCAGGCTGGAGTGCAGTAGCACTATCTCGGCTCACTGCACCCTCTATGTCCCAGGTGCAAACAATTCTCCTGCCTCAGCCTCCCAAGTAGCTGGGATTATGGGCGCCCACCACCATGCCAGGCTAATTTTTGTAGTTTTAGTAGAGACAGGGTTTCGCCACTTTGGCCAGGCTCGTCTCGAACTCCTGACCTCAGGTGATTCGCCCACCTTAGCCTCCCAAAGTGCTGGGATTACAGGCATGAGCCCCCGTACTTGTCCTGACTTTTCTTTTTCATTGATTTTTGCTGTTGTCTTTATAAGTTTCTTCCTTCTACTTGCCTTGAGTTATTCTCCTTTTTTTAAATTCTAGCTTCTTAGGGTGGAATCTTAAGTCTTTGATTTGAGATCTTTCTATTTTAAAAAGTTTGTAAAGCTATATGGTTCCTTCCTTTTAAATACTGCTTTAGCTAGCTACATTCCACAATTTTTTTTTTTTTTTTTTTGAGAGGGAGTCTCACTCTGTCATCCAGGCTGAAGTGCAGTGATGTGATCTCGGCTCACTGCAACCTCCGCCTCTTGGGTTCAAGTGATTCTCCTGCCTCACCCTCCAAATTACAGGTGCGCACTACCATGTCCAGCTAATTTTTGTATTTTTAGTAGAGATGGGGTTTCACTATGTTGGCCAGGCTGGTCTCGAACTCCTGACCTCAAGTCATACAGCCACCTCAGCCTCCCAAAGTGCTGGGATTATAGGCGTGAGCCACCACTCCAGGCCCCAAAATTTTGATGTGTGTTTTCACTATTGTTTGGTTAAAAAATACTTTCTTGTTTTTCAAAAATAATTTTTTTATTTCTGGAAAATTTTGATTTATAGAAAAATTAAGATGATAGTACAGAGAGTTATATAACCCACAGCCAATTTTCCCTAATATTAACATCTATGTTAATAGGTAAATTTGCTACAAGTATTGAACAATTATCAATACATTATTATTAGCTAAAGTTAATCTTTTATTCAAGTTTCCTTAGTTTTTACATAATGTTATTTTTTTTGTTCCAGGATCCCACCGGGCTGGGTACAGTGGCTCTCGCCTGTAATCCCAGCACTTTGGGAGGCCCAGGTGGGCAATCACTTGAGGCCAGGAGTTCGAGACCAGCCTGGCCAACATGGTGAAACCTCTTCTCTACTAAAAATACAAAAAGTTAGATCCGTCTCTACTAAAAATACAAAAATTAGCCAGGCATGAGGGCGCGTGCCTGTAATCCTAGCTACTCAGGAGGCTGAGGCAAGAGAATTGTTTGAACCCAGGAGGCAGTGGCAGTGAGCCGAGATCACGCCACTGCACTGCAGCCTGGGTGAGGAGACCTAGACTCCGTCTCAAAAAAAAAGAAAAAAGATCGATCCCACAGGATATTACAAAATTACAAAATTTAAAAATATTCTTCAGGGAAACATCACAGAATATTGCATTTGTAATTAAAAAGGCAATCAAAAGCTATCCTGGCCTGTGATGTTTGTCTGAAGAATATTTTTAAATTTAACATGGTAGAATTGTGAACCAAAACAAAACACAGAATTACTGACTTTTAATTTCAAAAGCCAGAATCAATGAGTTGGTTTTTGTTGTTGTTGTTGTTGTTTGTTTTGTTTTGTTGTGTTTGGCCATCAGGTTAAAGATTCCTAAATAGGATTAGTTGAATAGGAGGGCAACACACAGAGGAGTGGAGTTTGCATCCTGAGAGACTGTCAGGCTCACTCATTCCAGCAACTTCTGTCCTCATGGGCCAGGAAGGTTTGCAGAGGCTGTATTATTTATTGCTTAGAATCTTTCCGGGCTGTTGACATCTCCCCTGTACAACCTGGAGCAAGTTGCTTTACCCCTCTGACCATAATTTTTCTTTTCTGAAAAATCTCAAATTTCTTGAATTCTTAAATTTCCAGTTTGTATATCATTTCTGCAGAGAGAACTGCTGCTACCACTTGATCAGAAGTTCATTTCTATGTTACCTTGTCACTGTATTATTTTCATTCATTGCACCAATCACAATTTGTACTTTTTATTTATTGACCTATTCCCTTTTCAGTGTCTTACTCCTCCAATATACTGTAATATACATGAGGACACATTTAATGAATTTTTAATATATCTAATGTCTACTCCAGTGCTGTGACATAATAATAATTGTTATCATTTGTTGGACATTGATGATGTGCCAGACATTTATCTAGGCATTTGTATGTAATTCTCCCAGCAATTTTATGAGGTAGATAAAATTATTTTTATGCTTATTTCACAGGTGCGGAAAAATCAGAGTGTTCAAAACAGTAAGTAACTTACTCCAAAATAAAAGGTAGAATAAGGTGCGGATAATTTGGCTCCATATGGTTCTCTTAACTGCTTCTTAGAAATATCCTATATTAATAGGAATGTAATAAGTGCTCATATATTATTTTTAAATGAATAAATTAAAGCTTAAAACTAATATTTTGAATTTTTAATAAATAATTTACATGACTTTATCTAATTTAATTCTCTTAGCAGTGCCATGACATAGAAGCTGTTATAATTTAATTCGACCTATTATGAAATGTTAAACGACTGGACTAAAGTCATGGAATTAATTTGTATAAGGGTTAGAATTTAAATACATGTCTTCATTGCTAACCTTCCTCAGAGAATTTTTAAAAGAATGAAATAAAGAAAGATTTTGGAGTTTCTTCATAAAGTATAGGACAACCTCTGGTAGAGAATTATCATAGAACAGTGTCATAGATATCTGTAGTAGGAAGGAAACATCACTTCAACTCTTCACACCTCTCAATATCCCATTCTTTGCATTGAGGCCTTGCAACTCACTACGAGTTGAAGTTTATTTAACCACTTCTCAAATCTGACCTTGCTTTTATGACCTGTTTGACCAACAGGACAATGGACAATGTGACACAAAGCCTTGAAAATCACTTGTTTGTCAGAAATTGTCTGGTTGTTGCTCTTGGGAATACTGCAACCATCACCAAGTGAACAAGACTGGGCAACGCTGTGAGATAATGGGAGACATATGGCCTTTTACCACTGGTATGGAATCAACCACCAGACCTAGGAGTAATGACATTTTGACCCAGCTGAGCAGTTAAGTGGGCCCAGACTAGAACTGCTCAGCTGACTCAGAATTATCAAAAATAACATATTTTGTTGTTTAAGTCAAAATGTTTTGGGGCGATCACGACACAGCAAGAATTAACTGACACAGTTCCCACTTGTGATTTCCCTATAATATTCTCTTTTGCTTTATACCACTGGATACATGTTCTGTGCTATGGTTGTGGCAGAGAAGGAGGTGGTAGTAGTGAAGATAAGACAAGCAATTGGGATCAAGTTGCCCAGCACTACGCAATCAACTTATTTACTTTGTATTGAGAGGGAAGGAAATATTAAATCAATTGTGGCTAAACACAGTCTACACTTAATAGCAAATATTTATGTTGTAGATAAAATATTTCTTGGTGACAGCTTTTTACTGAAGAGAATGTTATTGAAGATCTTTTCTTCTATTATTTAAATATACTGCCTAGCTTATTTTGTAAAACTTCTTGGAAAGAACCTTAATTACTTCCCATGCTAAACTTGTTTGGCAATGTAAGCCTCATTAAAGAATAGATATTAAAGAACATTTCTATTATGCTTCCTCCAAATCATTTGGTCTAATCCTCTTCTAACCATAAAACATCTAATATAAATGCAAATATTTGTTATTACTAATAACTGTGGATAGACCCTATTTAATAAATGGCAGGCATTGCCAAGAAAATTGTGGCGAGCTCGTAAATTCAAACATAGCTGACTTCCATCAATCAAAAATAAATTGGCTATGTTTATCATAAAGAAAACAAAAGCCCATTTAAAACACACAATACTTAATGAGTTATAGACTTTATATTTGTGATTGTATGGGACAACTCATTCAGACCCCAAATGCCAGGCTTCTTTCTTCTTAGTCTACTCTTAGTCTACTTAGTCTGCTTGTCTTTGACCAAACAGCATTAACCCTGCATATGGAAAGAACATAAGGCTTAGTCAGAAGAATGCTGTTTGATTCTCAGTACTAGAATGAACCAGCTATGTACTGTAGAATAATTAGACAACATAATACATTGACAAACAAATTTTTTTCTTAACTCTAAATAGCAACTGTTGAACATTTGCTATGTGCTGGGCACTGGTAAGTAAACTTTATATAAGATATCTCATTAATTCTCACAGACAACCTTAGATTTAGACTTTATCATTAGTCTCACTTTACATATCAAGAAACTAAGGTTTGGAGGGTTTAGTTTACTTGTGTAAAATGCTAAACCTTGTGATTTGTAGAGCTGGGATTCTGAACAGATCTGGCTCCAGAGTTTGAATTTGTAATTATTCTCCCATTGTCCCTCACTATACATATTACCTCCATTTCAGTTTTCTTGGGAATCGTCTTCATTTCAATATCAAAGGATTATAAAAAGGATAAAATAAGGATGCATATGCAAGAGTTTATGTACTTTAAATATTAGTATTCATTTAACAAATAATTATAAGCAGATACTATGCAAGTAGCAATTGCCACACTGATTTCAACCAACCCAGCATATGGATACAAACTGTGTATGGATACAGAAAGTGTTCTAAAAGTCAGAACTGTCCTCTCTGACACAGAAATTAAAAAGTTAGCAATGTATCCAAAATATTTTCATTACTTTAATATCTCCGTCAATCATCTGTGAACGTACATGAATATTTTCGAATTAGTATGTGTATCTTCATTTTGTACCTCTGGGGTAACAAGTTCCATATGTTTGTTCTCAACTGAGTTGTCCTTTTGTTTGTAGCTTGAAGTCTCTCTCAAATTTCAGACAATGTTTCTGGTATTCTGAAAAGTTATGAATGAGTTTATATTCAACTTATTTAGACCCTTCATGATTGCATAAGCTCCAATTATATCTTTCTATGTCTTTGTCTTCTCATGGTCCCAATCTGAAGAGTCATGATATGTTTGAGACTCTTTTTAGAAATATTAAATATTGTCTTATTGTCTATGTGATTCCAAACATCTGGCTGAAAATGAAATAAAGAAGGGAAACATCACAAATGCAGCTGTTTCGCATTTGGTAACTGAATTTCTAGTTCTCCTTCAGATATTTAAGGGCAGAGAATATGTGGCCATATCTTTCTCTTTTAAGGGTTAGTAACCTTTCTCTTTTAAGGGTTAGTAAATGGTACAAGAAGGTAATAAGGCTCAGAGTTGATAAATCAGGATGTCGTGGTGTCAGCACATCTAAAGAGGTGAGGATTCCATTTCTTTGGCTTTGAATCAGTGAGATAATTTTCCTCTAGTGACTTGCAATGGCAGAGAACTGATAATGAGTTTCCAAAAAAGAAGCCTCCAAGAGCATTTAGTTACCAGACAGGGGCTTTGTTCTTGCTGTGGTAGGTTTTCAAATTAGGACATCCTGTGGTTTGGTAAGGATTAGAGGAAGTGGCCAAGAAGAACTATTAATGAAATGCTCTTGAAAATTCTTTTCTCAAATGAGACTATAATTGTTTATATTCAGTCAGTTGTACAGTCACAGTACTTCTGAGTGTACTGCATAAGCAATCTTACAAAATAAATTAGCTACAACATTTGGATAATGGAAGAAAAGGGCCATTATAATATTATATACAATGAGCGAAGTACCGCAGTTTCTAATTAAGGGCCCAAGTCAGTTGTACAATGAACTATTTGTTGTACTTTTAAAATAAAATTTGCAATCTTTGAATAAATGACTTGCGGCCATGTAGTAAAAACAGAGATATTTATGGTGGGACACATGGATTGCATTATCTTTTCTAAGGCTCGCTTGCTCCTGCATACACTGGGCCTGTCTACTTGGTACAGCCGGGAAACAGGAATCCAGGTGGCTTGGCAGGAAAGACTCTGATCTACCTTAGCTGGCAGTAAGCCAAGTGTCATTCTGACAGAAATCCTTAATTCAGATTAGCTGTTGTCTGGCAGGTGGTGCCTTCTGATTTTGAAATGTCAGAGACACCAAGGACAAGGAAATCCCAGTAGGGCACAGGGAAATATGTAATATTTTAAGGAGGGTTTCTTGGGTCATGTTATGCAACTACTCACTTCCTCAACTTTACCTTCAGGGGAAATTGAAAACCTTCTTCGTGCATGGATACATCACCTAAGGACAAGGGAGCATGTTCATGCATATATTTTGACCCCTTTAACAGTTCTAAGTCATTTGGAGTTTCCGTTTACTTGGATTTGGCCAGAAACAACCTCTTGGTTCTCAGAAAAGAATGTCTTAAAGATCCACAAAGGAGGCTCAAGAGGCTTCTTGGACTTCAAACCTCTCTTACAAAATATTTTGATGAGTCAACTGTAAGTGAATCAGATACACAGAGGCCAAATTTTTCTTGACAAACATGAGCTTAATAACAAGAAATAGGGGTTAGGGAGAAGAAAATGGTGGGGAGGTCTTAGGAAAACATCTACTGAGTTTTGCTGATCACAAAGCGTTATACAAAAATTTCTTAATACATGAATACAACTACAGCTGGGGTCACTCAGCACTGCTATTACTCCAGCAGGAATTCTGACCATATTTGGTTCAGTTGCTCTTTAATATTTGCCCAAAGCAAGTTTGATATCATGACCCCCTAGGACAGTTCTGCATAGTAACTGATATGACTTTGGCTGCAGTTTTTTTTTTTAATCAGCATACTTTCTATACCATTCTTGCTTAGTAATTATGAATATAATCACATCTAGAATCCAGGAGGTACAAGTGAAGATACCAGAAAATATTCTGTAGAAGAGGATGCTTACAATGAGTTTAAAGGGTATAAAGGATTTAGCCATGCATAAAAACATGATCAAATCAACAGAAAAAAATACTTCAAAGCATAAAAAAATGCATGGTATACTTAGGAAATTTCAACTATTCTGGATTTCCAAAATGTCTAACCTGAAAGGAATCGGAAAGGGATGAGGTTGGAAAGGAAAGCGGGGCTTAGATCATGGCAGTATTTTGAAAACGATGATTAACCTCAGAAACATTGTTATGAGGAAAATGAGTGATTATACTATTAATATGTATCATGCTGACTGCAATGTGGAGAATGCATCAAATGGGGCTCAACCTACAGGCAGAGTAAGAAGTTTGAGTGATATTGCAGTATTCAAAAAAAGAACTGATGAAGTTCTGAAAACGTGGCCACAGCGGTTGAGAAAATATGGCAAGATGTGAAGACTAAAGAGAATTTCTTGCTCTCCTTACAATAATAAAAGCTTACAATCATGGAGAGAGTATACAGCCTTCCAATAAGCACAGACTCTGGAACACAGGCTTTGGGTCAGGGTTCAAATTCCACCTCCATTACTTACCTGCTGTGTGAGTATAGATAACCCGCTTAATTACTCTGTCCCTTAGTTTCCCCATCTGTCAAATGGGGAAAAAAAAGATTAATGCAAAGATGAGGATTAATTGCTTTAATGTGTAAAACATGTGAAAGACAGTATCTGACCAAGAGTAAACATATTAATGCTACACAGAGATATGATAGCAAACTGTTTGTGGGGAGGGGGTATGAATACATTTTTAATTTTTTAATTTTTAAAATATATTTAGTGGGATGAGTGCAGTTGTGTTACACGGATATTTGCAATGGAGTGAAGTGTGGGCTTTTAGTGTATCCATCACTTGGATACTTGGATTGTAACCTAGGATTTCATGCCTCCCACACACATTTAATCTTTAAAATAAATCCATGAGAAGGTCACTATCATCTTTATTTTACAGAGGAGGATACTGCAGTATAGAGAGTTTACATTGCTTTCCCACTGTCACAGAGCTGGTAAATGATGAACATGGAATGTAATTCCAGAGCCCCCTGCTCCTAACATTTTGTTACAACTTTTGTGAAAATGCAGGCATCCTTGCCTCCAAATAAAGAATATTTTTAGTTTAAGGGAGAAACTCAGGATGACGTAGAGTATACGGTGCATTTTCTCCTGTTTGTGCTCAGGTGAGAGTTCATGCAGCAATAGTCTTTGTGGAAGATGGTTTGGTGTACAGCAGAAAGTAGAGAACTTAGAGTTTAGAACACATAATTTAAACAGGAACCCCCAGGTTATGGTTATTGCTTTGAGAAGGGTCTTCATCTGTGTGTGGCTAAAGACGGAAGATAATCAAGTGAGGGAAAGCTCTCTGTAAATGAAAACATGCTAGATAAGCATCAGTTATTGATTGTCTCCTTGAAGTGAGTGAAATAAGAGTCATCCATGTTCATGACTACCTTTTTCTGAAACCATAAATGAAAATCATTCCTTTCTAACATCATTAACTCTACGTTTTCAGAAATAACATTGTCACCTTCTGTCATATAAAAGTTTGAGGCCAGGTATGGTGGCTCATGCCTGTAATCCCAGCACTTCACGAGCCCCAGGCAGGTGGATCAGTTGACGTCAGGAGCTTGAGACCAGCCTGGCCAACATGGTGAAACCCCGTCTCTACTAAAAATGCAAAAATTAGTCAGGCGTGGTGGTGCGCACCTGTAATCCCAGCTACTCAGGAGGCTGAGGCAGGAGAATCGCTTGAACCCAGGAGATGGAAGTTGCAGTGAGTCGAGATTGTGCCACTGCACTCCATCCAGCCTGGACAACAGAGGGAGACTCCATCTCAAAAAAATAAATAAATAAAAATAAAAGTTTGAGAAGGTAATTCAGTCTTGCTTCTTACCTCCTTCTAGCCAGTTCCACTTGGTAGCATCATGACACAAGCATTATTTTATTAATAATTCAAGTGTGGAATAAGCTAAAGCTTCTTCCAGGCAGGAGGAGACAGCAGTTAGGCCAAGATAGAACAACTCAGAATTTCCTAAACTAGGATCTTTGGTCCTCTGGGGATCCCCAGGCGTATTCCCAAAGGTTCATGAGATTTTTCAATTTAGGAATTTCATATCAATGGTAAACTAAAACTATTTACATAAGCACATTTTTGACCACCCGATGGCAATCTCAAAATCAATCATTGCCCTTATATGGGAGAATCTTCATAGTGTTTTGGTTTGTTTTTTTGAGTATGTTATACCCAAGTAGTTCTACTTTATCATTGGCTTAAGTGAAAAAAAAATGGAGGAAGAATTACTGTGTAAACAGTGAATTTCTGCTAAGTGAGGGCCAAGTGACATCATGTTAGGGTTTTGCAGTGGTTGGAACAGAGCAAAGTGGTGGAAAAATTGACAGATCTCATGGCACACAGATGTATGGGTATGATGACCACAAGAGAACTTGAACCTTAGCTGTGAGTATGATGTTCACTTGTGAGTGGTTTTTAGTTTCAAGAGAACAACAACATCCATCACATTAAATAAATGTTAGAAAACTGAATTTAACTGTGTTGCATCTTTCACCTGCATTGAATTAGTAAATGTGTTTGAATGTTATAGCTTAAGTCATTTACATGCATAAGGAGTTATAAGCAGGTTTTGATTTGCACATATTTTAGCAACATGCTAATAATCATTTAAGGCAACACTGGTATTTATTAAACATAACTTTTGTTTCTTTTAAAAGGTATCTGTTAATTACTCAGGTTTGAAAATTGCTAAAATAATAAAAAGAACACAGGCTTTGGAATCAAATAAAACTGGGTGCAAGGCCTACTTCCTCCACTCCCTAAGTGTGTTACCATGGGCGAGTTGCTTGACTTTTCTAAGCCTTGGGTGTCTCGTCTTATTCATCTCTTCCTATGTGTAAGAAATGTTCAAGGTACAGAAACTATAATAATTCTTACTGTTAAAGCAATCCTATGAAATGGAAACTAATGCTATTTTTATTTACAGGTGAGAAAACTGAGACAGAAATCAAGCAATTTGTACAAAGTCACCCAACTAGTAAAACATGGGCCTATATAATCTGACTCCAGAGCTCAATCTTTAAAAGAAAAATTATGGGTACATAGTAGGTATATATATTTATGATGTACATAAGATATTTTGTTACAGGCATACAATGCATAATAATCACTCAGGGTAAATAGGGTATTCATTACCTCAAAAACGTATCATTTCTTTGTGTTACAAACATTCCAGTTACACTCATTTAGTTATTTAAAAATGTACAAAAAAATTATTGTTGAAGGTAGTCACCCTGTTGTGCTATCAAAGACTAGATCTTACCCATTTTATCTAACTATACTTTTATGCCCATTAACCATCCCCACTCCACTGCCCCCACTACCCTTCCCAGCCTCTGTTAACCATCCTTGTACTCTCTATCATGATGAGTTCAACTGTTTTAATGTTTAGCTCCCACAAATGAGTGAGAACATGCAAAGTTTGTCTTCTGTTCCTGGTTTATCTCACAGAGCATAATGTCATCCAGTTTCCTCCACGTTGTTGTACATGACAGGATCTCACTTTTTTTCTTTAGATAAGAGTCTCGCTGTGTCGCCAGGCTGGAGTGCAATGGTGCGATCTCGGCTCACTGCAACCTCCACCTCCCAAGTTCAAGCGATTCTTCTGCCTCAGCCTCCCAAGTAGCTGGGATTACAGGCGCACGCCACCACGCCTGGCTAATTTTTGTATTTTTAGTAGAGACAGGGTTTCACCATGTTGGTCAGGCTGGTCTCGAACTTCTGACCTCGTGATCCACCCGTCTCAGCCACCCAAAGTGCTGGGATTACAGGCGTGAACCACCGCACCTGGCCCGGATCTCACTTTTTAATGGCTGATTGGTACTCCGTTACGTATATATGTACTACATATCCATTCATCTGTTTTGTTTTGTTTTTTTGACGGAGTCTCACTGTGTTGCCCAGGCTGGAGTGTAGTGGCATGATCTCGGCTCACTGCAAGCTCTGCCTCCTGGGTTCACGCCATTCTCCTGCCTCAGCCTCCTGAGTAGCTGGGACGACAGGTGCCCGCCACCACGCCCGGCTAATTTTTTGTATTTTTAGTAGAGACGGGGTTTCACCGTGTTAGCCAGGATGGTCTCGATCTCCTGACCTCGTGATCCGTCCGCCTCGGCCTCCCAAAGTGCAGGGATTACAGGCGTGAGCCACCATGCCCCGCCCCATTCATCTGTTGATGTACACTTATGTTGCTTCTAGGTCTTGGCTATTCTGAACAGTGCTGCAATAGAGAGGGCACTGCAGATATCTCTTTGATATACTGTTTCCTTTCTTTTGGGTCTATACCTAGCAGTGGGATTACTGGATCATATGGTAGTTTTATTTTTAGTTTTTTGAGAAACATTCATACTGTTCTCTCTAGTGGCTACACTAATTTACATTCCTACCAACAGTATATGAAGCTTCCCTTTTCTCAAGATCCTCTCTAGCATTCATTATTGTCTATCTTTTAGATAAAGGTCATTTTTACTGGGGTGAGATGTTATCTCATTTTAATTTTGATTTGCCTTTCTCTGATGATCCATGATGTTGAGCACCTTTTCATATACCTGTTTGCCATTTGTATGTCTTCTATTGAGAAACATCTATTCAGATTTTTTGCTCATTTATAATGAGACACAGAAAAACGTTGACATTAGTTAACATTTTCTTATTGGGTTGCTTGAACAGAGTTCGATCTTAACCACTTGATTATGTGGACTTTCAAACATCCACCATAATTTCTTTTTTTTTTTTTTTTTTTTTTTTTCTGAGAAGGAGTCTCGCACTGCTGCCCGGGCTGGAGTCCAGTGGCACGATCTCGGCTCACTGCAAGCTCCGCCTCCCGGGTTCACACCATTCTCCTGCCTCAGCCTCCCGAGTAGCTGGGACTACAGGTGCCCGCCACCACACCCAGCTAATTATTTGTATTTTTAGTAGAGACGGGGTTTCACCATTAGCCAGGATGGTCTCGATCTCCTGACCTTGTGATCCGCCCACCTCGGCCTCCCAAAGTGCTGGGATTACAGGTGTGAGCCACTGCGCCCGGCCAAACATGGATCATTTCTTCGTGTTACAAACATTCCAATTATACTTTAGTTATTTTTATGTGTACAATAAATTACAAAGATAGTCCCTGTTGGTGTCAGAATGAAGTCTACTTCTTACTGAAACATCAGACACAATGGTTAGCAATTTACAAGAGTATCTTATTTCATCATTAAAAACACTGTTAAAGAGAAAATATATTGTTAATTTTATTAATAAAAGAAACCAACTATTTTAGCAATTAAATAATAACCAGAATGCAACTTTTAACATCACAATGCCATTCATATATAGAGTAATGGACTTCCAGATCCAACCAGGATGAGAAAAACCTGAAACTATATTTTTCCTCTATCTTAAACAACTATGAAAATAGTCAAGATAGACAAAAGAATGATTTTCAGACCTACAGCAGGCTGCGCAGAACAATGATCCCTGGAAAAAGGGAAACAAACAAGGTGACTGCTGATTGCCCTAATCTTGTACCTTAGGCTGGTCCAGGTTCTTGACTTTGCTGCAAAAAACAATTTGAGAGTCCAAAGTAAGAGTAGGGGAAAGAGCTTATTGCAAAGCAAAAATATACTCTGATAGGTGGGTCAGAGCAGGCTGCTGGAGAATGAGACAGCCACGTCTGCCACTGGGGAAATTTCCTTTATGGGAAGCTTATATGATTATTCATAAGAAGGTGATGATGGGCATTGCTGTTAAGCATGTTGTGGGTGGTCTCCTGAGTGCACATGTGCAATGACTGTACATGCTAGCACATATATCATGTGACTCGTTAGCATCTCAACTTCCCACCCAGTGGTGTATCTTCTACTATCACAATAAACAGAGGTCAACCTAATCATGAGTTTCTCCACTTGCATGAGTTTGGGTATTTTCTCTTCTGCTCTTCTTCATCCCTGTTGTGGGATAATTTAACCACAAGTCCTAGATGAGATTTGTGCAATGTCGAGCAGTTTGTTCACTCCATTTATTTGGCAAGTTTCTTGTTCCTCTTTAAGGGAGGCTACGAGAACCATCTCTAACTTACCTTTCTAATGTATGGGAGAGTTTCCAGTGAATGCAGGAAGAAAGGGTGTCCAAACAGGCACTGGAATTAAGTCTTCTTGGGTTAAATACAGTTCAGAGCACAGGATAAAGTACCTAAAATTCACAGGGCAGAGTACCAGTAAAGAGAGAGTTGCGGAGAGATAGAGAATCAGAAATTTGCAGAGTTATTTGAGTCTTCAGTTTAGTGCTGATCATTGCTTAAGTGTAAGGAAACTACCAACAACTGGGGAAAGAACCACAGGTAAAATTAAAAGAAACAGTCCCTGGAGTCCAAATGGGATCAAGGATATTTCAAGTTTTCGGTAGGTAATGTGGAAAAGCCATTTATAATTAATAGGCATCACGTAGGGTACTCAGAAATGTCGTCTCAGTAGTTGGGACAAAATTAGTCATGGACCTAAGGCTGCTCTGTTTCTACCTAACAAAGAAATAAAATATTTTAAGTAACTTAACTGTGTCCCAGAACAAAGTTCAAAAAGACAGAAGCTCGTGCGAAACTTAGTTCCCAGCAAAGTAAAATGTATCAGTAAAAATGACTAGATATCCACAGAAGCAGAAAAAAAAAAATTAGAACCCATAGCAAGAGAAAAGTTCAACCAATAGAAACATACCCCAAAATTATACAGATGATAAAATTAGTGGATAAGGAGATTGAAACAGTTATTGTGAATATATGTCTTTTTTTTTTTTTTTTTTTTGAGATGGAGTCTTGCTGTGTCACCCAGGCTGGAGTGCAGTGGCCTGATCTGGGCTTACCGAAAGCTCCTCCTCCCCAGGTTCATGCCATTCTCCTGCCTCAGCCTCCCAAGTAACTGGGACTACAGGCGCCTGCCACTATGCCCATCTGATTTTTTTTTTTTTTTTGTATTCTTAGTAGAGACGGGGTTTCACCGTGTTACCCAGAATGGTCTCGATCTCCTGACCTCATGATCTGCCCGCCTCAGCCTCCCAAAGTGCTGGGATTACAGGTGTGAGCCACTGCACCCGGCCAAATATATTTCATATGTTTAAGAAAGCAGAGAAAATTATGAACATGTTAAGGAGATACATTAATGATATAAAAGATTCAAATAGAAATTCTACACATACATAAAATATACAGTGACTAAGATGAATGATATACAGGATGGAATTAAGTATTTAGACACCATAAGGAGAAGATTAATGAATGTAAAAATACAACAGTATAGACTATCAAAAATGAAACACAAAGAGAAGTAGAGACTGAAACACAAACAAAAATACAAGCCATTAGTGAAATGTGGGACAACTGCAAGCAGGCTCTCAAAAATGTAATTGTAGTTCCCAAAGAGACTGTGAAGGAGACCAGAAAATTTGTTTAAATACATAGGGGGCCACAATTTCTCAAAATTCGATGAAAAGTAAAAATCCACAGATCCAAGAAATTCAATGAATTCCAATCACAAGAAACGTGAAGAAAACTGCACCAAAGCACATCATTATCAAGTTACTTAAAATTCGTTATAAACAACCCGTCTTAAATTAGTCAGAGGAAAAAAGACATGCTAAACATACAGAGGACAAAGATAAGAATGGCAGCAGACTTCTGGTCAGAATCGATAAAATTCTAAATGTGCGTCATCAGTGAAAATAAGTTTTTAAAAATGAAGGTGAGACTTCCAGTCTTAACATATAGCATAGATAAAGCTATATGTTAAGATAGCATAGACTTGTCTCTTTCTGTTTTTCCCCATTAAGTACAACCCTAAATCCAGAAAATAATGCAAGAGACACCAAAGGAGAATTTTCAAAGGTGGAAAGGAGAGCACAGTCTGGGTAGGGATCCCAGCACGAGAAAAACAGCACCACAGAAGAGTGTCCTATAACCAGCCTCAGAAATACCTGAGGCTGGGTAATTTATAAGAAAATAGGTTTCATTGGCTCAAGGCTCTGCAGGCTTTACAGGAAGCATAGTGGCATCTGTTTCTGAGGAGGCCTCAGGAAGCTTCCATTCATGGCAGAAGGCAAAGGGGTAGCAGGTACATCATATGGTGAGAACTGGAGCAAGTAAGAGAGAGAGTTCACGGGGAGATGCTACACACTTTTAAATCACCAAATTCCACGTGAATTTAGAGCGAGAGCTCACTTATCACCAAGGGGATGGCCCAGGCTAGTCATGAGGGATCTGCCCCATTTTCCAAACACCTTTGACCAGGCCCCACCTTCCACTTTAGGGATTACATTTCAACATGAAATTTGGGCAATTGTCCAAATGATATCAGAAGGTGATCCAGGCGGGACATTTCACAACCACCGACATAGCAACACAAGGTGGTTGAGATAGGCCTGTTTCTTACCCTACTGAATACAAGTTCTGCCAACTACACCAGGTGAATCTAGAAGAACTGGCAAGGAGACTGAATGGGAAGCTCCACTGACAATAAGCAGCCATTGGGAAGCACACTTCTTCCTCTTGGACCTGACACCTCTTCCCCAAACCAGAGGAACTCTGTAGCCAGGGGCATCAACAATGGGAATTATGCCACAACAAATGTCCCTAGCTTGGGAAACACATTTTTCTTCTCCCACAAGTATGGGGAGTCAGCAAAAACAAGTACCCCACTTGGGAATGGCTCTTTGTTCCTGCAGGACAGAAACTCCCTTCCTCAACCTAGAGGCATCAGGCAGCCCAAGCAGCAGTAACTTCCAGTAACTTCTCCTAAAGCAGCAAGGACCAGTAGGAGCCACAGTGGCACTGGATAAAACAAGCAGACCAAAATAGCACCAAGAAGACTCTGAAAATTAGGCTGTCGTGAAACCATAGCTCACAAAGTAGAACAGGGCTTATGTGCTAAACCAAAACAGGGTGACTAACTGCTAAATGAAAATTTTAACAGAGTCCCCTAACATATATAGTAGCTTAACTGTTCCAAGACATTACTCATTATATCAAGCACCAGGAAAATCTAATCCTAATAAGAAAACACAATCAAATAACATTAAATAGTGAGAAAAATCAGATGTTGAAATTATCTGACTTGGATTTCAAAGCACCCCTTATGAAAATGTTTCAACAAGCAGTTACTAATTCTCTTAAACACATAAAAGAGTAATAAAATCTCAGCAAATATTTATGTTATAATAAAGAATTAAATGGAAATGGTAAGACTAAAAACAGCTCCAAAGAGGATAAATCTGAAGAAGCATCAAGACACATCATAATTAAATTTCTGAAAACTAAAAGCAATGAAATAAAATTAAAAGTAACCAGAGAAAAACAACATATTGTCTATAAGGGAACACCAATTCAAGTGACAGCAGATTTCTCCTCTGAACTGATAGAGGCCAGCAGGCATTGACACAATATTTTTCCACTTCTGAAAAAAACAAACCCAAAACTCCTGTGAACTGAGAATTTTATATCCAAGAAAACATGTCCTTCAACAATGAAGAGTAAATGAAATTATTCTCAGATGAATAAAAACTAAAAAAAAAAATTGTCACTAGCAGACCTACCCTTAAAAAAATGACAAAAGAAAATTCTTCAAACAAAAAAATGAGAAAAGAAATAATTTGGAGCATCTAGAATGAAGAAAGAATAACAGAAAGTTGAGAAATATGAGTAAGCACAATAGACTACCCTTTCCCTCATGAATTTTCCAGATCATATGTGATGATTGAAACAAACATTATAGCACCATGTAACACTCAAAACAGTGATATTTTAAAATGGGAGGGTAAAAGTACCTGAATAGATGTAAGGTTTTCATACTTTATTCAAAGTCACATAGGCATATTGTAATACCCAGAGCAACTACCAAGAAAATCAACCACAAAGCAATACACTAAAAAATAAGATAAACAGATTAAGTGGGATTCAAAAAATATTTTGGTCATTTACAGGAATTTCTCAGCAACAAAAGACAAGGCAGGAATAAAGGAATAAGAAACAGAAAGAAAGCAAATAGTAAAATAGCAGACTTGAGCCCTAATACATCAATGTAAATGTAAATAGTCCACATATGCCAATTACAGGGTAAAGGAAAGGGGATAAAAGAGAGTGGATTAAAAAAAACTTGACCCCAAACTATATTCTGTTTAAAAGGTTCTCACTTCAAATTCAATGACATAGGTAGGTTGAAGACAAAGGATGGATGAAAAAAGATATATCATGCAAACATTCATCAAAGAAAGCAGGAGTGGCTATAAATATATCAGATAAAGTAGACTCAGAACCAAAAAAAATGCTATAGACAAAGACAACCATCACACAGTGATAACAGAAATAATCCACTGGGGGCGGGAGCCAAGATGGCTGAATAGGAACAGCTCCGGTCTACAGCTCCCAGCATGAGCGATGCAGAAGATGGGTGATTTCTGTATTTCCATCTGAGGTACCGGGTTCATCTCACTAGGGAGTGCCAGACAGTGGGTGCAGGACAGTGGGTGCAGTGCACCGTATGCGAGCTGAAGCAGGGCGAGGCATTGCCTCACTCGGGAAGCGCAAGGGGTCAGGGAGTTCCCTTTCCTAGTCAAAGAAAGGAGTGACAGACCGCACCTGGAAAATCGGGTCACTCCCACCCTAATACTGCGCTTTTCCAACGGGCTTAAAAAACGGCGCACCAGGAGATTATATCGCGCACCTGGCTCAGAGGGTCCTATGCCCATGGAGTCTCGGAGTCTCGCTGACTGCTAGCACAGCAGTCTGAGATCAAACTGCAAGGTGGCAGCAAGGCTGGGGGAGGGGTGCCCGCCATTGCCCAGGCTTGCTTAGGTAAACAAAGCAGCTGGGAAGCTCGAACTGGGTGGAGCCCACCACAGCTCAAGGAGGCCTGCCTGCCTCTGTAGGATCCACCTCTGGGGGCAGGGTACAGACAAACAAAAAGACAGCAGTAAACTCTGCAGACTTAAATGTCCCTGTCTGACAGCTTTGAAGAGAGCAGTGGTTCTCCCAGCACGCAGCTGGAGATCTGAGAACGGGCAGACTGCCTCCTCAAGTGGGTCCCTGACCCCTGACCCCCAAGCAGCCTAACTGGGAGGCACCCCCCAGTTGGGGCAGACTGACACCTCACACGGCCGGGTACTCTTCTGAGACAAAAACTTCCAGAGGAATGATCAGACAGCAGCATTCGCGGTTCACGAAAATCCACTGTTCTGCAGCCACCGCTGCTGGTACCCAGGCAAACAGGGTCTGGAGTGGACCTCTAGCAAACTCCAACAGACCTGCAGCTGAGGGTCCTGTCTGTTAGAAGGAAAACTAACAAACAGAAAGGACATCCACACCAAAAACCCATCTGTACATCACCATCATCAAAGACCAAAAGTAGATAAAACCACAAAGATCGGGAAAAAACAGAGCAGAAAAACTGGAAACTCTAAAAAGCAGAGTGCCTCTCCTCCTCCAAAGGAACGCAGCTCCTCACGAGCAATGGAACAAAGCTGGACGGAGAATGACTTTCACGAGTTGAGAGAAGAAGGCTTCAGACGATCAAACTACTCCGAGCTACAGGAGGAAATTCAAACCAAAGGCAAAGAAGTTGAAAACTTTTTGAAAAAAATTTAGACGTATGTATAACTAGAATAACCAATACAGAGAAGAGCTGAAAGGAGCTGATGGAGCTGAAAGCCAAGGCTTGAGAACTACTTGAAGAATGCAGAAGCCTCAGGAGCCGATGCGATCAACTGGAAGAAAGGGTATCAGTGATGGAAGATGAAATGAATGAAGTGAAGTGAGAAGGGAAGTTTAGAGAAAAAAGAATAAAAAGAAATGAACAAAGCCTCCAAGAAATATGGGACTATGTGAAAAGACCAAATCTATGTCTGATTGGTGTACCTGAAAGTGACGGGGAGAATGGAACCAAGTTGGAAAACACTCTGCAGGATATTATCCAGGAGAACTTCCCCAATCTAGCAAGGCAGGCCAACATTCAGATTCAGGAAATACAGAGAACACCACAAAGATACTCCTCGAGAAGAGCAACTCCAAGACACATAATTGTCAGATTCACCAAAGTTGAAATGAAGGAAAAATGTTAAGGGCAGCCAGAGAGAAAGGTCGGGTTACCCTCAAAGGGAAGCCCATCAGACTAACAGCGGATCTCTCGGCAGAAACTCTACAAGCCAGAAGAGAGTGGGGGCCAATATTCAACATTCTTAAAGACAAGAATTTTCAACCCAGAATTTCATATCCAGCCAAACTAAGCTTCATAAGTGAAGGAGAAATAAAATACTTTACAGACAAGAAAATGCTGAGAGATTTTGTCACCACCAGGCCTGCCCTAAAAGAGCTCCTGAAGGAAGCACTAAACATGGAAAGGAACAACCAGTACCAGCCACTGCAAAATCATGCCAAATTGTAAAGACCATTGAGGCTAGGAAGAAACTGCATCAACTAACGAGCAAAATAACCAGCTAACTTCATAATGACAGGATCAAATTCACATATAACAATATTAACTTTAAATGTAAATGGACTAAATGCTCCAATTAAAAGACACAGACTGGCAAATTGGATAAAGAGTCAAGACCCATCAGTGTGCTGTATTCAGGAAACCCATCTCACGTGCAGAGGCACACATAGGCTCAAAATAAAAGGATGGAGGAAGATCTACTAAGCAAATGGAAAACAAAAAAAGGGAGGGGTTGCAATCCTAGTCTCTGATAAAATAGACTTTAAACCAACAAAGATCAAAAGAGACAAAGAAGGCCATTACATAATGGTAAAGGGATCAATTCAACAAGAAGAGCTAACTATACTAAATATATATGCACCCAATACAGGAGCACCCAGATTCATAAAGCAAGTCCTGAGTGACCTACAAAGAAACTTAGACTCACACACAATAATAATGGGAGACTTTAACACCCCACTGTCAACATTAGACAGATCAATGAGACAGAAAGTTAACAAGGATACCCAGGAATTGAACTCAGCTCTGCACCAAGCGGACCTAATAGACATCTACAGAACTCTCCACCCCAAATCAACAGAATATACATTCTTTTCAGCACCACACCACACCTATTCCAAACTTGACCACATAGTTGGAAGTAAAGTTCTCCTCAGCAAATGTAAAAGAACAGAAATTATAACAAACTGTCTCTCAGACCACAGTGCAATCAAACTAGAACTCAGGATTAAGAAACTCCCTCAAAACCACTCAACTACATGGAAACTGAACAACCTGCTCCTGAATGACTACTGGGTACATAACGAAATGAAGGCAGAAATAAAGATGTTCTTCGAAACCAACGAGAACGAAGACACAACATACCAGAATCTCTGGGACGCATTCAAAGCAGTGTGTAGAGGGAAATTTATAGCACTAAATGCCCACAAGAGAAAGCAGGAAAGATCCAAAATTGACACCCTAACATCACAATTAAAAGAACTAGAAAAGCAAGAGCAAACACATTCAAAAGCTAGCAGAAGGCAAGAAATAACTAAAATCAGAGCAGAACTGAAGGAAATAGAGACAAAAAAAAAAACCTTCAAAAAAGTAATGAATCCAGGAGCTGGTTTTTTGAAAGGATCAACAAAATTGATAGACCGCTAGCAAGACTCATAAAGAAGAAAAGAGAGAAGAATCAAATAGACGCAATAAAAAATGATAAAGGGGATATCACCACCAATCCCACAGAAATACAAACTACCATCAGAGAATACTACAAACACCTCTATGCAAATAAACTAGAAAATCTAGAAGAAATGGATAAATTCCTGGACACATACACCCTCCCAAGACTAAACCAGGAAGAAGTTGACTCTCTGAATAGACCAATAACAGGCTCTGAAATTGTGGCAATAATCAATAGCTTACCAACCAGAAAGAGTCCAGGACCAGATGGATTCACAGCCGAATTCTCCCAGAGGTACAAGGAGGAACTGGTACCATTCCTTCTGAAACTATTCCAATCAATAGAAAAAGAGGGAATCCTCCCTAACTCATTTTATGAGGCCAGCATCATCCTGATACCGAAGCCGGGCAGAGACACAACCAAAAAAGAGAATTTTAGACCAATATCCTTGATGAACATTGATGCAAAAATCTTCAATAAAATACTGGCAAACCGAATCCAGCAGCACATCAAAAAGCTTATCCACCATGATCAAGTGGGCTTCATCCCTGGGATGTAAGCCTGGTTCAATATATGCAAATCAATAAATGTAATCCAGCATATAAACAGAACCAAAGACAAAAACCACATGATTATCTCAATAGATGCAGAAAAGGCCTTTGACAAAATTCAACACCCTTCATGCTAAAAACTCTCAATAAATTAGGTATTGATGGGACATATCTCAAAATAATAAGAGCTGTCTATAACAAACCCACAGCCAATATCATACTGAATGGGCAAAAACTGGAAGCATTCCCTTTGAAAACTGGCACAAGACAGGGATGCCCTCTCTCACCACTCCTATTCAACATAGTGTTGGAAGATCTGGCCAGGGCAATTAGGCAGGAGAAGGAAATAAAGGGTATTCAAATAGAAAAAGAGGAAGTCAAATTGTCCCTGTTTGCAGATGACATGATTGTAAATCTAGAAAACCCCATTGTCTCAGCCCAAAATCTCCTTAAGCTGATAAGCAACTTCAGCAAAGTCTCAGGATACAAATTCAATGTACAAAAATCACAAGCATTCTTATACACCAATAACAGACAAACAGAGAGCCAAATCATGAGTGAACTCCCATTCACAATTGCTTTAAAGAGAATAAAATACCTAGGAATCCAACTTACAAGGGATGTGAAGGACCTCTTCAAGGAGAACTACAAACCATTGCTCAATGAAATAAAAGAGGATACAAAGAAATGGAAGAACATTCCATCCTCATGGGTAGGAAGAATCAATATCATGAAAATGGCCATACTGCCCAAGGTAATTTATAGATTCAATGCCATCCCCATCAAGCTACCAATGACTTTCTTCACAGAATTGGAAAAAACTACTTTAAAGTTCATATGGAACCAAAAAAGAGTCCGCATCCCCAAGTCAATCCTAAGCCAAAAGAACAAAGCTGGAGGCATCATGCTACCTGACTTCAAACTATACTACAAGGCTACAGTAACCAAAACAGCATGGTACTGGTACCAAAACAGAGATATAGATCAATGGAACAGAACAGAGCCCTCAGAAATAATGCCGCATATCTACAACTATCTGATCTTTGACAAACCTGACAAAAACAAGAAATGGGGAAGGGATTCCCTATTTAATAAATGGTGCTGGGAAAACTGGCTAGTCATATGTAGAAAGCTGAAACTGGATCCCTTCCTTACACCTTATACAAAAATTAATTCAAGATGGATTAAAGACTTAAACGTTAGACCTAAAACCATACAAACCTTAGAAGAAAACCTAGGCATTACCATTCAGGACATAGGCATGGGCAAGGACTTCATGTCTAAAACACCAAAAGCAATGGCAACAAAAGACAAAATTGACAAATGGGATCTAATTAAACTAAAGAGCATCTGCACAGCAAAAGAAACTACCATCAGAGTGAACAGGCAACCTACAAAATGGGAGAAAATTTTTACAACCTACTCATCTGACAAAGGGCTAATATCCAGAATCTACAATGAACTCAAACAAATTTACAAGAAAAAAACAACCCCATCAAAAAGTGGATGAAGGACATGAACAGACACTTCTCGAAAGAAGACATTTATGCAGCCAAAAAACACATGAAAAAATGCTCACCATCACTGGCCATCAGAGAAATGCAAATCAAAAGCACAATGAGATACCATCTCACACCAGTTAGAATGGCAATCATTAAAAAGTCAGGAAACAACAGGTGCTGGAGAGGATGTGGAGAAATAGGAACACTTTTACGCTGTTGGTGGGACTGTAAACTAGTTCAACCCTTGTGGAAGTCAGTATGGCGATTCCTCAGGGATCTAGAACTAGAAATACCATTTGACCCAGCCATCCCATTACTGGGTATATACCCAAAGGACTATAAATCATGCTGCTATAAATACACATGCACACGTATGTTTATTGTGGCACTATTCACAATAGCAAAGACTTGGAACCAACCCCAATGTCCAACAATGATAGACTAGATTAAGAAAATGTGGCACATATACACCATGGAATACTATGCAGCCATAAAAATGATGAGTTCATGTCCTTTGTAGGGACATGGATGAAATTGGAAATCATCATTCTCAGTAAACTCTCGCAAGAACAAAAAACCAAACACCGCATGTTCTCACTCATAGGTAGGAATTGAACAATGAGAACACATGGACACAGGAAGGGGAACATCACACTCTGGTGACTGTTGTGGGGTGGAGGGAGGGGGGAGGGATAGCATTAGGAGATATACCTAATGCCAAATGACGAGTTAATGGGTGCAGCACACCAGCATGGCACATGTATACATATGTAACTAACCTGCACATTGTGCACATGTACCCTAAAACTTAAAGTATAATAATAATAAAATAAAATAAAATGATAAAATAAAAAAATAATCCACTGGGAAAACATAATGATCCTAAATGTGTATGCCCTAAACAATGGAGCCTCAAAAGTACATGAAGCAGTAATTGATGGAGCTGAAAAGAAATACAGAAAAGTCTACAATAGTAGCTGGTGGACCTCAACACCTCTTGCTCCACAACTTAGAGAATTATTAGACAGATAATTAGCATGAATATAGAAGATCTGAAAAAAAGAGTCAGTCAACATCAATTACTTAGCATATGTAGAATACTCCATCCAACAAAAACAGAATACACTTTTTTTCTACACTCCAATGGAATGTTCATCAGGATAGACAATATCTTGAGTCATAAAACAAGCCTCAATATATTTAAAATAATTGAACAACACTCAGTACATTATCTGACCATGATGGAATCAAACTAGAAGTCAGTAACAGAAAGATTACAGGAAAATCTCTATATACTTATAAATTAAATGACACAGTTCTAAATAACCAAAAAAGAAATCTCAATGGAACTATTAACAGTTAACACATAGCACTGAATGAAAGTAAAAGTGCAACTATCAAAACATGTGGGATGCAGGTAAAACAATGTTGAATGGTAATTTTATAATACTAAATCCTTACATTAGAATGAGGAGATATCTCAAATAAATAATCTAAGTTCCTACCTGAAAAAAAAAAACTAAAAAAAAAGGAAGAAAAAAAGGAAGAGCACAATGAACCCAAAAGAAACAGAAGGAAGGAAATAAAAATAAGAACAGAAACCAATGATGTTAAAACATGAAAATAATAAAGCAATGAAGGAAAAATCCAGTTCTTGAAAATAACAGCATTGATTAACATCCAATAAGACTGATAGAGAGAAGGAGAAGGGGAATACAAATCAACAAATCATCAACTGTAGGAATACTTCTCATTTCATTTAATAAGGCTAGTATTATCAAAAGCAGACAAAGATGGTCAAAAAAGAAACAAAAACTACCAACCAACATCTCATACACTTAGACCCAAAATGCTTTAAAATATTAGCAAACCAAATACAGCAATGCATGAAAAGAATTATGCACCATGACTAAGTGGGATTTTCTCTAAATATGAAGCCTCCGTCAACATTCACAAATCTATCAATGTATACTGCCATAATAATAGGCTAAAAAGAAAAATAATATAACATTAATTGATGCAGGAAAAGGATTTGAGAGAATCTAACACCATTTCATGGTAGAAAAAAAATAATTGCAAACTAGGAATTGAAGGGAACTTCCTAAAGTTTATGAAGAGAATCTGCAAAATTCCTACAGCTAACATCGATCTTAATGGTGAAAAATAGGAAGCTGTCCTTGAAGATTAGGAACAAGGCAATGACACCTGCTGTCATCACTCTTACTCAACAAAGTACTGAAAGTTCTAGCCATTGGAATAAGGAAGGCAAAGAAATAAAATGCATACAGATGGGAAAGGGAGAAATAAAACTGTCACTACTGGTGAATAACATGATTTTTTACATAGAAAATCCCAAGGAATCTACTCCCCTACAAATAAACCTCCTAGAACTACGGTAATTCAACAGGGTCATAGGATACAAGATCAAAACATAAAATTCAATTATATTTCTTTATAATAAAAACAAACATGTGGAACTGAAATTAAACACACAAGACCATTTACAACTGTTCTAAAGGAAATGAAATACTTAGGTACGAATCTAACAAAACATGTGTCTGTACCATGAAAATAGCAAGACTTTTTTTTAATCAAACAGATCAGTCAACAGATACTCATGAACCAATCACTTTGGACAATTGGGAGGATACAACAAAAGTGAAGACTTGGCCTACTTTCTGAGAGCTTAGAATCTAAATAAGGAAATGAAACAAGCACAAATAAGAGAGATCCTACAACAGAACGGTGGTGGCATGGAATAAGAAAGGGAACTTGCAATTAGGAAACTGACAAGCCTGTTTGTAACCTTACATTTATTGCCAGTGTAGATTTGGTAAATCTTTAAAAATCTCTGAACCACATATTCCTCATCCATAGAAGGGAGTTAATAAAAGCTCTCACGGTGTTGTGAGGTTTACATGAATAACCAATGTTAATATTTTTTCTGAATATAATGGAGGATTTAAATTGAAATAATTTGGTAATTGAGTAAGACAGACATTTAGTTCCATCAGTATTCAGTGAAAGAAGAGATAGTTTCTGGAAGATTTCTTCTCATCGCATCTAATGTTTGAGCAGTTTATATTTTAGTATTTTCTTTCTTTTTTCTTTACGAGGCTTGGCTTTCCCGTTTATATTTCCTAGAAGTGACACCTCCTAGGAATAAGAAGTCTTGGCTACCGAAACAGTTTACTGAATTGTAGCTTGAAGCTGCAGTCAATAAAATTCAATCATGTTCAAAGGGACATTTACCAATCATTGTTAGTCATAATTTTAAAATTCAAAAATCAGTCACTGTGAAGATACATGAAAGAAGACAAAGAATGTGCCCATTCTTTAAATATCCACAAACTAGTAAAAATTTTCTGTAATTTCTCTGTTGTTTCCTTCTCCCTCCACCAGATTTCCCTTGATATTTCATAACATGTATAAATTTTGGAGGAGAGAGTTTTGTGTATACACACAAAAAAATTATTACTTATGAATAAGTAGGTCACCTATTATGATATCCTAAAAGATATCAAGACAATGGGGGTAAAGGGAGCCTTAGAGGTCTTAGAAGACAATAGTGGAACATGTACTAAGTCATTCAAATACTTACAAACTTCCATTCCCTCCTGAGATCCAAACAACCCCTGGAGTCCTTTTAATCTAATCTTATTTTTACAGTTTTCAAGGAGCACAAACTGTAATGTTTGCTTCTTGGCAAGATTCCCCTGCAAATATGTTCCTTTCAACAGCAGCGCTATTGACACACCATGGGGTGTGTAGAAACTGACTCTGTCACAACCAGCCTCTGCTAGAGCATCAGGCATGAGGTCACTCCATGGCAGCATACTCTCTACCTGGGAAAAGCAGTCCAGCTGAGGTCATTGCTGAGTCTGCGGTCGCTTTTAAAGCCAAAATCATTTGGTATTTATGGTGCTTTGAAAATGTCTTATTTTCTGCCAACAGATCTATGACTTACAGCATTATTTGCATTTTCAGATGAAGAAGATGTGTCTCAAGAACTTATCTAA
This sequence comes from Homo sapiens, assembly GCF_000001405.40. Classification (NCBI taxonomy): domain Eukaryota; kingdom Metazoa; phylum Chordata; class Mammalia; order Primates; family Hominidae; genus Homo; species Homo sapiens. The sequence continues at coordinate 121,427,225 of NC_000008.11, forward strand.
AGATACGTTGGGTAGTAATTGGTTGAGCCAGGATTTAAACCTCGGTGTCTTTGACTCTAAATGTTGTACCTTGGCCCTTTCACTTGCCTGTCTCCCTTTAATGGTGATGTGGAAAGAATCTGTCGTTTGGTATCAACCTTGAATTTGAATCTGGCTTGTTCTCTTCTCAGATCCATGAGATTATATAATTAATCTCTCTCAATCTCATTTTTCTAATTTGCAAAAAAAGACAATTCAAGTTATCAGAAGGCTTACATAAATTAGTGTGTTTTCAAATGCTTTATATAGAACCTGGTGCGTAAGCGTTGCCTAACACATTACCTTCCAAGAACTTTATTTTTCTTCTTCCAACCCTCTCTGCATAATGGGGTAAGCTTAGAGGCAGCTGACACCACTACCACTGCCCATTGTGCTAGCAAGCCTGCCCCAAGCGGGAGGATCATTAATTTCAAAGCAAACCGTGCACACCTCTCTCTTAAACAACAGGAGTTCACTTGCTTACTCAGATTTGTTTCAGTCTGTCTTATAGAGATGTAGCCCTCTTGTTGATAAGGACTGCGACTTTCTTCCTTCCTGTCTGTTTTAGTGAAAGTGAGTGGTCTGCGTGTCTGAGCAACCACCACAGCAACACCACAGGATTCAGAAACATTGGCTTGAATCTGTGACTTGTGAGAAAGCAAATTTCTAGGAAACCAAAAATGAAGACTTCGATCTGCAATTCCAATTAAATTGCCATCAACTGTAATATCATCTTTCAAAGACACATAGGCATGCCTGAGTTTGTAATATTAGTCACAATATAATAATAAACAATGTTATGAATTTATTACATAAGCTTATGGATGATTCTGTTTACAAACAAATCAATAAAGTTACAGTATTAGAATTCTTCAGAGAATCAGAAACAACAGGACTTATATACACCTTATATAATTCTATTAAAGAATTATATAATATTTTATTCTTAACACTCATTTTATTTGGGTACATAGTGTGGTTGTTGATATCTTGCAGTAGTACTGCTTCTAAAAGTAATCAAAAATTGTAGGTGAATTTGAGAAGTTTACAGAATATTTATTCATTGTTTTCTTAGTAAGTCAGCTTAATGTTTATTTTATATTATTTTGTCACTGGGATAAAGGCTAATGGTGTTTGACTTCACTTCTGTGCAGACTTCAGTCTTAAACACTGTTTTGCCTAAAATTAGCATTGTGATGCTTTCTAAAAGGAATATCTTATAAACCCTATTTCACAGCAGAATTTCCAAATCTGTATAGAGACTACCACAAAATTGGACAAGGATTGGCAATTCTTTGTAAAGAATTTGTGAACGGTGTATAAATCTCTTCTAACATTTAATAAAAATTTATTTTAGCCTAACAAAAAGAATGTTAATAATTTATTATAAATGCTATATATAGATTAACATTATTGATTATATATTAGTAATATTTAGTACTATATATTGCTAATTAGTATTAATATTACTGACTTACTCTTTATATAGGACTATATATTCTATAGGACTATACATAGTAGTAATATATAGTCCTATAAATAGAGTAATATATAGTCAGTAATATCAATCTAAAATGTTATATAGAATTATATATTATAGAATTATATATTATATCATATATAATAATTATATAATATGATATATAATACATTATCATAACATATTATGTATTATTAATATGATAATATTACATGTTATTAATATATGTTATTAATTTTTTATATAATATTATAATCTCTTCTACTCGATATTATTAAAAAATGGCTCACATAATTATTGAAGCTACAAAGCCCAGACCCAAAAGAACCAATGGTATATTTGTAGCCCTGGTTTGAAGACCTGTGAACCAGGAGAGCTGACAGTGTAAGTTTCAGTCAAAGTTCAAGTCTGAGTCTGAGGCAAGAGATGACCTATGTCCCAGGTCAAAGACAGTCAGTACAAAGAAGGACTTTGTTTAAACTCAGTCTTTTCTTCTATTCAAGCCTTCGGTGCATTGGATGGAGACCACTCATTTGGAGAGAGCAATCTACTTTACTCAGCCTATTGATTCCAATGTTAATCTCATTTAGAAACGGCCTCACAGACACATCCAGAGGTCATGTTTAAACCAAATTATCTGGGCACTCAGTTGGTCAGTCAAGTTGACACATAAAATTCACCCTCACAGTAAGCCTTTAGGTAGCTGAGTTATACATTGATTACATTCAGTCATGTATTCATTCAGCCAGTAGATCAGGACACATTTTACTGCCTTTCATATGCTAGGCACTATAGCAAGCTGAATATTCAAAGATAAATATCATCTGGTCCTCAAAAGTTCAAAGTCTATTGGGGCACTGATGGATAAACAACTATTATCTATAATATAATATTAAAAAATTCTCAGAAAGCAGTCTATCATCCTTAATAATTGAAACATTAAGTGTTTTATATGCTTAAAATATGAAGGTCTTACACTTTATAAATGGAAGCCAAGCTTGTGCTATATTTTTATAGGTGAAGTCTTGAAGTCCAGGGACAAAAGCACTAGTTAACTTCTGGGAGCTTTGGTTCCCTCTGTTGTAATCTCCTGTAGGGTGTATGCCACAGGTGTGTCTCTTCAATGATGTCCCACTGGATATGCTGTTAATTACCTCCTGGGAGAGAGAGATTTGGAGGCATAAGTGTAAGATTTCACTTCAGTTTCTCCACAAGTATCTAGGGCAGTGGGAATGGGAAGTGAAGGGAGTAGACACATTTAGTTCGTCTTTTCAAATAATAAAATGAAAATGCCCACTTCAATAGTACAGGGTAGTAAGTACTCTAGAGAGTGAACAAAGTGCGTGAGAGTAAATTTGGGTAATATAATAAGAGCAGCTGCTTTTATTTTGTTGTACTATTATCATAATATAGAAAATTTATGACTACTACAGAGATGGGGGAAAGAACTGATACTGTTAAATGAGACTTCAACCAACATGTCACGAAGAGGTTCCACTTTTCCACTGTGAAATGGCCAAATTCTACTTTAGATTTATATAGAAAAAAAAACCTTATCCTTATACATATTTCAAAATACCATGTTGTACACAACAAGTATATGCAATTTTTATTTGTCAGTTTAAAAAATGGAGTAAAAAGAAAAAGCTTACCATGCCTCTATGCTGTGTGTCTCAGCCCCACAGTGCAGAAAGCCAGATTTTCCACTGTGTCTCTTGCACTTACACCAAGAGTACACATCCTTTTCTATGTGCTTGTGGGAAAGTTTGAGGTTTGCCTGGCTCCAAATAGCTAATCCAAGGAAACGTCTTCCATTCCTCACTTTTGGGTATTTATCCAAAAGAAATTTGGAGGCTGCTGGAGCTGAGCAATTGGAAACACTTTCCAGAAAATAGTGTGTCACAGTGTTTGCATCAGCTCTTCTCCTCTCTAGAACTGTAAGGGTGCATTGACTTGGTGGGTATATACACTCACCATCTCTTGAGTGCTTTTCGTATGCTGGGCACTGGGCTCGGTGTTTTGTAATCATTATCTCACTTAGTCTTTACAACAATCCTGTGAAGTCAGTACTGACATCCCAATTTACATATGAGAAATCTGAAGCTGAGATAAGTGAAGGAGCCAGAATTTAAACTCAAGTCTGCCTTAGCGGAGCACCCTTTACCGCCACATTGTGGTGAACAGTTTTGTTAAGGGATTTGGCCCTTGATTGCATTTGAAATGGCTCAGTTGGTGAGGAAAGCCAGGTTCATAGACTCCTAACCTTTGGCCATAGTGTTAATCCAAGTCTTTTTGAACCAGAGAAGGTATTACAGAAGAAACCACAGCCATGCTACTTTTGGAGTAGGGGCTGGTTCCCTCCACCAAATAGACAGCTTGAAGACTCTACCCTGAGCCACAGAAAACCTGCAAGCCATGTGCTCCGAAGAAAAGCCAGACTTCTCAGGAGAAGTTATCTTTTCCAGATTGTACAAACTTGGGAGAGCTTGGCTTAGTCAGGTTAATGCAGTTTAACACAGAGGCAAAGTAGGAGGGGAAAGAAAGCAAAACTAATGAAGCTCAGCCTTTGATCTCTACTAATCAAGGCATTTCATGGGGTACTTTATGATCGTGTAGTATTCCGTTCCTAATGAAAATGGTTTAAGCATGATTTTACTGTAGAGATCTAAGAGGCATGCATCTAGGGAAGCAGGCCAGATATTAGGTAACTCAAGACCACTCAGGAAATCAAAACAAAGTTACAGCTCCATTAGCCAAGTGTAATGTTTTTAGAGGGAAGGCAAAGGGGCCCAGGTAGCCAGAAATGTTCCCTGCCTTCATTCTCCCTGGGGAAAATACTGAGTATATTGTACATTCTGATGCATCCTAATCCCTATCTTAACCCTTATAGAGAGGCAGGACTACAAGTCTTTTACCACCTTTGCACACTAGCACTCAGCTGTTTACCTTATAATAATTTGCCTTTCCACTTTTGGCAGAGTCTTACTTGCCAGATGGACACTTCATTGAGTGTACATGTTCTGGAAGGAAGGAAACGTCTCGTGGGATGTGTCTGATGGAAAACAAAGATGTCCAGTGTATTACTCTACATTTCAATAGCACTTCATATTTGCAAAGGGCTTTATCACAGTGTTTTATTAGTGACTGCACACAACAGCCCAATGAGGGAAAATGGTAATGTTTTCACTGCACAAACAAAACTGAAGCATATTCAGGCTAAGCATTTGCTCCAGCCCACACAGCAAAGATTAGAAATTTCAGATTCAAACTTACATATTTTCAGAGCCTCACTTGCTTTAGCATCTCTGAGGTGGCAGCTATGACTATACAAGCTCAAAATGAAATGAAATCACAACTTTAGGCGGTACTCTAAGTATCCATGCCAAATATAAATTTTTATAAGGTAAAAGAAGTGCATCATAATGGAGAGAGCATGAGAATGGTTTGCCACCTTTTTCTATATTTGCATAATCCCACGTTTTGTGGTTCTCCCAGTTTATCTACAGTGACTCCTCTCCATTCTCCTCCTGACTTTGAACATTCCCTGAGGTCTAGTTCCTGTGTTTTTAATGCCACTCCTATCCCCAGCTTCAAATAACATCACAATATTAATAAATCCCAAATTACAAAATTGTTCTCTCTCTTCCAAATTATTCTTGTCCATTTCTTTGGTGATTCACCACGTATTTCTTGTATTTACCACATGCTTGGGGCACAGGGCAAATAGATAATTAAGTCTCAATACTTCCATTCATGTAGTTCTCAAGCTATCAAGACATGGCCATAGAAGAGAGCATTCCAATATCCCACGATAAATGTCATCGTGATCTCGGCATTGTCAGAACAGAGAAGCACCTTGCCCTGACTGGGGCTTGGGAGTTAGAGAAGGAATCCTGAAGGAAACACACTTAATTCTCATTCTCATATTCTCTATTTATCTCTTAATTATTCATATATCTGGTTGTTAATTATTTAGCACTTACTGTGTGCAAGTCAGAAGTGAGAACACAAAACATTAAATATGACACTTATTTCTGACCTCAAGGATTTTAATAGACAAGCAAGAAGCATGCATATGTCTACAAATAAGAGTGGTTCCCATATTGATATTTATCTTATCTTCATCTGTCTAGTTAAACATTTAAAATTCCTAGCTTTCAGTATTTATTTTTTATGGTTCTAGTAGAAAACCAGTTTTTATAAAGACAAGTTTCTCAATGAAAAGAGCTCTGTGCCCACTAGTTACTAAACATGTAGCTGCAAGAAAATCATAGGGTCACTTTGAATTTAGTTTCTTTTTCCCCAAATAGGAACTATGAATAGTATTAATACTATGAGGTGTATAAGAATCAAATTATAAGAATGCTGTTATAAGAAGAATTTTTCAAACTATAGCCTGTATACCATATAGATAATGGTTAGATTATTTTTATATTGTAATTATGTTAAATTTATTTTAAATTTACAAAAATTGCAAATACATGAATAAAAGTGTTATCAAATCCATTTCAAATAAGATTGACTATAAGATTTTTAATAATCTTGAATTTATTTTCTTTATATATGCTCCAAATCACTTGTACAGTGTAGGAAGTGCTGTGAAAAGGCACTGATAATTAGAATTTTAATCTTACAAGAAAAGAATCTAAAAATCAACTAACATCTACCAATTTTTTTGTAATAAGATATTTGGGACTTAAAGTGATTTAGTATCTTTCCTAGGGTCTCAGAACTAATTAAACATAGAAGTGAAATAGAGCCCACATCAACTGAGTTCTCATGCATCATATTTTATTTGTTGAATTGAGCTGACTTCTTACTGGAGGCAAATTACTTAGCTCCTATTAGGCCAAAGCAAACAAGATTCCATCTATATAATATGTGATACAATGGGGTTAGTTTCTGTGCCTTTCTGTTTTACCTAGCTCCGTATAATACACAAAACGGAGTGAGAAGCATGTTGGCATCAATAATAAAGTACTGTCACAGGGCAAGCATGGGAATGCATATCGCTTTATGAAGTTCCAGAGGCTTGGACTGATTATCCTAAGAGCTCTATCCACTGCCATGCCCCTCAACTCCCAAGGACCCACGTGAAATGAGTCTCTCTTGAGAGATGAAGAGGGGAGGCATTTATTCACCTGCTCCCATTTCTCATTAGCTAGGTGTTGCCACGTGGGGAGATAATTCACTCACACTTCCAGATACAATTCCTGGTAGGTACCAGTAGCGGAACCACCCCATAATGTCAGAGAATGTCCAGGGCAGAAAGTGAGAGATGTACGTCATAGCTGAGGTGGGTACTGTCAGACTACGCCTAAACCAACCTGATACTGAGGTAACAGATGGAGTAGGGCATGCCAAGAGAGATGAGGGGAAGCAAAAGAAGTCAGACCTTACTATGTATGATAGATTCTTTACAACGCTAATATAGTAGTTACTATGCATCATATATTTCTTTTTTTTTTTTTTAGTGTTTGCTATCAGTGAGTTTTTTTACATTATTGTTCCTTTTCTAAAGAAATACATCATCAACATTTTTTTTTTTTTGAGACAGAGTCTCACTCTGTCACCCAGGCTGGAGTGCAATGGTACGATCTCTGCTCACTACAACCTCCGCCTCCCAGGTTCAAGAGATCCTCCTGCCTCAGCCCCCAAAGTAGCTGGGATTACAGGCATGTGCCACCATGCCCAGCTAATTTTTATATTTTTAGTAGAGACGGGGTTTCCCTATGTTGGTCAGGCTGGTCTCGAACTCCCAACCTCAGGTGATTCACCTGCCTCAGCCTCCCAAAGTGCTGGGATTACAGGTGTGAGCCACTGCGCCCAGCCGCATCATGTATTTTTCTATATATACACACTAACATAATACTATGCATCATACATTCTTCTCTACAAACATTAACATAGTACTTACTGTGTATCATACATTCTTCTTAGTGCTTTCCACATACTAGGTCATTAAAACCTGACAGTAACTTATGACATAGACACTAGTTCTATGTCCCTTTTGCAGAAGAGAAAACTGAGATGGAGGGGTTAATTCAGTTGTTTGAGTTCATGCATTTAGTAAATGCTGTAGCTGGGAATTAAATTCACACATCCTGGCTCCAAACACCATACTCAGACTATACTGCACTAGGTAGTGTTTGGGAGGTGAGTAAAGGAGAGAAATGTTTTAACTTCTAAACCAGAATAAAAAGAGTAACTTTGAAAGATACACCTGTCATTTTATGAATGCAAGAAGTTTAGTGTAATAGTTCAGTGAATAAATTTTCAGGTCAGACAGGCCCGAATATTAGTTCACTCTCTCAAACTTCTTCTAGCTACTTTGCACAAAATACTTAATGTTTGTAAACCTCAATTCCTTCTTCTATACAATGGGTCATATTTATTTTATAGGGCTGTTGTGAGAAGGAAGTATATTTAAATTGCTTAGATTACTCAGTAAATCCTCTAGAAATAAATGGTAGCTTAAAATTGTATATCTTTACAGAACATCTATGATTGCACATGTCTCTTCTGCTTTTGAAAGACCTTTTTAAAGAAATATAAAAAAGAATGAAGCTTAGTGCTGGCAGCATATGGCTCAGAATGAGGCAGGAAACTTATTTATTTATATACTTGCTTTTCAGTTAAAATCTCTTTAAAATGTTTTTCCTGCCCTTGGCCAACATTAAAAAGCAAACAATTCTAACATTGGATAGTGCTGAGTTATCTGAATTAAAATCCAGAGGCTGCAGTATGTATAGAGCCCTGGAGCTCCACCATTACTAACCTACTAGGTATATTTTTTTTAATTTTTAAAATCACTGAGCCTTACTTTATGCCTTTTTGTTTATTTATTTATTTGTTTATTTATTTATTTTTGAAATGGAGTCTCACTCTGTCACCCAGGCTGGGCTGGAGTGCAGTGGTGCCATCTCGGCTCACTGCAACCTCCATCTTCAGGGTTCAAGCAGTTCTCCTGCCTCAGCCCCCGAGTAGCTGGGATTACAGGTGCCTGCCACCACGCCCAGCTAATTTTTGAATTTTAGTAGAGATGGGGTTTCACCATGTTGGCCAGGCTGGTCTCGAACTGCTGACCTCAAGTGATCAGTCCGCCTCGGCCTCCTGAAATGGATATAATAATTATATTTATTTAGCAAGATTGTCCTGAAAACCAAATGGTATGATGTAAGTGACACGACTGGCCTACAGTAGATGCTAACCAAATGATAATGTAGTTGCACTGTGATGATGAAAAACTTAGACTATTTGGTGGAAAGGAAAATATGAGATCAAAATTCAGTCTGAAGGAAAAAAAATATCTCTTGCTACAATTTTGCTTTTCTTCACCCTCACTTGCCTCTTTATCCTCTTAGTATTTCTAGGGATACCTCTGTGTATATAAAAGTAGAAACTTTGTTCTTCACCCAATAAAATGGCAAATAGCTAAACACAATGGGGCTAGTTCACGGTGGAATGGCTAGTGTTGGATTGGATAGATTGGTAAATAAGATAGGGCAATGAAAATTTGATTGGCAGAATACAAATTTTGAAATATAATTTTTAGGTTGCCTTTTAGGAAAAGAGAGTAGAACAGAACCACGTTTTATTGGTGAGTAATAGGATAGGAAAGACAGGTCTTTCTGAAGGCCAGACATACATACTATTTTTCCAGGAGATTCAGATGGGATGCATTTGGCCTCACAGTTGCTTCTTGGGTACTATATCTGCAAACTTTGCTAATTTAGGCAGTATTTCATGTAGCTGAGGAACTTAGGAATGAGAACTTGGTCATATATAAGGCCAAAACTACGTATTCTTTGTTTGGGTCTTTGTTCGATATTTGGCCAAGGCCAACATTGGACAGGTGCCTGGCTGCCTTTTGGGAGATGATTGGATCCAGAGCACAACATCTGTTTGACATGGGGTTGTGAATGAAACTTCCTGGCATTTGTCACTGTCTATATTCATTTGGTACAAGCGGCAGATTGGTTCTTGGATTTGAAAATAAAGTAGCATTACCCAAATTTCCCATAGGCATTAATTTAGTGATATTAACAGAAATAACATATTTCATAGTTGAGGACAAAGACCTGTCCCCCAGTAATTTCTGGGAAAGCCTGGAGGAAGGGGGTGTCTCATCTCTGTTATAATCTTCTCATGACTCACTCATGCACTTTCACGGTAAACGCCCCTCATCTTCCACTAGATGCCCTGCCAATGCAGTTACCACTTTAGGGTGGTAGGTCACACTGTTTGTTGCTTGTGACTTCTGAGAAAGCCTGGTTACCATATCAAGAATATAGTTTCCCAGTGCTCCCAAAGATGTGTCATCCTGTGATTCCAAAATGATATTTTGCTCCATTAAATCTTCCAGGTCTAGAAAAATCATCTCCTCTAAGCAGAAAAGAAGCAAATGTCCCCTCCCCTACCCAGAGGCAGATGTACTCTAGGGCACTGTAAGTGACCCTAGCAATGTGTTCACATGATCCTATATCTTATAATATTGACAATCAGTATTAAAAGATATCTATTAAATATTCTCATGCTTCAGATCTCTGCTTAAGTGTCCCTTTCTCAGGAAAGTCTTACAGAGCCACTCTACCTAAGTAAATCCCTATCCCCAACTTTCTCTCCCAGCATCAATCACTTGGCACTACTTATAATCATTTAATTAATATATATTTACTTGCACTTTTGTCTGAATTCTTCAGTACAATATAGATATTTAATGGCAACTACAAAGTTGTCAATACATATTCATACATTCCCATCAAATGGCATTATAAATATAGCCATAGAAATCTGTAAAGGAAACACACAGATACAGCTTTAAACTTGTATTCTATTACTAGATCACACTAGCTACTGATTTTTTTTTGGAAATAGATAGATAAATAAGTAGATAATCTGTTTAATAAATTTTCATGTTTGAATGAATGATATCATGAGCAGAAGATAACTCTTGGGAGCAAAGTCAGGAGGACTGGATTGGATATGAAGATAGGCAAGTGTTACCTAGAACAAAAAATTTAAGGGGACACTCACTCTCAGTTCCTGCAAGGTTCTTGTAATGTTTCATATACCAAGTCTGCTCTTGAATGAACTTAAGAGGATCCCTCCTTAGATTTTCAACCCTGGCTGCCTAATTCACCTCATCCTATCCTGGGTTCTGAAGTAGAATCCCTCAGCAGAGGCAGAGGTACTACCTTGCTTTTATGACTATAGATCAGGTTGGGTATAAGTTATGGGGGCCTAAAGGTTCAGAATTAGCATGAACATCTTCATCTTCAACTAGTTACGCTTAGTTGGCTTGGGCCCTGATAACTTCTAGGCCAATAGATCCCAATCTTCAGTGTGTGTACAGAATCACACAGCATGCTAGTTTAAAAGGGCTCATTACCTTCCCTCACTCAGGGGTTCTGATTCAGCAGTTCTCATTGAACATTTAGGAACTCAACTGCTCTTGTCCTTCCAGATGTCAGCTGCTTGTCCTCTATCCAATTCTATGTGAAAATACAACAGAAACTTATGGCAGAGAATTACTGTGTAGTTACCAAGTCCTATTTTATTTTCCCTCTAGAAACACAGACCACATTTCCCTCTGGCCTTAAAATCAGTTGAACTATGGAACTGATTTCTGGACAGGAGTGATCAATATCACACCCAGGCCAGGCCCATAAGAAGACTCAGGCAATCCTCTTTGCCCTCAACCTTTTCTCATTTATCAGCCAGATGTAGACCATGCAGAAGACAATCTGAGAACATAGGAGATAAGGGAATTACTCAGTGCAAGGAGCTTGTACCTCTAAGTGACTGCCTGGGGCAGCTGCCCTGGCTCCAACATGCTCTGGTCCAAAAAGTAAGTGAAAACATTAGGCATAATTGTATTGAGGCATGAGAGTGTGTGGTCAACTGTTAGTGTGACCTCCTATGACTAAAAGAAAACTCACTTTTTCCTTCTGACCAAGGTAAAAATGTAGTACTTGGTATTTGGGATGCCTTGTTACTTTTAAGTTTGACTTTGTATTTAGTTTTTCTCACTGTCCAGAAATTCAGATTTATTGACGCAAGTGACACATCAGACAAATATGAGGCTAAAACCTTGGGATCTGGAATCAGACTTCTTGAATTTGCATCCCAAATCCACTACTTACTGGCTGTGTGTTTTTGAGACAGTTGTGTAACCTCTTTGAATGTACTTTCCCACTCATTTATAAAATAAAAGGAGTAATAACACTCTGTAAATAGTAATAATCAAATGGTAGCTATTATTATTGTTCTTATCAATATTAGTAGTATTATTTAACAGTAATATTAGTAGCCAATATATAAAATAACTAATATATTAATGATATAAATTGTTTATGATATAATTATATTGTTATATACACATAATAACCCATTATTGGTGTTACTAATATATTACTAATTAGCATTTAGTTAATACATATTTAGTTAATGGCAATATATATTACTATATATATATTGCTAACATATTACCAATTAGTAATATATATTACTAATTTGCATTAGTAATATATATTACTAATTTGCATTAGTAATATATATTACTAATTTGCATTAGTAATATATATTACTAATTTGCATTAGTAATATATATTACTAATTTGCATTAGTAATATATATTACTAATTTGCATTAGTAATATATATTACTAATTTGCATTAGTAATATATATTACTAATTTGCATTAGTAATATATTAGTGTTATAAATATTTTTAGTAATATATGTACTAATATTTTTGTATAGTAATAAATACCACTAAATGTTTATATTGCTGATACTAGTAAAATTGGAGAAGTTTTATGTATATTTATGTACATTTTACGTATTTTTTTCTTAGTTACATTTTTAGGTTTTGCAAATCCAGAATTTTTATCCCATCTGATTATTAATGTATAACAATAATTATGTCAATAATTATGACAATAAGATTGTCTGATAACATTTTCTTAAAGAATGAATCTTTTACCTTAGCATACATGTGATTCTATCGAGACACTGCAAGGATACTAGCGACTGTCCCATAGGGGCACACAGGTGTTTCATGTTGTTGCTTTCTACTTCTGATAACAGATCATGAAGCTATGTCATGACATGCCCTCTAGGCTTTTGGTAGCTGATATTTTCAAATATCAGAGTTTTGTATTCGCCCTCAGATTTCAACAGATTTCAGCAAGATACCAAGTCAGCTCCAACAAATGTGGAAAAACAATCTTTACTAATAGTATTGCAAAAGATACAGTGTTTCCTCCTATGAAAAAATTGTCTTAAAGAAGTTTCTTCCTTTAAAGAACTCAAGGAAAGAGAAAGACCTTCCCACACGTCAGAGAAAGACAATCTATATGTTGATACATATTACCCTAAATACATATATGCGTATATAAAAGTTATAATTTAATAGTTAGCAAGTACAGATTTGTTTTAACTGCTTTATTTAGGTATAAGTGGCCTGCATTAAAGCGCACATATGTGAAGTGTACAATTTTTAAAATTGTGACATATGCATATACCCATGTGTTCCATCACCACAATCAAGATTGTAAGTATATCCATCACCCCCAAAATTTCTTTGTGATCCTTTGTAGTCCCTCGCCCTTCTTCTCCCCAGAAACCACTGATCTGCTTTCTGTCACTATAGATTAGTCGGCATTTTTCTAGAATTTTATACCAATGGAAATATACAGTATGGACTCTTTTTGGCCTGGTTTCTTTCCTAGCATATTGAGATATACCCACATTGTTTCATGTGTAAAGCATTCATTCTTTTTATTGTTGAGTAGTATTCATTCCATATATGTACAATTTGGCTATCCACTCACCTGTTGATGGACATTTGAATCATTTCCAGTTTTTGGTTATGACAAAGTAAACTGTTAGGTATATTCATGCAAATGTCTTTGTATGAACAAATACTTTTACTTTAGTAAATACCTAGGAATGGAATGGCTGGATCATATGTGAGGTGTTTATTTGAGTTTTTAAGAAACTGTCAAACTGTTTTCCAAAGTGGCTCTACCATTTTACATTCCCAGAAACAGTGTATAAGTGTTCAAGTTTTGCACATCCTCATCAACACTTAGTATGATCAGTCTTTTTATTTTAGTTATTCTAGTAGGTGTGTAGTGGTGGCACATTGTGGTTTAACTTTCCAGTTCTTTGATAACCAATGATGTTGAGCAACTTTAAGGTGCTTACTGCCATTAGTACATCTTGGGTGAGCTTTCTGTACAAATGTTTTACCTATTTTTTATTGGATTATTTGTTCTCAATTTTGAGTTTGGGGAGCTCTTTAAATATACTGGATATGATCCTTTATCAGATGTGTGATTTGTGAATTTTTTTCTTCTGGTCTGTGGCATTTCTTTATCTTTTCCTAAAATTTGGAAAGAAGAGTTGAAACTAATCCTTTAAGAAAACAGGACAATGGAGTGCAGCGAAGTTAGTTGTTTACAATATAAAGTAAAATGACAATTGTGTTTCTAAAACATGTGATGTTAATCCACATGTGATTGTCATAAGGGTTTAGTGGCACCTTGCTTAATGGCCTTTGATGGCATAGGTACCTCTTCTGCTTGACAGTCCTATAATTAATTTTAACTGGCTCCAGCCTGCCTTTTCTGCCTTTTAACACAATTAACCCTTCATTGCTACCAGAGTACGCTTTCAAATATGTAAATCTAATCATGTGATTGTTTTTTCTGTCTCTGATAGAAAAAAGATAGGCCCTTCATTGGCTGCTAAGTGTGGCCACCATGTCCCAGGATGGCTCAAAACCTCAAGGTGTGATACACAGAGCACAAGAACGTGCATGTGACTGAGACATTGTCCCTGCCCCGAGCATCTCACAGACCAGTGATAGAGGCAAATACAAACAAGTGCAAAGTGTCTCTGGTAGAAGTAAACCAAAGAAATGTGGAGTCTATCCACACCACAGAGTGGACAGAATAATGGGCTTTAATGTATAAATACGTTCAAACCCTGGCTATGCAACTCACTAACTGTAAATTTGGGTAAGTCATTTAGTATCTTTGTACTTCAGTTTCCTTTCCTATGTAATGGAGATAATGAGATCTAACTCAAAGAATTGTTATCTAATAAAGAGACAATGCATTTAAAACTTAGTATATCTCAAGGTATCAAATTATAAATTATTTTCATTGCCCAGGAGACTATAAAAGTAGAGCAGGAGCGAGGAGTTGGGATCAAATATTTTGTACTGCTCTAGTTATGATTGCAAACGTTATTACACAGAATGTTTTGTTTGCTATGAATGTTACATGTACTATTATTCCTATTAATAGATGAAGAAAATGAGGAAGAAAGGTTAAAATCAAAAGTATCCACATTTATACATCTCAAACAGGGATTTTAACATGGGCCTTCTGTCTGGAATTAAATTTATTGAATTATCTTTTCAATCTATTGCCTATCTGGTTAACCCTATAAGGGTTTCTCAACACTGTCAGTATTGAAATTTTGAACCAGATAATTCTTTGTCGTGTGGGGGCTGTCCTGTGCCTGGTAGGATGTTTGGCAGTAAAACGGGAAAGGTTCCCTTGTCCCCTTCACAGGGGATGCGATGGGGGTGTGGCTTGCTTCTTCAGTGCCCCACTGCTCAAACCTCTAGGGGAGCACACAGACGGGCAGGCTGTGGGGCTCCGACCCCACGGCAGTGTCTGGGGGTGAATGTTTACAGCTCCTGAAACCCCAGTGGGCATGTGTTACAGGGTGCTCTTTTAGTTTGCCGTCTATAGGCGGCTCGTGTTAACTAGCTCAATTAGACCCTCTACCTTGTCGCAAGGACAGAAGGTTTTCGGTATCCGGGGTTCGTGCCTTGGTGTACCAGAAGAATCTGATCACACGTGAGCTTGGAAAATGAGTTTAAAGTTTTATTGAGTGGAAGTAGCTCTCAGCAGATCGAGGAGCCATAAGGGTGATGGTCTTTCCCTGGAGTTGGGCTGCTCGGTGGCCCCAGCTCTCCTCCGACTGCCCCGCCAAACTGCGCCTTGCCCCGCCAGTTGATGGCCTGCCCGGGCTCCGGTGTCTGTCTGTCTGTCTGTGTGCTCTTCCACCGGCGTGTTCCCTCCGTGTCCTCTCGCCATCCAGCTGCTTGTGTCTTCTCTTGCTGATGTGCTCCTCTCGCCGTCCAGCAGCTTCTGTCCCTGCCTTGCTTGGGTCTCGGGTTTTTATAGGCCCGGGATGGGGGCATGGCGGGCCAGGGTGGTCTTGGAAAATGCAACATTTGGGCACGAAGGCAGAAGTGCCTGTCCTGACTTAGGTCCGTGAGGGTAGAGCCCTAGCCAGGAACCACGGCCTCCTTTACCCAGCACTTCCTTCCCCACTTCCGTATCATTTAAAGTGACCACGCTCTTCCCTTCCCAGCACTTCCGTATCAACAGCATCCCTGGCCTCTTCCCAAGAAATGCTAGTAGCACCTTCACTCCCAGCTGTGACAACCGAAACTATTTTTGGTCATTGCCAGATGTTTTCAAGGAGGTAAAATCACCCCTGCTGAGAACCACTATGGTAGACAGAACTACCACCGCAGATGTAGACAGAGTTTTGACCTCCATGTATCTGAGTTCATAGCACTATATCACAACAAACAGCTAATACAATCCTATCTATTCTGGGATCTTGTGAAGTCATAATTTTGTAATCCCCCCTACTCCTATAATGCAGGAGAGCCTGAACTTTGATTCCCACTTAAAAAGTAGAATTTTGGCCAGGCGCAGTGGTTCATGCCCAGCACTTTGGGAGGCCGAGGTGGGCAGATCACCTGAGGTCGGGAGTTCGAGACCAGCCTGACCAACATGGAGAAACTTTGTCTCTACTAAAAATACAAAATTAGCCAGGCATGGTGGCGCATGCTTGTAATCCCAGCTATTCGGGAGGTTGAGGCAGGAGACTCGCTTGAACCCGGAAGGTGAAGGTTGCAGTGAGCCGAGGTGGCACCATTGCACTCTAGCCTGGGCAACAAGAGCAAAATTCTGTCTCAAAAAAAAGGCGAATTTTGCAGGTGATTGTCTCCATGGGGCATTCAGGGTCTTTAGTGACTGTCTTCTAAAGCTAGAGAATACCTTTGGGACACCTTCCTGGCTTCGTGCCTCTGTAATACTTTCAAGCTGTTGTATACACGGGGCGAATACATTAAAGTCAGGAAAAAGAAGGCCCTTCAGGGAGCTGAAAGTAGGTCTCTAGATCTCGGTGGGAGATCTCTGCCAAACAAGTCAGAACTGCAGCTTCTGTTGGCCCCTGGTGTGACAGAACTTGCAAATGTTATTAAAACATGTTTTCTGAGATCTGGAGGAAGGTGAAAAATGAGATATTTGTCATAAAAATTGCCAATGGGTCAACTTGGACCTGGTTGAATTGACTCTGTTACATAGACACATCCTGTTGAACACTTGTTATTTTTTTTTAATGGCCCCAAAGCCTTGTATTAGTTCATACTCCATCATAAATTCAGTCCTTTGTGAAAAAAGACCTTTGGATTTGAAAATAAAGGAAGTGCATCGTGTGGACTGCAGCAGTCTGCTTCTTGAAGAATGGTAGTGACTAAATAGAAAGCGAGGGTTTTTTTTTTTTTCCTGCTAATTGTTCTCTGAAAAAAATATTTTGGTGCTAAAAAGGACTCAGGTGGTGAGAATGGTAGGACTTGCTGTGTGAGCTTGAGAATGGCTCCTCCCTTTCTGCCTCTTGCTTTCCTCATTTGTCATTTAAAAGAGTTAGAAGAGACAGTATTTGAGGACCTCTCAGCAAATCCGCTTTGCAATACTGTAATTAGAACTTGAGTTTCCTGACTTGACCATTGAATGCTTTCCCATGGAAAATAATGGAATCCTCAGTTAATCCTACTCAGAAAAGAAACTGAGTACACTAAACTTCTAAGATTCTCACAGATTTTTTTCTTGTACACCAGTAATTTAAAGGAGAAATTCTAAGAACAAATGAGAAGGCTCTGAGATATATCCACAGCTAACTCCAAAGCAAATACCCTGATATGCTTGGTGTTGGTGAGGGCTCCTTTTGCTCAAGATAATGATGATTCCCTGTCTTCATGGAACTTACATGTTGCATGAATCCTCTAAGCTGGAAAATTTAAGTAAACAGAGAGAGGGAGAGGGAATAAGGGAGGCAGGAAAAGAGGATGGGAGAGAGAGAAAACATAATTCTCTTAAATTATTATTTTTCTCTAATTTTCTCTTCCTTAAAAAATAAGTTAGAGGTGATATGTGGTATTAAAAGAGAAGAAACTGACATAAATCTTAGAATCAAATATAGTTAAATGTAATACTAGTCATTGCTCTTGCTATCTATATTATCTTGAACCTCAGTTTCTTCATTTGCAAAGTAGGGACAGTATTTTGCTGGGGCTGTTGTTTGAGAATTAGATTTGACATAAATATCTGGCACGTAAAAATTGTTATATATCTATAGTCTCAGAATTACTGGACAAATGAAAAGTCAGTAGCTACAGGGTCATTAATAATTTTTGACAAGAGAAACTTTCAAGATAATTGGAAAATATTGGGCTCATGTAATTTACAAAGACCCAGGCATAAATATCACCATAATGGCCAACTGTAAAATGTGTAACCATATGGACAATTAATTTTTAATGTTTTATGCAGACATTTGGCATTGGAGACATAACCAAAGACCTGTTGGAGTATTTGCTTGTATCATAGCATATGCTTTGTGATCATCATCCCATACCTCTAATTCTCTTGGAACAGGGGGCCACTGATAATAAAAAGTACTTCAATCAGCCTGGCGTGGTGCCTCACGCCTGTAATCCCAACACGTTGGTAGGCTGAGGTGCACGGATTACCTGAGGTCAGAAGTTTGAGGCTAGTCTAGCCAACATGATGAAACCCCATCTCTACTAAAAATTCAAGAAAACAATTAGACAGGCATGGTGGTAGGTGCCTGTATTCCCAGCTACTCGGGAGGCTGAGGCAGGAGTATCGCTTGAACCCAGGAAGCGGAGGTTGCAGTGAGCTGAGATCGTGCTATTGCACTCCAGCCTGGGTGACAGAGTGACACTCTGTCTCCAAAAAAGAAAAAACTTGAATCTACTTCCTTTTCCATAGCACATTTTAGATCAGCACTACTTGTTCAATGGGCACAGTTGGGGAGACAGGAGAAATATAAAATTTAACCTTGCACATTTCCAGAACCCCATTTTAACACTTATTAATTCAAAACAATTCATTTAATTCTGCCATCTGCCCAAGATAGTGCCAGCCCTATAGAAAGCATAATCTTTGCCTTTAAAAAGAGAATCTATGGCCAGGCGCAGTGGCTCACGCCTGTAATCCCAGCACTTTCGGAGGCTGAAGCGGGCGGATCACAAGGTCAGGAGTTCGAGACCATCCTGGCTAACATGGTGAAACCCTGTCTCTACTAAAAATACAAAAAATTAGCCAGGCGTGGTGGCGGGCACCTGTAGTCCCAGCTACTCGGGAGGCTGAGGCAGGAGAATGGTGTGAACCCAGGAGGCAGAGCTTGCAGTGAGCCAAGGTGGCGCCACTGCACTCCAGACTGGGTGACAGAGCGAGACTCCCTCTCAAAAAAAAAAAAAAAAGAAGAGAGAGAGAGAATCTGCTAGTGGTTTCACAGCTATTAGTCGAACCATAACATAAACAAATATAAAATTGCAGCTATGATAAGTTCTTTCACAGAGAGAACCATGGTGCCATGAATGCACCTGGTAAAAATGTGAATCAGCCATGGCTTCTCTGAGGAAATGGAATTGACATCTGAGGAAGGTAAAAGGCAATGAGTCAGGTGGGAGTGAAGAAGATTCCAGGCAGGTAGAACAGCATACATTAAGACCCTGTGATATGACTGAGAACGAGGAGTCTGTAAAACTGAAGAAGGTCTTTATGCCTAGAGAGGCTCTTCAACTGGAAGAGTGGTGAGAGTGAGTCTCAAGAAGCAGGTAGTGACTGACCAAACTATATATGGCTGTTTCAGTTTCAGCAAGACACAAATCCTTCCCATTATCCTAAGACCAATGAGAAGACACTAAACATAGCTTTAAGACAAGGGAGAGGGTTAATCAGATTTATGCTTGAATAAGTCACTCTGGCTGGTGGGTTAAGAAAAAATGTTGGAGAAGGTCAAGTAGAGGATGCAGTGAAACCAGTTGAGATTCCGCTGCTGAAGCTTATGGGGAAGAAAATCATAGCTCGAAATAGCTTTTTGTTGTTTGACATAGAGGGGGAAAGTCAAATATAGACGTAAAAATCCAGTGACTTGGCATGGACTGACTGCGGATGTCAGAAAAGTGACAGGGAGATGTTGAAAGAGTCTTACGCTTCTGATTTATGCAACTAGCTCTATAGTGGACTCTTGGTAGATACAGAGACAGAATAAGGAACAAGCTCAAGAGTATTTAAAAGCCATTGATTAAGTTTGGGACATATTAAGCTTGGATGCCTTTGGGATACTGAAGAGGAGATGTTCATAAGGATTCAGGAGCGGTGCCCAAGTCGAAGTGACAATTTCTCCATGGGCAGCATGCTACCTGTAGGAGGCATGTAGGTGAGAGATGGAAACTGGTTTTGGGCCAGCCAGTCCTACCTCCAGAGCTCAGTAATGAGCCAGGTGCTGAGCGCCATTGAGAGACCTGGTCAGTTTTGCATTTTCTGGGGCAACCACTTCTATCTCTGTGTCTTCTCTCTTGCTTTTTTCTAGACTCACGATTTCAGTTGCCTGTTCCTTGGGATTTTAGGTCTCTAAGGCATGTGGTGTAGGGGAGTTTGCAATGAGAATCAGAAAAAATGCTTCAGTTTTTCCAGAAGGGATGCCTAAGGAGTTTCTGCCATCCAGAACTTAGAATCAAACACATGGCTCCTTGAGGGTGAGAATGAAGTCAAATAAAAATGGCATGTTGAAAGGATCTTGTACAGAGAAGGGAGTCTAGAAAATGTTGTTTTTCCCTCCCTATGTAGGAAATGACCTTATCCTGTTATGAGGAGAAAAACTGAGCTGAAAAGCTTTGAGAGTGCCACTTTTGATTAAAGTTACAAAACCTAAATAACATCTAATCACTAGATAAACTCACTTCCCATTTGTTCACATTCTGTTTTCATTTGCCATATTTACTCCCACACCTCTTTGGAGAAAAATAAAAATTAAAAAGTGTGTTAGCATACTATTCTTCTTCCCACTACCAGCAGCAATTATTTCCTTCTCTGAAAATATAAACGATCACCTCTAGCCAAGGAGTATCTGAATTGGTGCCCAGGTACTTTACTTTATATTAAAGCTCTGAGGTGCTTTTATAGTGCAGATTCTTAGGCCCTAATTCTTGGATATTTCAATTTACTAAATCTGCAATGGGGCCAAATGATTTGCATTGTTACAAGCTTCTTGGAATAAGGTAATGCACACTACGTTTTGAGAACTGTGGATTTAGAGCAGAAACCAATTGCTTTTCATATGACAGATACACCATTGAAGAGAGTTAGTAATGTTTACTCTTTAAACCATCCAACTTTCTCTCACTTTCATCTTTGTTTATCTTATTTGCAGAATCCCTACACACAGAAGTTATCAATCTGTCAAAATAGCTCTGCAAAATAATCTGTTATTTTTCTATGCCCACCACAGCTGCTGGGGCCCCCTTCTGCAAAACTGAAAAGTCTTCATCTGTTATCTGCCACTGAAACTTGAAAGGAAAATAAACAGGAAATAAAACATCTTATTTCAATAACTTATGGATTTTTCCTTTTTATTTCATAAGCATCTACATTATTTTACATGAAGTAATACTTCCTATGAACAGTGAAAAAATGCTGAAGCAAAGGAGAAATGATTCTATTAAAGCAGTTGCACGAACTTTAGATTGGCTTGCTTGATATCTTTCCATTCTCCTTTGGGTGTGTCTTCTGGGCTCAGAGGCTACAAAGCTGGGTTCCAGATGTGACTTAAGTTCTTTCTGCTAATTGAGAGCAGTGATTGGCAATAGAATTGAATTCCAAATGGAATTAAGTGTGGAAAGGGGCAGTAGGATGCAAGACACCCATTTTGCTTGTGCAATGCAGTAGACATAGCATAGCTCTGGAGACAGTAATTCTAGAAGTGGTTACTCATCTCTGGACATAAAACATTGTGATCCTAAAGCCAGCCTTTATTATCCAATGCTCCAGCTCCCATCTTGGAGCCAATCATAACAAAAACTATGGTTTACACTTCAGGACCTACAGTTAGAAACATGATTCTGAAGTGCTACTATTCCTATTCTCTGTAAAATATTCATTGTTTCTTGTACATATTGAAAATTAGAATAATTCACCAATTGGATAAAGTATTTAGAAGAAAAAAGAGAGGAACTTGTCTAGATGTATACCTTGTATTAGTCCATTCTCATGCTGCTATAAAGAACTACCCAAGACTAGGTAATTTATAAAGAAAAAAGGTTTAATTGCTCACTGTTCCACAGGGCTAGGGAGGCCTCAGGAAACTTTCAATCATTGTGGAAGGGGAAGCAAATATGTCCTTCATATGGCAGCAGGAAGGAAAAGAATGGGTGCCCAGCGAATGGGAAAGCCCCTTATAAAACCATCAGATCCCATGAGAACTAACTCACTATCCTGAGAACCGGATGAGGGAAACCACCCCCATGATTCAATTATCTCCACCTGATCCCTCCCACAATAGGTGGGGAATAGAGGAACTACAATTCAAGATGAGATTTGGGTGAAGACAATGCCAAACTATATCATATGTAAAGATTATTGTGAGTGATTAAGAGGTAGCATAAGAACAATAAACAGGCAACTACAGTGACTTTCCTATTTCTTTTGAGAGACACCTCGCACTCACTGAATTATCAGATAAAAAGGAAAAGAAAAAGAGCAAATAACATTAATAACCATAGTTACCTTTTCCTATAGGTTTACCATTTGCCAGGCCCTGTACACTTAACACTAACAAGATGTCTGTGAGGTAGTAATACTATTATCCTCATTTTATGGCTGAAAAAACTGAAGCATAGAGAAGTTAGTAATTTGCATTGTCACACAGTTACAAGTTACAAGGTCAGGACTAAACACAAAACATATGTAATACCAAAGTCCAGGCACTTAAGTGCTCCTTCATACTGCCTTATAGGCCAAATAGTCTAAAGTTTTAGATAGATAGAATAAGTTTTTTATATCTATCTATATTACACAGCGTGGTGATGATAGTTAATATATTGTGCATTTCAAAATTGCTAAGAGAGCAAATTTCAAATAACTAATAAACATGGTAAGTGAGGTAATGGATATGTTAATTAGCTTGATTTAATCATTTAACACTGTATTCATATATAAAAATACCACATTGTATCCCATAGATACAATTATTATTTGTCAATTAAATTTTTTTAAATGAAAAGAATACTAGCCTTGCTCATTTTTAATCTTCACATCTAAGATACAGTTTTCAATATAGAGAGCTTCAAGTTCATTCCCATATAGGATAAACAGGGTGTAGACACCTTGGAGATTCTGCCAATGAATCAGGGTTAGGCAACCACAAAATCTCTTTTTAAATACAGCAGAGGCCAATTTCCTTGTTTAATTGCGTGTGAGATGTAGCAGTTTATAAACTGTGACAAATTCAGCCATCCATACACAGGTAAAATATTCAAGGTGAAGAGTGAAATTACATCTGCCTCCTCACGAGCCACTTGTCCTTTTAAATGCTTTTCAGGCTAACTGCTATAGGAGAGACAAAAAGTGCTTGAGTTTCCCAGAGTCTTTAGCCTTCCATTGATCTTTCTATTTGCAACATACGGAGGTTCATGAAAATTTCCTGGCGGCACTGTTAAGTGCTATGCTTTTTACCAGGGCAGAGCCATGTGTTTTTACCTATAATTTTTTATGACTAGGGAAATGTTTAGATGTTGCTACCCATCAAGTTTTAGAAACTACGCATATTTTTATTAAAATATATATATGCTGATGATTATTATGAAATAAAAAGCAATTTCTATTAAAATGTTGGGCTGAACGTATAGAACTTTAATCATTTACATTTCAATATCCAGTGGAGAGCTCAGTAGTCACTGTGAAATATATTCATTTTGCTTCTAAGTAGTAGGCAAAGTCTCTTTAGAAAAACAAAATAAAACAATAAAATAACAAATACACAAAACTCAGTCATCACTTATTATGAATGAGATATATTTCTGAAAACATTGTGATATCCCAAACTGAAAATAATGCAGAACAAATCCTGATTTTAAAATGGCCATTTTCTTTGCATATCAATTGGTCTACTGACTTTAAATAACATAAATTTTCACAGTCGGTTGAACTGGAAGTTAAATTTTTGTAAATGATGCAAATAAAATGAAGTTCTATTAATATCAATATTACCTTACTTAAAATTTTTAAATTAAATTTATATACAATATACAAAATAAATGAAGAATTGCATTCCTTTTTAAAAATATTTTCTGCATATAGTATTAAATAAAGCCTCCTATATAGAAACCAGCCTATTTATACCAACAAAGAGACCTGTCTGCAATTGGGCCAAATGATGCTGGTCTAATGCAAAAGTATATAAAATACCCTTTGAAAGCAAAGTATACTTGGAAGTGTATAAAGAACCTTAGCCTCCAGGTTCCCTGCCTCCACCTAACAATTTAAATCTGCATACACTTTGACATAAGTTGTTAGTGACTCAGATAGAGGGATACATCAGTAGTTTAGGCTTTAATCTCAGGGCTGAGATTGAGTTGGAACTGGTTTGAGCAGGATTTGTTTATTCTATATATCTAAAGTCAGAGCCAATAAGTCTCTTAGTTTTGAATAGCTATAAATGTCTATTCCCATTTGGATAGGGTTGATAAGCCTATTTGCAGATAACTAGTATTCCCCATGTGTGCTTTTGCATGTGTGTTGCTTGAAACAAGACATGTTTTGAAAAATAGCCTCCTCTGCAATTGTATCTGTATTTGTACTTCAGGCACATGGGGTTTCCTTCTTCCTTGAATGTTCAAGGTAAATGTATACATTGGCAAATGTGACTCTGTAATGGTTGGCCTATCAACCAGGAGATTAATGAAGGAGTAATTTAACAATAGATCAAAGGCAAGTTGTATTGATGTGTGTTCCTGGGAAAGGATGGGTCAGGGCACAGTGAAAGAAACCAGGTTTCAGATTGTTTAGTTCACTGGAGAAGAGCGAGGAAAGAAAACAGGATGGTAGCAAGGTAGCTGTCTAGCAAAAACCTAGAGAGAACAGGAAAACAACATGAGGGTGGTTAGTTGAGAAAATTTGGGAGAAAAAAGTGAGAGACATAAAACTTCTGTACAGAGAACCAAGAAGAATTATAGAATTCAGAATGTGGGTGTTGGTGGGGGGTGGTTATCTTAATCTTAATTAAACCACACTAAGTGGTTTCCCAAATAATAGTAGTTGCTCCTACTGTTAATAGGGGTGTGTGTGTGTGTAGTTTTATGGTTTATTTGTATGTGTGTGTATGTTGTTTGATTTTTGTGGTTTTGTTTTGCCCTTTTTGAAACTGATACTACTCAACTAATACTCAGAAAATCCAATCACATTTGTGTCTATAGTCTAGTCATTTGCAAAAACTGACCCAAACCACTAGCTTAGAACAATTCTTTTGAGGTTATTGATATTAAGGCCAGTGTCAATTTCATGGACATACAACTAAGGCAGCAACGTAAGATCCCACTCTCAGAAGACTTGGGGTATAACGCTCTGTGGACACTCTCTTGAAATTCATAATAATGTTACCTTTGAATTGGTGTTGTGTAGCGAAATCTGGCAGGACAAGGAGCATAAGCCAGGGGGCTTGCAGGTCCAGCTGACACCCAGGCCTCCCTTGGACGTATCCCAAGGATGTGTTCTCTGCTCCCTGGCCTCTAACTTGCAGTCGCTGCAGTGCTTCCCCCATAGTGGGAGCCTGGGTATGGGTACAGGGTGGCTTAGAGTCAGGTGTGTACGCTCTGCTTGCTAAGTCATGGAATGTGGACCTGAGCACCTGTGAGGATCTCTACTCCCCTCAAATATCCCTGTCCCCAAGGGGACATAACATTAAGTAGAAAATAATGATGAGGTGAGGGGGTGGCCAGTGGAGGGGGCATGGCAAGGCTGCAAAAGAAATGAAAAAGTTGTTGTAATACTTTTTGAAAAAGGGGTTTCACATTTTTATTTTGAACTGGCCCCCACAAGTTATAGAACTGATTACGATTAAAGATTACTTTTTTTCTTCTTTTTTTTTTTTTTTTTTGGTGAGATAGAGTTTCGCTCTGTCACCCAGGCTGGTGTGCAGGTGGCGAGATCTCGGCTCACTGCAAGCTCCGACTCCTGGGTTCGCGCCATTCTCCTGCCTCAGCCTCCCGAGTAGCGGGGACTACAGGCACCTGCCACCACGCCCGGCTAATTTTTTGTATTTTTAATAGAGACAGGGTTTCACTGTGTTAGCCAGGATGGTCTCCATCTCCTGACCTGGTGATCCGCCCGCCTCGGCCTCCCAAAGTGCTGGGATTACAGTCGTGAGCCACCGCACCTGGCCAAAGATTCCTTTTCTAAAAAAACTAGAAAGAATCTCACAGCCATTATCCATTCCGGTGCTACTCAGGCATTGCTTGAAGAGTACTCACTTTTCAAAGAGACAGAGTAGGGGTCACCAATACTCAAAAGAGATCAGAGAGAAGCCATTGTTTTCAGTCCCCCAAAAGGAAAAGCTCCATCAGTTCTCTTTCCTCCTCCCCGTCCTTCCAGAGGTGACTAGGAGGCACAGTCCTGCAATCTCAGGGCTCTGAAGAATACAATCTGAAAATCAGCCAACTACTCCAAATGCTTCATTTGACAGAAGAGAAAACCTGGGCCCAGAAATTAAGTAAGTGCTCCAGGTTTACAGAATTTCTCATGGTCAAATTTTAATTAGAATTCAGAATTCTAGATTTCCAGTCCCAGGAATTTTTCCTTCACAATATCTCTTTACGGCCGGGTGCAGTGGCTCACGTGTGTAATCCCAGCACTTTGGGAGGCTGAGGCAGGTGGATCACTTGAGGTGAGGAGTTCGAGTCCAGCCTGGCCAACGTGATAAAACCCTGTCTCTACTAAAAATACAAAAATCAGTCGGCCGTTGTGGCACGTACCTGTAATCCCAGCTACTCAGGAGACTGAGGCAGGAGAATCGCTTGAACCCAGGAGGCGGAAGTTGCAGTGAGCCGAGATCGCAACACTGCACTCCAGCCTGGGTGACAAAGCCAGACTCTGTCTCAAAAAACAAACGAAACAACAACAACAAAAAAATCCCTTTACATGCCTTTGCCAAAATGATTTCTTGCAGTTTTTGTAGAAACAAACCTGCCTTAATGAAGTTGAAAAATGCCCAAGATGGTCATTTCATCAACTTGTTGGTATGGAAGACAAATCATGCCTCGGTTATGCTCCATGCACACGACACAAGTTCCTGCTGCAGTTCTTCCCATTCACCCCTATTTGCCCATCTCTCGCACTTCTTTACATTTTCATTGTGTACTTTCTGTATACAAGATGCTGTGCTAAAAGCTGTACATAGAATATCCTACTTAATTCTCACAGTATCCCCAAGTGGACAGCACCATGTTCCTTATTTCATACATGACGACATGGATTCTTACAATGGTTGACTAAAGTTCACCGAGCTAGAAAGTTAGAGCTGGGATCTGAACACAAATCAGGCTGACATCACAGCACAGCACAGCCCACTTACCTTCTAGGCAAGCTGTCTAGATTTCTGAAAGGAGACAAAATCAAGACGGCCCATTCCTGCACTTCCTAACCCTTTCAGCTAGCAGTCAGGAGAGAGTTGAGGCATCTGATGGGCCTCTTTTTCTCTCTCCTAAGTGGTAACTGTGTTCACTCATTGCAGCCGACTGCCTGGGTTCACACATTTCCGGGATTCCAAACGGTGGGATGAAGATAACTACCCATGGGACCTCAGACAGAGTCGCTCAAGGTGTATGTTCCAGAGGGGGGGCAGGTCATGATTTTTAATTACTCTGCAAGCTTTTGAGGCTGCAGCCCCAGCTGGAGTTTAGGAGTTGCCAGAGCCTGCTGCTGCCCTGGGCTGTTTGCCAGCAGCCACTCTTGGAAAGCTGACAAGTTTTACCCATGAGTGGCAACTCTGTTGCAGCTTCTTATTTTGATCCATAACAACAGAAGGATTTTGCTACAATTGAAGTCTGGGAACACTGGATTCTGGGCACTAAGTTTGTTTACTCCACTAACAAAATTTGGTGGGGGTGGGGCAGTTTACAGACGTCATCCTTTTCACCAAGATTGCACTTTTTCTGCCTCAAACAATTAAATTTTTGCTCTCACAGCCTCTAATCTCAATATCCAAATATCACCTGTTAAAAAAATCAGCTAAGGTTTGGAAATAACATTAGCCAAAAGTTAAAGTATTTTACAAAGCGATTATGCTTGACTTCTGTATTTGATTAAGTAAGTATTCATTTTGGGTGGCTTTATTATTTTTGGATAAGTGTCTCAGCTTAATCAACGCTGAAAAAAATTCCTACCAGGCACTGAAAGAATAAGGTTTGCCTGCTAAAATTTGAATTAATTACATTGCAACTTAAATACTATTGAAAACACAGTAAATGTACGCATTAGAAATGTTTAATTTATGTGGAAGGTAGGGTATTTTAATTTGAGAATTTATTTCAAATGTCTAGGGCCCCAAAACTGCCCTGCCCTTGAAAGCTTCGACACAGCAATACAAAATAATTATGGTATACCCTGCACTGTATGTATTCATGAGTTTATTTTACAATATTTATTGAGTATCTGTTATCTCCCAAGCTTTGTTGTAAGTGCTGAGGACACAGTAATGAATTGGCCTATTATTTAACATGTAGTCTTCCATTAATTACTACCTTATTTAATTTATATGATCTGATTTGGCCTTTGTACTACACAAAAAGTTACATAACAAAGGGATCATCTCCACATTATAAGTAAGATTATTTTTATTAAGTAGAAAATAAGGAACCAAACCAGAACTCAAACTACAGTGTTGTTTGTTTTGTTTTTCATCTTACATTCTCTTTTCATTATACAAAAATGGCCTTAGCAAATTGAGGGCAGGAAGGACCACACCTGGGGTTGTTAGTTGTTGTCCATAATACCCAGTGCCTTGTCTATCTTAATGACTCAGTGACACCACAATAAGACATAGCAGCTCATCAAAGCTACAACACAAGTCTGTTGTTCTAAAAATAAAGAGGGCTTGGAAATCAGGACACCACGTTTAAATCTGCATTATAACTAACTAGCAGGATGACCTGGAGTAAATCATTTGGCCAATTAGTAAATTTCGTATTCTGTACGATCAGATAGTCCTGCGCACCTCACAGAATTACTGCACGGGAAAGTTTCTGCTGCATAAGAGGGAAAGACACATTAAATTTTAGTTGAATCTAAATATCAATTCCCTACTAACTTTCTATTCCAGCCTCTTCAGTTACTCTTGTGATCCATAGCAGTCACCCCCGCTAACCTCCAAGCCTATCAAAGATGATGGAGAGCTATGGAAAAGTTGTAAAGATGAGTGACAAGGTCAAAACTGCTTTTAAAATTAACCATCCCTCTTCATATCACATTTCCTTTATAGCTTTACTCATCTTGTTCTTCTTAAATTCTTTTTCAGAAGAAGTTGACCTCCTACTTTTGACATAAAAACGCTTTTCTTATGTCTTTTATTCCATCCCAGTTCCCTTCTTTCTTGGTCCATCAGTCAACTGTTCTGTTTCATAAACCATCATCATCTCTCTCACCCTTAAGGATTCTTCTTATATCTATAATTACATTCAGAAAATCTTTATTTGAAAAACCTTTTTATGGCTTTTCTTATGGTCCTGACTTGTATGATCCTGCAAATTACCATTCTCTTTTTCTATTGTTTCCCACTGACAAATTTCTTCAAATAGTCTATTCTTATTGCCTCCTCTGAATAACTACCAGCTTCTTCTTAGAACCAAAGGTTGTCATTGACCTCTGATACTAAGAGGTAATTTTAAAGATTACCTGCAAGTGAAACCAACCTGATATTCCCATAGACATATTTTTTCATATATATATATACACATATATATACACACACACATATATACACACATTTATATACACACACATATACACACATATATATACACACGCATATATACACACATATATACACACACATATATACACATATATATACACACACACATATATATATATATATATACATACACACACACACACACACACACAGAGGAATTGGCCCTTCTGGTCAATTTCTTAAAGCCTGAAACTTACATTTGTTTTATCTGAGTTCTTGTTTTCTTATACATTGTTACATTTCTTCCCTGCTATATAAACTCCTAATTTTAGTCAGTCAGGGAGATGGATTCGAGACTGATCTCCCATCTCCTTGGATGCAGCACCCTATTAAATCCGTCTTCCTTGGCAATAATAATTGTCTCCATGATTGGCTTTCTGTGCAGTGCAATCGTAATTAAGCCATCAGTATTTATTTGTGAACATCCTATGAGCCAGAGGGTGTGTTAGACATTGGATTATTTTCAACATAGCTAGTTCTCCTTCTGTATTTGCTTTATTGCTTGTTCTATTTCCTAAATATAGATATAAACACAAAGCATTAGGGTTCAGTTTTTAATCTTAACTTTTTTTTTTTGCCTTCACATCTTCATATGGCATCTGCCCTTAAACAGCTTAGTTCTATATCTATATTGAGAGTTCTAAGCTTGCTCCTTATTCCAATATCACATTTTAAATGTTTGTGGGCTATTTATATTTAAATATCTAAATAGTACCTGAAAATTGGCACATATAAGGATAGCTCATTTACTCCTTTGTTTCTTCATATTTTTCTACTAAGAAAGATATGTTTCATCCTTCTTTGTATTAATCCATCTTTAATTTTCATTGTATCTTGTCTCTTATTCTCTAAATTACATTTCTTTAATTTCCAGTCTCTTCTGCTTTGGTAATTCTCTTTATGAAGTAGCAATAGTTAACAGCTTCTGAGTATTATGTGCTTGGGTCTGTGCTTGGAAGTTTAAATATGATGTTTTACTTAATCACTGTATAAGGACATTCTGAAAAGAGGACAACTGTTGTTTCTGTTACATACATACATACGCGCGCACACACACCTACAGTCCATCTGTTTTCTCTCCAACCATATATGCTACTATCATTGTGATATGGTTTTGCTGTGTCCCCACCCAAATCTCATCTTCAATTGTAGTCCCCATAATCCTCAAGTGTCATGGGAGGGATCCAGTGGGAGGTAGTTTATTTATGGCGGCAATTATCCTCATGCTGTTCTTGTGATAATGAGTGAGTTCTCCTGAGATCTGATGGTTTTGTAAAAGGCTTTTCCCCCTTTTGCCCGGCACTTCTTGCTGCCACCCTGTGAAGAAGGATTTTTTTGCTTCCTCTTCTGCCATGATTGTAAGTTTCCTGAGGCCTCCCCAGCCCTGTGGAACTGTGAGTCAATTAAACCTCTTTCCTTTATAAATTACCCAGTCTCAAGAATGTCTTTATTAGCAGTTTGAGAATGGACTAATACACCTTGTTTTTGTGATTTGTTGCAATTTCTTGGAAGGAAGACATGTTTGGCCTAAGTTAACACATGAGGTTACTGGAACATTGAGAAATTAGCATGTTTTTCTAGAATCTTCCTAGTCAGAAGTCAAGCAAACGGTTAAAAGTGTTAATAAAACATCTGGGGTTTAGTCTAGGTCCTGCTGCTCTCTGCACAGAAAGCCAATGACTGAGATGATAAGTATTGCCAAGGAAGAACGCTTTAATTGGGTGCTGCAGCTGAGGAGATGAGAGATCAGTCTCAAGTCCATCCCCCCGAACCACTAAAACTAGGAGTCTATATAGCAAGGAAGAAATGTAATAGTGTGTAAGAAAACAGGAACTAGGATGGGGCAAGGAAGCAATCATGATGACTGAGGGATCTGGCATCTCATTGTCTGGATGTGGTGATCTGGTGAGTTTCAGTTCTTTGAAACTTTTTTTGAAAGGCCTGAAGGTCACTTCCTGAGGAAGGAACTCAGATAAAACAAATCTAAATTTCAAGCTTTAGGACCAGAAGGGTCAATTTCTGTTTATCCAGAAACAACTGTCTATGAGACTATAGGGTCTGTTTCAAAAGCATTGCATTTTGGAAGTTGCAAATAATAAAATACTACTAATTGAAAGCTATTATTTTTTCTTTTGAGATGGAGTCTCACTCTGTTGCCCAGGCTAGAGTGCAGTGGTGCGATCTTGGCTCACTGCAACCTCTGCCTCCCAGGTTCAAGCAATTCTTCTGCCTCAGCCTCCCGAGTAGCTGGGATTACAGGGGTCTGCCACCATCCCTGGCTAATTTTTTTTGTATTTTTATTAGAGACAGGGTTTCACCATGTTGGCCAGGCAGGTCTCGAACTCCTGACCTCGTGATCTGCCCACCTCAGCCTCCCAAAGTTTTGGGATCACAGGCATGAGCCATCGCGCCCGGCCGCAAGCTACTATTATTATACTGTTTAATGTATTCAAAGTCCATCCTATAATTGCCATTTGGTAATAAGGAAATGATGATTCCTCAAGTAGAATCCCAGTTCTCTTTTTAAACCACTTATTGAAGTATAAGGGAGATAAAAAGCTGTACAGATATAATGTATACCTTTTCCAAGTCCCAATACATTTTGAAATTAATATGCTTATAAAAATAGCCCTGTACCAATCTTTTTATTTCACAGATGAAACTCAAATCTAACAGGTTAATGTCTTAACAAAGAAGGCAAAGGTAGTTTGTGAGAACTCAGGGCTGCTTTAATTTCTCTGCTCAAAGTAATACTCACAATCTGGAAAAATCAATGGCAAGTTTCACTGGTAAACTATTTTTAGCCAATCATAAAGCTGATTGTATTTTCCTTTCTGGAAGAGGACCAGTTCCACATCCTGCTTATTTTCTTGCTTTGGGTTTAATGTAATAACTACATCTCTCAGCAATGCTGTTATATATTGATATCTGACACACGTGGATCCTTTCAATGATTAGAAACAAGATAGTGATGCCCAGAGTAGTGACTCACAGTGAGCCGCAAGTCTGTCCATGTACACACTGTGTCATTCTCTAATAGTCTGTTTATTGCAGCCTGAGCAGGCTCCATGTGCTATATTAAGCTAAGGTGCTTTATTTGGAAAAGTTTGGAGGAATCATTGAAGGATTTTAAATAGGTGTTGGCATGATCAGTAGGCATTTTGTTGTATAACACACCCTATAGCAGCATGAATGAAGTAAGGATTGGCGAGATCTTGAGAAGCTCACACAGTTGCAGAATTCTTGCTATAGTTGGCCTCTTCTGTCTGTTGCATATATGCCATAATCTCTGCTAATGGGGTGTATCCACTATTCTGGGGATTAGGAATCCTTCCCAAATACTGTGTTGTTCCTTTTCAATCCAGCTACAGCCAAGATGTTCCTGTGTGAAGAAGCTCTTCTGTCCCCTTCTTAGATCTGTTCTCTGATCTGCCTCCCATCTTGGTCATGGCCAGACTAGTGAAAGAGAAATTTAATTTTTTGTACCCCCAAATTTAGTCCACATGTTTTTCATGCTCACTATTATATACAGTGATCAATTTAGATAAAACTAATAGAACCTCAGCCAGGCATAGTGGCTCACGCCTGTAATCCCAACACTTTAGGAGGCTGAGGTGGGTGGATCACCTGAGGTCAGGAGTTTGAGACCAGCCTGGCCAACATGGCAAAACCTCATCTCTACTAAAAATACAAAAATTAGCCGGGTGTGGTAGTGGGCACCTGTAATCCCAGCTATTCGGGAGGCTGAGGCTGGAGAATCACTTGAACCCAGGAGGCAGAGGTTGCAGTGAGCCAAGATCACACCATTGCACTCCAGCCTGGGCGACAAGAGTAAAACTCTGTCTCAAAAAAAAAAACAACAAAAAAACAAAAACAAAACAAAACAAAAAAACCTAATAGAACTTCATCATTGAGCATGTTAACAGCAAAATATGAACAGGTGTTACTCTGAAATTTATTGGAATAAATTCTTCTTTTCCCTCATTCCCTATAGCCTCTAGATGTGTAGTCTGCTTTATCTCCCTCTCCCTTCCCTCAGCTCTCTTCTACCTCTCCCTTGTTCTCTGTCTTATCAGTTTCTGGAGTGATTTTATTCTGGAATAAGTATGCAAGTTCTTTTCTAAAATTAGCCTTTACCTTTTACTAATTAATCTCTCCATCATTCAGAGGCACATTCCCACCACAAACCTCATATTACTGTAGCTTGGAAATTATAATTTGGTAGTACATATATCACATGCAGGCCCACATATGTTCTTTACAAAGTAATCCAACAGTAAAAAGTCAAGACATTTAATAATAAAAGTGCAGGTTTTTAGTTTCTCTTTAACAAGCACGATTCTGGTAACACCAAGCTTGCAATCCTACACAGCTTCTAACAACTGTAACTGAGTAGCTACAATCTCAATCTTAGACAGAATGTGGATTATTCAGCACACCAAAGTCTTTATTGCCTCCGCAACAGTAAGTCTCAGTGTCAGTTGGGATTTATCATAACATTTACTCTGTTGATTTTCTTAGAATATAGAAATAAAGGCATCCAAATTAGAAAGGAAGAAGAAAAATTATTCCTCTTTGAAGATGACATGATTTTGTATGTAGAAGACCCTAAAGATTTCACAAAAATATCTGTTAGAACTAATAAATGAACTCAGTAAAGTATTAGAAAACAAAATCAATATACAAAAATCAGTTGTATTTCTTTATACCAATAACAATCAATCTGAAAAAGAAATTTAAAAACCCAATTTGTGATAACATCAAAAAGAATAAAATACTCAGGAGTGTATTTAACCAAGGAAGTAAAAAATCTGTGCACTGAAAACTATGAGCTAGAACACTGATGAAAGAAATTGAGACACAAATAAATGGAGAGAAACCCCGTGTTTGTTGATTGAAAGAATTAATTTTGTTAAAATGTTCATACTACCCAAAGCAATATACAGATTCAATGCAATTCCTATCAATATTCTAATGGCATTTTTCACAGAAATAGAAAAAAAAATCAAAAATTTGTATAGAATCACAAAAGATCCCAAATAGCTAAAGCAATCTTCAGAAAATACAACAAACCTGGAGCCATCACACTTTCTGATTTGAAATTATATGACAAAGTTATAGTAATCAAAACAGCATGGTACTGGGATTAAAAACATACACATTGGTGAATAGAGCAAAATAGAGGTCAGAAATAAACACAAACATAGACAGTCAAGTAAATTTTGATACGGCCACTAAGAAGACACAATGGGAAAAGGATAGTCCCTTCAAAAAGTAGTGTTGGGAAAACTGGATATTCACCTGGAAAAGAATAAAACTGGACCCTTATCTTACTTTGTATACAAAAATCAACTAAAATGGATTAAAGATCTAAACATAACACCTGGATGTATTAAATATAAAATTTCAAGAAGGCAACCTAAGGGAAAAACTCCTTAACATTGGCCTTGGCAATGCTTTTTTCTTTTTTTTTTTTTTAACTTAGCACATGGAAGGTCAGTGCTACAGTTTATATATTTGTCTTCTCCAAAGTTCATGTTGAAATTTGATTCCCCATATTGGAGGTAAGGCCTAGTGGGAGGTATTGAGGTGATGGGGGCAGATCCTTCATGAACAGATTAATGTTCTCCCTTGGGAGTTAGTGAGTTCTCACTGTATTATTTCCTGCTAGAGATGGTTGTTAAGAAGAGCCTGGTGCCTCCTGCCATACTTGCTTCCTATCTTTCCATGTGATCTTTGTACACACTGGCTCCCCTTCACTCTTCTTTATGAGTGGAAGCAGCCTGAGACTCTCAACAGATGCTCAATCTTGAACTTTCTCAAACATCAGAATTGTGAGCCAAATAAACCTTTTTTCTTTATAAATTGCCCAGTCTCAGGTATTCCTTCATAGCAACACTAAACAGGCTAAGAAAGTCAGACAAAAAAAGCAAAAATAAACAAGTGTGACTACATCAAATCTAAAAGCTTTTGCACAGCAAAGGAAATAATTGACAAAATGGGAAGGCAGCCTACAAATTGGGAGAAAATATTTGTAAATTATATATCAAATAAGGGGTTAATAGCCAAAAAAAATAAGGAACTCACTCAACTCAATAACAGTTAGACAAACAAAAACAAATAACTCGATTAAAAAATAGGCAAAGGACCTGAATAGACACTTTCCTAAAGAAAACACAAAAATGATCAACAGGTATAAGAAAAGGTGCTCAATATCACTAATTAGCAGAGGAAATGCTAATCAAAACTACTATGAGATAACACCTCACACCTGTTAGGATGGCCATTAGCAAGAAGACAAGAGATAATAAACATTAAAGATATGGAATAAAAGGAACCTTGCAAAATGATAGAAATGCAAACTGGAAGATCTATTATGGAAAATAGTATGGAGGCTCCTCAAAATGTCAAAAATAGAACTACCATACGATCTAGGAGTCTCTCTGCTGGGTATATATCCAAAGGAAATGAAATCAGTATGTCAAAGAGATATCTGCACTTCCATGTTCATTGCAATATTATTCACTATAGCTAAGATATGGAAACAACTTCAGTGTCCATTGATGGATGAATAAATTATGTATGTATGTATGTACGTATGTGTGTGTACATACATATATTATATATATGTACACACACACACAATGCAATATTATTCAGCCACAAAAAAAGCAAAAACTGCCACTTGAAACAACATGGATGAACCTGGAGATATTATGGTAGGTAAAATTAGCCAGACACGGAAAGTCAAATAGTGCATGATCTCACTTATATGTGGAATCTAAAGTAAGTCATATACATACAAACAGGAAGTAAAATAATCATTTCTAGGGGCAGGGACGGGGCAGAAATGAGGAGATGCGCATTAAAGTATACAATATGTCTAAATATCTCATGTACAGCCAAAGGACTGTAGTTAGTAATATTTTACCCTGAAAAATTACTGAAAGAGTAGATGTTAGATGCCCTTCCCACAAAAATGTAACCATGTGATGGGTATGCTAATTTGCATGACTGTAGTAATAATTTTATTATGTATGTGCATGTCAAAATATCATATTGTTAATAATGTTGTACGCCTTAAAGTACACAATAAAATATAAATAAAAATTTGTAAAAAGAATATGAAAATAGTTCTGATTTAACTATTTTATCAAAAGTAGCAAAATATTGCCATTTTTATGTCCATGAGTACCAGTGTTTAGCTCCCACTTATAAATGAGAATGTGCAGTATTTAGTTTTCTGTTCCTGTGTTAATTCATTTAGGACAATGGCCTCCAGCTGCATCCATGTTGCTGCAAAAGTAATGATTTTATTCCTTTTTATGGCCACATAGCATTCCATGATTTATATGGGCCACATTTTCTTTATCCAATCAACTGTTGATGAGCATCTAGGTTGATTCCATGTCTTTGCTAATGAGCATAGTACTGTGATGAACATACAAGTGCATGTCTCTTTTTTAATAGAACAATTTATATTCCTTTGGGTATATTCCCAGAAATAGGATTGCTGGGTCAAATGGTAGTTCTATTTTAAGTTCTTTGAGAAATCTCCAATCTCCTTTCCACAATGGTTGAACTAACTTGCGTTCCCACCAACAGTGTGTAAGCATTCCGTTTTCTCAACAACTCTGCCAATATCTGTTACTTTTTGACTTTTTAATAACAGCCATTGTGACTGGTGTAAGATGATATCTCATTGTGGTTTTGATTTGCATTTCTCTGATGATTAATGACATGGAACATTTTTTCATGCTTGTTGGCCCCTTGGATTCTTCTTTTGCAAAGTGTCTGTTCATGTATTTTGCCTACTTTTTTTTTTTTTTTTTTTGAGACAGAGCCTTGCTCTGTTGCCCAGGCTGGAGTGCAGTGGCACCATCTCTGGCTCCCAGATTCAAGCAATTCTCCTGAGTCAGCCTCCCAAGTAGCTGGGATTACAGGTGCCCACCACCACACCCAGCTAATTTTTGTACTTTTAGTAGAGACAGGGTTTCACCATATTGGCCAGGCTGGTCTCAAACTCCTGACCTCATGATCCGCCCACCTCGGCCTCCCAAAGTGCCGGGATTAGAGGCATGAGCCACCGCACCCAGCCGTATTTTGCCTACTTTTTAATGGGGTTAATGGTTTTTTGCTTGTTAAGTTCCTTATTGTCCTTATTGATTCTGAATATTAGACCTTTGTCAGATGCATGGTTTGCAAAAATTATCTCCCATATTGTAGGTTGTCTGTTTACCCTTTTGATAGTTTATTTTGCTGTGCAGAAGCTCTTTAGTTTAATTAGTTCTCACATGTCAATTTTTGTTTTTGTTGCAATTGCTTTTGAGGACTTAGTCATAAATTCTTTCCCAAAACTGATGTCCAGAATGGTGTTTCCTAGGTTTTCTTCTAGCATTCTTATAGTTTGATTGCTGACATTTAAATCTTTAACCCATCTTGCATTAATTTTGTATATGGTTAAGTGAAAGGATGCAGTTTTATTCTTCCACATATGACTATTCTAACAACATTTATTGAATAGGAATAACCTATTCAATAAATAGAATAACCAGCTATTCTAACACCATTTATTGAATAGGAAGTCCTTTCCTCATTGCTTATTTTTGTTGACTTTGTCGAAGGTCAAATGGCTGTAGCTTTATAGTATGGGCTCTACTAGAGAAGGAAGGGAGGGAGGTGGGGTATGGGTTGAAAAACTATTGGGTACTATGCTCACTACCTGGATGACAAGATCATTTATATTCCAAATCTCTGCATCATGCAATATGCCAGTGTAAAAAGCCTGCACATGTACTCCCTTGAATCTAAATTAAAAGTTGAAATTATTTTTAAAAAAGGAAATACAAAATTGTGGGTTAAATTTAAAGGACAAACAGTATATTGGTACAGCATTAAAATACCTTCCCTGACATATTCATTAATACCTTTTTTCTAATAATTTCTTTAAAAGACCTATGACTATTTAACATATTCATTAATACCTTTTTTCTAATAATTTCTTTAAAAGACCTATGACTATTTAAAGCAAAAATTATAACATGGTATTGTGGGATTTATTATGTGTAGATGTAAAATTTATGAGAGAAGCACAAAAAATAGAAGGAGGTAAATGGAACTGCTCTGTAGCAAGGCTTTTATATTTTACACTTATTAAAATAGTACAATATTAACTATAAATAGAGTGTGAAGTGTTAGAGATACGTATAACTTCTAAAACAACCACTAAAAATGTAAAGAGGTGTCAGTTAAATGTTAATAAATGCATTAAGTTAAATATAAAAAGTATTTGTACAAGAATGTTCTTAGCTCCTTAGTCATAATAGCCTAACATTCATGCAACAGAATTCTACTTAGCAATACAAAAAACAAACTACTGAAGCACACACCATAGATGAATCTCAAAAATACTGTGTCGAATAAGACAGCTGAACGTAAAATAATACATATTGTATGATTTCAGGCAAAATGAGCCTTGACGAAAAAAATAAAAATAGAGATAGCCACTGGGAGAGGAAACATTTTCCTGGGGAAGAACATGAGAGAATTGTCCAACTATGATGAAAATATTATATTTTAAAAGGTATGAAGGTTATATGGGTACATTTATTTGTCAAAAATGTACAGTTGAGATTTGTGTCTTTGAATGTATGTGTATATGACTTCATTAAAAAAAGAACTAAAAAAAAATATGGGCCGGGCACGGTGGCTCACGCCTGTAATCCCAGCACTTTGGGATGCCGAAGCAGGTAGATCACAAGGTCAGGAGATCGAGACCATCCTGGCTAACCTGGTGAAACCCCGTCTCTACTAAAAATACAAAAAAATTAGCTGGTCGTGGTGGTGTGCACCTGTAGTCCCAGCTACTCGGGAGGCTGAGGAAGGAGAATGGTGTGAACCTGGCAGGTGGAGCTTGCAGTGAGCCAAGATCGTGCCATTGCACTCCAGCCTGGGTGACAGAGCAAGACTCCATCTCAAAAATAAAAATAAAAATAAATTTAAAAAATATGGGGTTGGGGACTTGGGTTGAACTATAGTTGAAACAAAAACGGCACATGGTTAGTGGTTATGGAGGCTGGATGAAAGCCTATTATAGTATGTGGTTTACTTTGCACATGTTTAAAATCTTCTGTAATAAAACACTTGCATAAAAAATAGCAAAATGAAAACTAATAAGGCTGGTGAATTTTTCTACACTTTGCTGTTGTACTCAATTTTATAACTTTCCTGGCTCCTGGAGGCATCTGAGTTTGTAACTTTTGCTGAGACCTTTTGACTTGCGTTTACTATTCCTTGTTATTTGAAAATTAAGAGTAGCTTTAAGCATGGACAAATATACCAGTTAGCTTTTGCTAAGATGTGACTAAAAATAGCATTCAAGATTCTGAAGTTTAGCAATTTGGACTTGGCTCAGTTCAGTGGTACTTCTGGTCTCATGAAGGCTCACTCATGCATCTGCTTTTAGCCACCAGGTCAATGGGTAGGTAACTAGGCTGGATGGCTACATCTGGGAAAATTCATCTCTATTCTACATATCTTTCATGTAGCAGCTGTCTGGCTTGGACCACGTTGATATGGCAGAATTCCAAGAGAAAAAGCAAAGGTGAGCAAAGCCACTTGAGGCCTAGGCTTAGAAGTGGTAAACCTTTACTTCCTTCACTTTGTGTTGGTCACAGAAAGTCACTAACTAGCTGGGCCGGATCCAAGGAGTGGAGAAATAGATTCCACTGCTTAAAGAAAGGAAGTCCAAAATCTCATTGCAAAGGGTGTAGTACAGGAAGATGTGGACAATTGAGGTTGTTTTTATAATCAATCTACCACAAAAAAAGGGACAATAATGAAGAACCCCGCTTCATAGCCAGTGGGGACATAGTGAAACAATGCCCAGAAATAAGGTCAAGAGTGACTTTGGGTGATTTATTGTCCTTAATAGATCTATTTCTGATTATGCTGTACACACTTGAGCAATGGTTCTGAACACAAGAATTTATCTAACATTCAAGTTTAGTGGGGTCATCCCAAATCAAATGAACAAGGATCCATTAGGCCTGGGAACTAATGGGCACAGCCAGGTGCCAGCAAGCCAGGCGTTCAGGGAGCCGGGCAATCCGTTAGAAGAGGGAGGGGATGGCTTTGTACAAGTCAGGAGGAGCAGGGATGGGAAATGGAATGACCTAAGTGGACCAACAGTCCAACCTCTCTCCATAGCTATGACTTAATGATTTGATAAATGAAAAAATGTACGCTAGCTGGCAGGTCACTAACATCACCATTGTGTGTTTACCTTTAAACCACAAGAGTCAGAGAGGAGATTCCTTATGCTGTTTGCAAATGGAAACTAATGATTTTTGTTCTCACACATGAACTTGCAAGCAGGGACTGCATCATTGCTTTGCAAATTTTAAGCTGACTGATCAAGTAGCTCAGCAGGAGTTCCTGGCATAGCATATGCCTGTTTCCAGCCTCTCCCTTGTATGTTTCTGCTATGGTGATTTGAGGTCATTTATATTATTAAAAATTTTTGAAAAAATAGGGAACAAATAAGCATGATAGTTTATTATGGCTGTCTTTGTAAGATTCTACCACGTATTGCAGCAAGTTTGAAGGTAAAAACATATTATTTTAATGACACGATTTGCTAAAAGATTAAAATGTTTAAAAGGCATAATGATGTTGGAATATTGTGGCACAGAAATTACAGATGTAGGTATTCCAAATGTTAACTATCACATTGCTTGTCTTCATAAGATTAAACACTGTATTTCACACTATACACAGACACCTGCAGATGTTTTACACCTTTTTTTACTTATCTTCTAGAAAAAATATGTTTCAAGTATCTTCTCCTTTAACCATATCACATAACTATAAATCTGTTACATACATGGGTTGATCAAAGTCACAAAGATAGTGACAATATCTTGGTACCAGATTAATAATTACTGCCTCTTAATGGTACTTCTAGTAGGTCTCCCAATTATCAGTCCAAATCTGTATTCACAATACTGAGATAATGAATTCATGACTAATTTAATTCCAATCACAAATTTTGCAAGTGGTATTCAAACAAATATATAAACTGCTTTCTAAAAGTTACAATGTGGGATGTAAAATGTTTCAATATATTGGCTTTATTTTGCTGTCTTTTATCATGCAGAACTAGTATTTTGACTAGTAGACAAAATTCAGACTATCTTTGCATTCTAAAACAAAATTCTCCACTGGAAAGTTCTCACAAAAGAATTTCTTTAAAGAGATATAACTAATATAAGAGATTTGTGGACAAATTTGCATATTTATTTTTTTCTTTGTTCCAAAACGTTTCTTATGGGACACTTTGTAGTACCCTATGATCAAGGAGTTTAGATTGCAGTGGTCACTATCTGACTTTTGTTTAAAGGATATTTTTTTAAAAGGATGTATCAGATTTTCAAGCATAAAAATAATGAGAAAATCCAGTTTTGGCAGAGATTGGGGAAATGGCTGCTCTCAAATACTGCTGTTAGAAATATTAATTAGTACAATCTCTCTAGAGGACAATTTGGCAACACGTATGAGAAGCTATAAAAATATGCATTCCCTGCCACCCATTAATTCCAATTCTAGGAATGTAAATCAAATAATGAATTAGACAAGTATTTATGCAAAGTTGTATATAAAAGCATGTTCAACTCAGTAATCTTAGTTCTAGCTAAAACTCAAAGCAATGTCATCAATTACAGACTGGTCAAAAAATTATGGTACATTCAAGAAAGGAAATAAAGTAGTCAACAAAGTAATAATATAAATCTGAATGGAATGATATTTAAAATGTTAAATGAAAAAACAGCTTACATAAGAATGCATTTACGATTCTACTCTGATAGCTATAGAAGTAATTTCATTTGTGTGTGTTTACTATAAATATATGTGTAGATTTGCATATGTAGATACACAAATGAAAGAAAAGTCAGTAGCAAAATGAACAAAGTATAAACAGTAGTTATCATAGGAAAGTGGGATGATTATGATGATGAAAATGATGATTGGTCTTGTTTTCTACTTTCTGTTTCAATTTCATAACTCAGATTACTTGTATAAAAATAAATACATAAAACTAAAGTAAGCTACTTCTGCTGAGTACGTGTCCTTAAAGCAAAAACTGAACTGCTGCCCAGATATAATTCATTGCCCAGACTAGCTTGACTGCTAAAGAACTCTTGAGGCCATCTGAGTAATTTTTCTGAAGAAAATTAGGTAACTTATACAGCATCCAATAGCTCATCTAAAGTTATAGAGAATCTCTCAACACTACATTTTCCTTGTTTCTTCCAAGTTTCCTCTTATCCATATCACTTTAATAACTTTTTTCTTGTCGCAGTGATTAATTTCTGCTTGTCTATTAGGACAGAGATTATGTACCCCTCCCCTTTAGCATAAGTCAGAGAATAGCCTTGCTCAGCATGTATACACAGTATTT
Source organism: Homo sapiens (assembly GCF_000001405.40). Classification (NCBI taxonomy): domain Eukaryota; kingdom Metazoa; phylum Chordata; class Mammalia; order Primates; family Hominidae; genus Homo; species Homo sapiens. The sequence goes on from NC_000008.11 coordinate 121,470,333, forward strand.
TAGTTCACGGTGATCCAAATTGTTTAGCTGTATTTTCCTCCCATACTCACAGTCTCTGCTTCAGACTGAGAAGGAAGGATATTCAGGTTTCCAAAGCCCAGCAAGAATTTGGATAGAGTTCTCAGACAACTTACTCATTTTTTTTCTTCCCTGGTTTCTGGCTGAGACATATGATGTTGGAACATTATAAACCCACATCCCAGTCTTAAAAAAATGAGGAAATACCTCAGTAAAGAAACAAAAGCTCCTGAATTGGATGCCTGTAGAAATCCATCAAGTTATAAGTAGTTGTTAGAAGAAGCACCCTAGGCACTGAAAGTACTTGTATGTGGGTATCTGATTTTGCATGTTACTGAAAGTGGTGATTTGGAGAAGAAATAGTTCTATATCAGAGTACTTTTTAAAATTAAAACCTGAAAATGAGATGTAAGAGTTATCAATTTTTTTAGCACAACCTAAAACTGCCAACAGTAAGGGAAGGGGCAGCAGTTGAGATCTATTTCTATACATGGTCCCAGTGAATCTCCTCAATAATCTCTTGGAGAAATTCTTAACATCTTCACTTTATAGGTGATAAAACTAAGCCCTAGAGACTAAATAAGCTGTCTCGGGTTACATTATTTGCATGTGGCACACCCAGAATTTGACCTGAAGTCTTCACATTCTTGGTTAGATTTGAGAGAGAGGAGACAGAGCTAGAGAGAAGAACACTAATGGTATGAAAGGATGATACATAAAGTATTTATGGAAATTAGAACCAACAGTAACACTCTTCTCTGGCCAAAGTCTGAATCAATTGACAAATAAGAATAAGACAGATGAGACAGCAAAAATCGTCTTTATTACCAACAAAGCTGATATGACAGGCAGTGAATAACATCTTTGGGAAAACAGACTTAGCAATACTGAGCCCAGAATTAAAGCAGGTGTCCCCATCCAGGTACAGACCATTCTGGAACACCACAGCCTCCCCTCTGGGAGCAAGCAGAGAATAAACAAGAACCCATGTTCTTCATAGGCAGGCTGCCTCCCAGGAAGAGAAAAGATGAATACAGTGAACTGAGTTTGTCTACTTTATTCTTTCTAAATTTACCAATAAGAAAGTCTCTCCTCTTCCCCCATGGGGCAATGGAGCAGCAGATGAGAGGGCGGGAGAGAATCCAGGAACGTCACATTAGTAGAACTCCCTCCACATGGAAGGAAGCACTGGGAGTGTAGAAGAGTCATTCCTACACAAGAACTTTAGTTTGCACAGTCTAATTACTTCAAGAATCAAACAGTGTGTTTCTTTTTCAGCTATCATAAATTTTGCAGATTCTTGGAAAAAAGTAAAGAGGATAGGACAAACCAGGAGAGCTTGGTTTTCCCCAGTATTTTTCTTCTCCTGTCTCCCTTCACTTCCTGCCATTCCTTGTGCCAGATGGAGTATACATAACTCTGACTTAGAGGGAAAAAAGTTTATTCATAAGAGGGAGGAGAGTTTTGGAAGATGAGATTCCCAGGGCCTGAAGGCAGTTGAGAACCACCTATCCCCTTAAAGTTGGGAGGATAAGCGGGGTAGAGGAAGCTGATATTTTTTTTCTTCACAGGTGGAGTATGATGAGTGACTGCCCAACAGATGTGTAATGGGACTCTGCCACATGATAGACAGCAGAGGAGACAGGGAAGCATGGGATGTCTAGGAACTTCCAGTATCACAACCCACAAGTGGCATGGGAGAAATTCAGAAGTGCCTGCTTGCCAAAGAGATACATGTAGATTAGTTGACAAAAAGGCTTGAGTCACAGGCCCAGGATGTCACGTGATCAGGAGAGGTGCGGTCTCCCCAAGTGGATGTGGAGGGTATTATTGCTGGCTGGTTCCATAGCTAAAAATGTCTGAGGAAGACGAGCACAGTGGAGAGTGCTGTGTGGAAACGGAAATAGCTTCTCAGCGCAGCCAGGCAGAGGCCGAGGAGCTCCTGAATACCACTGTCTACACCATGAAGCCAATAAGAGTGAGAATTGAATCACACCTTCAGAATATCAGCTAGTGGTCACTCAGGAAGCAATTACCCTCTTCTTGCTTGAGAAGTCTCCGTCTCTGCCCCTCCTGCTCCATTCTTGAGAATTTGGGATTGGGATCAAGTGGAAAGAAAGGAAAGCCTGAGATAGAGCTTTGAACGGAACTGAACCTGAGATCACAATCCTGAATTTACACAAAAAGTCACTGGATTGAATTAAGAAACTCCAAAAAAGGATGATATTAGTTATTCTGTTAAGGAGCAGAAATTGGAACTCATGAGTTAATTTAAAAAAAAAAAGTTTCCTTTTGCATATGTGGGTTGTGTTAATTATATCAGCTGTGGATCAATACAACTGTATATATAAATTCATCGTGGTATCATGTTGTCCTTTTCTTCTAATAACATCATCTGGCTCCTGTGGGACAGTTGAATAGAAAAATTCTAATCTATTAGATTGTGCTATAATTAACAGGGGAGCAGCTTTTACAGACCTGAATTTAAAATGTGCCAAGGAAGGCAATTCTAAGTGCTTCCACAAGAGAATAATCTTTCTCAGTGGTTCTTTGGATACTGACCAAGACCCTCAAATAGGATAAATCCAGAATCACAGCTCTTGACAGCAGTAGCTGAGAAGTGGTTGTTTGGAAGGTATAATCTCTATGGCAACCTTGTGCTTGAAGAGAGTTCTTTGTAGATTACATCAATCATACAAATTTCCTTGATGGATGATGTAATGGGTTTTCATACTCATTTTATATTCCTTTATTTTGTGCAGATGATGATGTAAAAGGCTGAACCAAAAATAACAACTGATCTTACATACACCATTCCTCTGCTGCATTGGTATATCACAGCTGTGATCTCCACAAGGTAATTAAAAGGTGTTTATGGATACCCATCAGCATCTGGAGTAATCCAGATGTTCCACAATACATGATTCAAGAATCCTAGAATTAGAAAGCTGGGAGAGACGTACAGATATTTCTGTAGTGTAGTTTCCCCCACCCAAAATTTTATAGGTCTTGGAAAAACATTCTTCGGCTTCTTGGGCTTGCAATATATTCCTATTTAGATTCAATTTCAGTGAAAACATAATCCTGTGTGAAGATGCATTATAAATCTAGAATCAGGCAGCACACCATAGAGCTCCAGAACTTGGCCTCTGAAGCTAGATTGCTTAGTTTCAAAATTTGATGCCTCCATTTATTAGACATGTGAATGGATATGTAGCTTAACTTCTATGGCTTAATGTCCTAATTTGCATAATGAAAAATATAATAATGTCTCCTTCATAGAGCTCTTGTAAATGTTAAATCATTTATCCATTTAAACCCCTTAGAACAGTGAGCTACACAGTAAGACTCAATAATCTTATCTCTTCATATATATGGAGGCACACACCCATGGAGAAACAATTCAATGAAATGAGCAAGGTGAGTTATTGAGGGACCAGTGTTTTCATACTTACACCCTGCTTGTATAAAGATGTAATGTTTATTGGAAATAGATGGAGATGTAGCATTGTTAAGAAATACTGAGTAATTTGATTCCTTAACTTTGGATCTCACCCCTTGTTCTTCCAGCCATTTTCTCCCCGTCCTATTGTTTCTAAAATATTTAGGAAAGTTTTAAAGGAAAAGAGAATATTAAGAGCAGCTGATGGAACTCTTCCGGCTCCTTTGCTGGACACTATAAAAATGCAAGAGTGACCTAAATTCAAAAACGCAGCATCCCATGGATGTCTTAGAATTTCAAATGCAAATCGCTTTTCTTTGATTTTCCTCATTCCTACCCTCGGTCTCTCAGCTGGGGAATTTCTATTAGAAAATCTCAGTGCATCTTCATTTGGATGAATCCTGGGAACCCAGACATAGCATGCAGCATCTGGGAAACATGGGAAACCCTTTAGTTAGCCTCCCCTGAGTTATCTGAAGATGAGAAACATCTGTTACTGTCTTTTCAGAGACAGGGTGTTTGATGGGCTTATTTTTCTGCTTTGCTTGGATATTCTCAGCTCAGCCAAATATTGTCCCTAAAGAAGTCATCACAAATAAGGTATGATAAACCCATGAACTTGAGGTGTTATCAATCATAAAAATACTGCAAAACATCCAAGCTATAGTCATCCCCTATTATATATTTATATATATATATATATATATATATATATATAGAGAGAGAGAGAGAGAGAGAGAGAGAGCGCACTAGGATATTCAAAAGATTGTACTTTTCACTTTCTGCAGAACAGCACCCAAGAAACCAGCTCTCTGTGTTAGTAGTTTGAACACAATTGGAAGAAATAAAAAAAAAATGCTGTGAAACAGGTGCAAGGGTGTCAGAGTCATTGAAGCATTGATGTAACTGTCTTAAATCCCATAAAATAGTAGCATTTGGCAAGTCTGTATATAAATGAGGTTAGGTTTGCCAGAAAAGTAAAGTAACACTACTAGTAAGTTAAAAAATCATATCCTATCAGAATTTCCCTGCATTCCATCCAAATTTTCTATGAAACTTTGGTAATAGTCTGATTCATCACATATAAATTCCATGCCAAAAAAATAAAAAAGAAACTATAACTTTCCCACTATTGCTCTGTAGAAAGGCAAAGAGCAATACTGAAGATATGTTTGCCAATTTCTTGCTCATAAATATGCCATTATTGCTTAGTGATATTTCTCCTCTCATCTCCACCCAACTAAGATAGTAGAGTGATAATAGAGGAAGTATCTAAAATTATAATAACAAGATTATAAAATATCCTTTCTTGTAGTTGAAATTGCTTAGGATAAATTATATAAATGTATATAGATGAGCTTGCCTGATTGCAAACTGACATTCATCTAAGTTTCAAATTGAAGTAATCTGCCTCACCCGTTTAAGCAGTTAACTGACTTACAATAAGTTTATGACTGCAACTCGAATGGATGGCTTTAATCAGAGTTTAGATTACATGAGATTCATAGATCATAAGATCTAGAATTTTTTTTTCCTTATGGGTGTGGGGGAAGAACAGGCTTGGAAACAAGCCCTTGGATAAAGTACTGGGAACGTTTTTTTGTTTTACTATTAAAGATCTGTTTACAGTCTGCAGTGTCCCGTTGGTTTGCACTTTAGCTAAATAAAATGACAACTGTCCTCTGTTTATAACTGAGAAATTCCTGTGGCTATGGAGTCTGGGGACCAACCTTTAACTCAGAGACCTCCCAAACTCCCACTTTCCTTTATCTTACCCATATGACTTTGCGATGACTCTATTTCAGTTCAGGAATGAATGTTCTGGAAGTATTGTTCAGTTGTGTTAACTGGTATATGAGAAAACTGTAATGTGGGAATTTATTTGCCTAACTGGTGACACACAAAAAAAGTGCACCAGTTAAACTGTTAAGGATAAATTGGGCTGAGCTAGTGCCAGAGAAAAACAATTTGTAATAAAATGTGTAATTTCACTTTCAAGATAAGGAGTGCATAATATACAGAAGATGTGGGAGAGGTCCTACATTGGGAACAACAATCTAAGCTTCTACTTTTTAAATTTAACTTTTATTTTAAGTTCAGGGGTACATGTGCAGGTTTGTTATATAGGTAAACTTGTGTCATGAGAATTTGTTGTACAGATTATTTCATCACCCAGGTATTAAGCCTAGTACCCATTAGTTGTTTTTCCTGAGCCTCTCCCTCTTCCCACCCTCCACCCTCTAATGGGCCCCAGTGTGTGTTTTTCCCCCCTCTATGCGTCCATGTGTTCTCATCATTTAGCTCCCACTTATAACTGAGAACATGCAGTATTTGGTTTTCTGTTCCTGCGTTAGTTTTCTCATGATAATGGCCTTTAGCTCCATTCATGTTCCTGCAAAAGACACAATATTGTTCTTTTTATGGCTGCATAGTAGCGTTCCATGGTGTATATGTACTACATTTTCTATGTCCAGTCGGCTATTGATGGGCATTTAGGTTCATTCCATGTCTTTGCTATCATGAATAGTGCTGCAATGAACATGTGCATGCATCTTTATGAAAGAATGATTTATATTATTTGGGGTATATGCCCAGTAGTAGGATAGCTGGGTTGAATGGTATTTCTGTTTTTAGCTCTTTGGTGAATCACCACACTGTCTTCCACAATGGTTGAAATAATTTACACTCCCACCAACAGTGTATAAGGGTTCCTTTTTCTCCACACTCTTGCCAGAATCTGTTATTTTTTGACTTTTTAATAATAGCCATTCTGACTGGTGTGAGATGGTATCTCACTGTGGTTTTGATTTGCATTTCCCTAATGATAGTGATGTTGAACTTTTTTTCATATGATAGTTGCCCATGTGCACATCTTCTTTTGAAAAGTGTCTGTTCATATCCTTTACCCACTTTTAACAGGGTTTTTTTCCTTGTAAACTTAAGTTCCTTATAGATGCTGGATATTAGACCTTTCTCAGATGCATACCTTGCAAAAATTTTCTCCCATTTTGTAGGTCATCTGTTCGTTCTGCTGATAGTTTCTCTTGCTGTGCAGAAGCTCTTTAGCTTAATTAGATCACATTTGTCAATTTTTCTAAGCTTCTATTTTTTCATATAAAACAACTCACCATACAGGATAAATAAAATTTGCAGTAAGTCGCCACCAAGGAGCAGTTTCACAGACCATTTTCACATCAACTGTGGGGGTCTCCTGGCATCTGTTCAGGAAATGACCACAAAGCTGCTTGTATATGATGCGGCTTAACAGTGGGTAAGAGGGCTGGTGGCATCAAGTGGAGATAGCAGCTCCATCTTTATTCCATAAGGAGACCAGGCATCTGTAAGGAGTTTTTGGTCCTTCCTTTGACTTCTTATTCTCTCCATTTTGGTTCTCCAGATAGAGTTTGACAGAAGAATGAAAACAAACACCTTATGTGTCAAGCATTTTTACCTTTGCTCTTCGTCTGTTGACTGGGATTAAAATTATGAGCAAAGGGTTTTTTGTATGTTATGCCAGGAGCAAACATTTCAGGTTTAGATATTCAAGTTAAAGACAATTTCATTGTCATTAATCAAGCATTGTGTTGATCAACACTTGAAAAAAAAAGTTTCTGGGAGAAACTAGTATCTTCTGAAATAGTAATAAGTTCTTCATTAAGAAAAAGGAAAGCATGCTGTGATCTAATCGGTTTAGAAATCAAGGGTTAGACAAAGTTAAATAGATTTAATTTTTGTAGGAATTCTCACAGCCTGTAACGTTTTATTAATCATCTGTCTTAGCTCTAAACGGTATTTTTTCAGACAGAGAAAGGAAAGAGGACAAAAAAGATAATGAATGGCTTTAGGAAGGCAATCAACCACATCTGCCACAATATACGCACAGGCGTTATGATTCTCCAGTGGCAGAAGAGGGGAATAAATAATACAGCATTTAAGCATCAGTTATTTTTTTCAACCATGGCCACCAGCATCTCACAATTATGCAGTTTGGGAAATGGACATAGAGGACACAGTTCTGATGTCAAATCTTATAGATTACAGTTATGTGACATTGTGTAAATTATTTAACTTCTCCTAGCCTCGATTTTCATAGCCATGAAAGTGAGCTAATACCTAGCTCTTGGGTTACTGTAAAAATTGTATGCAATTATGCATGTAGTGCTTGGCACAGAAATGATCAATTGTTTTATCTTCTCCAGGGCCTTCACTCTCACCCCAGGCCCAATCTGCCATTTGAACTTAAAGTGACTCCAATAGGAATGGGCCACTGTCCTGCCACAGTGTAGACAGTTTCCTCCAGGGAACTGAGTTAGTGTCTGAGAGTGATAGCCTCTAAAATATCTTCTGTCATTTATTCCATTCCTCCATTCAGGCAGGCAGTCAACCTATTCTTATGAGGCATCTATCATGGGTTCAGGCACTAGGATAAAGATAGACTTGGTTTCCTTCCCTGATGAGGCTTACTGTCTGCCACTTAAGCAGTAATGCTCAAGTGTGAAAACAGTTCTGATAAAGAATGTTCCGGGCACTAACTTTGAAATAAGAATTATGCTAAGAATCCAGGGAGACAGTACAGATTTAGTAGAACTATACTTTCTCTGATACACCATGAAGAAACCAGTATAAAAATCACATCCACAGTGAAAATAAGAAGTGAGAGACTGGAATGAAGAAATGAATGGGAGGGGGCTGTGCCTTCAAAATAGGTTTCTCACTTGACCCCAATAGCAACTCAAAAAGTTGGTCAAGAAGAGGAAATAATTTTTCTTAAGGACAAAGAGTCATTTCCCGGTGGACTCAAGACTATTGCCCAGGGTTTCTGATTTCCAGCCTAGACTCTGCAGGGCTGCAGGTGGAATAAACCTAGAGGAGTTTTCCTCAGATTTCCAACTAAAGATGACTCCATAATTAGGAACTTAATAAATGATGCTTCCTCCGAATTTTGTCTTTTACTTTAGCACTTCTCATGCTGTTCCTGAGATTTCACCCTTTTTTCCCTCTGTCATAACATCTAATTATAATTCCACAAGGTTGAGAACCATGTTATTTTCCTCTATATGTTTTAAGTACCTAGCTTCTGTTATTTGCTAAAAATAATTAATGGCTGAGATTAGTTTATGCTAATTTATATAATAATAAGCCCAGGCTTAAGCTGGATTTTTTGTTATATATAATAATTTTTTACTAAAATTATTTTGACTTTCAATTTTGCTGTCACTGTATCTATGAATATAAATGACTAGATCAGACAGATTATAGGGATAAGAGGAAAGACTGTCTTTTTATTGATATACTGGAGTCTAAAGAATTTGTAGCCCTCTTCTCATAATGCATTCAAGGTAAAATTATCATAAAGACCAGCAGAAATCAGCCTTGACACTCTCAATTCTGCATACTTGGTGGATTAGTTGTCCTTTAGTGTAATAAAGATGATCAAGCCAGAAATGTTTTGGAAAAGTATAAAGTCAGATTGAATTTAGCTCCAGCCACTTAAAGTCTTATAAATTTCAGGTTTTTTTTTTTTTTTGTGGATGGAGTCTCACTCTGTCACCAGGCTGGAGGGCAGTGGTGCAATCTTGGCTCACTGCAACCTCCGCCTCCTGGGTTCAAGCGATTCTCCTGCCTCAGCCTCCTGAGTAGCTGGGATTACAGGCAAGCAACACCATGCCCAGCTAATTTTTGTATTTTTAGTAGAGACGGGGTTTCACTATGTTCATCAGGATGGTCTCCATCTCCTGACCTCATGATCCGCCCGCCTCTGCATTCCAAAGTGCTGGGATTACAGGCCTGAGCCACCGCTCCTGGCCTCAATTTTTGTTAGAAGTTACATTCTTTTAAAAAGTGAAGAAGTACATTAGATTACAAGTTAGCTTTGGTCTTAACAGTTAGGTTAATTATGGATTTAAAAATGAGTTAGGAATCGCTCTCTGTTAATCACAGATAGATAGTAAGTCAACGGAACCTTCAACAGGCTTTATAATCCTATAGTTGTGTCTCAATTTTAAGACTTGAGGTTCACCTTTGCTAAGGTCTGGTGATTCCATTTGTAGAAACTGTTCACTGAGCAAAAGATAAACAAGCTAATTTTATGAGTAGAATTATTTTAGCACTATACTAAATAGTGTGTATTAATCCTCTGAAAGTGAAATTATAAAATGGATAGTTTAGATGTTATTGGGGAGCACACACTATGAATTTCTTTAGATCTTCTTCCTTCATTTTTTTTGCTAGTCAAAAGTTGGTTAAGTGCTGTCATTAAAGTACTGAGCACTAGTCAGGAAAGCAATAAAAATGAGCCTTGGGATATTTCTTCATAGCTTTTTTAGAACATTTTGGCGCAACTTTGTTTTGAGTTGGGCATTGTCACGAAGGATGGAAATGGTGTCTCCTTTACTCATTCCTAGGATACTTATATGATTCCATTTATCTGCAATCCTGGGAACCCTACAATTCCCAGGGATAGAATTGTATTATTGGGTTTCCTGATGGGTGTTTCACATAACTTTTATGGCTTGTTTAATTTCACATTGCCCTCTGTGGACAGGACTATTTGTTTTGCCAAATGCAAAGCCCACTCAAAAGTCACACTCACAAGTTAAATAAGTTTTAAATTATTTGCTTAAGTAAAAGACACCACCTCTTAATCTAGAAATGATACAGAAGAAGTCCAAAATCTTCTTGGCTATAACTGAGTATGAAGAAATCCTACTTGAATCATCTCAGTACAAATTAAAAACATGCATTACGAACCAAATACCCTTCAATTACCAAGTTTTACTTACTTATTTACTTTTTAAATCAAGGGTGAGACTATTAAGCCAAAGGCACTGTGGAGCTAGCTAAAACAAAAGTCTGTAATAATCTGAGATGCAAAAAAAACCTCTGAATAGACTATATTCACTCACACTGTCATGGCATGATATGAAGTACAAGGAATTATTTGGGTAATTCTGGTTCTTTCTTATCATGTGTATTTTCTGTAGGTCTGAGACCTAGAGAAATGCGTAGAAGATAGACATAGAAGTCAGATGAAAGTCAAAACCCTGGGAACAAAAGACTGCATTTCCAAAAGTCTTTATTATACATAAGCAAAAAGCGCCCCAATACTACTGATGAGAATCTGTTCTCACTATCCAGACAAGACCGAATGACACTATCCAAACAAGACCAAAAACAAACACACACACACACACACACGCACACATGCATACACGCATGCACACACACACATACATGCATCCACGCACACACACACGCATACACGCACACACGCGCGCATACACGCATTCACGCACGCGCACACACACACACATGCATACACCCATGCGTGCACGCATACACAAATGCACTCTCTCTCTTATTTGTCTCTCTTTTTTCTTCTTTACTACCCATATACAGATGATAAAACTCACCTATGACTGGAATTAAGGAGACAAAAGGGTCTTGAATTGTAAAAATGTTCCAAACACGTTTTACGAACTCCAAGAAAGTCGGGACCACAATGATTCAACAGGAATATTTGACCACTTCCTTATTTGTTTTTACTTCAAAATAAAACCCAACTTAAAACATCACACCATGTGCATTCTTTACAGGTTATAAAAGTCCTCATACAGCAAAAGATGCCATTTGTCTTCTTCCTCCACCCATGCCCCTTCTTAATGAATACTTTTCACTTATATACCTCAACAGTCTGTTCTCACAGTTCTAGGTGGGAGGTTTGTGGGCAACATGAGCCTTCTGGCATGGCCCTGACCCAGAATGGACCAGTAAGATTCCTTAGAAATTTGGAATCGGAATGCAGAATTTTAATTAAGCTTTATTTGGCACTGTTCAGACAGGGAATAAAATTAATTATACACAGAGAGAGAACATACCGAGGCAGACGCTCACAGCAAAGCTTTCAAGAGATGAACTGTGGTTCCTAATTTTCTAGGTGGTAGGCTTTGTGTCTCATGAGACCCACCTATATTCCTTGCCTTTGTGATCTGTGAAATACCTCTGGATTATTCCAATAAATTCATTTTTTTTTTTTTGAGATGGAGTCTCGCAGTTGCCCAGGCTGGAGTGCAATGGCGCGATCTCGGCTCACTGCAGGCTCCGCCCCCCGGGGTTCACCCATTCTCCTGCCTCAGCCTCCTGAGTAGCTGGGACTACAGGTTCCCGCCACCTCGCCCGGCTAATTTTTTGTATTTTTAGTAGAGACGGGGTTTCACCGTGTTAGCTAGGATGGTCTCGATCTCCTGACCTCGTGATCCGCCTGCCTCGGCCTCCCAAAGTGCTGGGATTACAGGCGTGAGCCCCCGCGCCCGGCCTAAATTCCCTTTTTTACCTAAGTTAGTCTGAATGAGTTGAGTGAGTTACTATCAAACTATCCCTAACTAAAAATCTATTAGGGCATTTCAATTAGAACTCAATCTCACAGTTCCTGAAACTGTTTTAAAATACTATGGTATGCTATAATATGTTAGCAAATATAGAAAAATAAATCACAGGCTAAAGTTAGACTTGCAAGCCATATACTGTTACTATACTTCATGAATTCTTCCCTCATCTATTAGCAAAATTATAGTTTTGTTTTAAGAAATAAATTTATTCCTGTGCATAAATTTTACACATTTTATTAAGAGGCCAGATTATTTAATTTCTCTAAATATTTCCTCTTTTCTTTTTTTTTTTTTTTTTTTTTTTTTTGAGACGGAAACTCGCTCTGTCACCCAGGCTGGAGTGCAGTGGCGCGATCTGGCTCACTGCAAGCTCCGCCTCTCGGGTTCATGCCACTCTCCTGCCTCAGCCTCCCGAGTAGCTGGAACTACAGGCACCCGCCACCACGCCCAGCTAATTTTTTGTATTTTTAGTAGAGACAGGGTTTCACCATGTTAGCCACGATGGTCTCAATCTACTGACCTTGTGATCCATCCACCTTAGCCTCCTAATGTGCTGGGATTACAGGCGTGAGCCACCGTGCCCGGCCTAAATATTCCTTTTTAAAAACTAAGTAAATAAGCAAAAACAATACACTCTTTTAATCAATAAATTTTACCAAAGTAGCCTGTGATTTGTAGAGTAGTATTGCTCATGCGCTTCTACTGTTAAAGAGGAAACATTTTTGAAGAGTCTATATAAACAGCCCCTAATTATTGGCTAGACACCCACAGAAGCCACCTGTGTCCCTTTAAGCTGAGCCTAAGCAATATTTGGAGACAGGACTGTTTTCTTGTGGGAATACTGGCCCAGTAATGGTGCATCTGACATTTTAATAGAACCTGAAAATATATGTTTTATATTAAATTCTACATTTTAAAATGCTGGCAGGCTATTATCAAAAAGACAAAAGGTAACAAGTGTTGGAGAGAATGTGGACAAAAGAGAACTCTTGTACACTGGTGGTGGGAATGTAAATTTGTACACTCATTATGGAAAATAATATGGAGGTTTCTCAAAAAAATTAAAAATAGAGTTACCATATAATTCAGCAATCCTTTTGCTGGGTATATAGTCAAAGGATATAAAACAATATGTCAAAGAGATATCTGCCCTCCCATATTCATTACAGTATTATTCACAATAGCCAAGATATGAGATCAACCTAAGTGTTCATTAATGGATGAATCGATAGAGAAAACTGGCTCTATATACACAATGGAAACTATGCAATCTTTTAAAAGGAGAAAATCATGTGACAGCATGGCTGAACCTGGAGGATACTATGTTAAGTGAAATAAGCCAGGCACAGAAAGACAAATACAACATGACCTGATTTATATATGGAGTGTAAAAAAATCCAACTCATAGAAACAGTAAAATGGTGGGTACCAGAGGCTGAGGGTTGGAAGATTTGAGGAGGTGTTGGTCAAAGGATACAAAAATTTCAGTGAGATAGGAGGAATAAGTTCAAGAGATCTGTTGTACGTTATGATGACTATAGTTAATAACAATGTATTACATATTTGAAAATTACTGAAAATCAATTTTAAGTGTGTCATCAAAAAAAGATAAGTATGTGAAGTAATACATGTGTTAAATAGCTTGGTTTAGCCATTTCACAATGTGTACATATATCAAGGCTTTACATTGTACACCATAAATATATATAATTTTTGTTAAATATAATTTCTTAAATAAGAATTTTAAAATAGATCTATATTCACTGGCAAAGATGCCATTTTGTATTAAGAGAAAAAAAGAAAAATCACATTGCGAAGCATGTTTCTATTTAATTAAAAATGCACACAAGAAAAAAATTAAATCAAATGCTAACAAATAATTGAATTCAAAATAAACACACACGCACACATAATTTTCATGCAAACAGACAAAAACTTCTGAAGCCCAATTTTGCCCCTTCAGCTATTGTGTCGTTACTTATGCCTTAAACTTTCATAATATGGCTTTTACTGATACTACTTGAGTATTTGGCTGCTAGGGTCCAAAAAAATTTCTGCGAGTTGCTCTAGGCCAAATAAAACTATGTTGAAAGTGGAGAATTAACATATTTGTGGGTACACATAAAAATCTGCAAGGCTATAAATACATCTGGTTCTGACATCAGCTATCAAATTACCCTTTTCACTAAAACATAAATATCATATGTTCCTACGTTTCTAATACTTTTATATGCATTATATCAAAAAAGTCAGAACTTCAAAATAATCTTCAGCCTAACATCCTAGTTTACATCCTCATAACCTCACACTTGGAATGAATCGGGAACTTCTAGCTAGTGCGTAGGTTTCCAATTACTTCTCTTTCCATCCTCTATGCATCAAGTAGTTATTATTATAAGAAAATAGATTTTATCATGTAATTCTACTGGTTTTTTAAATGGCTTTCATTAACAGATATTAGAAAGCTTAAGACCCTTGACTTTCCAAAGCGGCCCAACTTAGCTCTCCCTCTTATTACCTATCCTTTGTGCTCTAGCTAAAATCCTGGGCTTCGGCAGCATTCTTCAAAGTTTGCCCAACCAAAGGTATTTTAAGATATACTACAAGGCATTCTGGATAGCATGAGCTGGGGGAGATAAATTTTGTAGTCTAATAAGTTTTGGGAAAGTTAATTAACATAGTTGAACCAATTTGTTTAGTGAGTCCACAATGACTGAGTGCCTTATATGTGTTCTATACTGTGCTAAGCAGGAGTTACGCACTGGTAGACAGGAGAGGCACAGTTCCTGTTTCTCCCAGAGCTAAAGTCCAACACAGAAATTCTTAGAGCCAAGCTTGTTTAACCACAGAGTTGCTCCTTAAGCATCCACAACAGAACATATTTTTACAAAACGCTCTTCTCTCTCTCATTGACTTGAATACTTGACCCCATGCCTGCTTTCTTTCACATACTTTTCTTTCTACCTAGCATGCTCTTCATTCTCTCAGTGATTGAACAAACTCCTCTTATCTCTCACTATCCACCAGTTCTCAGTTTATTAAGAAGCCGTATGACAAGCTCAGGAGAGTTTAGTTGCTCTGACCTCTGTCCCACAGGACTTTCATATGTGTTTTCACATACTTTCTATAAGGGGTTAGAGTAATTTTATTCTCCTCCCTCCTGCCCCTATATATTGGGCAGGGATCATATATCAGGCTTCTTTTTATTATGAGTTTCTTGCAGACTGCTAGCTAGATATTTGATAAAACCCTCCAATGACATTCCATTTTCCCTATTCTCTGCACTTATATCTTAACACTCTTACCCTCTCACTTTATTGCAGATATACTGACCTCCTTACAGCTCATCACACTCTGTACAAGCATGCTCCTGCTTCACAGCCTTTGCCTTTGCTGTTTCTCTGTTCAGAAAACTCTTCTCTGTGGGACTTTTCTAACCATCTGTATAAAATAGCCAATCTCTACCATCCCTGTGATTCTTACTCTGTTTTATTCACCATATCAGTTTTATGCAGTTAACTATTGCCACATAACAAACCACCTCAAAACTTAGTATCTTAAGACAACAATGATTTATCGTTTCTCTTACTTTTGTTGGTTGGCTGGGCCTGACCTATTCCTTTGTTGATTTGCCTGAGCTCATTCAAGAAGCTACATTCAACTGGGTGGTCAGCTGGGCTTGAAGATAGCCTCACTCATATATCTGGCTTTTGACGCTGGCTGACTATTAACCAGAGCATATTAGTTCTCTTTTACGTAACCTCTCATCCTCCTGAAGGCTAGAGTGGCTGCTTTTGTGACTGACTCAAGGAACTCTTCCAAGAGTTTAAGGTAAAAGTAACAAGGCTTTTTGAATCTGAGGCCCCCAAACTCCAACAGCACTTCTGCTCTATTCCACAAATCAAGTTACAAGGAGTGGGAAAGAGAGTCCACCTCTTTTTTCTTTTTTTTCAAGACGGAGTCTCACTCTGTTTCCGAGGCTGGAGTGCAGTGACACAATCTCGGCTCACTGCAAGCTCCGCCTCCCAGGTTCACATCACTCTCCTGCCTCAGCCTCCCGAGTAGCTGGGACTACAGGCGCCCGCCATTATGCCCCGCTAATTTTTTTGTATTTTTTAGTAGAGACGGGGTTTCACAGTGTTAGCCAGGATGGTCTCGATCTCCTGACTTCATGATTTGCCTGCCTCGGCCTCCCAAAGTGCTGGGGTTACAGGCATGAGCCACCGTGCCCGGCCAAGGAAGTTCTTTAATTTGAAAGAAAAGTATGTTAATGATCAGTAAGAAATCGTCTGAAGGTGGAAAACTCACTGATAAGAGTAACCACACATACAAACATACTATTATAACACTGTAATCATGGTATATAAAATACTCATATCTTCAGTAAAAGAACTAAAAGATGAACCTATCAAAAATAATAACTACAATCACTGTTTTAAGACATAGACAGTGTAAAAAGATATAAATAGAAACCTAAAAATAGATAAAAGGGGTAAGCCAGACTTAAAGTGTAGAGTTTTTACTAGGTTTCTCTTTGCTTGCTTGTTAATTTGTTTATGCAATCAACGTTAAGTTGTCATCAGTTTAAAATACTGGATTATAGCATATTATTTGCAAGCCTTATAATAGCCTCTAATCAAAAACATGCAACAGATACACAAAAAATAAAAAGCAAGAAATTAAAACATAACACAATAGAAAAGCGCTTCCTCTAAAAGGAAGACAGGAAGGAAGAAAAGAAGGAAAAGAAAACCACAGTACAATCAGAAAACAATACAAATAGTAGGAGTAAGTTCTTACTTGTCACTAATAACATTGAATGTAAATGGACTAAACTCTCCAATGAAGAGACAAAGTGGCTGAATGTATTAAAAACCAAGACCCAGCCGGGCGCAGTGGCTCAAGCCTGTAATCCCAGCACTTTGGGAGGCTGAGGCAGATGGATCACCTGAGGTCAGGAGTTTGAGACCAGCCTGGCCAACATGATGAAACCCTGTCTCTACTAAAATTACAAAAATTAGCCAGGCATGGTGGCACACACCCATAATCCCAGTTACTTGGGAGGCTGAGGCAGTAGAATCACTTAAACCTGGGAGGTGGAGGTTGTAGTGACCCGATATCGTGCCACCGCACTCCAGCCTGGGCGACAGAGTGAGACCCTGTCTCAAAAAAATAAAAAAAAGGCATTACATGCAAATGGAAACCAGACCAAAAAAAAAAAAAAAAAAAACAAGAGTAGCTATATTTGTATCTAACAAAACAGATTTCAAGACAAAAGTATAAAAAGAGAAAAATAAGTTTATTATATAGTGATGAAAGGGCCAATTCAGCAAGAGAATATAATGATGGTAAACATAGATGCATTCAACACTGAAGCACCCAGATATATATAAAGCAAATGTTACTAAAGAGAGAGCTAGACTCCCAATAAAATAATAGCTAGAGATTTCAATACCCCACTTTGAGCAATGAACAGATCATTCAGACAGAAAATCAACAAAGATACATCAGACTTAATCTGCACTATAGACCAAATAGATCTAATAGATATTTACAGAACATGTCATCCAACGGCTACAGTGTATGCATTCTTCTTGTCAGCACATGGATTATTCTCAATGGTAGACCATATATTAGGCCACAAAACTCGTCTTAAAATTTTTTAATTAAAATTATATCAAATATCTTCTCTGATCACATTGGAATAAAACTACAAATCAGTAACAGGAAGAATTTTGGAAACTATACAAACACATGGATATTAAACAATATGTTCCTTATGAACGGTGGATTGATAAATAAGAAGGAAATTTAAGAGTTTCTTGACAAAAAAAGAACATAGGAACACAGCAAATCAAAACCTATGGGATACAGCAAAAGCAGTAGTCAGAGGAAAGTTTATAGCAATAAGTACCTACATCAAAAAAATAGAAAAACTTTAAATAACAACCTAATGATGCATCTTAAAGAAGTAGAAATGCAAGAGAAAACCAAATTCAAAATTAGGATAAGAAAAGACAATAAAGATCAGAGCAGAAATAAATGAAATTGAAATGAAAAAAAAATCAATGAAACAAGCTAGTTTTTTGCAAATATAAACAAAATTGACAAACCTTTAGCCAGACTACCTAAGGAAGAAAGAGAAGAGACCTAAATAAATAAAATCAGAGATGAAGAAAGAGACATTACAACTGACACTGCAGAAATTCCAAGGAACATTAGAGACTACTATGAGCAAGTATATGCCAAAAAACTGGGAAAATCTGGAAGAAACATATAAATTCCCTACATACATACTACCTACCAAGATTAAACCATGAAGAAATCCAAAACCTGAACAGACCAATAACAAGTAATGAAATAGAAGCCATAATAAAAACTCTCCCAGCAAAGAAAACGCAAAACCCAATGGCTTCACTGCTGAATTTTACCAAACGCTTAAAGAAGAACTAATGCTAATCCTACTCAAACCATTCCAAAATAATGGAGAAGGAGGGAGTACTTCCAAACTCATTCTATGAGGCCAGTACTGCCCTGATACCAAAACCAAACAAAGTCACACCAAGAAAAGAAAGCTACAGGCCGATATCACTGAAGAACATTAATGCAAAAATCCTCAAAAAAATACTAACAAACTGAATTTAACACCATGTTTAAAAGATCCTTCATCATGACCAAGTGGGATTTAACCCACAGATGCAAGGATGGCTCAACATACACCAATCAATCAACGTGATACATCATATGAACAGAATGAAGGGCAAAAACTATATGTTCCTTTCAATTGACGCTGAAAAGCATTGGATAAAATTCAACATCTCTTCATGATAAAAACCCTCAAAAAACTGGGTATAGAAGGAACATATCTCAACACAGTAAAAGCCATATATGACAGACCCACAGCTAATATCATACTGAATGACTGAATGGGGATAAACTGAAAGCCTTCCCTCCAAGATCTGGAACAAAAAAAAAAAAAAAAAGATGCCTTCTTGCACTACTGTTATTCAACATAGTACTGGAAGTTCTAGCTAGAGCAATCAGACAAGAGAAAGATAAAGGACATCCAGACTGAAAAGGAAGAAGTCAAATTATCCTTGTTTGCAGATGATATGATCTTATATTTGGAAAAACCTAAAGACTCTACCAAAAAATTATTAGAACTGATAAATTCAGTAAGGTTGCAGGATACAAAATCAACATACAAAAATTAATAGCATTTTTATATGCCAAAAGTGAGCAATCTAAAAAATCAAGAAACTAATCCTGTTTACAATAGCTACAAATTAAATTAAATACCTAGGAATTAACCAACAAAGTGAAAGATCTCTACAATGAAAACTATAAAACACTGATGAAAGAAATTGAAGAGGACACCAAAAATGGGAAATTATTCCGTGTTCATGAACTGGAAGAATCAATGTTGTTAAAATGTTCATACTGCCCAAAGCAGTCTACAGATTCAATGCAATCCCTATTGTAATACCAATGACATTCTTCACAGAAATAGAAAAAATAATCCTACAATTAATATGGAACCACAAAAGACCCAAAATGACCAAAGCTATTTGGAGCAAAAAGAACAAAACTGAAGGAATCACATTACCTGACTTCAAATTATACTGCAGAGCTATAGTAACTAAAACAGCATGGTACTAGCATAAAAGCACATAAACCAATGGAACAGAATAGAGAATCTATAAATAAATCTATACATCTATGGTGAACTTATTTTCAATAAGATGCCAAGAGCATACATTGGAGAAAGTACAATCTCTTTAGTATATGGTCCTTGGGAAACTGGATATCCACATGCAGAAAAATGAAATTAGACTATCTCTATCCATATACAAAAATAAATCAAAATGGAGTAAAAGCCCAAATCTAAAGCCTCAAACATGAAACTATAAAAGAAAACATTGGGAAAACTCTCCAGGACATTGATCTGGATAAAGACTTCTTGTCTAATATACCACAAGCACAGGAAACCAAAGCAAAAATGGACAGATGGAATCACATTGAGTTAAATAACCAGAATACATGAGGAGCTCAAACAACTCTACAGGAAAAAAATCTAACCATCTGATTTAAAAATGAGCAAAAGATATGAGTCGACATTTCTCAAAAGAAGACATACACTTGGCAAACAGGTACTTGAAAAGGTGCTCAACATCATTGATCATAGAGAAATGCAAATCAAAACTACAATGAGATACCATCTCACCCAATTTAAAATGGCTTCTATCCAAAAACAGGCCATAACAAATGCTAAAGAGGATGTGGAGAAAAGGGAACCCTCATACACTGCTAGTGGGAATGTAAATTAGTACAACCATTATGGAGAATAGTTTGGAGGTTCCTCAGAAAACTAAAACTAGGACTACCATATGATCCAGCAATCCCACTGCTATGTGTTAGAGATACAATGAGAAGCAAAACAAATTTGACCCATGAACTCAAGATATTTAATGTGTCCTGAGAGAGTTAGACATTGAATAAATAGACACACAAATCATATAAATGTGTTACTCTGATAAGGTCTACAAAAAAGAAAAAAAAAAACCGTGGGAGGCTATAACAATAGTTTTTGGTACTAAAGAAACGACAATGACCCAAACAGACATTTTGTTTCCCTTATGGAGCTTGCAGGTAATAATATACATTAGAGAGACAATATTTTAGTAATATAAGCAATGAGCTTCTACTCACAATACCTGGTCCTATTAATTATTGGTATAACCTGGGATAAAACAGTTTACCTTTCTACTACATAGGGATACTAATACATACTTTAACTTGGCAAGGATATACAGGACTAATATTATTGAGAATGCTCACCTTTTTGCCATACTTTTCTGCTAGTTTCTGGTAAGTTCCCAATTTTAGATCTCACTGGGCTGAGCTTGAAGAAGACTTGACCTCTGGGATACTGCAGTTGCACAGTTCCTAGAGAGGAGAGATCAATTATGTAGACAAAAACTGGTTCTAGTTCTGACTGTGCTTCCGGCTAATAAGCCGGTGCCCCCTTAAGACCTGTTTCCTTTTCTCTCAATGGAAGATCCAACTAGGTTAGTTCTAAGGGCTAATCCTCAATAGAGGATCTACTTCTTTCACCGCCACTGTTCTCTAGCACACACATACCTCCCCCACATACCTTTTAATTCTCTTTGAGAACTCACTTTTCCATTTTTAAGGCACTTTGTCACCCAGGCTGGAGTGCAGTGGTGCCATCTGGGCTCACTGCAACCTCCGCCTCCCAGGATCAAGTGATCCTCCCACCTCAGCCTCCTGAGTAGCTGGGACTACAGGTGCACCCCACCAAATGTAGCTAATTTTTGAATTTTTAGTGAAAACAGGTTTTCACCATGTTGCCCAGGCTGGTCTTGAACTCCTGGGCTCAAGGAATCTGCCTACCTCATCCTCCCAAAGTCCTGGGATTACAGGCATGAGCCACTGTGCCTGGCTCTTACTGTTCTATTAGCATCTAGTCACATGTCTATCACAGGCTGGGAAGTAGAGAACGGAAAATGGCAACAAGAAGCCCCAGGCACAAAAAAGTGATGTCATCCATACATCTAGCTGAAATGGCCTGCTTTCCAGTTTTATAGACCCCCTGTATCTTCTGAAAAGTACTCTTTCGGTGTGAGGGTGTGGGTCTCTAAATCCATTTACCATTGTGCTAAGAGCTTTTCTGCATTAGTTCCTTGGGTCAGGCTTTGTCTTCTAACTGCATTCATAAATAAAGCTCATGGTGACCCTCTACAATCTCAGTTTTAGAGGAAATTTGTTCCAGGAAGGACAGCACTATTAACTACAGAATACAAGGGTATGCACAGTGCTTTGCAAATAACTCCTAATAAACAGACAGAGCCAGGTGTGAAACATGATTTATATCCTCCCATGGTACAAGGCCATATGTATTATAATGCTTTGGCTGTCAATGGTCATTTTGGAAATGTGCCATTCTCCCCCAGGACATAGTTATGGTCTAGCCCTCCAGGTGGGGAGCAGCAGTTCCTTGCCTTTCATCCACTTTGAGAAGGAAAACTCTGGGCCAAAATTAATAAAAGCTCAATGGCGTGGGGGAGAAAGAAGATGTGTAACCAGTGGTGAAAGAGAACTCTTCATGATTGAAAGGCATCTGACCTGTAGCTTCCACTGGCCTGAAATAATGTCTTCCTTTTGTTGCAATAAAAAAGCAAGACTCCTCTCTACTTCTGTTTTATTCAAGGTTTCTGCTAGTCCAGTCTGTTTGAGGCCAGACAAGACTAGCCTTATGACCAACTTAGCAGTCATAGAAGTGATAAACCAGAAGATATTATCTCTTCTCCTGCCCAGCCTGCTCATCCTACATATGGTAGGGAAGAAGCCTTAAACATGGAGAAAGTGAGCAGATAAAGGAAAACATCAGAAAATAAATGATAGAAGAGAAGGGATGGGAAAGAGTCCAAATGAAGAGGAGAAAAGATATAAATGTGGCATGATAGAATGATTCCTGATTAGGCAGCAGACACAGGTTCTTATCCTAGTTCTAGTTAAATGTGACCCTCAGTATTCACTTCTTATTTCTGAAACCCAGTTTTTTCACCTATAGAATGGGTTTATAATTTGGAAAAACCCACATTGTTTGGATTGTGAGAATTAAAGGATCCTTCTGAAAGACTGATTAATTGTCATAGTCTGAAGGAGATTAAGGAAACATAATGATTAAATGCAGTGTGGTTTCCTGGCTTGATTCTAGAAGAGAAAACAGGACATTGTTGGAAAAACTAGTGAAATCTGAATAAAGTCTGTAGTGTAGCTAATGGTGTTTTGTCATTATTAATTTGTTAATGAACTGCATCATGGAAATATAAGATATTGACATTAAGGAAAGCTGGGTAAATGGCATACAGGAGCTCTCTATATTGTCTTTGAAATTCTTAGGTAAATCTAAAATTATTTCAAAAATTTAAAAAACAGAGTCCTTCTACTGCAAACATGTTTCCCTGTCTTTACAGCCTGATTCAGTTCTATTTGTCTTGCAAAGCCCAGATCATATGTTATTTCCCTGATAATGTCTTACCCAGCTTCTTTAAGGAGTTTCTGCTTCCTTCCTCAGTTCCTTTGACTTTTACATACCACCAATCCAGAAGGCCTTTGGTTCTATTGAACCTTAAATCCCTTATCCAGCATTTACTAGAGATCTGTTTGGATAAAAGCAGGTTATTTTGAAATGCAAATGTATCTGACAGAGTGAAAAGCTATCAATCACTCATGTCTGAGGTTGATTTGCTTCAATGGCAGTAGAAATCTTTTAATGTTGGAGAAAAATGAGGATGGGGAAAGATCTGGAGGCAGGAAGCCATGGTCACCTGAAGGATTGAAACAGAGGGATCCAGAATGAAGGAGAAAGATTAAGAAAGGCTGCTGAAACATAACACATATAAACGTGTCTGACAGGTTATCTTCCCTAATGCCTTTAGGAAAATGTTTGGCTTTATAGTGTTTCCTGGTTTAGGTTTCCTTGGAAAGTTACCACAAGTCCAGTAATTTATGTGAGAATTGATTGCAAGAAACACTAATAATGGGGTGGGAAAGTAATACAGAGAAGATGGCCAACAACAAATGCATGATCAACCCAGTTACCACTATAACAAGAACTTAATCCCACTGGGGGACTCTGAAAATCAATAATATGTGAGTCTCAGAGTTTTCCCATCCAAAGGGTAGAGGAATCAGAGTATTTATATGCCAACCTCCATCATCCATCATCAGTTGTCTGCTTTGTGCAGGGAATGCTCTCTAGAACACCCAGCCTACCTTGGCGCTGCCACTGGAAGTTCTCAGGCAGGACACTGGCTGCCTTGCACAGAGAAGGAGGGTTTATAGCTGGGGTTCCAATAGCTTCTGCTACAGAGTAAGAGAAATCTGCTTGCTTCAAACTAATAGGAGAAGCTTCGACAAGTTATGCTGCACCCTTTCCTTTGACTATGATGGAGGCAAATCATCATAGGGTTGTTGAGAAAATGAAAAGATTAATTGTGTAGATGATTTAATTCATGGTCTCCAACATGAAACTTACTCAATAATTATTCTGTCTGCACCCAGGCTGTCCTCAGACTATACCCACTCTGACTGTGGCACAGACCCAGAGCTCCAGACTCAAAGACTTTACTGGGGAATGGAAATCAATTGCACCCATGACTGCATAATTCCAGGCTGATATAAGGAATGTTTCCCCTCAACTGGAGGGTCAGGGGGCAAAATGAGGGTGGAGGAGGGAAGAAAGTAGGAAATAGAAACCAACATCATGGCAGTTAAATGACTCTTTCACTGGATTTTTGAAACCCATGGAAGGATGCAGGAAAGTCTGTCTCTGTATCTTTCTCATGGGGTCTCCCAGAGATCAATTCTTCATAACGCCCCATCAGACCCTCAACATATGTATTACATATTCCAGCCTGCAGGTTTGAGGCACCAAGATGTTTTTAACGAAGTGCATTGATGGTGCTTTGCCAAAAGCTACTCATAGAAAAACTAATATATTTTCCATTTCTTGGGTCCTTAGGGAAAGATAATATTATAAACCATTATCCAGAGATTCTTCTTAAGACTTTCCCAGCTTGACAGCTCTTTTAGTCTCATATTTTTTTTCCTTGAAGGCTATTTCAATTGTTTACACACCAGTGTTTTCTGAACTCCCCTTTTCATCTAAAACCTGACAAGGTTAAACATGAGTCACACATTTTAAACATAAACCTCATGCTGCTAAACTTCAAATAACTGGTACCAAACAATAGCAGACCCTCCAATAACTGAAATTTAGTGAGCAGTACTTTGGGGAGCAAAGAAGAAAATGTCAATATATCAATCTGAAAATTCTTTTAGCAGCATCTTGCAGAGAATTATTTGAGATTATTCACAATCAGTTGACCCTTTCAATCATCTTATATTTTTATCTCTATTTGTATGACCGAAAGAAAACTACTACAAGATCATGGTCGCCTAAAAAGACCCATTTATTCTTACAATACTGGACCTAGTAATAAAGACAAGTGGGTCAACACTTTTTCTCTATTTAACTAAGAAAATAATGCTGATCAACTTCCCGGATTAAACCTTAGGACTAAATAAGGCTTATCTGCCATTACAGAGGGGCAAGTTATGAAGGTAAAATTCAACAATTAGTTAATTAGTCACAAAATGTTGGCCATTTCTTCTCTGAGGGCCTCTCACACCAGCACCTTCCCTTCTATTCTTTTTGCCATCCTCATTTTCAAATTCTCACTTCCACACAATCAGAGATTTCAGTGGGCATTTCAGTGGACACCACTCTGCCTCAATCAATCCAGACCATGTGCTTGATTACTTCAATTCATTCTGTCACACATTTGCTCAGAAATATATAGCAGTTCTCTCCGTCTCAGAGGAAAAAGTGGTAACTTCTGTAGGGTAGGATGTGGATCCCAGGCTCAGTCTCCACTAATTCACTATATAAATCTTCACTTCTTGCAGGCTAATCTCTTTGCAGTCTCCCAAATACATCTCATGATTTTTTATTTTCACATGTTTGGCCTTTGTTTTTTTCTCCTATTCAAATACCACCCACAGCAAAGGACATAAACAGACACTGCTCAAAAAAAGACATTGGCTGGGCGCAGTGGCTCACTGCTGTAATCCCAGCACTTTGGGAGGCTGACGCGGGTGGATCATTTGAGGTCAGGAGTTCGAGACCAGCTTGGCCAATATGGTGAGACCCCGCCTCTACTAAAAATACAAAAAAATTAGTCGGGCGTGGTGGCAGGCACCTGTAACCTCAGCTACTCAGGAGGCTGAGGCAGGAGAGTCGCTTGAACCCGGGAGGCAGAGGTTGCTGTGAGCTGAGATCGCACCACTGCACTCCAGCCTGGGCAACAGAGTGAGACTGTCTAAAAAAAAAAAGAAGACATTTATGCGACCAGGCGACCAACAAACATATGAAAAAAAGCTCAACATCACTGATCATTAGAGAAATGCAAATCAAAGCCACAATGAGATACCATCTCACACCAGTCAGAATGGCAATCGTTAAAAAGTCAAGAAAAAACAGATGCTGGCAAGGCTATAGAGAAACAGGAACTTGTACACTGTTGGTGGGTATGTAAATTAGTTCAACCATTATGGAAGACAGTGTGGTCATTCCTCAAAGACCTAGAACCAGAAATACCATTTGACTCAGCAATCCCATTACTGGGTATATAATTAAAGGAATATAAATTATTCTATTATAAAGATACATGCACACATATGTTCATTGCAGCACGATAGCAAAGACATGGAATCCACCCATCAATTATATACCGGATAAAGAAAATGTGCTACCTATACATCATGGAATACTATGTAGCCATAAAAAGGAACAAGATCATGTCCTTTGCAGGGATATGGATGGAGCTGGAAGCCGTTATCCTCAGCAAACTAACACAGGAACAGAAAACCAAACACCACATATTCTCACTTATAAGTGGGAGCCAAAAAAAATAGGAACACATGGATACAGGGAGGGGAACAACACACACTGGGGCCTGTTGTTGGGGGGTGGGTAGAGGAGGGAAAACATCAGGAAAAATAGTTATTGTATACCAGGCTGAATACCTATGTGATGGGTTGATAGGTGCAGCAAACGACCATGGTACAAGTTTACCTATGTAACAAACCTGCACATTCTGCACATGTATCCTAGAACTTAAAATAAAATAAAATAAACAAATACCACCCACCTGACTAAAAATGCTTCTTCTCCACAAACCTCACTGAAGCATAAAAAAAGACATGATGGAAAAGATTGATAGATGAAGTAGGGGAGGGGTAATGGTTCTGGAGACACTAGTGGCTTTGAATCTTACCTTTGCAGTGTGTAAGCTTTGTGATGGAAGGTAAATTTCCGAACCTTTTTGAGTTTACTTTATAAACAACTGTATAAAGTTTATTGAGTTTTTGATTGAAATAAAGAAGATGAGATGCAAATTGTCCAGAAAATATTAATTGATTTGTTTATTCAACAATTTTTAATTAACTTCCTACTAATATTTATGTCACCGTAGCATGAAGAAGCCATCACTTAACTTGACTGGGTGATTTTAATCAAGTGACTACTCAGTACGTAATATTGCTACAGTATTACTCAGCCATTTCACTCCTAGGTATTCATCGAGGAGAAATAAAAATATAAGTCCATATAAAGATTGTACACAAATGTTAACAGCAGCTTTATTTGTAGTAACCCCAAAGTGGAAAAAAATAAACATCCACCAACAGGTGAATAGTATATCCTTGCAACAAAATGCTACTTAGCAATAAAAATACACTATTGACACAAACAACAACGTTAATAAATCTTTTTTTTTCTTTTTTTGAAATGGAGTCTCTTTGTCACCCAGGCTGGAGTGCAATGGCGCAATCTCGGCTCACTGCAAGCTCTGCCTCCCGGGTTCACGCCATTCTCCTGACTCAGCCTCCCAAGTAGCTGGGACTACAGGCGCCCACCACCATGCCCGGCTAATTTTTTGTATTTTTAGTAGAGATGGGGTTTCACCGTGTTAGCCAGGATGGTCTCGATCTCCTAACCTCATGATCCACCCACCTCGGCCTCCCAAAGTGCTGGGATTACAGGTGTGAGCCACCACGCCAGGCCATAAATCTTAAAATATTTATGTTGAGTTAAAGAAGTCACACACACCCCCAAAAAGAGAGTACACATCGTATGATTTCATATATATAGAATTCCAGAAAATTTAAAACAATCTCTAGAAACAAAAGGCAGATCAGTTGTTGCCTGGTTGTTAGGAATAAGGTGGTAAGGTCTGGAGGGAGAGATCACAGAGGAAAATGAGAAAACTATCTTGATTGCAGTGATGGGTTTGTGGATGTAGACATATGTCAAAATTTATCAAATTAGATGTTTTAAATTTATGCAAATTAGTGTATGTCAGCTATACCTCAATAAAACTATTTTGAAAAGTTAAAAGTAGCTGCCTTGTTTATTTGGTGCAAATACGCTATAGAGCCATGCAAGAAAAGAATAGAGCATTTCGGCAACAGGTTCATAATCCCCAAAATACTAGGACTGTGCATCTTTTTTTCTTTTTTTTTTTTTTTGAGGCGGAGTCTTGCTCTGTCTCCCAGGCTGGAGTTCAGTGGCGCTATTATCTCAGCTCACTGCAAGCCCCGCAGGTTCACGCCATTCCCCTGCTCCCGAGTAGCTGGGACTACAGGCGCCTGCCACCACGCCTGGCTGATTTTTTGTATTTTTAGTAGAGATGGGGTTTCACCGTGTTAGCCAGGATGGTCTCAATCTCCTGACCTCGTGATCCGCCCGCCCGCCGCGGCCTCCCAAAGTGGACTGTGCATCTTTATTGGGATGAAATATAAGCAAAGGGAGAAAAGGTTATATTATGTATCCTCATTCTCTTTTCAGAAATTTTAAATGAGAACCCATACATCAGATGATTAGAATTCAGGAACCTCTAACGGGCTAAAATTTTATTTATTTATTTTTAACTTTTACACAGCTTTGTAACATGTAACCTTCAAGTGAGAGTACTTAATGCCTCTTAGAGAAAGTTAGATACTGTGCTCACTTTTATTATTTGTTAAGGATGTGTTTACAATAATGAAAATATACATTATAGCAGACCTTTCCTATTCCTCATTCCTAAACACATGGGATCCAAATTCCAGAAGATAAATTTCCCTATGATGAATGAAGAGTAGTGAGTCAAATCTACACTATTTTGGCTAAACATAGAGAATTTTAACCATCAAAACTGTCATTAACTGTTGTGAACTGCTTCAATGTGTAGTGAATTTCCTGTCACTGAAGATATTGGAGATATGCCACATTCAGCAAGACAATATGGCAGAGGAATGACAAAATGGGGAGGGTTCCGAAGGGAGATTGGAACCAGACATGGTGGCTCATGCCTGTAATCCCAGCACTTTGGGAGGCTGAGGCTGGTGGAGCACTTGAGGTCAGGAGTTCAACATGGTGAAACCCCATCTCCACTAAAAACACAAAAATCAGCTGGGCATAGTGGCATGTGCCTGTAGTCCCAGCTACTCGGGAGGCTGAGGCGGGAGAATCACTTGAACCTGGGACATGGAGGTTGCGGTGGGCCGAGATCATGCCACTGCAGTCTAGCCTGGAGGAAAGAGAAATATTCCATCTCAAAAAAAAAAAAAAAAAAGAAGGCTGAAAGATTGGAACAAAAGACCTTCTCATTCTGTAGAGACCTCCTTCCTAAACCATAACCTAGTGCAATAATGTTGTAATGTTATAATGTTGCAATGGTAAAATGGCAGTAATATATTTCTGGTGTAGCACAGAGTTCTTGCAATTCCCCCATAATAAGGAAGAGGTTGCAGAGGATATGTTATCCTCTCATAGACTGCCACTAATTTCCAGGATATTTTCTCCTCAATATTCATAGCACAGAGTGGGTAATCTTAACATGAAAGAGACATTGTGCAAATTGCTTCTTCTTGGCATCTAGAGAAGCATGCATTTGGCATCTTCCTCCAGTTGCAAAGGGAAAATCCAGAGAGAGTTGGCAGAGCCAACAGAGGACCAGCCCTTTCCAGTACACTGTCATATATCTCTCTTCAGCTTGTCTTATGCCAGAGGCAAGGGGAAAGATTCTGTGAGCGCCCAGCTAAGTATTAGCATTTCATTTTCTAAGTACAAACTTCTCCCTAAAAAAAGGAAATTGAAATCACTGATAATCTGACACCTCTTCCACCTCCCCCATTCCCAGGCCAGTTTCTGCCTCAGAGGAGAATCTTTTCAGCTGTAATAATAACTTCCAGGTGGGAAAGTTAGCTTGTTCAAATCTGTTTCCTCTTCTCAATAGCCTACCATATCTACCCAGCCATCTGCCAACCCGCTCTGAATCTTACTTATCTAGGCTCCCTGAAAAAAGGGATAGCCCTAGAGGTATTGGTGCTAAAATTTTAAATGGGAATTAAAAAAAAAGGGAAGTATTGAAAAGACAGAGTTGTGAAAGAGAAGAGGATATTGACAAAAGGGTATCTATACTAGTCTTGTTTGCAAATAGTGTCACGTAGAGCTCTCAATTCATGCTCGCGCCAGAGGAGGAATGAAGCTACAGAAAGAGAAATCTCGCTTATATGAGGAATCTAAAAAAGTTGAACTCATAGAAGTAGAGAGTATAGTAGTAGCTACCAGAGGCTGGGGAAGAGGGGCAGACAGGGGAAAGGGAAATGTTAATCACGGGCACAAAGTTTCAGTTATACAAGAGGAATGGCTTTAGTGATCGAGTGCACAGAATAGTCACAATAAGAAATAAATAACATATATTTTAAAATTACTAAAAGAGGAGATATTAAGTATTTTCATCACACAAACACACAAAAAAGATCAGTATGTGAGGTGGTAGATTTATTAATCAGCTTGATTTAATTATTCTATAATGTAAACATTTATCAAAAAAATTATAACCCATAATATATAAAATTATTGTTTGTCAATTAAAAGTTTAAAGAAGGCTGGGCACAGTGGCTCACGCCTATAATCCCAGCACTTTGGGAGGCCAAGGCAGGCAGATCACGAGGTCAGGAGTTCGAGACCAGCCTGGCCAATATGGTGAAACCCCCATCTCTGCTAAAAATACAAAAATTAGCCAAACATGGTGGCACATACTTGTAATCTCAGCTACTCAGGAGGCTGAGACAGGAGAATTGCCTGAACCTGGAAGGCGGAGGTTTCAGTGAGCCGAGATCGTGCCACTGTACTCCAGCCTGGGCAACAGAGTGAGACTCCATCTCTAAATAAATAAATAAATAAATAAATAAATAAATAAATAAATAAAAAAAATAAAATAAAATAAAATAAAAATGTAAAGAAAAAGAAAGAGAAATGCCTTGGGATGAGGCTACCTAGTCTGTCCTGTTCTGACACAAATAACTATGTGATCTTGAGTAATGCCTTTCATCCATCTGGGTCTCAATTTCTTTATCTGTAAAATGTTGCCTTGATCTAGATAGTTTCCTGAATAATGCAAATTTAAGGCAAGTATTTATGGGAGAAAAGGAAAAAATGAGTTGACAATAGGGCGGGGGCGTTCAGCTATTGGGCAGTTGTGACATATTCTGTTTGTTTAGCAGGATGATGAAGACGTTGAAATGTCATTGGCACAAAACTGCAAAATGGTGAAAACTTACCCAATGTCTCCTTTTTCATGTATGACAAACTGTCAAGATATGGTAATTAAGGGAGAAGAGCTTGATAAAGATCCAAAGGTAGAACATTCTTAGGAAACTGTACCTGCTGTTGACATGTGTAAAGCATGAGAATTTCTTTGTAAGTAAGACTAACAATTCCAGCTCCATTGACTTTGTTTTAAATTATTTCTGAACGATCTATGCCAAAGTGATGAAAAATACTTTATGGATAAAACCTAGCCCCTCTCAACCTTCTTTTATACTAGTGATTAGAGGTTTAAGTGTGAAAAATTGCAGTGTATTTAGATGTAATGTTTCTATCTGTATCAATCCTTGGACATGTCGATCTCATAAAGAAATCACACACACACACACACACAGACACACATACACACACACACTCACAATCCTGGATCAGATTTCTAGTCAAATGTAACCCTTAAATATTACTGCCTCCTGTTACAGCTCTACATATGCTATTTGTCTTGTTCCACTTTAGAAGAAAATTAAAGCCAAGCCT
The DNA here is from genome assembly GCF_000001405.40 of Homo sapiens. Lineage (NCBI taxonomy): Eukaryota > Metazoa > Chordata > Mammalia > Primates > Hominidae > Homo > Homo sapiens. Next base: position 121,501,900 of record NC_000008.11, read on the forward strand.
TCTTTCTCACCATCAACAATTGCCCTACTTGTCTGTTTAGTCAAACAAGCATTCCTTAGCTAAAGGAATCCCCCCCAAAATCTCACAAAAATCATCTCCTTATCTTTGCTAGTTTGTTGCAAGAATGCTAAGCCTGAGTCTCTTAAGACCTGAGAAATATATTATTTCTTTCAATTTTTTTTTTATCAGCCTCAAAGTCAACTGAGGAAGGAGATGACGTAAGGCAGGAGGGAAAAGGCAATGAGGACTAAAAGAGGAAGCAAAGATCACTGTCCATAAAAAGCTATTCAGATCACTAGGGAGGCAAGATTTTAAAACAAAAAAAGAAAAAGCATAAGTTACATAAGAACATAACACAAAGTCACATTAACACAGAGGACAAAGTATAGCACTTGAGTGGTGCATATTCAATAGCAGTAGCTTATAGATCTGGGTCTGGTCTGGCTTTAGCTGATTATCCTGTGATTTCAGCTCCATTTCTTGCCACACACTCACTCATAGACTACATCCTCCCACCTTATCAAAGTACCTGTATGTCCCTCCCGACCACCTTCTCTCCCCACCATGCCCTCTCTTTCATTTGTAATGTGGATCCTTCTGCCTGGATTTCCCTTCATCTTCTTGAGTGCTCAGAAGACTTCAACACATCTATGCAGATATTTTCTCTCTGATAAAGCCTTCACTAACTAATGTGAGCACAATCAATAGCTCTTTCCTCAAAGTTTTTAGAGCAATTTATGCACGGCGTGCATATCAATGCTGGCATTTTAGCCGTGTATTATTATCTTTTGTTTATATGTTGCTGTTTCCCAAACCTCTATGCTCCCTCTGTCTTCTTCTTGGGAATTCTCATTCACTACTATCACATCAATGGCCACTTATGATCTGATGCTGACTCATAGACATGCAACTCGGCCAAGACATACTCATGGTTCCCTGCCTGCCATACACAGATGCATGCTTACTGAACATTTCTACATGGAGTATTTGCTTGCAGCTTTCACTATCGAACGTGATCCTGTTTATGCATTTATTTGTAGTTTATTTTCTGTCTCCTTGAACCCTTGCTTTTATGAAGCAGTTAGCTACTGCTTAAAAGAGTGTCTAGCTTATAATCAACAGATATTTTTTAAGTATTTACCCCAACATGAACTCATTATCTTTCCTGCAAAGTTTATACAACCTCTTGAGCTCTCTGCTTTGATTGACATAACCATTTACCCAGTCACTTAAAACAGAAGTCATTTCAAATAACTTCCGGTTTTACTCCTAACATTTAATTGGAGGATGAGTTCTTCTTAACATTCTCTTACCTATTTCCACAATCACTGCCTCACACAGGCATTCATCATCTCCTGAAATACGGCATTAATCACTTAACTGCTCTCCTCACCTGTGGACTTACCCTCTTCAAATCACCTACTAATCTGCTTCAGTGATATTTTTGAACAACAAATCTGGGTATATGATTCCATTACTCTAAGCTTTTAAATGATTCCCCTTTGCTTACAGGATTAGGCCCTGTAAAATCCCTAGCTGTCGTGTTTGGAAATGTTGTAGCTGCTTCTCTTGGTTCACTCACTTGCGAATTACCTACTTTCCTTTAGAGATGCAACCTAGACATCACATCCTACATGAAACCCTTTTCAAATCTCAGTGCTCCCAATTAAAAGGAACACTCCTTCTGTGCTGTGCCCACAGGCCCTTGTGTGTGCATCTACCATGGAAGCTGTAGGTTATACCCCATGCCTTAGTTTACATGTCCACTCCCCCTGATAGAGGGTGAACTCCCTAATGGCCAGGACTGTGTTCATTCAACTCTGCCTCCAATAACATGGTATAAAATATAGTAACTGTTCATTATAAGTTTACTGAATAAAGGAATGAATGAAACAGACTAATCTAGTTTTTTCTACCTTTTTTTAGATCTGGAGTGTTGGGATAATGTCCTATTCATTTGTGATCCCTTTTGTCTAGTACAGTTTGGGCTAATAGCAAAGGTTCTAGAAGATGATGCTGAAGGAGACAAAAGGAGGAAAGGAAGGAGCATGGAAGTATAACTTAGGTGGAGAGGAATACAGGGTCTTTCAGGGGAGCAGTAGAATCAGGTTATGGTTAAATAACCTATCAGCCTTTGCCACCATGTCCTATTATAATTCTTCCTGCTTTCTCATTGCATAGGGACAGATAGTAGAGTCTCAATCAAGACTTGACCCGTAGGGTGTCTGCTGAGATACTGCATTTCATAATGACAAATAAATCTTTCGGCCAACTAAGTGGCAACTTGTCTTTTGCGGACAGAATAAGCATTAATACGTACCTAGCTGAACACACTTGCCTGATTGTTGTTGATTTTAGTTAGTTGTACAGAGAGTGACTATTTGCTTTAGCTAACTTTCAAGTAATTTCTTCTGGAACTCCCTTCATTTTAGAACTTCTTTGTGACAAGAATTCACTTCTAAATCTCAGTCTGTGGATTAAGAACACATAAGTGTTAGTAGAGATATGGGAGGGGTTATGAATCTGCCTTGCATCCAAGTCTATGATTAGATTGGAAGAAATTACCTATAGAAAAAGTATGTTTTTAAGTGCATATTGATGCAGTGGAATGAATACAAATTTATATTAAAAGGGATTGAATCTAGAGCAGCTTTTCCTTGATATATTCCTTGGTGATCAACTAATCCTGAAATTATGAAACTATCACATTTTTGTTTGGCAGTATCTGTGACATCTTTGGGAATTATAAAATTATAGACTAAAAGAATCAGCCACCATAGTTTGGCTTAGGTTTAGAGCCACATAGTCCTTTAGATCTTGTTCATTTCTCTGCCATATGCATGAATTCTCTAACAGAATCCTAAATAAATAATTTTCTGGGAACTACTTTTCTTTCTCACTTATTTTATCTGCCTGCCAACTTTTCTATCTGCTTGTGTACCTTCATGTTCTTATTTTCTCTATCTTATTACATAGAATACTTCAGGTCTTTGGTGACTGAGAACACCATGCCCCAAACTGAACTCTCTCTTTCCCCATCCCCACTCCTGCTCCTCCTGAATAGCCTCCCATCAGTGGGTGGTAATGCCATCCATCCAGTTGTTCTCCCCAAAAATCTTAGAATATCCTTTGTTCTCTCTCCAGATATACCCTAAACTTACTCACCTGTTACTACCCATCATTACTAACATGTTGGTCCCAGCCAACATCGCCTGTGCCCTGGACAGCTGCAATGGCCTCTTGATAGTTTTCCTACCTCTACCCTTGTTCTGTGGTCTGTTCTTAGCTCAGCAGCCCATTGGATCATGTCCTTCAATCACTCAATTGCTCAATACCCCTTAACCCATTTCCCATTTTGCTGAAACCCCTTAACCCATCACCTCCTATCTCATTCAGAGTAAAAGCCAAAATCTCTACAGCAGCCTACAAGGCTGCACATGATCTAGCCCCTGCTCCCTTTCCTACTTTATCTGTTACAAATCTCTTACTTGTTCATTCTGCTCCAGCTACACTGGTGTCCTTGCTGCTTTGAATATGGCAGGAATTACCCTTCCAAACAGCCTTTGTGCAGGGTCTATTTCCTTTATCCAGAACACTCTTCCTTCATATAACCTCATGTTAATTTTTGTGCCCCCTTTGAATCAAGGCCAATTCAAGTAGGTCTACCATGATAATCTTTTTAAAAATTGCTACCTATGATTTCTGGTTCCAGGCTGTACAAGTAAGGAGCCTGGAGGTCATCTGGTGCCTGGCCCAGGTGGGTAAAAGGTGACATGTGGAACTCAAAAAAGGAAAATTCAGGTCAGTCTTTGATATGGTTTGGTTTGTGCCTATCCAAATCTCATCTTGAATTGTAGCTTCCATAATCCCCATGTGTCATGCGAGGGACCTGGTGGGAGGTAATTGAATAATGGAGGTAGGTTTTTCCATGCTGTTCTCATGATAGTGAATAAGTCTCACAAGATCTGATGGGTTCTTTGTTTGTTTGTTTTTTTGTTTCTTTGTTTGTTTGTTTTTGAGACGGAGTCTCGCTCTGTCACCCAGGCTGGAGTGCAGTGGCGCGATCTCGGCTCACTGCAAGCTCCGCCTCCCAGGTTCACGCCATTCTCCTGCCTCAGCCTCCTGAGTAGCTGGGACTACAGGCACCTGCCACCATGCCCGGCTAATTTTTTGTATTTTTAGTAGAGACAGCGTTTCACACCGTGTTAGCCAGGATGGTCTCCATCTCCTGTCCTTGTGATCTGCCAGCCTCGGCCTTCCAAAGTGCTGGGATTACAGTCATGAGCCACCATGCCCGGCTGATCTAATGGTTTTATAAAACGGAAATTCCCCTGCACACACTCTCTTGCCTGCCGCCATGTAAGACATGCCTTTGCTCCTCCTTTGCCTCCCACCGTGACTGTGAGGCCTCCCCAGCCATGTGAAACTGTGAGTCCATTAAACCTCTTTTTCTTATAAATTACCCAGTTTCACGTATGTCTTTATTAGTAGCATGAGAACAGACTAATACTGTCTTTATACCCCTGAGCCTGCTGGAATTATTCAAACTACCACTCCTAAACCTGCTTACCCTACCTTGCCTGTCCCTTTTTGCTGAAACCTCAATGAAGACTCAGATTCATTTTGTTCCCCTTTCTCTTTCTGCCTCTTGACCAACCTGGTGCTTCCCTGTGTAGCCTTGTTTCTAGAAATCTGTGAGTATCAAGACTTCTTCCTTCATGACAGTCATTTCCACGTCTGCATGTTTTACCATATGCCATGCAAACCCTGGGTTTATTTTAAAACAATTGGAACAGGGGAGTTTGACACCAGAGGGAGATGTTATGTCTTCAAGCTACTCTTGGTTTACGAACTGGATCTGACAGACAGCAGCCACTCACTGGGAAAGCATGGCTGGTTGTTGTTGCACTTGCTGCTTGATGGCTGCTGCATTGTGTTGTTTTTGTCAAGTGTTGCCATGAATTCCTAGCCTAAAATTGAGGAGCTTAGAAAGCAAAGTCTTCCCTGAGCTGCTTCATAAGATACATCTGGGACTAAGGGCCTGGGGGAACTCAACATATTTCTCCCTGTTGGCAGAGCATCCAGGGTCCAGGACACAGTACCCGTAAGATAATTGAGTATGTCAGTTTCTCCAAAAGGTCCCTCCAAGCAGATAAGGAGTGATTACCCTGTAGTGCCTAGTAGGACAAATCTGATTCACTGACCCACTAAACAGTGGTAGCACTGAAAATTGGTGGGCCAACTGACTCATTTATGTAAAAGTGCCTCATGTCCAGGATGTTATGTGCTCCTGGGGGCATTGTATAAACCACTTTCCCTTTTCCTTCTGAGCTTTGCTGAGTCAAATTTCCTCCATTCCACAGGGTCGTGGGAGTGCACTGCCTGCACACTGGCTCATGTGCTATGGGCCATTCCTAGAACTCCTCCTTAGGGGATCACAGCAATCTGCAAATATTGCTGTTGAGATCATAAACTTCTCTGCTATCGTCCTCTTGTTACTGAGATGTGCCTCTCAAACCAATGTGATACAGGATGTCTTATCTCTGTAGACCAGTCACTCAATGTTTAATAAAAAATGAGAAAGAAAAAGAACAACTGGATCCAGCCATCCACCCCCCCCAAATTTTCTGAACAGGTGTTTCAATTAATTTTAAAAGTACCTAATCAATGAGCATTGGCTGTCTTAAGTGCTGCTAAGGGTCTCATACTCCAAACAGAAAATGTGAAGGAGAAAGCTAATGCCGCTATTGCCCTCTTGATGGAAACCCTGACCCTCTGAGATTGAGTGGGACATCCTAGAAAGTGAGGCCACTGCTCACAGCAGAGGTCACTTGGGGTCATCAGGAGCTTATCAGGTAAATACTAAAGGAAACATAAATGGTCAAAAACAGACAAGAGACTTCAAAAAACAGAAAGAAAAGGAAACAAAATGTAAGCACATAGACATATAAGCCATTCTATAATAAAAGATTTTAGGGGAAAAAAAAAGGGGGGGGGTAATTGGATTTAAAAATTTAGAAAAAAAAATAAAATTTTTTAAAAAGCTGTCTGAAAGCCAGGCCTCTGAGCCCTTGCTCTCCTTTTTCTTTTTTTTTCTTTTTTTTTTCTTTTTTTATTTATTTATTTTTTTAATTATACTTTAAGTTTTAGGGTACATGTGCACATTGTACAGGTTAGTTACATACATATACATGTGCCATGCTGGTGTGCTGCACCCACTAACTCGTCATCTAGCATTAGTTATATCTTCCAATGCTATCCCTCCCCCCTCCCCCACCCCACAACAGTCCCCAGAGTGTGATATTCCCCTTCCTGTGTCCATGTGATCTCATTGTTCAATTCCCACCTATGAGTGAGAATATGGGGTGTTTGGTTTTTTGTTCTTGCGATAGTTTACTGAGAATGATGATTTCCAGTTTCATCCATGTCCCTGCAAAGGACATGAACTCATCATTTTTTATGGCTGCATAGTATTCCATGGTGTATATGTGCCACATTTTCTGAATCCAGTCTATCATTGTTGGACATTGGGGTTGGTTCCAAGTCTTTGCTATTGTGAATAATGCTGCAATAAACATACGTGTGCATGTGTCTTTATAGCAGCATGATTTATAGTCCTTTGGGTATATACCCAGTAATGGGATGGCTGTGTCAAATGGTATTTCTAGTTCTAGATCCCTGAGGAATCGCCACACTGACTTCCACAATGGTTGAACTAGTTTACAGTCCCACCAACAGTGTAAAAGTGTTCCTATTTCTCCACATCCTCTCCAGCACCTGTTGTTTCCTGACTTTTTAATGATTGCCATTCTAACTGGTGTGAGATGGTATCTCATTGTGGTTTTTATTTGCATTTCTCTGATGGCCAGTGATGGTGAGCATTTTTTCATGTGTTTTTTGGCTGCATAAATGTCTTCTTTTGAGAAGTGTCTGTTCATGTCCTTCGCCCACTTTTTGATGGGGTTGTTTGTTTTTTTCTTGTAAATTTTTTTGAGTTCATTGTAGATTCTGGATATTAGCCCTTTGTCAGATGAGTAGGTTGCGAAAATTTTCTCCCATTTTGTAGGTTTCCTGTTCACTCTGATGGTAGTTTCTTTTGCTGTGCAGAAGCTCTTTAGTTTAATTAGATCCCATTTGTCAATTTTGTCTTCTGTTGCCATTGCTTTTGGTGTTTTAGACATGAAGTCCTTGCCCATGCCTATGTCCTGAATGGTAATGCCTAGGTTTTCTTCTAGGGTTTTTATGGTTTTAGGTCTAACGTTTAAGTCTTTAATCCATCTTGAATTGATTTTTGTATAAGGTGTAAGGAAGGGATCCAGTTTCAACTCCCATTCACAATTGCTTCAAAGAGAATAAAATACCTAGGAATCCAACTTACAAAGGATGTGAAGGACCTCTTCAAGGAGAACTACAAACCGCTGCTCAAGGAAATAAAAGAGGATACAAACGAAGAACATTCCATGCTCATGGGTAGGAAGAATCAATATCGTGAAAATGGCCATACTGCCCAAGGTAATTTACAGATTCAATGCCATCCCCATCAAGCTACCAATGCCTTTCTTCACAGAATTGGAAAAAACTACTTTAAAGTTCATATGGAACCAAAAAAGAGCCCGCATCGCCAAGTCAATCCTAAGCCAAAAGAACAAAGCTGGAGGCATCACGCTACCTGACTTCAAACTATACTACAAGGCTACAGTAACCAAAACAGCATGGTACTGGTACCAAAACAGAGATATAGATCAATGGAACAGAACAGAGCCCTCAGAAATAACGCCGCATATCTACAACTATCTGATCTTTGACAAACCTGAGAAAAACAAGCAATGGGGAAAGGATTCCCTATTTAATAAATGGTGCTGGGAAAACTGGCTAGCCATATGTAGAAATCCTTTTTCTTTTCCTGTAATTGCCTAGTAGGTTTATACTGCGAGTTATCACCCAGAAACAGAAACCAAAAAAAAAAAAAAAACCCTGTATAAGGCAGCTAAAAGCCTAAAACAGAAAAAAAAAAAAAAAAAAGCAAGGGAGAGGTGGTGGGTAAAGAAAAGAAAAAAAAAACTAGACACAGGGAAGAAAAGAAAAAGTGAATAAATGAATTATATATGCACAAATAAAATATCATATTAAATATAAATATATAATCAATTACATATAATTAAATTGAAATGGAAACTATAGTTTGATTCAATTAATAATAAAAAATTTATATAGTAAAAGTCACATTAAACAACTTATATATACTAATATACATAACAAATGCATTAAAATATAATATCTATATACTAAAATAATTTACACTAAAAAGAGATTAAAAGGGTGCTGATTGGCTTTAATGCCTATGCAGAATAGGTTCTAAGTTAAATTTAGTATTTGCTGAAAAGCACAAATTGACAAAGCTTTATAGACTTAATAAATACGGGGCTCAACTTATAGTACACCGGGAGTCACACTAAATTTAAACATCCTTTTCCTATAATTTTAAAAAGTAACTAGATGTGAAATAGAGGAAAAATAAGTGTGCCTCACTTTAAATGTAGCCTTGCCTAAGTTTTCCATAGTCATAATAGCCACTAGGCACAAATAATCTCAAATCGGGCATAAATGCTCTTAATAAATAATACATTGAAATTAAAGTAAGTCACACTTCTAAATTGGCTTAGTAAAATGAGACCATATGACTTTCCAGTTAAAAGAATTAATATGGGGCCAGGCACAGTGACTCATGCCTGTAATCCCAGCGCTTTGGGAGGCCAAGGTGGGTGGATCACGAGGTCAGGAGTTCAAGACCAGCCTGGCCAAGAGGGTGAAACCCCATCTCTACTAAAAAAATACAAAAATTAGCCAGGCGTGGTGGTGCACACCTATAATCCAAACTACTCAGGAGGCCAAGGCAGGAGAATTACTTGAACCCGGGAGGCAGAGTTGCAGTCAGCCGAGATCACACCACTGGACTCCAGCCTGGGCGACAGAGTGAGACTCCATCTCAAAAAAAAAAAAAAAAAGTGAAACCCCGTCTCTACTAAAAATACAAAAATTAGCCAGGCGTGGCGGCAGATGCCTGTAATCCCAGCTACTCAGGAGGCTGAGGAAAGAGAATCACTCGAACCCGGGAGGCGGAGGTTAAAGTGAGCCAAGATTGCGCCACTACACTCCAGCCTGGGCGACAGAGTGAGACTCCGTCTTAAATAAATAAATAAATAAATAAATGAGTTAATATGTCCAAATAGAAGTTAAACTGGGCCTTCAATAATTAAACTTACTATTTAAAACCTAATTAATAAAGAGGTAATTATCCCACTCTCTATTTGACAGCCCAATTTTGCCTATTCCTAAACCTCAAAAAAATAATGGGGCCTTCTAGTAGATTGCTACAGTTTCAATGCTATGATCCCATCCCTCAAGATCCCCATACTCAATATCCAATATTATTATCACTGATTCTATCCAAGCAACCAGTAAAGATTTTGCTGTTATAGATTTGGCTGATCTATTCAATGCCTATTTCAACAGCCTCTCATCCTCAAAGTGCCCTTATCTCTGAAGGGATACAACCCACAATTGCTGGACTATCCACGGCATACCTTGACAGCTTTATTATTGAACACAATCTTTGCAGACAAGATATCAATTGCATCTGCCTTTTTCAAGAAGGACAGGTATGACGTTACCTAATGACATTCTTCTCCAAGGAGGTTAATTTGCACATTTCTTAAGAACATACAAGTCAAACATCTACCAGTCCTTTTTGGGTTTTGGTAGCAACATATTCCCCATCTACAAGTTTTATTTAATCTCACTTATGCTTGCTGCTATTTACAAATCAGCCTACCTTAAATGGTGCTTTCTCCAACAAAAGGCTCTAAAATCTGTCCAAATTGAAGTCAACAGGCATGCATGTTCAATGCTCTCAGAGACTCCTTTATTAAAGAGGTTCGACAATTTCTTTTCACACCTCCTGGAGTCTTATGATGGCCATAAATTGCCCAAAGGCTTCTAATATGAGAAACTGGCCCTTTTGGTCTTGTGCTATATATCATTGAAACAACTGCTAGCTACATATCGGGCTTGGAAATAGAGGCTCTTGCAGACCCTGAGCCTTTGACCCTCCATATCCAGCTGCCCAGTGTGCTTTGGATCATAAAAACAAAGCTTGGCATGGTCATTAGGGCCTCCTTAAGAGAGGATGGAGCCAAACCTAGGCGCTCTGGCATATTCCACCTACAGGAGGAGGTGGTCTACCTTGTCCTCAGTCCCTTGCCAAGTGTCGTGCTGCTGGAAGAGATCCCTACACCCCTCCCAAGATGCACTGGCTATCTGGGGAGCCCTTGGAATTAACTGAATAAACAACAATGGAAGTTCATAAACTATACAAATGTCATTGCCAATCATAACAAGATTGATGAAGCTCAGTAGAATATTGCTACTTTCCATCCCTTAGTCAAGATGTCCCTGATGAAGGACAGGACCCAAGTGTCAACAAAATTGACCACAGACAATCATCTTAGCACTAAGACCCTGATCAACAAATGGACCCATCTTCACATTACTACACACTGTTGGGCCAGTGCCTAAGAGCTGGCACCTTCAGGGTAAATAATTTGGGGGATTACTTGTTTCATGGATACTGAAAATATGAATGAAAATCACACATATCTCTACATATACTAGAGTCACATCCACAGCCTTATCGAGACATTGCTTATCCCCTTCAAAAATATAGACATTACTGAGAGTAATCAATGCACTTGTGTCACTTCTTAGAATAGAATATACAGTGTTGGGTTCTTGGAAAGGTCAGTCAATAGAATTTTAATGTCTCTGCTGGGTCTCAGATACTGAAAGACAGTTTCCTCAAACTATTACTTTTCAAATTCCAATCTGGCAAATAAACTCCTAAAGGTATCTTTCCCATGTGTTAGCCCCTCTTATTTCAAGGCCCGTTGGCCAACTTGTGCCTCCCACCAACTTTAAAAACATTCCCAAATGCCGTCTCTACTAAATACACAAAAATTAGCTGAGCGTGGTGGCACATGCCTGTAATCCCAGTTCCTAAGGAGGCTGAGGCAGGAGAATCACTTGAACCCGGGAAGCAGAGGTTGCAGTGAGCCAAGGTCATGCCACTGCACTCCAGCCTGGGCTACAGAGTGAGACACCATCTCAAAAAAAAAAAAAAAATCCCATTGTCTTTTCTATACTTAAAGGTGATGTGTTTTTCCTTCATACATAGAAAGACTCATTATATATCAGGACCTTTGAGAATATCCCCATTTCTTTATAAATGTTACTTCTTGCCCCTATCCCATAAGGGCTAGAGAACAGATCAACTGGACCTACTCTTCTAGAATTCATTAACTATAGATTGTCTTATGTCCAGGAAGCTGCTTATCTGATATAGGATATATTTAAGCCTAAATTTTTACCAAAAACAAAACAAAAGAAAACCTGGCAAGTGCAGCTGCATACCATTCTGTTGACTGTTGGTCTTACTACTGATCCAAGTGTTTTCCTTGGTTTACAGTTCAGAGGCCCAACTTCTTTAAAGACCCACATGCTACAGAGTATGGTCCTAGACACGGAGACTTTCCTCAGCTTACCCATCACCAACCAAACAAAGGACTGAGGCAAAGAACCTGTAGTATTAGAGAGCCTGCCTACAGGATAATGCTGAAACTTCAACCTCAGCCTTATTATATATAATACCACAGAGCCATAAGAACAAGACCCACATCAATTAGAGTGGGTACACACTTAGAAAAAAAAAAAAAAAAAGACAGCTCCTCATCCCAGACCATATCACCCTAGCTTGAGAGCTCAATGTTGGAGATGGCATTGTCTCGACACCAGAACTTGCCATTAGAGATGACTTTACCCTGGACACTAAAAATCTCCGCCCCAGCAATGCCTGGGGACTGCCTCTTCTAAGGCACAAACTGAACCCAGGACACTTGGTGCTTTTCTTCCTTTAATACTAGGGATTCTATGTTTCTTGAGCTTGCCATCTGTTCAGCCCACGATTCTTGCATAATCCTTGCTCTCTGCCGAAATATTACACCCCTATGCTCCCATGCCTAAGGGGAAATCTCATAAAGGTTAATTACAATCTCTGCCATTATAACAATTAATGGAGATAATTGCTTTTCCACATAGGCATCTGCTTTATATCAGTCAACCTCACAACCCATGGGTATAGTACTACTCACTCCCCGGTGCGTTCTTTTACTGCCCGACTCCAGCTTTCCATCACACTTCTTGCCCGTCCTATGTCTCCAAACATGGCCACTCCTTCCCCTTGGCTACAAACAAAGAGCACACATCTTACATATACATTACTAATGTGTCAGTTCATAGTCTTCAACAGCATAACTGCAGTCCTGCCAGCTTGGCCTGAAGAATACACCAAGATATTACGGTCAATTATATCCTATATATATATTTATCCCATATACTTTGTATATACTCTATATAATATATCTTCTACCTTTTGTAACATCACCAAGGTATTATTAGAGACCCCCTAAAACTTCAGATCTATTTTCTTGGCCAAAGTTACATAATTTGGAAACGTAGTTATGGGTTGGCCTGCAAGGATTCCTTAAACTTCTACTTGTGTTCCTTCTTTCTTCTCTCACTGTAAAATATTTTATAGGATGCTTGGGGTAACTTGTAGCTTACTCTCTAAAAGTCTCCACTATCATCACCCTGAAGATTCCTTAAATGATGCCAGAGCATCACAGAGCCCGTCATATTAGCTATGTGCTCTTATTTCCTGTATTCTTGATGCTATGACTGGCCTTACTGGCTGAGGAAGAGATTGCTCTCCTTTCACTGCAGAGGCCACTCAGGACCACCAGGAGTGTATCAGGTAAACACTCAAAGAAAAAGAAAAAACAATGGTAAGAGAGAGCCAAAATACATGACCCCGGCCCACTCCCGCCCAAAAAAAGATATAAAATATTTGGCCTTCCTAGACATACCCATTTTAAAAGATTTTGTTTAAGAATAAGAAAAAAAAAGTCAAAGAAGTGGATTGGAAAACCTAGAACAAAAACTGCTGCCAGTGAGGCTAGCCAATGGGCCCTTTCCCCCTCCCTCCTTTTCCTGTAAACTCCTAGAAGGCTGATTGTGAGTTATCAACCAGAAACAGAAACTAAAACCCACAGTTTCAGGAGGCTAAAAGCCTAAAACAAAAAGGAAAAGGAGACAAAGGTAAAAGAGGGAAAGAAAACCTAGATGTAAGGGGAGAAAAGAAAAGGCAAATACATAATATATATAGTTTTATATATGTGTGTGTGTGTATAATGTTTATGCTTTATTAATTTTTATTTTTATTTTAAGTTCCAGGGTACATGTGCAGGTTGTGCAGGTTTGTTACATAGGTAAACGTGTGCCACGGTGGTTTGCTGCACCTATCAACCTATTAAGTTGCACGTATTAAGCCCAGCATGTATTAGTTATTTTTCCTAATGCTCTCCCTCTCCCCACCAACAAAAATATATAATAAATTATATACATAATTAAATTAAAACAGAGGTCCATAATTTGATTCAATTGACAATCTAAAATTTATATATTAAAATCTATATAAAACAAATTATATGTAATAATTATATATAACAAATATACAACAAAATTTATATACTAAAATAGTTTTTATTAAAAACAGATAAAAGTGTATTGACTAACTTCTGTGAGTCTACAACATAGGTTTAAGTGAGTTTTAGCATTTGCTAAAATGCACCAACTGACAAAAACATCATAACTTAATTAGAACTAGGCCTCAAATTAGAGTTATACCTGGAATTACACTAAATTTAAACACTGTTCTCCTATAATCTTAAAAAAATTACTAAATATAAAACAGAGGATAGATCTGCCCACTTTACCCATAGCTTTGCCTCAGTTTTTACTCATAGTACTCATTGCCTTGACATATCCAATATTGGGCTTTGACTCTTTAACACAGTCAATAATAAATTAAAATTAAAGTAAGCCTTTGGCACTTATAAATTGGTTTAATAAAATGAGATCTTATGAACCCCAATTTAAGTACCTGGTTAAAACAATCCTGGGTGCATTTAAAATCATCATGCAAGCAAGACAGCGAAGTAAAATCTTTAAAATGTTGAGAGTTAAAAGAAAAAAAACCCACCAACCTACAATTTTGTATTCTATTAAACTGTGCTTCAAAAAATGAAGGAGAAATAAAGACTTTCAGACAAACGAAAATTGAGGAACTTTGTTTCCAGTGGACGTGCCTTTCAAGAGACGCTGTTAAGTTCTGCAGGGAAAAGGAAAAATATATATATAAGAAACTGCAGTCTACATAAGAAAGGAGGAGTATTAGAGAAGGAATAACTAATGGAAAAATAAAAACTTTCTTTTTTTTCCATTTTTAATTGATGTGTCAGATAACATTTTGTTTAAAATAATAGCAACAATATATTCAGTGATTATAGCTTATAAGTAAGTAAAATGAATGATAGCAAGATACAAGGGACAGCAGAAAGAATTGGAATATTTTCTTATTATAGGTATTATTTGAAAGTGGACTTGGATTTGAATACTTATAAATATGTTGGAAACTCTAGAGCAACCACTAAAAAAAGTTTTGTTTAAAATAAAAAAGGAGAACTGAGAACTGAGAAACAAAAGAAAATGAGATTATATAAAATGCTCAATTAAAACCATAAAAGGTAAAAAAGGAGAGGAAGACAAAAACAGGAATAAAGAAGTAAGGTGACAAACAACAGTAGCAATACAATAGATATTAATCCAACATATTAATAATCACCTTAAATATTAGTGGCCTAAATATGCTGATTAAAAGGCAGAGATGGTCAGAGTGTATCAAAAATCAAAAACCGACTATATCCACTTTAAATATAAACCCACTTCAAATGTAAAGACACAAATAGATTAAAAGTAAAGATATAGACTGGGTGCGGTGGCTCACGCCTGTAATCCCAGAACTTTGGGAGGCCGAGGCGGGTGGATCACCCGAGGTCAGGAGTTCAACACCAGCCTGACCAATATGGTGAAACCCCATCTCTACTAAAATTACAAAAATTAGCCGGGCATGGTGGCGTGTGCCTGTAGTCCCAGCTACTCAGGAGGCTGAGGCAGGAGAATCACTTGAACCCAGTAGGCAGGTGTCACAGTGAGCTAAGATCGTGCCACTGCACTCCAGCCTGGCGACAGAGCGAGACTCCGTCTCAAAAAAACAAAAAAAAGGAAAGATATAGAAAAACATATTTTATACTAACACTAATCAAAAGTAAGGAGGAATAGCTATATCCATTTCAGGCAGCAGATTTCAGACTAAAAAAGTTATGAGGAAGAGAGAGGCATTATGTAATGATAAAGAAATCAATTATCCAAGAAGACATAGCAACACTTAATTGTTTGGACGTAACAACACAGCATCAACATATCTGAGGCAAAAACTGATAGAACTGTGAGGAGAAGTAGATGAATTCATTATTATTCTTGGAGACCTCAACATCTCTTTATCAGATATAAACAGATCCAGCAGGCAAAAAATCAGTAAGGACATTATAGAACTCAACAACACCATCAATCAACGGAATATAATGGATAGCCTTAGACTACTTTATTCAACAAAAACATAATACACATTCTTCTCAAGCTCACCTGAAACATCCACTAAGATAGACGACATTATGGGCCATAAAACACACTTTACCAAATTTATAGGAATAGGAATCATGTAATGTATGTTCTCAGACAATACAGAATTAAACTAGAAAGCAAGAAGATAACTGGAAAATTCCCAAACACTTGAGGATTAAACAACACACATCTAGATGGTATATATGTCCAAAACATTGAAAAAATGTTTTGAAATAAATGAAAAACAAAAATACAACTTAGGCCAGGAACAGTGGCTAACATTTGTAATCCCAGCACTTTGGAAGGTCAACGTAGGTGGATCGTTTGACCCCAGGAGTTCCAGATCAGCCTGGGCAAATGGCAAAACCCCATCTCTACCAAAAAAAAAAAAAAAAAAAAATTAGCGGGCAAGGTGGCAAGCCCCTGTAGTTCCAGCTACTGGGAAGGCTGAGGCAGGAGGATTGCTTGAGCCCAGGAGGTGGCAGTTGCAATGAGTCGAGATCATGCCACTACACTCCAGCCTGGGCAACAGAGTGAGACCTTGTCTCAAAAAAGAAAAATACAACTTATCAAGTTTTGTGTGACACAGCAAAAGCAGCATATAGAGAAAAGTTAATGTCATTAGATGCATTTATTAAGGAAGAAGAAATATCTGAAATTAACATTCTAAGATGCCACCTTAGGAAACCAAAAAAAAAAAAAAAAAAGCAAGTTAGGTTCAAAGTAAGCAGAAAAAAAGAAGTGATAATAATTAGAACATAAGTCAATAAAATTGAGAACAGGAAGTCAATTGAGAAAATCAACAAAACCAAAAGCGGGTTCTTTTTTTTTTTTTAATACTTTAAGTTTTAGGGTACAGGTGCACAATGTGCAGTTTAGTTACATATGTATACATGTGCCATGCTGGTGCGCTGCACCCACTAACTCGTCATCTAGCATTAGGTATATCTCCCAATGCTATCCCTCCCCCCTCCCCCCACCCCACAACAGTCCCCAGAGTGTGATGTTCCCCTTCCTGTGTCCATGTGTTCTCACTGTTCAATTCCCACCTATGAGTGAGAATATGCGGTGTTTGGTTTTTTGTTCTTGCGATAGTTTACTGAGAATGATGATTTCCAATTTCATCCATGTCCCTACAAAGGATATGAACTCATCATTTTTTATGGCTGCATAGTATTCCATGGTATATATGTGCCACATTTTCTTAATCCAGGCTATCATTGTTGGACATTGGGGTTGGTTCCAAGTCTTTGCTATTGTGAATAATGCCGCAATAAACATATGTGTGCATGTGTCTTTATAGCAGCATGATTTATAGTCCTTTGGGTATATACCCAGTAATGGGATGGCTGGGTCAAATGGTATTTCTAGTTCTAGATCCCTGAGGAATCGCCACACTGACTTCCACAAGGGTTGAACTAGTTTACAGTCCCACCAACAGTGTAAAAGTGTTCCTATTTCTCCACATCCTCTCCAGCACCTGTTGTTTCCTGACTTTTTAATGATTGCCATTCTAACTGGTGTGAGATGGTATCTCACTGTGGTTTTGATTTGCATTTCTCTGATGGCCAGTGATGGTGAGCATTTTTTCATGTGTTTTTTGGCTGCATAAACCAAACCATTTTGTCTTCTTTCGAGAAGTGTCTGTTCATGTCCTTCGTCCACTTTTTGATGGGGTTGTTTGTTTTTTTCTTGTAAATTTGTTTGAGTTCATTGTAGATTCTGGATATTAGCCCTTTGTCAGATGAGTAGGTTGCGAAAATTTTCTCCCATTTTGTGGGTTGCCTGTTCACTCTGATGGTAGTTTCCTTTGCTGTGCAGAAGCTCTTTAGTTTAATTAGATCCAATTTGTCAATTTTGGCTTTTGTTGCCACTGTTCATATTATTTTAAAAATTATTATTTTAATGTCTATGGAATCTGTAACAATATTTCCCCCTTCATTTTGGATATTAGTAATTCAGATCTTTTCTCTTTTTTTCTTTGTTAACCTATCTAGAAGCTTGTTGATTTTACTAATCTTTCAAAAGCGGGTTCTTTAAAAAGATTAGTAAAATCAACAAGCTTCTATATAGGTTAGCTAAGAAAAAAAGAGAAAAGATCTGAATTACTAATATCAAAAATGAAGGGGGAAATATTGTTACAGATTCCATAGACATTAAAATAATAATTTTTAAAATAATATGAACAACTCTATGCCCACAAATTCAATAACCTAGATAAAATGGACCAACTCATTGAAAGACACAACCTGTCAAAATTCACACAAGAAAAAATAGACAATAAAAATAAGCTTAGATCTATTAAAGACATTGAATCAATATTAAAAGTCATCTAAAATAGAAAGCACCAGACCCAGATGGATTAACTGGTGAATTCTATCAAACATTTAAGGAAGAAATTGTACTAATTTTCTGCAATCTCTTTCAGAAGATAAGAGTAAAGGGAATACTTTCTTATTCATTCCATGAGGCCGGCATTACCTTAATTCCAAAACCAGACATTATAAGAAAACAGAAACAACAATAACAACAAAACTACAGACCCATGTCTCTATGAACAAAGATGCAAAAATCCTCAAGAGAATATTAGCAAATAAATTCAACAATGTATTAAAATAATTACACACTACAACCAAGTGGAATTTTTCCTTAGTAGGCAAGGTAGTTCAATATTTGAAAATAAAGTAATATACCACAACCAGAAGCTTGAAAAAAAACAAATCATATGATCATATCAATAGATGCAGAAAAAGCATTTGACAAAGTTCAACACCCATTCATGATTAAAAAAAAAAGAAGAAGAAAAGAAAAAGAGACTCTTAACAAACTAGGAATAGAGGAAATTTCCTTAACTCAACAAAGAACATCTTTAAAAACCTACAGCTAACATCATACTTAAGGGTGGGAAACTAGAAGCTTTCTTACTAAGATCAAGAATGAGGCAAGAATGTCCCCTCTCACCACTCCTTTTTAACATTGTATTGGAAATCCTAGCTAGCTAATGCAATAAGAAAAGGAAATAAAATTTATACAGACTGGGAAGGAAGAAATAAAACTGTCTTTGTTCACAGATGACACAATTGTCTATACAGAAAATCCCAAAGAACCAACAAAAACAACAGAAAACCTCCTAGAACTAATAAGTCATTATAGCAAGAATGCAGGATATCAAAGTCAATTGCTTTCCTAAATACCAGAAAAGAACAAGTGTAATTTGAAATTGAAATTAAAAACACAATATGGTTTATATTAGCATCTCAAAAATGAAATACTTAGGTATAAATCTTACAAAGTATGTATAAGACATATATGAGAAAAACCTATACAATTCTGATGAAATGAATCAAAGAACTAAGTGGAGAGATAATTAATGTTCATGGATAGGAAAGCACATAATGGTCAAGATGGCAGTTCTTTTCAACATCATTTATAGATTCAATGCAATTCTAATCAAAATCCCAGCATTTTGTTTTGTGGATGTCGACAAACTGATTCTAAAGATTATCTGGAGAGTGATGGATCCATAATAGACAACACAATATTAAAGAATAAAGTCAGAGGAATAACACTACCTTATTTTGAGACTTACTATAAAACTATGGTAATCAAGACAGTATGGTCTTGGCAAAGGAACAGACAAATAAATAAACGGAATGGACTAGAGACCCCAGGAATAGATCTACACAAGTATAGTCAACTGGTGTTTGACAAAGAAGTGCAGGCAATTCAAGAGATGACACACAGCCTATCTGTTAGGTGCTAATTGCTAGCCCTCTAAAATTCCTATCTATTTTTCTTAATTTTGTCCTCCTAAGTCATGCCAAATAAATAATTTAATCTTTTTTCATTTAAAATTCTTTAAATTTTTAGAAGAATTGCACTACCTTAATGTTTTTTCTATACTTTATAAATCAGCAGTTCACTTAACAATTTCACATGCCCTATTTTTTTGCTGAAAGAGCATATACCAGGCTGCATTAAAAAATAGTAACAATTTGAAAATATACTTGTCATGGAATTCCCAGAGTGAATTATTCATTCTACTAAAGTATATTATTATAAAATAGAATAAGATAATCAGTATAGCTATTTTAATGGGTAAAATAAAAACACTGCCGGCCAGGCACGGTGGCTCACGCCTGTAATCCCAGCACTTTGGGAGGCTGAGGCTGGCAGATCATGGGAGGCTGGGAGTTGGTTATAACCAACATGGAGAAACCCCATCTCTACTAAAAATACAAAATTAGCCGGCCGTGGTGGCACATGCCTGTAATCCCAGCTACTCAGAAGGCTGAGGCAGGGAGAATCGCTTGAACCAGGGAGGCGGAGGTTGTGGTGAACTGAGATTGCGTTATTACACTCCAGCCTGGGCAAGAAGAGCAAAACTCTGTCTCAAAATACATACATACATACATACATACATACATACACTGCCAAAACAGCATTAAGCAAAAATAAATAATTAAATATATAGTTGCTGAGCTCAGATGTTTAAAAGGCATATAAGGAAAAAACATAGAGGCAAAACTTGTTGATTATAACGTATTATAACGTATTATAAGTCAGTGATAGTAACATAACTAAAAACTAATCTGCCAGTCAGAGGAGGGGAATGTCAGCATGAAATGTTGGAAAAAGTTGCATCAAATGCAAATCTTTGATACTATCTATCCAGTATTGCATGAAAGATCCTGGCCTTCAGACTTGATCTCTCCAAGCCCTGTGACAAGTATGACCTAATTTTTTATTGAGTGGTAATGTGCACAGTGGTTAGGAGTGTTGGCAATGAGGTCAGCCTCCCTAGGTATGATATGAATCCAGGCTGTACCCATCATATCAGTGTGATATTGGATCAGGTAATTAGCCCATTTCACACTCAGCTTTCATGCAAAAAATGCTGTTGATGAAAATATTTACCATACAGAGTTGTTGTTGGGATTAAGCACTTTAGCACAGTTCCTAATAAAGAGTAATTTCTCAATAAATATTAGCTGTAAATTTTATTTTTGGATATTTAGGCTTCAGGCTTACTGTATTGGCATATCCTTTTACAGTTGTTCTGATTCTTATCTCACTAGGTAACTTTAAAACAAGGATCAAGACAGTGTAATAATAGTGTCTTTATGTGTTTTGGTAGATGGTCTAGGAGTTACCAAGTAGCAAGTACTCAGTAAAGGTTGAATTTTAATTTGTCTTCCCAACTAAATTTTCCTATGAGACATAATTGCCATGCATTAGTACTCTGATAACATATCTGTGTCTTGTAAGCTTGTTTATAATAACAAAAAGTAAATCTACAAATATTTTTAGGGAACTGAAAAGGGAAAGGGAAGATGATTCTAAAACATTTTAGAAAATAAAAATAGTTAATGAAAATAACCAGTCAATACTTGTCTAAGGTCAAGGGAGGGTGAATGTCATAGAATAGTTATGTTTATTCGTTTTATTTTAGTGAAACTACAAATATTTATTTTAATTTTAGTAGCTTATGTCTGACCTCAGATTGGTCATACTAGTTCTCATAAGAGGTGAAATTCCAAATTATTCTCTTTTGGAGTATTTTACTGCTCTAATGCCTGTGCTTGAGGAAAATATACAATAAAGTGGCACCAAATGTTAAGGAATAGAAAAGAGGGAAACAGTGAATTTCTGGAAGCAGGAAAATGTAGTGGAAAGGTCTTTGTGCTGGAAGTCAGGAGGCCTAAATCCTAATCTGAGCTGGGTTTGGGCAACTCATAAAACCATGTATGGGCTCTATTCCCACATCTGTAAAATAGTTTTCAACCTCTGCAGAGCTGTTTGAGGTCCCATTTCCTAGGATTCCATTACTCTATTTTAGAAAGAAGAAAAGAAAAAAAGACTGTAAGAAAGGCTTAACACTTAAATTCTCAAAGATTTTAATTGGCTCAAAGAGCAATAAGGATTGCATTAATTTCTTCTGCTTACTGTAACATATGACTGCACACTTGGTGGCTTAAAATAATGCAGTTTATTATTGTGCAGTTCTGGAGGCAAGAAGTCTAGAATCAGTTTCAAGGCGTTGGCAGGGTGAGTTCCTTATGCAGGCTGTGGGAGAGAATCCATTTTCTTGCCTTTTCTAGCTTCAGAAGCTCCCTGCATTCCTTGGCTGGCTCATCACTTTGACTTCTTACTTTCATCATCCTATCTCCTACTTCTGCAGTCAGATCGACCTCTGCTTTTCTCTCACAGGGACACTTGTGATGACATTTAGGATCCACCAGGATCTTCTAGGACAATCCCCCCATCTCCAGATCTTTAACTTGATCACATTTGCAAGATTCTTTTTGCCATGTAAACTATCATTTGCAAGTTCCAAGGACTAGGACCTGGATATCTTTAGGGAGCATTATTCAGCTTCCCACAAGAACCACGCCAATAGTCCAATAAACAAAGTCATATTGGAATCAATAGAGAGACAGAGATAGAGATCAACTGGTGTCAGATTATTAAAAAAAAATTAAAAGTCAGTCGAATTTTAATCTATCATACTGGGGGAAATATAACATTTGAAAAAAATCTAGTGCTAAAGAGTATATGAGAGTACAAAAAAAACTCATTATTTTTGAGAGTGTAAATAAGTACGACCTTTTCGAAGGGCAATTTGCTAATATCTACCTAAAATTCATCATGACATTTGACACAATAGTTCTACTGTTTTAAATTTATCCTACCAATATAATTCAAAAAGTGCAATCACCTCTATATTCAAAGATATTCACTCTAACTTAGTTTATAGTAGCAAAACTTAGAGGCTGGGCACTGTGACTCATGTTTGTAATCCCAATACTTTAGGAGGCTGAGGCAGGAGAATTGTTTAAGGCCAGGAGATCAAGACTAGCCTGGGCAACACAGAGCAACCCTGTCTCTACAAAAAATAAAAAGTAAAAAATATTAGAGCCGGGTGTGGTGGTGCATGCCTGTAGTTCCAGCTACTTGAAGGCTGAGGGGGAGAATCATCTGAGCCCAGGAGTTTGAGGTTAACATGAGGTATGATTGTGCCACCGCACTCCAGCCAGGACAACAGTGAGACCTTGTCTCTAGAAAAAAAAAAAGAAAAAAAGAAAAAAGAAAAAAAACCAGCAAAACTTACAGAATCCAATATACCCATTGCTAAAAGGCTGACAATAAATTTTGGTATGGACACAGGAAGGAGTACTGTTCAGCTTCTAAAATAAAGGATACAATAAAAATATTTACAGAATATATTATTACATGACTAAGTTAAGGTACAGTGTATGTTATGATCCATTTTGTATAAAAATAGATTATAAATTGGAATGAACTTTCTTTTGAAAGCATATATAAAAAATTATTAATAGCAATTTCCTTTGGGAAGAAGGACTCTAAGAAAGAAAGAACACGTTTCCTTTCTGCCTTATACATTTTCTGCACAGTTGGAAGTTTCTAGCCATGTTCCTATATAGCACAATGATGACAAGTGCGGCCTTTGACACCAGTTTGCCAGAGTTCAAATTATGGTACAAAAGCAGGTAAGTTAGTTACCTCTTTGTGCCTCAGTGTTTACAACTATAAAATGGGATAATAAAAGTACCTTATTCATAGGATTGTTAGAAAAAAAAAAAGAATAAATTCACCTAAAGCAGTTAAAATAGTGCCTGCCACATTTTCAGTTTCTAAAATATTATCTATTATCACATGTTGTTTTTTGTTTCTCCTAAGTCAATAAAGTTATTTATTCAAAGTTAACAGATGTTATCTACGCAGTAAAACTATGGGATATTTTTGTTTCTAAATACATTCTCTATTTTAATAAAAAGCCTAGTAAATGCTTATTTAAAAAAGAAAGAATAAATTAGCTTGAGTGTAGACGTAATAAAGAGCCTTTAGAGGCATCTGAGCAAAGGAAGTTTATAGCACAAAAGAACATGGATAGTACTTTCCTAGTCCTTTATAATTTACAAAACACTTTAAGGAATCACTTAATGGTTTATGTTTTGGGGAGTAGCCTGCTAATAGGACACAGGTACATTGGAAGGGAGATTGGTATCCAATGGACCAAAGGAAGGATTAGTATAACAATTCAGGTGTGAGATAATATGGGGTTTAACTCAGGTTGTAGAAAGCACAGAAGACCAAGATTGAGGTGACAAGGATCAGAAGATTATCACCAGCTTTGAGTTGGAATTTGGCAGTTTGATTTTTGCCCGAAGTTACAGGAAAAGAAACAGCAAAACTTGAAGAAACTTTTTTTAAAAGGGGGGGAAATAATTATTTCCACCTTTAAAAATTGATTAAATGCTTTGGCCAGGCACGGTGACTCACGCCTGTAATCCCAGAATTTTGGGAGGCCGAGGCAGGTGGATCATCTGAGGTCAGGAGTTCGAGACCAGCCTGACCAACATGGAGAAACCCTGTCTCTAATAACAATACAAAAAAATTAGCCAGGCGTGGTGGTGGGTCACTGTAATCCCAGCTACTCGGGAGACTGAGGCAGGAGAATCGCTTGAACCCGGGAGGCGAAGGTTGCAGTGAGCTGAGATCGCGCCATTGCACTCCAGCCTGGGCGACAAGAGCAAAACTCCATCTCAATAAATAAATAAATAAATAAATAAATACTATCCTTCTCCACCCTTACTGAAATTTCCCACATGTAAAATTCCAAGAACAGATATTCAGACATTAAAATCTGAGAAAGAACCAAAGAACATAAATCTCTATTTGTCAACAAAGAAATAACTAAATCTATTCCCGCTAGTCCCTTCAATATGACAAAGCCTAATAAAGATATCCTGAGCTGGTGCTTTTACAGATATCAATGCACATGCACACACATACACATATGCAAATAAGCCTATGAGTATAAAAGTATGAGACTTTTCCAACACTTCCTATATCTTCTATCTCTATTTCAATTTGTCTGAAATGACAGAGTTGATGAATAGCCTGTTTTGTCTCTGACATTTACCCAAATATCACTGTTCTCTGGCTCCCAGACGACAAGTAGACACCCACATTTTTAGTTTTGATGGAAAATTTCTCTGCTTTTGGGAGTAAATTATAAAAGTGTAAATTTCTGAATCATATTGGTGGTGATCTTACACACATATATGCATATGTACATACAAATATGTATGTATATGTACATATGAATATGTACATACATATATGTATGTAAGATCTTACCTACATATATGACCCACATCATACCACCGTGAGTGGCTAGGAACGAGAACAAGCATTAAATTAGAAGTCAAAAGACTAGAGCTTTAGGTCTGGCTCTGCCACTGTATGATGCTGCCTATTTTCTAATCTCACTAGGCCTCAGTTTGCTTATCTGTAAGATACAGCTAGCAATGACTATTTCATACAGTTTCTCTGAGGTACCTGACTCCTTCTCCCTTCACATCCTTCCATTTAATTCCTACCTGAAGTTTAATATTTTCTAATATTTATTTAAAGGACTGTGTATCAGCAGACTGACTTGAGGCAAACATTATTCTCTTAGATATAGCTGGGGTAGATAAAAGATTATAGTAATGAGGAAATGTACCAAAATACAGTTTAGGAAAATCTTTCTCAGTATTATCCAATTAACAGTGATATTCTGGAAACATGTTTTTAACAGATTTCAGTAGCTAGTCTAATAAAATTATATGAAAACCAAAGGAATTTCATGTTCAAATCAGATACTAGTAAATTTATATTCATACAAATCCATAATTTTTTTATATTATACATTAAGTTCTGGGATACATGTGCAGAACGTGCAGGTTTGTTACATAGGTATACACGTACCATGGTGGTTTGCTGCACCCATAAACCCATCATCTATGTTAGGTATTTCTCCTAATGCTATCCCTCCCCTAGCCCCCCACTCACCAACAGGCCCCGGTGTGTGATGTTCCCCTCCCTGTGTCCATGTGTTCTCATTGTTCAACTCCCACTTATGCATGAGAACATGCAGTGTTTGGTTTTCTGTTCCTGTGTTAGTTTGCTGAGAATGATGGTTTAAAACCACATTTTTATCAGCTCTTATCCTAAGTCGGTGTAGAATTCCACCTTCCCTAGCCCTACTCATGTTTTGAGTCTGATGTAAGGGCAGCCCATTTCACAGCCACACACTGGGGAAATATTAGAAGAAATGAAAGGATTGGGAAAAACAAATTTAGGATTTCATAATCTAGTTAAACAGCCATTATACCTTGGCTTTCTCGAGTTCTTTCTAGTTTGGGGAGTGGGAGGCAACTGTAAAAGGAAAAGAGTATAATTTGTTCCTGATCATGAGAAATGATTCCTTCTCTCCCTCCCTTCCTTTTTTAATCCATGACAAATTTATCACTTTTTTTCCTTACAGGAAAGAGAATTATGGGTATGGACAATTATGAAAATATGCTCCGGATATAGATAGACCTTCTTTTCAAGTAAATGAAATTTTAAAACATATTTGTTAAATTGAATACTTATTAATAGTTATTAAATATAATTAATTGTTAAATATTTGACATTAGATATTTTAAATTAATATTGGGGCTTTTAATGCATTAAATTTAAATAATTGACTTCCATATTAATGGAGGAAAACCCCAGTAAGCACAGGGAAGATGTTGTAGGGAGAATGTTGTATTCCAAAACTTCTTTTTTAAAAATGTTTATAATATTTATTAAACTCTTACTATGAGCTTAATAGTATGAGACTTTTCTAAGTGCTTCATAGCACACATTAATTTCATCTTCACATTAGCTTTATGAGGTAGGTTCTATAATCCCTATTTAACTAACAAGCAAAGTAAGATGTAAGTCACACGGGCACAAAGTGATAGAGTCAGGGTCTTGCCAAAAAGAGCACTGGAGAGAATATTATTGACTGGGACTAGAGAAAACCAAGTCGTTTGGGAGAATAGAACATCCAAATCTTTGCTCATGGAGAAACCTTGGACTATCTCCCTGTGATGACAATAAAACCCTGGTTAAACAATGTGTTTCTCATTGACTTTAATCTCAACCTTGCCACAATTGACGTTTGCAACCAGATAATTCTTTGCTATGTGGGTTGTCCTGTGCATGGTAGGAGGTTCACCAGCATTCGCCACCACCACCTATTAGATGCCAATAGCAATACCTCTCCGCAAGTTATGACAGCCAAACATGCCTCCAAACATTTCCAGATGTCTCCGAGAGGACAAAATCAGCTCTTTTAAGAAAAAACTACTTGAATCTAACCAAAACATTTATTTTGCTTTAGTATCTGTGCCTTCAACCCTCATTAGGTTGATATAGAAAACACTGAAACATATATGTGAAATACTACATATTTTTATGTACATTTCATAGACACTTCTAACTTTTCAGAGTATTTAAATGAGTAACTTATTGTGAAATACACCAGAAAGTATGTTATATGCCATTTTGCAAATGGGGACATTGAAACACAAATAATTTAAAGACAGCATCAAGTTTGGTAGAAAGAACTGAGACCAGAATTTGAACTTTACACCTGAAAACTCGATAGCCGACTTTGGGCATATGTTAAATGTTCTCAATCTCAGTTTTCCTCAACTATCAACTGAGAGTAACAATCTTAGTTCTGCCCCCTCACAAGGCCCTGAGATGGGTTCAATCAAAAGATCCATGTAAAGGTACAAAGTGTTACTAGTTTTATTACTGTTGGTTTGCCTGTGGTCGTCCAGAAAAGTAAGGGTTGAGCTGACATTGAAATACCACAACTATTGTAATAATATTCTCTTTCCTTAGACAAAGTGTGACAAATATGTGGGCCCCACTCTTCTTACTGTGCAGATATCGCCAATTAATCACAGATTTTCTTTCTGGTGTGACCTCAGAAGTTCTCAGCAGCACAATCCAGATAGCTACAAACCAAAGTTCAGATATTGAGCTTGGGACCAAATCTATTGGCTATCCCTATATTAAAAATGCCATCGCTTTACTCTGACTCCTTTAGCGACCAACTGCTTTATACGATATTTTTAATGTAATAGATTAATATATTGGTGTTTTTCAGGCACCATTAACAGGTAAGTCAAAGTATAGTTGGCCGATCCAACAATTATCTCAGGCCTTCCAAGTTTATAGCCTGTGATGAGTAGAAAATCTTAAGCCTCATTTGGGAGGCAGCCATTAGCACAATAGGTTCTCAAACTTTAGCGGGCATCTGACACGCCTGTACAAACACAGATTTCTAGGGACTCCCTCAGAATTTCTGATCAGTGCGTCTTTTGTGGAGCTCAAGAATTTGCATTTCTAATACATTTCCAAGTAATTCTGCTAGTCCAGCATTGCCCTGAGAACGACTGAAAGACTCCTGGTCTTAGAGTAAGAAGATCTCAGTTTGAGGAATCCTTCTATTTTTTTTATAATATCTGTAATCTTGGGAAAAAATCCTAAGCCTCCAGGTTTGAGTTTAGTTCTTTGTAAAGTGGTTAATGAAGACTGATCTGTTTACCTCATAATGTCATTTTGAAGATGTTTTTTCCAGAGGATAGAGTTCAGGAGGAGAAATAGAATAAATTATGAAAAGGGTATGGAAAAGGCTTACAAACAGTAAGTGTTCTAGATAAGAAAATGCATATTAGTGCTTTTTTGTTAGGGAAGATGCCTGTTTATCATTTTTTAATGTATACATAATAGTTGTACATAATTATAGGGTATATGTGATATTTTGGTGCATGCAAACAATGTATAATGATCAAATTAAGGTAATTAGGATATTTATCACCTCAAACATTTCAAGTCTTCTCTTCTAGCTCTTTTGAAATACAAAGTATATTGCTGTTAACTGCAGCCACCCTATAGGTGCCTTTTTAGCTTGAAGTTCAACCAGCTGTTTATGGAACCACCTTCTTCTCAGGCCTCTGAAGGGCTTGCTCTCCTCTTTGCAGCGATGGGCAGACGGCAGCAGGAAGCTGCGTGAAACATGCCCGGCCTCTACGCAACTCTACCACAGCTTGCTGAGGCTTACCCACAGTCTACATGAAGTAAATGTTTTCAGAATATTCTACGTGTTTAGCCTAAGGCATTGTTCCCCTTTGCTGGTCTACAGGGACTAAAGAAACACTGTCAATCAGAGATGATCTAGGGTGGAACCATTAGCCATTGGCAGTTTTGCTTGTGACTCATGACAACAGCTTGCCAGGGGGAAGGGGAAGGAAATCATCTGGAAAACACCCTTAATAAAACTAAAAGAAACATTCTGGGAAAGAGGGGAGAAAAGTGAAAATAAAGGCAAAACAAAGGCAAGGTCTCCTTAGGATCCCAGTAAGTCCCGACTCAACATTTTCACTGATAGTGGAAAGAACCTAGAGCTTGAAGTTCTAATTCCTGTCTCTGCCACTTATTGACTGAATGCCACTGGAGATGTTTCTTCCCAATTCTCATAATTTAAAAGCCCCACAGAGGCAGAGAACATCTCTGTCTTTTTCAGAGTTGTATTCTCGGTGACACACATAGATTAACTGCTCAATAAATATTTATTTAATGAACAGATGAGTAACTTAGCAAACCTCTCTTCGCTTCAATCTTCTAATTTGTTAAGTAGCCTTATGAATACGTAGATCCTAGGGCCATTATAAATAGTCGATGGGCTAACGAACACTACACAGAACACAGGAGGTCCTCAATAAATAGAGGCTGCAATGAATGGAAATGAATATACCAGTGAAGATATTTTTGTTCACAATCAAATGGCTTATTCATTTCATGTACAGGCATTACCTTATTTTAAGTCTTTTTAGTAGCATGTTTTGATTATCTTTTAATAGTCCTAGAGGGAAAAGAATTAACCTAAGGAAAATGTATCACTGTTTTAGCTTTAAGCTCAAGTCATAACTAATTGCTTCTAATATGATAAACAGAAACTAGCTTATTCCCTAGACAACCATACCTTAATTCTAAATTTAAGATAACTCTGTTAATTTTTGTCAATTACATAATTTCTGGAACTTCATTTTTTTGCAGAGGATAGGGTTCAGGAGGAGGACTTGAAAAAAGATCGTCTCAGGGTTGTGAAAGAAGATACAATCAGCAAGCCTCTGAGAAATCACAGCTGATGACTAAGTCCACAGTCTGCTCATAAAATGTAGAGTTATAGCTCTTGCTCTCACCACTGTCTCTGATGAGTCTGAAGAATTGTGAATCACTAAAAGTCTCTACTTCTTTAAATGTCTAGAAAGACTGTTCAAATCACCTGGAAAGCTTGCACTTTTTTTTTTTAATCTAGAAGACAATAAAAAGTTGCAACATCCTCTCTCAGATCAGACCCATCTGTTCCTTTACTCATTCATTCAACTCTTATATATTAATTCACTGACTTTTAGGTACCGGGAATAATTTCTGAGAGTTACATGTCCTTCTGCATCTCTTGCAATGCAGATCAACCACCAGGAAAGTCTATGCCTGGAAGTTCTGGGGACCCTGGGGTAGTATCTCAGATATCCTCATGTACAAGTTCAACAAGATAGCCTGTGATATTGGACATGTTTCCTCTTTTACTCTGGTTCCTCTCTAATGGATCTGCTGCCCTTGTCTCCAGAGATGAATATCATCATCTTCCCCTGAAGTCCCCAAGGTACCAAAGCAGGCATTGTTCCAACTTACAGTTACTTCTTTATTTCTATTTGGATGCCAAAGCATGGCCCAGTGACTTTCAAAGTTTTCTGTAGAGTCGTTTTTTACAATTATTCCCCCTAGCACTCTTCTCCAAAAACACTGACATGACTCTATATTTACTGGGGTGGGGCAGCCAGAAGGGTTGACATTCAAAGCTTTTCCTTTCTAAAGCCTAATTTCTCTGATTCTCTTTTCTTGAGGTGACTTCTCTTCCAGGAGACTCCACTATGGACAAATCTGAAGCTCATGCTAAAACACATGTTTCATTTCAAATTATACCTGCTACCTCAGACTTTAGTCCCAGCTTTGATCTTCTCAATGTTTGTGGGCCCAACTTCTATCTAACCATATCTACTTCTATTGCCCACTGATTCAGGCTTGACCGCCTTTTAATGTTTAATTTTCTCAGCCTGGATGATCATAGGACCTTGGTCATAATCCCTGTACGTGGAATAGATTTTGTTGTGGTGCCAAATTAAGCTAAAGCCTGCCTTAAAATCAGCTAAACTTTTTTAAGGTCTATTGTATCAAACACTGTGCTAATAGTAAGAAGAAACATAGTGTGCTTACTAATGCAATGTCCTATGTACCTTGCATTAATTAACTCAGTTTTCTTTATATCAACTCTATGAGGTTGACACTATTATCATTCCTATTTTGCAGATGAGAAAACTGAGGTGCAAGGAGGTCAAGTAACCTACCATACAATTAGCAAGCGGCATCCTTAGGATCTGAGCCAGACTGTCTTGCTCCGGAGTTCCCATTCTTCACTATACCTCTATTCTGCCACTTAAAGGGCAAAGCACTTTATAAGGGCTATCTCAATGAATCACCATAGCTGCTCTAGATGATTATTCTTTGTATTCCCATTTTATCCTAGAAAAACAAAGGTTTAGAAAAGTTAAGTTCCATGATGATTATTTAGCATAGAAATCAGACTGTAATTCAATTAAGACTGATACTAAAGCCTTTAATCACTGCTCTGTTCTATATCACTCATGAATATTTGCCTCCTTAGCCCTTTCAGTGACACTTCAAACTAGGGTTTCTCAAACTTAAGTAAGGTCTAACATTATAAGACATATAAAAGGAAAAACATATTTTGGATCCCCAATGTTGATTTAAATTATTCTTTTTTTTTTTTTTTCGAGAAGGAGTCTCGCTCTGTCGCCCAGGCTGGAGTGCAGTGGCGCAATCTCAGCTCACTGCAAGCTCTGCCTCCCAGGTTCACGCCATTCTCCTGCCTCAGCCTACCGAGTAGTGGGGACTACAGGTTCCCGCCACCACGCCTGGCTAATTTTTTTTATCTTTAGTAGAGACGGGGTTTCACCGTGTTAGTCAGGATGGTCTTGATCTCCTGACCTCGTGATCCACTCGCTATTTTGTTATGTAAAGATGCACAAATATCAAACTGGATATGTATTTTCTATATTTGCAGTTCTCTTATGACTGCAAAAACAAAATTAATTTATAAATTAAATAAAAATAAAGCCAAAAAATCAAAACAACTTCAATTAGCATGGATAACATCAAGTTGTATTTCAGAGCAAGATTTTGATGGACAATCTTGCCCTGGAATGACCATTTCAATGTGACGATGTTATTGATTGCTATGAACAGTTGTTTTGAGCTTAGCACTCCTGACTGCCATATATCTTGTGATACTGCCGTCTCCCACCCGTTGTCTTTAAGCACTGAGAAGCTTTTGTCCATACAATGTCATTTGACCTTCACATGGCACAAAGACAACAGTATAGTAAACACATCTCTGTTCTTATATAATTAGCCTACAGTTGTGAAAATAGTTTAATTTGGTGTTGATTTGTCCATGACACAGGGCACACATGGCTGGTTTCTTAAGAAACTCCTGTGGAGGGTGAAGACATATTTGATCCATTAATGAACTTCATTAATGAAGGTCACCTAAAATGGAAAGGTTTCTCTGCATCTCTGAGTCTTAAACAGCTGGGAACACTTAAGTGTTTTCAACAACAACAAAAAAACAAAATTAAAATGCTGTCTCAAAGTAGACCTGTTGATATTGCAGGAAATACTGGGCAACGCACCCACACAAACACGCGTGCGCACACGCACACATACACACAAACACACACACACACAGAGACACCCTTTATGTTAAATGCCAAATTAAATTCAGTTTTAATGTGTTTTACATCAGCTGTAGAAAAGGGGAAATGGGCTTTAAAAAATCAGAGGCAGTTCTGTATGTAAGTGAACTCAATGTGTTAGTACCATTATCAGGAAAAATGATAGCATTTAGAGATTAATGTGTAATCTTAGGTTTTGATTCAAAATTGAGTTGCATGTTCTGGCATGTTCTGGCTTCTTTGAGAAAGAGCAAATGATCTGGAAGGGGATCAGGTGGAGAATAGTCATAGGAAGTCTTTTTTCTTCTTTTTACTTTGGAAGAGAAGGAGCTTACGTCCTATGGAGATGAACTTCTGTAACCACAGGAGGGCTTGAGGCTCCAGAGTAAAGAAAGTTGTGAGACAACTTTATTTCTAGGACTACAAAGTTTTGTAAACAGTCTGGGAAGACTGAAAACACTGTAGTTAAAAGAGTTAACCTTTTATTTTGCCTAAACTGTAAGAAATTGATGGAAAGTGTTGAAATTCAAACCCAATAACATTCTGTTTTCAAAACTGAAAACATTATTTAACTATATTTGATTCATTTCTGTATATTAAATAGTCATGATGATTTTAATAATAGTAATAAACTGATATTTACCTGTATTTTCTATAGTGATCTGTTTACATAAGTTATTTTATCTGGTCCTCTTGATGTCAACAACCGCATGAGGTGGGAACAATTATCCTCATTTTTATTGATAAGGCAAGTTAGACATGAAGAGGTTAAAGAATTTGCCCAAAGTGACACATCTCTTAAACGACAGAGCCAGGATCGGAGCCTGGGTGTCTATAATCCCTAAGCCTGAGCTCTTAATCCCTAGCACCGATTTTGCCTTCTGTAAAGTAATCTCTGGGTAATCAAATCCTAATAATATTACACTCTAGCAATTAACTATCCAGCCTGCTTATATTATCGATGAGAAACCTGAGACCCAGAGATGTTAAATGAATTCCTCAAGGTTATACAAGCAGAGATAAAAACCAGGTTTCAAATTCCCCATCCAATGTGTCTTTGGATACATATATTGTTTTTTGAAAAAATAAAAACAACTAGCATTTCTTTGTTTTAAATCTAATTCAATTCCCAAAATTCTGTGTAGCCAGTGGTTTCTTTTTAAATTTCAATTTCATATATAAGGAAATGGAGATCCAGAGATGTTAAGTAACTTGTTAATAATCTCAGGGTAGTGACTTGTCAGCTCTAATAAGGATTTGGTACTTAATCATTTCATTTTTGTTTTGGGGGAAAAATAATCAGAGTTAAATACACAGTAGAATTATCCCTGCCCCTTCTTCAGTTAACTTTAGCCAGACGTTGTTGTCTCAAGGCTGCAATGCTAGCCACCAAATGACTTTAGCTCCTTGACCCAATTTATTCATCTTTCAATGCCTTCTGACAGGTTTCCACTTTACCCTAAGCCAGGTCACCTCTCATTTTCAGTCCCTGACAGCCTCTGAAGGCATTTGAGCTTGTGAGTTTATACTGGCCAAGTACTTAGGAAGTACAGTGCCCAGGCCTGAAAGGGAAAGGGGTTCTTAGGACATAGAACTTTCAGTGCTAAAACCAGGAAAGAACAGGGCAAACTGCGATAAGTTGGTAACCCCATTAGGTACCCATGGAATATATACTAGATGGGGAAAGGAGTATGAGGACCTAGCTTTAAAAAAAATTCAGTATTTATTTCAATATTTCTTTTCTACTCTGTGCCAGACAACTGCTAACCACAAATGATGTGAATAAGGCAGAGAATATGTCTTCAGTGACCTGGCATCTAGTAGAGGGAGATAGAATTAACTTACAAATAACTGTCACCTTAGGCAAAATGAAGAAAGTATTATAGCACTGAAAGCTTAAACTAATGCCTGTGTGTGCTTATTCATAATGGGGTGATATGACCTCCACCTGGGAGTCACTTTATATAATTGAAGTCTCCAGGAATCTGAACTTTCCACTTAAAAAAATGACAAGGTCAACACAATGAAGGATATACTGCTAATGTAAGATGCAATTTCTCTAGCTGTTTGTAGGGGAATGTGGCTTTTCACAGGAAATCCAAAGCTTTAATAGGAAAGTCATTCTTATGGGGAAATTAATAATTATGAAGTGATTTTGCAACCACAGTCACTTTCATATGTGTGCAATTGCTTTAATTGATTTTACTTAGGTACTAGCACTTTGTTGACATGAGCTAGTTTTCAAGGTGAACCTGTGGAATAAATGGGTCTATGAAAGCCCTCAATGACATTAGCTATGGAAGACAAGTAGCCTCAACAACTATGCTATTTAAAACAACCTTATTACCATTTTCCAAGCTGCCATTAAAGCTTTAAATCATTGCTGGTAAAGCTTTGGACAACAAGTCAAGTAGAGATTTGACATATCGATCTGTATAATGAGCCATATATCTATCTAAAAATTCAATAAACCTTTATTAGTCATTGCTTTGTGCTGGGTGCTAGATATACAAATACCAGTAAGACAAAATTTCTGCCCTCAAGAAATGTATAATCTAGTTGGGAAGAGAGAGTAAAAGCAAAGTGCTGCAGAATATTGAGACTCACACTTTGATAGGGAGGGAAGAATTAATTCAACATTGGGGTTTCAGAGGAAAGAAGAAAGTAGAAGACTTCGTAGGGAGAGTGACGCTTGAACAGGGAATTGATGGTTCAATAGGAAAGGCCAGATTTTCAATGTTAACTGATAGAGATGAGGTGAGCAGAGAGCTAAAGGTGCAAAAGATGGAATAAGTTTGGAAAATGGCAAGTAAATCTGTGTGTCTAGACCATGTGTGGTAGGCTGAATAATGAGCTCTGTCCTCCAAAGATGTCTACATCCTAATCTGTGGAACTTGCTAATACTTTGCATGACAAAAGGAACTGGGTAGACATGCTTACAAATCTTGAGATCAGACTATTACCTTGGGTTATCTGGGTGGACCCAATGTAATAACAAGGGTTCTTATAAAAGGAAGGCTGGAGCATCAAAGTGAGTAGTAGGAGATGTGATAATAGAAGCAACAGGTTGGAATATTGTGAGGAGGGGTCTGTGAGCCAAGGAGTGTAAGAAGCTTTGAGAAGCTGATATAGGCAAGGGAATGGATTTGACCCTGAAGACTCCAGGAGGAA
Organism: Homo sapiens; assembly: GCF_000001405.40. Taxonomy (NCBI): domain Eukaryota; kingdom Metazoa; phylum Chordata; class Mammalia; order Primates; family Hominidae; genus Homo; species Homo sapiens. Next base: position 121,537,416 of record NC_000008.11, read on the forward strand.
CACAACCCTGCCAACACCTTGATTTTAGACTTCTGAATTTCAGAACTGCAAATCAGTAAATTTGTGTTGTCTTAAGCCACTAATTTTGTGGTAAATTTGTGGCAATTTATTACAGCAGCAATAGGAAATTAATACCCCATCCTATGCAACAAAGTGTCTGATCCTTGAGTACCTGATGAGTTTTCCTAGGGAATTTCAATGTTATTAGTAACATAGAGTCACAAAAGGGCTTCAAAAAATGGGTAATAAAACACAGAAGAGTCAACATTTCCAAAAATAGAGACCATTCAGTCCTGACCCTGAGGACCATCAGACAAAGTCTTTCATTGCTATACCTCCACAGGTTCTTCAAGGACTTAGAAGACATCAATGTTAACTTGAACAATGACCGTTTATGAAATGTTTTTCAATAATTGATGTATATTACATAGCCAAGATCAATCTCAGTGATGAGAAATACTAAACATAAATGTATACCCTTGCCTCAGATAGGGATAAGCAGTAGATCCTTGACTTCACATCAGTTTATTGAATAAGTAAATGTGAATTATAGAAAATGCTGAGGGATAGGAGATTATTATGCTGCACCTCACACTGATAATCTGGCTAAGCCCAGGAAGGCTGGCAAGCCCCTCAGTGCTGCTTTCTTTGACATGATTGTAACAAGAGGAATGTAGGGTGATAATAAGAAAATAGGACTGGGACTCTAGAAAATTGGATCCTTGTACTCATTCAGTACATGGCCAGCCATATTGATCTTAGCAAGTTAACTCATCTGTAAAATATAGATGCCAAGTTAGATGACCTTTGAGTTTCCATTTAGCCTGTATCCAACCAGTTCTCCTGTTGGAAATGCACAGGAGGATCTCTCTGTTATTGGCTGTCGTTAATGATGCCTACTACCAACTTCCCTATCAGGATCCAGCTGTTCTGGCCTTGATTTTCTGATATCTCACAACCTAGCTCTTTGTTTCCTTACTCATATCTCTTTCCAGCTTCCCTTACTTTCTTAGGAGGGAGTATCATCTTAAACAGCCTGTGTTTTTGAGTCAACATTAGCTAGGTTTGAATCAGGAGCTACCAATTAGCAGCTGTACAACTTTAGCAGGGTACTTAGCCTCTCTTTCCTTCAGTTTCTTCACTGATAAAATATAGATAACAAAGTACTTGTCTCATGGAGCTATTGTAAAGATTGATAGTGATAATACCTGTAAATTACCAAGCATCATGCCACTTACAGAATAATTACTCAATAAATGTTAGCTCCTCTTATCATTGTTACCTTTATTCTAATCCCTAAACTCTAACATGTGAGGCATGTAATGACTATTTTATGATAGGACGGATGGTAGAAACTGATAGCTGATCACCAAACCCATTTCTCCTTTTCTTGTGTATATGATAGACTATATTTCACCCTCTCTCTTGCAATATAAGATGAACAAAGGAATGTGAGTAGAAGAAATATGCATCTCTCTAGGCCTAGCTCAAAACCTCCTATGAGACTCTCCATATTCCTTTCCCCTCTGGCTTGAAATAGACAAGTGAGGTGAACTTGGAAGCCACAAATTATAGATTGCAAAATCACATAATTGAAGAAATCTCTCATAAACACTCATTTTGGGGGCTTTATTGCAGAAGAAATAAACTTCAATTGCATTAAGCTACTGAAATTTCAGGTTATGTCTGTAGAGAGCAGCTGGAGTTACTTTAACATTAGAAGTTTTTAATTCTTTGGTCTCTTTCTGCAATTGATCAAACTATGAGGAGAAAGAAAAAAAGTTCAATTTGTCTCTCTTTTTGTTTTGTTGCTTTTGCTTTTTGGGTCATATCTAAGAAAAACTTCAGCCTAGCCACAAATATTCTCCTAAGAATTTTATACTTTAGCTGTTATACTGAAATTTAGGACCCACTTTGAGTTGATTTGTGTGTATGTTCTGAGGCAGGAGTCTAACTACATTCTTTGCATGTGGATATCCAGTTCTCCCAGCACCATTTATTGAAAGGATTATTATTTGTATATTGCCTTGTTTTTCCATCTGTATTAGGCCATTTGCATTGTTATAAAAAAAAACCTGAGGCTGGGTTACATATAAAGAAAAGAGGTTTAATTGGCTCACAATTCAGCAGGCTGTACAAGCATGATGCTAGCATCCATTTCTGGTGAGGCCTCAGGAAGCTTACAATCATGGTGGAAGGCAAAGGGGGAGCAGGCATCTCACATGGTGAGAATGGGAACAAGAGACAGTGGGGAAGTGCCACACACTTTCAAACAACTAGGTCGTGTGTGAACTCAGAGTGAGAGCTCACTCATCACCAAGGGAATGGTGCCAAGCCATTGATGAGGGATCCCCCCCATGGTCCAAATGTCTCCCACCAGGCCCCACTTCCAACACTGGAATTACGTTTCAACATGAGATTGGGAGGAGACAAGCATCCAAACTATATAAAGAAATCAATAGACCATAGATGTAGGTATTATTTTGAACTCTCAATTCTATTCCATTTATGTGTATATCTGTCTTCTGCAAGTACCACACTGTCTGGATTACCACAGCTTTACAGTAAGTTTTGCAATCAAGAAGTATGATTCCTCCAATTTTGCTCTTATTCAAAAGTGTTTTGGCTATTTTGGTTCCCTTGTATTTCTATATGACTACTAGGATCCACTTGTCAATATCTGAAAAAAATGCAAGCTGGATTTTGATAGGGATTTCTTTGAACATTTAGATTAATTTGTAGAGTATGGCCATTTTAACAATATTAAATTTTCCAATCCACAAACATAGGCTATCTTTCTGTTTATGTAGATTCCTTTTAACAGTGTTTTGTAATTTTCAGTGTAAGTCTTACACTATTTTTGTTAATTTTATTACTAATTATATTAGTTTTTTAATAATATTATAAATGGGATTGTTTTCTCAATTTTATTTTTGCATTGTTATTGCTATTGTGTAGAAATATAATTCATTTATGCCTGTTAATTTCATATTCTGCAATCTAGCTGAACTCATTTTATTAGTTCTAATATGTATTCTTCTTGGTGTATCTCTTAGGATTACCTACACAAAATGCAGGCCATTTGCAAGAGGAGGTAATTTTAATCCTTACTTTGCAATCTGAATGCCTTTTATTTCTTTTTCTTCCCTAATTTCCCGGGTAGAATCTCTAGTGTTATGCAGAATGCTGTCTTCTTCATCATTTTAGGGGGGAAGCATCCAGTCTTTCACTATTAAGTATAATGCTAGCTGTAGGTTTTTAATAAATGCCCTTTATCAGATTAAGAAAGTTCTGTTCTATTCATAGTTTATAGAGTGTTTTTAATCATGAAAGAGTGTTGGATCTTGTTAAATGCTTTTTGTTGCATCTATTGAGATGATGAATGGTTCTGCTCTTTATTCTATTAATATAGCATATTACATATTACAAAATTGATTTTCAGATGTTAAATCAACCTTGAATTCCTTGGTTAAATCTCACTTGGCCATAGTATATAATCATTTTAATATGTTTCTGGATTCAGTTTGCTAATACTTTTTGGGGACTTTGTGTCTATATTTGAAAAGTCTGTAGACTATAGTTTTTTATGAGGTCTTTGGTTTTGGTTTGAGGGTAATACTAGCCTTGTAGAATGAATTGAAAAATAATCCTCCCTCTTTTTTGAAAGAATTTGTGAAGAGTTGGTATTATTCTTTAAATGTTTGGCAGAATTTACAAATGCTGTTATGTGAGACTCTAATTTTATTTGTGTGATTTAATTACTAATTCAATTTTCTTATTATAGGTCTGTTCAGATTTTATCAGGTTTTTTATTAACTCTATTTCTTAGAAAAGTTTTAGATTTAGAGAAAAACTGAACAGAGGCTACAGAGGTTCTATATATCCCCACACACAGTTTATTCTGTTATTAACAATTTATATTATTATGGCACATTTGGTACAATTAATGAACAAATATTAATATATTATTATTAACTAAAGTCCATCTTCTATTCTGATTTCCTTAGTTTTTATCTAATGACCTTTTTCTACTCCAGTATCCCATTGAGAAGGATATCCTATGGCATTCAATCCAATCATTATGTCTTTTTAGATTCCTCTTGGCTGTGGCAGTTTCTCATAGTTGCCTTGTTTTTGTTTTGTTTTGAGACAGAGTTTTACTCTTGTAGCTTGTTGCCCAGGCTGGAGTGCAATGGCACCATCTCGGCTCACTGCAACCTCTACCTCCCGGGCTCAAGCAATTCTCCTGCCTCAGCCTGCCGAGTAGCTCAGATTATAGGCATGCATCACCACACTGGCTAGTTTTTTTTTTCTTTTTCTTTTTCTTTTTCTTTTTCAGTAGAGACAGGGTTTCACCATGTTGGCCAGGCTAGTCTCAAACTCATGACCTCAGGTGATCCAGCCACCTCAGCCTCCCAAAGTGCTGGGATTACAGGCGTGAGGCACCACACCCAGCCCATGCCTTGTTTTTGATGACCTTGACAGTTTTGAGGAGAACTGAACAGGTACATTTGATTTCAGAAAGAGCATGTACGAGTCTCAGAGTCAAAACAGACTCTCCTTATCTTGTTGTAAAAAATAAAGATAAAGTCTATGCAGGACTTACTACAGAGGCCATTATACAGTAGGTACTTTACAAAATGGTCCCTTAATTCTATTGCATCTTATGTTATTTGCTTTATCGTGAATGCTTATTTTTTAACTTTTTCTTCACGATAAATCTGTCCTTTTCTTTAAATCATGAACCATAAAGTTTCCCCTCATGCATTCTCTGAAGTGCTTGATTCAGTGCTAAGCTTGTGCTGTATGTCCACCATTAATATGGTGATTAATTATTTCAGAAAAGCAAAGGTCCCTTATCCCACGACTTGAATTCCTTAAGCATTTAGAACTCAGCGATTAATTTCTTACAGGATAGGAAATATATAACACATCATAATTCTCATTGGGTGCTTATATTTTAGTTTGAATGAGTTATCTGATTCTATCTGTTCTACGAAAATATATGGTATATATTAGTCTGTTCTCACACTGCTACTAAAGACAACCTGAGACGAGGTAATTTATAAAGGAAAGAGGTTTAATTGACTCACAGTTCCACATGGCTGAGGAAGCCTCACAATCATGGAGAAAGGCAAAGAAGGAGCAAAGTCATGTCTGACATGGCAGCAGGCAAGAACATGTGCAGAGGAACTCCCCTTTGTAAAACCATCAGATCTCATAAGACTTATTCACTGTCACAAGAACAGCATGGGATAGACCTGCCCTCATGATTCAATTACCTCCCACCTGGTCCCTCCCACAACCTGTGGGAATTATGGGAGCTACAATTTGAGATGAGATTTGGGTGGAGACACAGCCAAATCGTATCATGGTATAAGTGGTAGACTCATTTGCTAGCTCCAATATTTTCTCCCCCAGTAGCATGATCCTTGCCAAATGACCTTGCAAGTCTCGTATCTTTTTTTTTTTTTTTCTTAAGAGACAAGGTCTTGCTCTGTCACCCAGGCTGGAGTGCAGTGGAACAATCACAACTCACTGCAGCCTCGACCTCCTGGGCTCAAGCAATCCTCACACCTCAGCCTCCTGAGTAGATGGAACTACAGGTTTCTGCCACCACGCCCTGATAATTTTTTTTATTTTGTAGAGACAGGGCTTGCTATGTTTCCCAGGCTGGTCTGAAACTCCTAGGCTCAAGCAATCCTTCCACCTCAGTCTCTCAAAGTGCTGGGATTATAGGCATAAGCCACCACTCTCAGCCTTTTCATTCTTATCTTAGTCAGTTCAGGCTGCCATAACAGAATAGCAGAGGTGGGATGGCTTAAACATCAGAAATTTATTTTCATAGTTCTTGAGACTAGGAAGCCCAAGATTAAGGCATGAACAGATGTGATGTCTGGCGAGACCCAATTCTTGATTTGCAAATAGCCTTCTTGTTATATCTTCACATGGCAGAAAACATACAGAAAGGAAACCCTGTGTCGCTTCTTATAAAGACACTAACCCCACTCATAAGTGTTTAGCCCTAATGACCTAATTACCTCCCAAAAGCCCTGTCTCCTAACACTATCACACTGGGGGTTAGGATTCCAATGTATGAATTTTTGGGGAACACACAAAGTGAAGAAATAACAGTGTGACATTTCTAAGCCTAGACCTTTAAAAGCCTTTATTGTCTCCACTTGCCTTCCTGAACTCTACCATCTCCATGAGGAGAATATTCCCATACTAGCCCACAGGCTGAAAGGAGAATGAGAGACACATAGAGCAGAGCTACTCCAGATAATGTTCCCCAGCCAAGTCCTGCCCAGTACAGAATCTACAGAGAACCTGCATATATATGAGCAAGCTCAGCTTAGATTACCTAACCTGCAGCCAACCTATACTTGTGTAGGTTATAAAAATACACGATTTTTTCTAAAGACATGCAATATGGGGTAGCTGTTATGCAGCAACAGCTGATGGATTCAATAGGTTATAAGTTTGGGCAGCCAAGTATTGAGATGGGCAGGTGAATTGACCACCAATGGACTGTCACAGGAGCAGGGAGTGAATCCAAGAATATCAGATACCAACATTGTTCTAAGTCTTTGTGGCATGCTGTACTGAGACTGATTACATGGGTACAGTGGGTGGACAGGGGAGTCTACTGCCATTGGAGAAAATCTAGGAGAATCTGCTTTCTTTTCTTCAACAGATATATTATGTGTCTAATAATAATAAAATTTACTATTTGTTGACTGCTTACCATTTGACATGCATTGTGATGAGTAATACACAGATACAAAGCCAGCAAGATACACCTAAGTCCATTTACAAAAAGATATACAATTACTTTTACAATATGGCAAAATAAATGCAAGAATAAGGGCAGTGAAATTTGCTATTGGATAAATCAGAAAAGATACCTCAATAAGACTCGGGAAAAAGGAAAAGCTGGGCCAAAAATTGACAATCATTGGCCAAACAAAGGGGAAGGGGTAAAGGAAGGGAACATAAAATATAACAGGCACTGAATATTAAACTCTCACTCTGCACCAGCCACTGCTGTGTGCTTTACAAGTACGAAGCACACCAACCATGCTTACACCAACCATGTGAAGCTATAACTCTCCTAATGCTGCAGATGAAGAACAAAGCAAGGTCATGTGACTTGCCCAAGACCATAGACTTGATTGGCAGAGAGATGTAGTTGGATCCCAATCCTTCTGCTTGTTAAATTAAATTAAATTTGGCCTAACACTGATATGTACATAGTGAACTGTAGCCTAACTTAACGTGTAAGCAAACTACAACCTTGAAAATATATTCTTTGTACAAATAATGTAGCTCCAACAATCATAGCAGCCAAGTATTTAGCCAATCATAGGCTGCAAACTGCTCACACATATCCAAATAAGGCAGACACCCACGCCATAACCGATGAGACTATTTCTGTGTGTCATTTTCTTTTTCTTTCTTTAAGTACCACCTGTCCACGTTACTGGGTGGAACTCTCTGAATCTTTACTGGTTTAGAGTGCTACCTACTTCATGAATCATTTTTTTTGCTCAAATAAGTTATGCTAAATTTAAATTGTCAAACAGGCAACCTACAGAATGGGAGAAAATTTTTGCAATCTACCCATCTGACAAAGGTCTAGTATCCAGAATTTACTAGGAACTTAAGCAAATTTACAAGAAAAAACAACCCCATCAAAAAGTGGGCAAAGGACATGCACAGACACTTCTCAAAAGAAGACATTTATTTGGCCGACAAACATAAGAAAAAAAGCTCAACATCACTGATCATTAGAGAAATGCAAATCAAAATCACAATGAGATACCATCTCAAGTCAGTCAAAATGGTGATTATTAAAAAATCAAGAAACAACAGGTGCTGGCGAGGCTGTGGAGAAATAGGAACTTTTATACTGTCCATGGGTATGTAAATTAGTTTAACCATCGTGGAAGACAGTGTGGTGATTCCTCAAGGATCTGGAACCAGAAATATCATTTGACCCAGAAAGCCCATTACCGGGCCTATACCCAAAGAAATACAAACCATGCTATTTTTTTGACACAATTTTAGCCAGCACACCATAGTGTTCTCATTCTCTCTTTCTTCATGACCACCCTGAGAACACCAAGGTCTTGGCCTAGTAAAAAGAGAAGTCCTTTTCCCAAGTTCATGATCACTTTCCTCTCTTCCTGAAGACGGGGCTTTCTTTCTGGTTTCTGGGAAATTAACCTTAAACAGCTGTGTCACACTATGCTCAGAAATAGGCCAACCAGCTGGCATAATGCCAGATTGTTGGTCACGGCATCGCAAAAGCAAGAAAAGATCTGTGCAGATGTTTTGCTGTAACATTGGCCTCCAAGCCTCCCACATAAAGACCTTCCAGCCAGAGCCAACATTCACTCTTAGCACTCACAAGCCAGTGACTACAGTCTCCAACCCCAAACAGGGAGGCAGAGAAAGTGAGCTTGAGAGTCTATTGCTCTTAAAAGCAGTGCCAAGGCATAAAACAAGAGAATTTCAAGATGCAAAGCCCATCCAGCGACAATTTGGGGAAGCTGCGCTGGGGTACGTGAGCTTTGCTGGCAAGCTGCTCAGTACAGCTGGACATAATAGGATGTTGGTCTGGGAAGCCTCTTCTTGCTGCAGGCTGCCTGGCACACTAGTCAGAGGTGAAATCCAGTGAGACAAGAATATGATTCTACATTCCATTGGAGCAGCCTGGGATACTCTTCAAGCTAGGGCACATGGAAATATTTTAACCTACAAAGAAAGGGGCTTTCCATGGATTTCCCAATAATATGCATTTATCTGAAAAGGAAAGTAGAAAAAGCCCTGCTGGTCAAACAGAAAGCAGGTCTGTCCTCCACACAGTACACGCACTGTTCTGGCTTCATTCTTATGGAACAGACACCATGACGCACACTGTTTCAAATAACTGACTATTTGCTTCTCATTTGAGATGCATAATCTGCTCAATAAAACGGGCACTTAATAACCCTCCTTTTGCAACAGAACAATTGAGTTAGTTGCTAGCCAAACATTTCTGTCTCTCACCCTGATCAAACATCCATGAGTGAAGGAGGAAACTTTTCAGTGTTTCTCCAACATAGCAGGCTCTTTCCTGGCTTTCTGCCTTTGCATAAGCTGGTCATTTTGTCTAAAAAAACTGCTTTCTTGTTTAAATTGCTCAATTATCCTTCCGGATAGCAATGATAGTGCTGCTGCTAATGATAATGATAAGTAGCATAGAATATGTGTGACTGCGTGCTCTGTGCCTGGCATTGCACCTAGAACTTTATTACAGATTATTCTATTTATTCCTAAAAACAACTTTAAGACATAAGTGATTTTACTTACCCTATTTTACAGACAAGCAAATTCAGACACAGAAGGATGTTGTGCCCAAGGCATATGCCAACTAAGTGCCAAAACACTGTACTACACACCAACTAAAAAGGCTAAACTGAAAAATACAGACCATGCCAAGTGTGGTTAAGAAAACTCTCAAACATTGCTAGTGGGAGTAACGTAAGTTGATACAAATTACATTTGAAAACCCTTCAATAGTATTTATTAAAGTTGAAAATAAAGCATAGAAATAGTTTTATTCCAAGGTATATAGACCTCCAGAAAGGAAAATATATGTTTATCTGCTAAAGATGAACATAAGAATACCAGTAATTCTGTTCCAGGGTATATAGACCAAGAGATTCATACAATAATGTTAAGAGCAGCATTATGTGTAATAGCCCCAAATTGGAACTATTCAAATGCCATCAACAGTAGAATGGATAAAACTGCATAAATTTACTAAATGGAATAATAGACTACAGCATGAAAGTGAACAAATTGCAACTAAGTCTAACAATATTAAAAAGCTCACAAAAATAAGAGAAAGAAGCTATAAACAAAAAAGAATATATGTATATATATGTATATATAATGATTTCATTATATAAAATTGAAAAACAGATAAAATTAACCTATGCTATTACAAATTAGGATAGTGGTTACCCTTGGGGCATGGCAGCAACTGCAATGGGAGCCTCTGGGATGCTGATAATTTTCTGTTCTTGATTTTGAGGCTGGTTACACCAGTATGTTTACTTTATAAAAAACAGGCTGGATGCAGTGGCTCAAGCCTGTAATCCCAGCACTTTGTGAGGTTGAGGCGAGAGGACTGCTTGAGCCAAGGATTTTGAGAACAGCCTGGGCAACGTAGGAAGACCCCATCTCTACAAAAAAAAAAATAAAAGTATTGATATTAACCAGGTATGGTGACATCTGCCCTTAGTCCCAGTTACTCTGGAGGCTGAGGTGGAAGAATCACTTGAGCTCAGGAAGTCAAGGCAGCAGTGAGGCGTGACCACACCACTACACTCCAGCCTGGAAAACAGAGCAAGATCCTGTCTCAAAAAACAAAAAACAAAAATAAACAAACAAACCAAAAACCCATCTGATGGTACACTTAGAATTATTCTCACTTTTCTATATGTATGTATGATATACATATTTCAATAAAAAGTTTAACATTTAAAAAAAGGTTGGTCTGAGCAAACTTAAAGCTCATGCTCTTAACCTCTGAGGGATATATTCATATTTTAAAAATAATTCAGAATGCAATATATCCCGGAATACACAGCTATTCAAACATACTTTGCTTCAAAATGCATTTTCTACATATGGCCTCTGATAGCACTTAACAACTTATGTAATGATCTGGTCCCCACCCACTCAACTGAGAGATTCTTGAACAGGAAACCTCTGCATTATATTTCTTAGTATCCCAAACTGTTAGCACAGGGTATGAAACACACTTGTCTGTCTTTGGCTGTTTGGTAAATCAGTGAATACATTTCTGTATTCTGAATAAGTGCTGTCTAGAGAAAGGGCTGCAATGGGGGCCAAATGTTTAAGATATGATATGCCTGTGCTACAGAAAACTGGCAGAATCAACTACTGTGATCCACATGCACTCATCCCAACCAAAACAGCAAAATTAATGTGCCAATAGAAAGGAACTTTGGACTGTTTATGTACCTGATTACAGGACTGCAAAGCACTTTCTTTACAGCAAATACTCTCCTGGTTTTAAGTGGGAGAAATTGAGATTCAGGATATCCAGCAACTTGTATAGAGCCCCTGAGAACACTGCAGAGGGGAAGAAAAAACAGAATCCAAGGATCCTTGAAATCTAAGTCTTCATTCTTTGCAATCAATGCTAAGAAATAGGCAAAGAAGATATATTTAAGTGGTCCCTAAATACATGACCCAAAGTGATATCCTCCAAAAAGAATCCTGCATTGTCTTTGTCTTTTTTGGAGTTCAGGCATTGAAGATTTCTATTACAACTTAAATATGTTAGTTAGGAGCCACCAGTACTATATAAATCAGGTTATATCCATTAACAGCGTAGCATTCAGTCTCTCTTGGCATTACAATATCAATTGTGTAATATGTGATTTGTTTCAGAACTTAGTCAGATGCTCAGGGAACCCATAACACACAAGCATATTTCTGTCAAAAACTTTTTAAACGTTTTTTGTTTAATAAAATAAACACAGCACTGTGTAGTGCAAATAGTACTGACAACAGACTTAAGTCTGAATTAAAATTCTATCTCTGTCCTTTAAAATGTGTAACTTTGGCAAGGACCCTAACTTTCTCATGTATAAAACGGAGATGATATTTACCTTGTAGTTATTATGAGGAATAAAGAAAATGTATACAAAGCACTTAGAACAATAGTACTTATTATTGTTATTATCAAAGAAAAGATATTGGTATCTATTATGGAATATTCATACTGGTTTCTAAACTCATAATCACTATAAGAAAAGAAGATTTGGGAACATTAACTGGTGTTACTAAGTCTTTCCTTGAAATGCTATATCTGGGGCCTTAAGCAAACACAGGGTCCTCTTTGTCCATATATGGTATAGGTCTGCTCACTTCTCTACACCAGCCCAAGCCCAAGAAATGCCATGTCGGAATGATCCTGAATGTGAAAGAATCATAGACATCTTCCCCTAGTTCTAAATAAAAGAATGTTATCCAGTACAGAAACCACATTTTTATCTGAGATATCCTGTCTATAAATGAGAAGCCCTTATTTTAAAATAATGTTTTTAGTATCTATAATTACCAACTATGAGGGCAATGTATCCGAATAAGTTAGAGTCTAAAATGACAGATCTTAAGACAATTGAATAATTTAAAAATCCTTAATAATAAAACTTTACCTGCCACAAAATTTAAACAATTGGCCCAGAACACAGTTTAGATTTTATCTTTGTCTTAGCTAGAGGGAAAAAACCTGTGAGAAAGATTAAAATAAGTAACTGAAACCTGGGCTCCACAAAATCTGCTACAGTGCTGAAAGTACTATAGCAGATACTTTTTAGGGAATACTCCCTAATTTATGTTTTATAATTTAGAATTGTAGTATGCTCATAAATCTGATAATTTGAAATTTGTGAGGTTTTGCTATAGTCTAAGAAGTCAACAACGGCTAACAGTGTCCAACTAGTGGAGAAAATATAGGGGAAAAAATGTTTATTCCATCACACTCAAACTCCCATAACATTGTTTTATGGTTTTTGGAAATGCATTTTTTTTAACTTTTTGACTTGAGATAATTGTAGATTCACGTGGAGTCATATGAAACAATACAGAAATTTCCTATACACTTTACCTAGTCTCCGCCAATGGCAATATCTTGCACAACTATGATACAGTAACACAACCAAGAAATTGACATTGATGCAATTCTCTGCCTAATTCAGATTTTACCTGTTTTATCTGCACTCCTTTGTGAGCATATGTGTATTTCAAAACATGTGTAGATTAATGTGAACTTCATTACAGTCAAGATACTGAATATTTCCATCAGAGATACCCAGTGCTCCTCTTATAACCAGTCACCCCTTTCCCCCTCCCTGACCCTCCCTCCTAGCAACTTCTAATTTGTTCTTCATGTCTATAATTGTGTAATTTCAAGAAAATTACACAATTTTTAAACTCAACATAATTCACTTGAGAGATCAATAGTTCATTCAGCATAAAATGCTAAGCAATATCCCATAGTATAGATATATGACAGTTTCTTGAACCATTCACCCATTGAAGGGCATTTCGGTTGTTTTAGTGTTTGGCTATCAGGAATAAAGCTGCTATAAACATTCATCTAGAGGCCTTTGTGTAGAACTACAGTTTTCATTTCTCTGAGATAAATGTCCAACAGTATAATTATTCAGCCATATGGTAATCATATGTTTAGTTTTGTAGAAAACTGCCACACACTTTTTCAGAGAGGCTGTGGGTTTATCATTTCACAATCCCACCAGCAATGTTTAAGTGACTCAATTTATCCATATCTTTATCAGCATTTCTTGTTATTACTATTTTCTATTTGTACTTTTCTGATAGGTGTATAGTGATATCTCACTGTGGCTTTAATTTGCATTTCTCTAATGGTTAATGATATTGAACATCATTTTCCATGCTTATTTGCCTTCAGTATATCGTCTTTTGTGAAATATCTGTATTTTGCCCATTTGTATTAATTTGGTGCAAAAGAAATTTGGCAAAAATCTCAATTACTTTTGCACCAAACTAATACATATTCTAATAACATTGGGTTTTTTATGCTAAGTTTTGAGAGGTCTTTATATGTTTTGGACACAAACAGTTTTGTTAGATATGTGGTTTACAGACATCTTCACCCCGTCTGTACCTTGTCTTTTAAGCTCTTCACAGGATCTTTTACAGAACAAACATGATTCATTTAGATGAGGTCCAACTTATCATTTTTTCTTTTATGAATTATATTTTGTGTTTTCAGTCTGATAACTTAAAATACAAAATTAGCCAGGCGTGGTGGTGCCTGCCTGTAATCCCAGATACTCGGGAGGCTGAGGCAGGAGAATCGCTTGAACCCAGGAGGTGGAGGTTGCAGTGAGTTGAGATCACGCCACTGCACTCCAGCCTGGACAAGAGTGAAACTCCACCAAAAAAAAAAAAAAAAAAAAAAAAAGTTTTTTTCTGCCTTTCCAATCTTAATGCCCTTTTTAATCGCCTTACTGTGGCACCTAGATTTCCCATTACTATGTTAAATAAGAGAGGTGAAGGTGGACATTCTTGTCCCTACAACAATGTAATATTTTTTAAATCTCCAAAATGAAATCTGTGCTTGTGTTTGAAATGCATTTTATTAGCTGTTTTGGTCCCCTTCCCTCCTTAAGCTTGCAGCCTTGTGGGGAGGATGCCTTCATGAAGAGCAACACTAAGCAGTGTAAAATAAAGTGCAGTGTTGAATGAAGCCTGTATGAATTCTGCAATGAGCCAGAATTGAGCTAAATTTCAGAGCTACTAGTATTTGTGATGTGCTTAATATATGTGTCAAATATTGTTCTCAAAGTCCGGAATAGAAAGTAAAAAGGATAGACTCCTGGCCGGGCCCGGTGGCTCACGCCTGTAATCCCAGCATTTTGGGAGGCTGAGGCGGATGGATCACGAGGTCAGCAGTTTGAGACCAGCCTGACCAACATGGTGAAACCCCATCTCTACTAAAAGTACAAAAATTAGCCGGGCATGGTGGCATGTGCCTGTAATCCCAGCTACTCAGGAGGCTGAGGAAGAAGAATTGCTTGAATCCGGTGGGCGGAGGTTGCAGTGAGCCGAGATTGCGCCACGGCAATCCAGCCTGGGTGACAGAGCAAGACTCTGTCTCAAAAAACAAACAAATAAATAAATAAATAAATAAATAAGTAGATAGACTCAGCTTACAGTCCAGTAAGGGAGGGCATAAATCAACAAATATATAATAATTAATATATTTTAAGTGCTATAAAGAAAAGTAATAAGGCAGGTGAGAAAAGAGAGAGTGATGCGATAAGGGCAAGCTGTTTTAGATAGTGTGGTTCAGAAAGTCCTCTCTAAGCAGGTACCATTTTTGTGGGTGTCCTTCTTCTAAATCAAGGCAAGAACATTGAGACAGAAGAAATAGCAAATGCAGAAGCCCCAAAGAGAATGAACCTTCGTGTATTTGTGAAATAGGAAGAGAACTGGAGTGCCCAAAAAAGAGTAAGAAGCAGGGAAAGAAGTAAGAGGTGAAGTTGGAGTGGTAAATACGGTCCAGGTGATGAAGAGCCTCTTAGACTACAAAGAATTATTTGGCTTTTAAGAGTCATGGTTTTTAGTCCAGGGAAGTGACTTGATGTGGTTTATATGGCAAAAGGAGCATAGTCCGTGAGACTGTAGACTATTGTTATGAAGATCACATGTTCACAGAGTGCTGGCTTTTGTTGTGTTATCATTAATGCTATTTCATAGAATGAATTTATTTTCCTCATTGCCAACAGAAATGAGATACCTTGCTATCTGGCAGAAAAATAACCGTGCGACTATTGAAGTTACATGCTCTGTGAATAAAATCTAACAACATAAAAACCATACCAAACATTATTTTGGTATTAATAGCTCTGTGATATCATACTAGAAATTGGGGCTAGGCATGGTGGCTCGCACCTGTACTCCCAGCACTTTTGTGAGGTTAAGGTGGGAAGATTGCTTGAGGCCAGAAGGTCAAGATCAGCCTGGGCAACATAGCGAGATCTTGTCTGTACTAAAAAAAAAAAAAAAAAAAAGCAGGTGTGGTGGCATGTACCTGTAGTCTTAGCTACTCAGGTGGCTGAGGCAGTAGGATCCCTTCAGCCCAGGAGTTCAAGGCTACGGTGAGCCCTGATCGCACCACTGCAGTCTAGCCTGGGTGACAGAGCAAAACTGTGTCTCAAAAAAAAAAAAAAGAAAGAAAAGAAAAGAAAAAAGAAGAAAGAAAAGAAAAAAAAGACAAGAAATGGTATAACTTGAATTTGTTAAAGATTTTGAATATTAACTTATATGCTAATTTTTGTCATTTTAATTACGTTAAAGACCCCATCCAGGTGTTCTTCTAAAGATCTTTGATTCTTCGAAGACCATTTTCATCCTTTTTTTTTTTTGGTATTAAAGAGCTAAAATTACTTCAAGAAGAAAAAACAAACAAACAAACAAACAAACAATAACACCTCACTGGGCACAGTTCTGTTGCCACACCAGTCATTTTAACCAGGAAAATACTTCACCTCCTGCCATACCCCATTCTCATATTTACTCTCCAGAGGCTTCCCTAAATACATCACCTCTGCTTACACACTTCTTCCACATTTATTCAGTTAAATTAGCTTTCTTTATCCTCAAAATGGTATTCAGGTATCACCACTTTTTCAGAGAGCATTAACTAATTTGTCTTATAGACTTAGGTCTATATTTTCTGATCATCCTATCAATACAAAGAATGATAATAAAACTAGGCGACAGTGGAGTATTTATTTTCTACCAGAAAAACAAATGACGTATTATTGTTCTCCTCATCATATTAATATGAAAAACAAGATTTAGAGACATTAAGTAACTTATGTAAGGTCCTAGAACTATCAAATCACAGAGTTTAAATTTGAACTTTTTCAGGCTTTGTGCTGCTTGGATTGCAATCATTATTTACATCCACGGTTTCCAAAGTGTGCATACAGATATCCTGAGCTGCCCCAACAAACTCATAGGAGTGCTACAGTATATTGTTATACTTTGAGGGAAGCATAGTGTTACTCTCTGACCCTGCAGAAACCTCTTGCTTGAGGTAGTTCATAGGCTCAACATTAGATTACACTACATTACTTTCAATGACAACATAAACTGAGTGTTTCATGGTTGCTGTGTTAAAGGACAAACACTGAGCAAAAAAAATCAGTGTGGAAGAGGAAATGAGCATGGTCATGTCCAATCTGGTTCCATGTTTTGACCACCTGTGTTATGCCTGACAGGTGTACATACTACATTCATTAGTAAGTAATTGTGGCCACTTAAGATGGTATTTTTTCTTTCAATGTATGTGTTACTTTTTCTGTTCCAATGGCTACTAAGTTGTTAGGATATAAATATGTATTACTTTGCCTGGACCTGACCAGATGTGGTGGCTTAAGTCTGTAATCCCAACAGTCTGGGAGGCCAAGGTAGGAGGATCACTTGCGCCCAGGAGGTCGAGGCTGCAGTGAGCCATGATTGTGTTACTGCACTTCAGCCTGGGTAGACAGAATGAGAAACTGTCTCAAAAATAAATAAATACTGTTTCCTGAACCTAACTAGTTAATAAAGGCAACTTTCAGGTATTTCGTTTAGTCTATGAGTGTTATGAAAAACTTATTATGACACTAAAGACATCATGAATGGAGAAAGTTTGGAAATCTCTGGCCAGATATTTGTCTCATCTACCAAACTGAGATTTCCTTGAATGCAGGATAAAACCAGATTGGTGGAAGTAGAAATCAGAAACAATCTTTTTCTTCTGGTCTGCCTCTCTTCTGTAAGAGTTGGGAGGCTTTTGGCTACAAGAAACAAACAATCTGAGGTACACTGTCTTGAATAATAAGGAGGAGAAGGGGAGGCATGCAATGGGCACTGGCCTGTGTAGCATTTTCCCGGGGATAATCACATTGACACTTACCAAGGAAGTAATTGAAAAATCCTAACAGGAAAGATGCAGAAATTTCATGAAAAGAAAACTACAATGTCATTTATCACTAAATTCTCTGACAGCTCCAGCAAAGATATCTAACCAACCCTATTAGGCATTCAATCTCTATTAATGAGAGAAAAATATGTGAATTTATAATTCCACTGCAAAAGATTTGTAGAGAATTGCCAGCTGACTTGGCTGCAAGAAGGATTAAACAAAAAAAGGTATGTCAAAATTTCTGTCCTTCATGGAATATTCACGGATAGAAGCAGCCCTGTGTTTCCCTTCCAGATGAATACTAGAGTCACCAGATTTTCCCAATAGAAATTCAAGGTGCTTGGTTCAATGTGAATTTCAGATTTCAAAAGTAACATTTTAGTATAAGTATGTCCCAAATATTGCATGGGGCAAACTAATACTACAAAGTTATTCTTTATTTATCTAAAACTCAAATTGAACTGGGTGTCTGATATTTCATCTAGTAACTCCAGTGGAAACAGAAATTCACTTCAAAATATAATTATCAATAGAATTAAAATATCATCATTTTGCAACCCTTAATGAAATAATGGATATAGAATTGTGATTTTTGAAGTGTGGTTCCCTGCGCAGAGGCATCACCACCTTCTGGGAACTCGGTAAAATGCAAATCCTTAGGACTCACTTCATCCCTACTAAAGCAGAAACCTTGGGGTTGGGGTCCTCAAATGTATGTTTTAGCACATATTGGTATGGTGATTCTAATCAATGAGTTGAGAACCACTTACCTAAGCAATTTTGGTAGGCAGAGTAATCTTCCCCCAAAGATGTCTATAGCCCCCAAAACTATCTTAGGTTACCTGACAAAGGAGAAATAAGATTGCAGATGGAATTTTTTTTTTCTTTTAAGACAGAGTTTTGCTCTGTTGCCCAGGCTGGAGTGCAATGGCACGATCTCAGCTCACTGCAACCTCTGCCTCCTGGGTTCAAGCAATTCTCCTGCCTCAGCCTCCTGAGTAGCTGGGATTACAGACATGCGCCACCACGCCCGGCTAATTTTGTATTTTTTTTAGTAGAGACGGGGTTTCACCGTGTTGGTCAGGCTGGTCTCGAACTCCTGACCTCAGGTGACCCGCCCACCTCAGCCTCCCAAAGTACTGGGATTACAGGCATGAGCCACCACGCCAGGCCGCAGATGGAATTTTGATTGCTAATTCGCTAACCTTAAGACGGGAAGAAAATCCTATGATATTCAGATGGGACGAATGTAATCACAAGGGTCTTGACAAAGAGTCAGCCAGGAGAAAATGTAACTATGGGAAGAGGGAATAGAGGGATGCAACATGACTAGCTTTGGAGACAGAGGAAAGGTCATGAGCCAAGGACTGTGAGCAGCCTCTAGAAGCTGGAGAAGGAGACAGATTCTCCCCTAGAGCCTCCAAAAAGAAATGGGCCCTGGTGACACCTTGATTTTAGTCCAGTGAGACTCTTGTTGGGCATCTCACCTACAGAACTGTAAGATACACTTCATTGTTAAAGCTGCTAAGTTTGTGGCCATTTGTTACAGTGGTGACAGAAAACTATTAGAGCAATGGTCATCAGTGCCTGCTAAAATCATTTGCTAAAAAGGCAATGCTATTAATACAGTAATGGGAACGGCTTGGAAGTTCATATCAAAACCCTACTGTGTTTATTCATGTGTATTATTTATTTATATTTATTTTTATTTTATTTTTGAGATGGAGTTTTGCTCTCGTTACCCAGGCTGGAGTGCAATGGTACAATCTCGGCTCACCACAACCTCTGCCTCCTGGGTTCAAGCGATTCCCCTCCCTCAGCCTCCCAAGTAGCTGGGATTACAGTCATGTACCACCATGCCTGGATAATTTTGTATTTTTAGTAGGGACAGGTTTTCTCCATGTTGTTCAGGCTGGTCTCGAACTCCTGACCTCAGGTGATCCACCCGCTTCAGCTTCCCAAAGTGCTGGGATTACAGGCATGAGCCACCGCGCCCGGCATATGTGTATTATTTAAAACTTATTTTATACACATACACAGTTTATGTCTTTTCAACTAACCTTTTATTTATAAGGTTTCTAGTTATAGATAAATAAGAATAACCGTCGGGTATATTTAGGAAATCAAGAGGCCCAGACTGCATATTAGTAGTCAACATACTATTGACCAGAGTGAGCAAGGCAGGTAAGCAGCACTGTTGAAGACTGTGGTCTAAACAGAGCTTCAGCTGTTTGTTTGGAACGATGTCTCACACAAGAAGTGTAATGTACCTATTTTCAGCCTTTTTATTCTGAGCAACAGGAATATCCTTGGTAAATCATTCTGGGAATAGGCCTAGTAATAACTTGAGAAACAAAGGAATGAGTTAAGCACAGATGTCCCAGAGGCCTCAGCACAGCCACAGAAAGAAATTTTTATATCATGACTTTACCACAGACACAGAATGCATCAAATTTTAAGTTTCCCAAGAAAGGGTTCTCATTTTCTTCACATATTCTGTTTGTACTTAATCCTGTCTAAATTAGCATGAAGGAGAAATATTTATATAAATGCAACCAGTTACCTAAAATATAGAAAAATAAGGGATTTTCTGTTTCTTTTTATTTCTATTGAAACTATCATCTGTGGCCTTGTAAAACCTCTGCCAACATTTCTGGCTGGCAAAAAATCTTTAATTTTTGTTCATTGAAGTATCACTATCCTCATAGTATTAATAGTAACATATAGCTGTTAAAAATGCACATTATAAGATATAGATCAATATGTCTATATGAATGACATGGACCCTCTTCTCAAGAAATTTACCTTTGGAGAGTTTCTTTTTTTTTTCTTTTTTCTTTTTTTTTTAAGACGGAGTTTTGCTTTTCTTGTCCAGGCTGGAGTGCAATGGCGTGATCTTGGCTCACCGCAACCTCCGCCTCCCAGTTTCAAGCGATTCTCCTGCCTCAAACTCCAGAGTAGCTGGGATTACAAGCATGTGCCACCACACCCAGCTAATTTTTGTATTTTTAGTAGAAACGGGGTTTTTCCATGTTGTTCAGGCTGGTCTTGAACTCCCAACCTCAGGTGATCCCGCCCACCTCAGCCTCCCAAAGTGCTGGGATTACAGGTGTGAGCCACCGTGCCCGCCCTTGGAGAGTTTCTTATTGGTATGGTCCTGCACGCTGCACATGGTCCTATTCCAGGAAGCTCCATTTACCTAGGCATGTGACAATGGCACTGTCATTGTACCACGTGGCAGCTCTGCTCCAAGACATATCCGAACAGCTCACTACCCCAGCATTGGGAGCTTATCTCCTCTTTTATAAATTTCTTCTAATCTGGATAACTTTTAAAATCTTACCATCTGACATGAAGAATGATTCACATAAGGATCATACAGTTCCCTTTAGCCCTGACATTTTATAGGACTATAATTCTGTCAGCTTTTGAAAGACTTTGGAATTCAAAAGAAGAATAAAGCAAATCTCACTCATTCTTCAAGGCCCAACTCAAATCTCATGTCCTCCCTGACACCTCCTCCTCCCCTATCACTGCCTTCTGTAAACTCCTCTAAAAATTATGGTACCCCAGGCTCAGGCAAGAACAAACTAGGCTCTCAGGAAAAGGGCTGTTGAGAATGAGAAAGATGCTAGAATAAGTTAGAATAGAAAATTATGAAAACCAACAAGGAGTATGGCCAGCATTTCAAAGGGCATTCTACTGGTAAGTACAGTGGTCTCAGCCTTGGGTAGAATGGCTGTCACCATGCAGGAAGGTATGTGGAGAAGGGCAGAACACATCCAGATGGAAGAGGTTATTCTGTTATAGGTTCTAATTATCATTCCAATGATAGCAAAATCATTGTTGGTGAGGGTAGGCTAGGAACAGCATTGAGCTCCACAGGGAAGGGTACTGGCGAGAGAATGCAGATAGGCAGAGTGCTGAGAAACGGTTAATTGGGCTGGTCTCAGTGACAGTGGAAGTCTCACATGGAAACAAGGAAAAGAGTGTGTGTGTGTGTGTGTGTGTGTATGTGTGTGTGTGTGTGTGTGAGAGAGAGAGAGAGACAAAGAGAAAGAGAGAGAGAGAAGGATATAGGGTCTGAGTCAAAAACTCAATTGTGGCCAGGCGCAGTGGCTCACACCTGTAATCCCAGTACTTTGGGAGGCTGAGGCGGGCAGATCACCTGAGGTCAGGAGTTCGAGACCGGCCTGGCCAACATGGTGAAACCCCAACTCTACTAAAAATACAAAAATTAGTGGGGCATGGTGGCTTGTGCCTGTAGTCTCAGCTACTCGGGAGGCTGAGGCAGGAGAATCGTTTGAACCAGGGAGGCAGAGGTTACAGTGAGCCAAGATCATGCGACTGCACTCCAGCCTGGGTGACAGAGTGAGAATCTGCCTCAAACAAAACAACACAAAACCACAACAACAAAAACCCAATTGTATGAATTCAAGCACACAATTCCTGGATGAGCTTTTAAGGACCAGGCAATCTAGACCCTGAAATAAAACAATAAAACTCATTTGCATGTGTACTTGCTGATAGATTAGGGCTGCTAATGTCTCCCCGACTCAGCTGTATCTTCCCAGGGCTGAAACTGTAGCAAGTAGAGTGAATAGTGAATAATGAAATAATGAATTATTGAATAATGAATTATTGATATTGAATAATGAATTATTGAATAATCAAGATTATTCAATAAAATGAGGAAGGCAGGAGCTGATAGTTTATTTTAATCATTTTACTTTCTGATCATTCCATGTGTGTCTAGCTAGAAAATAATGAAATACTAATACAAAATATAGAATTACAGGTATTTTCTATAATAAGCTCATTGTATGCAATACACACAAATATTACCCATAATATAGCTTATGTATATTTAACACAATTCTACATATTGGGAAGTGCTCAATTACTATCTGTTGAATTAAACATTGGCATACTGAGACTCACAAATCATTATTCTTTCATTTTCCAGCTTTGACTGCATTAATTTGCTAAATGTAATGATGCATTGAAGCTCTTGTCTTTACATAATCCTAAGAGCTGGGTAAAGCACTCCAGTTATTTTTTAGAACTCTTCTCTGTCCCACAGGGCAAGAAAGCAGCCTCTGTTTAGAGACTATGCCCAGGACATAGCTCATGGTAGGGCCTGTTGACTAGGAGTCATTAAACCAACTGCTAGAGATAGGGAGGGGTGGGAGGCGGGAAAGGTTTACAGAATGAAATCACAGAAGTCATAACATCTCCAGGCCCAGTCACTGTTGCAACAGGTGACAAGTTCTCACTCTCTCCTTACAGCAATCAACAGATTCCCTAAAATTCCTTTCTAAAAATCTTCAAAGTATTTTGCCTCTTCTTATTCCACTGCCTTCACCCTCTTCCAAACCAGTCACTGATCACACACACATAGCAATTCATACATTTATACACATGCACACACACACAATGTAACTTCTAATAGCCTAAAGAAGTATGACTCACAGGTTGGAGTTGGGGGGAAGGAGGTGTTTTTTATTTTTCAGCTTGAAAAATAGTGTCTTACTATGTGGTTATAACAGTCTATCCCTTTTCATAACATATTTGAGATTCATGAGATTTAAAATATCACTAGCTTTTATGCTTTTATTTAAAAATTGGGAAAACAATTCCAGTAAGATGCGAATCCTTAAATAATTGCTACAAGCTTAGTAACAAGGGGCTATTTACTCCTTGCTTATGTGAATTGGGAGGGTCTTCCAAAAAAGGTTACAATAAGAAAAAGACAGCTTACTGTACTCTATTTAAGTGAAAAGAATTGATTCAGATGACAGACCAACTACCAGACACAGCAGCCAGACGAAGAGCCGTTTATGCAGAGCTGCTTTAGTCTCACTAGATAAAGAAAGGAAGGAAATCAGAGACTTTATTTTAACGATCCTATCCTGTCTTCCATCATAATGTAAACAACCATCCCCCTTTCTAGCCAGATGACATGGTTTTCCATAGCCTCACACAGCCACAAATGTGAGCCACACTAAATAGCTGTTGCTGGCAGAAGATAAGGAAGAAAGAAAGTGCCCAAATGAGGTTTATTTATTTTATCTGAGACTGCAACTGTCAGACTGCAAATACCATACACTTTATTCTGGACAGGCTGTCAACTTCAAAGAAGAGGTACATGGAGAAGAGTCTGGAATCTTCTCACCACCATTAAGCAAAGCCCCGCCAAGTTAAGCTGAACTTCTCTAGTGTCTGTGAAATGAAACACACACACTGTAGATTGCAATTTTGCTGGCAGGTAGGTGTTGCTAAGAAGGCCATTGCTTTTTAAGGGGGTCAAGAACTGCCAAGGAAGAAAACTAAGTGCACAGTGGACAAAAGCTGGAGTTTGTATTAACCTTTGGCCAACAGTATTCCTGGCTTTTTGGCATTACTCATTTCAGGATATTTTAAGAAAGAGGACTGTGTTTTCTGACTGTAAATGTGAGTGCAGCAGGTTGAACCAGGATACACCAAATATTTTTCTAACTGAGGGAGACCAATGTAGAATTTAGATGCCAACAAGATGACTAAACAGCCATTTGTCTCATATTTACTCATTTAAGGCTGATGGGAGTGGAAAGAAACAGCTGGTGTGAGCTATTTCTATTGGGAAGCAATAAGATACACCATACCATAGGAGATTATTTTAAACCCAAGGTATATTATTGACACAGGTCTTTTATAGAAACGTCACATTCTGTCAGCTTTGTCAATAATGTACACGCACAAAAAAGTTTAAACTGGATCTCCTTGGTGAAGAATTTGTTTGTTTGTTTGCTTGCTTGTTTTTTGACAGCACACTTTACCTTTCAACCATGAAGTAATTTGTATGATAAAACAGAGGAGTTTGGCCGGGCAAGGTGGTTTACGCCTGTAATCCCAGCACTTTGGGAGGCCAAGGCAGGCAGATCACCTGAGGTCAGGAGTTTGAGACCAGCCTGGCCAACATGGTGAAACCCTGTCTCTACTAAAAAATACAAAAATTAGCTAGGCGTGGTGGTGCACATCTGTAGTCCCAACTACTCGGGAGGCTGAGGCAGGAGAATCGCTTGAACCCAGGAGGTGGAGGTTGCAGTGAGCCGAGACTGCGCCATTGCACTCCAGCCTGGGTGACAAGAGTGAGACTCTATCTCAAAACTAAACAATCCCCCCAAAAAAACGAAGTAAGAAAATTGCAGACCAAGATGCTCAGAAGAGGCTACAGGGGGCAGGACATAATCTTGAATGAACTTAAGACTCACATGATAGAAAGGGAAGGACATTTTTGACAGCAGCTATGATATAAAAATAATGGTATTTATGGGAAAGATTGAAATCATATCTAGTATGGTTTCAGATTACAATTACATGAAACTGGAAATTAATAATGGAATATTGAAAAACTCACAAATTTGTGGAACTTAAGCAACATGCTACTGAACAACCAATGTATCAAAGAAAAATCCAAAGGTAAATTAAATGATATATTGAGAAAAATGCCAATGGAAACACAATATACTAAAACCTATGGAATACAGCAAAGACCATTCTAAAAGTGAAGTTTATAGTGATAAAAACCTATATTTAAGAAGATAAAAGATGCCAAATAAATAATCTAACATTATATCGCAAGAAACTAGAAAAAGAACAAACTAAACCCAAAATTTGCAGAAGGGAAGAAGTAATAAAAATCAGAACAGAAACAAATCAGAGAATAGAAAAATGAAAGAAATAAATAACAAAACTAAGTTGCTTTTTTGAACAAACAAAATTGGCAAACCTTTAGCTAGTCTAAGAAAACAAGAAAAAAGACTAAAATAAATTTTTAAAAAACGGATAGTGAAGAAATTAACACAGATGCTTCAGAAATAAAAAGAATCATAAGGGTATGTTATGAGTAATTTTTTTTTTTTTTGAGATGGAGTCTCACTCCGTCACCCAGGCTGGAGTGCAGTGGCACGATCTCGGCTCACTGAAAGCTCAGCCTCCCAGGTTCATGCCATCCTCCTACCTCAGCCTCCCGTGTAGCTGGGACTACAGGCACCCACCACCATGCCTGGCTAATTTTTTAGCCAGGATGGTCGCGATCTCCTGACCTCATGATCTGCCCTCCTCAGCCTCCCAAAGTGCTGGGATTAAAGGCGTGAGCCACCATGTCCAGCTTCATTATGAATAATTTTATGATAAAAAAATTAGATAACCTGGAGGAAATGGATAAATTCCTAAAAAAAATACAACCTACCAAGAGTGAGTCAGAAAGAAGTAAAAAAATTAACAGACCAGTAACAAATAAAAAGGTTGAGGAAATAATTTTTTAAAACTTCCCAATAAGGAAAAACTCAAATTGAGATGGCTACCTAGCTGTATTCTACCAAACATTCAAAGAAGAATTAATACCAATACTTCTTAAAATCTGCCAAAAAATAGAGCTAGAGGAAATACTTTCAAACACATTTTATGAGGCCAGCATCATCTTGATACTTAAGCTAGACAAAGACATTACAAGAAAAGAAAGCTACAGACCAATCTCTCTAATGCATATTGATGCAAGAATTCTCAATAAAATATTAGGAAACCAGATCCAATAATAAGTCAAAAATATTACATATGATCAAATAGGATTTAGCCCTGGCATGAAATGCTGGCTTAACATATACAAATTAATCAATATGATACATCACATTTAATAGAATGAAAGATAAAAACCACATGATTAGCTCCATTGACACAAAACAGCATTGACAAAATCTAACATCCTTTCTTGAAAAATCTCTCAACAGTTTAGGTATAGAAGAAAAGATTTTCAACATAATAAATGCCATTTATGAAATACCCATGGCTAACATTATAATCAATGGAGAAAAAAACTCTGAAAGCTAAGATCCTGTAAAAGGTAAGGATGCCCACTCTAGTACTGTTCAACACAGTACTAGAAGTATTAGCAAGAACAATCAAACAAGAAAGAAAAATATCCAAATTGGAAAGGAAGAAGTAAAATTATCTCTATTTGTAGATGTCATGATCCTCCATGTAAAAAAAAAATTCCCAACAATTATACACACACACACCAGTTAGAACTAATAAAATCATTAAAGTTGCAGGACTCAAAACCAACATATAGTAGAATTTCTATACACAAATAATGACCTAACTAAAAAGAAATTTTTTTAAATCTCATTTATAATAGTTTAAAGAAAATAAAATACTTAGGAATAAATTTACCTAAAAAGGTAAAAGATCTGTACAATGAAAATAATAAAATATTGATGAAAGAAATTAAAGAAGGCACAAACAAGTTGAAAGACATCCCATGCTCATGGACCAGAAGAAATAATATTGTTAAAATACCCATACTGCCCAGAGCAATATACAAATCCAATACAATCCCTATCAAAATCCCAATAGCATTATTCACAGAATTTTCTAATCCTAAAATTCCTGTGACATCATGAAAGACCCTGAATAGCCAAAAGAATTCTGAGAAAGAAAAGCAAAGTTGGAAGCACCACACTTCCTGATTTCAAATCATGTTCTAAATCTGCAATAATGAAAACAGTATGGTACTGACATAAAAACAAACACATAGACCAGTGGAACAGAACAAAGGGCCCAGAAATAAATCCAAACATATATGGTCAACTAACTTTTGACATGGACACTAAGACAACAAAATGGGAAAAGCATAATCTCTTCAATAAATTGTGCTGGGAAAACTGGATTTTTATATCCAAAAGAATGAAATTGGACCCTTATTTTACACCATACACAAAAGTAAAGTCAAAATAGATTTTAAAAAACTTAAATGTAAGAATAGAAACTGTAAAACTCTTAGAAGAGAACATAAGTAAGAGCACCTGGACACTGGCCTTGGCAATGATTCTTTTGAATACTGTACCAAAAACTCAGGCCAAGAAAGCAAAAACAAATAAGTGAGACTACATCCTTGCACAGCAAGGAGAACAACCAACAAAACAAAAGAGCAAACTACAGATTGGGAAAAAATATTTGCAAACCATATCTCTGATAAGAGGTTAATATCCAAAATTTATTAAGAACTCACCAACTCAACAGTAGAAAAACAACCTGAATAAAAACTGAGCAAAAAACCTGAATAGACATTCTTCAAAGAAGGTATGAAAATGGCCAACAGGCATATGAAAATGTGCCCAACATTATTAATCATCAATAAAATACAGTCAAAACCACTATGAGATGCCACCTCACACCCACTAGGATGGTTATTTTCAAAGTTAAAAGATAAATTTTGGTGAAGATGTGGAGAAAAGAGAACTCTTGTATACTGTTGGTGAGAATGTAGATTGGTACAGCCATTATGAAAAACAGTATGGAGGGCCAGGTGCAGTGGCTCATGCCTGTAATCCCAGCACTTTGGGAAGCCAAGGTGGGAGGATCATGAGGTCAAGAGATCAAGACTATCCTGGCCAACATGGTGAAACCCTGTCTCTACTAAAAATACAAAAATTAGCTGGGCGTGGTGGCGGGCACCTGTAGTCCCAGCTACTCAAGAGGCTGAGGCAGGAGAATCACTTGGAGGCAGGAGAATCACTTGAACGCAGGAGGTGGAGGTGGTAGTATGCTGAGGCACTCCAGCCTGGTGACAGAGTGAGACTTTGTCTCAAAAAAAAAAAAAAGAAAAAGAAAAAAGAAAACAAAAATAGTATGGAGGTTTCTAAATAAATTAGAAATAGAACACACATACACACACACACACACACACACACACACACACACACATATGCTCAATGGAATATCATTCAGCCCCGAAAAATAATGAGAACTCACATTTTGCCACAATGTACATGAATGTGGAGGACATTATACCAGGTAAAATAAGCCAGACACAGAAAGAAAAAAATTGCATGATCTTATTTATATGTAGAATATTTTTAAAAATTGAATATACAGAGAGAACAAAACAGTGACAGGCCTGGAGAAAGGGAATGGAGAGGAAATGGGGAGATGTAGGACAGAGGATAAAAAGTAGCAAATATTTGAGATAAACAAATCTAAAGATCTAATGTACAACATGAGACTATAGGTAATAAACTTGTACTATATTTGGAATTCATGCTAAATAAGTAGATTTTAGCATGCTCTTGTCACAAAAATAACAAAAAAAATGGGTAACTGTGAGACTATGGCTACATTAATTTGCTTCCCTAAAGTAACCTTTTGTACTATCTATATGTATCCCATAATATCATATTGTATATCTTAAATATACACAAGAAAACTTATTTTTAAAATAAGAGACTTGGGGTCTGGGCTGGGCGTGGTGGCTCACGCCTGTAATCCCAGCACTTTGGGAGGCTGAGGTGGGTGGATCACGAGGTCAGGAGATCAAGACCATCCTGGCTGACACGGTGAAACCCCCATCTCTACTAAAAATACAAAAAATTAGCCAGGCATGTTGGCGGGTGCCTGTAGTCCCAGCTACTCGGGAGGCTGAGGCAGAGGAATGGTGTGAAACCAGGAGGCAGAGCTTGCAGTAAGCCAAGATCATGCCACTGCACTCCAGCCTGGGTGACAGAGCGAGACTCCATCTCAAAAAAAATAAAAAAATAAAAATAAATAAAATAAGAGCCTGTAATCCCAGCACTTTGGGAGGGTGAGGTGGGCGGATCATGAGGTCAGGTGATCCAGAACATCCTGGCTAACATGGTGAAACTCCGTCTCTACTAAAAATACAAAAAATTAGCTGAGCGTGGTGGCAGGCGCCTGTAGTCTCAGCTACTTGGGAGGCTGAAGCAGGAGAATGGTGTGAACCCGGGAGGCAGAGCTTGCAGTGAGCCAAGATCGTGCCACTGCACTTCATCCTGGGCGATAGAGTGAGACTCCGTCTCAATAAATAAATAAATAAATAATATAAGAGGCTTGGGGTCCGGATTTATAGTCTGGTTTTCCCCTTGTATTCCTCACCATTATGATGAGTCTTTTTGAATAACTATTAGTCTGTTCTTACGCTGCTGATAAAGACATACCCAAAGCCCTAATTTACAAAGGAAACAGGTTTAATTGACTCACCGTTCCACATGGCTGGGGAGAACTCACAATCATGATGAAAGGTGAATGAAGAGCAAAGTCACGTCTTACATGGCAGCAGGCAAGAGAGCATGTGCAGAGGAACTCCCCTTTATAAAGCCATCAGATCTCATGAGATGTATTCACTGTCACAAGAACAGCATGGAAAGACTCACCCCCATGATTCAATTACCTCCCACCATGTCCCTCCCATGACATGTGGGAATTATGGGAGCTACAACTCAAGATGAGATTTGGGTGGGGACACAACCAAACCATATTGTTAACCTAGAAACTTATTCTACTATACAGATAAGGAGTTGTTTCAATTCAGGTGTATGGATCTCAGTCAATACTGGGAAGCAAAAAGTTATTTACAATTATAATATTTAATGAGTCTGAAATTAGAATACAACGTCAGGAAACCAATTTTTCTCCTAATTTTTAAGCATACGTTTTAGAGGAAGGATGCATTATTTTTTAAAGTTTTTTTCTATTATAAATGCAATATATAATTATAGAAAAATTAGATGATATTGGAAAGGTAGAAAAGTAAAAAATACATATTTTTCTCAGTTTTGTCTATGCATAATTTTTTTCTTATTTGTTTCACATAGTTGAACTTGCCTACTTATGTTTAATAATATTTATCATTTTTCTCATTACAAAAGCAATCAATTGCCACTGGAGAAATTTAGAGAATACGAAAACCACTAAGGACCAATAAAAGTCAGCTATGGCTCCACACCCACATGCAACCACTTAAAATTTTATTTTTGTAGAAAAGCAAACAAAGATACAAACATTAAATCATGCAAATCAGACCTGATGAAAAATAACTTAGAAAAACTTTCTTGGCCAGGTACAGTGGCTCATGCCTGTAATCCCAGCACTTTGGAGGCCCAGGTGGGCAGATCACCTGAGGTCAAGAGATCAAGACCATCCTGGCCAACGAAACCCTGTCTCTACTAAAAATACAAAAATTAGCTGGGTGTGGTGGTGTGTGCCTGTAGTCCTAGCTACTTGGGAGGCTGAAGCAGGAGAATTGCTTGAACCTGGCAGGCAGAGGTTGCAGTGAGCCAAGATTGTGCCACTGCACTTCAGCCTGGTGACAGAGTGACACTACATCTCAAAAAAAACACAAAACTTTCTCAATTTCAGGTTTCTCTGTCTAGACACAAGTACTCCTACTTGAGAAATACTTTTTCTTTCTCCCTGCTTTTGTCC
Source organism: Homo sapiens (assembly GCF_000001405.40). Classification (NCBI taxonomy): domain Eukaryota; kingdom Metazoa; phylum Chordata; class Mammalia; order Primates; family Hominidae; genus Homo; species Homo sapiens. The sequence goes on from NC_000008.11 coordinate 121,568,227, forward strand.
ATCATCCTACAAGAGTTTTCTCTGGATTCTCCTAGCCATAGAGAAGGCATCACCTCTCACGTGTTGCCTGGAGCAATCTCTGTTCAGGCTGGTCATCACCCCTCTTTGAAACAGTAGCTTTAAATTTAACCTGATTGGAGGCTCTTACAAAGCAATCTCCTCAGTGGTGTTCCCCTCTCACCTCTGCAGAGTGTCTCTCTCCTGGATAGAATCACAGCTATGATACATAAAAGCAGTACAATCTGGGCAAGTTTCTTACTTCGACCTCCTCAATCCTACAGTAGAAACAATAATAGCATATACATGAAATTGTGGCAAAGATTACATGACTCAACATACCCAAGGCTCTTAGAATAGTGCTTGGCATGCAGTAAACCCTAGATACACGTTACTGTCATATGGGGTTGACCTTCCAAGTGAATTTCTTCTTTTAGCTATTTTATTAATAATTCTGTGTTATTTTTTAGTTATTAGTGTAAAATGAGATGATGTTTTGAAATATCTGTGTGTACTATAAGACCTTGGTGTTGGCATTTATCTCCAGACTTTTTTTTTCTCCAGACTTTTCAGAAGGAAAAATCCTGTCTTGGGGCTACAAGGTTTTCACACACCTGTGCCCCACCTTATCACTCTAACTTTATCTCTTTATCCCTGCGGGCCCCAGTTCCATCAATGTCTGCTCAGCTTGACGTTGTTCTCCAGTAAACCAGACCTTGCTCAAATCCCAAAACTTCTTTCAAATTCTGCCCCTGTTAATCCCTCTAAAAACTTTCTGGTGGCATTGCTGATTTGTGGATGCCACTTTTTATGCATAACTCTCTCTTTTTCTTCTACATTTGCCTTTTGTTGCCTCATCTGAACTATAACTTATTGAAGATAATGTTCCTTCCTTCTAAAGCACCTAACACAAAAGGACCGATTTTTGTACATTTTGTTTTTGTTAGTATTTTTAGAGCCAAATTCATCTTTCACAGAATCTATGAAGATGTATATACTGGTAATGTTTGGGACTTAGTGAGGAAGAATTTCCAGAAAAATTATAGTAAAGATTGAAGTGTAAAAAGATGTAAATAAACAGAAAAAAATGTAAATATCATAAGTTGTCTAACCTACAAAGTAAAGCTACCGTAGCTTTTTTTTGTCCATATTTCACTGGCTGTTGTGATAAATCACTCCAAAGAGCTGTTGCATTCTCCAGGGTTCCTGAGGTCACTACTTTCTAGCCCTGCACTAAAAACCAGGTCCTACATAGGACAAATACTCTTCAAAATATCTATTCTTCCTAATAAAATTGATTTACACATCTAATTTAGGTTTATTGAAGACATTTTAGAAAATAAATTTTTTACTCAATAAATAATTTACTCAATAATTTACTCAATAATTATTTGAGTAAATAATACAGGCAAATAATTAATATCTTTGCTATGTTAAATCTATTTTGATTTTGCTATTAATTTGATTCACATTGTGTTGTAAAATACAAAGTATATAATTTAAACGCAATAGCACCCATCAAACATATACACATTCGTGAACTTTGACAAATGCACAAATTCATGTAACCACCACCTCAGTTAAAATGTGAAACTTTTCCATCACTACAAATGCTTTCTTAGCACCCTTTGCAGTCAGTTTCTCTCTACTCCCTGCCTCCAAAATCACTGATTTGCTTTCTATCACTCAAGACTTTAAATAGTACTAAACCCTAAATATACAGTTGACCCTTGAGCAACTCAGGGGTTAGCGGCACTGATCTCACAGTAAATAATCTAGGTATAACTTTAAACTCCCCCAAAATTTAATTACTAACAGCCTACAGTTGGCTGGAAACCTTACCAATAACATTAAGACTCAATTAACACATATTTTGTATGTTATGTGTATTAAGTACTGTATTCTTATCATTAAGTAAGCTACAGAAAAGAAAATATTATAACAATCATAAGGAAGAGAAAATAAAAAAGAGAAAATTGACGTGCTTCCAGCGTCACTAGTGGCACTTTGTATGGGTCCCATGGTGTTACTCAAGGTTTACAGTATTGCACTAAACACCATGAAAAATATTTGAGTACCACAAGATATCACTTTTTACTGTGATACACAATTTACTGGAGAGAGAGAAGGCTCACACAGAGATGATTAGTGTCACATGCTGTTTTAAGCAGCTACTCACAACACTAAAGCTCACCACAATAGTAACAGGAGGTGGCTACAAAATTGTTACAGTATTATAGTACATATTACAAGTTAATTGTAAGCATTTATGATTTCATACCGCATCTTTATGTTTGTTTATATTTCTCTGGACTACAGATGGTGCCATATACAATCTGTAAGTATTTGTGTGCTAAGTTTGGAGAAATTTTAAGTTTTTATAATAGATTTGTTTATATTTTATAGTAGTAAATAATAAAATAGACTAACGTCTACATATATTTCATGAATTCATGATTTACCTTTTTCTTTTTTTTTCTTGGTATTTCTAGGCTGTGTGGTTTGTGAGTTTTTCACAAATTGTCACACATGTACAAAAGAATTTTCCAATATATTTACTGAAAAACATCTCTATATAAATGGACTCATAGTTCAAATCCATGTTGTGAAAAGGTCAATTGTACTGTTTTTTCCTATACATACATACCTATAATAAAGCATAATTTATAAATCAGACACAGGAAGAGAGTAACAAAAATAATTAATAATAAAATTAAATAATGATAACAATATACTGTATTAAAAGCTATGTGAATGTGGTCTCTCTGTCTCTCAGAATATCCTATTATACTGTACTCAGTTATTTTCAGACTGCTCTTGACCTCTAGTAACTGAAACTGAGGAAAGTGAAACCACGGATATGCAGAGACTACTGTAAAAAGAATACGGTATACATAAGTATTTTTAAAAGAAGGCATACGGTATTGTGGAAACTATAAGTGTATTCGACTCAATCAGGGTGTTCAAGTAGGTTCAAGTAATGCATCTCTAGACAAGCTCCTCTCCCATTCCTTCCAGTAGGAATTTCAAATTTTTCTCCACTTTCCTCAAGCATGTTATTCTACTACCAACCTCCTCATTTTTGGTAGAGTTTCTCCACAGACTTCTTTTTTTGTAGCCAACATTCCAAACATATATAAGCAATAACACAATCCAAGTTGTTTTTTTTTTTTTTTTTTGAGACGGAATGTCTCTCTGTCGCCAAGGCCGGAGTGCAGTGGTACAATCTCGGCTCACTATAACCTCTGCCTCCCGGGTTCAAGCAATTCTCCTGCCTCAGCCTCTTGAGTAACTGGGATTACAGGCAGTTGCCACTACGCCAGGCTACTTTTTGTAATTTTAGTAGAGATGGGGTTTCACCATGTTGGCCAGGCTGGTCTCAAACTCCTGACCTCAAGTGATCTGCCCGCCTTGGCCTCCCAATGTGCTGGGGTTACAGGAGTGAGCCACCATGCCCAGACTTTTTTTTTTTTTTAATTTGTAGTCACTTTATTAACCTGACTACACAGATATAAGCAGCATGTAATCAGAAAGTTACAAGTAAACAAAAATGATACATAAAAATTTCTGTTCACAAAAGTCACATATGCAAGCACATGAATTAGAAGTTTAAGTGTAGAATTATGGCTAGACTATTTTTAAAATGCAGAAATGTAAAATTACCTCTTGAAAACATGAGAGATGGTCTACCCCTCTCAAAAATCAAATCTTGCTGCAGGATCTCCACCGACTTTTAACAATATGTTTTTTTCTGAGAAGTCTTCCCTCAATCTAATATTCTATTGACTGATAACATTATTTCTCTTTATCTTGGAGATGTAAAATCTTGTTTAGGATGTATATATGTGAGGATTTTTTAAAATTACTTTCTCTTACAATATGATGATCTCTTTCAAAACTGCTGATCAGCAAAGAAGTTTTTCTTCAATTATGTCATTGATGATTTCAACTCATCTAAGATCATATTATTTTCAATGTTAATACCTGTAATTCTTAGGCTAGTTCTGTTTTCTCTGTCCTCCATAGTCATCATGTTTACCCTTGCTTTCATCTTTTGTCATTTTTTTTCTTTCTTCCATGAGCTTTTCTCATGTTTGTCCTGCTCATCACTGATTTATCCTGGTCAGAAACTCCTCATATATCCATTTTACAAAATTACACTGGTATTTGCAATGACCTGGATGAGACTGGAGACTATTATTCTAAGTAAAGTAACTCAGGAATAGAAAACCAAACATCATAACTTATCGCTGATATATGGGAGCTAAGCTATGAGGACGCAAAGGCATAAGAATGATAAAATGGATTTTGTGGACTTGGAAGAGTGGGAGGGGTCAAGGGATAAAAGACTACAAATATGGTGCAGTGTATACTACTTGGCTGATAGGTGCACCAAAATCTCACAAATCACCACTAAAGAACTTATTCATGTAACCAAATACCACCTGTACCCCAATCACTTACGGAAAAATAAAATTTTTTAAAAATGACACTTGTACCCCATAAACTTAGATGAACAAAATAAAACAAATTTAAAACCTCTCCAATGTTTATTTTACTCTCTACTGCTACTGCTATGCATTTTAATACAGCTATCTTTATTTTCTTTGTATATTTCACCTCCTTTCCTTATTATGTAATTTTGGGGTTTTTTCCCCTATTGTGTTACTTCTTTCTCTCAGGTATCATTTCCCTAGAATCTTTGCTCCTATTTTATAAAAGGCCTCTTGTATTCTTGTAAAATTTTATGTCAAAATTTCCCTTTGCCTGCTATATAAAATGTATTTCAGAAGAGGGTTCTTCCTGTGAGTCTTCAGAATAACGGAACTTTTCCCTTTCTGCATATTTATTGGTCCTACGGTTTCTGATGTTGGGACTGTTGTCTTATTTTGTTGAAACTAATTTTGAAAGAAGGAAAATTCTATCCAGACATGGTGTTTGACAACAAGTCTCTGCAAATTGCCTTTGGCTTTTCTCACTGCCCATTTGGCTGTTAGTTCAATCCTGTGTTCAGATTAATTGCTGGGTCAAGAAGGGAGGGTAGGAGTGAGAGTTTAATATGTTTTATATGGACCCCATTTCCAAGCATGCACTCATTTGTTTTAACTTTTCTGACTTGAAATGGGATTCTCTCTAATTCCTAGTGCCTAATTATTTATTTCTCTAAACCTAATTTCCCCAGTGTTTTCACTAATCAGAGATCAGGGCTTGTCCTATCTCTGCCTTGCTCTGTTCCTTACTTAGCCCACTTCCAAAATTGTTTTATTATGGAAACATAACTCCCACAATGTAATGCTTACTGCTTTGTGAAAAAGGAGATAAAGATGTTATACATTCATAGTTTTGTGTCCCTAGTGGGGTAGAGAGAAGTTTTTGTTTGTTTGTATGTTTGTTTGTTTGTCTTTGAGATGGAGTCTTGCACTGTCGCCCGGGCTGGTGTGCAGTGGCACGATCGCGGCTCGCTGCAAACTCCACCTCCCAGGTTCAAGCAATTCTCCTGCCTCAGCCTCGTGAGTAGCTAACATTACAGGCTCCTGCCACCACGCCTGGCTAATTTTTTGTATTTTTAGTAGAGACAAGGTTTCACTATGTTGGCCAGGCTGGTCTCGAACTCCTGACCTTGTGGTCCACCAGCCTCGGCCTCCCAAAGTGCTGGGATTGCAGGCGTGAGCCACCACGCCTGGCCGAGAGTAGTAGGAAAATTACTCTAACTCACAAACATAGAACTAAGCGTTAGAGGGGAAATTGATGAATTTTCTTGTTCGTAATAGTTTAACCAATATTTGAATTGAGGTCTGTTTGATTACATCGTCCAAGTTAATATAGTAGATACTGCTTCTTGAAGCCAATATATTGCCTTAAAAAGATAGAACCAGAAACTTTTCTATCCTGTGTTTACTACCAGATACACAAAAGAGGACACTTTTCTAGCCCTCACAGATGCAAACATCCACTCATAAAATAACACAGTCAGGTGGGTGCAGTGGTGCACACCTATAGTCCCAGCTACTAGGCTGGGGCAGGAGAATCACATGAGTGTAGGAGTTTGAGACCATTCTGGGAAACATAGAGAGGCCCTGTCTCTTAACATAAAAAATAGCAACACAACTTCTGTGCTAAATTCTACAGTAGCGATAAGGTAAAGGATAAAGCCTTCTCATGCAAGCATTAGACAGTTGTTCCCATAATACGATCAACTCCTGTTTGTATAGAATACTAAAAGAAATGGGGTATTTGAGGTAAACAAGAACTGTGGGACATTAGGTGTGGTCTGATTCATGCCGAAACAGCAGGAGTATCACTCCCTTTGGTCTGGATACTGCAGTCCTGTTAATTCAGCCCCAGATCAAATTATTCTCTTGGCAGTCTCTACACAGTAGTGACTCATGTTGGGCTGGCAGTCAACTGAAATCACTAATCCCTCTCACACGTGCAGCTGTTCAGCTACGTCTCCCCCATCCTGGCCTGTGCGGCTCTTCTTAGAGCCTGAATGCTGTGTCTTCATATTGCATAAAATCATTTCATTTACTAGTATGGAAGATCCATACACTGCAAAATCATCATAACACAGGGACGAACTAAGTTTGAACTGTTATTAACTTGCCCTTTAAGTCTATAGGACTAAATACATAAGCAAGAGATGCAAAGAATTAGGAATAATGTCACTTTTTTCCAAACTCTCACATCTAATAAATCAACAGTTTTCTTCTGTCCTCCTCCTGAATGGAGAAGAGATCCCACAGATTCTCTGAATTTATTTTTTCTCTGGAAAGGTCCCAGTGAGGAACTTGGGGAAATTCTTAAAAGGCACAGAGGGGCCGGGCACAGTGGCTCACACCTGCAATCCCAGCACTTTGGGAGGCTGATGTGGGCGGATCACCTGAAGTCGGGAGTTCGAGACCAGCCTGGCTAACATGATGAAACCCCATCTCTACTAAAAACACAAAAATTAGCAAGGTGTGGTGACAAGCGCCTGTAATCCCAGTTACTCGGGAGGCTGAGGCAGGAGAATTGTTTGAACTCGGCAGGTGGAGGTTGCAGTGATCTGAGATTGTGCCACTGCACTCCAGCCTGGGCAACAGAGTAAGACTCTGTCTCAAAAAAAAAAAAAAAAAGGCACAGAGGGACTACAGGTCCTCTAGGATGGTCACCTATTTCACCTCAGACTTCACTCTGAATGTCTGTATGTTCCATTGGGAAAGGTGGCTTCCCTCTTTCAAATGACTGGGCCACGCTAAAAGGAAACTAATGTTTTTCTGAACATTTGCTCTATTTATTTAGGTTTAGGCATTTATGTGTGTTATTTTTATCATTGCGCCAACCTTGTAAGTTATATATTACTTTTTCTTTTATTGTGACAGAACCAGCAGTACAGAAAGAATAAGGATATTATCCCAAGTTACACAGAAAGTAAATGAGAGAACCAGGATTTGAGCCTCAAACTATCTGGATTTAAGGCCTAATCTATTCAATGTACCTCACAGATACTCCTTGTTGATGTACAGAAAGCAGCCAACCCTAGGAGAAAAGCTCTAGGGTGGAAAAATTAAACGAAAAACTATCCTGAAGGGAAGATAAGGAAGTAGTATAGTTACTTTGGTCTTAGTTTCCAGAGCAATGCCAAAGTCATAATAGGTACTCAGTAAATCATTGCAATGTAATGAATGGCCAGGCAATGGTCAGATATTTTCAGTTTTGCTCATTAAACCTGTAACATTCAATTAATCAGCAGGAATTGATTAAGCTCTTGCTGCGTTTGCAATACCTCGTGGGGTATCACTGGATATGTGATAAATTAAGACAATCTAATTTTGGTGAAACCTAATATACATAACCAACACTGTCCAGTTTAATCAAGTACCAAAATGCATGATACCAATTGTTGATGTTATATATTTGGAAATAGAATGCTGTAGGAGATTTTGGGGGGAGGTATCATGGAGCACATAATTCTCGTATGATGTCATCCTTGAAGGATTCGTAGAAGGTTAGTGCCTTCCATAGGAGGAAAGAATCATGAGGAAGGAAGGCATAAGTACAGAATGTTTTGAGGAAAGGAAGAAAAAGAGATATAGGAGTAATAGGAAATTATTGTAAGGGTTATAGTAATGTTGACTGCTGTAATAAATAAATTGAACATTTATAATGCATGGAAAATTTTACTGAGAAGCTCTCTAGAACTAGATCCAGTAGTGCCAAACATTTCCACTCACATTCCATTGACCAGAACTCAAATATGTGATCACACCTCACTGCAAAGGACGGTGCCCATCTGTGTACCCGGGAGAAGAGGAAGAGTTTTTGGGGAGTAGCTAATCAGTCTCCAACAGAAATGAACTTGGCAAAAAACAAAAACACATAGAGCTAAAGGTTGAGACCTGCTCTCTTTCTGATCTCTTTGTGCTTCTGTTTTCTTAATTGCAAAATGGAGCTAATGGCCCTCGGTAGCATACTCATAAGGATGTTCTTAGGAGGCCCAAATGAGATAATGAATATAACATTTCTTGGAAAATTTGAATGGTTTCTGATCATTTGTATGATATTGAGTTGGCTTGTCAGACACTAGAAAATTGCTATACTTTATATAAAAACAGTGGAGAATACAAAATAAGTTCAAGGATCAATTTTAGCAAGAAAGTTGGACTGGGGAAAAAAATAAGACACTATCCTTTCAAGACTAACTATTGATCCAAAAATTCTACCTAATATTTAGGCAAATTTTTGCCTAAATTTTTTTGCCTTAACTAATATTTAGTACCACCTAGTACTAAATATAATAGTACTACATTTTTCTTAGTACTCAGAAAATACATATCCAGGTCATACTTATGAAAGAGAATTCTGGGAGTGAGTATGTAGGACAAAAGGAAGGAAAGGAGGAAGATAGAGCAAAACAGGAAGATGCGCTATAGAAGGGTTGGAGCAGGCTATTTACCTTACACCAGTCCATTTTGTATGTTACGGTATTTAATTATGAAAACAATTATGAGGTGGCTGCGCACAGTGGCTCAACCTGTAATCCCAGCATTTTGGGAGGCCAAGGCAGGTGAATCACTTGAGGTCAGGAGTTCAAGACCAACTTGGCCAACATGGTGAAACCCTGTCTCTACTAAAAATAACAAAATTTTAGTCGGGCATGGTGGCACGTGCCTGTAATCCCAGTTACTTGGGAGGCTGAGGCAGGAGAATCACTTGAACCCAGGAAGCAGAGGTTGCAGTGAGCCAAAATCATGCCACTGCACTCCAGCCAGGACAATAGAGCGAGATTCCATCTCAAAACAAAACAATACAAGAGAAAAGGGAAAAATTATGAGGTATTATTTTATCCATTTTGTAAAGTAGAAAGCAAAAGTTTGTAGAAAGTGTATCAGTTGGACAATATTTCATTACCAGTGGTTAGCGGAACCAGAGTTTGAACCTGAATCACATTCCAAATTCATTTGTTTCTCCCTACTCCTCATTTCTGCCATTAATTAGTGAGGTAGGAGAATGTTGGAGGAATTAACCTTTTTTGAAAGTCTCTTTAGTAAAATCAGACTCAGAATCCTAGAGCTTACAGGGTCATTAGAAACCAGCTAGTCAAATGTCCTACTCTAACAGATGAAAAATGAGGAAGAGAAAGGGGAGGTGCCTTGCCCAGGATCAGAGAGTATTTTAATGGCAGAGCCAGACCTAGAAAAACCCAAATCTCCTGATTTATGGTCCATTACAAAAGTTTTGACTAGGGAACTGTTTTTTTAAAATAGTGTGTGATGCTATAAAGTCACACACTGGATACAGAAATATACATCTAAAAATTTCCCCAGATTAATGTTTCCCCTGTGGGTTTTCGAGACAGGGGAGCTAAGTTAGTGGGTAGTTTCTGACTTAGGGTTCAGCAAGTGGGGTGGTATGAGCACTGAGCTGGTTGGAATTACAAGCAGCCTCAGTTGTATAAACGAGTCTGAATTATTTTTTTTCTTTTAACTTTTATTTCAGGTTCAGGGTATATGTGCAGGTTTGTTCTATAGGTAAACTCATTTCATGGGAGTTTGTTGTACAGATTATCTTGTCACCCAGCCTGGTACCCAATAGTTATTTTTTCTGATCCCCTCCGTCTTCCCACCCTAAATTATGCTCCAGTGTGTGTTGTTCCCCTCCAAGTGTCCATGTGTTCTCATCATTTAGCTCCCACTTAGAAGTAAGAACATGGGGTATTTGGTTTCCTGTTTGTTCCTGCATTAGTTGCTAAGGATGATGGCCTCCAGCTACATCCACGTTCCTGCAAAGGACATGATCTCATTCTTTTTTATGGCTGCATAGTATTCCATAGTGTACATGTATCATATTTGCTTTATCCAGTCTACCACTGATGGGCATTTAGGTTGATTGCATGTCTTTGCTATTGTGAATAATGCTGCAGTGAACATACAAGTACATGTGTCTTTATGGTATAATGATTTATATTCCTTTGGGTATATGCCCAGTAATGGGATTACTGGTCAAACGGTAGTTCTATTTTCAGCTCTTTGAGGAATTGCCACACTGTTTTCCACAATGATTGAACTAATTTACACTCCCACCAACAGTGTATAAGCATTCTAGAATAAGCATTCCCTTTTTCTGCAACCTCCATAGCATGTTATCTTTGGCTAGTCAGGGTTCTTTTTTTTTCTTCAACTTTTATTTTAAATTCTGGGGTACATGTGCAGGATGTGCAGGTTTGTTACATAGGTAAATGTGTGCCATGGTGGTTTGCTGCACAGATCAACCCATCACCTAGGTATTAAGCCCAGCATCCATTAGCTATTCTTCCTGATGCTCTCCCTACTCCTGCCCCGCAACAGGCCCCAGTGTATGTTGTTCCCCTACATGTGTCTGTTTTCTCATTATTCAGCTCCAACTTACAAGTGAGAATGTTTGGTGTTTGGTTTTCCATTCCTGCATTAGTTTGCTGGGGATAATGGCTTCCAGCTCTGTCCATGTCCCTGCAAAGGACATGAACAGCTGCATAGTATTCCATGGTGTATATGCACCACATTTTTTAAAATCCAGTCTATTATTGATGGGCATTTGGATTGATTCCATGTCTTTGCTATTGTGAATAGTGCTGCAATGAACATATGCGTGCATGTATCTCTATGAGAGAATGACTTATATTCTTTTGGGTACATACCCAGTAATTCGACTGCTGGGTCAAATGGTATTTCTGCTTCTAGATCTTCAAGGAATTTCCATGCTGTCTTTCCACAATAGTTGAACTAATTTACACTCCCACCAACAAGGTAAAAGTGTTCCTTTTTCTCTACAACTGTATTAGTCCATTTTCACGCTGCTGATAAAGACACACCCGAGACTGGGCAATTTATAAAAGAAAGAGATTTAACTGGACTTACAGTTCCACATGGCTGGGGAAGCCTCACAATCATGGCAGAAGGTGAGGAAAAGCAAGTCACGTCTTACATGGATGGCAGCAGGCAAAGAGGTAGAACTTGTGCAGAGGAACTCCTCTTTTTAAAACCATCTCATCTCATGAGACTCATTCACCATCAGGAGAACAGCACAGGAAAGCCCTGACCCCATGGTTCAACCACTTCCCACTGGGTCCCTCCCACAACATGTGGGAATTCAAGATGAGATTTGGGTGGAAACACAGCCAAACCGTATCAGCAACCTTGCCAGCATATATTATTTCTTGATTTTTTTTTTTTTGAGACCTGCTCTGTCTCCAGGCTGGAGTGCAGTGGCTTGATCTCAGCTTGCTGCAACCTCAGCTCGCTGCAACCTCTGCCTTCCAGGTTCAGGTGATTCCCCTGCCTCAGCCTCTGGAGTAGCTGGGACTACGGATGCGCACCACCATGCCCGGCTAATTTTTTGTATTTTAGTGGAGATGGGGTTTCACCATGTTGGCCAGGCTGGTCTTGAACTCCTGACCTCCTGATCTGCCCGCCTCAGCCTCCCGAAGTGCTGGGGTTACAGGTGTGAGTCACCGCAACCAGCCTGTTTCTTGGTTTTTCAATCATCATTCTGACTGGCATGAGATGGTATCTCACTGTTGTTTTGATTTGCATTTCTCTAATGATTAGTGATGTTGAGCTTTTCTTCATGTTTGTTGGCCACATGAATGTCTTCTTTTGAAAAGTGTCTGTTCATGTCCTTTGTCCACTGTTGAATGAGGTTGCTTGATTTTTTTCTTGTAAATGTGCTTAAGTTCCTTGTAGACTGGATATTAGACCTTTGTCAGATAAATGGATTGCAAAAATGTTCTCCCGTTCTGTAGATTGTCTGTTCACTCTGATGATAGCTTCTTTTGTTGTGCAGAAGCTCTTTACCTTAATTGGGTCCTATTTGTCAATTTTTGCTTTTGGTGCAATTGCTTTTGGCGATTCCATCACGAAATCTTTCCCGTGCCTATGTCCTGAATGGTATTGCCTAGATTTTCTCCTAGGGTTTTTATAGTGTTGGGTTAAGAATTTAATCCATCTTGAATTAATTTTTGTATAAGGTGTAAGAAAGGGGTCCAGTTTCAATTTGCTGGTCAAGATTCTTAAGGGAGTTACAGAATGGACTACCTGGTGTGTTGAAAGGGACCCTGGGTTGAGAGCTAGGAGATATGATTCTCAGGCTTGGGTGCCCCTGTCTACCGCTATGACCTTAGCCCTCATTTCATTTTTCTGTGCCACAGCCCCCGTTACTATTCACTTTGTAAAGTAATCCTAGATAGTAACTGATCTATGCACTGTCTTCCAGGCTACTTGTACTAGCTAGAAAATTAATTAATGCACTGAAGCAAACAGCCTATCTTATCACCACCACTACACAAACACACCCACACACACACACAAAATGAAAGAATATTTACCTGTTTCAGACAGGTATACTTATAATGCAAATGTGCATTTTGGATGTGCTAATATTTTTTATTATGCGAGACACACTAACAGATCTCATATGTGCTAAAGTGACTTTCCAAACAAGCTAATAACAAAAATAATAAGAATGAACTACAGTGTATTTCATGCTTTATCTCATTTCCTTCACAATAATCCTATGAGCTGAGGAGCCTACATTTTAGAAAACCAAGGCTCAGAGAGGTTATGTGTCTTAATGAATATCACACAGAGTGAAGACTAGGTTTGATCTTAACTATCAGCAAATATCCAAAAGACTATGTGCAGTTCCCCACAGCATCACCTACCTAAGAGCTTGTTAGAAATGTAAATTACTAGGCTGTGCACAGTGGCTCACACCTGTAATCTCAGCACTTTGGGAGGCCAAGGCAGGCGGATCACCTGAGATCAGGAGTTTGAGACCAGCCTGACTAACATGGTGAAACCCCGTCTCTACTAAAAATACAAAATTAGACGGGCATGGTGGTACATGCCTGTAATTCCAGCTACTTGGGAAGCTGAGACAGGAGAATTGCTTGAACCTGGGAGATGGAGGTTGCAGTGAGCCAAGGTCCTCTTTGTAAAGACTGAATAGTATTCCATTGTGTGAGCGTGTATCTGTATCTAGACAGATATATCACATTTTCTTTATGCACTCATTGGGTGACGGACACTTGGTTGATTACATAACTTGGCCATTACCTTCACTGAACTTTCATTTAGCACTGGGGATGCAAGACAAGTAGATGAGACACATTAATTAGGTTAATAAAGTATAACATCTCTGACTCTGAGATTTTTTGTGTGTCTTAAATTAAGTCAGGCTTTATTCTGAGACTGACCAATGTAACAGCTTCCTAGGGATGCAGTAACAAAGTATGAAAAATTGGGTAGTTTAAAACAACAAGAATTTATTTTTGAACAGTTCTGGAGGCTCAAGTCTGAAATCATGGTATTGGCAAGACCGTGTATTATCTGATGGATCTGGGGGAGAATACTCTCTTGTCTCTTCCTAGCTCTCATGGTTGCTGGCAATTCTTGTCTTGTAGACTGCAATCCCTGCCTCCATCATCACATGGCCTTCTTCTCCCTGCGTCCCTCACCTCTTCCTATAAGGACCCCAATTATACTGATTAAGGGCCTACTCTGCTTGGGAATGACCTCATCTTTTTTTTTTTTTTTTTTAAGACGGAGTCTCACTCTTTCACACAGGCTGGAGTGCAGTGGCATGATTTCAGCTCACTGAAACCTCCACCTCCCAGGTTCAAGCGATTCTCCTGCCTCAGCCTCCTGAGTAGCTGGGATTACAGGCACACACCACCACACCTGGCTAATTTTTGTATTTTTAGTAGAGACGGAGTTTCACCATGTTGGTCAGGCTGGTCTTGAACTCCTGACCTCGTGATCCACCCGCCTCAGCCTCCCAAAGTGCTAGGATTATAGGCATGAGCCACGGTGCCCAGCCAGGGAATGACCCCATCTTAATTAGATCTTCAAGGCCCTTATTTCCAAATAAGGTGCACATTCTGAAGTACTGATCATTAGGCCTTCAACACTTTAGCTTATCCCTTGGGAGAAACAAAATTCAACCCATAACAACCTGTGAATGTAAAGTCATTTACCTCTATACAAGTGTGCATTGGGCTTAGCTCACTTAGGACTATTGATGGCCTTGCCTCAAACTCAATTTTCTCAACCTATGTTGAACTATACAATCTCTGGGGAAACATGGGATGCCATGACTCTGTGATGAGATTGATAGAGACAGTATTTAGTCCCTGAGTTTCTGTGACCAGTGTGTTATTCTCTTAATATTTATTATTAATAAATTTAATGTTATTTAAACATAAAAATATAGTTTTCATACATGGTATTATGATGGGTCCATCTTATATTATACAAACATAAGTTGAAGCTTTGAAGAGCAATCTTTCAGATTTTCATTTAATTACAAATTTGTGCATCTGTTTAATAAGAGAGAACTTATTACTAGTTACAGGTTTCTTGGCAACTGAGCTATTTTTACCTAGAGAAGACTAAAGAGGAGGTGATGGATATTTAAATGACAGAGTCCCAACTGTTTGGAATTATGAGTCCATGTCCTTGTTTAATGTCTTCCGGGACAGCTGCCACCTGCTGTAACAGCTCTGGAACTCTGCTTTTAACCCACCAGATGCTTTCTGAATGCCTGATACACAAGGCCTGTGGAAGCTGGTGGGCAACCCATGCCTTGTATATATAAGACGCTCAATAAATGTTTATCAGGCCAGGTGAGTTGCCTTACGCCTGTAATCTCAGCCCTTTGGGAGGCCAAGGCAGGCGGATCATTTAAGGTCAGGAGTTCGACGCCAGCCTGGCCAAAATGGTGAAATCCCATCTTCACTAAAAATACAAAAATTAGCCGAGCCAGGTGGCACATGCCTGTAATCCCAGCTACTTGAGAGGTTGAGGCAGGAGAATCACTTGAACCCGGGAGGCGGAAGTTGCAGTGAGCCAAGATGGCACCACTGCACTCCAGCCTGGGCAGCAGAATGAATAATAAATAAATAAATAAGTGTTTATCAAATAAGAGAATGCTTTGGGGAGGCAGGGGTGATTCTTTCCTTGAGGACTCTGTAAAAGGAAAATACATCACCAAGCCAAGGGAAACGTCAAGCTGAAAACTGCATCAGGCAAACCTGCCTCCCATTTTATTCCTAAATAAGACAGGCTACAAAGAAGCTATATACCTCCCTCACAATTTGCCCACAAGGAAATTCCTTGTAGACAAAGGACAGAAGAACTCAAAGTCATTCCTCTGAGGCTCACCTGAGACAAATGCATATCTGATGGCTTCCTTTGCCCTATTGTTTATGTAGAAATGCAGATTCACTGAGCCAGACTGAATTGTGTATTCAGCGGAAGGCTGATCAAGGACTCAAAAGATTCTGCCGGGCACGGGCACGTGGTGGCTCACGCCTATAATCCCAGCACTTTGGGAGCCCGAGGCGGGTGGATCACGAGGTCAGGAGATACAGACGAGTCCATCCCGGCTAACACGGTGAAACCCCGTCTCTACTAAAAATACAAAAAATTAGCCGGGCGCGGTGGCGGGCGCCTGTAGTCCCAGCTACTCGGGAGGCTGAGGCGGGAGAATGGCATGAACCCGGGAGGCGGAGCTTGCAGTGAGCCAAGATCACGCCACTGCACTCCAGCCTGGGCGACAGAGTGAGACTCTGTCTCAAAAAAAAAAAAAAAAAAAAAAGAATGCATCCTTTTTTGTCTTTTATCTACTTCTGACCTGGCAGGCCCCACTTCCAGGTCCTGCCTCATAGGACTGAACCAATGTACATTTACACATATTCATTGATGTCTCATGTCTCTCTGAAACTGTACCCCGACCACCTTGGGCACATATCCTAAGGACCTCCTGAGGCTGTGTCACGGGCTAGTCCTTAAAATTGGCAAAATAAACTTTCTAAATCGACTGAAACCTGTCTCAGATATTTTGGGTTCACAACTCTATGCAGCTTATTTCAGTTATTTTCCACAAACAAGGACTGAGTACCACCTTTGGTAGGGCACCATGGGCCTGGATTACACTTTGGCTCAGTCAAGTAATCCTTTGGTGGTGTTACCTCTGCACTTATCTCAGCCTTCTTAATGCTCAGTTTCTTAGTTGGTAAAATTGTAAAATAATACCCATCCAGCAAGCATGTTGTGGAAATCACATGGTACAGGTCCTGAGGTTTGAGTCATATTTGGGAAATGAGGGTAGAGATTTTTTTTTTTTTTTTTTTTTTTTTGAGAAGGAGTCTCACTCTGTCTCTCAGGCTGGAGTGCAGTGGTACCATCTGGGTCACTGCAACCTCCACCTCCTGGGTTCAAGCGATTCTCCTGCCTCAGCCTCCTGAGTAGCTGGGACTATAGGCACACACCCCCACGCCTGGCTAATTTTTGTATTTTTAGTAGAGACGGGGTTTTGCCATGTGACCAGGCTGGTCTCAAACTCCTGACCTCAGGTGATCTGCCCACCTCAGCCTCCCAAAGTGCTGGGATTACAGGCATGAGCCACCATGCCCGGCCATGGTAGAGATATTCTTGCTTTGGCTCTTTTCCTTTTTGTTTTTTCTTCTTTCCTTACTTTCACACAGTCACCCAAAAACTGTAAGGCCCTAAATAGGTTTTTATGTTTAAAGAGGTGAGAGTTTCATTCTATTATCATCAGCTCAAAGTGATGAGATACCCCACTGTCCTGGCTCCTAGATTTCTGCCCTCAAGAAAATGACATATACTTGAGAAGTCTAGATAAACTTCATCATTATTACCATCATCACAGTCTTATAATTATCAAAGTGGCATCACTCTTATCAGTAATAATTATAGCTAACCTTTATTAAATGATTATGATGATCCAGGCATTGTGCTAAAAACATTTTATTTAGAGCTTATTTAAGCATCATCATAACCCTTTGAGTTAGGCACTATTCTTTTCTACCCACCTGGAAGAAGCAATAAAATATAGTAGTTAGATCCTAGACATAGTGGTTAGGTTCACTAGAGCTGAACTTGCTGGGTTTAAGTCCTTGCTGCATTGTGTACTAGTTGTGTCATTTGGGGCATATTATTACATCATCCTGTGTTCTGTTATTTTCAATAAGGTGGGGTGATGATTATCATAAGATTACCCATTTCATAGGAATATTATGAAGATTAAATGAATTGAAAGCATATAGGGCTTTGAACACATTTCACAGAGTAAGAACTCAACAAATGTCTCCCCTTTTATCTCCATCTTTTATCTCCATCTTTTTAACTCCAGCTCAGAGGAGTTAGCTGACTAGATTTGGTTATGCAATCTTTAAACAGGGGGACTGAGATTTAACTGTAGGCAATTCAATTCTGCAGCTTGCATTCAAAACCTCTATACTCTACATTTAAATAGAGTTTAATCACTAAACCAATCAACTATAGCAGACCTGGCACAATGCCATCTAAATCTAAGGGGGTGGGTAGCACAACTGATAGGGGCTCACAGGACATCTCTATGGGATGGAGAGAAAGTGAAATACAACTCTGGAGATTTCTAAAACACTCTTCAAACAGGGTGGGGACACACTGATTTAAAACCCTTCAAATCCTGGGGATTGAATTGCAGAAAAGGTCAAGAGCAGGGATATGGGAATCTCTCATTTGCCTTTTGAAGCCTGGGCTCAGCTGGAGTTTTAAAGAAAAGAAAAAAATGACGCTTTGCCTTCTCTTTTCTCTTGGGTTTGGTAGACTGGACCTGAGGACAGTTTGTTCTGAGTGTGGGTTGGGAGTAGAAGTTAGACACCCAGGGTGGTTTAAGTTGCTCAACTGAATGTGGAATCTATCTCTCTGTCAGAGACAGCCAGTGGATGGATTGCCCTGCCTGGGTAATTAGCCAGGTTGTTGAAATAAAAAGCTACATCAAGCAGCAATTCGCATAATCCCAACCCAGGTACTCACCTCCCAGGTATCTCTCAAATGCATATAGCAACAGCTGTGGCTGAGTTTTGATACTGAAGTTTGATGATAAATAAAAACACTGACCCCACATTTTATAAGAACACACTCACACTTTTTTCCTCTTTGTTATTTTTCATTACGTGCATAGGCTTGAGCCAAGCTTTTCTGGGCTTCAAGAGTGTTTCTTGTTTTGCTTTTCTTCTTCTTTTCTTTCCACCCCTCCTCCCCCAAACCTGGCACTCTGAGTATTGCATGACAGAGTTGATTCAGAAGCAATCTCCAAGCCTTCTACTTGGGGGGCCTCACCAGGCCTAAATGAAAACAATCATGGCAAGCCCTGGGGGAATCCTAAAGTTTGGGAACAATCTTTTAATGAGGGCAGGCTTCCAGGGAGCCTCCTCTTTGTCATAAGGAGCTTCGGGTACTCAATTAGGTGTCCCAGAACGCCGTTTTCCCTGCTAAACCTCCAGAAAGCTGTAGGTGTTACATATGGCTCCTTGATTTTTTTTTTTTTTAATCCAGAGCTTTATTTTTATTCCAAAAATGAAGACTGTTAGATATCTTTAAGAAACCTCCTTTACCTAAGCAGTGAGCTCTGAACAAATGGAACTCTTGACTGCAGGAGCTAAGACAGACAGCGTTACTCCCTTCCTCAGATCATGCCTCACTTACTTCCACTGGCTCCTTTTTCCACAACTCCTAGGCAGGGACCAGCCCGTTTGGCTCTCTGTTCAGAGACCTGGCTTAGCACTGATGTTTGTGTACTGCTTCTAGCCTTCTGACACGCAACTCATTTTCAGGATGCTCCGACCATGTCTCAGGCCTACAAAACAGCTTGGCATTAATGAGAATTGGTTTAAGAAGACTCTCATGTATGTATATATATATATAAAGATTTTATAGATTACCTCATTCATTTAACCTTTTATTCCCAAAGCTCTCTATATAATTGATAAAGACCTATGATTACAAAATATCCTTTACAAGCCCCTTTTCTTGTCTGTTTCAGTTTTTCTTTTCTTTTCTTTTTTTAACCTCAAACATGGGTATTAGAGTAAATATTTTCAATGTTTCAATGTTTCTTTTTTTTTTTTTTGAGATGGAGTTTCGCTCTTGTTGCCCAGGCTGGAGTGCAATGGCGCAATCTCTGCTCACTGCAACCTCCAACTCCCGTGTTCAAGCGATTCTCCTGCCTCAGCCCCGCAAGTAGCTGGGATTACAGGCTCTAGCCACCACGCCTGGCTAATTTTTGTATTTTCGGTAGAGACGGGGTTTCACCACGTCGGCCAGGCTGGTCTCTAACTCCTGACCTCAGGTGATCCGCCCGCCTCGGCCTCCCAAAGTTCTGGGATTACAGGCGTGAGCCACTGTACCAAGCCTCAATGTTCCTTTGAACCCTGAAATGATATTTTTATGATTGATAGTTTAGTGCCTCTCTCCTACAAAGGAATTTCCCTAATCCCATGGGAGAAGTATAATAATATAAGCAAACACAGCAAGCAAGGCAAAGTTCTTACAATTCTTCCTGATTCCTGACTAATGATCAATTTTATAGGACTTTTTAACTTCTAAAATATCAGGACAATTACTCAGAAAAATATGACCATAAGAGTGCACAATGTTAATGCGTAAGATGAACAAAGAAGAATATTTGGAATTTTATTATGAAATCCTGGTCATTAATAGTGGTAGGCCGTCTGTGACTTGAAGAACAAGGATCTCTTCCTTGTTCTTACCCCCCTTCCAATTCTCTCCTCTCAGTGGGTACCTTCTTTTCCCTTTCTCCCCATATCCTTCAATCCTATCCTTTCTTTTCCCATCCTTCAATGACAGTTTTAAACAATACTAATATCTAAGTGTTGGTGTGCTTAGCACTATTCCTGAATAAGATACTTTACTGGCCACTGATTTATTGCCTATCAGCTCCAAATTCACCCATTTTTTCCTGCTCTGTGAAAATGGATGTGGGACCTCTAAATATTTTTTCTTTGCAGACTGGTATAATTAAGCTCTGTCAGTAGAGGGTGTTATGCCTCAGTAGAGCCATTCCAGGAGGATGGAGATTGGCTTCCTGGTTGCAGTGTGGTCCTCTTGGAAGGTCCCTATACAGGACTTTTTTATTGCTACATGTTTTCAGTGAGCATCTTCTCCAGTGCCCAACTCTGCAGCACAGGCAACTTCTCCAGCATTTGGCTGCTACAGAGCATGTGGTTTCTCCAGCACCAGGCTCTAGCATGCTCTCTAGTATCCTTCTCCTACAGTGCATGTCAGCCAGCAACACTCATCATCTAGCAGCTTTCCCTAACATGCCTGCTGGGTGGTTTCATAGTGGGGTGCCTTTGGGGTGATACTTTCCTGTGAACAGCTTTTTAGAGCACCCTAGAGGAAAGATTTCTGGGAACTTCTGGAATTGTGATTTCTGGCAAGTCCCATAGGATGGCATCACGGTGACTTTTGAGCCACTTAGTGAAACACAGTCATGTCCTCTCCAATAAGAGCAGGTCCTGGTGGGTGAGAGAGAAATGCTCTTTCTTGGGCTCTATATGTGACTTTAGGAGAGATTGCTCTGAAATGTCTATTGTTTACAGTTTTATTTAACTTTTACTAGTCTATCCCTCATTATTCCAATCTCCAGTTATAGCTAATAGTTATTTACATTAATTTTTCCCTGTTTAGGCTGGGCATGGTGGCTCATGCCTGTAATCCCAGCACTTCTGGAGGCCAAGGTGGGCGGATCACCTGAAATTGGGAGTTCAAGACCAGCCTGACCAACACAGAGAAACCCTGTCTCTATTAAAAATACAAAATTAGCCAGGCATGGTGGCGCATGCCTGTAATCCCAGCCACTCAGGAGGCTGAGGCAGGAAAATTGCTTGAACCCGGGAGGCAGAAGTTGTGGTTAGCTGAGATTGTGCCATTGCGCTCCAGCCTGGGCAACAAGAGCGAAATTCCGTCTCAAAAAAAAAAAAAGATTCCTGTTTAAATATTTATGTGGTTTCTTTCTGGTTGGACACAGTCTGATACACATATCCCAACCAAAAAGAGGACAAATTTCCCCAAAGTAAATTTTAGTCTTATGCAGGAAGTAAGAAATACATAAAGTAGAGACATGTAAATAAGAAGATAATGAATTATAGAACTGAATACATAGTTAAGTCAGCAAGAAAAAGAAAACAAAAAAGATCCCAGCCTTCTTTCTCAATTGGTTATTCTCTTTTTGGGACAGGTTCTAGCTCTGGCACCCAGGCTGACATGAAGTGGTTCTATCTCAGCTCACTGCAACCTTTGCCTCCTGAGCTCAAGTGATCTTCCCACCTCAGCCTCCTGAGTAGCTGGGACTACAGGCGCATGTCACAACAACTGGCTAACTTTTGTATTTTTTGTAGAGATGAAGTTTCACCATGTTGCCCAGCTGGTTTCAAACTCCGAGGCTCAAGCAATTCACCCACCTCAGCCTCCCAAAGTGCTAGGATTACAAGCATGGGCCATCATGCCTGGTCTAATTCATTTTTCTTCATCTACCTTCATTGCTTTGATAGTCTCAGATAATCCTATAACTTTACACAGTCCCTATAGAAATAACCCCCAAATTTATGTCCCCAGCTTCAACCTATTTCCTAAACTCCAACTGCCTACTAATGTTGAAGTCAACATTTTTAAAGTTAAACTCTTCATTTTAAAATTATTATATATTAACATGTCATTGGAGGAAATAATACAGAGAGATCTTGTATCCCTTACCCAATTTTCCACATTCCCCCAATGGCAAAAACTAGCAAAACACAGTAGTACAGTATCACAAACAGAAAATTGACATTGATACAATCTACCAATCTTATTTAGATCTCCCCAGTTTTAATGTTAGATGGTTCTCTACCTGGATGTCAAATGGAAATCTCAAAATCAACACCTCTGATCATCTCTCCAAAATAGAATCCCCACGATCTGCCCTGTCTCCACTAACAGCAACTCCATCCTTCCAGTTGCTCATAACAAAATCTTAGGATCATCTTTTTTTTTTTTTTTTTTTTTTTTTTGGTGGAGTCTTGCTCTGTCACCCAGGCTGGAGTGCAGTGGTGCGATCTCGGCTCACTGCGAGCTCCACCTCCCGGGTTCACGCCATTCTCCCGCCTCAGCCTCCCGAGTAGCTGGGACTACAGGCGCCCGCCACCACGCCTGGCTAATTTTTTTTGTATTTTTAGTAGAGACGGGGTTTCAGCGTGTTTGCCAGTATGGTCTCGATCTCCCGACCTTGTGATCTGCCCGCCTCGGCCTCCCAAAGTGCTGGGATTACAGGCGTAAGCCACTGCACTCGGCCTAGGATCATCTTTGACTCATTTCTTTCTCTCACAATCCTCACGCAATAGGTCAGGAAATACTGTTGATTCTACCTTCAAAGTTTATTCAAAATCTAGTTTCCCCCACTTTGATACAAACATCTTACTCTGACCATCATCATTTGTCAAGTAGATTGCAGCAACAGCCTCCTAAGTTGTCCCCCTGCTCCCATACTTGCCGTTCTGCAGTCTCTTGTCTACTCAGTAGCAAGTGTTGTTGCCACAGTTAGGGAGTCAGTGTATTAGGGAGGTGAATATGGTAATAAAGAGGCAACACAATGGATTCTTGAGCTGAGACTGTTCTGCACCTTGACTGGGATGGTAGACACACAAACTTATATGTGTGATAAAATTTTATAGAACTAAATATACAGAGACACAAGACACACACACACACACGAAAAAGTAAAACTGGGGAGGTCTGAATAAGATTGGTAGATTACAGCTGGGCGGGGTGGCTCACACCTGAATCTCAGCACTTTGGAAAGCCGAGGCGGGTGGATTACCTGAGGTCGGGAGTTCAAGACCAGCCTGGCCAACATGGTGAAACTCAGTCTCTACTAAAAATACAAAAATTAACCAGGCACAGTGGTGTGCACCTGTAGTCCCAGCTACTTGGGAGGCTGAGGCAGGAGAATCACTTGAACCCGGGAAGCAGAGGTTTCAGTGAGCTGAGATTGTGCACTCCAGCCTGGGTGACAGAACGAGACTCTGTCTTAAAAAAAAAAAAAAAATGGCAGATTAGATCGCGTCAATGTCCATTTCCTATTATATGATAACTCAAATTTTGCAAGTTTTTACCATTGGGGGAAGGGCAAAAACTAAGTAAAGGGAATGGGATCTCTCTGTATTATTTCTTCCAGCAGCATGTAAATCTACAATTATCTTAAAATTAAAAGTTTAATTTAAAAAACGTTGAGTCCCCCAAAAAATATTTTGTGGATGACAGGTGATCATTCCATTCATCCCGTTATTGACTCTCAAATTACCTTTTTTTAGAAAAAGGATTTGTCTTGTCGGAGGAAAGAAATTTCTTGACTTTTCCGAAGTAAGAGAGATGAGAATTGATTGATCTATCTTGCTCCACAAAGGATTTTTCTGCTTTATAATGAGGGAACTTGCCCATGTTTGGTTGGTTGTACTTCTGAGTTATCCTTGTTTAAACTTGCCTAGTTTGATAGAAAGGATTCTTAGATTTGTATTCAGAAAACCTGAATTCAAGTCTAGGCCATGGCACCAATTTGCTTTGCATCGTTGTTCAAGTCAAGGGTCCTCATGATCCTTAGTTTATTCCTCTGAAATTCAAGAGGATGTGGAGATAAAGAATGACAATGGCGGCCGGGTGCAGTGGCTCAGCCTGTAATCCCCGCACTTTGCGGGGCCAAAGTGGGTGGATCACGAGGTCAGGAGATCGAGACGATCCTGGCCAACATGGTGAAACCCCGCCTCTGCTAAAAATACAAAAATTAGCTAGGCATTGTGGCAGACACCTGTAATTCCAGCTACTCAGGAGGCTGACGCGGGAGAATTGTTTGAACCTGGGAGGTGGAGTTTGCAGTGAGCTGAGATCACACCACTGCACTCCAGCCTGGGTGACAGAGTGAGACACTGAATCAAAAAAAGAAAAAAGAAAAAAGAAAAGAAAAAAAAAACAATGGCATGACAATCTCTCTGGTCCCTCCTACATAGTCCAAAGGTTATGACTCTGGACTTCTCAGCCTGGCACAAGCATTCTAGATGGACACAAATAACCCTCCACACCTTGGCTTTGAAGAAAACAGCAGGAGGTACCATGCTTTACTTTTGAGATATAGCACAAATTTTTACAGAGCAGGGTTGAGAATATCATGTCACCCAAAATTTTTATTAAAGTATACCTAAGAGTTTCAGTGAAGTAATTGCAGGAGACCCTGAGATTTATTCCCAAGGCTTGGCTACAAAATGTCATATTTTGTTGCAGGTTAAGGAGTTTTAGGTTTGTTGCCTTTTGGAGTAATTAAAAATTAGTATCATAATATAACTTCTTGAGAAAAGAAAAGTAGGAAAAATTATGGCCGAGAAACAATTTAAAAAAGAATGAAATGGACATTGTGTTTATAAACTTTTGAATGTTGGATAAAGTCCTAAATATACAGAGATAGCCTAGAAAATCTTATAAGGAGAAGATCTGCTGATGAACAGAGGAAAATTCTGTCTGAGAATAGGAAGACAGAAAAAATATTAAGAGAAGTTCTCTTTCAGGTGAGAGCAATTTTTATCAAAATATAGATATGATACAAACTATATATGAGAATATATGAGATGAAATATGTGAGAATCACGTGGGCCACTGTTAAGATGCACAGATGCCTGAGGCCCATCTGGGATCTATTGACTGAAAAACTCTAAACACTGGAGAATTTGCACTTTTTTTTTCTTTTTTGAGACAGAGTCTCTCAGTGTTGCCCAGGCTGGAGTGCAGTGGTGCGATCTCGGCTCACTGCAACCTCTGCCTCTCGAGTTCAAGCAAATTTGCACTTCTGATGAGCACAGTATATTAGATGCAATTTCTATTGCCCTGCTTTAGGACAGAGATACTCACTCCCCTAGCTGCTAAGAGTTTGAGTGTTTTTAAAAGACAGTTGAATGACTCCCCAGGAATTCCCCTGGGCTGAAGAGAACTGTGTTGTTCAAGGCTGAGTTTTTTCCCCTGCTCTCCACCCCAGAATAGCCTTTGTCTAATTACTAGTTGTTACAACAGGTGGGGTACAAAGACATAGCACCCTTGTCTAAATTTAAGACAACTCTAGAGGGCCATTTCATCTCTAGGACCCCGGAGGGATAGGCTGAGGCCTCAGTTGCAACTGTGTCATAGCTCAACTTTTTCTTCTGCCTGTTACTGCTTCCCTCACTATCTTAAAGGTGTTTTTCCTAAAAGCAATTCACAGTAAGCCATCTGCAAAAGAGTCTCCATCTCAGGGTCTGTTTCCTGGGATACTGAATGCAAGGTACACTATAAATATTTAGCACTATTGCAGGTGCTCATGTCTAGACTTCAGGAAAAAAAAAAAAAAGCAATGGCAACAAAAGGCCTTAGTCCTGAACTGTGTTATAAAAGGCATTTTTAATCTACTTGGGCTGCCACCTACACTCTTGGGTTATAAAAAGGGAGCAGCAGCAGAGCCCGTAGAAAAGAACACAAAGAGCATGGTGACTGCGCCTGTGACAGCAGAATGATTGGCTACAGGAAGCATCAGCAAGAGCAAAGCGACTGAGAAGGACGCAGAGATGGCAGCCTTAATTGAGCAAGAGCACAGCATCAGAGGTAATCCAAGGGGCTGCCCTGCATAGCATCCACCTGACATAGGAGGAAGGGATTTGGGCAAAATCTGCAGGGCTAGAGTGCTGTAAGGAGTAGAATTAACAGAAGACAGAGGGAATTGGCTTTCTAGATGTCACACGCACTGCTTTACCAAGAGACTCTTGTTCTTTTTTTTTCTGACTGTGGGTTTACCCATAGAGTCTGTGATAATATGTGAAATTGACATATATGCAATTGTCTGCTCATCCTACCTCATCTTCTATAATAGATTCTGCTCCCCCATGGAGAAGAGGGTATTCCTACATCATAGGCTACATCTGCTCAGATGGGGATGGGGAGGGTTATTGAGCTGAGGTGGGCCAATCACACTTTCTTCTTCAATGTCTTTAAATTTCCCTCTGTTGTGCTGAAGTCCTATTAACCTCAATAGGAAAGGCATCAGGTTGAACAGGCCAAAGAAGAGGTGCAGAGCCAGCAAACAAGACATAGGGTTTAATTAGGGGCTTACATACAGAAAAGAGAGTCCAGTGGCAGCAGCTGGACAGGAGAACCACCTTATGCACAGAAATTGTCTACTGGCCACAGGCTGGACCGCATATCTGCCTCCCTACAGATCAGTGGTGGCAGGCTGGATGATATAATCGCATGGCCCAGTGGCGGCAGGCTGGGCAGGGAAACTGCAATCACTTGCAAACAGCATGCAGTTTATATAGTATTTTCACTTGACACCCTCCCTTTAACAACCTCCACCTGGCAACCTTCACGCATCCCAGAACTCAGGGCCCCAATCCACTGTATGGCCCATGTTCCACAAGAAGAAACAGGAGCTCAGATGTTCCTCATGGACAAGGAATGAATCGAATCCTCAGGTTGGCCACGCCTGGATTCCCTAGCTCAGAACACACATTCAAATGCCTCTGCCATACAGCATCATTTTCAGGGTATGCTCAAGCTACTGCTATCAGGTGCATTTACACAACACTCTCTTTATATAAATTATTTGTGCTTTGTTTCCTCTAACTTGAAACCAAAGGAATTCTGATAATATGCTGGGGTCGAGATACAGAAGGAACGTAATATTCATGGAGCACTACTGTGTGCCAGACATTCAAAAGGGATTAAATTTGCTAGCTAATTATAGTCTAAAGTAATACTAAGACATCTGACACTGAAAATAATCATATTTGGAAAACATGGCGAATGAGCAATATTAAATAATCCCAGCTCAGATCAACTCAACAGGGGAGTAAGTTTCCGGATTTGTCATCCTCACTCATTAGGATGCATTTCAAAGCTCCAGCAAAGCTCCTCACTGAGGTTCTTTCATGATCCAAATGAATGATTGTAAACACCTGCTCTTAAGATTATTCAGCCCCCAAACATCCTTTTAGTTCTTTGTAAAGTGAAACTTCAAATCTCAGTCTAATTGCCATTCACATCTTTGAACAGATCTACAGCACATTAAATGAGAAACCTTTTGGCCCTACAGTGTGTCTCCTGCAGCTTGTTTTCTTACGGAAGTGAAATTGTTGAAGTAACAGTCTTATAAAACGTTAGCCTTGCCATTTAAATGTCTGCTGTCTAAAACGCACAGATCCCTTAACCAACAAGGGAGAATATTGTGAATTTGGGCACTCAATAGAAAAACACAGCCAAGAGGCTGGGCGCAGTGGCTCACGCCTGTAATCCCAGCACTTTGGGAGGCCGAGGCGGGTGGATCACGAGGTCAGGAGTTCAAGATCAGCCTGGCCAAGACCGTGAAACCCCATCTCTACTAAAAATACAAAAAATTAGCCAGGCGTGGTGGTGGGCACCTGTAATCCCAGCTACTCGGGAGGCTAAGGCAGAGAATAGCTTGAACCCAGGAGGTGGAGGTTGCAGTGAGCCTAGATGGCGTCACTGCACTCCAGCCTGGGCTACAGAGCAAAACTCCATCCTCAAAAAAAAAGAAAAGAAAAAGAAAAACACAGCCGAGAAATCCCTATGATCAAGACTTGACTAAATTTTATTTAAAATATTTAACAACAGTAACAAATCTTTATTTTTTGCTCTTTTGTAAAATAAAGGGTTCGGGCCACTAGCTAACATTTACTGAGTGCTGTTTACAAATCTCATGTAATTATTGTGGTAGACTGTTGAACATGTCAATGAACTATTGTACCCTAAACTATGCATATCCTGTGTGTAGTCCTTGCACATCAATTCTGAACTTGGTCATATTAATTTATTTGGTTAGCTGTACAGGAGCAAGCCTGAGACACTCAGAGGCTCAATAATTGCTTGTGCACTAGGTCTTTTTCTCTTAAAATTTTCTGTCCCCCTCTGAGAGTCCCTCAAAGCTACCCTGTAAAGAAGTTTGGCTACTGTGGTGTTATTATATATTTGTAGGTTTTTGTCCACAGTTCCTGGCTCATAACTCCCACAGCCCTTGTTACGTTCTTTTGTTATAATGTTGGGTGTCTTAGGCCTCAAAAAACAGGATTACTCTGACCTTCCTCTATTTTCCTTTTACCTGCCCCAAGACAGGACTCTAATCTTCTCCCACTTTTCTGAGTATGGATCTTAGGACCCTCTCTAGAGAGAGTCCCGCCCTATACACTGGAGGAAGGAACGCTGACATCATGAAATTTCCTTAAAAATCCAAGAAGATGGCTGGGCATGGTGGCTCATGTCTGTAATCCCAGCACTTTAGGAGACCAAGGCGGGTGGATCACGAGGTCAGGAGTTCAAGACCAGCCTGGCCAAGATGGTGAAACCTCGTCTCTACTAAAACTACAAAAATTAGCCAGGTGCGGCGGCAGGCACCTGTAATCCCAGCTACTCGGGAGGCTGAGCCAGGAGAATCCCTTGAACCCAGGAGGCGGAGGTTGCAGTGAGCCGAGATTGCGCCACTGCACTCCAGCCTGGGCGACAGAGTGAGACTCCATCTCAAAACACAAAACAAAACAAAAAAATCCAAAAAGCCTGGATTCAGAGAGCATCTGGATAGCTGAGCACATGGAGGTTTCTGGAGGCTGGTATCCAGGGAGGGCGTGGCAGCTCTGTGCTCCTTCCCTCATACCTCACCCTACATATCTCTTTATCTGTAGCCTTTATGATATCCTTTGTAATGCACTGATCAACATAATTGTTTCCCTGAGTTCTGTGGGCTGCTCCAGCAAATTAATAGAACCTAAAGAGGGGAGGGGGGCATGAGAACCCCAACTCAAAGCTGGTAGGTCAGAAGTTCTGGAGGCCTGGATTTTGACAGGTGTCGGGGGAGGGGGGGCAGTCTTGGGGACTGAGTCTTCCACCTGTCGGATCTGACACTATCTCTAGGTAGGTAAGTGTTGGAAAGAATGAGAGAACACCAGCTGGTGTCCGCTGCTTGGTGTGTGTGGGAAAACCTCCACACATTTGTTCACAGAAGTCTACTGTGTTGATTGTTGTGGTGTAAGAGCAGAGGAAAAACACAGTTTGGATAGTTTTTTTCCGACTCAGCTACTCTGCTGGAAAGAGCACAGAGAGGGGAGAGAGAGAAATGATGCTGATGACGCCTGGCTAAGAAATCACTGTGATCAAGACTTGGCTTGATTTGTTGTGAGAAAGAATAAATTGTTTTTGTTTTAAGCCTCTACGTTTTGGAAAAATTTATTCTACACAATAGACCCTTAAAATAACCTTCATTATCCTTGAAACTAATACTTTTATGGTACCTTTGACAAATGCAGAAAGTGCAGCAGAGAGCTTACTTAGCTTGCCAGTGATAACACAGGCCGTAGGTGAAACAACCAAATTTCACACATAGGCATTCTGCTCCAATCAGTGTGCTATATATTATTTATCTAAAATAAAGATATTTCTATTCATAATATTTAAAAAATTAGACAATTGCGAATACTTACTATTAGCCAACACTGTCGTACATCTTCTAAAACACACTTAATCTTCACACTAATCCTGTGAGGGAGTTTTTTATAGATGTTCGTTGTTTTGAGACTCCCATTTTTTGAAAGCTTTTTTTTTTGGTAAGAGGACTCCTATTACCTTTTGGAGAATTGTCTCCTTTTTACTGTATACAGAATTAACAGCAATGGCTATTAAAGAGTCCTGCCCTCCCTTAGGCAAAAGTTGGGCACGTGACCTAAGCTGAACCAATCAGAATCTCCCTTGTGAGAATTTGAATCAGGAGTGCAGAACAGCGCAAAGACAGAAGCACAGCTGAAGCTCATTCACTGTAGGCGGCAGACATGGGAAAGCCCCCAAATCAGAACACGAATCCTCTTTTAATTACCCACAGCTACAGTATTTCCAACCCTCTTATATTCCTGCCTGGTTCTCTGATCTCTGCTCTTCAGTACAACCCTTCTCTGCCTTGGTTGGTCAGTTTTGCTCTGTTGCATTCAAGAAATAAATTACTTAAAGACGAGGAAAATCAGTCTCATTGAGCCTACATAACTTGCTCAGGGTCTCACATCTTACAAATGGCAGAGTTGGGATCATAATTCATCTCTTGGCTCAAAGCCAGTGTGTTTAACCACACTAATCTTAGATGCATCAGCAGACTTTTAGATTTTCCAAGCCACGTATTGTTAGATATATAGATCTGTATGTTGTTTGATAATTGAAAAGTAACATAAATGAATTTCATTATTTTAATACCCTGTAAAAATGTGTTTTTTGAGATATGATTTAATTTAATGCTAGTAGCATTTATTGAAGAAAGCATTTGTTTTTTGGTGTGTGTGTGGGGGGGGGTTGTTTGTTTGTCTGTTTGTTTTTTTTGAGATGGAGTCTCGCTCTGTTGCCCAGGCTGTGCAGTGGTGCGATCTCGGCTCACTGCAACCTCTGCCTCCCGGGTTCAAGAGATTCTCCTGCGTCAGCCTCCTAAGTAGCTGGGATAATAGGCACCCACCACAGCACCCAGCTAATGTTTGTATTTTTAGTAGAGGCAGGGTTTTTCCATGTTGGCCAGGCTGGTTTCAAACTCCTGACCTCAGGTGATCCGCCCGCCTCGGCCTCCCAAAGTGCTGGGATTACAGGTGTGAGCCACCACTCCAGGCCTGAAGAAAGCATTTGTAAAGATGGTTATGGGAGATTGGAAAAAGTGCCAGAATGAAAAGAATAAATCTTTTTTGAATTCTGCCTTTATGTGTTAATGGACTTTGGGAAAATCTAATACTTCCAAATGTCAATTCCTTCATCTTAAAATGAGGTTATTTATACTTAACTTACAAGCTTGACGGGATTAAATGAAATCATATATTTAAAATTGCTTGTCATTTGGCAGTCACCCAACCTACTTGATATTTACTTGTTATTGACTTAGCATTTTTCTATTTTTTTGCTAATCCATCATAAATGATAAGATCACTCACTCGTTCACTTGATCAACAAATATAGCCTTCACTCCGTGAAAAAGCATTTCATGTTGATAAAGTATGTTTACAAAGATGAATAAGACATAGACTTCCGCGTTGAGCAGATCACAGTCTATCAGAGAGGGAACATGAGAAAGTTTTGAATAATTAAATATAATGTATTAAATGCATTACTGGAAAATACAAGTGATGTTTGGAAATAAAGAATGGAGTTACTGACTCTTAGTGACCACCAGAAAAGCTTCTCAGGAGAGGTTGATGTTTCACCTGGGCTTTGTAGGACAATGAGATAAGGTGAGTGAAGCTTAAATAAATGAATTAACCAAAATCACCAAATCACCTGAGTAGGAAGTGCTTGGATTAGAGTGATCAGCTGCTAGCTAATGTTTACTCCAAATCTAAGCCTCCCTTCACTCTACCATTCACATCTGTTGACTTAAACAGAAAAAAAAAAAAAAAAACTAATTTGTTTTATCAGTGGGTTTAGAGTGAAAAAAAATAAATTATTTTCTTATTCACAATGGTAGAAGGGAAGAGGGAA
Source organism: Homo sapiens (assembly GCF_000001405.40). Taxonomy (NCBI): domain Eukaryota; kingdom Metazoa; phylum Chordata; class Mammalia; order Primates; family Hominidae; genus Homo; species Homo sapiens. Next base: position 121,600,101 of record NC_000008.11, read on the forward strand.
TAAAGCTATAGTTGTGAGGACCCGTATTTATCTGACTTCAGAAGCTCAGCTGGGTTAGATCAATTCTGGAGAAATATTTTAACCTTTACACATAGATTCTCACCCAGTCACAGTCTGTAGACTATCCTTTATCTGCTCTAGAAAGGAAATGACTCAAGCATGGGAAGGAAAGATGGAAAATACCTATGGCATCATTGGATTTGTCCCTTGCCAGATACTATAATTTCTGTGGAGACACTTTCTTAATAAGACCTTGTTTAGGCTGGGCTTCTATCCATATAGTGAGATATGAGCTCTATATGCCCAGAAGTCATGTTCTGAACAGTTTGGAAATTGGCCATCTAAGGGGGTCATAGCAACATAAGCAACCTCCGTCATGGTCCTGGAAGGTCAATGGAAGTTCTCAGCTCTCTTTGTACTTGCTAATCTCTATGTTCCTTCTGCCAAAATTCTACTTAGAAAAGGTTATTGCTGGCTACAAATCACCATCCGGTGCCTAGATTACTGGCAAAGTGATGTGGGACTTCTCCCGGGTAGTGCTTAAAAATGAGCAAGCAGTAACTGTGGCCATCAGTACACAGAGAATTAGTGTATTTCTTTTCTTTTTTTTTTTTTTTTTTTTGAGACAGAGTTTCTCTCTTATTGCCCAGGCTGGAGTGCAATGGCGTGATCTTGGCTCATGGCAACCTCCGCCTCCCAGGTTCAAGCAATTCTCCTGCCTCAGCCTCCCGAGTAGCTAGGACTACAAGCATGTGCCACCACGCCTGGCTAATTTTTTTGTATTTTTAGTAGAGACGGAGTTTCTCCATTTTGGTCACACTGGTCTCAAACTCCCGACCTCAGGCGATCCTCCCGCTTTGGCTTCCCAAAGTGCTGGGATTACAGGCATGAGCCACTGCACCCGGCCCGAAATTAGTGTATTTCTTTTCCTTACAGTATCTTCTCCACACCAGATACTCAAACTTGAAAAATATTATCAGATATCAAAGAGAGTTACAACATTTAAAATCCTGGGTGTGAGCTTAAATAAACATTCATGTAGTATTGATTAAAACATTTTTAAAAAAGAACAGATAAAGCTCCAGTTCCACAGTCTGTACATAACTAAGCCATACATTTTTAAGTATTTATTATACTTGGGTCTAACTTGTAGGGTAAATTGTTAATTTGTGGAAATGAATATCGGGGAAAGGGAAAAAAAGCCTTCCTTTTTCTACTTTAAAATAACAAATAAGCCATTCTTTAAACCCTTGATGTCCTCTGTGGCCTGTCTTATGATTCAATTTGAGGTAAGCAGAAACAAGGCTTATCAAAGTGAGGTATTTGGCACCAATATTTTATACCTGCATATATTCAGCCATATTCAATTAGTATTTTCTTTATGTCAAACAATGTTCTGGAGCTCTTTGAGATGTCCCTGTTCTCTGAATTTTATACTCTGGGTGCTCAAAGAGACAATAATCAAGCAAACAAATAAATAAATATACTAATTTCCAACAGCAATGCTTTGAGAAAAATAATATGATGATATGGTAGAAAGTGAGTGGGGGACAGGATGTCACTTTAGACTGCATGGCCAGGAAATAACTCTCTGAAGAGGTGAGCTCAATAACAAGAAGAAATCAACCATGCTATGTTCTTGGAGAAGAGCCCTTTAGGCAAATACATAGCCATGGTTAATGGCCCCTGAAGCGGGAACAAGCTTGTCTTGGCTGAGGAACAGAAAGGATGCCAGTGTGTAATGTAATAAGGAAGAAGGAGAGAGGTGCAACAGGAAGTCATGGAAACATACAGAAGGCAGATCATGTTGGACCTTGTGGAATATGGTATTCTAAGATAAGATGTTTGAAGGCTTCTAAGCAGGTGAGTCAGATGCTCTCACCCTGGCTGTTAGAAAGGTGCAAGAGTGGGAGAAAGGATAGATGTCTGACAATACAAACAAGATGCTGGTGGCTTGTCTGAGCATGGTGAAAGTGATGAAGAGAAGAGTCCACCAGGACTCAGGCCCTTATCTGACCTTCGTAAGGTAAAAATCTTGATGTGTCCTAATGCTCAGAACAAATCATCATAACTCAAATGTGCAGAGTTTTTCTGAATTCTCAATGGCCTTTTCCTTCTATTATTATTACTAATATTATTATTTAGTCTCAATAGACTCCCTATGAGGTTTGTAGCAGGGGACCTCTTATACTTTTCAAATTGAGAAATTGAGATATTCACCAAGAGTCAACCAGAACCCAGTGAAGCCAGGACTGAAATTCAACTAATGCCAACATCATGCTTTTCCTACTGACCCACCTACCATATTTTAGACATTCCAAAGTGCTTATTTTATCAGATGTAAAATTTTCTGTATTAAGTGTTATTCTGGATGTCAGAAGATACTAGACAATTACATGAGTTTAACAGTTCTGTGTCTGAAGAGGGTGGCCACCTATGCTGAGAAAAAAAAAAAAAAACTGTATAGAAGCCTAGAAATGGGTGACTTAACATGCAGTTTTGAGGCATGGGCACGGTGGCTCATGCCTGTAATCCCAGCACTTTGGGAGGCTGAGGTGGGCAGATCACAAGGTCAGGAGTTCGAGACCAGCCTGGCCAACATGGTGAAACCCCGTCTCTACAAAAAATACAAAAAATTAGCTGGGCATAGTGGCGGGAACCTGTAATCTCAGCTACTCGGGAGGCTGAGGCAGGAGAATCTCTTGAACCCGGGAGGCAGAGGCTGCAGTGAGCTGAGATCACACCACTGCACTCCATCCCTGGCGACAGAGTAAGACTCTGTCTCAAAAAAAAAAAAAAAATCAGTTTTGAGAGGTCAAATTGCTTAGTATTTGAGTTATATATCCAAGCCCTCAGTGTGGTGTTTTGATGAGTAAAGAAAGCATAGGAAGAAAGGAATATTAATGAAGTTAGTTGTTTATGAGAGAAGGAAAAAGTAAAATTTTATTAAACTCCTATGACATGGTAAGTATTTTTCCTATGTATTTTTCATAGGATATTTTGATTACACAATAACTCTGAAAGATGAGTGTCATTTCCTTTATTATTCAGATAAACTAAGGCTCAAAGTGGTGGTGTAGTTTTCTCAAGTTTATACAACTGAAAAACAGCAGAGCAGCAGTTTGAATGCAAGTCAATCTGCAACCAAAGCCCAAGTATACAGTGAGTCAGAGCTCCAAACTTGTCTGGCCTTATACACTTCCAAAATGGGTAATATGGCAGCAATTTGTTTTGGAGCAAGAACTTTAGAATCTCCACTTTTTTTTATATGTTATGATATTTCCTAATGGAGCTGAATATTTCAGGTACTGTACTGTACTACTCAGAGTGGCCTTATATTTAAAATCTAAATATCAAAGACCTGTAATCCTGAAAGCTTATAATTTACAACTCCTTTTGAAGGGAATGGATTTAAGCATAGCCTCTATATGTCAGGTTTAAGATTAGAGAAGCTGCCCAGAAATTGCAAATTAGAGGTTTTCTGCATTATAAAGCAGGCCTCAAACACTTATCTGGATGAAAGAGAGCCAGATGCTGGCTCCAGGGTATGTAACCCGTAGTGAAGTTAGAACCCAGGAGCTAAAAATCAAATGGATTGCAGTGTACTTACTTAAGATACTTGCAGTGTACTTACTTTTTCCACTCTCTCTCTTTATACCTTGCTTCATTCCTGAAACCTTTGAAGCAGCTGAATTGGACCAAATGGCTTTTAAGTTATCCACCTACGATGATTCCACTAATAGCTTCATAAAACAGCCATTCATTTTTGATTCCCAAAGATCCTTTTTCCAGGATTTTTATTTTTGTAATACTTGCATCTATTTTTTTTTAAATTAGAGACACATTACATGTTGTCTGGAGAGACTAATTGTTTACTTATATGACATACCAGTGCCTCTGTTCATTCTGAGAGTAAGGCATATATACTGTGATTCTAGCCTCACCTCGTTAAAAAAAAAAAAAGATTGTATTTGATTTTGTTACTCAACAATCAACACAATCTAAGACAGAGAATAAAAAGCAAATTTTCCCTTGGTTTATAAAGCAATAGTGCTTCTTTTCCGTCAGTGCTCTCATATATTGCGAGAGTTGTTTCAAAGACTAGCTAACCCACTAATTGTACATTTTCCCAACATAAAAGGATTAAACTCCTTGTTGCCCTGAAAAGCAGAATTGAAAGAAATCACTTAGATTTGCCTAAGCTATAGTGTGGAGAGCTTTCTGACAACAGGTGGGTACGTTGAACTCTTTAGAGAAGAGCCTGTTTCTGTAGCTGGTAGGCTAAGCCAAATGAACCTGAAGGTTTCTGTCTCTTAACCCTGTGGTCCCCACACCTGGAGCTGATTACCCAAATAAGTAGGAGGTTAAGCTCTGAGTGAAAACAAACTTTTCTTAATCCAGTCTATCATGAGAACATTTGGACACAGGAAGGGGAACATCACACACTGGGGCCTGTCATAGGGTAGCGGGGGCAGGGAGGGATAGCATTAGGAGATATACCTAATGTAAATGACGAGTTAATGGGTGCAGCACACCAACATGGCACATGTATGCATATGTAACAAACCTGCAAGTTGTGCACATGTACCCTAGAACTTAAAGTATAATAAAGAAAGAAAACAAATTCAACTTGTGATGTCAGAAAATATATGCCAGTGTCGCCTGAACTATGTTCTGCAGAATAATAATGTTAATCCAGATGTTAACCAACATCCCGGTGGAAAGAGTATCATAGTCATGTAAGTGTGGGGATTTCTGTATGTGATGGGCCTTTCTTGTAGATTCATAAAGCTCATCAGCATATTAAAAGTTTCTGAGAATTTATACAGCGAAGAAATATGGCGTTTCTTGGGAGAGATAGCATTAGGAGATATACCTAATGTAAATGATGAGTTAACGGGTGCAGCACACCAACATGGCACATGTATACATATATAACAAACCTGCACGTTGTGGACATGTATCCTAGAACTTAAAGTATAATAATAAAATTTTAAAAATGTGGTGTTTCTTAAACATGCCTGAGATTAGAACTCTTTTAATTAATGAATGATCTTTCAATATCTTGGAGCACTGATGTTGCAAGCACTGACTGAAGCAACAGTTTTTCCTTTTCCAAGCGCAAAACCTAGTATATAGTAGACACCTAACAAATATTTGTTGAAGATCAAATAAGTGCATGAATGAATGAAATCATATAAAGTAAGGATATATATTTATATGCATACACTTGTAGTGTAAATAATTTTTTTTCCTATGGAAACAAATAACATGATCCAACCCATGATTACTGAACTCCTGCTTTTGGGGAGCTCCTATGCTAGGTGTGGGGGAGACCAGGATCTAGGACAAGATGATGATCACACCATGTTACATGTGGAAGAGAGATCACCGGGGTAAAGAAAACATGCTATGCAATACAGGTGGGACGGGGGGTCAGGGGAGACTTCTGGTGAAAATGATATCAAATTGAGTCATAAATGACAAGGTAGAGTTAGCTATGTAGAGAGATGATTTCATGAATGTATATGATATGCACGTATAAGAAAAGCTTCAGATGTACTGCATTGTAATACAGCTTAATAGCATATAAAATACACATTAGTATTTTATGATTTGAAGGTAAAACATTGTATCAGAAATGCCTTTGTTCAATGAGAAGGCTAGGTATTCCAGGAAACCAAATAATATGAGAACATGTGTCAACAGTACTTGTCCAAATTACGTCAAAGAAAAACATGAACCATTAAACAATATAGGAAATGTAGCACTTAGCATTTAAATTAGTAAGTTAAAAAAACAATTTTTGGAGTGGGGGGAATCTGTGCATCCTCATTATAGAAATTCTAGTGAACTCTACTACTTCACCTTTCTCACAACTGAAGAACAGCCTCCTGCCCATACTTTTTTCTTTTCCAACACTGATGTATTTCTGTCTCTAGCCTCTCTTCATATCGTAAGTTATAAGTCGACCGAGGGATGAAGGAGTTCCTTATAGCTAAAAAGCTAAGATTTTGACTTAAAAGAAAAAATAACTCTGACTCTGTGGGCGTTTCCCAACCTGTATTGGGAGTTTTATTCCCTCATGCTTTTATTCTGTTCACAAATTTATTTTGAGTTCCTAATCTGTGACACACTATGTGCTCAGATCAGAGCATGCAATGCTGATACGATTTTACACAGTTCCTTTCTTTCTTTCTTTCTTTTTTTTTTTTTTTTGGAGATGGAGTCTCGCTGTGTTGCCCAGGCTGGAGTGCCGTGGCGCGATCTCAGCTCACTGCAAGCTCCACCTCCCAGGTTCATGCCATTCTCCTGCCTTGGCCTATCAAATAGCTGGGGCTACAGGCACCTGCCACCACACCTAGCTAATTTTTTTGTATTTTTGGTAGAGATGGGGTTTCACCATGTTAGCCAGGATGGTCTCAATCTCCTGACCTCGTGATCCACCACCTCGGCCTCCCAAAGTGCTGGGATTACAGGCGTGAGCCACTGTGCCCGGCCTCACACAGTTCCTTTCATCATCCAGCTTATCCTTTACTGAAAGAGACAGATGTTGAACAAGGAGTCATAGAAACAAAGGAGTCATAGAACAAGGAGTCATAGAAACAAAACTAAAAAATAAGCACTAAGAAATTTCATAAGAGAATATAATAGAGAAACAAACCTGGCAATGGAAGTCATGGAAGACTTCCCCGAGGAAATGAGGATTGAGCTGAGGCTGAAGGGTAGATAGGAATTCACTACACAAAGGTGGCAGTGGGAGGAAGTGGGGTCAGGAAGAGCTTCTGGAAACGACCACAGTAAAGTAAGAGCATGGCTTACTTTGAGTTCCTTTAAGTAACTTTTTGAAGGAAAGTGTAATTTCTTATTTCTGATAACTTTTAATGTGCTGATGAGCTTTATGAATCTACAAGAAAGGCCCATCACATACAGAAATCCCCACACTTACATGACTATATTTCTTATGCCAAGCTGGTCTTGAACTCCTGACCTCAGGTGATTCGCCTGCCTCGGCCTCCCAAAGTGCTGGGATTACAGGCATGAGCCACCATGCCCAGCCTTCAAATTTACTGTCTGTAGTCATGTCCCACTCTTGGTTAACTACAACCTCCACTTTAATTAAATTTGTTAATTCTGATATCTGATATCTTATTTCTGATATCTTATTTCTGATTTCTGCTTATCCTGCAGCCAAATGCCTGGAATACTACCAACTTTCCTAAAAGAATATTTATTACTTGGGTCCATCCATCCTTCCTGGTTCCTTCATGTGTTCATTTACTTATTGACCATTTTTTTTTTTGAGACTGTCACCCAAGCTGGAGTACAGTGGCACGATCTTGGCTCACTGCAACCTCCGCCTCCTGGGTTCAAGCCATTTTCCTGCCTCAGCCTCTCAAGTAACTGGGATTACAGGAGCCCGCCACCACACCCAGCTAATTTATTTTTTTTGTATTTTTAGTAGAGATGGGGTTTCACCAGATTGGCCAGGCTGGTCTTGAACTCCTGACCTCAAGTGATCTGCCCGCCTCAGCCTCCCAAAGTGCTGGGATTACAGGCGTGAACCACCGCCTGGCCTATTAACCTAATTTTATTGAACACCTGACTATGCTAGTTACCATGGAGGATTCAAAAATGATAAAGACATAGACTTAGCCTCAGAAACCTTTTCGTCCACCAGGTTGTTATCATGTGCACTAATATTCATAAAACAAGACAGAAGAAAGTCTGGACTGCATGACAGAGATAAAAATAGAACACTAAGAGTGAAGGTAAATAAATCATTTTAAATTGAGGTATTGGGTAAAGGATATGCTAGTAAAATGAAGAATATGGAAGAATTTTGACAAGTAGGTATAAGAATGGGGGAACAGTGAAAAGCCATTTAAAATTGAGAGCAAATACCCTCTCACAAAGATAAAAGAGAAGGGCAAAGGTGAAAAGCCATTTAAAATTGAGAGCAAATGCTAACAGAGGAGAAGGGCAAAGTGTGTTCAAGAGGGAGCAAAAAAATCTAGTTTAGTAGGACATGAAAAATAGGAGTAAAGGACTGCAAGGGAGAAAATAGATAATCATCAGTCTTGAATAATTTCTTACATATTTAATGCTTTTGTTGACAATGAGGTGAAGTTAAATCTTTGTATTCAGAATTGGGCCTTAGAATGATAATTTTAACAGAAATGCAAAGAATCCATTGGATGAAACAGAAATGGAGAATAGAAAGGTAGTCAGGAGGTATTTTCTTTTTCTTTTTTTTTTTTTTAGACAGAGTCTCACTCTGTGCCAGGCTGGAGTGCAGTGGCGTGATCTTGGCTCACTGCAACCTCTGCCTCCCTGGTTCAAGCGATTCTCCTGCCTCAGCCTCCCCAGTAGCTGGGACTACAGGCATATGCCACCATGCCCAGGTAATTTTTGTATTTTTAGTAGAGACGGGTTTTTGCCATGTTGGCCAGGCTTGTCTCGAACTCCTGAGCTCAGGTGATCTGCTCGCCTCGGCCTCCCAAAGTGTTGGTATTACAGGCGAGAGCCACTGCGCCCAGCCATCAGGAGGTATTTTCAACAGTTCAGGTAAGAGATTTAAAAAGTCTTAACAAGGATGAGAGATGAATTTGAATGACATGGCAAAGGTGGGATCAAATGACTATAATAACTAGCTGGTTGCGGGCTTCTTATACCAAAACAAAGCTGAAGAGAGTGCTTGGGTAATTGGCAAGAGGCGATGACCTGAGAATGTAAAGCAAGAGGCAGCCTTGGAAGAAATACAATGAATGTGGTCAGGTGCCTGGGAGAGAAATACCAGTTTATTACAAGCATGCTCAGGCCAAATCGTAATTATAAACACAATTGTTTCTGTGAGATCTTTGAAACCAAACATCATAAAGTGCCTTATTTTATGACAATGTTAGAACCCTGTCCAAAAATTCCATGGGTGTGTCATCTATCAAAAGTAATGTAAATATCTCATTCTAGTATTTCTCCCAGTTGTGTTATGGTCTTCTATCGTCCATCTTCAAATTTACTTGTTTTTTTTTTTTTTTTTTTTTTTGAGACAGTCTTGCTCTGTTGCCCAGGCTGGAGTGCAATGGCGTGAACTCGGCTCACTGCAACCTCCACCTCCTGGGTTCAAGCAATTCTCTGGCTTCAGCATCCTGAGTAGCTGGGACTACAGGCATGTGCCACCACGCCCGGCTAATTTTTGTATTTTTAGTAGAGACGGAGTTTCGCCGTGTTGGCCAAGCTGGTCTCGAACTCCTGACCTAAGGTGATCCGCCTGCCTCGGCCTCCCAAAGTGCTGGGATTACAGGCGTGAGCCACCATGCCCGGCCTTCAAATTTACTATCTATAGTCATGTCCCACTCTTGGTTAACTACAACTTCCACTTTAATTAAATGTTAATTCTGTTTAAAGGACAACATATTAAAAGCACACCACTATCGCTGTATTCATGTTCTTTTACCTGAAAAATCATTAATTCCCATCCAAGTTTGCACGTCTTTAAAGAATCAACCTAAATACCAGGCTATCTTAAAACCTGCCGTTATGAGGCTAATTGTACATGTTCACCTTCTTCTTTTTACATCCCATGCCACTCTGTATAAAGAGTATTATTCTATTTCACATCAAATCCCAGTGTAATTACCCTCTTACTTACAGTGTAAATATCCCTCTTACTCAATTGTAAGCTCTTTGAGTATAGACACAGTGTACACCACTTCATTTCTTGCCCGTGACAGGAACTTTTTTCTTTTTTTGAGACAGAGTCTCACTCTGTTGCCTAGTTTGGAGTGCAGTGGCATGATGTCCACTCATTGCAACCTCCACCTCCCGGGTTCAAGTGATTCTCGCGCCTCAGCCTCCAGAGTAGCTGGGATTACAGGCATAAGTCCCCATGCCCGGCTAATTTTTGCATATTTAGTAGAGACGGGGTTTCACCATGTTGGCCAGGCTGGTCTCGAACTCCTGACCTCAAGTGATCCACCCACCTCGGCCTCCCAAAGTGCTGGGATTGCAGGCGTGAGCCACAGTGCCCAGCCTATAACAGGTACTTAATAAACTTAGTTAAAACCAGATATCTGCCAACACCCATAAATTATATTAAAGTAGAAAAGTTCAATGGGAGAATACAATATTTGAATGAATAACTATCTTCGAAATGATATGCGGTTTGAAGGGAACAATATAAGATACTAGATTAGGGCAATGCTTCTCAAACTTTAATGTGTTTAAAAGTCACCTGGATGGGAATCTTATTAAACAGATTCTCCAGAGAATTTGATTCAGTAGGCCTGGGGTAAAGCTACGAACTTGCATTTCTAATAAATTCCCACATGCTGCTGATGCTGCCGGACAGTGGATGAAATACTGAGTAGCATTAGTTGAAGGGGCAAGCTTGATGTCATAATGTCTGGACCTAAATTCCACCACTACAATGTACTGGCTTTATAATATTAAGTTACCAAATTTCTTTAAACTTCACTCAGCTTCCTCGCTTAAAATGGTAATAATAATGGAACTTCTTGGGACTGACATAATAACTAATCTATAAAGCATGCTTCTGGTAGTGCCTAAAACATAGTATGTGCTCAAAAATTAGGTGTCAGTGTGAGTACTTAATGGTACAGATAAGTCCACAGATTTCTAAAGAGCAGGGGTCATTAACTATGGGCTGCAGGATATATCTGGCTTGTTGCCTGTTTTGGTAATGCTGGTGAATTAAGAATAGTTTTGTGGGGGTTTTTTTTGTTTTGTTTTGTTTTGTTTTGTTTTTGAGATAAGTTCTCATTCTTGTTGCCGAGACTGCAGTGCAGTACTGCAAACACAGCTCACTGTAGCCTCCTCGACCTCTGGGGCTAAAGCAATCCTCCCACTTCAGCCTTCTGAGTAGCTGGGACCACAGGCAACGCCCACACCTGGCTAATTAAAAAAAAAAATTGTTTGTAGAGACTGGGTCCTGCCATGTTGCCCAGGCTAGTCTCAAAATCCTGGCCTCAAGCAATCCTCCCACACTGCTGGAGTTACAGGCGTGTGTTACCATGCCCAGTCCTAAAATGTATACTTTAAGGCTCTTTACATTAAAAGACTGTCACCAAGTGACTTCATCAGTGAATTATTAAGTTTAGAACCATCAATATTTCTGGATTATCTGACAATAATGTTCAGTGGCTATAGTTTATAATGTAGCAGTACAAAAGTAATGAAGGATTCTTAGAAAACAGATAACACAAAAGAACTGGGAAATAAGATGAATTTGAGGGATAAGAGGTAAAATGAGATAATTACTATCAAAGTTCCTCTAATCAGAAAATGCTGTTAGATGTCCCAACCCACTTTTTAAAAAGATGATATTTATTGTCTTTTTTTTCCTGATTATAAAAACATATTTATAGTATTTGGAAAATACAAAAACATATACAGAATATAAATCAGTCATTCCCAGTATTAGAGATAATCATGTTTAAACATCTTCACTTTTATAAAATTGGGATGTTACTGTACAAAATGGTTATTTTTTTAATGTGACATTTCTCCAAAATCCACGTGTTCTCTGAGAACATTGTGTTCAATAGCTAATGATGTCCCATTTTTTAGAAATGCCATGATTTATTTAATTATTGCCCTCATCATTTGATTTTAGGTTAAGGTTTTATTATTTCTGAATAATGCTGAAATAAACAAGCTTGCTTATCATATTTCTGCATATCTTTGATTTTTTTTCCTGCTATAAGTTACTATAATTTAAAAAATTGTCTAAATTTGTGCTGCTTTCAAGGGAAGCAGAAGAAAAAGATTATAGACAAGGGTAATGATAATTAAGCAGTCTCTCTCCTCTCTCTGTGGTTTTCCAGATTTTCAAACCACACCAGTTTTAGGGATTTCTACCTAATAATAAGTAACATTAAATGACATATTCTTTTTTACCAACCATCATTTTTTTTAAAACCCCCCCTTCCTAAATTCATACCATTATAATCAGGAAAACAAAGTTCCCCCTTCCCTTAGAAAAAAAGGCAATAATCTTATCAAAAATATTTTATTTACAAAAAATTAATTATACTATACATCCTATACTGGAAATACATTGAATAATTGCTAAAATAAATACAGGCAATTAATTCAACTTTTTATAAGAATGAGAGAATTTGACATTTGAATGTTATCAAAGCTTAACTTAGAACATAAATAGTTAAAAAGGCAAACTCAAGTTTTCATCTCATTTATTGGCATGGTGTGTTTTGTTTTCCACAAGCTCTCCAATCAGTGAGAGTCTTGAGTCTCAGATGTACCTTTTTGTACTCTGAAGGTAGGATGTGCAGCTTTTTCTTAGGCAGGATAGATGTAACATAGATGACTGCATAAAAAAGAGGCAGAAAGGCAGGAAGCCCATTTTTTTTTTAACACTTCTCCATGTGTCTCTGCCTCACCATAATGCTGTTTATTCAATTATTCATATATTCCGATTGTGTTTTCAACACAGGTCTACACAGCACCAGCTACAAGGCAAGGTCAATCGTGTAAAAAATAAAACTGGATAATGGAGGCCTTGCAGTAACTAAATTAGCCAAGTTCAGAGTATGTGGTTCAACAATTTTTATATGTGCCAATCATTGATATACTTATTAAACCTTGATGTCACTTCTACTGTGTAGACATTTTTATACAGGTCCAGAACAGGAAATAGGAAGTGATGATCTGTGTAATTCAGAAAAACAAAATTCCTCATTTGAAAGTAAAAGAGGATAGATACTTGGTGATTCTATCTGCCAATTTTGAATTTATATGTTTTATAATTTATCCAACTCACCCGTGTAAACATTATACTAACATGTAAAGTGAACTGGCAAGTTGAAAAAAAAAAAAAAGACAGGCAAAACATGTTCAATGTGTAGGTAGGACCCAGTAAATTCAGGCCACAGAACAAAACCTTTGATAAACTGCATTGTATGTGTCCAAAATTATACAGATAATTTCTCCACTTTCCACTTGACTTGTTCTGGGAAAACACTGCCAGAATCTCCAAAGATTATTCATCTTTGATACCCATGTTTTGTCCAGTGCTGGATGCCTACTGTTTTCTTTCAAAGACTATCATTCCCTTTTTTTTAAATCTTAATGAAAAAATTGCACTACCTTTGGCCTTGATTTTCAACGATTTTTTTTTTAGGTACACACGAAAGTGTGTATTTTTACTTCCAAAGTGTGATAGGTATATTGGCCTTTTCTAAAAGAAATAAAAACAAAAAGTTAAAATATTGAAAGTTTAAATACTTCTTTCACAGAAATAAACTATTCAATTTTAAAAGGTAGAGAGAGAGAAACATTTTATTCTTTCTATCATGAACATCAGTCAACCAAGCTTCACATTTTGGGCAGGATTTTTTAAGTATAAATTTTTTAAGAACTTATTTTATTTTAAAAAAGGAAGAACAGGTTTATTTTGGCAGAAAAGTAAAATAGAGAATATGCAAAATTTGTCTTTAAGATTGGCATACAAAATTTAAAAACACAGTACAATTATATCAAAATACAGCACAGCCAACGGCCTTTAAAACTTCCTTTGGCATTTCATTTGGTAAAGTTAAAAAGAAAATCCTTCCTAAAAAAAAAAAATTATCATCTATCAAAACAGTCCATAAGTTAGGTTGTATAGGTTGAAAGAACTTTTCCTTGAGTTTCCAAAATCCTTTTCTTCCATGATAACCCACATAAAGCATGGCTAGTGAGGTATATAGGGCAAAACACTTTCAGGCGGATGCACAGTAAGGAAAAAGTGCATAAACAAAGAATTCATCCCATTTTCATAGAAATAACAGGTTAAATCTGAGTTTCTTCTTGTTGATGTATTGTTTTACTTTGGCAGAATGAAAATAAACCCATATAAATGTCTTTGTTCAAGTCCCAGCAGCAGTGATATGTCTCCTTTGGTGGCATTATCTGATGCCACAATACTGTACAGCCCCTAGAGGAACTAAGGTGTTGTGTGTGACTGCAAACGTCAAAACATGGAAGATCATACATCAAGCACCATGTCATATTGTTGTCCCTTCTTCCGCCTGCCACACTTATTGATGAGAACTACATACAGCGTCAAAAGCATGACCCAATAGCATGCATAGAGCAACGTTCCAACAATTAGAACTGTCTGTTTGGATTCTGAAAATGGCCTTTTAGACTCCTTATAAATGGTGAAAATCACACCACCCAGGAGGATTGTAAACCAAACTGATACTGGAATGAGTCCTATGAAATTAACAACAATGGTTTTCCTTCCTGATGTGCCCCACCCAGCTTTGTTTATTGTTGCAATTGCAAACATCTTGGCGGGAAGTAAACTCGACATGTATAACACTGAGTAGAGAGACATGAAGACCATGACGATATTTCCTCTAAGGCAGCTGGCAAAAGATGATTTTATGAGACCTACTAGCTGGACAGTTAACAAGAAGAGGAGAATGTTCCAAATTTTACCCCGGTAGAAGAGCTGGATTACTGTGGCAATGAGAAAGAAAGGAAAGAATCCAGTGATAATCGCTTCGTAGGTCATCCACAAGTGATGTTTGTGAAACCACATTGCATTGTACAGCCATTCTCGGAAGTAGGACTTGCTCCAACGGGTCTGCTGGTTTAGCCATCTGAGATATTCTATAGGTGTTTCAGTAAGGCACTTAGATCGAGCTGTGTATTTTGTTGCATAGCCCAGGCTCAGCACCCGGTTCGTGAGATGCCTGTCATCACCAAAGCTACATTGGTTGCCCATAAATTCTTGATTGTACCAATCTTCCACAAACTCATGCAACAAGGAGTTTCTGTACATTCCCAGAGGTCCACTAATGCACTGAACACACCCAAAATAAGACTGACAGGCCCTTTCTATATTAAAAGCCATCCAATATCTTACACTGCTGAGGAATGAGATCCAGGAATCGTACTTGTTTAAAATCTGCAAGAAGAAAAACATAAGTAATAGGTAAGCTTTAGCTAAAAATTCCAGCAAAACCTGTTCCATCCTGAGGTTACTACCTGGAGTAATATTTGTTATTTTATCCTCCCATTTTGGCTTCGTTCCTCTTTTTGGCGTGGTTATTTTATGTTTTCTCTGATTCTCTGATTCTGTTACTATTTGTTATGCTGTATGCATGTGTTGCGATTCTTTGATGGTGAATATTTTTTTCTATTTCATCCTCTACCCTCTTTCTGCTATTCTTATTCTGTTTGTTGTGTTATCATATTGAGATATTTACTTATTTATTTATTTAGAGATGGAGTCTCGCTCTGTCACCCAGACTGGAGTGCAGTGGCGCGATTTGGGCTCACTGCAACCTCCGCCTTCCTGGTTCAAATGATTCTCCTGCCTCACCTGGGACTACAGGTGCGCGCCACCAGGCCTGGCTAATTTTTGTATTTTTAGTAGAGACGGGGTTTCGCCATTTTGGCCAGGCTGGTCTTGCTCCTGACCTCAGATGATCTGACTTCCTCGGCCTCCCAAAGTGCTGGGATTACAGGCGTGACCCACTGCGCCTGGCCAAATTGAGATTTTTTTTTTTTAGGCTTTAGATCTCAATCCCTAAACTCTTTTCCCAGGCACTCTTTCATAACACGTAAGATTTGAATGTTTTTAGGTTCCAGTTCCTCCTGTGCTGGTTAATTTCAAACTGATCCTATCCTTGGCTATTACTTTTCCTCTCCTTTATCCACACTTTTTTTGCAATAGCAGCAATAGGAGAGTTTCCCATGGCCTTCCTGCAAATTTGAATCGTGAAATAATGCTTTATATAAAGGCTATTGAAAATTATCAGCTTTTTTTGGCTAGATTTCTACATTCTCTCCTCTGTCTCAATTTTGCCAGCTCCTTTTTTTAAAAATCACCAGGCTATTTCTTTGTCCCTTCTAATGTAATTTCTTTGCTTTTGCTATCAAACTACATATATAAAATGGGTTATATAGCATGATAATATCTAAATTTTAAAGTCTATTTTCCATGTGCTTTCTTACCTTTTGCTAAAATCTAACCTCATATTTATTTGCAAGGGAATCTTATTAATCCTCACATATTTTCACATATACATTTTTCCATCCCACAAATGTCAAATTACCTCCATTGATATTTGTTTCATTAATTGTTTCTTCATCAATAACAAATGATGGACAATATTGGAAAACCACTTATCCATTCTTTGCCTTTCTCACTAGTATAAACTTGAGTCTCTGTTTTTTTTTAATTATTCCTTTTTGACTCAGATTTTTTTTTAAATCAACCACATATTGATCATCCTTTAGGTATATAGGTATAAGATATATACCAATTTCTTACCATACTTCTATTTCTTTTTTCTTTTTCTTTTTCTTTTTTTTTTTTGAGACTGGGTCTTACCCTATCACCCAGGCTGAAGTGCAGTGGCATGATCTCGGCTCATTGCAACCTCCACCTCCCAGGTCCAAGAATTCTCTTGTCTCAGCCTCCCAAGTAGCTGGGACTACAGTCGCACACCACCACGCCCAGCTAATTTTTGTATTTTTAGTAGGGATGGGGTTTCACCATATTGATCAGGCTGGTCTCGAACTCCTGACCTCAGGTGATCCACCTGCCTCGGCCTCCCAAAGTGCTGGGATTACAGGCATAAACCACTGCGCCCGGCTCATACTTCTATTTCTTAATCCTTGTAATGAAATAATTTTTAGCAGAACATGAAATATTAAGTTATGGCCCAAAGGTATATGGTGGAAATCATTACACATTTATTTTAAGTTGCATATAACTTATCAGCTACTACAGAAATGGGTTATACCCCAGGACTAAGCAAGAAAGTTCTAAATTATATTTCAATTTACATAGGAAAAGAGGCAGTGAAGCAGATCCAAGGCACATTTTAATGTGTCTCAAGCACCAACAACAACACCTGGCACAGAGTTAGTGTTTAATAAATGTATGTTCAATGAGTCAATGAGTAAAAGTGCTCTTAAAAGTATTTCATGCAAAACAAACAAACAAAAAGTGAAGCCATGTACCTGGACATCTCCCCCAACACCTCCAACCATGGGATCTTCTTCTAAAACTTTTACCATCTCCACAGATGAGGCTGGGTCAAGCATAGTGTCTGAATCACAAACCTGCAAAGAAGCAAATGAAAAATGAGTTAAAGAAAAGGAAGAACTATAAATACATTCCCTGTAGTCAAAATTTCACATACATACTGTGTCCTCATCTTACTGTCACAAGGCCTCAGTAAGCAAGTATCATGATGATAACAGAGGCCTTGTTATATCATGGCCAATACAAAGAGCCTATTTTTCAGCAAACTCAATATTTAAGTTAATGACATTGCTGGGTAGAACAGCTGAAGTGATGTGCTAAGTATGACTTGTAGCGTGATCAACTTGTCCCAGTTTGCCATAGATGCTCCCAATTTTGTCAATGAAAGTCTCACATCCCAGGTAACCCCCAGTCCTGGCAAACTGTAATGGTTGGTCCCCCTAGAGGTCTGTTTAAGAAAAAAAAAAATGTTTTCTTGTTACCTTCAATAAGGCTTTTAGGCCTTTTTGTCTTTCAGGTCTGAATGATAAGAAAATTCTATGACATTTTCTTAAGGGAGACATATTTAGTAATGATTTTACCTTTCATTTTAATATGGCAAATAAATGACAGGAGAGCAATTCTCCTACATAGGATTGTATAATTCTAAAGCAATAGTGTAGTTCTAAAGATTGTATAGTTCTAAAGTCCATATGACCCGGGCTTAGCAAATGACATTGTATCAGGAAGGGGATTTGCAGGACCTTCAACACCTTTTTATTCTAAAGTATTAAGTGTTCATCTGGCCCTCTGAATTTAAAAGTGGATATAAATCACTTTAAGCTATTCTAGAAATGCCCATTGTTGTTTTTAAACACAATCTTTCTATGAGCCAAAAAAAAAAAAAGCAAGTCCGAAACTAGACCAACCACAACTTCAAGAAAATTTTTGGAATTAGTTTATAACTGTGTATTCCTAATAGATATTTCTATTGGAGTCTCAAGGGCACAGGGCTATAAACTGTGCTTTTCTTTTCAGACTGATTTCCAAATCAACTGAAAAGTTAAACAGAAAAATAATAAAGCAAATGGAAAACCAAACTATTACCTGTATGCTTACAAAGCTGATATGGAGAATAGGGCTTTATATGTGGAAAAGTGGGCTTCATAATTCTGAGTAATTCCCAGAACTACTCAGTCCCAGAGAGGGTCTCAGTGGGACTAGCCTCCTGCAGATACAGTGTATGTCCCTTCAAAAGGTACAGCTGATACCTGTTCCTGGGGGGGTGCCCACTCCCAAAAGCCGGGCAGAAAGAGCTGGGCTTCCCCTTATTCCTTCCACACTCACTAATAAGATTAAGTCACTCCTTTTCTCTTAGGAAAGGAATGAAAACAGCTGGAAAAGGCTGATGGGTTATACCTGCCAATGGAGCTTCCTCCATATGATCAGAGAAAATCAGAAATAGAAAAAAAGTAGGAAAAAAAAGTCCCCATCTCCCTATCCCTCCAACATTTACTAATTGGACATATTATTTTCTGCTAAATGCAGCAAAGTCCTAACAAATATAAATTGATCAGAATTGTCATGTGATTAATCAGCTTGATATCCCCATTCAGACAATGAATGGCATGATTGGCAGAGACTGAGTATTTATTATCTGCTATTCCCATTATTCTGCCATCAAGTCAGACTGTACTGGTTGGACTGAATCAAGATTTAGCCAATTTTTTTTAATATCAAAATAAATTATTTAACAGTCCTGCAAACCACTCTATAAACATAGTATTTCAGCCTGGGCAACAAAGTGAGACCCTGTCTCACAGAAAATAGTGTTTGATATACCAGTTTTGAATTTAAAAAAAAAAAGGAAATTAACCAATTAGTAGAAGCATAAAGTCTCAGAATTAAAGGAGACGTTAGATACATGTAGCATGAGTCCTTCACATTAGTAACTAAGGAATCCCAACATTTTTAAAAGCATCTAGGCTGGGTGCAGTGGCTAACACCTGTGTTAGGAAGAGCAGTGGGAAGCTAAGGCGGGGGGATTGTTTGAGCCCAGGAGTTTGAGACCAGCCTGGGCAACACAACAAGACCCCATCTCAAAAAAATAGTAAAATAAAATAAAAAATAAAATTATCTACCTCAATTTTACTACTAGCTTTTTTTCTGAAAAGGTTTCATGTTAATGAAGAATGCTGGTGAAAATAGCAATTTAAATGCATTATTGGAAATCATAATGTGTGGAGTATATGGGGCATCAGAAGGTGAACCTATCACCCTTCTAGGTTTAATTATAGCAATTTTGGGGTTAACTTCTGAATTTTTAAAACTTTATTCTCCTTATTTAGAAGAACTCATTTTCTAAATGAAACCCTATTGACTGTCTTTTTGTCATTCCATTTAGGTTCAGCATAGTCTCACTTATTTTAAGAAAAAAAAAATTAGGCAGAAGCTAGGCATTCGCTTTTCATTGTAAAAAACAGGATTTTACTGACACCTGGGTCTGTATCCAAGCATCTCAAGCCTCCGGAACCTAGAAGAATTCCCCCGAAAGTGATGTTTTGCCTCTCCCATGCCCTGTCTATCCCTGGTTTGTATGTGGCTACCAGGTGGGCAGGAGGTCTGTGATGAGGCTAGAAAAACATGAAGGCAGAAATTCTAACTCATCTTTAGCCTCCAGCATCCTGAGTTTATTACCACACCCACCTCTGTTGACTCAAGCTGGAAAAGGTAAAACCAGGCTAAAATAAGACTAAAAACAACAGGAAGAGGGCAATCCAGAGTTAATGTTCAAATAACTCCGTCTGCTTGTGAGCACAAGCAAGCCAGGAGAACTGGCTCTTTGAAATGACTACACTGGAACCAAATTTATGATGTTCTGCATATTTCAATTGGTCCCTGCCCCTCCCAATTTCCAATAGCAAAGTGCCAGAAGTTCTCTGAGAGAGATTGTTCACATGGTGAATTTAGCTGTATCAGAAAGGAAAGCTCAGAAATCTCCTGGGAAAGGGTTTATTACCATGGGATTTAACAGCTTTAAAATTTTTCAACTACTGGATGCTGTTTGGTGATAGAATGCCAGCTAGAAAGCCATGGTCTTTGACAGTTTGTGAAAGCATGTGTATTCATGGACACAAGGGAATTTACTCAGTAGGGTGTAAAGAGCATAATTTTAGCCCTTCTTAAAATCCATACAGCAAGAACAGGCTTTCTAGCCATCTCCTCACTCATCGGTAACAAGTATGCAATTTCACGAATGTCAACTATTTAGCCCTGGATTACAATCTGTGGGAGACATGCCCCAGTTCAAGGAGAACTGAACCTCACATAAGGAAAAAGTACAGGACAGCATTTGCACACAGGAAAGAGAACAAACTGAAACATCTTTTTGGCCACACTAAGTGTATCAGCGTAATTCGTTGAAACCACATGATCACTAGTTATAAGATTTCTCACCAGGAGATATGGAAATGAAGCAAGTCACCAACTTTTGAGTAAATGAAACATGTCAAGAAGACATTATTTAGAAGAACCAGCCACCTCAGTCTTAACCACAGAATCATCCACTAAATTGCATAAGACCATCACTCTTCCTGCCTCACTACTCCAGCCAAGAGTTAATTCCCTCCATTTCCCCCCTATCTAAAACAGGGATTGGCAAACCAAGGCCTACTGGTCAAGTCCAGCCTGCCACCTGTCTTGATATGGGTCATGGGCCAAGAATGGTTACACATTATTCAATAGTTGAAAAAAAATCAAAAAAAGAATATTTTGTGACACATGGGAATTATATAAAATTAAAATTTTAGTGTTCATAAATAAGGTTTTATTGGATGCATGCTGTATCAGAAAGGAAAGCTCAGAAAGGCATGCATCCACCCTTGCCTGCTCATTTACTTACTATTTATGGCTGCTTTTCACCCTGCAACAGCAAAATTGACTAGTTACAACAGAGACCATATAGCCTGCAAAGCCTAATATTTACTATTTAGCCTTTTATAAGCAAAGTTTGCCAACCCTGGGTTCAAAATAACTGGTTACACGGGGAAGGTTCTGCTTTCTTAAAAATAACAGTGAAGTTGAGATTAAATATGTTTGAAGCCCAATTTTAATTTAGTAGATTTTGCAAAAGCTGTCTCCATCTCCCTGTGTTAGGAAGAGCCTGAAGTGTAGGATATTAAAAAATTAGATTTTCTTCAGCCAAGATTTTGCCTATTACAAGAGCAAGTACCCATGAAATCAAGAAGCCTTAAAGTCTGAAGTCCTGTAACTTACTACTTCTATAACCTTGAATGAGCCATTTGCCATCATCATGGGACATTTGTGAGACACTGCAAATAAAAGTACCTTGTGAATTACAAAGGACTGTAGAGAAGTATTTCCATTAGTATAAGGTAATAGTCTTCAATATTTTATACTTTCTAAGTAAACCCACACCTAAAGGATTATGTCAATTATCACAAATAGATGGCTCAGTAGCAACAATCACTAATAGGAACATAGGAATTGATTACATATACAGAATCTCTTACCACATGAACAAACTCAAATTTATCTGGAAGCATCTACAGCATTCCTGTCTGTTCTAATTTATCTCACTAATCTTAAAGTTAATTTATCTCACAACAATCTAAATAAAAATCTCCTGTAGAAATACTGTTATCTATTCTACCAGATGCCTTGATCCAAGTCTAAAATGCCAAATCTCCATGTTTTACTTTTAATGTCTTTTTTTTTCAGACTGATGGATCTCCTCACTTCCTCCCATACCACTTCAAAGGGCATTGACAGCTAACACAGCAAGAGAGAAATCTTAATTACTCTGGCTGCCTCCAATGAGGAAACAGGTTGAAAATAAATCAAAACTCTTTTGAAAAAGGCTTCACCTTTTTCCTGCTTGTAAGGCTTAACCCTTCATCTTAACCTTCACCCTTCATCTTAACCTTGACTCTTCATCTTAACCTTCACCCAATGAGACTATCTCTAGAATGTGTAGCATTTGTTCTTGCTTCCTCCCACAACTTAACCCAAAAGTAAATAGAAATTCTGCATCACCCCCCCATCCCAATTTCTCTAGTAAAAAGGGGTAATGGCAGGAACAAAAAATTCCACAAATACTTACTTAGTAAATACAAGATGCTACCATTCCCCCTGAACTCCTACCAGTACAACCTCAGAGCAAACACACTACTGAAACAAACAAACAAAAAAAGTACTATATAAGGCCTTGGAATCAAATTCATCTGGATCCCAATCCACCATTAACCACCTATGTAAACTCGGACTCGTTTCTTCACTACAGACTCCTTACCTCCTAAGCTTCCATTCTGTAGGTGAAAAATATGGATAATCACATCTACCTCATAAGTTTGTTGTAATTAACTAGTGTTAATAAGATAATGTATGTAAAGCTGTTAGTAATGGCTAGCTCACAGTAAATGCTCAATAAATGGAACTCATATATACTAAAAAGTGGGCCACAATACATGCAAGATTTGGGGGAAACAAAACAGTGAGGACAGAAGTTGACTTTATAAAGATGGAATATTACATACAATTTAAAATTTCTCATACAACCAAAAAAAAAAAAAAATCAATCCAAAGCTCTAGTGCATGTTCATTAATAATATTACAACAAACTTCTAAGACTTTATCAAGATTGTATAACTTTATTTTTTAATCTTGATTTTCTATTTATGTGAATTCTAGATGAATAGAATTTACATATAAACATATAGCTAAGTTAAGCAGCCTCAAATTAAGCAACAAATACAAAATCATAAAATCTAAACATTTTAGAGCTACAAAAGCTTTTTGAAATTAATGAGTAAAACCATTCCAGAAAAAAAAAAAATAGTCCTCAATGAAAACATCATCTTTCTTTTGCGAAAGGAACGGGGGATGGGGAGGAGGTTCTTCCCTTGTAGTAATTTGGTTTATGGTACAGGATCTCAAATCTAGCCAACAGAAAGCCTTTACATTATAGACACCTGTGCAGTTTGGTACTTCTTTGTAATTCTTCTTAAAAGGAATTAGGAATATACAAGCCTTCCTTAGTAGAATGAATTATCCAAATTATTATAAAATAATTCCTGCCTTCAGACAGCCAATCTCTTCCAATTATTAAAGTGAAAAAAAGGAGTCATTTGGTTATTCTCTTTTCCTTTTTAGCAAAGTTGAAAATGAGTGAAAGTTATAAAAGGTGCAAAACAAAGGTGACGAGCCAGCTGGAAAAGTGAGAAACCAAATGCTGTCACCTCTAAGGCTTAAACCATGAAGGACCCTTATTCCAAATGTTTGGAATTCTCATTCTAAAGAAGGGAATCAGGGAAGCTCATAATGGTGCCCTTAAATCAAGATTTATATTCAAGAAGCAATCTGGGGGGAAAAGGCAGATTAAAAGTGAGAGTGAGACACACGATAGTAACCAACAAATGAAAATTCTGATATCCCTTTTTCTTTTGATCTTGCTCTAGCAGAGCTTCAGTATTTGCTAGATATAATTAAGATGTCAGAAGAATTACACCAATACTGACTTAAGAATCTTGAGCTGAAAGACATCTTAGAGATCATCTGGTCTACTACCTCAGTTGATGATTCATTAAGGCCAGGACCATAGCAGGTAAACAACAAAGTTGGGTATAGAATTCAGATTTCCTCATTCTTATTTCAGTGAGCTCTTAGTCTTAACCTCCAAAATGAAAGATAAAAATAAACTTACTATTCTCAATACTGGCCCTCAGAATATTTCAGTTGCTCAGGCTTTCTATACAGAACAAAACAGGAACCAGTCAAATGTCATACGCAGTTGATTATCATTATTTATGGTAGTTGTATTACATAAAGTTGCCAGGAACACTGAACTGGAAAATACTGAAAATGTGCTTCTAGCAGAAACACAGGGCTGGGTTCCTCCGAACCTCTGGCCACAACATTTTGACAACATATAATCTTGTTTTATCTGTGCTTCTGTTTATATGTACCTTATTTAATATACATATAGTTGGTTCATTAATATTGAACTCATGTCCAACAGCACGATATCTCATGCCTAAAGGAAATTCATCTCCATGAGGTGTATCACAGTCTTCTTGTGCTTAGATAGCATTTCAGCATTACAGTTCAAGGCCATGTTAAAGAGCTACATCACCAAGGAAAAGCACAAAAAAGGGAAAAATGTGGCACTAAAGAGACCATGAAGAGGATAATTGTTTACAGTATAAAAGCTGAAACAAGAAGCCAAAGCATCACCTTGTCTGACCTCAGCTGGAACATGCACATTGGATGACTCAAATTTTTTGCCACTGTGTGCTTGTCAGCAAATGACCACCTACTGACTGCAATTATTGATTTTAGGGTTACAAGTACGTTTTACTGAGTAGACAAATTTGCAAATACAGAATCCAGTAATAATCACAGTCAACTCTACTGTTAGGAATAATAAAGCCTTACATTTTTCCCCAAAGAATTCTGGATATGTAGAATGCTGTGATATTAAATCAATAGTGACATTTCCTCCGATAATCTTCCAGCTTAGAAGATGTTCATATTTGTTATATATTTTCTACCTAGGAAGTCCCTAATGCAGACATCAGGGGATACTGTTTTATGTTTTCCTTTGTCTCATAGACTGGTGGCCACGTGAGTGGTAATACGCATGTTCAGTAAGAGACAGGAATAAAGCAATTATATAATCAAGACATCCGGCTGGGCGCAGTGGCTCACGCCTGTAATCCCAGCACTTTGGGAGGCCGAGGCGGGTGGATCACGAGGTCAGGAGGTCGAGACCATCCTGGCTAATACGGTGAAACCCCATCTCTACTAAAAATACAAAAAAAAATTAGCCAGGCGTGGTAGCGGGCGCCTGTAGTCCCGGGTACTTGGGAGGTTGAGGCAGGAGAATGGCATGAACCCGGGAGGCGGAGCTTGCAGTGAGCCAAGATAGCGCCACTGCAGTCCAGCCTGGGCGAAAGAGCGAGACTCCGTCTCAAAAAAAAAAAAAAAAAAAAAAAGACATCCAAATATATTTTACGTTTTCTGATAACACTACTTAAAAAATATAAAACATTAACATAATCCCAAAGTGTTCTAAAAACAAGGGAAAAAACAGAAAAATATACATTGGAAAGTGTCAATCAGTTGGGTATTTGTTTAAGATAATTTTAATTTTGTTCATTGTACTTTTTTAATACTTTTAAAACATGCTGCCATAAGCCTGTGTTACTTTTGTAAATAAAAAAGCCAGTATAAACACTATTTCAAAGAGGTACAAACTTTTGTCCAACATTAAGCCATACTCAGAACAGGTCAGAATCTATCCATTTTTAAAACAAAGTTTCTCTAGAAAATACATTGATTCTGAATTTTGAAAATCTTTGTCACTCTTAAAAAAAATTCATTCCCTTCAACTTTTTTTTTTTTTCCATTTTTTGAGACAGGATCTTTCTCTGTTACCCAGGCTGGCATGATAATGGCTTAGTACAGCCTGGACCTCCCAGGCTCTAGCAATCCTACCTCAGCCTTCCGAGTAGCTGGGACCAGAGACATGCACCACCAAGTCCAGCTAATTTTTTTTTTTTTTTTTTTTTTTTTTGTAGAGATGAGGTCTCCCTAAGTTGCTCAGGTTGGTCTCGAACTCCTGGGCTTAAGCAATCCTTCTGCCTTGGTCTCTTAAAGCACTAGACTTACAGGCGTCAGCCACCACACTGGCCCTCTTTAACTTCTTTTCTCAATTTATTTTTTCCCTTCCTCTGTTTTCTATCTTCTTTATCTCTGAAAGTACCCACCAGCATCATCAGATAAATTTGCTACCACACTGGGTTTCTCTGTGACTAGTGACTCCCTTACTGTTCTATGTCAGCATTAATTATTTGAACAGCTACAGGGCCGAGAGAGCAGTCGGTAGAGAAGACTGGAGATGAAAGCTGAGACAGAGTTAGAGCTGGTAGCTGTTAAAGCTTTATTCCCAAGGAGACAAGAGGAAGCAGGCCCAGTGGTCTCAAGAGCTAGATCAAAAGAATAACTTTGAGACAAGAAGTGAGGTTGGATACTCTTGAAACAGTTTAAGAAGAGAGTAAAGATGATCTTGACAGCATTCAGAATTAGTACTTTTGACTTTCTCTTTAGTAGGAGGCAAGGTCATCTGTTAGTAGTTAAGCAGAGAGGAGTTTGGATAGGGTTTTGGGAAAGTGGTGAAGGTATGAAATAATAGGCTATGAGAGCAATAAGCAAGGCATCTATTCAAGACCAAGTGAAAAGAGTGCTGAAGAGTGCCAAGGATTCGGCTGCAACTGGAAACCAATCCTTTTGGCCATCTCTCTCCACAGTTAAGCAGAATTCTCCAGCAAGTTTGTAAGCATGGTCAATTTCTTCCCCAGCCCCCATTTTCTCTTGTGTATTACCACCTGAACTTTGTTTCCTTCTTTCCCTAACCAGCCTGCACTCCAAGTTCCATCACTTGTAATGCTTAGCAGCCAACATCTTCAAACCCCTTTTCCCTTAGTTGTCTTTCTGTGGTTTCTGCTTTGCAATTCTCAAATCCTGGGACACTTAGAATAGAGGATGGGAGTGGTTAGTATTGTGAATTGAACCTTAGGAAATTGCCATTTTTATAGGTCACACATGGTTAAATATCAGGGGATTTACTGAGGGATGAAAAGATGGAATTACCAGTTTCAGAATGCTAAGAGATTTGTACTCCTGTGTGAGTGTTTGGAACTGGCTGAGAGTCCCAGGAGGCATCAGGGCCTAGTTAAAAGCTGCTGGTCGGGTCAGTGTATCTGGAGACTTCCCCTATCTCAGCCTGGAGGAAGAAAAGTTCTCAAGCCTGATTAGGGCTCTAGCAGGAGGCCTATTCTAATATTTCATATTTTGTATTATTTTTTTCCTGGACAGGCACAGCATAAAGTTGCCAAGGATACAAACAAAATTCAAAACAAAAATGATGGGAGAAGAGGGTTTGGGAGGAGCATGTTTAAAGAAAAGGAAGAAAAAACCCTCAAACAATGAGGCCTTGATTAGAAATGACAAATGTAGCAATTGTTTTAACTAAAATTAAAGACAAAATATCAAAACAGATGTTTTCTCATTTAAAGTCCAGAACTTCATTTTTCATATCCTCTATAAGTTCTCAGTCATCCTTTCCCTTTGAAAATAGCCTATTATCCTCTCATCTAAGCCCAAAGTTGTACTATGTAAATACCAAATGTCCAAAGATAACTGAAACTACCTTAACTTGGAAGTTTTACCTTTGAGAAATTAGGAGAAACTTGACAGAGAAATGCTCCCAGCTGTCTAGAAGGGAGATTAACATAATGAAGAAATGTCTCTAAACTCTTCAGACATCAACTGAAATTAGTCATATGGTGGCAATTGACAGGTACTATAATTTGAGCAAGGACTAAATGATAATAAACAACAATATTAATATAAAAAGCTTTAATTATATCAATGATAATATCATAAATAACTTTTGCTAAACACTTGGAACACATTAATTTATTCTATCCAGAAACTGAGACTCAGAGAGGTGGTCTTGCCCACGGTCAACCAGCTAGTAATCTCTATGATTAGAACTTTGGTCAACTGACTCTAAAGCCAATGTCCATTCCTATCTCACTACTTGACAACCACTAGGCATGACTCTGTGGCAGTAAAGGATCCTAAAGAATAGGATGCATCTTCTAAAAACTAGAATTTCACTAGAAATTCTAGAGGAGAGGAAGAACATCCCAGTGCCTTTCTTAAACCGGAGACATTTTTCCCCTCTCAATACCATCATGGCCAAAATCTAATTATTATAAAGTATCTGCAGAAAATTAAAACTAGAAACTCACAGGGACCCTACTAATGTTCTAAAGAAGGAAGCTTCAATGAGAACCAGGAGAGGAGAACCCCTATAGTGAGCTTTCAGGAAATTAATGGGAGACACAGCCTGTCTAATTTTCATGCAGGCAAACACCATCACAAATGCTTTCAAAGGTCAAGTTGCAGTGAGTGAGGTAATGCTGTTTGGAGAGTGAAATAAACATTACTTTGCTTTTGCTCGAAGATTTTTTTTTCTCATTTTTTGTTTTCCTTTTCCTTCTCTCAATTTTAATTTTTTTTTTCTCTTTTAAATGAAAATTGTTCTCACCACCCTCATTTTGCCTCATTTTGCAGTCTCTGTGAAAAACATTTTATAGCCTCCCTTCAGCCTGCAGATTTTCTCAAGACCCTTCTGCTCAGGCAGACACTATTTTCTTACAAAGCTGGAGAGTTTTAGAGTGTGGAAAATGATGTTGGATTTGACTTGGCAGAACCAAGGGGGCAGAGAAGGTAAAAGAGGGGGAGAGAAGGGAAGGAAGGGTCTCCTGTCAAAATAATCCTGATTTTTAACCAATAACACAGCACAAATTAAGCATGTTCATAGATAGTCTCAACAGTTTTACAAGTTTTTTTTTCCCTTTTTCAAAATGTGCTTTCAACAGTCATGCTGTTTTCAAATGAACTGAAAGAAGTACTGTGTTCAGAAGGGACAAGGATGGGCTATAGCATATGACTGGACAGATACAAAAGCGGCTTTATTTAAATGTATGTTTGCCCTGGCAGGAATGTGGAGACCTACCTGTACATAATCCACACTTCGTCCCAGTGCTCTGAAGGCTGTGTACATGACTTCTCTTTTTCCACCCCATTTTTGCATGATGCAGATACTTTTGTTGGACAAGACCAATTGCGTTACGTGTTGCGAGCTTTCTTTATGTGACTCATCTGTCTCACCGGGACCCTTTTCGTGGAAGTTGTTCTTCCAGATATAAGTGGCTGATTTGTCTCTGCCCATGACTTCACTGAAGATGTCCATCATGTAAAGGTCATCTTCTGAGTTCCCATCTATGACCATGACAACTTTAATCCCAGGGTAGGTTAGCCTTTTCACAGATTGCAAACATTTCCTTAAGTAGTCTGGATCTTCTTGATAGGCAGCGATGCAAAGGGCAACTGTTTTGTTCAACTTTATGGGGGTTTCTAGGGATTTTTTCATTTTTCGGTGCTCCAAAAAGGCAAACAGGCTTTGGATGATGAGGTGTGATGCCAAAAAGGCACCATACAGTCCAAAAGAGAAATAGTAATTATCCGTTTGGATAAACTGGTAGCCAACAATATAAGCAGCTGTGATTCCAAGGAGGAGAGAGACTCCAAAGAGTGTGGTTCCAATTATTCTCAGGATACATAGAAACCTCTCACAATGCATCTGTAATATAATCAGATGATACTCTTGGTTAACCATGATTGTCCCACACTTGTTATATACCTAGTATCATGGGGAGAGTATTGGACTAGAAGCATTCAGGAGTTTTAACACTCAATTTCTCGCCCAACTCATTGTGTGACTTTCTGCACTTCAGTTTGCTCATCTGCAAAACAGGGATAAGGATGCCCTTCTAGCATACCTCAGAGGGTTATTTCAAGAGTCAAATGAGATGATGGTACAGCATACTACTGAATGCCATAATGTTTTAAACAAATACTGCATACATTGCTTTAATGTGTTATATCACTTGCCTAAGGCTGTACTCTATATATATGTGGTCATAGCCAGGCAGGGACCCTGAAGTTTCTAACACCCAAAGAAGTCATTCTTCTATATAGTCCCCTCACCCCTTGATATTGGCCAGTGAAAAAAATCCACTGGAGATTTTGCTAAATTTCTCATGTGTAATTTAATCTCACCTCCAATGTGTATTCTTCAACTTACATCCTTTCCCTGCAGCCAGCTGAGATTGGAGATCAGGATACTGGGTTCTAGTACTAGCTCATTAACTAACTGTGTGACCTTGGGTGAGTCACCATACCTCTCTGGGTCTCAGTTGTTTTGTAAAAATATCTGTTAAATGAGGGATTTTAGAATTGAGTATTTTTGAAGTCCTCACTGACACTAAAAATCTTCCATCCCTAAGTACCCTGCATAGATGTCTATTAAAGCCCCGTAATTCTGAATTATACTCCTTTGTTCCAAAGTCTCTCTCCTCCATCCGCCATCATGAATACTAGATGATTAGATCCTGAGCATCATGAACCTTACTGGAACACAGTAAACACAATAAATGTTTGTAGAAATAGTGAATACATTAAAGGACAAATAACATCATGATTTATTTCAGCAAGTGAGTTTCCATCCTGTTAAAAGCCATAGCACATTAGACCTGAAACACGTTTCCACTCAGTAATAGTCAGTTTTGCAGTCACCCCTAAATTTTGTCTATCTCCTGAAAAAAGTTTTAAACAACTCAAGGACAAAAGGACCATTTTTCCCAAAACATTTGTATTTCCCAAAGGATTTGTATTTCCCAAAGCATTTCCAATGCTTAGCATTAAAGTGGTGGTTGGCAACCCTTTTTATTTCATTTCTTTCCTCCTGGAGTTTTATTTTCCTCCTCTTCCAAGGATGAACTATCAAAGAAGATATAATTGGTATAAATGCAATATCTTCATCTTTAGTCATTCGCATCCATTTTTGGGCTTTTCTCATATTTACATGTATTTAGTGCTTAATCTTTTTCTTTAATTCAATTGATTTTTAAAAGCTAAATAAGTTTATTTTAAATAGAAACTTAGACTAAGCAATTACCTTTGCAAAATCTTTTGCTTGATGTGCTATTTATAATTTCGTAATCCACATGCAAACTTAACACTGACTGTTCACACAGTATCCTCTAGGCTATCAACAGCTGCATGGCCACCACGTTGCTCAGCTCCAAGAGGCACCATTCACACAGTCACCTGCTATTCCCTGCAATTGTACATTGAGAAGGTCCTAAGGGGATCTGCACTGTACTTTTGGGAAACCTTAGTGTGGCTTCTTACCAATTGTGTTACCTTTCCTTCCTGAGCATAGACTTGGTATGGCCAAGTCATTCCAGGCTTTGGAAATCTGAGATATGCCACTTCCAGTAAGATCTTTTAAGAAAGAGAATATACCTCCTCTCATCTCTCTGGCCCTTCCACAGGCTTGATACACATATTAAAAATGTTTTAGGGAATTGGAAAGCCCCAAGATAGATGGAGCTTGGTCCTTGGATTGCCATATGAAAGGGAGCCACCCACCAAACAGGAATACCTGCCAAGGACTCTTACGTTGGCACAAAATAATTTCTGGATTTTTGTTTGTCCATTATGCATTTGGGGCTTGGTGTACTGCACTAGTATAACTTAAATAATGCAAAGTGCCCTGGACATCAGGATTCTAGCTTGCGGACGTCTCTTTTTTATTGTTGTTAAATGGAAATAACAGAACTTGTCAAAGACCCCACAGGACTGTGGTGAGGAGCAAAATGGAACAGTGTTTATGAAAGTGTTTTTAAAAACCAGAAATGCATTGCAGCTTAAAGGATCAGTTAACCAGGAAGCGAAAAAGCAAACACAACAAAAAGAAAATTGGTGTTCCACTTCTAGCAACTATATGGGACACCATAGCGTGTAATGCAGGAGTCTGATAAATGTAACCTTAACCCAAGTGGAAAGTTTAGACTGTTGGGGAATGGTGAAATGCTGAGTTTTCAGTGAAAGGCAGGCAAGTACGGCATCTCTTGTTAATTAACACAGCTGAGGGGATGCTGAAAACTCCCACATGGTACATTAACCAATGCCTGAAGGTGCTGGGAGCACCAGACTTGGAACTTGTCATTTCCAAGACGTGAGTCATTCTCACAAGAGTGAAAAATTTCAAGGGGACTAAATCACTTTGCCAGGGAGAAGCTTAAGTGTGTATTTAGCTTGTGTTTAAAATCACCATAGCCAGCAAAAGAACTGCCTGCCATTCTTTTCCATTATTCACATTTTCCTTGCTTTTATCAGCACACGTGGACATAGAGAGTGTTGACATAGCATCTGCTGGCCACAGCTGAAGTGGGAACACCCTCTTACATCATAAGACTCTACAGAATGTCCTTTTGAAGCTTGGGAAAAGTACTTTACTAGCATACCACAGCAACGTGGCTAGAAGTGAACCTTTATATTTCTGCAAGATATCTCAGTGTTGTCTAGTATGGCACACACAGCATCTTGGTACAGACCAAAAGGCAAAAGGCACATTTTAGAGCCAGCTTTGCTGAGGGAATACATTGATCTCAGGGAGTGACACATAGGACGTGTTTCTTTATAATTTCCCCTGGGCAATTGCATTGATATGGGCACCATGTGTTAGACTTTCTGAGACAATCCCCAATTCAAATACTCTGTTTCATAAGCATACTCTCCTTGTCAGACATATGACTGTATAGTTAAATTGGAAAATAGAGTTAGTTCAATCCTAAATTATAAGTACTTACTACTAGGTAGAAAGATGATTTTGAAATCTACACTCTCTAAATATTTAAAATTAAAATTTTAATTTTTCCCCCAGTATGAGACTTTGGCCTACTAATTGATACCAAATATTTACTAACTTGTGTTCTCCAGAGAATTAGGCCAAACCAAGTGTTAAAGAACAGCTTGCTATACTATAATGTATATCATTATATATATCTCCACAAAGTCAATGGAGATATATAATCTGTTTTCACTAACGTGTCCCAAGGACATAAAACACTGCCCAGCTTATAGCTGCTGTTCAGTAAATATCTGTTGAATGCATGAGTGCAAATTTACTCATCATCATCATCATCATCATCATCATTATTATAATGGTGGCTAACATTTATTCATCATTTATTAGGTTTCAGGCAGTGGGGCAAGTTTCTTTTTTTAAGCATAATCTTATTTACTCTTAATGACTTTGGGTGGTAAGCACATTATTAATCTCATGTTACAAATAACTATGCATATAATAAAGAAACCAAGACTCTGGGTATTTAATTAACTTGTTATAGTCAAAAAACTAGGAGTTGGATCCACACAGTGGCATAAGGCCAGATAATTATTCTCAATAAATTTGCTGAATATATTTGAATCCTCATGACAAAATAGGTGGCATTCTTTCGTTTCTGGCTAATAAAATGTCATCGTATAAGGAAAGATTAGAAACAAACTTTGAAAATTGTTTCCCTACCTTTTTTTTTTTTTTTTTTTGAGATGGAGTCTTGCTCTGTCACCCAGGTTCCCATGCTGGAGTGCAGTGGTGCAGTCTTGGCTCACTGTAACCTCCCCTTCCCAGGTTCAATTGATTCTCCTGCCTCAGTCTCCCGAGTAGCTGGGACTACAGGCATGCACAACCATGCTTGTGTAATTTTTATATTTTAGTAGAGATGGGTTTCACCGTGTTGGCCAGGCTGGTCTTGAACTCCTGACCTCAGGTGATCCGCCTGCCTTGGCCTTCCAAAGTGCTGGGATTATAGGCATGAGCCACCACACCCAGCCTGAAAATTGTTTCCCTACTGTTATAGAAAATGGGAAATTGGCACTCACTCAAGTACAGACACAAGGCTAGCCAATACTGAGATTTCGGGCTCATATATTTTCTATGTGGAAACGACCTAAAGAGACATGAAAAGTGGTTGTTTCAAAGGAAGAGCCTGGTTCCATCTATGTAATAGCAATTCTGCTCCTAATGCCAACAGCCAAAATCCTGTGTTACCATAAAAAAGGCACTAGTGTTCCCACTTCTTCCACCTGTGGAGCAGATATACAGCCTTGCCGTTGGCTCATATACCCCAGTGGGACTCTTCAGGTCACTGGACCTCGAAGCCATTTCCTCTGCCTTGACCTTTTTGTATTAAGCAGAGAGTGAAATGTTGGATGAAAGGAGAGTAACATCTACTCTCACTGCCCCAGTTCAACAGTGAGAATTGAGTTCAATGGAGTTACCCTAGTTTTTTGTTTTTTTGGGTTTTTTTTTTTTTTTGAGACTGAATTTCCCTCTTGTTGCCCAGGTTGGAGTGCAATGGCACGATCTTGGCTCACTGCAACCTCCGCCTCCTGGGTTCAAGTGATTCTCCTGCCTCAGCCTCCCAAGTAGCTGGGATTACAGGCATGTGCCACCACGCCTGGCTAATTTTGTATTTTTATGAGATGCGGGGTTTCTCCATGTTGGTCAGGCTGGTCTGGAACTCCTGACCTCAGGTGATCCACCTGGTCTCGAACTCCTGACCTCAGGTGATCCACCCGCCTCGGCCTCCCAAAGTGCTGGGATTATAGGTGTGTGCTACCGTGCCCGGCCAGAGTTACCCTAGTTTTCATAAAGTGGTCCTTCCATTTTGGATCTGGAAGAAGCTGAAATGAATTCAAATTTATTGAGTCAGCATCTGGGAAAGACTACAATTAGGTCTGATGATACCTCTTCTGGGAGGCCTTAGCTTATCTGTCCTTCTAAAGCAACTCCTCCACCCTTGCCCTCTCTTCACCCCCTGCCATGCTCTCTCCCCTTAACCTGCTTGATTTTCTAAGTAGCATATATATATATGTATGGCCGGAGAGTACACATGCACATACTCTATGGCCAGGGGAGCTTGTGTAGTTCAATTATTTGGTTTGTCCTTGCATGAAAACCAGGGCTTGGCACATAGCAGGGACTCAATAAATACATTTTTAATAAATAAATAAGCCCATTTGGACTCAGGCAGTCAATGTAGACTTACAGACACAGGTCCTACCCCAATCTTTACTGCAGAGGCAATGAATATGTAGTAGAGACAACCAAGCCCTTAAGGGTACCCCTCAAACAGTCTTTTTTTTTTTTTTAAGAAACCATCCCCATAATTTTTCACCCAGATGTCTAAAGGTAATGGTTATGGGGAGTCCCAGAACAGGTCTAGAAGGCCTTTGGAAAGCAAAGATAGAAAAGGCAGATGGTCCCCAAGAGCATTTACAGGGATTGTAAGTTGCAATCTGAGCTATCTTATGAGCTCAGGGTTCAAGTTTGGGGCATCAACTTTTATCATCTTGAATTCCAGTACCCTTACAGTGTTTATTGTCTATTAATCCATATGCTGCTTTATATTTTGGCTCCAGTGACTTATGAGCATGTGTGCATGTATGTCTTGTCTCTTCAACTAAATAAATTATCTAGTATTAACCAGATTAGCAAATATTTTGAAGTCAGTTATACTAGTGTTCAAATCCCAGCTCTGCCATCTACTACCAATTTCAGAGAATTTGACCTCTGGAACCAGACTGAGTTGGGATAGAATCCTGGCTCTTCCTTTTAGTGGCTGGATGACCTTGAGCAAGTTATACAACACTTGTCATCTTCAGTTTCTCCATCTATAAAATGGAGCTAATCATATTGACTCATAAAATAGATTATGAGATTTAAAAAAGGAATCTAAGTACATATTTTAAAAAGAAATTATCAACAATTAGATCTTAGTGATGTTAGCTTCCTGCCAGTAACTACCTAATAACCCTGACTCTCCTTCCACTTAACCCATTACTTATGGGTTAACAAGTAATAACTATGGCATGATGAAAAGAATAGGAGGACTGGGAATCAGAAGAAATGGATTCAAGTCTGCACTCTGCCTCATATTAGCAACCTGGCTCAGACAAACCGCTTGAGGGTTCTATGAATAAGTCATGTGTCCTTGGACAATTCAATTAATATCTTTGAACTTAAGTTGTAAAGTACACTTGCGCCTCTTATTCATTGCGTCTCTTCATCCACTGAAGTCTAAGTTCAGTGTCTTTTCAACTTTTGGCCAAATATTTAAACACACAAAGGCACAAAAGATGATGAGACATTTAAAGAATGTTTATCTAATGAAGGCGTGAACTGGTTCTAAAACATAGGCTGTCTTTATGCATAAACTCATGTTGTATGGGAGAAGGGGCCATAGGCCTTAAATCATATGCATGATAATTAGAATTGGGAATATTTATCTAGGCTGGTGACACTAGCAAGGATAACAGAAATCTGCTTCTAAGCAGACATACTCAGGTCAGGTGGTAGCTATCTGCTGGCTGAGTGGATTAGGAAGGTATGGTGAACAAAAGGTTAAAAAGTAGTGGTTCCCAAATTTTGCTATATATGCAAATTACCTGCAAAGCCATAAAATTTACTGATCTGTGGCTCCCACATTTTGAGTTCATTGATATGGGCTGTGCCCAGGTCATCACAAGTTTTAAAATCTCCTCCAGCAATTCAGCTATATAACAAAGTTTGGCAACCACTAGGTTAAAGTAAAATAAGACTTTCATGACCTCATTCACATTGATACCCATCCCTGATGTGTATTCCCTCTGCTACTGTCCCTACGTAGAAATCTGAGATAGGAGGACCCAAATGAAGTCTCCCCGCAGCAGTCTTCACATTACAGCACATTACCCCCTGGAACACAAATCATGAACCCTCCCGACTCCCCCTCCCAACCTCCCTTCTCCCCTTCTGACCTTCTCTTCCTCTCTGGCTTTGAAGTCTGCCTTTTTCTCTCCAGTCCCACTGCAGTTATCCTAGCAAAGACCCTTGAGCCAAGCTTCCAGGGTTAGTATACAAGCCTTTTTTACAGGACTTGTCACTCCAGCGGTGTCTGGGTTCAGAACTGTAGGTTTCAGATTTCTTTTCCTTTGCACCATCTATATTAATAAATTATTTTTAGGATGTGTGTTCTTCCAACTGCTCTACTGGTTCCTGAACTTCACCATCCTAAACTTAGTTCACAGTGTAGGGGAAAAAAATTACCAAATGACTTGACATGGAATCTTAGTTTTATATGTACCTACATTGGCTCCTGGGAATTATATCTATAGGTCAAAACCCTACCTACAGAGCCAAATGTAGCACAAACGCCAAGTCTCTTTAGGAAATCTTTACTGATCTCTTTCAATCAGATGTGACTTCTCAATTTGAACCCCCATAAAACTTGACTAGTGCAGCTGCAGCATAAATTAGCATGAATTCAATTCAAGGGCATTATATTCCAAGAATTCTTGGATTAAATTCCATCCACACCCCTTATTAATTCACTTTGAGTGAATTGCTTAACTTTTCTGAGGCAAAGTTCTTTTACTTATAAAACTTTCTTTGCAGATTAGGATTAGATATATGTATGTAAACCATCTAGTTGAGTGCCTGAAACATACTAGACATGTGATAAACAATAGCTGTTGTTTCTTATGGGCCAGATCATATTTTGTCTTACAGTATATTTTAAAATTTCATTAAATACACTTTTAACTCATTTTTTAATTATCTGCAGTACAGATGTATTCAGTTAAGAGGCATTCATTAATAAATTTACTTAATTTAAATAAGAAAATATTTAACAGTGTGGCCTTGTTATATTTAATTGACTCTCATCAGTAACATTCTCCTAGATGGTGGGAAAGGCAGTATATATATGAACTCCACATGACTACCATTCAAAATAGACTTTTTTTTTTTTTTTTTTGAGATAGAGCCTCACTCTGTCACCCAGGCTGGAGTGGAGTGGTGAGATCTTGGCTCACTACAACCTCCACCTCCCGAGTTCAAGAAATTCTCCTGCCTCAGCCTCCCCAGTAGCTGGGATTACAGGTGGCCACCACCACACCTGGCTAATTTTTGTATTTTTAGTAGAGACAGGGTTTCACCATTTTGGCCAGGCTGGTCTTGAACTTCTGACCTCAGGTGATCTGCCCTCCTCAGCCTCCCAAAGTGCTGGAATTATAGGCATGAGCAAAATATGCTTAAATAATTTAAGGCTGTATGCAGTAGGATAATACTCTACACAGATTGCTGCTAGAAGGGAAAGGATAAAATACCAAGTTGGGGTGATGGAAATGAGTTCTCTACAGGTAGCTGTCCCTCCACTCTGTTGGCATACCAGCTGCCACCAACTCTGTCATTGACAGAAACACGGCATGGGTTTGCATGGATAAAAAGAGAACCCAGAAGGAGACATGGGGGTTATGCTCTGTCCTCTCATTACTTTAACTCAGGGATCACACTTCATACAAGAGCCAGAAAGCTAGTAATGTAACAAACTACTTGTTCTTAGACTTTGAAAGTAAATGTGTAATATAGCTTTGAAAAAGGGTATGTCTACCTTGATCCATAGACAAAGGACTTTCCCCAGAGTGCCAACAACAGGAAATAAATGAACCAGTGACAAGTAAGTGTTTAAAAATTCAAGAAAAAAATTTTTTTAAAAATCTTACCTAGTAAGGAAACCATGTATGGGAAAGTATTTATGAAATTCAATACTATGGGGCTATATTCTACAGACCTAACAAAAATGAGTGGTTCCAACTAACTTACTTTCTAGTAACAGTTTCTTATTCACTTGTTGCACAATTCCCAATTTCCAGGAAGGTAGCTGACTAAATATCTTTGCTTTATGGAAAGTGACCTTAGAGTTTAATGCTAGTCACTGATTTGTTAAGTCCTTGAATTTTTATAAACTGCATAACTTTCTTTGATAAAGGGATTCGACTCCGGGTACAGTACAAGCAACTCAGGTAATATGCATTTGTCAGCACGTCCACAATATATTTTTCTATTTACCCGACTCAGGTGATATCTAAGAAAAAACAAATAGGGGGGATGATACTTTAGTTACAATATTTTGTTCTAGAAATGTCCACTTAAAAATCAGAATTATCTGTCCCAGAATTGGAAACACATACAAAACATAATATATAAACGCAACAGGTAACTTAAAGTGTTAAATTGTCATTGAAAATGTAAAAGAATCGCCAAACTATTGGGAAAACTTTTGGTGGAGTATGATGGGTACTCAAAATACAGTACCTCAGCTGTACTGTAACCTTATTAAGCTCTAGAAAAATGTGGTGAAAACTAATTTAATGAATGAGTCAACTTGCACACATTGGAAGGAAATAAAAATTTGGAATTTAAAAGTTCTTTTCAATTCAAGTCATAGAACTATAAAAAAATTGTATCTACAAAGAGGTTGATGGACTTGGATCTATGGAAATACATATTTTAATTTTAAACCTGGCATCGTGTATGTAAATATGTGTTGACCTTTTTAAAATAACCTTTTTTAAAAATAATAACCTGGTTTAATACCGCCAGAAGTACTTATCATATGCCTTAACCGCAGTGAGAAATCTGAGCCAAAGCCTTGGAATGTACAATGAGCAGTGAAGTTGTCTCCCTCTTAACAAGCGGCCTCACTCCTTCAGCAAAGCCCATCTACCAACTTCCTTCTCTTTATTCTAACACTGAGCTGATGGTCTATATATACTCAGGCCTCCAGTTGGGGGAAGCCCTTGGTGGCCAATCGGGGCTTCCCTATCTATTGCGTCACACCTCCCCCGTGTGTGACGTCAAAGGCAATCCCAGCCCAGACACGTGGGTTGGAGCAGCGTCGCGTTTCTGGGCAATTGCTCCTGAGACCCAACAGGCAGCAACGGTCCCAAGGGTGAGGGAGTGGGCAGGGAGAGGCTGATGGGGCTTCTACACGTTCCCTCCCGTAGCTGGGCTGCTGCAGCTCGTTCGCCCCAGAGGCGCGCGGTGTCCTTGAGTCCAAGTATTCAGCGCGGACGTTTGGGGGACGGAGGGAGAGGCGCTAGGGGAACTGGCACCTAAGACTGTGTAATAGGACACAGGTCTTGCAAGTCCTCCTCCCCAGGCACCGCCCCTGTGCTCCCAGCGCCTCTTTGCAGCTTTAATTATCCTTTCAGCGCCGTTCCCCCGCGGCTGCGTTTCCGTGGTCAGAGGAAAAAGGCTCTTTCGCCTCCCGGTTCTCACCCTCATACAGACCCTCCTTTCAGACCCGCCCTCCTGTTCACAGGGACCCATTTCGGAGCCCTGGCTCACGCTGGGCGGGAACTGCCGTGACGAATTCCCCCCAAGGTGTTGATTATCCATCCCAACCCAGCCTCTGGCTTCCCTCCCACCTCCACCCCAGCTCCCACAGGCCCCTCGCCCCGTTCATCGGCTGGGCGCTCGAGACGGCGCCCCCAGATCTCCCACCGGGCAGTGTCCCCAGCTGCAGCTGAGGAGAGAAGCGCCGGCGTGCGCGGTGCCACGTCGGAATTGGCTCTGGGGACGCCGCAGCTGCCGAAGCGCAGCGCGCGGTCCCCACGCACGCCCTGCCTCCGGGCGGCCGGCGGGCTGGCCCGGCGAGGAGAGGAGGGATGCGCGCCCTCCTCCCGCTCCTATCTGCGGGTGCCACCGCCTGCGTCAGGGACCCCTGGCCCGAGTAAGCCCAGACTGACGAGCCTGACACTTTAATGGGGTGCGGGAAGTGCAAAGGAGGGGAGGCCCGGGAAAGGGGGGAGTGGCCGAGAGGGGATGGTAGCTGCGAGGAGGTAGAGAAGGACCCTCCTTCTCCAGGGTCCCAGCTTGTCGGAGCTGGAAGCCCAGATTGCTTAACCCTTTGCATTCCCAGCAAGAAGCGACTTTTTCACTTAGAAGTAAAACGCGCTGGGCTATTCCAGTTTTTCTCCCCACAGTGTGTGTGTGTGTGTGTGTGTGTGGGAAAAAAAGAAGGGAAGGGGTGGGGCGGCTGTGCAGAATGCATTTTCCTTACATTGGGAATTCTTGTTTCCTAAC
Source organism: Homo sapiens (assembly GCF_000001405.40). Classification (NCBI taxonomy): domain Eukaryota; kingdom Metazoa; phylum Chordata; class Mammalia; order Primates; family Hominidae; genus Homo; species Homo sapiens. The sequence goes on from NC_000008.11 coordinate 121,640,522, forward strand.
TCTGGAGCCCCTCTGCTGCTCCGGAAGATGCAAAATGGAAAAGTACATCTGAGGACGTGCAGCCTTTCCCAGGCAGAGAGGCTACCTGTGTCCCCAGAAAGGCAGCGGATTTCTGGCGAGAGCCGCAGAAATGGGAAAAGAGGGCTATGTTGCTAAGCCTGACAGTGACCTGAAATATTCCCTGATCTTCAGTCTGTTGGAAATTTTTAAACTTCCAACTTTTCTATCGAAACTGGCTTAAAAATTTTAAAACAATTATAAGGATGTCTTCCTTCTCCCTGGCCTGTTGGAGGACCTTCATCCTTCACCAAAACGCGCCAGTGTAACGTACCTTGTTCAGCTCTTGGTCATAAAGTCGTCCTCAGCCTGTCTGTGTGGTCCCGGAGGGTCGGTGGCGGGCAGTTTCCAAAATTGAGGTAATAAGAGATCAGATGAATTTGAGACGACCGGCCAAAAAAAATAAGAAATTTAAAAACAACATTTAAAAAGGATAGGGGAGTCTTAAATGTTTGATTCTTCCCCACTTTAAAAAATAATTTCACTAATATTCTCTTTATGTTTCCGTTGCACTTCAGTCTAATTCTTAAAAAAATTATGCTTTAAAAATAAATTAACTTTTCTTTTTTCTTTTCTTTTCTTTTTTTTTTTTTTTTTTTTTTGGGCTTCAGTCTTTCTGCCCCCGATAACAGAAAATCTCTTTTTCGTCTTAAAAAAAAAAAAAAAAAAAAAAAAAGCCTGTGGAAGACTCAGCAGAACCCAGGAAGCGCAGAATTGGGAGAAAAGTCTTTGGCTGGGGCTGTTTCAAGTCTCTGGTTCAATGGGCTGCTCGAAGCCAGGACTGGGTAATTCTTTCCAGACGTCTTGACTTCTCCTTCCCCGCCGTTGTTGCCCTTCTGCCTCCTCCAACTTAAGGGGGTCTTAACAAGTGAGCTGGTGGGTGTTTTAATAGGGCGGCGGAGGGAGTGGGGGGGTGAGGGAAGTGGAGAGGGAGGTGTGGACTGGGGAACCCTGAGGGGAGGGAACTGGGAGCGCGGGCGGGCGGGCGAGCGGGAGGCGGGGAGGGGGAGAGGGAGAGAGAGAAATTGGCCATTCAAAGCCTTCTCTGAGCTACAGGCCGGTTCTAAACTCCAATGAATTCAATTAACTTGATTGCTAACGTGTGCAGAGAAATGCAAGACACATAGGGGGCCACCACCTGATTCCTTACTTTCCTCTGGCGGCGGAGGTGGGAGCCCTCGCCTCTTGGATTTCCCTGAACTCCCGCGTTACAAGTTCCCTCCAAGCGATAAACTCCCTGTGGCGCTGAAGTAATTTGTTTTAAAGCCAAATGGTGCCCTTCAGCTAAGTAACCGACCCAAGGAGGAACAGTTGGGAGGGGTGTGTGCACGTGTGTGTGTGTGTGTGTAAGTGTGTGCGTGTGTGTGTGTACCTGGAGCCTTCGACAGCCGGCTGGGACTCTAAAAAGATCGCGCTGGTCCACCACTTGTTAACCCTTTCTTCCCGCCAACTCAAAAGTTTCTGAGCTGACGTCAAGTGTCAAAGCCTTTCTCATAAAGAGGTTTCTGCCGTGGGTGGGCGGAAAACATAGAAAAGTAATTATATGTATATTTTTGCTCAATCTGGTCCCCTAACGTAAACATACTCAAACAGCGCGCATTAAAAATAAAATAATAAAAATTGTTTTCTGGAGGACTTATATTTAGCCATCTTGAAGGAAATGGCTTAACTGGCTTTTGCTTTTTGCAAGCCTTCTGCAAAGTTGACGAGGACAAATATGTCTTGCTTGGAGATGGCCTTTCCTCGTCGTTTTCACAATGCCCCAAGGCTGGGTAGAGTTCGTTTTTTGGTTACTCCTCCCCCCACCACTCCGCCTCCTTTCTTTCTCTTGGACCTTGCCAACAAGCCTGCTGATGACTGAAAATGGACAGTAGGTGGCACTGTTGAGGAAAAAATGAGAGTGACTTTACAAATTAACCAACTTGGTCTTGGGAGATTGCGCTGAAATTGTTATAGGGTAAAACAGATTTTTCTTTCTTTCTTTTTTCCTTCTTCCCCTTCCAAGGATCTTCTGAGGGGTGGACTTCTTTGGAACTCGACAGGACCTTGAAGACTGGGTTCTTAGTCCTTATCACATATATGGGCTATAATGAATAAGTCTAAACAGAAAAGTCGAATAAACTGGAAATGATGCTTTCATCACGTCGCACAAGGTGTAGTGTTGGGGGATGTGATTAGGGGTCAAGCATTTTAGTGCAATACCAGGTAGTCAGCCATCCCAGTCCCCAGGGGCTGACCTGCAAAGTACTGCGCGTTTCCGCCCCCTTCCCCCCGCCCCCCCCCGCCACGCCACACACACACACAGCGGTTACACCTCTGGGAAGCATTACCTTGGCCTGATGACTTCACGCTGCTCAGGGGACCCCACTGATTTCCCCCAGCAAACCTTCCTGCTTCAGCCTTTGTTTGAACTCCGCCTTAGGTGGTTCAACTCTTGGAGAGACTGGCTTAAATTTCAGATCACAATTTCATCCCACTTAATCAGACTCGAGCTTCCTGATTCAGTTTTTTGGTAGTTTTCAAATGCTAAACTATAATTTTAAATATATCACCTAACTTCTGTACTCTGACATATAACGTGGATTAAACTGATTTAGAGGTAGAGTGGAAATTGTGGGGTGCCAAGTGTCTAGCTGTGAGGCCCCAGGGGGACACTTAACCTTCCAGCTCTAAACTTTCATGAATATGACACGTAATGCGGGAATACCTATTATTGCCTACTAGCATTTAACTGTGCTGTGCTAATAGTTCAAGCAAGAAGCACATTTACTAAAACTGGTTTTCTTTATTATAGAAAAACACATTTGTTGTTTCTCGCCTCTTGTAATTCATGACCCATAAGACAAAAGTAAAATGTTCTCTGACTGCAAATGGATGTAAAAACTGATTATACAGCTACACATTTCTGTCATCCTCCCATCTCTACCCCAAAGAAAGAGGTAAGAGACTAATACAATGTGAAGCCAGAGGTGAAAGTTATTTGAAAGCAAACTTTCAAGTTTGAGAGAGACTTCACATTCAAATCCTATCTTTGATGTTTGCTGTTTGTGAGATCCCAGGAGCATATTTTACCTCTCTGGATCTTCATTTTCTGGTTGATAAATGGAGAAAATAGCTACAAAGTGGTTTTGATGATATAATGTGTTAAACTGTATTAAGAGCTTAGCTCAGTGCCTGCAACATTGTGGGTATTCAGAAAAACATTAGTACTGCACTCCTTTCCTTGCCTTCTATTCCTTAAATTATTCTTGGTGAGCATTAACCATGGTTTCATTCTAGGTTCTCTTATTTGACCTACTTCAGCTTTCTACTGTCCCCTCACTCTTTTATTTTTATTTTTTATAGAGATGGGGTCTCACTATGTTGCCCAGACTGGTCTCAAACTCCTGGGCTCAAGCAATTCTTCTTCTACCTTCCAAAGTGCTTGGATTATAGGTGTGAGCCACTTTGCCTGGCCCCTTCACTCTTTTAGATTGACTTAGTCAGTGCCCATGAATATATCCCAGACATTCACATTTAATGCAACTTCTTTTCTGAGTCTCAGGCCAAAATTACAACTATCCGTCATGGAGTACTGATTCACAAGCACCAAATTAAGAGACATTAAGATCCAGTTTCACAAATAAGCTATGGCAACAACCAATTGAATAACATTAGATAATTCACCCTTAGCTTTCTATCTTACAGGAGCTGTTTGGATCAGAAGATGACATCCTTTCACCCATCCCTTTCAGGTTTTGACATCCTAAAATGTACCTTATGGAACCCATACCTGTTATGTTTTCACCTGTACAAGGCAACAGAGAAAACATGGTAGTTTTTACTTGAGTAGATGTGACTTAGCAATATGTTGTTGCTGACCTCCATCCCACAGCACAAAACATATGTTTATATGTCTGACAGACAAAGTATCCAGAACAAGGATTTAGTACCTTCATAATCCTCTGTATATGTGGTTCTAGAACTTTTGGTAAAGAAACTCTTTATACTCTTATTAATTATTGAGAACCTCAAAAAAAGTTTATATGTTATATGTATCAATATTTACCACATTAGACATTAAAGCTGACTTAAAAAGTTAAAATACTTAAGTCATTTGAAGTAATAATAAATGCAGTTACATACCAACTTAATAACATTTTGCGAAAATAGCTATTTTTCAAAACCTAAAGTGAGAAAAGTGGCAGTTTTCCATTTTTGCAAATCTCTTTGCTGTCTAGCTGATAGAAGACAGCTGGATTCTCCTATTTGCTTTTGCATTCAATTGTTGTTTTGATTGAAGTATATGAAAAAAAATCTGGTGTCATACACATATATAATTGGGAAATGGAAGAGTATTTACACAGGCTTTTTTAGATATTCTTCCTTTATACTACATCAAAACTTGATAAGTTGCAATGTTGTGAATTGGCCCAGGGCTTGGCCCTCTGAAGATTTGCTGAAAATCACTGACATGAAGTAGATTAATAGGATAAAAGGCATATACATTTATTTAATGTGTATACACAGCGGCCTTTAGAATGAAGACCCAAAGATACAGAAGAAATTGTCTGTTTTTATGCTTAAGTTTAACAAAGAATGGGCAGCCGTGTAGAGATAGGATAGGACAAAAAGGGCATAATCTAATGCTAGCTGACTGAGTGAGGAAGCCCAGCAAGGCCTGTCAGTGTCTCCTCAGTATGAGTGAATTTTGTGTACTCTGATAATACATTAAAATCTGTTTATGTACTCTGATAACACATTCAAATCTGTTGTTCTGTTTTATACTTTAAATGCATCTTTTATAACCGTTTATGAATTTGTAATATTGTGTATTGATTATCTAAAAAATACAGGTCCAATGAGTTATTATTTTTTTTAATTTTTATTTTATTATTATTATTATTTTTTTTTTTTTTGAGATGGAGTCTCACTCTATCACCCAGAGCTGGAGTGTAGTGGTGTGATCTCGGCTCACTGCAAGCTCCGCCTCCTGGGTTCACGCCATTCTCCTGCCTCAGCCTCCCGAGTAGCTGGGACTACAGGCACCCGCCACCACACCCGGCTAATTTTTTTTGTATTTTTAGTAGAAACGGGGTTTCACCTTGTTAGCCAAGATGGTCTCGATCTCCTGACCTCATGATCCGCCCGCCTTGGACTCCAAAAGTGCTGGAATTACAAGCGTGAGCCACCGAGCCTGGCCAGGTCCAATGAGTTATGCAGATTTTCTAAATGTTGACACATTTCATTTTTGATAACCCAAAAGATCACAATCATTAATATTACCACAATCTCATCCAGTGTCTTCAAATATTAAGAATCTGTCATGCCCATCATGGCAAATACAAGTTCCCCAAAATTCTAGTTTTCTCTTGAAAGCTCACATATTATCATTAGCAATAAATACTGTCAGTTGCTTGCATTGTAGTGACAGGTTCACTTCATTCAATTAAAAAAAAAAAGGCTTCCAAATGCCCACATTTGAATAATAGTAGTTTGTCTATTAATTATTCTTTCAAGTAAAAATTATGTTCCATAATAAAAGTGGCCAGTTAGTTAAGGCTTGCAACTCAATCACATGAAAGCTTTTCCTCCAGATAACCAGGGTAGCTGGGTGTGCAGCAGACTAAAGATGTCTTCTTTACTGTGTCCTTTCTGTTTCTTCACACAGAATGTTAAAAAGCCAAATACTCAAGGATTAAAATTTAATAAAATTAAAACTATTGGCTGTACGTGGTGGCTCACACCTGTATTCCCAGCATTTTGGGAGGCTGAGGTGGGTGGATCACCTGAGATTGGGAGTTCGAGACCAGCCTGCCCAACATGGAGAAACCCCGTATCTACTAAAAATACAAAATTAGCTGGGCATGGTGGTGCATGCCTGTAATCCCAGCTACTCGGGAGGCTGAGGCAGGAGCATCACTTGAACCCGGGAGGCGGAGGTTGTGATGAGCCAAGATCGCGCCATTGCACTCCAGCCTGGGCAACAAGAACGGAAATCCATCTCAAAAAGAAAAAACAAAAAACAACTATTTACTGCTCTATCAAGGATCTTCTTAAATGAAACTTGCCATTTATTTCCTAGTGAGGGCTTGGGGGTAAAGCATGTGAGAATGACTGCTAGTACAGTTTGCTACCACTGACGATTTTCCAGCTAAGGCACTATCAGTTTTGCCCATCATTGTCTCTGCATCATCAATATAAATGTCAACAAAGTGAAAGATTAAAATGCCTTAGAATTAATATTAAAATCATTTTGATGCCCTGAAAGGGCTTCAGGGTCCCCCAAATATCTACAAACCACATTAGAAAATACTGGTTTGTATTAAGCATACCAAATGCAGTAGTGTACAAATCTGATTGTTTTACTTTGAGAATATAGACAAACTTTTGCACATTGAGAAGATACCTAGCAATAAGAACAGGAATATTGATAGCAACTCTGTTTCACGATGCATGGCTATAGGAACTAGTAATGTTTAGTATGACACAGAAGATTCAGAGGACGCAAGAGACACTGGGAAACTTATATGCCTTGGATACACATGTGAGATTTAGCATATGCCCTATGATCCCAAGACTGTCTGTATACCACTGGGGATTAAAACAAACATATTTCAGCTCTGCAAATGATGGAGTCTGACTGTGTAAAGATGGGAAAGAATTAACCTGAAATTTAGTTTTCTATTTCCAGTTTGCGTGAGGCAAAGGGATTTCCAGCATCTCATAGAAATTGGACTACTTGCCTTTTAGTGTTAATTCCAAGGCTGAACTCCCATGGCTCTAGAATTAATGCGGAGAAAATTTTGAAGATGGTATGGCTGTATTAATGATGGTCACTAGATTTTAAAATGTGAAGAGACGGAGATCTAAGCATTTATCAGACACTCAAGAAATTGGAATGAACAGATTGGAAGAGATTAAAATACTCATTGATTCATTGATATAGATAGAGGAAGATCATTTTATTTATCATTGTAGTTTTTGAAGATTTCACTATATCAGAGTAGTAATTTGTCAATCTTTGATCCTTTCAAATTAGACCCTGAATATTATTTGAGTTTTTTGTTTGTTTGTTTTTTGAGATGGAGTTTCACTCTTTTTGCCCAGGCTGGAGTGCAATGGCTCCATCTCGGCTCACTGCAACCTCTGCCTCCTGGGTGCAAGCAATTCTCCTGCCTCAGCCTCCCGAGTAGCTGGGATTACAGGCATGTGCCACTACACCTGGCTAATTTTGTATTTTTTAATAGAGACAGGGTTTCTCCATGTTGGTCAGGCTGGTCTTGAACTCCCGACCTCAGGTGATCTACCCACCTTGGCCTCCCAAAGTGCTGGGATTACAGGCGTGAGCCACTGCGCCTGGCTTGAGTTATTTTTTAAGGATTTTCAAAGTGGAAATGAAAGGAACAAAAATCCAAAAGTCATGGAAAACTCTTTATAATCATCTCTCGATAGTCCTTTCCACAGATGAGGAAATTAGCTTTAAAATATTATATGACTAAAGCTGTACCCTAAATGGTAGGTAGGTATTCAAAAGTATTTAAGGTCAATAATTGTGATCTGATTGACAACAAAATCATCAAACATAGCCATCTGGATCACTTACTGAAAAAGAAAGTCCTGTATTTTTGAACTTTACATTATATCGCTGAATAATTATGTAGGAGCAAAGTTTCATATTATTGAACAATTTAAATCTTAAGAATTATCTCCAGATTCATGTGTGTTTCAGATCTAAGGGCAGAAAGTTATCTTACATAGCCTAAATAACATGTTTATCAGTTGTATTTTTCTGGACCCAGATTATAGAAAAGGACAAAACTATCCTTAATTTAAAAGTTAGCAACTTCTGTCAAGAAAAGTTTGTGCTTTACAGGACAAAACAACAATAGCAGAAAGTGCTACTCAAGGGGAAGGTTTGTAATCTAATCGTCCTTTAACATTTTAATGGCCTTAATTGTAATCCCTAAAGATAAGATTTTAAAATATGTGTGTGTGTCCATAGCAATTGCTAATAATCTCAATGGGGGAAACAGATTAAGATCTACATTATAGAAATAATCTTCCTTGGAAATCATATGGCATTTTATCTTATTCCTGAAAAGCTTAACAAGCTTTCCAGCTTTTTATTTATTTGTTTATTTATTTTTTTTTGAGATGGAGTTTCGCTTTTGTTGCCAGGCTGGAGTGCAATGGCGCGATCTCAAGTCACCGCAACCTCCGCCTCCCAGGTTCAAGCGATTCTCCTGCCTTAGCCTCTTGAGTAGCTGGGATTACAGGCACCTGCCATCATGCCCAGCTAATTTTTTTTTTTTTTGGTACTTTTGTAGAGATGGGGTTTCACCATTTTGGCCAGGCTGGTCTAGAACTCTTGACCTCAGGTGATCCGCCTGCCTCGGCCTCCCAAAGTGCTGGGATTACAGGCGTGAGCCACTGCGCCTGGCCTCCAGCTTTTTTAAACCCCAAAAAGATGTGCTTAATTTCTGGAGACTGACTTGTTTCTTATTAGAGCGTGTAGTTGTTCAGCTTTTCTAGATAAAAGAATCTTCTTTGATAATTTGGGATAAAAAGTGACTCTGTTCCCAAATTAATAAATATGCATTTGAAAATTTTCTCACAATTCTGGGGACATTACAAACTGCCATCCCTCAGGCATGTTCATGGACAGATTAAAAAGCCTCTTGTCCAATAGAAATATTGTGCGGTCTTTGGAAAGACTAAGAAATCCAAAATCTTCCTAGTTAATTAGAAAGTAAAAAGCTTAGGAAACTTGTATTTTCATCTACAACATCCCTAAAGGAGAAGTTCCCAAGCTTCAGAGTACTTACAAATTTAAAAAGAAGACAAAGGGAGAAAAAAGTTAAGCCAACTTTAATTTTTTTCTAATGATTTACACTAATTTTCTTTTGATGCATCAATTTGAGAGAGAGAATATCAAACTAAAGAAATCTTAGTCATTTGGGAGAAAGCTAAGAAACTGGGAATAAAAGATTTTTCAAGAATCCATTACATTTCCCTTTTCCCAGGTATTGACACCTGATTTTATATTTTTTAGGAGAATAAGAAAATCCAAACTCTATTCCAAGTTTTCAAATTACGAAGCCTGTTGTTCACACACACAGGTGGCTGAAATCCTTGTCGGGGTGGAGGGGACCTAAACCAATTCAGTAAAGTGAGACTTCCTACCTTTATCCAAGAGAGGTGTTAGCTCCAAGACCCAATTAGTAGAATTATCATTCCAGTTGCAAATCCAGGGCTGGTACTGTCGCTATCAGTCCTAATAATGCAATTATTCCAATTCCAGGGCTGGTACTGTCACTAGCAGTCCTAATAATGCCATTAAGAAGTGCAACTCCAGGTATTAGTCACATCCTGCCTACCATGGAAGCCATAGCAGGGTAACTTGAGGATGAAAGCAAGCAATTGAGAAGCTTACCAAATACATTATATTTTTGTGAATTATAGGTGTGTTCTCTCTCATAGCATTTTCTTTCTAGTATTTTAAGGTTTCCAAGTTCAATCCAGATCAGTGCCGGATTGAGAACTTAGTGTTCAATGATTCCAACTATATATTATGTGTAGGCAGAGAACCAGGACCTAGTTTGATTTTGTTCCTGACTCATCTCTTGCAAACAGCACCTGTTGTTTGTTCACACCAAATTTATCAGGCTTCTAATTAAGCAAATTGTTTGTTTTGAAAAGCCAGGTGGCTTCAAGAATCAGAGGTGAAAAGGAATGTAAAGCTGTACTTCTCAAAGTGGTCCGAGAGCGGCCTCCATTGCAATGATTTGGCTGCTGTTAAAAATATAAATTTTGTGTCCAAACCCCAGACCTAACTCATCAGAATTTACAGTAGTGGTTCTGGGAATATATCTACTTTGAAAAAACTTCCCCAGGTCATTCTTATACAAACTCGGAAGTTTGGGAACTTCTACTTTGGAGGGTGTTGTAGATGAAAACACAAGTTTCCTAAGCTTTTTACACATACCTCTTTAAAGTTATATTTGTGTCCTTAACTCTAATTGGATAACAAAACAGTAACAATGCCTATTTTTGCAGAATAAGATTGTAAATTCCAATTTTTTTTCTCTTTAATGACAGTATGTTTGTCTTGAACACCCTGAGGCTTATGTAATCAATAGGTTATCTGCTGGCACATTAATCCAGTGATTTCTGTTACAGGTGAGACAATATCAAGTATAAAATTGAGGGTTTTAGACTTGAACTACCGATTTGGGGCACCCTCACACTTCTATCTGCATGGTCTTGGGAAAGTTGCTCAATCTCTCTAAGCCTCAGTTTCTCTGTATTTATATTCTCTCTTTATGAAATAGACATGGTAGTAAGAGAAGTTCATTGTGGGGAGTAAATAAAATTATCCTTTGAAAGCTCTGATAAGCAAGATACAAATGTTTGCATAATTATGGGTGTTGTTGAAAACACTGTTAGGTTGAAAGATGACATGTGTACTCATCCCTAAGAACTTGCTCCTTGGTTACAATGAAGATTTTCAATTTCTTCTATTCTGGTAGACTTCCTGCTATTGTATACTTCTATATTATGCTCAGAATTCAAAACTGTAAAAAGCTGGTCAAGACTTCTTGAAGGCTTACGAGCTACAAATGTGATTTTTAATTCCTAAAGAAAATCCCTTTAAAGTACTAATTAAGTATCAGCTGTAAGTATGTAGTTTAGAAGGAATTTACTATACGCGTTATTCACCATGTCTACTTAAATAATAGGAAGCTCCACGTTCAAAAGGCTTAAAAGACAAGTTTAAAATATTTCTTCGAAATAGTTGTTTTTGGCTGGGTGCGGTGGCTCACCCCTGTAATCCCAGCACTTTGGGAGGCCAAGGTGGGTGGATCACGAGGTCAGGAGATCGAGACCATCCTGGCTAACACGGTGAAACTCCATGCATACCCTTGCTTCATCGCATGCCTCCAAATGAATGATCTGAGGTGCGAGGAGGTCAAGCGACCCATCCAGGTCACACACAGTAGTAGGTCAGAGATTCAGGCCAAATTGAATTTTTGTGCCAGGGCTTTTGACAAGTTTCTAGGAGTGTCTGAGAATAAATAGTTAGCTAAAACTGAGTCTTTACACCTTTGTTTTAGAGCAAAGAGAAAGGATACCTTTGTTTTTATTGATGTTTTCATTCAATTCAAATTTCTAAATAAAATAAAAAAAATTCTAAATATAATAATTGAGACATGACTTATTAACTCTCCTCCAAATAACTGAATTTATACTGCTATCACATTAGAACCCTAGCAGAAGACTTCACCTCTTGGAAATTCCGGCCAATTTGATCTACTTTTGGCCATCTCTCCTTATTTTGAGCCATCATGTTCACTGTTGCTGCATATTCATTCACCAAAAGTTTATTAAGCATTTACTGTAGTCCAGGCACAAGTCTTGTCATTAGCATTTGCAGGGCTCCGCACAAGAATACTAACAGTGGCTCATATGCCATATGCCTAAATGCCTAATAGTTAGAAAACAAGTTGGCAAAATATTTGCCAAAATTAGTTCTTCCTACTTTGACAAAAAACTTTGCATGGCCAATTTGAAATTTAGAATTCTCAAATGCTTCAGCATACTATGCCAGAACCACAGTGCAAGGAGAACATACTAGCAGCCACCAGCACCCAGGTACCAGTCTCCTGCCTCTGGCCGTCAGCCCATGCCTCTTTTTTCTCCACTTACGGCCACATCCCATAACATGATGGACTTTGCACACATGCCTTGAAAATCCTAGCTTGCACATTGAAGCTCATCCACAACTCCAGCAATCAGGCCCCCTTGCACCATTCTTTGTGGACTCCTGTCCTCCAAACTCTTTAGTCTGATCTGACCTTAAACTTCCCAACCTAATTGCAAACTTTTTTGTTTACAGTACATGATATTAAACAAGTTAGTGCACATTTTCATTACAATACCTCTCAGTCCCAAACTACTCTTTCTGTCTAAACTACTCTTTTTCCATCTCTGTCCACTTCAGTATTCTAACTCATCTCTCTGTCTCTTAGCTCTGACAGTACTCCATGACTAACTTTCACATCATAGTCATCATCTTTTATAGTTATGTGTGTGTACATATATATATCATTTTGCAATTGTGTGTGTGTATATATATGTCATATATACATATATACAATCATATATATGTCAAGTTTGCTATTGGGTTGATGTGTATATATATGTCAAGTTTGCAACATATGTGCATGTATGTTTGTGTCTACGTGTATATATATATACACATATACACATATATGTACACCTACACACATATATATGTACACATGCACATATATTAAAACATATATACATGCCACACGTGGTGGCTCATGCCTGTAATCCCAGCACTTTGGTAGGCTGAGGCAGATGGATCACCTGAGGTCAGGAATTCAAGACCAGCCTGGCCAACATGGTGATACCCTGTCTCTACTAAAAATACAAAAATTAGCAGGGCATGGTGGCACACACTTGTAGTCCCAGCTACTCAGGAGGCTGAGGCAGAAGAATTGCTTGAACCCAGGAGGTGGAGGTTGCAGTGAGCTGAGATCACGCCACTGCACTCCAGCCTGGGCAACAGAGTGAGACTCTATCTCAAAAAAATTAAAAATAACACAAAATACACACACACACACACACACACACACACACACACACACACATACATACGTATATATATATATATATTTTTTTTTGTTTAGAGACAGGGTCTCGCTCTGTTGCCCAGGTTGGAGTGCAGTGGTGTGATCATAGCTCATTGTAATTCCAAATTCCCACAGAGAGGGCCCTGAAGGGACAGTACTTGTAGAGAGAGGAATGGGATTTTTGGTATAACTTTACTTCATTTATTGTATAGTGCCAACATTTACTAAGTTTTCCCAGCTAGAGATTAGCTTCTCGTCTGCTACTTCCCTCATTCGATTAACAATCAAATCATTTTAATTTTACCTTTAAATATTTTTCAAATCCAATCTCCCCTCTCTAGCTCATGTATCATTCTTTTGTTTAGGTCCTCAGTATTTATAAACAGGTCTTCTGGTCATAAATTAGTATCATATGAGCCATCAGTATGAGGTATGTGAAGTGCACAAATCTAAAATGTCATTTTTGTTTCCACAAATATAATTGTATGATAAATAGAATATATGAAACCAGAAGGTAAAAGTAAATCCAATTATAATGGCAGTTACAATGAATATAAATGTGTCAAGCTTACTTGGAAACAAGAGACAGAATTTTATTCTGGCTAACACAAATACAATACATTCATGAGTCTATTTTTTTTTTTCACCAAACAGATTTTTTTTTAAGCAAACAAAATATAATGAATTAAGAAAAAACTAGTAGAAATTTGGAAATGACAGGTAATATACACCAAAGGAAATCCAGGATAGTAATTTAATATCAGTGTTACCTTATTCTACCACTGCTACTACATAGTAGAGGCTTATGTGTTTTTTATACTTATTGATTTGTTATTCACTTTGCCAATTAGCAATATCTTTTTTTGGTCTCATAGTCAAATACAGTTGCAAACTAGTAGTAGTAGAATGAAATAGCAACTAGGATTATAAGACTATATAAGAAAACCTAAATTAATAGCTAGGTATTTTTTAAAATTCTCATAGCTTTTTAGACATTTCCCCTTTTCTGATATAAGTATGTAGCCCAAAAATTTCCCTCTCAGCACTGTTTTAGCTATATCCCACATATCTTGATATGCTGGGATTTTTTTTTTGTTTGTTTTCATTCAGTTCAGTGTGTTTTTAAGTGTACTTTAATACTTTCTCTTTGACCCATGGATTATTTTAAAATGTAATTGTTTAGTTTCCATATGTTTGGTGCCTTTCTGCTCTTTCTGTTATCAATTTCTAGTTTGATTTCATTGTGGTCAGAAAACAGATTCTTTATAATTTCAATTCCTTTAAATTTTTTGAGGTTTGTTTTATGAACCACGATATGTCTTTCTAGGTGTATGGGTTTTTTTGTTGTTGTTGTTTGTTTGTTTTTTTGAGATGAAGTCTCACTGTGTTGCCCAGGCTGGAGTGCAGTGACTCGGCCTTGGCTCACTGCAACCTCCGCCTCCCAGGTTCAAGCGATTCTCCTGCCTCAGCCTCTCGAGTAGCTGGGATTACAGGCATGCACCACCATGGCCAACTAATTTTTGTATTTTTAGTAGTGACGGGGTATCACCATGTTGGCCAGGCTGGTCTCGAACTCCTGACCTCAGGTGATCCACCTGCCTCAGCCTCCCAAAGTGCTGGGATTAAAGGCGCGAGCCACCGCCCCCGGCTCTAGGTGTATGTTCTGTGGGTACTTGAATATATTCTGCTCCTGCTGGATGGAGTGTTCTATAAATGTTGATTAGAGCCTATTGGTTAATGATGTTTTTGAGTTCTATTATTTTGATGTTTTTGAGTTCTATTATTTTGCTGATTTTTTTCTCTAGTTCTTTTCTCAATTGTTGAGAGAGATTGTTGAAGTTCTAACTATAATTGTGACTTTGTCTATTTCTCCTTTCAATTCTGCCAGTTTTGCCTTCACAGATTTTACAGTTCTGTTGTTTGATGCATACATATTTAGAATTATTGTTTTCTTGGTACATTGACCTTTTTATTATTATATAATGTACTTCTTGGTGTATGGTAATTTTCATTGCTCTGAAATCTATTTTAGGTAATATTAATACAGTCACTCCTGTTTTCTTTCAATGTTTGCATGGTATATCTTTTTCCATCTTTTTATTTTCAACATGCCTGTATCATTATATTTGAAATGAGTTTCTTATAGACTACATATACTTGTGTCATGTTTTTTATTCCAATGTGCTTATCTGTGTCTTTTAATCAATATATTTAGACCATTTACATTTAATGTTATTATTATATTAGGGCTTTAGCCTGCCATTTAAATTTTTGTTTTCTGCTTGTTCTTTCTGATTTCCATTTCTACATTTGCACAGGCTGTTGCCCAGGCTGGAGCAGTGGCACAAACATAGTTCAGTGCAGCTTCAAACTCCTGGGCTCAAAGGATCCTCCCACCTTGGCTCCCTGAGTACTTGAGACTACAGACATGCATCACCACACCTGTCTAATAAACAACAACAACAACAACAACAACAACAACAAACAATTTATAGAGATGGGGTCTCACTGCATTGCCTAGGCTGGTTTCAAACTCCTGGGCTCAAGTGATCCTCCCACCTTGGGTTCCCAAAGTGCTGGGATTATGGGCATGATCCACTGTGCCTGGCCAAAATTCTGATTTTAATTCTTTTGGATAAATACCTAATCGTAAGATTGCTGAAATACATTATAGTTTTAATTTTTTGGCAAAATCTCCATATTACTTTTCATAGTGGCTGCAACATTTTTCATTCCCAACAACAGTGTGCAAGGATTCCAGTTTCTCCACATCTTTGCAATATTTGTTTTTTGTTTTTTGTTAATAGCCATCCTGACAGGTACGAGATGCTATTGTATAGTTTTGATTTGCATTTCCCTGGAGAATGGTGATGTTGAACATTTTTTTCATATCGTTGTTAGCCTGTATGTCTTTGGAAAAATGTCTCTTCAAGTCCTTAGCTAATATTTTAATTGGCATTTTAGTTTTTTTACTAATGAGTTGTAGAAGTTCTCTCTATATTTTGGAGATTAACTCGTTATCAGATATATGGTTTAGAAATATTTTTTCCTGTTCCACAAGTTGCCTTTTTACTGTGTTAGTTTCCTTTGCTATGAAGCAACTTTTTAGTTTGATGTAATTCTATGTTTATTTATTTTTTTTTTTTTTTACCTGTGCTTTTGGTGCTATATCCATGATGTCATCCTCAAAACTAAGCTTTTTCTCTTAATTTCCTTCCAGTTTTATAGTTTTGGGTCTTACATTTAAATTTTTTTTTTTTTTTGGTATTTTTCTTTTTTATTTATTTATTTATTTATTTTTTATTGCTCATTCTTGGGTGTTTCTCGCAGAGGGGGGATTTCGCAGGGTCATAGGACAATAGTGGAGGGAAGGTCAGCAGATAAACAAGTGAACAAAGGTCTCTGGTTTTCCTAGGCAGAGGACCCTGCGGCCTTCCGCAGTGTTTGTGTCCCTGGGTACTTGAGATTAGGGAGTGGTGATGACTCTTAACGAGCCTGCTGCCTTCAAGCATCTGTTTAACAAAGCACATCTTGCACCGCCCTTAATCCATTTAACCCTGAGTGGACACAGCACATGTTTCAGAGAGCACAGGGTTGGGGGTAAGGTCACAGATCAACAGGATCCCAAGGCAGAAGAATTTTTCTTAGTACAGAACAAAATGAAAAGTCTCCCATGTCTACTTCTTTCTACACAGACACGGCAACCATCCGATTTCTCAATCTTTTCCCCACCTTTCCCCCCTTTCTATTCCACAAAACCGCCATTGTCATCATGGCCCGTTCTCAATGAGCTGTTGGGTACACCTCCCAGATGGGGTGGCGGCCTGGCAGAGGGGCTCCTCACTTCCCGGTAGTGGCGGCCGGGCAGAGGTGCCCCTCACCTCCCGGACGGGGCGGCTGGCCGGGCGGGGGGCTGACCCCCCACCTCCCTCCCGGATGGGGCGGCTGGCCGGGTAGAGGGGCTCCTCACTTCCCAGTAGGGGCGGCCGGGCAGAGGTGCCCCTCACCTCCCGGACGGGGTGGCTGGCCGGGCGGGGGGCTGATCTTGAACTCCTGACCTCGTGATCCACCTACCTCGGCCTCCCAAAGTGCTGTGATTACAGGCGTGAGCCACCGCACCCAGCCCCCGCAATTTCCTTTTCACGTAATGCATTGGTAGTATATAGGACAACTGATTTTTTGCTGTTGATTTTATATCCTGCAATTATATTAAATTTATTTATTAAACAGTTTTTTTAATGGAGTTTTTAGTTTATATATATAAGACCATATAATCTGCAAACAGGAACAATTTTACTTCTTCCTTTCTGATTTGTATTTTTTTTTAACTTTTAGATTCAGGGGTACATGTGCAGGTTTGTTATATAGGATTTTAGGTTCAGGGGTGCATGTGCAGGTTTGTTATATAGGATTTTAGATTCAGGGGTGCATGTGCAGGTTTGTTATATAGGATTTTAGATTCAGGGGTGCATGTGCAGGTTTGTTATATAGGATTTTAGGTTCAGGGGTGCATGTGCAGGTTTGTTATACAGGATTTTAGGTTCAGGGGTGCATGTGCAGGTTTGTTATATAGGATTTTAGGTTCAGGGGTGCATGTGCAGGTTTGTTATATAGGATTTTAGGTTCAGGGGTGCATGTGCAGGTTTGTTATACAGGATTTTAGGTTCAGGGGTGCATGTGCAGGTTTGTTATATAGGATTTTAGGTTCAGGGGTGCATGTGCAGGTTTGTTATATGGGTAAACTCATGTCACAGGGGTTTGTTGTACAGATTATTTGGTCACCCAGATACTAAGCCTGGTACCCCATAGTTACATTATTTTTTTCTGATTTCCTCCCTCCTCTCACCCTCTACCCTCAGGTGGGCCCCAGTGTCTGTTGTTCCCCGCTTTGTGTCCATAAATTCTCATCATTTAGCTCCCATTTGTTTGTTTGTTGCCTGATTGCTCTGGCTAAGACTTGTAGTGCTATTTTAAATAGGAGTGGTAAGAGCAGTCATCCCGGCTTGTTCCTGATCTTTTATGATCTTAGAAGAAAAGCTTTCAGTTTTTCACCTGTAAGTATGGTGATAGCTTGGGCTTTTCATCAATGTCCTTTATTAAGTTGAAGTAATTTCCTTCTGGTTCGACTTTGTCGAGACTTTTTATTGTGATAGGGTGTTGAATTTTGTCAAACATTTATTCTGAATCTATTGAGATGATATGATTTATCTCATGTGGTTTATTTTCTGTATTCTGTTAATGTGGTATATCACATTAATTGATATTTGTATGTTGGGCTATCCTTGAATCCCAGGGATAAATCCTACTTTATCATGGTATATAATATTTTAAATTTATTTTGGGATTTGGTTTGCTATTTTTTTTTGTTTCTGTTTTTGTTTTTTTGAGACAGAGTCTTGCTCTGTCACCCAGGCTAGAGTGCAGTGGCATGATTTTGGCTCACTGAAGCCTCTGCCTCCCAGGTTCAAGTGATTCTCCTGCCTCAGCCTCCCGAGTAGCTGGGATTACAGGTGCACGCCAGCACGCCCGGCTAATTTTTATATTTTTAGTAGAGACGAGGTTTCACCATGTTGGCCAGACTGGCCTCGAACTCCTGACTTCAGGTGTTCCACCCACCTCGGCCTCCCAAAGTGCGAGGATTACATGCCTGGCTGGTTTGCTATGTTTTGTTGGCTATTTTAGCATCTGTATTCATCAGGGATATTTGTCTATAGTTGTTGTTCCTTTTTTTTCTTGTGATTCCTTTAAGTTTGGTATCAGAGTAATGCCTCACAAAATGAGCTTGAAGGTGTTGCCTTCTCCTCAATTTATTAGAAGAGTTTGAGAAGAATTGGCATTAATTTATCTTCAAATATTTGGAATAATTCAACACTGGAGCTGTCCAGCCCTGGGCTTTTAATAAAGAAATAGAAGTCTTAAATAACATTATAGATTAAATGGACCTAAATGACAAGTACAGAACATTACACCCAACAGCAGCAGAATACACATTCTTCTCATGTGCCCACAGATCTTTCGCCAAGATATACTACATGTTAGGTCATAAAACAAGTCTTTATACGTTTGAAAAGACTAAAGTCATATCAAATATCTTTTATGAATACAATGGAATGAAACTGGAAATTAATAGAAGAAAGAAAACTGGGCTGGATGCGGTGGCTCACGCCTGTAATCCCAGCACTTTGAGAGGCCAAGGTGGGTGGATCATGAGGTCAGGAGATAGAGACCATCCTGGCTAACACGGTGAAACCCCGTCTCCACTAAAAATACAAAAAATTAGCCTGGCGTGGTGGCGGGCACCTGTAGTCCTAGCTACTTGGGAGGCTGAGGCAGGAGAATGGCGTGAATCCAAGAGGTGGAGCTTGCAGTGAGTGGAGATCCCACCACTGTACTCCAGCCTGGGTGACAGAGTGAGACTCCATCTCAAAAAAAAAAAAAAAAAACCTGGAAAATTTACAAATATGTATAAATTAAGCAACACAGTCTTCAATAATCATTGGGTCAAATAAGAAATCAAAAAGAGAATTAGAAAATATCTTGAGACCCATGAAAAGAAACTACAACTTACGAAAACTTACGGGATATAGGAAAAGGAGTACTACTAGAGAAGTTCATAGTAATAAATGTCTACATTACAAAAGAAGAAAGATCTCAAATAAATGACCTAACTTTATACCTTAAAAAACTGAAAAAAAAGCTCTATATAAAAATACTGACAAATTAATGCATATATATATAATATATATATATAAAGTTAAAATTAAAATATGAGACCAGGTGCAGTGGCTCAGTCCTGTAATCCCTGCACTTTGGGAGGCCAAGACAGATAGATATCTTGAAGCCAGGAGTTCAAGACCAGCCTGGCCAACATGGAGAAACCCCATCTCTATTAAAACCCCATCTCTATTAAAAACCCCATCTCTATATAAAATTAGCCAGGTGTGGTGGCACATGCCTGTAATCCCAGCTACTCTGGAGGCTGAGGCACAAGAATCACTTGAACCCGGGAGGTGGAGGTTGCAGCGAGCTGAGATAGTGCCATTGCACTCCATCCTGGGCCTGGGCGACAGAGTGAGACTCTGTCTCAAAAAAAGAAAAATTAAAATATGATATTTATCATTATTTTTATAATACTCGAATGGAACTTTTAAAAACCTTGACTGAGAAAGAGAAGAGATATAGGCATCTTCTATATGCTGCTTAAATCTGACTTCCCACTATTAAATATATTTCTTTCAATTAGCTGAACTGGTAAAGTGAAGTTGTCCACTAGAAAGTTTTCATTTTCTGTGATAGGACCCAGATCATTATTGACTGAACTCTAAATAGTTTTTGACAGATAACTGAGAAAAATCCACCTGAAGACAATTTTAGCTTAATAAATATTAATATGTTTGCAAGTTACTTAAAAACATCAATTTTTTTGAGACCTGGTCCTTATTTTGTACACACGCACACACACAGACACACAGACACACACACACAAATATGCTTTATAAAACAAAACTATATCCTCGCACCTGCAACTTCTGGGTGGCAGTAACTTGACATTCGAACCCATGTGATGGAGATGTTAATTTTCTACTCTCTTTGGACACTGGAACAGATGCTGTCTTAAACTTCAAAGGGATTTGACAACTTTTTGAGTTTCATTAATGAACAACAACTTTTCACAGCCAGTTTTTTTTTCTTTCTGAGAAAAAAAACAACTAACAAAACATACAAAGGAAAAAGATCAATGAGGACTTCATCAGTATTTTCTTTCCGAAGTAATTTTAGGGATAGAGAGGAAGTCAAATTCAAAACATTTTATCTTTCCCAGGAAACTGGACTGCAGTATATTTATTGCCTTTTAAATCTGATGGTTCATCTTGTGGCCTCTCATCGTGGCAAGGGACGCAACTCATCTTGCTAAGATAGACTTTAGGAGATAATTTGTTAAAGTGCTTTATAAAAAGAGAAAAACAGAATTGATGATAAACATTTTTATTTTCTTTTGTGTGTGTTTTCTTTACTATCTTATCTATTTCTGACTGTTTTGTTTAGCTCACATATTAATAACACAATTCTTACTGTTTAAAGAGAGTAGTTAAAGAAAAATAATAAAAATTCAATACTTTTGAGTATTCCTTTAGAACAGGTAGGTTCTGAAGGGAAGAAAGTAAATCGAATAATGTTCTGACCCCCCAAACTTAAAAATTTTTCCAACTCTATTAGAAAATTTTACTTGTGTAACACTAATTTATTACAGAGAATTTTTTTAAATCATGATGACTTATTTGTTAATATTGTACTCACAGTTGCAAATATCTTCAAGAGAAGCAGATAAAAGATTTGGGTTCTAAGTGAGCTAGACATAGATTGAAATACCAGCTCCACTGTTGGATAGCCACATCATTTTATTATTTTTTCTTTTCTTTTGGAGCAGGGTCTCACTGTCACTGAGGCTGGAGTGCAGTGGTGCAATCGTGGCTTACTGCAACCTCTGCCTCCTGGACTCAAGTAATCCTCTCACCTCAGCCTCCTGAGTAGCTGGGACTATAGGTGCACACCACCTCACCCAGCTAATTTTTGTATTTTTGTAGATACAGGTTTTGCCATGTTGCCCAGGCTGGTCTCGAACTCCTGAGCTCAGGCAGTCCCCCACCTTTACCTCCCAAAGTGCTGGGATTATAGGCACGAGCCACCACACTCAGTCACTGCTGTGTCATTTTAAACAAGTAACTTAAAACTTCCAGCTTTTGGTTTCTGCTTTTATAAAATGATGTGATAATAATGATCTATTGTGCCTTAATTAAAACTATTGGAACCCAGATGTGTTTTGGAATTTAGAAGAAAAACATTTTTATGTACAAACTTTTATTGAGACAATGGTTCAATATAATTTAGATGTTTATTAAACTCCTACTTACGCATTTTTTAGGCACCATGAATAATGTAAAAATAAGTACAAATTGTCTTTGCTGTACAGGGTAGGCCCCTATTCTGTGTAATAGATGCAGATGACTGGAATGAGTTATTCAATTTCATTATAGAGACATACAATTCTGTGGAAGCTCAGAGGGAGAAAATGAATTCTGATGGAGTGGGATAACTCAGGGAAAAGTAGGAAAGAGATGGTATTTGGACTTATTTTGTTTCTTCAATTTCTTAATTTTTCACGTTCCTTTTACTATTCTGTTTAGAATATTTGTCTTTTCTTTTCTCTTTTGTGAAAATTGTAACAGTAGTCCCATTCATGTCATTACAAATTCAAACCCTGGGTGGATGGCACTAAAGTATTTGTATCAGCTAAGCCCTACTTCAGGCTAAAAACACTAAACATCACAGCCAGTGGTGATACTAAACTTGAAAGGTTACAAGTGTACCTGATTAACCTTATTATTATTAATTATATATGTTTTCCAATTTAATGGTCTTATGAAGATAGCATTATTAAGGTATAGTTTACATACCATAAAATGTATTTGTTTTTAAGTTGATCTTCAGTAAATTTACAGAGGTATATAGCTATCACCACAACCCAGTTATTAAACATTTCCCTCATCCTGAAAAGAGAGAATGTAGAAGTTTTGAACGATAGAAAGTCAATGAGGTGCAAACACTGTATATCATCTGTGTCGGTCCATTCTTACATTGCTGAAAAGAAATACCTGAGACTGGGTAATTTATAAAGAAAGAGGTTTAATTGGCTCATGATTCAGCAGGCTATACAGGAAGCATAATGCTGGCATTTGCTCGGCTTCTGAAGAGACCTCAGGAAACTTACAATCATGGTGGAAGGTAAAGTGGGAGCAGCCATTTCACACGGCTGGAGCAGAAGAAAGAGAGAAAGGTGGGGAAATGCTACACAGTTTTCAAAAAACAGATCTTATGAGAACTCACTCATTATTGCACGAACAGCACCAAAAGGATGGTGCTAAGCCATTCATGTGAAACTGCCTCTATGATCCAATCACCTCCCACCAGGCCCTACCTCCAACATTGGGGATTACAATTGAACATGAAATTTGGGTGGGGACACAGATCCAAATCATATAATTATCTAACAATGTACTAATGCATATTAACATTCTCAAGTGATTTGGGACAGTACTGCATTATAAAGGATATTGCTCTCATCTGTAATCCCAGCTACTCCAGAAGCTGGGGAGGTAGGAGGATGGCTTGAGACCAGGAGTTCAAGACCAGCCTAGGTAACATGGCGAGACCCTCTCTCTAAGAAAATTAAAAAAAGAAATTAGTAGGGCATGGTGGCCTGCTGCTGTAGTCCCAGCTACTCAGGAAGTTGAGGCAGGAGGATCGCTTGAGGCGAGGAGTTCCAGCCAGCAGTTATGATTGTGCCACTGCACTCCAGCCTGGGCAACGGAACAAGGCTCTAATTTCTAAAGAAAGACAACCAAAGATATTATTAATATTTCTGTAGTGAATTAGATAAATATTCACACTAAATGGAATAAAGTATGTCTACAAATAGCTTTATGTCAATCAAGGCAGATTTTGCCTCTAGGGGAGTTCAAGTCATCCAATTAATTTTGAAATGCTTTCGGTGTTTGGAGCTTCTTTGATTTTGAAATTGCACCTAAGGTATCGTGGACCTGTAATATTCACATTAAAATCATTGTGAGAGTTACAGAGTAAAGTGCTTAGCACCGTGCTGCATACATAGCAGGCTCAATCTCACTGTATATATGTATATGTTGATAATTAATTAAACCACCATATTAGAAAGCATGTGGTATAGTTTCAAAAGCACTGTCTGTGTGGCAAGGAGACTAAGTTCCAGGACCCACTGTCTTGTAAACTGGTGTGAGATATCAGGGTAAGATGAAGCTAACATTTGATACTTGTGAATGAATCAACACTTTGCACGTGTTAGTTTAATCTTTATATCAAGATTATATGCCATAGATATGCTTTATTATTCCCATTTTATACATAATGAAACAGAGGCACAGAAAGTTTAAGCAACTTGCCTAAAATCACAGAGCAAGTGGTGGAGGAGAAACTCCAACCTAGGCATTCTGATTCCAGAGCCCATCTCTAAAATGCCAGGCTGTATTTGCTAAGTCCGGTTAACATTGCTGAAATTCTCTGAGCCCTGGTCTTCTAACTCTTGAAATAGAGAGGTAACAAAAGTGCAGATTTTAATTTACTTAATGCTACAAACTCATAGTGTTCTGGAACTGAAAGGGATCACAGGGCATATATAGTCCAAATTAACATTTTGGATGAATGAAACTAAGGTCTAATATTAAGCAACCTCCTCATGGTGACACAATTAATGAACAACCTAAATCCTAGGTCCTCCAGCTTCTGGAAAGACAATCTTTGTTGAATCTCCAAAACATCATCTAATAAGAATATACATATTAACATGGTCAGATACAATAGTCCTACTTTCATGTTTAGAAAATAAATAATGAGGCCAGATGTGGTGGCTCATGCCTGTAATCCCAGCACCTTGGGAGACCGAGGAGGGCGGATCACTTGAGGTCAGGAGTTCGAAACCAGCCTGGCCAACATGGTGAAACCCCGACTCTACTAAAAATACAAAAATTAGCCAGGCATGGTGGCAAACACCTATAATCCCAGCTACTCAGGAGGCGAGGCATGAGAATTGCTTGAACCCTGGAGGCGGAGGTTGCAGTGAGTTGAGATCGCACCACTGCACTCCAGTCTGGGTGACAGAGTGAGAATCTGTTTCAAACAAATAAAAAATAAATAAATAAAGAGCACATTAATCTCTATACTAATAGAGGCATATTGTAGATAGAAGTAGGTATAGAATAGACATAGCTGATATACAGTAGATGAAGGTCTAGAGTGCAGGAGGTATGGAGTAGTATATAGTAGATAGAGGTAGAGAGTAGGTTCAGAGTAGGTAATACGGAAATATTAAGAGAGCGCGGTGGAAACACTGAGACAGGGTCATTCATCCTTCTGATAGTGTGTGGGGCAAATAGAAAACACAGAGAGGAAGTAACTTTTGAACTCTTGAAAAATAAATAGAAGTGGCTTTGAAGACAAGCAGGCCGATTGAGACAGTGAAAAATGGTTGTTCAAGTTGCAGATCCAGGATAGCCATCTCAAAGCCGCTGTCTACCCTCCTGGTTCATAACCTTTAGGCCACCTGAGCGCCAAGCTGGAAGTTTATGTGATCAATGTAGGACTCCACACTCCATTTGGGAATTACAATCCTTAGCCTTTTAAGTGTCAAAATTAATAGAATGTTTTGGTTAACTGCAGTTTCAGAAACATAATTTTTATTTGCTTTGAGTGCCCAACTTCCTGCCATCAATAGTTAGAAGATATTTTTAATTCTTTCAGCTTGTTTCTTCTAAATAAAGGAGAAAGGACGGCACCCATTTCTTATCTTTACATCAAGAAAAGTGTGGAAACTTAACATACCTTTTAGCAATAAAAAGAAATGTTTATTGAGTATTTGTAGGAATCAGGCAGTGTGCTAAACCTTTTATGTGCATTTTCTTTTTTTTTTTTTTTTGAGACGGACTCTCGCTCTGCCACCAGGCTGGAGTGCAGTGCTGTAATCTTGTCTCACTGCAACCTCTGCTTCCTGGGTTCAAGCGATTCCCCTGCCTCAGCCTCGCAAGTAGCTGGGACTACAGGCGTGCACCACCACACCTGGCTAATTTTTTGTATTTTAGTAGAGACAGGGTTTCACCATGTTGGCCAGGATGGTCTCAATCTCCTGACCTCGTGATCTGCCCACCCTGGCCTCCCAAAGTGCTGGTATTACAGGCGTGAACCACTGCACCAGGCCTCATTTTCTATTTTAATTCTCATGACCACTTTATGAGAGAGGTACCAATAGTATCCCAGATAATTGGGAAGCATAGAGAGACTGAGAATACGTTCAGTTGTATAACCCTGAGAAAGTTGCTTAATTTTTAGACCTCAAAGGAGGTACAGACTCATGCAGTGCATTAGTTAATATGGTTTGGCTGTGTCCCCAGCCAAATCTCACCTTGAATTGTAATAATCCCCACATGGCAAGGACGGGGCCACATGCAGATAACTGAATCATGGGGGTGGTTTCTCCCATACTGTTCTCCTGGTAGTGAGTAAGTCTCATAAGATCTGAGGCTTTTACAAATGAGAGCTCGCTGTACAAGCTCTCTTCCCTGCCACCATGTAAGACAGGACTTTGCTCCTCATTCACCTTTTACCATGATTGTGAGGTCTCCCCAGCGATGTGGAAGTGTGAGTCAATTAAACCTCTTCCCTTTATAAATTACCTAGTCTTAGTGTGTCTGGTGGGTTCTTGGTCTCACTGACTTCAAGAATGAAGCCATGGACCCTCGCAGTGAGTGTTATAGTTCTTAAAGGCGACGTTTCAGGAGTTCGTTCCTTCTGATATTCGGATGTGTACGGAGTTTCTTCCTTCTGGTGGGTTCGTGGTCTTGCTGGCTCAGGAGTGAAGCTGCAGACCTTCTCGGTGTTACAGCTCTTAAGGTGGTGCGTCTGGAGTTGTTCGTTCCTCCCGGTGGGTTCATGGTCTCGCTGGTTTCAGGAGTGAAGCTGCAGACCTTCACGGTGAGTGTTACAGCTCATAAAAGCAGTGTGGATCCAAAGACTGAACAGCAGCAAGATTTACTGCAGAGCGAAAGAACAAACTTTCCACAGTGGAAGGGGACCAGAGCAGTTTGCCACTGCTGGCTTGCGCAGCCTGCTTTTATTCTCTTATCTGGCCCTACCCACATCCTGCTGATTGGTCCATTTTACAGAGAGTGGATTGGTCTGTTTTACAGAGAGCTGATTGGTCCCTTTTGACAGGGTGCTGATTCGTGTGTTTACAAAACCTGAGCTAGACACAAGAGTTCTCCATGTCCCCACTAGATTAGCTAGATACAGAGTGCTGATTGGTGTATTTACAAACCCTGAGCTAGATAGAGAGTGCCAATTGGTGCATTCACAATCCCTTAGCTAGACATAAAGATTCTCCAAGTCCCCACCAGATTAACTAGATGCAGAGTGCCGATTGGGGCATTCACAAAACCTGAGCTAGACACAGGGTGCTGATTGGTGTGTTTACAAACCTTGAGCTAGATACAGAGTGCTGATTGGTGTATTTACAATCCCTTAGCTAGACATAAAGATTCTCCAAGTCCCCACCAGACTCAAGAGCCCAGCTGGCTTCACCCAGTAGATCACACACCGGGGCTGCAGGTGGAGCTGCCTGCCAGTCCCGCGCTGGGCCCCTGCACTCCTCAGCTCTTGGGCGGTTGATGGGACTGGGAGCCGTGGAACGGGGAGCGGCGCTTGTCTGGGAGGCTGGGGCTGCGCAGGAGCCCCCGGCGGGGGCGGGGCGGGGGCGACGACGAGGCTCAGGCGTGGCGGGCTGCAGGTCCTGAGTCCTGCCCTGCACGGAGGCACTTAAGGCCTATCAAGAAATCGAGCACAGCAGCTGCTGACCCAGGTGCTAAGCCTCTCACTGCCCGGGGCTTGCGGGCTGGCTGCTCTGAGTGCGGGGCCCGCCAAGCCTACGCCCACCCGGAACTCGCGCTGGCCCGCAAGCGCTGCGCGCAGTCCCGGGTCCCGCCCGCGCTTCTCGCTCTACACCTCCCCGCAAGCTGGGGGAGCCGGCTCCAGCCTTGGCCAGCCCAGAAAGGGGCTCCCACAGTGCAGCGGCGGGCTGAAGGGCCCCTCAAGCGCGGCCAGAGTGGGCGCCAAGGCGGAGGAGGCGCCAAGAGCCAGCGAGGGCTGTGAGGGCAGCCAGCATGCTGTCACCTCTCATTAGGTATGTCTTTATTAGAAGTGTAAGAACAGACAAATACACTAGTCTTCAAGGGGCGTTTTCAAAATGTGATGAGTTCATTTACAATTATTCACACAATGTTAATATGGCTCATAATTTTCTCATTGTAACATGTATTTTATGTCAATTGAGATATTATTTCAAAATACTACTTTATATGGAATGAATAAGAGTGTTTACTTTCAAGACATTAAAAATCAGAAGGAGGTCCATATGCATTTAAAAAAATTAAAATATAATACCAATGTGCATGGAGTTTTGTTTTGCTTTGTTTTGAGACAGAATCTTGCTCTGTCACCTGGGCTGGAGTGCAGTGGTGCAATATCAGCTCACTGCAACCTCTGCCTCCTGAGTTCAAGGGATCCGTGCCTCAGTCTCCTGAGTAGATGGGATTACACCTGCACATCACCACACCCTGCTAATTTTTGTATTTTTCCTAGAGACGGGGTTTCACCATGTTGGCCAGCCTGGTCTTGAACTGCCCGCCTTGGCCTCCCAAAGTGCTGGGATTACAGGCATGAGCCACTTCACCCAGCCCACATAGATATTTTAATTGTGCAAATATTTTTTAGAAATGTAATGGGAGGGCCGGGCGTGGTGGTTCACGCCTATAATCCCAGCACTTTGGGGGCCCGAGGTGGGTGGATCACCAGGTCAGGAGTTTAAGACCACGAACCTAGCCAACATGGTGAAACCCCATCTCTACTACAAATACAAAAATTAGCTGGGCGTGGTGGTGGGTGCCTGTAATCCCAGCTACTCGGGAGGCTGAGGCAGGGGAGTTGCGTGAACCCAGGAGACGGAGGTTGCAGGGAGCCGAGATTGCGCCACTGCACTCCAGCCTGAGTGACAGAGTGAGACTCCGTCTCAGAAAAAGAAAAAAAAAAATGTAATGGGAGGCTCTTTTCTCTAAGATTTTTTTAAATCATTAAACATTTTCTTTTAAGTATTACTTTTACAAAAGATTTATATTAGAAGGTTTTTTTTTAAAAAAGTTCTTTAAAAACTTTTAAGTGCACAAAAACTAAAGCACATGTGAACAACACGGACTTATTTCCATTCTGCTTGCTTTCAAATCCAAACTTAGGGAAAAGGCTAAGCTCTCCCAGAAGATGCTTTCAGAAGTAAAGGCATCTGTAAAATTAGGGCAGTTCATGCATATTCCAGGCAGCTTGTTGATTACACCAAAACTTGTGTTCAGTTCATCAGCTCACTCCTAAAAAAGAATAGAGACTTTACAAAACCGAGAATAAGGTGAGGAGTCTTAGTACTGATTTGCCTGTCTCTACAATACTGCTTTTAAATCCGTTTATAATCACTCTTAAGTCAGCCCCACCCCATTCAATCCTATTTATTGTTTTAACTACAAATTTCTAGAAACGAAACTGACAATACACTTCCAGTAAGATGTAATGAGACTAAATTGTCAAATTAACAAGGCAGTGAGACACAGCAAAGGCAAATGATTTCACAAGCTGCTGTCAATTCCAGCTAAATCAATCCAGTGTATCCAATGGAATGGAACAGAGGCCTGCTGTGTTCTCTACTCTGGGAGATAAACAATGAAGATGACTTGGTTGACAGGAAGTCTCTAATCTAATACAGATAAGCCATAGAAGCCAGCCAAGTAGTTATATTCAGTGCTGCCAGGGAGGTGTGAGCAGGTTGTCACGGAATAGTGGAAGTTGGGGAGACGTATTTAGAAGGGAGAGAAGGGGACTGTGGGAGGCAGGTGGCTGGAGAATCCAGAAGACATGATGATGATCTGTGTATTCAGTTTGAATCTTGAAAGGAGGATAGGATTTCTAAAAGTTGAAAAGGAAGTGGCATTCAAAATGAAATAAAGTGCCTGTACAAAGGCATTGTTATCAAAACAGGAAAGTGTGGTTTGGCTGGGGTGCCCTTTTGTGAAGGGTCAGAGGAGGGAGCTGTCCATCTAAACCTCTTTGTAAAAGCCTTGAGCTAGCTCATCTAATCCTTGATCTAGAGGGTAAATAATATCAAATTACCTGTGCATTTTCTGCCAATTATATGTGATACTTTAAGAGTTATGTAGTTATAATGACTATAAATATGTAAAATTTTTACATATGCAACCTGCTAAGCATTTTACATTTTATCTTATTAAAAAACAAAATTTTGGCTGGGCATGGTGGCTCATGCCTTTAATCCCAGCACTTTGGGAGGCCAAAGTGGGAGGATCACTTGAGCCCAGGAGTTCGAGACCAGCCTGGGCAACACAACGAGACCTATGTCTTCAAAAAATTTAAAAATTAGCCAGGTATGGTGGCATGTGCCTGTAGCCCCAGGTGATTTTGAGGCTGAGGTTGGAGGATTAGTTGAGCCTGGGAGCTAGTGGCTGCAGTGAGCAGTGATCATGCCACTACACTCCAGCCTGGGTGACAGAGCAAGACCCCGTCTCAAAAAAAAAAAAAAAAAAAAGAGAGAGAAAGAAAGAAAGCAAAAAAAAAAAAAAAAAAACTACACACACAAAATTTCAGCAAATTGAATTTAAAGATCTAATTGGCCTTTGTTAGCTATTTATGCACTGGGCAGCGTTTCTTCTAAAGATTTAGATAAGGAACTCCTACGGACATGGCAGAATGGTTGGTTTTTATCAGATAGCTTGAGCAGGAATAAGGAAATGCATAATACAAGAAGCAGATTGGCTGACATCAGGTTATTTCTGGTTATTTTCCTTATTAGTGTTAAAGCAGAGGGGATTTCCTCATTCATGCTGGCTAAAACTGGCCTGTGTGGGAATTTGGCTATGATCTGTCTCCTGATTTCTCAGAAGATCAGATAAACAATGTGGTTTTGGTCTGATGATGTGGAATCTTAGCGTAAGTGGCTCCATTTTGATTTTGTCCGTTCTGTTGGGGCTCAGCCCAAAACAATGACCTCCCATAAATTTCAGTTCACAATCCTCAACACAGCAGGGAGGAAGGTTCCACCGTTAACTCTATTTTCCAGATAAGGAAATCGAGATGAAAAAGGTTAAGTAACCTGTCTGAGGTCCAAAGGTAGCAAGAAGATTTCAGATTCTAAAGTCACATGCCTAACTCTTCATATGTACTGAATGTGTATTACATGTCTGGCTTTTTGCTCAACAGTGGAATTATGTAAATGACTAAGACTGACAGTCTGTCCTCTCTGGGACCTTTTCTTGTGTACCCAATGATGTACCAGTTTAGTTCAGGTAGTGTAATAAAGAGAAATAAAGCCAGTAACAAAAAGCCAGTAATAAAAGGAATCTTAATGTTCGTTAATCGCAACTGATTAAGTAGTTAAAAAGGAGAGGGGGAGAAACCTGCCTGGAAAGAGAGCAGAGAAAAGAGAGGTAAAAATATCTGTGTGTCTATGATAGGATGAGCTAACCAGACTAATGGTAATGTAGTGTTTATGATAGGACATCCTGGAGAATAAAGAATAATTGTATGTATTAAATACCTGATACACTGAAAGCTACATGTTATAACGTGTATTAGTTTTTATAATTCTCATGACAAGCTTATGAAGTGGGTATATAATGGTCCTATTTTATAAATATGAAGAACATGAGGTGGGTATATAATGATTCCATTTTATAAATAAGAAAAATATAAGGTTTGATTGGTAACTTGTGACCATATATAAAACAGTAAAATCTGTCATGATCATGTCTCTTCCCTCCCTTTAACTAGTAACCTTAGTTAAAACTTTCTGCTGCAGATTAGCAATAAGTATTTGAAACCACAGCAACCCCAGAAACATTTAGAACACAATAAATGTATGTGGGATGCAAGTGTATCCAAGAACACAGTGTAATTCGGGACAAGAAGGTTTGAGCAGCACTTCGTTGGAGGATTCAAGAGCTTAAGTGAAGGCTTGAATAAGAGCTCCCAGGTAGACAAGCTAGGCTTTCTTCAAAAACGGAAAAAACAGTTTCTCTGTAAAGTTGGCAATCTGTAGAGAAAGGATTCAGCGAGTTACCCTCTCAACTTCAATTTTGCAATTTGTCTTTCTGGTACTTAACAACAACAGCAACAATAATTACTATTTGTTGAGCACGAACAGGGCAAAATGCTATGTTGACTTCTTTTCATACCTCACCTGGAATCCTTTCAATTCAGGTGAGAATCATCTTCTGTTTTGTAGATGAAAAAGCTGTGGCTCAGAGACTTTATGTGGCTTGCCCAATTTGCTAAGGGTTAATAGAGCCAAGATTAAACTCATATTTTTTTTTTCCATTAGACCATCTTATAGTCATCTGATTCTTATTTCATCTTACCATGAGAAACCAATGGACCACACTGAGCTGATGTGATTCCAGTCAAAAGCAGATAAATTGTGCGTCAGTTGACATGCAGCCTTGTTTATGCTAAAAGTGGCGAGAAATAGCTGGGTTTCCTGAGGTACTGAAATTGGTGTTGGATCTCTATCCTTCTCCATTAGTGATTTGTATTGGGACTAGATTTTAAACATTTCTCTGTGTTTTGATTTAATCATCTGTAACACAAGGATGTTGGATTAGAAATCTAAAATCCATCACAGCTCTGTGATGGTTTGACTCTTAGCTTCTATCTTCTGTTTCCTACAGGACTAAACACCTCAATAGCCTAGGTGTTATGGATTTTAGGTTCTGGGCTGGTGATTTTTGGAGACCTACCAAAAGAAAAGAGCATCTTCTGTTCTTAAGGGCAGCTTGTCTCTTTCCTCCCTCAAGATGTTGTGCTTAAAGTGTTTCTCATGCTGAAGAGATGAATGAGCAACTCCTAGTTATCTTTAGGTTACCTGACTTTGTGAGCTTATCAGTTTGTCCTGTTTGATAGTTCCACTGTCCTAAACAGTAAGTTGGACTTTGTGGCTTTGTAGCTTCCTCACAAATCATCACATTTGAAAACCGGAAATATAATAGAAAAAATTATCTCTTATTCCCAAGAGATAAGAAAAAGCTCCAAGAAGCTCGTTTGTTGAAAAGCACTTAAGAACACGTTTTAGGGATCCTCAGAAATCTACATTCCAGCCTGACTCCACATCTACCAAGCAGAATCTGAAGGAGTTCAGTCTGCTTTCTCTCCTCCACACTCAACTGATAATGCAAAAATGTCGGAGTTGAAGCAGCTGTGGCATGCCTCTATCAAGCTGTCTCGGAATTGGAAAGTGGGAAGAGGCATTTCAGAGAGTCAAGATATAATCTAGGGTTCAAACTGAACCAGGTCTCTAGCCAGATCCAGGCTTGGTCAGTGTCTGAACATGGCAGCCAAGTTTCCATCAGCTTTGCTATAATTAACATCTGTATAGAGAATCATTTCTTAGTCATAGAAAATGAAACAAAATAGGAAGTTAACTAGCTGTTAGAGCTTGGATTTCATTTCTGGATAAATCAGTAGTCATCTCACAAAGATATTCTTTTTGTGCATAATCTCAAACCAGCTAAAAGAAATGGGATGAAATAAGAGAAGGTCTGTTAGCAGCTGCTCTTAAATTTCCCCCTGTTGTCAGGACTTGTCTTAGTTTGGGTTTTGAACTCTTTTAAGTGGTGGTTGCCATTTTCAACTTTAGATAACCCCATAAATCTGGAAATAGTTAATGTGATTCATCTGGGAATCTGTTATTGTAATGACCTGTGTCCAAATGTCGGTTTTATAGTCATACCTATTCCAAGAGCTGTGTTCTGTGAAAGGATGGCAAGTCATGGTTTCTGCAAACCTGAGTCACTATTTCTACCTACATAAAGCCTATGATTTAACCTGAGTTTGAATTTGGCTTTTCTTTAAGGCTCCAGGCTGAGTTAGGACTGCTGGGGTGGAGATTAGGGTTACAGTGCGGGAGGAAGGACTTTAGCTCATTGAGATGAGTAAAAAGTGGATCAGCCATTAGTAAGAAGACATTTTAATTGTTACAAGGTTACAAATGTTTCAAAGAGTTATTTTTGTAAGCTCCCTTTGTGATATGAAACCTGAGGCATTTTTTTTCCCTGAAGATAAAAGACAGTAAGAGTTTTAGCAATGCTGACACACCTTCTCCTCTTCCTCTTCAAAAACTTCATCGCCTTCATCTCAGTTCATCAAAAATAAATTGAGGCTCTGTTTTGTAAAAAGCTCCCCTCTGAGAGGTTATAGATATGAAGAGGACAGAGTGCCTGCTCTCAGGGCTCACGGTCTTGTGGGGAAGACAGACATGTATACTGTAATTCTCAATCAGGGTGAACTAGGACGAGTGCAGAAGTCATTTCCTCTTGGAATCCTTCTCTGGCTTCCCCAATGTGAGTTTTTGACCCCATAATACTGTGCTTGTGGCCAAGGATGCCTGTTGCCAATGGGTATCCATTCTTCCCTTCTTTTTAGAACCAGAACTTCAATTTTATTTGGGGTAACTTTGTACATACTACAATAATATATTTCCCAGTATCCTTTGCAACTACATGTGGCCATGTGACTAATTTTTGGCCAATAAAATGTGAGTGTAAGTACTGTATGGGAGCCACCAAAGGGACCTGACTCAGCGAGGAGGACTTCCCCTTTTGTGTTCCTCCTTGTGATGGCCTATCCTGTGAGATGTGTTGGCTAGGTATCCACGAGCTACTATAGCTTGGTCTATGAGATGACCTTGAGCATGGAAGCCATGTATTGAGGATATCAGAGCAGAAAAACAGGAATGTCATCATCTGTAACACCGAATGTTGGATTAGAAATCTGAAGTCCGTCATAGCTCTGTGATGCTTTGACTCTTAGCTTCTATCTTCCATTTCCTATGGGACTAAACACCTCAACAGCCTGTGTTATAGATTCCTGAGAACTTAGTGGAGATGCCCTATCAGACCAGAACTATTCTACTGGCAATAATTTTTACATGAGAGAGAAATGTATTTATATATTTTATAAGTTATGTTGGGTTTTCTTTTAAGTGCAGCTGTGAACCCCAAATATCTGACAGGTCTCAATCAGTTTAGGAAGTTTATTTTGCCAGGGTTAAGGATGGGCCCATGACAGAGCTTCAGGTGGTCCTGATGACATGTGCCCAACATGGTTGGGGCACAGCTTGGTTTTATACATTTTAGGGAGATATGAGACATCGATCAGTATGGGTAAAATGTACATTGGTTCTGTCTGGAAAGGCAAGACAACTCGAAGCGGGGAGAGGGCTTCCAGGTCACAGGTAAATGAGTGACAAATAGTTGCATTCTTTTGAGTTTCTGATTAGCTTTTCTAAAGGAAGCAATCAGATATGCATTTATCTCAGTGAGCCTAGGGATGACTTTGAGTTCTGTCTGTCCTCTGTCTCCTTGTGGGCAAATTGTGAGACAGGTACGTGGCTATCTTTTTTAGGCACACAATGGGAGGCAGGTTTGCCTTAAGCAAGTCCCAGCTTGACTTTTCCCCTTCATTTAGTGATTTTGAGATCCTGAGATTTATTTTCCATTCACATGGCCAAACCTAATCATAACTCATACGTCTGCCATAAAACTTAACACACTGTATTTGCTTATTTGGTTTTCTAATTCTCCATATAGAGGGACTTTATTTTTACATTTATTTATTTATTTTCAGACAAACTCTCACTCTTTCGCCCAGGCTGCAGGGCAGTGGCATGATCTTGGCTCACTGTAACCTCCACCTCCTGGTTTCAAACAATTCTCATGCCTCAGTCTCCCCAGTAGCTGCACCACCATGCCCAGCTAATTTTTTTGTATTTTTAGTAGACACAGGGTTTTACCATGTTGCCCAGGCTGGTCTCAAACCCCTGAGCTGAGGCAATTCACCTGCCTGGGCCTCCCAAAGTGCTAAGATTACAGGTATGAACCACCACGCCCAGCTGGGACTTCAATCTCATTAAAAGAATAGGCCTTATTTTTTTAGTCCTCTTTGTGAAGATTTATGTATTAAATTAGCATGTACAGGAGTTCACTCTGAACATGTAGTGGGTGAACAGGGCCAGGAAAGATAATCTTCAAAATTGGGAGGACCGTGTTATGTCCAAAACATTATCTGAACGGGGACTTGAAGGGTATACTGGATCGTAGGAATTCACAGGCAGAAGGCTAAGGACTCCTAAAAGGAAGAAACTGCACCAACAGTGGCTCAGAGGCAGGGTCAAGGAATCAGTTGAAATTTGAGGAATAAAGAATGATAAGAACTTGCTTTAAGAGAGTATGCCAATTATTTATTAATTTGCTCTTAGCTTGATTCCCTTTATTCTGTACTCTGCTATGTATTTTAGGGAAGTTTGGATCCTGTAAGCTGTATTTTCAAAGTGCTCTTTCTGGGAAGCACCGGAAAAAGATTGAAAGTCAGAAGGAGGAAATAAGAAACTCTCTTCTTTATTCTGGTTTCTGGCTACAACTCTTACAGTAGTGGCGGTGGCAAAGCAAACAGTGGTGAAAGAATAGGTGCAAGCAACAGAGGTGAAGGTGGCCCTGCAGAGGCAGTGCCACCATGGTGGTGACTCCAGTGGCAGCAGCAGCCAGGGAGAGAAAGATCCTGGGTCCCCACTCGGGAAGCTCAGAAAAAACAAGAGCAGGCTCAGCAGCGCAGAGCCCTTTGCCTCTGGGTTATGCACTTGTTCTGCAGCCAGGGTAGTAGCACTTTCACCAAAAGTCTTTAACTCATGAGTGCCCTAACCTTTTTTGCTTTTCTTTCTTTTTTTGAGAGAGGGTCTTACTCTGTCACCCAGGCTACAGTGCAATCGTGCAAACATGGCTCTCCGCAGCCTCCACCTCCTGGGCTCAAGCAAATCTCCCACCTCGGGCTCTGGAATAGCTGGGACTACAGGTGTGTGCCACCATTCCCAGCTCATTTTTATTTCATTTTATTTTATTTATTTATTTATTTATTTATTTATTTATTTATTTTTAGTAGAACTAGAGTCTCCCTATGTTGCACAGTCTGGTCTCAAATTCCCAGGCTCAAGCCATCCTTCTGCCTTGGCCTCCCAGAGTGCTGGAATTACAGGAGTAAATGAGTAAATGAGTAAACCACTGTACCTAACCATTTCTTCACTTTTAAAAATGGAGTTTATGATGATTGAGACCCTTAATTTTAACTTAATAAACTTTATCATTCTTTTACCCTTCAATAAAAGTCTTTTGATAATTTTTTGTGAAATAATTTTCTACACCAAGATGGTAAAGATAGTCTTCCATATTTCCTTCTAAAAGTTTTACAGGATTGCCTTTTATATTTGGCAATAAGTTATGAACATTGACTAAATTGATTTCAGTTAAATTGAAAATTGATTTTTTGATTGGATGAGATAGGGATTCAATGTCATTTTCAGTCATATGAGTTTAAACTTGCTCCAGCATACTTACTAAAAAGCCTTTTCTTTCCAGTGGTTCCATAATTTCATCTCTGTCATATATTTAGTATCCATACATGTATGAGTTTACTTTTGAACTATCTGTTCTACTTGATATTGTTTATTTACAATTATCTGTGCTAATACCACACAATCTTAAATATCATAGTTTTATAATAAGTCTTGTGTATTAGTTAGAGTTTTCCAGAGAAATAGAAGCAACTGTGTGTGTGTGTGTGTGTGTGTGTGTGTGTGTGTGTGTAAATATCTATCTATCAAGAGATTTTAAGAAATTGTGAGGGCTGGCAAGTTTAAAATATGCAGGGCAGGCTGGCAGGCTAGAGATTCAAGATCCTGGGAAGAGCTGATGTGGTAGTCTCAAGTAGAAAGGCAGTCTGAAGGCAGAATTTCTTCTTCCTTAGGAGTCCTCAGTCCTTTTAACTTAAGGCCTTCAACTGATTAGATGAGGTTTACAAACATTATGGAGAATAATCTGCTTTATTGAAAGTCTACAAATGTAAATGTTAATAATATCTAAGAAAATACCTTCACAACAATATCGAGACTAGTGTTTCTTTGACCGATCATCTGGGCACCGTAGCCAAGCCAAGCTGATATAAAATAAACCATCACAATCAATATGTGGTAGAAAATTCTCCTCACATTTTTCTTTTTCTTTGAGAATCTTGGCTACCCTTAACCTTTTACATTTTCATAAATAATTTAAAATCAACTTGCCAATCCAGGAAGATACCTTAGAAATATTTTGAAAGAGATTGTCCTGAATCTGTAGTTCAATTCAGATTTATTGAAAAGCAGATGTGGGATACGAGAGGACAAGATGAGTCAATTAGGACTTTAAGGTATTTATCCTGAGCAAGAGAAAGGATGGTTAGGACAGGTTTAGGAAAGAAGACCTAGAGTTTGCTTCTGAACATACTGAGTGGGACATATAAATTTGGAAGTTGTTAGCAAAAAATGGCAGTGAAAGTCATGAAATTGGATGGGATCTTCCAGAAATGGATGCAGAAAGAACAGAAGTAGTGATAGGATTAAGCCTTCAGCATTCAGTGTTTAGAGATCTGCAAGATAAGGAGGACCTAAAAAAAGAAAACCAAGTACAGTTACTGAGTTAGGAAAACCAAGAAAGTGTGGTTTCCTAAAAAGCTGTGCTAGAAAAATATTTCAAAGAGGGGAGAGTGACCATTGATCCAAAGCCTACTGATAAATCAAATAGGCTAAATACATCATCATTGATTAGGTTTAAGGCAGTGCAGATCATTGGATATTTTGGTAACGTGGTGGGGGCTGTATCATCTGACTAGAGTGAATTTTAGAAAAAGTGGATTGAAGGGAATTATAGATTACATTTTCTATAAATTTTATACTATAAAATCACAACAAAGTGGTGCTTCAGGAGACTGCAGTATCCTGGAAGATGGTGGTTTTTGTTATTTGTTTAGATGAGAAAAATATTTCTAGACAGAAACAATAACTGATAATTCATGAGAGAGGGAAGAATTGATAAAGCATGTCTCTAGGTAGTCTAGCTTTTAATATTTTCCCTATGTATTTTACTCTCATAAAGGAATTTTTATAGCAATAGCTTTCTATGTAATTTATTCTCTGCAGTTACACTGTAAACTCTTTGTAGGCAGGAATGAGGATTGAACTTTATGCTTGGTGGTCAGTAATAGGAGTTTGTAGTTGATTGATTAATTGATTAGTATCATATAGTGCTAATGATTATGGGATGCCTAATGAATTAATGGCTCCCAAGGGCTTTGTAAAGCTGAAGCTAGGAGTGGGGCTAATTATTCTTAAACACGAATGGATGGCTTTTTTTTTTTTTTTCGAGACAGGGTCTCATTCTGTCACCTAGACTGGAGTGCAATGGCATGATCTCAGCTCACTGCAACCTCCACCTCCCAGGCTCAAGCAGTTCTCCTGCTTCAGCTTCCCAAATAGCTGGGACTACAGGTGAGCATCACTACCACCCGGCTAATCTTTGTATTTTTAATAGAGACAGGGTTTCACCATGTTGGCCAGGCTGGTCTTGAACTCCTGACCTCAAATGCTCCACTCACTTCAGCCTCTCAAAGTGCTTGGAGTACAGGCATGAGCCACGGAGCCTGGCCCAAAGGGATAGCTCTCTAATGATGGGATTTTAGAAACCTGTAGCAAGGGATTAGGAGAATGGGACAGGAATTCATCCTAGTCTTTACCACACGTTCTGACTAAAATAACATGTTTCCTGTCATTAATGCAAATAACTACTAAGCTCTCCTTGTGAATGATTGAATGATAAAACTTAGCATTGCTAGTCATAAGCATAAATAAGCAGACATGCAGTATACCAGAGCTTCAGTGACAGATTTGCCAAGCCTACTTGCACATTAAGAAAGCAATATCCACACCTCTATTCCCTGGGATGATTCACTTCCTAAACAAAGTCCCCCTGATATGCTTTCTTGAAGAACAGAGCTTTGTCACTGACTTGCAATTGGAGAGGTAGGCCCTGGGTAGTCAGAAATTCCTTGAGTTTACCCATGACTAACAAGAGAGGTCATAATAGCAAGGCTCTCTTCCACTCCCTTCTAAAATAAATTTTCTTCTTACAGGGTCTCCAATATTTGAGAACTGACACATTCAATGTAAAAATAATCTGAGTAAAACCATCATCTAGTCCCTTTCCTTTGAGACCCATTTTTTTTTTCCTCATCCACATCCTACCTATAAGGTAACAACCATCTTTAAACAGTCTCCTTTACAACTTGTTAGGGAACAAAGTGAAATATTGCTAAGGCAGGAGGGAAAGTTAAAAACTAAAAAGAAAATCTACGATTTTGTGAAAATGTACACATTTCATTTCTGCTCTAAACGTGAAATAACTTGTCCTATGGCAATATTCTGTGTAGGATAATGAGCCATATACTGTGGAGTGCTTCAGACATTGTTTCTTCCAAGGTTTATTTAATAAGCATGTCTTGATTACCTACTTTTATGAGTTTATGGATGGGTGAATAAATATTTGCCTTCCTTTTCCCACTGCCATTGCCTCAGTGGAAGTGCCGATAACTGCTCCTGTGAATGAGGGTAGTAACCATTCAACTAAACTTCCTTCTTTTAATCCAGTGGCATTCACACGGATTTGCTGGCACGACCTACAAAAGAATTTTGGAAAAACTTTTTTATCCCTTCACAGATTTCTAAACTGACACCTAGACATTTTCATTTTAAGTTTGCATAATTGCAAAACATGTAATATCTCACCTTATAAAATGGGCATTAAAGATTGTTGTATTGCTTTAAAGAATACCTTATGGAGGCCAGGCCAGGCGCAGTAGCTCACACCTGTATTCCTAGCACTTTGGGAGCCTGAGTTGGGCGGATTGCCTGACCTCAGGAGTTCAAGACAAGCCTGGACAACATGGCGAAACCCCATCTCTACCACAAATACGAAGAATTAGCTGGGCGTAGTGGTGCGTGCCTGTAATCCCAGCTACTTGGGAGGCTGAGGCGTGAGAATCGTTTGTACCTGGGAGGCGGAGGTTGCAGTGAGCTGAGATCATGCCACTGCACTCCAGCCTGGGCCACAGAGTGAGATTCTGTCTAAAAATAAAAATAAAAAAAGGAATACCTTATGGAATTTAAGTTCCAGAATGATTTGATATATTAAATTACAAAAATTACACCTTTCTTAAAGTATAATTCACATACCATATAAAGAACCCATTTAAAGTATCCAATTCCCTGGACACTTTCAGTAGTCTTTAGTGTATTCACAGGATGGTGCAGCATCTACCACAATCTAAATTTCGAATATTTTTGTCACCCCTAAAAAAAGCTGTATACCCATTAGCAGTTTCCTCCTCCCTCCCTCCCTCCTTCATAATCTTCCCTCCCTTCAGCCCTAGGAAACTAATTTACTTCACTTTATGTAGATTTTCCCATTCTGGACATTTCATATAAATTGAATTATACAATTATGAGTCATTTGTGACTGATTTCTTTCACTTAGCATGTTTTCAGAATTCATCTATGTTATAACGTGTATCAATTCTTTATTACTTTTTATTGCTAAGTATATTTCATTGTATGCATATGCCACCTTTTTTTTTTTGAGGCAAGGTCTGGCTCTATTGCCCAGGCTGGAGTGCAGTGGCATGATATCAGCTCACTGCAACCTCTGCCTCCTGGGCTCAAGCCATCCCCGCAGCCTCCCAAGTAGCTGGGACTACAGGTGTGCAACACCATGCCAGGCTAATTTTAGTATTTTTTTTAGGGACAGTGTTTCGCCATGTAACCCAGGATGGTCTCAAACTTACGAGCTCAAGTGATCTGTCCACCTTGGCCTCCCAAAGTGCTGGGATTACAGGTGTGAGCCACCGTCCCCTGCCTTGCATATACCACCTTTTATTTATTCATTCATCAGTTGAACATTTGGGTTGTTTTCAGTTTTTGACTATTTGAATAATACTACTATGAACATTCATGTACAGGTTTTTTGGGAAGCAGCTTTTCTTTTGGGTAAGTACATACCAATGAAATTGCAGGGCTATCTGGGAAGTTTATGTTCAATCTTTTGAGAAACCAAAAATAATGCTGTTTTTCAAAGCAGCTGCACCATTTTATATTTCCACCTGCAAAGTACAAGGGTTCTAATTTCTTCATATCTTTTTTTTGTTTGTTTTTGTTTTTTTGGTTTTTTTTGAGGTGGAGTCTCACTCTATTGCCCAGGCTGGAGTGCAGTGGCCGCGATCTCCGCTCACTGCAAGCTCCGCCTCCCAGGTTCATGCCATTCTCCTGCCTCAGCCTCCTGAGTAGCTGGGACTACATGCGCCCGCCACCACGCCCGGCTAATTTTTTTCTATTATTAGGAGAGACGGGGTTTCACCGTGTTAGCCAGGATGGTCTCAATCTCCTGATCTCGTGATCCACCCACTTCGGCCTCCCAAAGTGCTGGGATTACAGGTGTGAGCCACCGCACCTGGCCAATTTCTTCATATCTTTTCTAATATTAATCTGTCTTTTTGATTAGAGGCATCTCAACGAATGTGGAAAAGTAACTCAACTCATTGTGGTTTGGATTATGTAAAGATTAATGATGTTGAGCATTTTTTCATGCATGTGTTGCTTATTTGTATATCTTCTTTAGAGATATGTCTATTCAGATCCTTTGCCAACTTTTAAGAATTGGGCTACTTGTCATTTTATTACTGGGTTACAAGTCACTTATACATTCTGGATACAAGTTCCTCATCAAATATATGCTTTGCCAGTGTTTTCTCCCATTTCGTTTGTTGTCTTTTCACTATCATGATGTTTCAGTGTGCAACACAAAATTTTTTTTAACCAAATATATCTAATTTTTCTTTTGTTGCTAATGTTTTTGGTGTAGCATGCAAAAATATATTGCCAAACCCAAGGTCATAAAGATTTTACTCCTAAGGTGGCTTCTAAAATTTAATAATTTTTGGCTTTTACATTAAATCCATAATCAACATTAATTCTTGTGTACGTGTGGCATAGAGGCTCTCCTCCATTCTTTTGCATGTGGATATACAGGTGTCCCAGCACCATTTGTTGCAAAGACTTTGTTTCCCATTGAATTATCTTATAACCCATTGTTAAAAGTCAACTAACAAAAATGTAACCAAATGTGAGGTGGTGTTGTTGTTTTTCTTTTTTTGTAGACTTTTAATTCATTCTATTTAAATAGCTATTCTTGTGCCATTACCACTATTCTTGATTAGTATAGCTTTGTAGTAAATTTTGAAATTGGGAAGTGTGAGTCCTTCAATTTGACCTTCTTAGTAAGCATGGTTTTGGCTATTCTGGGTTCTTCGGATTTCCAGAAACATTTTAGGGTCAGTTTATCAATTTCTGAAAAAATCCAGCTGGGATTTTGATAGGGATTGTGTTAAATTTGTAAATAAACTTGTTGAGTATTTCTACATTTTCAATATTAAATGTTACAATACCTAAACATAGGATGTCTTTCCATTTATTTAAAAG
This sequence comes from Homo sapiens, assembly GCF_000001405.40. Taxonomy (NCBI): domain Eukaryota; kingdom Metazoa; phylum Chordata; class Mammalia; order Primates; family Hominidae; genus Homo; species Homo sapiens. Next base: position 121,683,296 of record NC_000008.11, read on the forward strand.
TTGCTTGCAACACAATGTTTTGTTGCTTTAAGTATACAAGTCTTACACTACTTTGTTAAGGTCTTTTCCTAATCATTTTTTATGCTATTATGAAAGAATTTTTTCTTTAATTTCATTTTGTATTGTTCATTGGTAGCACAGAGAAATACAGGTAATTATTGTATATTGATTTTATATACTACAACCTTTCTGATTATTAGTTCATGAGTTTGAGTAATTTTTTAGTGGATTCTTTAGAATATTCTGTATACAAGATCAAGTCATATTCAAATAGAGATAGTTTTCTTTCTTTCTTTCATTTGGGATGCTGTGTATTGCTTTTACTTACCTAATTTCTACAGCTAGACCCACCACACAATGTTGAATAGAAGTAGCTAGGGCAGATTTCAATGTCTTGTTCCTGATTGTAGGGGAAGAGTTTCAACCTTTTCTCATTAAGTGTAATAGTAACCTACATGTCCTTCATGAGATTTAAAATTTTTTTCTTCTATTTCTAGTTTTCTGAATGTTTTTTAAAATCATAAAAGGATGTTAGATTCTGTTAAATGTCTTTTCTATGTCTATTGACATGATCACGTGGTTTTTGTTCTGTATTGTAATTATAAATGAGGTTTTGCATTGATTGTTTTTCAAATATTAAACAACCTTGAATTCCTGGGATCTGTCCATGGTTTTCAAAATGTCTATGGCTACTCATTGCCTAAACTTTAAATTAACATGACATTACAAGGCTTATCACAAATAGACTCTTGTCTAGCTAACAGTTAGGTTCTCCCTTTTGATTCCTTAGAGCAGTCACAGGACTATTGATTGTTTTATACTATAAAGACAGTTTCAGTCTCCTTTTCTTTCTTTGTGCTACTCCTTCTGTCTGTAAAGCCCTTCCCATACTCCACTCCAATTTTTTTCAGTATTATCTATAATTCCTTCATATTCTCCCTTCTCTGTAAAGAATCTCCCCACCACTTCTTAAATTTCTTTGCTCTTACAGCGTGATGTATACATCTCTAATTTAGTTCTTATTTTATGGCCCATAATGTGATTTGCTAATTGTGTAACTGTCTCCCCTTCCAAACTGTAAACTTGTGAGCTTGGATTATATCTTCTTTCCATTTCTAATATCAGCTAGAGAGATTCAAAAGCCATTACCAAGTTAATTTGCATATTTAGATTTCTCAAGAGTACTCACCATGATCTAGGTGGGTTCTACTATCTCCTAAACTCAGGTCACTCCTCTCAAGTCTTGGAGGGTCATTGATTATCTTCTCAGAAAGGGAAACAGTATCCCCCTTGAAGAAAAACTGGGAACTAATTTTTTATATGAAAATAATATCACAGAAGATCTGGACTATTAAAAAATATTTCTCATCATTCTAATAAAATAGAATAAACTCTATCATTCCTTCAAGCCATTTTCTGCATGTATATACATTTTCACATCAATGAAACCATAGAATACACACAATATGAAAGTCTGCTTTTCTCAATTAATATAAGAAAATGTATGTTGTTTCTTAAATATCATTTACAGCTGTAAAATATTCTGTTGAGGATGCCACCTAATTCAATTAACCATTCTCCTGTCCTCAAATATTTCCTTCCTCCTTCTTTTGGGGTTTTATAAAGAACAATATGGTAAACATCTGTGTGCATGTAAGTTCTTGCTTGCTTTCTTTTTTTTTTTTTTTTTTTGAGACAGAGTCTTGCTCTGTTGCCCAGGCTGGAGTGCAGTGGCGCGATCTCGGCTCACTGCAAGCTCCGCCTCCCGGGTTCATGCCATTCTGCCTCAGCCTCCCGAGTAGCTGGTACTACAGGTCCCCACCACCATGCCCAGCTAATTTTTTGTACTTTTAGTAGAGACGGGATTTCACCATGTTAGCCAGGATGGTCTCGATCTCCTGATCTCGTGATCCACCTGCCTCGGCCTTCCAAAGTGCTGGGATTACAGGCGTGAGCCACCGTGCCCAGCCAAGTTCTTGCTTTCATTTGGATTATTACTTCAGGCTAGATTGATTTCTCAAATTAGTGGAATTAACTAGGGTCAAAGGATATAGTTAAATTACCATTTTTTTAAAAAAAGAGTACTTTTTTTTTTCTAAATTTCAGGGTCATAGATATAGCTAGTAGGACATTTTTAGAAATTCTTCATTTATTAGATGGGGAAATTGAGAATCTCAGAAACAAATTGATTTGCTCAGTGTTGTACATTTAATGATACAATAGATTAGGATCGAGATATATATTATACAATAAAGTGGGACAAAAACCAATTTGAGCATATTAAACAACTTGTTTTGTTTTTGTTTTTTAAAAATCCATTCCAATCTCTTTAAAATATAGACACTGAATTAAATAGGCACTAAAAGCATCTTGACTCTTGGCTGTTATTTTTATAGTAAGCATATTTTGGACAAAGAGGTAAGTTATATTTTGTACACTTTAGCAAATTAGGGCTGGACGACAGAGGAGAAGGGCATACAAATATAAGAAAAGACAGAAATTATATTTCTTTAATTTTCTAAGTGAAAAAGGAAGTAGAATATTTGAGTAATGTAGAAAATGATAGATGATATCCTATTTGGTATTATGTCATATTCTGTTAAAGCTAATTTTGATCAAAATTTAGCAAATCACTTCTCATATACCTTTTATATGTCTAGTGGTAGAGGGGGCCAAGAATCGTTGTTGTTGTTGTTGCTGTTTGTATGTAATGTCAGAGTGTCATGTACTTCTTTTTATTTTTTATTTTTTTGAGACGGAGTCTTGCACTGTTGCCCAGGCTGGAGTGCAGTGGCACAATCTCGGCTCACTGCAAGCTCTGCCTCTCAGGTTCATGCCATTCTCTTGCCTCAGCCTCCCGAGTAGCTGGGACTAAAGGCACCCGCCACTATGCCCGGCTAATTTTTTGTGTTTTTAGTAAAGACGGGGTTTCACCATGTTAGCCAGGATGGTCTCGATCTCCTGACCTCGTGATCCACCCGCCTCGGCCTCCCAAAGTGCTGGGATTACAGGTGTGAGCCGCCGCGCCCAGCCCCAGAGTGCCATGTACTTCTTGATATGCAACAATGAAATCAGAACTATATGCCATGTTTTATCACTTATATGTGTGCATAATCTTTATAAAATGAACGACAGCTAGAGAATGGACAGATATACACATATCAGCTTTATGATAAAGTTGTGACTTTTGACCAGAAAATCTCTGGATAAATATCTGCATCATAAAAAGAAATTAAATCAGAATAGTGGGTCAGGTATTCTCTTGGCACGTTGGATAGTTGTGATTAGGAAAACTTGGTAAAAAAAAAACAAAAGAAAAAAGACCTTGTGAATCATTGAAAACAAAATGAGAGAGAGTATATAACTTTTCAGGAGACAATAAACATCATAAGCATCCATTCATATGTTCACTCATGAAAGTATAAACTAATTAAACATATCGATTTATAGCCTTCTAAGTGCAATGTTGTGTGCTAACTCTGTAGAAGCATGTTAGAAGATATGCTGAATTGATGCTCAGAGACTTGTTCTAGATTACCTAGTTTAAAGTAAGAATTAAAGCAGCTACTGTGATGTAGAAAAAATGCAACAAAATCTATTTGGATATCCTTGTTCTGAAAGACCCTTCCTTACTCATTTTTCAAAACGTATCATTTCTTCAGAGCATTAAATTCTAATTGTTGTGATCGAGTTGCTACTTCTGTTTATTTGTTTTGTTTTGTTTTCACTTCGTTTTAGGATTCGGAACATATTATGGCCACTTTGACGTATCTGTATACCAGGTGTCATTATAAAACATTCACATACTACAACTTAGGGTATTGGCCACTATAATCCTTATTGTCTGAATCTTACTACTTCACACACCTTACTCAAGCTTCTATGAATAGGCAGGTGATAGCATAGAGAAGAGAAACAAACTAGGTGATTATAATTGATAAGTGAGCAATAAGATGCTCAAAGTGATTAATGCACTAATAAGAAGTATGTGTCTGATTTAGAGCAGAGACTGTCTGCCAAATCCTCACTTCCTGCATCGTCCACCAATGCTTTCATACCCTAGACCTGCAGATAGGCAAGAGAAGATGGCATAGTTATGTATTAGCGATGGAAAGTAACTGAGAAAAAATCAGCAAAGTCACAGAACAGGAAAGGGGTTTTGCTACTACAGGAATCCTACAAACTTCAGGGAGAGAGAGAGACACAGAGAGAGGAAAGAGAGAGAGAGAGAGAGAATAAGCTTAGAGATCAAGCAAGGAAAGGTTTTTGTTTTGTTTTGTTTTTATCAGTAGGTCTCTGTATTAGGCAGCCCTCTTCGAGACAGAAAACCCAATTCAAAATTATTTAAGAAAAGAAAAATTTCTTGTTTATGTACTGGCAAATTTCACCTAGGGTTTTCTTCGTGATGGCTAGATTGAGAGACTCGAGTGATGTTATTAGGATTCTGTTTCTCCCTTCCTATCTTGACTTGACTCAGTTGACTTCTTTTGAAGACAGTCTCTCCCTTGTCCTCAGATATGGAGCAAAATGGTGAGAGGCATTTCCCTATCACAATGGAAAACTGGCTGCCTCTATTCCAAAAATTATTTAGAAATTTTCAGAATTTAAACTCATTAGCATGGCTTGGAACTTTCTCATCCCTAACGCAATCCCTGTGACCGATATAATGATGGTAATACTAAGAGTAAAGGGGAGAGACAGATCCTACTGATTATTAAAAAGTTATAGTCTGATAATGAATGAGTGTTGTCAGGAATAGAGGTCAAGATGGCTGACGAGAGGCATTTCAAGCACATCTCATCCACTTAGAACAACCAAAATAGTGTGTAGACAATCACACTTTGAATACATTATCCAAGAGGGACAAAGAAATGCAACAGAAAAGCAACAGGAAACACCAAAAATGAGGAAGGAGAAGGAAAACAGGCAGCCTGCTTGGCCAAAAACAACTAGGAGTTGGGAGTGACTCTCTAATCTGGGGAGAGGGTGAGTGAGAGTCTTTCAGTGGTCCACATTCCCACTGGAGGATTGTGCAGTCCAGGCCGTGGGAGAGCATCTTGGCCCTCCCAAATCCTAAAACTAAGTTAGGGAACTGCTGGGAGACTATGAGAAGGAACCGCCCTAGGGAGGGAACATACCTTAGGTCCCACTCCCTTTATGAAACCTAAGCAGCTGTAGCTGCTTACATTTTCTATTGTACATTTTCTATTGTAAATTTTTAACAGACTGTGCACTGTCCTGTGATCTAATAGTACTGGTCCTAGGCATTAGGGAAACTTGGACTACTGCTTACAGAACTGGGCACAAGGGCAGAGTGAACTTCTGCAGCCAGAACTGTGGTGTGGGCAGCAGCCACCAGATGCTGGGAAGTGGGTCCCACCCCTGAGACTTCAGCAGGATTCCAGATGCCATGGAAGCTTGATCTCTAGCTGGGCAGGGGCTCCTATGGCCAAGGGCTGAGTTGCGATCTAGCGATGGACTGTGGGGTCTGATGGTTAATCCAGGTCTGTTGCAACAGCCAGGACTGAGGAGCAAGCCCCATCAGGACCAGAACATGAGAGAGATTCATATATCCCACATACTGCTCTAGACTGTGGCCACTGGGGATGGCCCCACTTTCCCCTTGCTAGGACTTCAGTGTAGCAACTGTCACCCCTCACCTGAGCTTTCTGCCAAGTACCTGATGATCGTCCTTCCCTTGTCTGTTATCGCTGGTACAGGCAATCACCATTGGGAGGTCTGAGCACAAGCCTACCCAGGCTGGCTCCATCTGGCTTTGCTCCCACTAGGAGACAAAGCACAAAATCCAGGGTCCTGAGCATTCCACAACTGAAACAGAAACGCTGACACTAAATAATGCATTGACGGAAATACAAAATACATTAGAAAGCTTCCACAATAGACTAGATCAAGTGAAAGAAATAATTTTAGAAGTTGAAGACAGGTTTTTTGAAATAACCTAGTTACACAAAAATAAAGAAAAATGAATAAAAAGAATGAACAGAGACTTTGAGGCATCTGAAACAACATAGAATGACTGAATTTATGAAGTATCACTATCCCAACCTGAAGAAAGATAAAAAATTTAGAAAAGCAATTTAATAAATGATAGATAAAACCTTACCAAGTCTAGAAAGAGATTTAGATATCCAGGAACTGTGCAAAAAGGACTTTACCACAGCATTTTAAAATTAGACTGTCTAAAGTTAAAATGAAAGAGTTAACTCTAAAAACAGCAAAAGAAAAGCAGCTAGTATCTACAAAGGAAACTCCATCATTCTCAGCAGAAACCCTATAGGCCAGAAGAGAATGGGATGATATATTAAACATACTGAAAGAAAATACTGGCAGTAAGGAATATGATATCCAGTGAGATTAACCTTCATAAGTGAAGGAGAAATAAAGTCCCAAATAAGCAAATGCTGAGGAAATTAGTCACCACTAGAGCATCTCTAAAGAAATGCTCAAAGTAGTCCTAAGCTTGGAATCAAAAGGACATTTATCAGCATGTAAACACATGAAAGTATAAAATTCACTGGTAAAACAATCACACAAAGAAGGAAAAGAAAGTCATCAAATGGCACCACTACAGAATTTGAAACCACAATTACAAACTGTAAGAGAAAAAGAAATAATTTATAAGACAAATAGAAAATGATTAACAATATGAAAGGAACAAAACCTCTCATAGTAGTAATAGCCTTGCACATAAACGGATTAAGTGCTCCACTTAAAATATATAAATTGGCTGAACAAAATTAAAAAAAAACATAATTCCACTCTATGCTGCTTACAAAACTCATCTTACCAATAGGGACACTTTTAGACTGAAAGTAAAGGGGTGAAAAATATATTTCATGCAAATGGAGACCAAAAGTGAGCAGGACAAGCTTATATCAGATAAAACAGACTTTAAGTTAAAAAAAAAAAAAAAGACAAAGAAGGTCATTATATAATGATAAAAATATCAATTCAGCTAAAGGCTATAACAATTCTAAATATATATGCATCCAACACTGAAGCACTCAGATTCATAAAACAAGTATTACTAGAACTGAAGAGAGAGAGAGACATCAATACAAAATAGTATTTCAACACCCCATTTACAGCATGAGACAGTTCATCTAGACAGAAAATTAGCAAAGAAACATTGGTTTTAAACTGGGCTTTAGACAAAATGGATCTAACAAACATACACCATTCTACCCAAAAAGTGCATAATATACATTATTTTCATCAGCACATGGAACATTTTCTAAGACAGACCGTATCTGAAGCCACAAAATAAGTCTCAACAAATGTAAAAAACCAAAACCATATCAAGTATCTTCTCCGATCACAACATGAAAACACTAAGAATACCCAGAGGAACATTGGAAACTATAGAAATACCTGGAAAGTAAACAACATGCTCCTGAATGACTATTGGACCTACAAAGAGATTTAGATGAATTTTTTTTTTTAATTGGAAACAAACAGAAATGGAAACACAACAAACAAAACTTCTGGGATACAGCAAAAACAGTGCTAAGAAAGAAGTTTATAACATTAAATGCCTACATCAAAAATGTAGAAAGATTAAAAACTAACCATCTATATACCTATATAACAAACCAGCACATTTTGCACATGTATCCCAGAACTTAAAGTAAAATAAAAATAAAAAACTAACCATCTAATGATGCACCTCAAGGAACAAACCAAACCCAAAATTAGCAGAAGTGAAATAATGATCAGAACAGAACTAGATAGAGGCAACAACAACAAAAACAGTACAAGGGATCAACAAAAAGAAAAGTTGGTTCTTCAAAAAATAAACAAAATAGATAAACTGCTAGCTAAACTAACCAAGTAAAGAAGAGAACAGATCAAAGTAAACAAAATCAGAAATGAAAAAAGAGATGTTACAACTCCTACCACAGAAACACAAAAGATCTTATGAACAACTCTATGCTCACAAACCAGAAAACCTAGAGGATAAACTCTTGGAAGCATACTACCTCCCAAGATTGAATCAGGAAGAAATAGAAAACCTGAACAGATCAATAATGAACAGAGAGATTTAATCAGTAATAAAAAATCTCCCAACATAGAAAATCTCAGGATCAGATAGATTTACAGCCAAATTCTACCAAATGTACAAAGAAGAAGTAATACCAGTCCTCCTAAAACTTTTCCAGAATGTCCAGGAGGAGGAAACTTTTCCTAACTTGTGCTATGATGCCAGTATCACCCTGATACCTAAACCAGACAAGAACACAAGAAGAAAAGAAACTATTTTATCTCTGATGACCATAGATGTAAAAATCCTCAACAAAATAGCAATCCTGTCAACAGCACATCAAAAAAAAAACATATACTATGGTCAATGAGGTTTTATACCAGGGAAGCAAGGATGGTTTAACACACATAAGTCAATAAATGTGATACTTCACATAAACAGAATCAAGGACAATAACCATATGATCATGTCAATAGATTCAGAAAAATAATTTGATAAAATTCAACATCTCCTCGTGATAAAAACCCTTAGCAAACTAGGCATAGAAGAAACATATCTCAAAATAATACAGGTAATGTAAAACAACCCCACCACTAACATCATACTGATTGGGGAAAAGTTGAACGCATTTTCTCTATGGACTGAAAAAAGACAAAGATGGTCGCTTTCACCACTCCTATTCAACATAGTGCTAAAAGTCCTAGCCAGAGCAATCACGTAAGAGAAAGAAATAAATGGCATCCAAATTGTAAAAGGGGAAGTCAAATTCTTCTTCTTTGTTGATGATATGATCTTATATCTAGAAAAACCTAAAGTCTTCACCAGATAACTCTTTGGTTTGCAAAATGAATTCAGTAAAGTTGCAGAATACAAAATCAATGTACAAAAATCAGTAGTGTGTATATATACCAGTAACAACCTAGCTAGAAAGAAATCAAGAAGGCAATCACGTTTATAATATCTACAAAAAATACCTAGGAGTAAACAACCATGAAAGATCTCTACAAAAAAAACCTATAAAAATGATTAAAGAGATAATATATGACACAAAAAAATGGAAAAACATCCTTTGCTCATGGATTGGAAATAACGTTAAAATGACCCTACTGGCCAGGCACGGTGGCTCATGCCTATAATCCCAGCACTTTGGAAGGCTGAGGCAGGCAGATCACCTGAAGTCAGGAGTTTAAGACCAGCCTGGCCAACATGGTGAAACCGCGTCGCTACTAAAAATACAAAAATTAGCCGGGCCTGGTGGCATGTGCCTGTAATCCCAGCTACTCGGGAGGCCAAGGCAGTAGAATTGCTTGAACCTGGGAGGCAGAGGTTGCAGTGAGCCAAGATCGCATCACTACACTGCAGCCTGGGTGACAGAGTGAGACTCGTTCTTCAAAAGTAAATAAATAACCATACTGCCCTACAGATTAAATGCAATCCCTATCAAAATACCAATGTCATTTTTCAAAGAATTAGAAAAAAATTCTGAAATTCATATGGAACCAAAAAAGAGCTTGATCAGCCAAAGCAATCCTGAACAAAAAGAACACAGCTGGAGGCCTCACATTACTTGACTTTAAATTATATTACAAGGCTAAAGTAACAAAAAAGCATGGTACTGTTATAAACATAGACATATAGATCAATGGAACACAATAGAAAACTCAGAAATCAAGCCACATATTTACAGCCAACTGATCTTCGACAAAGCTGATAATAACATATACTGGGGAAAGGAAATCTTCTTCAATAAATTATGCTGGGAAATTTGAATAGCTATATGCAGATGAATGAAACTAGACCCCTATCTCTCACCATATGCAAAAATTAACCCAAGATGAATTAAAGACTTAAATGTAAAACCTGAAACTATATGTATGAGAAGAAAACCTAGGGAAAAGCCTTGTAGACTATGGGCTAGGCAAAGCATTTATGACTAAGACTTCAAAAGCATAGGCAACAGAAAAAAAAATAGTCAAATGGGGCTACATTAAACTAAAAGCTGCTGCACCACAAAAGAAATAATAGAGTGAGGAGACAACTTGCTGAATAGGAGAAAGTATTTGCAAACTATTTGTCTAACAGGGAACTAATATCCAGAATATAAAAGAACTTAATTCAACAACAGCAACAACAAATCATAATAATAATCCCATTAAAAATCGGGCAAAGGACACGAATAGACTCTTTCCAAAAGAAGACCTACAAATGGTCAACAGGCATATGAAATATGCTCAGCATCCCTAATCATCAGAGAAATGTAAGTGAAAACCACAATGGAATATCATCTTACCCCAGTCAAAATGTCTGTTATCAAAAGGACAAAAAATAACAGATGATGATGAAAATATAGAGGAAAGAAAACTCTAATACACTGTTGGTGGACATGTAAATTAGTACAGCTCCTCTGAACAACCATATAGAGATTTCTCAAAGAACTAAAAATAGAAGTACCATTCATTCTAGTAATCCCACTACTGGGTATCTACCCAAAGGAAAAGAAATCAATGCATCGAAATAATACCTACACTCATATGTTTATCACAACACCTTCACAATAGCAACGATATGGAATCAACCTAAATGTTCATCAACAGATGAATGGATATAGAAAATGTGGCATATATATCCATGGAATATTATTCGGCCATAAGAAAGAACAAAATCATGTCTTTTTCAACAACATGGATGGAAATTGAGGTTATTAACTTAAATGAAACAAGCCAGACACAGAAAGACAAATATTGCATGTTCTCACCCATAAGTGGGTGCCATAAAATGTGTTCACATTTGTGCAGAGAGTTGAATGACAGATAATGGAGACTTTGAAGGGTGAGGGTGCGGAAGGAGGGAGGATGATGAGAAATTAGTTAGTACTATGTACATTACTTGGTGATGGATTCCCTAAAAGCCTTGACCGCCATGAAAATCTACACATGGCCAGGCGCCAGTGGCTCACGCCTGTAATCCCAGCATTTTGGGAGGCTAAGGCAGGTGATCACAAGGTCAAGAGATTGAGACCATCCTGGCCAACACGGTGAAACCCCGTCTCTACTAAAAATACAAAAATTAGCTGGGTGTGGTAGTACCTGCCTGTAATCTCAGCTGCTCGGGAGGCTGAGGCAGGAGAATCGCTTGAACCGGGAGGCGGAGGTTGCAGTGAGCCGAGATCGCGCCACTGCACTACAGCCTGGTGACAGAGCAAGACTTGTCTCAAAAAAAAAAAAAAAAAAAGAAAAGAAGAAAAAAACCTACGCATTTAACAAAATTGCACATGTACGTCATAAATTTGTATGAATAAAAAATTCTTCCCTAACTCCCTATTGCGCCATACCTTTTTGTTTTGTTTTGAGATAGAGTTTCACTTTGTGGCCCAGGCTGGAGTTCAGTGGTGCAATCTCAACTCATTACAACCTCCACCTCCCAGGTTCAAGCAATTCTCCTGCCTCAGCCTCCCAGATAGCTGGGACTACAGGCACCCACCACCATGCCCAGCTAATTTTTTGTATTTTTAGTAGAAACGGGGTTTCACCATGTTGGTCAGGTTGGTCTTGAACTCCTGATCTCAAGTGATCTGCCTGCCCCAGCCTCCCAAAGTGCTGGGATTACAGGCATGAGCCACCACGCCCAGCCTCCATACTTTTCTATAAGTCTCTATCACACTATATTTGGGATTAAATTGGGTAGGAAAGTAGGGCATGTGTCTCTGCTACTAGACTCTGAGTCCCTTGAGTACCTTAAGTCCCTCACACAAGACATGGCACAGTAAAATTTAATAAATATTTACAGTATATTTTAAGAAAAGAATCGGGGTATGTAGGCCATGAGTATTTCTTTTGAGTTATTAGATATCATTCTCAGAATAATAACATTATTTTATTATTTTTATTTCACATATATATAAGATAACTGTGTCACAGAGTAGTCAGGTCTTCCTCTTTTGCCCAGGCCGGAGTGCAATGACCCAGTCATGGTACACTGCAGCCTGGACCTCAAAGGCTCAGGCAGTCCTCCCACCTCAGCCTGTGAGTAGCTAGGGACTGCAGGTGTGTGCCACCATGCCAAGCTAATTTTTTTGATTTTTACTAGGAATGAAATCTCACTATGTTGCCCAGGCTGGTCTCCAAGTCCTGAGCTCAAGTGATCCTCCCACCTCGGCCTCCCAAAGTGCTGGGATTACAGGCATGAGCCACCGTCTCCTGCTAGAACGATGATATTGGAGAGGATAGAAAGCAGTCAGGATCACCATTTCTCTTGCTACCCTCTCCTCCTACTCTTAGACTTTGGTCATTATGGTTCCTGCCAAATGTACTTTCTATATCGTTAGTCTTTAATATTCCTGAAGTTATTTGTACTGTTCTTGGATAAACATATGCTCTATATTACATACTAGATTTGATTATACTGACAGAGTTCAAAATATTATAAGCTTAGGTGCTCTTGGATTATTGACCAAGGTGATCAAATGGTAAAGGGCAATATTCACTGACTACTTGCTATATACACAACATCATTCTAAGTCTTTTGCATGTATTATTTCATTGAATCCATTCAAAAATTCCAGATATATGATATTATTAGCTTCATTTTATAGATGAACAAATTTAGGCAAAGAGATGTTAAGGAACTTGTCTGAAGTTGCCGTCTTAGTAAGCAGAGGACCAGGATTTGAATGCAGGCAGCTGGCATCAGAACTCACATTGTTACACTATTGCTGCTCAGTAAGTCTTGAAAGCCCACAAAGCAGGACTAGACTGCAAGAAACTGAGGAGGCAGCAGGCCGGTGAAGAGTTTCTAAATGGAGGGAAGGACAAAACAATCTGCCCTTGAGTTGTAGATTGGTCACTGGAGAGAGAAGAAAAAGAGAGATCCTTCGAGACGTAAGATCAAAAACCATCTGGAGAGCCAGAAGGGGAAACACCAGCAGGGAACAAAGTGTTTCCAGTATTGGGAACATATGAGTAAACCATCAGATAAGCATGGGAAGTCAGCCTGCGAAGTCAGGAGGGCTACCTCAAGAGAGAAAGGCAACAGCTTGTTATGGTTTCCTAGAGCCTACATGTATATCTAGTCTCAGTGAGCAGGGAAATTGTATTTAATGTCTGACATGTTTAGGTTCAGTCTGAACAAAATATCTCATTCCAGCATTGAAGATTGCAGACCTAAATGTCATTCAATGTGAAATAACAAACATGTATTTTTCCTTGTTATACTTCTAATTCCAGTAATGTACCTTCTTCCTTTAAGCTCTATGCTTCCTAAATTGCACCTTCTTTGAAACAGCTCATGCTAAGATTTGAAGCTTGCTGCATCAGTTAAAGGTGTCCCTAAGCATCTGATGGATAAAGGAGGACAGTAGAAACCTCAAACAAAACTGCTGCCAATAATCAGAGGATATAAAACAATAAAACATGTATAGCGTTCTTCCAAACATCAAGGAGGCTTCTTTTCTCTTTAAAGCTGTAGTGTACACAAGATACAAAATGTAACCTCCCAAAAGAAGAAAATTTAGGTCTCTGGAAACTATATGGGAGGTCAGTAGAAAAGGGAATCATTTCTCCTCAGGCACTGCAATGACTGGAAACAGTTTATGAGGAAAATACATTTTAATCTTTTCCCTGACATTTAGTAATTGAGTATGTATACAGTAGCTGCACACACACACACACACACACACACACAGGCACAGCTTAATTTACACAGAGCTATTTTACAGTATATAATAGGACCATAGCCCTTCCAAAGGTCAGATTAATTAAAAGGTCTATTCATGGATTTTCAGAGAATTGCCTTACATAATATTATTAGTGTCATCAATATCACTTGAAATGCTGTAGAACATAACGCAGGATATACAATTAACTTTGCATTAAGATTTGAAGTGAGACAAGCACTGCCTGTGAATATCATCCCTCAATTTGTAAATCACCAGAGCGTGGTGACAATTTGGCTTGACTACAACTATGCCTGAATGAAGTACTTTTCCTTTTGAGAAAAAAGGAATCTACGAGCATGAGGACTCCCTTTTCTCCTTTTAGTTTATTTTTTTAAGTCATTTATTAATTTTCCCTTTGGTAAAAATAATTCCAGAGTTTGCCTTTTCTTTTTTCTTTTGAGGGGAAGGGGTAACTTTACAGGCAGTTTCCTTAGTCATTCTAGGCAGCCAGCCAATGAAATATAGACTAAACAACACAGAGGATATTAATTTTACCTCACCATACATGCACACAGCTAGTGATGCATAAAGTCTTCATTCCAAGACTGACATTAAAAGGGTTGTGCAACTGCCTAGATTCCAATGTCACTAACGGTTTTCTGAGGGAGTTGGAAAGAGATAAGAGAGAGACCTTGGGGAACAATTTTAAAGTGGCTCAATAGCGATCGCAGAGCCAAACTCATACCTACATCAATGTGGTGCAGAGAATCTCTAAGAATTTTTAATGCTGAATTGGAGCAAAGAAACTTCAAGTATGAACCTAAAAAGAAATCAAAATGTATTTCACAGTTATATTAAGAGTTTTCTGGCAATAGAGAAGCTGTGTAAAAAGAATTAGAAAATCAAACTTTTTATTGAAGTATGACATATATACAGAAATATTCACACATCAAAAGTCTAGAGCATGATAAATGTTTACAGCATGAATATACTCATGCAAACAATTCTGAGCTCAAGAAACAACATCACCTATACCCCAGAAGACATGCCCACACCCCCATTTAGTCACTGTCTTCTCTCAGGGTAATTCATATCCTGACCTCTAATATCATTAGTTTAGATTAGTTTTGCTCGTAAACATTACATAAATGGACAATTCCGTGTAAATTCTTTTGGGATTGATTTTCTTTATTCTGCATTTTATTTGTTACTTGAGTGTAGTTGTAGTTCATTCACTCTCACACAGAGTATTTTTAATGTGTGAATACACCTCAATTGATTCGTTCTACTATTGAGGGTATTTGGATAAAAATATTACATATTTTACATATCACTGAGTCTGATTTAGGACTTTTATAACTATATTAATGAGAGGGATTAGTCTGAAATTTCAGTTTCTTTAAAGATTATCCTGGGTTTATAAAAATTGCTAGAAAGTATTTCCTCTGTTTTCTTTCTCTGGAAGATTTTGTGTAAAATTGGTATTATTATTAATTTTTTGGAAGAATTAACTAGTACAAATAGTTTCATCTTCATTTGTTTTAGGAAGGTTTTCAATGACAGAATCAAAAAATTTAATATACATTGAAATATATTAATTATTATATTGATTATCTTGTATTTACTATTAATAAATATATAATACAATTAGTAATTGTATATCAATATATACAATATAAATGTGTATTTAATGTAATTTACATTTAAATATATATAGTATCAGTTTCAGAAAGTTGTGTTTTTTAAGGGATTTGTCAATTTAATCCAGATTATCAAATTCATTGGCTAAAATTGTTAATAGTAGTCCTTTGTTACAAATAATGATGTTGCTTTTTTCATTTCTGATGTTGGTATTTTATGTTGTCTTTGTGTCTTATTTATTTTTGCCAAGTATTTATATGTTTTATTAATCATTTTAATCAAAGGCTTTGCTGGGTTTTTTTATTACACATTTGTTTTCATTTCATTAATTCCCATTTTTATTGCTATTATTTAAAAATTATTTTGGTTTAATTTTGTTATGACTTTGTTAAAAGAAAAACTTTAGACAAATTGAATTTAGCAGAGTTTATTTTAGCAAAGAAACATTCATGAATTATGCAGCACCCTGAACTAATAAAGGCTCAGGGAGCACCACCAGCAATGTGGGCAGCCAGTATTTATAGGCAGGAAAAGAGAGTGACGTACAGAAATAGCTCAGTTGGTCACAGCTTGACATTTGCCTTATTTGAACACATATGAGCAATTTGCAGCTGTGATTAGCTGAAAGCTCACCTACTGTGATTCTCAAAGCGTCAGTTACTTGTTACAAGAATATACTCTCAAGTTAGACTGCAGTTTATTTACAAATTATATTAGGATACAGTTCAGTGCAAACAGAGGCAGATTTAGGCCAAATTTAATTTGATTTAACAACCTTTTGAGATAAAAGCATATTTATCATTTAATTTTAGTATTTATTCTTCCACAATATTTTCATTCTGTGATTATATATTACCCTCTGTGTATTACTTTTAAAGCATATCACATTTATTTTATATTATACCTTCTTTATGATTCAGCTATAATATTTTTAAATTTTCATTGTTAATTCTTGTTTGACTCATGGATCATTTAGAAGTACATCATTTCCAGGTAGTTGGAGATATTTTGATGGCTTATAATTTATTTCTAAGTTAATTTTATGGTCAAAGAATATACTCTGAATTATTTTCATTTGTTGATATTTGTTGAGGCTTTATGATCCAACATATAGTGTATCTTGGTCTAAGCTTCTATGCAGAGTCAAAAATTATGTGAATTCTATCCTGTTGGCAGGAATGTCAGCTAAATATGTAAATTATGTAGTTTGTTTATTGTATTATTCAGTGTGTATGTGTGTGAGTGTATTTTTGTGTGTATACATATATATGTGTTAATATATACAAATACATATGTTTATGTATATATACATATGTTTGTGTATATACATGCATATATACATATGTGGGTATATATTATATGTAATATATTATTACATATTACATATATTATTATTATATATTACATATATTACATATGATCTGTATACATTTTATATATACTACATATAGACATGTTTATGTCTGTATATACATATATACATAAGTATAATGTATATTATATGCAATATATATTACATATTTCATGCAATATTATATGTAATATATTACATATAAACTTTATATGTGGTGTGTGTGTGTGTAATATGTATAAATATATATGTAGTAAATGGTTCTCAATTAACAGAGATTTTTAAATATCTGGAGACAGTTTTAGTTGCTATAATTGGGGAATGGGAAGCATTACCAGCATTTAATGAGTAGAAGCCAGGGATGCTACTAAACATCCTAAAATGAATAAAACAGTTCTTCACAACATATATATCTTGCCATCTCAGCTACCTAGAGTGGTGTATTAAAGTCTGTCTCTATGATTAGATTTTCTCTATTTTTCCATTCTGTCTTCATATTCTCAGATATTGCTATTTGTCATATACACTGATATCTATTAGATTAAACCCTTTATCATTACTAAATTTATTTATCTAATAATGCTTCTTGGCTTCATGTCTACTTTGTTTAATATTGATATGCTAAATCAGTTTTCTTTTGGTTAGTGTTTGCATGGTATCTTTATGTCTATACTTTTATTTTCAACTGTATTTTATACTTGAAATTAAAGTTTGTTTTTTGCAAGAAGCCTAGAGTAGGCATTTAACAATTGATTTTGGTAATTTTAGGGCTTTTTAAAAATGTAGATTTAGTCCATTTATATTTAATATAATAAATAATAAACATGGATTTTTAAATTTTTCTCACTATTTTTTCTATTTTAATCATCTTCATTGCTTTCTCCTTTTCCTTTTAAATTAATAAAACATTGTTTTATTATTGTATTTTGTCATCTATCACCCTTTTCTAAAATTTTTACTTCTAGCAGTCTTAGATTTACAGAAAAAAATTGCAAAGACAGTATAGAACATTCTCACTTCCCCTACTTCCATTTCCCCATGTTACTAACACCTTATATGAGTGTGGTGTATTTGCTACAATTAATGATTATTATTAACTAACCTCCAAATAGATTCAGATTTTCTTTGTTTTGCTTTCACCTAATGTATTGTTGTTGTTGTTCCAGGATCCATTCGTGTCACATTGCAGTTAGTATTCGTGACTACTTAGGATTCTCTTGGTTGTGACAGTTTCTCAGACTGTACTTGTATTCAATGAGCATAAAAAGGACTTAGACAGTTTTAAGGAGTACTAGTCAAGTATCTTATACAATGCCCCTCCCTGGGACTTGTCTGATGGTCTTCTCATGATTTTATTGGAGCTAATCTGTTTGAGAAAGACCACAGAGGTAAACTACCATTTTCATTTCACATAAAAGGTATATTCTGTCAATATTACTTATTGTTGTTGATGTTCATTTTCATTATGGGACTGAAGCAGTGTTGGTTTTCTGTAATGTAAAGTTAGTTTTTCCCTATTTTCATACTGTATTTATTGGAAGGAAATCACTATGTGCAGCACACACTTAAGGAATGGGGAGTTATACTCTACCTTTTTGAGGGTGAAGTATCTACATAAATTATTTGGAATTCTTCTTCATGAGATAGTTGGCTCTTTTACTCATTTTCAATCACTTATTTATATTAGTATGGACTCATGGATATTGATTTTTATATTTGGGGTTATATTACCATATTACTCAATTCCTTTCTTTTTTGCTCAAATTGTTCTACCTATAATATATACCTGTTTTTCATAAAATAATTTTATTATTTTTAGAGATTAGCTAGTGATTATAACATGAATTCTTAACTTATTATAATCTAGTACAAAATGTTAGTTTTACTATTTTCTCAATATTGCTAAAACCTTAGACCTTTTAAACTCTGAATTCCTTCTTGCCATTTACAATGTTTTATCATGCATTTCATTTTTACATATATTTTAAATTCAGTGAGGTATTCAAAATATCACTTTATAAGGTCAATATCTGTTTATATTTGCATACATATTCACCTTTTCCATTGCTCTTCCTTCCTTTCTGAACTTCTTTGTTTCTATGAAGTGTAATTTTCCTTTCATCTGATAAACTCTTTTACATTTATTTCAGTGAAAATCTTTTGGCTTTAAATACTTGACATGTTTTGTTAATCAAAAGTGTTTTTAATCTTAGTCACATTTTGGAAATTTTTTCCCCCTATGTGTACAATTCTAAGTTGATGGTTACTTTCTTTTAGCCCTGTAAAAATGTCAATCAATTGTCTGTTGGCTTCTGTTATTTCTGTTTTGAAGTCAGCTGTCAGTGCTTTGGGGTATATTTTGAAATAAATTTGTCTTTTTTTCCTCTGGCTCTTTTAACGTTTTTATTTTTATCTTGGTTTTCAGTAGTTTGGCTGCAATATGACCAAGTGTTTTATGTACTCTTTCAGTGTTTTATATACTCTTCAGTAGGCTTCTGAAATTGGTGAGTTGGGTTTTTTTTTTTTTATCAATTTTGGAAAATTATCAGTGATTAGCTCTTCAAATGGTGCTTCTCTCTCATTCCTATCTCTTCTTTCTTGTAATCTTATTACACATGTGTTATACCATTCAAATGTGTCTGATATATTTTTTACACTTTGTTCTTTTCCTGTCATCCTTTTCTTCCTTTCCTTCTTTACTTAAGTATATATTTTCTATTCACCTGTTTTTGAAATTACTAGTCTTATCTTCTACTTGCTATTTGTCTTACAAGTATGTCTACTTGCTGATGAGCCTACTGCATTCATCCATTTTGCATTGCTATAAAGGAATACCTGAGACTGGGTAATTTATAAAGAAAAGAGATTTATTTGGCTTACGGTTCTGCAGGCTGTACAAGCATGACACCAGCATCTGCTTGGCTTCTGGTAAGGCCTTGGGAAACTTTTACTCGTGGCAGAAGGTGAATGGGGAGAAGTCACCTTGCATGGTGAAAGAGGGAGTGAGGTCAGGGAGGTTCCAGAATTTTTATCAATGAGATCTTGTGTGAACTCATTACCATGGGGAGGGCACCAAGCCATTCAGGGGAGGGATCCACTTCTATGACCCAAACACCTTCTACCAGGCCCCAGTTCCTACACTGGAGATCACATTTAAGCATGATATTTGGAGGGAACAAATATCCAAACTCTATCACCTATCCATAGCCCTTAATTTCTAGAATGTTCATGTGATATTTGTAAATTATAATTATATATACTACTATTTGTTGAAATTTTCTACCTTTTAATTAGTTTGATAATTCATCTACTGTCTTAAACTTTGTTTGTGATAGTTCTTTCAAAATCTGTGCTAATTCTAATGTGTGGATCATCTGTGGATATGCTTGTGTGTATGTGTGTGTGTGTTTGGATGTCAATCATATAGTCCTGTTTATTTTCTTAAAAATGTTTGAATGCTAAAATTTTTAGCATTTTTAGTTGTTTTCTTTCACCACACAAAATTTGCTCTTTCCTCTGCTAGATAAATAGACAATTGTGTATATGCATGTGGGTTGGAATGGGATCCAATTATAAACTGAGGTGGGGAGAGGCTAGTTGCAATTTTAGTAATAAGCAGTCTAATTCTGATTAAAGCCTGGCCTTACAGTGCTTTCTAATTGGGAGCCTAGAAGGTGTTTTTCTTCTTAGCCCTGAGTGGTCATAATAATTTCTACTCTGTCTCTGAGAGGCAATTGGCTTAGCTTTCTGGTATCCTGACCCTATAACCTCCAAACATGGCAGTGTCATAAGAGGGACACAGAGTCTGTGCTTAATGTCCTTTAATTCTCCAATTTTGGCACTTTAGTTCTATGCAACTCCCTGAAGGTCTCCTTGTTTCTCTGTCCCCCAGTAGGATGCTTCCTGGGACAAGTCCAGATTTCTAACCTATAGTGCCTTCTAGGATCAGCAAATGCTTTCAAGGAGAGCTAAAGATCATCAAGTCACTCTTGAATGGTTCTCTCTTTGGATGCTTCTGCAGATTTCTGATTCTTCAAATATGTGAATTTATCAGGTGGTTTTGATGTTTTATGAGCATATGTTGTTCTTCCATGAATTAATCATCTCCTTCAGAAGTTGAAGCTGAAAGGAAGATTTTAAAACACTTCTTTCATATTTGCTTTGTGCTGACTGATTATAGTAAGAAATTCAGGTACTTCTTTGGCAGCTTACAATCTAATGTGGACAACAGAGAATAAACAAACACACAACCAAAGAAATTTTAATTACAAATAGTAGGACAGGCTTAACTCAGTCATCTTCAAAAATGCTAACTCTACTTAATTTACTGCTACAAACTTTTAAGGACGTCTTTGCACAATGATTCTAAAAGATAGTGATCTTTGGAATTATTAATTATCCTCACTTTTTTTTTTTTTTTTGAGATGGAGTCTTACTCTGTCGCCCAGGCTAGAGTGCAGTGGTGCGATCTCCGCTCACTGCAAGCTCCACCTCCCAGGTTCACACCATTCTCCTGCCTCAGCCTCCCGAGTAGCTGGGACTACAGGTGCCCGCCACCACGCCCGACTAATTTTTTGTATTTTTAGTAGAGATGGGGTTTCACCATGTTAGCCAGGATGGTCTCCATCTCCTGACCTCATGATCTGCCCACGTTGGCCTCCCAAAGTGCTGGTATTACAGGCTTGAGCCACTGCACCTGGCCTAATTATCCTCACTTTTTAATTAGAAGTTGTTTTAAAAAAAGATTGTCTACTTGAAGGTATTTAAACATCTAATGCAAAAGAGGATGGAACTTCTGGAAAAAATTACCAAATATTTTGAAAAGATTTGTAACAATTTATTTGGATGTTACTAATGTAGTTTTGAATGCACACATGCTTGCACTTTTATTTATGAAAGTTATTTGTGAATATTAACATCACACATGGCTATCTTATTGCTGTGTATGTAAGTTCTTATTGATACCAAAACCCTGAGAGGGCTATACGTAAGACTGCCATTGTTCTATGAAGAGCCTTGACTAGTGGATTATACACAGTTCAGTGATTTTGTTGGTTGCATAACATTTTCTTATGTATATGTGATTTCTTGAAATTTGGCCATTTATTCTGCATTTATTGATCACTGTGCCAGGCACCATGCTAGTTGCGAGGTATTGAAAGAAAAATGCTTTAAAATGCGTCTTCCCTCAAAAAGTTCACATTTACTGGAGTGCATAGACACTTAAGCATATAATGTAGGTCTTTAATGTTCTCCAAAAGGATAAGTAATTGACTGGATTATAGAGATAAGAACATGGTGCTATTATAACCTTTCAGAAAGCCATCTAAGTCAGACAAGGAGAGAGATCAGAAAAAGATCAGAAAAAGTCTTTGGCGTATACCAGAGATGGTATCTGAAGAATGATGAAATTGGCCAGATTGGGTGAGGATAGGATATGGGTATGATGTCTCAAGTTGGGGAATAACATATGGGAAAGCACATATGTGAAAGCATGCTTTTGCAAAACATAAGAGGTTGAAACATGGCTATGGTAGTAATAAAGTAGTAGAAATCCCAAATACTCCTCTAAGGAGTTATAATTTGGTCGTCAAGAGACTAGAGAACCACAGAAATATTTTAAGCAGAAAGTGACATATGTGTTCCAGAAAGATCAATCTATCAGTCATAATTTAAATAGGGGAGGAGACAAGATTAGACAGTGAGAAGTGTTAAACCATGAACTATGGTGGTGGTGGTATGGTTTGAGAGATGGGGACAGATTGAAGACATTAAAATAAGGTCCATTATTACTATTGCCATTAATAAATATAAATTAAATACTGTCATCATCAAGCAAGATTTAGTCATTGTTGTTTTAACTTCTTTCCAGAAATTCTACAACACAGACACACACACACACACACACACAAATGAATGAATATTGTGAAAATCGAGAATATTATCTCATTGTTTCCTTGCCAAGATCATCTTTTTTTCTTATTTTATAGTTTAAAGCCAAATCCCAGCAAACTCTAATGTCTAGACTTTATAATTTTATAACAGCATGAACATAACCTGTATAGACTTTAGATAGATGCTTCTAGAAGGGCCTTTTTATCTAAAATCAAGACAAGTTATAATATAGCAGACATGAAAAGGAAGTGCCTAATAAAACATTTTATTATCAATCTGATTTTTGCACCATTTTACAATGAACTGGTAACCAATGTGTGATTTTCCTCTTTTAAATATGCTTTGTAAATCTTAATTGGGAATGAAGTACCAAGTGACTCAGCTGTACTAACTGTTGAACAGAGAGGTCTAGAGGACCATCTGGTGATGCATGCAGAGAGCTATGCTGCTCACCATATATGCAGGAAATGCAAGTTAGAGTGTATAGGAAGATTGTGACTGGGTATGGTGGCTCATACCTGTAATCCCAGCACTTTGGGAGGTCAAGGCAGGTGGATCACTTGAGGTCAGAAGTTCAAGACCAGCCTGGCAAACATGGTGAAACCCCATCTCTATTAAAAATACAAAAACTAACTGGGCGTAGTGCTGTGAGCCTGTAATCCCAGCTACTCGGGAGGCTGAGGCTGAAGAAGCGCCTGAACCCTGGAGGCAGAGGTTGCAGTGAGCCGAGATCACACCATTGCACTCCAGCCTGGGTGACAGAGTGAGACTCCATCTCAAAAAAAATAAAAAATTAAATTTTTTTTCTTTAAAAAAGAGAGTATAGGAAGATTGAAGAGAGCTGGTTTTAATTTAATTTATTTATTTTCATTTTCATCTTTATTTTTAGAGACAGAATCTTGCTCTGTTACCCAGGCTGGACTGCAGTGTTGCGGTCGTAGCTCACTGCAGCCTTGAACTCCTGGACACAAACAATCCTCCCACTTCAGCCTCCTGAGTAGCTGGGACTCTAGGGGTCTGCTACCATGCCTGGCTAATTTTTATTTTTTAATTTTTTGTAAAGATGGGGTCTCACTGTGTTGCTCAGGCTGGCCTTGAACTCCTGGCCTCAAGTGCTCCTCCCACTTTGGCTCCCAGAGTGCTGGGATTATAGATGTGAGTTACCATGCCTGGCCAGGGTGTTAATTTTATTATTTTATTTTATTATTTATTATTTATTTATTTATTTATTTATTGAGACGGAGTCTCGCTCTATCGCCCAGGCTGTAGTGCAGTGGTGCGATCTTGGCTCACTGCAAGCTCCGCCTCCCAGGTTCATGCCATTCTCCTGCCTCAGCCTCCTGAGTAGCTGAAATTACAGGTGCGTGCCACCACGCTCGACTAAGTTTTTGTATTTTTAGTAGAGACGGGGTTTCACCGTGTTAGCCAGGATGGTCTCTATCTCCTGACCTCGTGATCTGCCCGCCTCAGCCTCCCAAAGTGCTGGGATTACAGGCGTGAGCCACTGCACCCGGCCAGGGTGTTAATTTTAAAAGAAATAAATGTGTTATGAAAATATCTTTGTTAGTGCTATTGTCCTTAGTTGGCATAAGTTATTTCCATATTTTGGTTTGGATTTGGCATGAGTTAAATAGATTAGTTATATAAACATGTAACTTAACTTCCTCATCTGTGAAGATTTTAAAATGAGATTAATTTTCACTTAGGGAGGAAGCAAAGTGAAGAACACAGATTTCACAGATGGGATGCCTGGCTCAAATTCCAGCTTGACCGCTGGTAGCTGTGTGACCCTCGGCAAGTTACTTGACCTCTCTCTACTCAGTGTCCTCATCTGTCAGGTAAGGATAATAATAGTACATATTTCATAGGGTCATTGTATGATTAAACAAGTTATTATTTATAGAGTGCTTAGAATAGTACCTGGCACATATTAGTGCTATATGTGTTCAGTAAATAAATAAAATTAGAAATGGAGGGGATAAAAAAGAAATAATTTGGTCACAATAAAGGCTTCTTTCCTTTCCAAATGCTTACAAACAACACTTAAAAAAATTTCGTTTGATGAAATGTAGTGTATGATTTAGTCTTTTTTTAGATAAAGAACACTTAAAATAGTTTTTCACATTTTTCCGGTAAAGTCTCTCTCAGATATATGCATACATATAAATGTTTATTTACATGAAAGTGAATATGTATATAGTATAAAAATGTTTATCTACGTAAGTAAATATATATCCAAGGACATTTGAATCTAATCTTCTCTTATTGTATCAGCTCTGTGATAACATCAGTTTCTGACAGGCTGGTCAGCAATACATTCTGGTCTGGGCCTTTTTTCCCCCCCATTGTTCATTGGAAGATTAGAACTGAAGGCAAAAGCAATAATACTCTGATCTAGTTCTGATCCATCCTGCTTTCAAAAAAGGGGCAGTGTTTATGTTAGGGCATTTGGCAACTGAGAAGTAGGTTTTTGAAGGCCTATTTTTAAGGCCAGATTTGCTCAGGGTGGGGCCCTGCTCTTGGCTTAGAAGCCACATTCACCACTGGCCCCTTAGCTGAAGAAACAAATGGCTAATTATGCTGTGACCAGTTGCTAAACTGTTAACAGAATGCAAACAGGGGAGCCCCAAAGTCAGAGAAGATTCTCAGCAAACAGCCTTTAAAGTGCTAGAGGATTGTGGGTGTCAAAGGATCTTCATCCCATGGAAGCCATTTTATCAGAATGCAAATGTTTTCTGGCTTTTAAATTGGAGGCACTATGGTGACTATTTAATTTGGCAGTAGCTTAGGATGATCTTGCATAATGAGAATGAACTATCCTGGAAAGAAAAAAAAAGTCATAGGCATTTTTATTGACTATTTAAGCACCCGAAAACTGGTAGTCTACCATATGACTCCAGAGATTCCCCATAGACATTAGTCTAGGGTTTTCATTGTCCTCAACTGGGGGCTGCAGTGATTTGGCTGTCGACGGTAATCTTTTTATTTTGGTGTTCTTTATAACAGCCAAGGGAGGTGGGAAAAGACTGTATGGGAAGAGCCTGAAAAAGAAGTGTGCAATGTACTTTAACTTTATTTCCTTTACCTTAAGACACTGATCCACATTTTACATTTTCTGCAATAAATATGTGCAACACGATCACCATTACATGAAATGGGGTGTGTGTGTATGTGTATTTGTATTTCCTGCAAAAAGCTATTTGTTTTTCCCTTTTTTTTTTTTCCTCCAATTCCTGTCCTTCAGGTCTAGGTGCTCCTCTTTAACTTGTCACTGGAAACTGTCCAAATCAAAAAGGATGTGATTACAAATGATCACTCACCTACTGAGGGTAAAGGGTTTCACAGCAGGGCTGAGTTTACCCCATCCCCATTTATTTTATTTCTCTTTCCCTCAATCCTTTCCTCCATGGACTGGGAGCTTTGCATGTACCTTTTCTTCCTTAAGATTACACTATGATGATGGTGAGGTTCTGTGTTGTTAAGAGGTCTGTTGGATGCTTTATTAGTACTCTGAGAGGAAATGCACCAACACTCCAGATGTACTTCAGTTATTTTCTTGATGATCTAATTGCAGGCTCACAATCTCTTTCCAAATTTTTAGAGCTCCTATTTTTCAGTAAGCACTGATAATTTTTCTCTACCCATCTTAGTACACAAAAACTGTGGGGAGACAACTAGAGCAATAGCTAACTTTATTATTATTCTACAAGAACATGTTAAGCACTTAACAGATACTTTCTAAGAATTCTACCCCTTAATTCTATTAAGGTAATTGAGGTTAAGGTAAACTGCTCCTCCATTTGAATATTTGAGAAATATCTTGGCAGTTAATTGTATTACTTTTAAAATTTGTTTGCTTTGTTGCAAGAAGTCCAGTGGCAAGGATGGTTTCAATCATATCTCTTTGCAGACATCCCTTACCGTAGTTTCTATAGTTTGAGAAGAAGAATTCTATGAGTGTGCAAAGATTCAGCCATTTTACTTGCTATTATGAAAACCTAGGCATAGGTGATGGTCAGTAAAATATTAAAATGGAATTGATAAAAATAAAGCTCACGAGCCTGCATGTATTCAAGTTTCTTAACTGTGGGGCTTAAGACAGGGGGCCTAAAGCCTGTGGTGAGAACTGTTACTCTAATTACTTTTAAAATTATCTTCCTGGGGCTTAGGCTTTGGGCATAGGTACGACAAGAGGTTTCATGATTTTCTTACTATTTGGAAAGAATAATTTAGGACTGCAATGGTGATGGCCTTTTGAATCAAGGAAAGGAGGCTTAGGAAGGCTAGTATCAAATAAGTCCCTAATAATAAAAACAATGCAAATTAGAAAAAACACGTTCTCGGTGAATATGCAGTGCGTGTTGTTCTTCCAGTGCCTAAGTACAATCAGTGCCTGGCTCTGCTTCCAAGTAGTGACTTTGTGTTCATTAATGATGAATTTCCAGACTGTGATCAAGATTAGAGCACTGAATTGAAAGACTGTTGTATCAAATTTTGGGTTGCTTTATAGTTCACTTATTGTTATTGTTACTGTTGTTGTTTTTATTTGAAGACAACTTAGTATAGTAGATTGGTGAATCAGACAGGCCTTAATTGAAATCCTGGACACTTAATTATTTGACCTTAAATAAAGCTTGTCTTTAGTTGTCTGTCTTGTAAATAGGGATAATAATATTTACTTCATGGAGTTGCTTTGAGTTTTCAATAAATCTGTAAAATAGGCCTAGCACTAAAGAACATGCTCTGCCCTTTCCTTTCCCATTGTCATTTCTTATGACCTTCTTAAAAACTTACTACCCTCCACTTAAAAATTAAAGCACTTTCTAAAGAATTAAAGGAATTTGTCCTTTAATTACTTGTTACATTCTTTAAAATACAGAAGTGTCATTCAATATTTGATGATAATAGATAAGTTATTAATGGCATGACGAATTGTTTTGAATGGGTAAGTAGTAAATTAAACATTAAGAACACCCCAAATATAGCACTATAAACTGCAGAGACTTTTTAAAAAAATTATTCCAACAGGAGTTTGCATGTATCTTTTAGGACTATTAGTGATTTAATGGTGAAAAGATATGTATTGGTTATTTCTTGGTGAGAAAGATGTTATTTCCCCTATTTCTTGAAGAACCAAAGTCTAAGGGAAACTTTCAGGTTTGAGGAGTCAAATTCCACTTCAGTGTTCTGGGCTGATCAGTCTTTGTTTAGCTTAGACCTACTGAAACACTGCCTCCTAGTGGTAGAGAAAAGAGTGTTTTTTGTTTGTTTAAACAAATTAAAAGGTATGGGAGGGATTAGTTTAATTAAATGGCAATAATAAAGGTTCCAAAGGAGATTGAAATTCTGAGAACCAAAATGGGAACAGAATCAAATCAGGTTAATGTGTTTCCTATGTTGGACAAGAAACTGTTAGTTCATTATGGGTTGGATTTTGAACTTTTTATAAAAGATGAGCAATGGCTTTTCCTCTGGCAAATGATAGATTGCGTGAGGAACAGTCATGAATTTGTTGAATGAAGGAGATAGGGATTATTTCATTTTAAGTGTTTTTGGGAGGAACACTGTTTTTCTCTGTAGTCATTATGGTAAACTGGTGAACACCCAGGGACTTCAGTCAATGACTAGTAAAATATCAGAGTTGGAAAAGATATTAGTGCCCTTTAAGTTCAAATCCCTTAATGTATTAAATGACTATCCCAAAATCACACAGGCAATTAGTGTCAGATATTAGGACCTGGAATAGTCATTAAATATGGAACTTTTATTATGTGCCAGGTACTGTGTTACAGAGTAGGGTGCAGTGATGTGCAATTATATATAGTCACTACCCTAGTTGAACCATTGAGCCATTAACACCATACCCATTGTCATCTATTGTGAGAAGACATCTGCAAAAGGAATGACCTTCAAAACTGACATTTGATTGTTTGGAGAGATCATAAGCTTGGATAGTGAAATTTCTGAGAATTTAGATTCCCTAGAATAGGCAGAATTCTGCCCCGCTTAATTTATAATTGCCAAGGCAATGATGTCAAACCCTTGTAGAAGATTTTTTTTTTAACTGAAGGTTAACATTAAAGTAATAATGGATGGATTCCATTTTCACATTACTGGTATATGTCTATAGAAGTTTGGGTGTGTCAAGAATCTCTGGCCCCTGCAGAGGAAAATCTGTACTTATT
The DNA here is from genome assembly GCF_000001405.40 of Homo sapiens. Lineage (NCBI taxonomy): Eukaryota > Metazoa > Chordata > Mammalia > Primates > Hominidae > Homo > Homo sapiens. Next base: position 121,712,023 of record NC_000008.11, read on the forward strand.
CATTTTTGCCAAAATGGAAAAAGTTTACCTATCACTGCTTAAAATCATTACCCCATGCAGCACTGTAATCGTCTAAGTATGAAATTCATGAATTAACTCACAACATATTTCATCATAATGATTAATGTGGTTAAATAATAGTAAATGGACTGTGTATTTTTCTAATAGCATAACAAACTCCCAATGCATTTCAATATAGAGGCTTCAATTGCCTCAAAAATCACTGGTGATAGTTTTTACTTTCATGTTTGCCTAAGCAGAAAAAACTCACTTTGTTTTCCCTCCCACGACCTCACATCACTTTGCCAAAGTGAAACAATACGTCCCAAAGGAAGAGCTCTTATAACTTCTTAGTTCTTATCTAATTTTCCTGGATGATTAAGGGGCAAGTCACTACGAAGCATTTATTTAGTTGGCAATTTAAGGATTTATGGTTTTTATACATGCATTATAAGGATTTAAAACACATAGACCTTCATTTTCCATTATATAAAATATTCCTGCCAAGTTATTTTGAACACATATCTCTTTGCTTTTACATATTTGAAGACATATCCTGCTGGCCCGTATTTAAGTGGAATCAGTGGTATCTGTGTCTGACAGATTTTTTTTTTTTTCACAAATCACTCTTTCATTCGCCCATTCCTAATCCAAGGGTAAAAGACATTCAAGATCCAGAGATCCAGATACATGGTCCTTACAGGGATATTTTAAGAAGCAAATACGATAACTCAGGTAAAGTGCTTAGCACAGTACAAGGCACCCATATGCTCAATAAATGGTAGCAATTTCTTTTATTATTTGACAAGATAATTGACCAATGAGCTGATAACTGGTAATCAGCAGAAGTTCAAGTAGGCAGGTGGTTATCAGGGCACACACTGTAAACATCACAGACCCAGTCATAGAAAGATTTGTATCCAAGGTGTTGAGTGGATAAGATATATAGAAATCACATAATTACAGAGAAATTGTGACATGAGATGGACAGCTCAGGGAGTGGAGACTTTGGGGACAAAGTAGACCATTTAGGGCATGATTGATACATAAGTAAGGGAAATCCAACTCTAGAGATAGGGATCTCAAATCAAAGCCAACCAGTTGAAAGTGATCCTCTCATTTATTCATGTTTCCTTAGGGCACAAGAGCCAACACACCTTCCACATCTTCATCGATACTTCACACCTCCCTGCTTTGTCGGGGCTCACTAGCAAGGACAGGGAAGAGAAGAGGGACAGTCAGTTGTTTCATTTCTCTAATGAAAGAATTGAAATTGGTTAGGAAAAGGGCAGAATTGATATAGGATCCAGCAAAATGGTTATCTGTCCACCTAAGAAAACTGACCAGTGAAGACCCTACAAAAATACTAATCTCCACACAAAATCTGTAAGTCCCTGTGTACTAGGAAACAAGAAAAAACAAGGATTTGGAATTTTTATATTTTGTTTGTTTTTCCACTCAACTTGGATAAACCTCTTAGCCCCTCTGAGTCTTAATGTTTTTTCCTGTGTAAAAACAGTACATCTTAAAAAAATGGTGCTGGCATGGAAAATGAAAATATGCATGCAAAAGATTGCTGTAGACTGTAAATCTCATAAGATGCTTGTCATTATTTTTAACCTCTCTTTCTTACTGTGTCTTTCTTGATCCCTCCCCCTCTCTTTCTGACCAAAGAATACACATTCTTCTACATTCAGAAGAGGATAGGTTAGACCAACGCTCTCTCCTCTCCTATAAGTCTTGGCAATTGTAGCATGGGAATGCCTACTGGCTTGGAACAAGAAACTAGTTTACCTGACCAGAACTCTGAATATGTCTTAGACCACTGGTGTCTGACTGCAGTTCTTGGAAAGGGGCACAGAATATTCTTTTGACCAATGCCAATGGGGAGGCAACTGCACAGGCAAATGGACAGAGGTCCTGGCTGAGTGGCAGTAACCTAGAAGCCAGAGAGCTCAGATTCAAACCCACTGACTCTTGACCTCTCATTCATTGCTGTCAGTGGAATGAAGACAACACTGCCACATACTACTTCCCAGAGAGATGGGAGACCCCAGAGAAGCTCTCTCTCTTTTTTAATGGGAAGTTCTCTTCTGCCTAAGTTATTCACCATCTTCTAATTTTATGGTTTGTTTGTAGATTTATTATTGTGATGTACTTTCCATTCAGGGCATCAACTGGCTTCCTTTCTGTAAACTGTGTGGGGCCTCTTCTGCCATCCTGCACCTATACAAATGAGAAGAGGGAGGCTATCTTATTTCATGGGCAGGGAAGGGCCCCTGTGAATTATACAATGATTTTTTATGAGAAGGTAAACACACTTGTGTGATTTTTATGTGTAAAATTCCATCCAAAATTGTAGAATCAAGGGGCGTTACAGAGGAATTTGAGATTATTCTCTGATGAGAAGAGAACCATGACATCACAGAGGAGGGATCTGCATCAGTTTCAGTGAAGTTTCACTGAAGACAGAAACTGTGGTCTAATTTCACTCTTAGGTGGAGTTAAACAGTTCAAAACTTACATCTGTCTGCATGTCTTGCTGCTGACAGTTTGTTGTGAGATAGAACACAAGGTATAACCATCAAGATAAATTTATGGAGGAACCATTATTTGTTATTGGTGTTGTTTTATAGTTGCTTTGGGATTTGTATTTTTCCCTTTTCTAATAGTGACTTTTATGATGCTGAGCTGAAAGCCTTTCACTCTTCTCTGAAACACAACATATTTTTCTTTCTTTCACAAATGATTATCACAGAATTCATGTGGTTTTTCTGCACAAAGGAATTACTATGTTGATGCAGTAACTTTCTAGATGGCTCACATCTTTATCGTCCTGACCCTCTGCAGTTCTGTCCTTTTCATTTCTGGCAGAAGTTTCTTAACATCAAGCTCAAGGCAAAAATGGGCTTTTTTATCTTGCTCATTCCCTTCATTTCTCAAGGGCTGGTTGAACTGTTGGAAACACATTTTTTCTCCAGGAATGTCCTTTTTCTATATTCAGGAAAATGTTTTATTTTTCCTCAATCCAGATTGAGTAGTACTAAAGACCCCTATCAAACAGAAGAAATTTCGGTATTTGCCTAGTCCAAATTATTTACTTTTTGGTGACAAAGTAGAGCTACAGAAAAAAAAATTATTTGAACAATATTATTGTTACTGTGAACTATACAAATACCTAGTCTGATCTCCTTCCACTTGGTTAATTTGCTCCAATCTTTCCCCTCCCAGTAATAGTATTATAATTAATCAAGCCAAGGATTTTATTTACCTGTCTTCCTGTCATCTATCTATTTATTGTTAGCGATTTTATTGTGTTTGACCTTATGGAGAATGCTAGGATGTCAGATAAAATAAATAAAATAATATGTTCATTTCTCCTCCCAGTATGTTATATGCAGTAGTGATTTGTAAATTTGTCGGGGAAACCTTTACTAATTTTTGCAAAGTTTAAAGAATTTGACAATTCTTTATTTATACATAAGAGGGACTTATATATAATATAATATAAATGTATATTTATATTATAAATAGTATAAATGTATGCTATTTATACATAAGAGGGACTAAGAAAATATTTCTCTTCAAAGTGAGGTCTGGTTTGCATTTTTAGCCTTTCCTTCCATTGGTTGGACCCTGGTAGGTTTGTCCTAAAGTAAGATCTCCCCTTCTGTAAAGCTCTTTCTACATATTCTTTAGACTAGAGGTTCTGAAATGAAGGTGGAACTCTCTTCCTCCACCCAAGGGACATTTGGCAATGTTTGGAGAACTTTTTGTTGCCAGACGGGGAGGTGATACTGTCATACTGTCATCTAATGTATAGAGGACGAATATGCTGCTGTTAAATATTCAACAACACACAGATTCCCACAACAAAGCTATGCAGTCCAAAATGTCAGTATGCTAATGTTTAGAAGCTGAGATCTGGAAGATTGTGTTTCCCTTGTGCCTGTAAGAGCTGGGCCTGGTACTTGCAATGCCAGCATAGGTCTGAAATATAGTATGTTTTCTATTATTCCTCCCAATGACCACTTCCATAAGACACCTGAGTGAGTAGCAGATGTTACTGAAAGTTTAGGGTCACAAAGGGAATTGAATCACAGGCTGTCCCTCCTCCCATTGGCAAGAAACCAAACAGTTCACTCAAGATATCTCTCTCCTGTAAGCTCTTTCACCTATGTAATACTTTTATTCACCACCTTTCTCCATAGATATAGCCTCTTTACTGGTGTAAGCTCCTTTTATGCAGGACTCCTCACTTTCTTCTTAGCCAGAGCCCCGTTCCCTGAGCTCCTTCTTGGAAATCTAATTCCTCTCACTTTTTTAAAATGGAGAGTAACTTTGCTTTCCCTAAGTGTCTGGTTGTGTATATTAGTCAGGGTTTTCCAGAAAAAAAGAACCAAGAAGATACATATATCCAAGGCAGGTGGATCTCTTGAGGCCAGGAGCTTGAGACCAGCCTGGCCAACATGGTGAAATCCTGTATCTACCCAAAATTATAAAAATTAGCCAGGCACAGTGGTGCATGCCGATAATCCCAGCTACTCAGGAGGCTGAGGCATGAGAATGACTTGAACCTGGGAGGTAGAGGATGCAGTGAGCCGAGATTGCACCACTACACTCCAGCCTGGGTGATAGAGCGAGACTGTCTCAAAAAAAAAGATACATGTATCTTATATAAAATATAAGATATATGTAACATATCTTATATAAAATATAAGATATATGTAACATATCTTATATAAAATATAAGATATATGTAACATATCTTATATTAAGTTCATTATATAAAACAAGGAATAGGCTCATATAATTATGGAGGCTAAGAAGTCTCAAGATCTGCAGTTGGCAAGCTGGAGACCCAGGAGAGAGTTGATAGTGTAAGTTCCAGTCTGAAGGAAGAAGACTGATTATGTCTTCTTCCTTCAAAAGAAGGAAGCTCTAACATAGACAGAGAGAGAATTCTTTCCTACTTGGTCTTTTATCTTTTCTGGCCTTCAGTGGATTGGATGAGGGCCGCCCACATTGGTGAGGGCAATCTGGTTTACTCAGTCAACAGATTCAAATGTTAATCTCATCTAGAAACACCCTCACAGACACACCCAAAATAGTGTTTAACCAAACATTTGGGCCCCCTGTAGTCCAGTCATGTTGACGTATAAAATTAGCCATCACATTGTTCCATATCCAAAGATTCAATAATGTGCTTAGCTAAACAATGAGCTTACATGTTAGCCTTCAGGAAGAAGGGATCCAGAAGATGACACTATTTTTCTTCTTTTCTTCTGTCACTTCTGTCTTTGTGAGTGAAAGAAAGTGGTATCAGGATTTGTTCCCCTAATGTAGAACTATGCTAAAATCTTCAGGGGGCAGTGAGGGCAAAGTTGAGTTTTTCTTTAAATAAATGGTTTATTTTGCTTATCTCCCAGTTATAATTATAAGTGAGTTTGGTTGGGTCACATCCTTTAATTTTGGGGTCCCAATTAATTATATTTTTTGGCATGGACAGCAGGACCATTAGTTGTAACCTTATTAGCTTTATTATAAATATTTGATGTCAATGCGTTTATTTTTTCTTTGAAAGAGCTCTATACTCTCTCATGTCATTGGGAACTGGACAGTTGATATTTTATTCTATTACTTTATAATTATATAATTCATAGTTAATTACATCATTTAATTCCAGTTACAAATATTTAACTCATACCCATCTCCATATTTGTCTCTGACCCCAGCAACCAGAAGCCAGGCATGAAGAAAGATACAAAAAACTACGAGTTTTTTCATTTTGCCTCATATGCTGGATAAATATGGATTATGTGAATAAATAAATGACCAGGCATCCTGGAGTGTGGCTGGCTCATTTGGAGGTTCTGTGCATTTGAACATAAAAACTGCAGCCTTGCAAACACATTCCCAGAATACCTGAGGGTAGGTTTGTAATTGAGAGTGGGATCCTTCTCTAAAGACCATAGTATTCAGTTCTAGAATCTGAATAAGTGGGTGCCCCTTTTTATGTGTGACTCTGTCCAACCATTTTTTTCCATCACAACTTCAGAGAATATTGAGACTCATTAGCAGCTGTGGTCTGGTAAAGCTTTATCTCTAGCTTGGCATGGCTGTAGAAACCTGGTTGATCCTATCTTTTAGACTGTATGCAATTTTAGAAGTCTTTGGGAATTCCAAGTAAAGCCTCAAGAAGATCTTGGACTCTTTCCTGCCAAGAAGACATACCTGTGTTTCTTTGTTATTCCATAATCAATGAAAAGAATGGAGACTGCATTTGTGGTCTGAGTGTGTGGAGCAGTTCTTACTGATTGAATAAATGAATAAATGAGACCAAGTTGGTAATGAGGTATAAATCCCAAGCCACCTACAGGTAATACCACTTTTTTTCTAGTGCTGTATATTACCACCTTAAATCGCTCCTTTGTTCAAGCAGCAAGGTAACACAGATTACACAGAACCTTTAAAAACAGGCTAAAACAACTGCCAAATTCAATGAGATTAAAAACATGGGGAAGTGGAAAGAAGACTGGATTGCGCTCAGGCCACCTGGCCTCTAGACCTTGCAGGAAGCTTTGCCATGTGGCCATGATGCAATACTGGGCAAGTCACGTCACTCTCAGATTCATTCTCTCCTCTCTTCTCTGAAAACTGATGAGGGCAGACTAAATAATCCTTTCCTTTCAAGGTTTAAGATCTTTTTATCCCCTGAATGGGATGTTTTGTCAAAGAGCTTCTTCCATCTTGTCTTTAAGAGTAACTTTTTATAAGCTATGCCCTGGCAAGTGAGAAACTGAAAGACAGGATTAGCAGTACTAAGACCAAAGTGGTTTATGGGCTTTAAAAAATACTGTTGCTCAGGATGCTTTATTCATAGAGCAAAATCTAATGATGAACTCAGCATTTCCATTGTAAATTGAATATTTCTTGGAGTTTCTAAGTTGACTCGGACATTTTGCTTAGAATTGAATCTTAGCAAGATGTTTTCCAGCAGCTTTTACCAAAAAAGTGATAATCTACTGTTAGGGGATTTTGGGGATGTCACTGTTCTGGCTGGAAATTGTGGTCAGTGGCACCTTTGCTTGACTTTTGCCCGGGCCCACTTAACTAGTTCCACCCACTCAGCCTGGCAGGCTGCGCTCGGCTCACGCTACTGGCCTGGATCCCATGCGTGCCAAGGGCGAGCCAGGTGTGAAGCAACGAGAAGTATGTGAGCGACTGAGTGTGGGGTCGGCCCACTGCACAGTCAGTGCTGGCTCCAGGTGCCAGCCCAGGCACCAAGTCTCTGTGATGCTGCAGCTAGACCACGTATACTGCCAGCAGCTTCCCCGACTGTCACCAGGAAATGGAGTGGCGCCTGGAAACTTGGAGATGCCAGGAACCACAGGCCTCAAAAAGGAGGTCACAGCCGTGGCTCAGGGAGCTCCCAGGTCTGGGGTCCCCAAAGGGCCACAGCTCTTCTCTCCCGCTCTTTGCCTGCAACGTGGTGAGCAAGGGGTGTGTTTCAGCCTTGTTTGTGTTATAGCTCTTTTAGCCTCTCCATTTGGCAGGTCCCAAGTTCTTGTCCTGTGACCAAGAAGAATGAGGCACGCAGACAAGTGAAGAGTAAGCAAAACAAAGAGGAGCTTTACAGAGCAGTAGAACAGTTCAGAGACCCACTGTGGGTAGCTCCTTTCTGCAGCCAAGGTGTCCCAATGAGTGTTCAGCCCTCAGGAGAGAGGAGGAGGCCCTGGAGTGGGTTGCTTCTCTCCACAGGCCTCAGAGGGAGGAAGTCTGTGTTGATTGGTCCATGGGCAGTCATGGGCAGGCCCTGGAAAAAGCACCATGAGTTCCCCCTTTGTTCCACAGGACTGGCAGCCTGGCCCCCAGGCTTCAGGCCTTCCCTGGCCTGAAGATGGGGCTTTGCTGGGGACCTGCTGCCTTACTGCCCAGGAGCCTGACTGCCTGCGGCAGCCATGCATGGCACCTAGGCTGCTCGCACCAAGGGGCACCAGTAGGTCAGCACAGAGCTGCCCTCAGCCCACACTCAGCTTTCCCTTCCACGTTTGTCAGCACCAAAAGCCCAGAGGGGGCTGAGGCAGCAAGGAGCCAGCGTGTCAGTGCTGCCCTGAGTGTGCACAAACCCTGCTTGGCTGTAACAGCTTCCAGCCTCAGTCCAATCACACTCTGAGATTGGAGCGGGTGCTGGGAGTGGGGAGAGGCCAGGCAGTGGGAGCAGACACCCCCGAGCCTCTGGATGGGAGGTGTGGGGGCCCTTCCCAGGCCCCCGAGGGTGCAGATTGGAGAGACACCCAAGCCCTATACCTGGGAGGGCAACTGTAGCGGCACCTGGAGAGAGCAGGGCTCCTACTTGCTCCATGGAGTGGGAGGCTCAGGCCCAGGTGGGCAGGGCTCCTGCCTGCTCCATGGAGTGGGAGGCCTGGGCCCGCCTCCCCGCTGCAGCTGGCATCTTGGCAGTGGCCACTCTAGATGGGCTGCTGCTGTCATCACTACCTTTAGTTGAGAAACCACAGAGGAAAAATATGTAGAAAAACAACAGGGACTTTAAAACCAGATACATATCTTCGGAAGTCATTTAGAGTATCTTTTCCTTCTGGTCTTGTCAAAGGTTAATACTAGAAGCCAAAGGAAGAAAACTGAGGATCAACTGTAAGGAGTCAAGGGTATGCATGATTAGAAAAAATACACAAAGGAGAAAAATATTAACTTGTGTTAATTACGAATTTTGGTTCTGGAGAGAAAATGTCCTTCTGGGTTTGAACTCCAGTTCTGCCAGTTCATAGTTATGTAATTGTCAAAGGAAAAAACTGGGTCAGGGTTCTCTAGACTTAGTGTTGAGGTTTGCATTACCAAAAAGACTATACACAGGAAAAAAAAAAAAAAAAAAGACATGTACTGTTTTTATCTACCTAAATCCCATTTCCTCCAGAAGAGTGTGAGGTTTTATATAGCAAAAATAAAAACACAGTCCAACTTTACAATCAGATTTTGGCCTAATAGGTAGAGAAGGGTGGAGAAGAAACACAGGCCATGGCAGGAATGGGCTCCCAGGACTCTCCAAAATTGGATTCCAGCCTAGGAGAGGACTGGTGTAACTGGATGGAGTTCTTTGGACACTGACAATCATAATGGGAACTTAAGGCTCTGTCAGGGTGGTCCCATTTTGATGAGGGCACAAAATTCCATTTACAGAATTTGGATGTTTATGATATGAACTTCAAAAGCTCACATAGACAATAAATCATTTTAAAAGAAGCACTCTTGACTTCCAGTTACAGAATTATGACAGACAAGGTTACTCAAAAACACTTTAATAAAAAATTCCATAAATAATGGATAAAATATAACAAACATTTCTTTTAAATGCACCACTAAGCTCACAATAATGTAAAGTTATGTCCCCCAGGGGTTAAAAACAAAGCAACACTAAAAAGCCAGGTTGCTGGGCAGACATCAACTACAATTTCTTTGGGGTTTTGGGGATGGGGTAACTGGTTTTTGATATACAACCAGTGATGGGAGAGAAACCTTGAGCCTATGCTTCACTGGGTGTTGGGACTGATATCCTTCATTTGGATTCTGAACCCACCAAGGTCTGCATCCAAAGTAAAAATTGAACTAGTGGAAAAATCTTCTCACCAGCATAGGCTGATAACAAAAAAATCTTTCCCACTGAGCTCTATACAGTATAGAAAAAAAAATCCACTGAGAATTTATACTATAGACCTATTCCTCATGTAAGCCTGGGAATCAAATTCATACGAATTACACTTCAGAAGTCTCCAAACTAATAAATTAAGATTCAAAGTGGCCCTAAGATACTGATGACTCCTGAGGTTTTTGTATTAGAAACATTTGTTTCTACCAGAGAATCAAATGTTAAAAAAAAAAAAAAAAAGCCCTAAAACCAGTTAGATCTAGAAACAGAGTTGAGTGGGATTTCTTTTGTTGCCATAAATATTCGATTAATAATGTGACACAGACTCATAAAACCCTTGCCTTGCCTCCTGCTTTTTTGATGCTCTCCTTCTTCCTAATGAGAATCCTGGGGAATGTGCCCAGCTATAAAAACAAAAGAAAACAAGAAAACAAAGAAACAAAAACATTCCCACCCAGCCTCCTAGGGAGATGTGGCCATGTGACTAAGTTTTAGCCAATGAGATAAAAGCAGAATTTATTGGCTAGCTTTCTAGGAACTGTGACTTTAAGATAATATCCAAATGCTAAAATTCCTGACTTTATAAAATTCCCATATTAGCTCTAGAATGCACACTTCTGGATATCTTTTATGCGAAAGAAACAATAAACATGTTATTAGCCCACCGTTGGGTTTTTTTTTTTTTTTTTTAGTTCTTTTTTATAGGCAACTGACTCTTCATTTGTCTGGGAGTTGGTAAAAGTACAAATTTGAGGTAGACTGTTATAAGAATACATTTCCCAGCCAGGTGCGGTGGCTCCTGCCTGTAATCCCAACACTTTGGGAGGCCAAGGTGGGCAGATCACCTGAGGTTGGGAGTTCGAGACCAGCCTGACCAACATGGAGAAACCCCATCTCTACTAAAAATACAAAATTAGCCGGGTGTGGTGCCGCATGCCTGTAATCCCAGCTACTCAGAAGGCTGAGGCAGGAGATCGCTTGAACCCGGGAGGCGGAGTTTGCAGTGAGCCAAGATCGTACCATTGCTCTCCAGCCTGGGCAACAAGAGCAAAACTTCGTCTCAAAAAAAAAAAAAAAAATTTTTCCTATAGTACACATCAAAATAATAATAATTAATTGATTAATAATTGAATACAGGGAATATGGGTAATCAGAAAAGACTAATAATTCAAGTACTTTTTTAAAAATTCAAGAAAAAGAAAATAATAGGAATGGAGAACAAATGAGACAAATATAAAACCAACAGGAATGAGTTGATTTAAAAGCAAATATGTCATTAATTATATTAAATAAAAATACCCTATTTTATAAATCAAAGTTAATAAAACTGGATTTAAAAATAATGTTCAAAAATTAAACTTGGCATAGCTGTATTAGTATCAACAAAGTCGGCTGTAAAGCAAAGATTACTACTGGAGAAAAACAGAAATATTTCATAATGATAAAGAGGTCACTTGAATCAGAAAATATAACAATACCAAATTTTAGCACCTAAATTTTTATGCATCTAATGACATAGCCTTAAAGCACATGAAAAAACAGATTTAACTAACAAAATAATTAGACAAATACACCATCATGGTTGGCAATTTTAGTCTTTCATTAACTCATAGAAAAAGACACTCTTAAGGATTTGAAAGATCTGAATGCCAAGATTGATAAATGAGCCATTGGCATATATAGATATCAGATGTCAGAGGTGACCTTCCATCACTTTTTTCATATTCTGTTGGTCAGAAGCAAGTTGCAGGTTCCACATACACCCAAGAAGAGGGGATTAGATAATATGACTCACTGGGGCTCACCTTGGGGTGTCTCTCCCACTGCCATTCTTATACATTTGATAGCCATTTATTTAGATTGTCCATTATGTATCAGATACTGTGCTAGAGCTAGGACTACTGAGGTAAGTAAGCTGTAGTTATCTGCTCTCAAGCAGCTTTTAGTCTAGTGGGAGACAAAGACTCATAAACATTTAATAAACAATATGTATAGGCAATGAGAAAGGTATGAACAAGAAATATGAAATAGAGGCACCTAGCCCATCCTCGTGGTTGGTGACAGGAGTCAGGGAGACTGCATGGATGAAGACAGGCCTGAGATGATTTGGGAAGAATAATTTCTAATTATTTAGGTGGTGAGAGTGGGGAAACACATCACAAGTAAAAGGCATGACTTCAGTGAACCCCCTACATGTGTGTGCAGTGTTGCTGAAGGACAAGAATAAAGTGCTTTTTAAAATCAGCAACTTAAGACAAAGGGGAATGGAGGGGCTTATATACCTCTTTTCAAAGGGTTCATCACCTTGTGTTGTCAGTTGTCATCCTTTTCTGAGTTTTTTGTCTTTCCAGTTGGACCGTGAGGTCCCTGAGGATGGAGACCATGGCTTACACATTTTACAGCACCCTTTACCACCGCTCCCACCCTTTATAACATTGATTTCTCTAGGACCTAGCCCTGTGTCCAGCACATGTTTGTGGACTGAATCAACGAACCAGCAAAATCACTCTTTACTGGGAGTGGATGTTTATGGCCTGAGACTCCTGGCCTCTTTCCAACCTAGGGACCACCTGCCACCCCACCCAAACCTCAAGCATGCTGTTGTGTGGCTTCTGCATCCACCCCACCTCAGCTGTGTCTGCGTCACTGGGCAGATGTAGGGATCCCCGTGTACCATGCGCACATGGCCTTGTTTGTGATTAGTGGGGCCCCGAGGGAAAGTAGACTAACCATCCAGCTCTGCTCTTCACATTTCATGTTGTGTTTTGTAGGAGGGCGGAGTGTGCGGCCAAGGGGAAGGGTTCGGGTGGGGGAGTCCTGTTTGCAGAGGGATGACTCGCCTGCATACTGCTGTGCTCCCTGCATTGTTCCCCAGGGGGCAAGGGAGGGGGCCTGGTTGTTCTTTTCAGTTCAGCCAGGTCACTGAGCAATTGGGGGAACACCCCCTCTCTCTGCCAAGTGGCAGTGTTTAGGCTGGGCCTGGCTGAGGAAGCCTGCTGAGTCACTTGGGACTGAAGTAGGCGGCAGGGGGAGGGTGCAAAACCCCCAAGCCCGAAGCAAAACAAACAAATCTCCTGTCTGCAAACCTCGAACCACAAACTGTTCATATGAGCAGAAGTGTTTTCATCCTCACACTCAGATGTGGCTTCATCTGTGAATAACAGGAGGTAATGCCCATGCCACCCTGAGATCCAGGTCAGGAGGGCAGCCAGATTTAGTAGGTCTGGAGCAGATCTGGGGGGAAAAAAGCCAGCTATCTTGTTCCAAGATATTTCTTAGCTCTCTGCACTCCTGCCCATTTTGAATTACACTTGCCTCTTCCCCTCACCCCCCACCTCCCACCAAAAGTCTGTTAGATCTCAGTCCTAGGATATGTCTGTAATTTTTAAAATTCTGTTTTTAAAAAGATATGTTATTGTGCTACAAGAAAAACCAGAGCAGATAGCTTCAGGCTAAAATAATAAAACAAGGCTTCATTAAAAAGTTTTCTCTGCAGGTAAAAAGGATGTAAATCGAGCAATATAAGTTGCCTGGGGTTAAACTTCAAGTTGAAGAAAAAAAGTGTGAAAAGAGCATAGCAGTAGGTGTTGGGAGATAGCAGCACTTCTCTGCCCCCTGTGCCCTACAGTGTCCTTGTCTGAGATAGGAGAGCCTATACCAGGACATCTCTAAGTTTCTTACTTAGCAGTCTACAAGTCTAAGCTGCTCACGATTGCTGAAAGGGTTTGCAGTGCTGTATCTTTAATCGCCTCTCCCAGATTTTTTAGCATGCAGTCAGTGGAGTAAATCTGGCCAGACTTCACTCTAATCCCAAAAGGGAAAGCTCTAAGTTAAAGAGTTGGAGCGCTGAATGAGTTTGGAAAGGCAGAAGAGCCTCAGGGAGTTGGTGTCTGAAGTCTTGGAAGAGGCAGTGAACAGCAAGAGTGAGGCTCAGATATCTGGAATCTGTTTCATGGTTTGTCTCTTTAATTCTGAGGATTTGTCCCTCCCTAGATTTGATTTAATGATGTTGTGAGAGGATCAGTTAACACTGAATGTCCATGTTGCAGATGACTATGCTGAGGCCACAGCCTGTGCCAAATTTTACTCCTAGCAGGGCACACTACTTCCAAAGGACAAATAGACATTGGCTCTGTTACAGTTTGGAGGGGAGAGAGAAGAGATTGAAGCAGGTGCAGGGGAGAATTGGCTGCTTAGCTGCTTACACCCTGGCCCTTAGGGACTGATGATAGAATGGGGTTTGCTGTCTTACCCTTAACACCATCTCAGAGTATCGGACAATTCAGCCACAGGTGCATCCGGAGTTGCTTTGTAGTACAAAGTTACATGCTAGGATTCTGAGACTCACCGGATATGATTCTTGACCTCCAGGCAATTTAAATTGCATTCAAGAAATGAGTCCTTTGCACGTGGAAATCTACCACATCAAAAGGCATGGTTGCTTTGTAGCTAAGATCATAAGCTCTAAATCAACAGACTTGAGTTCAAGTTTCAGCTTTGGTACATTTTACTTCTGTATGCCTGCAGAGCTGGTGGGTGTGGTTGTACTAGACATTCACTGCCCAAGGGTGTCAGAAAGTGTGTGAGTTCTAAAATCCAGCTCTCTCCTATTTAAACTAGTACCCTGGCATAGGAACTGCTCCTACTTGGAAGAAAAAATAGATTTATTTTTCTTATTAGCACAGAACTATCAATCACTTCCTAAACCATATGTTTTTGGGTTGTATCCACCTGGAGAGACCTTATCTTAATCTGTTCAGGCTGCTATAACAATATACTGTAAATTCGAATGATGGAGCCTTGGGGGATGAAAAAAAATACCATAGACTGGTTAGCTTATAAACAACAGAAATTTATTTCTCATAATTTTGGAGGCTGGGAAGTCCAAGATCCCAGGGCCAGTGGGTTCAGTGACTGGTGAGGGCCAGTTTGTGGATCATATACAGCACCTTCTTGCTGTGTCCTCACCTGGGGGGAGGGAATAGCTAGCTCTCTGAGGTCTCTTTTATAAGGTCACTAATCCCATTCATGAGACCTCTGACCTCATGATCTAATCACTTCTCGAAGACCCTGTGTCCTAAAATCATTACATTGATGATTAGGTTTCAACATATAAATGATGGGGGACACAACATTCAGACCATAGCATTTCTCCCCTGGCCCCCCAAATTCATGTCCTTCTTACATGCAAAATGCATTAATTCCATCCCAATAGCTTCAAAAGTTTTAACTCATTCTAGCACCAACTTTAAATTCGAAGTCCCAAATTTTATCTGAAATTTATCTAAATCAGATATGGGTAACACTCAAAGTACAACTCATCCTGAGGCCAATTGTTCTCCAGTTGTAAAACTGAAATCAAAGTTGTGTGCTTCCAACATACAATGGGAGAGGCACAGGATAGACATTCCTATGCCAAAAGGGAGAAATAGGAAAGAATAAAGGAGTGACAGGTCCCAAGTAAATTTGAAGCCCAGTGGGGAAAATATTAAATCTCAAACCTTCAGAATAATATTTGACTTGATGTCCTGCCTTTCAGACACACTGGGCTGTGATCTGGGCCCCAAAGTCTCCAGGTGACCCCACCACTGTGGCTTTGCTGGGCTCAGCCCCTACCGTAGCTCTCACTGATTGGAGTCGAGTGCCTGTGGCTCTCCTAGGTTGGAATTGCACAGTGGTGGCTTTGCTGGTCTGAGGTGGTGGGAGCTCCACCCTCACGACTCCACTAGGCAGGAAGCCCTCTGCCTGGGGTTACATCCCAAGGCCATGGTGGCTCTATCCTTTGAAAACTATGTAGAGGTAGCTATACCCCCATGGCTTGTGCATTCTGTGAACTGGCAGAGATGGCATCATTGAGACACTGCCAAGGTTTACTGTGGTCACTGCAACTCGCGTCACACAAGGACCCGCTGGAACCACACGTAGGGGAACCTGGGTCAGCCAGGGAGCACTGCTCTGGAATGTGGGGAGTGGAGCTTAGAAATCGTTTTGCCCTTGAGGCCCTTGCACCCTCAGTCTGGGTTGGGAAAGGCAGCCTTAATCATCCCTGAAATACCTTTGGGCTCCTTCTTCCACTGTGTTGGAGAATAGAGCCTGGCTTCAGTTTAGATGGCAGATCCAAATTCACCTCCTTACGAAAAGGTCACTTGTCCACACGCTTGTTCTCCACTAAACAGGCTTTGTCATTGATTTTTCTATTATGGATGGGCTAATAATCCACATTTTTAAGTTCTGCTTTTCTTTTGATTAAAAGTTCATCTTTACATTGTTTCTCTCTTCCTGGCTTTTACTATAAGCATTCACAAGAAGACAAGCCACCCACCCTCAACACTTTGCTTAGAAATTTCTTTAACTAAGAATTCTATCTCATCACAAGTTCATCTCGTCACAATTCTATCTCTTCACAAGCTCATGTGCAAGTTCTACTTTTCACAAAACACTAAGACTTGGACACAGGCCAGCCGAGTCTTTTGCCAGTTTATAACAAGGATCACCTTTCCTCTAGTTTTCAGTAACATGTTCTTCTCCCTGAGACCCCATCAGAATGGCCTGTATTGTCCATATTACTACCGGCATTCTGTTCATGACTACTTAGGTATTTTCTAAGATTGAGGCTTTCTCTCCAGCTCTCCCTCTCCCCCTAGCCCTTACCAAAATTGCCCTTAATAGTCTGGTCATGGCATTGTAAGCTTTTTCTAACCTACATCTCAAAGGCCTTCTAGCGGCTGGGTACAGTGGCTCATGCCTGTAATCCTAGCACTTTGGGAGGCCGAGGCAGGTGGATCGTCTGAGGTCAGGAGTTCGAGACCAGCCTGGCCAACATGGTGAAACCCCCCCGTCTCCACTAAAAATACGAAAATTAGCTGGGTAGTAGTGGCACATGCCTGTAATCCCAGGTACTCTGGACAGAGAGAGGCAGGAGAATCGCTTGAGCCTGGGAGGCAGAGGTTGCAGAGTGCCGAGATCGCACCATTGCACCCCAACCAAGACAACAGAGCCAGACTCTGTCTCAAAACAAACAAACAAACAAAAAACAAAAACAACCAAAAAGAAAAAAAAACCTTCTAGCATCTACCTGTAATCAGTTCTAAAGCTGCTTCTGCAGTTTGGGTATTTGTTACAGCAGCACCCCTACTTTAAAGTACAAATTCCTGTGTTAATGAGGGTTCTCTAGAGGAAGAGAAACAACAGGATACACATAGATATATTCAGATGCTCCTCGGGTTACAATGAGGTTACTTTTATTTTTTTTTTGAGAATTTTTCTTTTTTTCTTTTTTTGAGACATAGCCTTGCTCTGTCGCTTAGGCTGGAGTGCGCGATCTTGGCACGCTGCAACCTCCGGGTTCAAGCGATTCTCCTGCTTCAGCCTCCCGAGTAGCTGGGATTACAGGCATGTACCACCATGCCTGGCTAATTTTTATATTTTTAGTAGAGATGGGGTTTCACCACATTGGCCAGGCTGGTCCCGAACTCCTGACTCCTCGGCCTCCCAAAGTGCTGGGATTACAGGCGTGAGCCACCACGCCCAGCCGGGGTTACATTTTTATAAACATACTGTAAATTGAAAACATTGTAAGCCAGAAATTCAGAGCATCATAGCTTAGCCTAGCCTACCTTAAACATGCTTAGGACACTTACATTAGCCTGCATTTGAGCAAAATCATGTAGCGACACAGTACACTGTAAAGTGTTGGTGGTTTACTCTCATAATAGCATGGCTGACTAGGAGCTGTGGCTCCTGGCCACTGCCCAGCGTCGTGAGAGAGTATCATCCCACATATTGCTAGCCTGGGAAAAGATCAAAATTCAAAATTCAAAGTATGGTTCCTACTGAATGTGTATTGTGTTTGCACCATCGTAAAGTCAAAAAAAATCATAAGTTGAACCATCATAAATCGGGGATTATCTGTATATATAAGAGGAGATTTATTATGGGAATTAGCTCATGTAATTGTGAAGGCCAAGAGGCCCCATGATATATCATTTATAAGCTGGAAACCTAGGGAAGCCAGTGGTATAATTCAGCCTGAGTCTGAAGGCTTAAGGACTAGGAGAGCTGATGGTAGCATAACTCCCAGATTGAGGATGAAGGCCTTAAAGGTGGGGTGTGGTTTGAGGAGTGCTAGTGTAAGTCTCAGAGTCTAAAAGCCAAAAGCTTCAATGTACAAGGGCAGGAAAAGATGGATGTCCTATCTCAAGGAGAGAGACAGAGATAATTTGCTCTTCCTCCATCTTTTTGTTCTATCTTGGTCATCAGTGGGTTGGGTAATACCCATGCACATTGGTGAGAGCAGATCTTCTTTCTTTAGTCTGCTGATTCAAATGCTAATCTCTTGTGGAAACACCATCACAGACACACCCAGAAATTATGTTTTACCAGCAACCTGCGCATCTCTTAACCCAGTCAAGTCGATACATAAAATTAATTATCACAGAGCTTTCAATTTTTACAAAGGCATCACGTGAGCCAGTGTATGGGTCAGTGGTCACCTTGTAATCTCAAACACTTGCTTATCTTTTACGATCTGCAGTCTCCTCATCTGAGAAGTAGGGAGAACACAACACACTTTATGAAACTGTGTAGTGATATGTATAAACAAGCAGTCTAGTAAGTGCTTAGAACTGAATGATGGAAGTTTGATAAATAGCGCCTTTATTATCAACCCTGTAATACCAACCTCAATGATTTACTCTGATTAAAGAGTCAGAATAGGCCAGGCGCAGTGGCTCATGCCTGGAATCCCAGCACTTGGGGAGGCCGAGGCAGGCGGATCACGAGTTCAAGAGATCGAGACCATCCTGGCTAACATGGTGAAACGCTGTCTCTATTAAAAATATGAAAAAATTAGCCCGGCATGGTGGCGGGCGCCTCTGTAGTCACAGCTACTCAGGAGGCTGAGGCAGGAGAATGGTGTGAACCCGGGAGGCGGAGTTTGCAGTGAGCCAAGATCATGCCACTGCACTCCAGCCTGGGTGACACAGCGAGACTCCGTCTCAAAAAAAAAAAAAAAGAGTCAAAATAATGTGATTAAATGAGTTTTGTAAAAATCATGCAACAAATGGCCTGTGCTCAATTAATATTAGCAGGATTTTTTTAGTTCTCTTTTTTCCCCCTAGAGTTCAATAATGTTATGATAAGTAGCAGAAAGCATGGGTGAGATTGAGGGTGAAGAGAGGGGTAGATCCTTCAAGTCAGGGATCAAGAAACTTCATAGTAGAGGTAGAATTTGAGTTGAGCATTCTGTGTAAAGATGCTTGGCAACAGGAGATGAAACTTTTTTTTTTCTTTTTTTCACCGTGTCTTAACCCATTAACTAAATATCAGCAAAAACCCTGAAGAGAGAGGATAATATTGGACAATTGGGGAGCTTCTTTTGGACTGGCAGTGGGTTGGACATTCTTTAGCATAGGAGCCCTTATCTAGCTAGCCACAGTGGATTATTAAAGGCTTGGTAACTATTCCTTAAGGAATGTGTTTGACTTCTAGCTGCATTGAATAGAGAATATTACTTCTACAATTATGCTGATGACATTTCAGCTAGTGAAAAGAGCCACGGGCAGTAATAAATGGATCTGTCATTATCCACTGATATCCCATCATACCCATTCTGTGAAGACTGGCTGCTGCTAACTGCAGTGAAGAGAGAGAGGGACCTCTTGTTCCCATCCCATATTCAAAGGCCCACTTAGTCTAAGATGATAGAAAGTGAAAGGATGCTGGGGTTTTTTTGTTTTTTCCATCTGTTTTAAAGGTAGCAAAAGTCTTGCATTTTTCAAATCATTAAATGCAAACATGAAAATTCTTATTTCTCTTTTTCGTTGTTCTGCTTTGTGGACTGGATCTTGAATCTAGGTCTTGTTCTACCTGTAGCTGCCTATGTGACCATGGGCAAGTCACATCATCCCTCTAAATTATTTTCCTTCATTATTTAAATGATAGAACTTTCATCCTTTCTAAAGTAGATCTTTTCACTTTGTAATTCTTATAACACCACCATTTTAATTTTCTAAGATTTATCAAAAGTTATAAGTACTTTATGTATTTATAACGTTTAAAATTAATTTTAATATATTTTGTGGTACAAGTGGTTTTTGGTTACATGGATGAATTATTATATATAGTGGTGAATTCTGAGATTTTAGTGCAACTGTCACCTGAGTAGTGTACATTTTACCCAATGTGTAGTTTTTTATCCCACACCCATTTCCCACCCTCTTCCTTCTGAGTCTCCAAAGTCCATTGTATCACTGTGTATGCCTTTGCCTACTCATAGCTTAGCTCCAACCTACAAGCGAGAACATACAGTATGTGGTTTTCCATTCCTGAGTTACTTCCCTTAGAATAATGGCCTCCAGCTCCAATCAAGTTGCTTCAAAAAACATTTTTTTTTATGGCTAAGTAGTATTTCATTGTGTATATATACCACATTTTCTTTATCCATTCGTTAGTCAATGGGCACTTAGGTTGATTTCATATCTTTGCAATTGTGAATTGTGCTGCAATAAACATAGGTGTGCATGTGTCTTTTTCATATAATGATTTCTTTTCCTTTGGGTAGATACCTAGTAGTGGGATTGCTGGATTGAATGGCAGATCTACCTTTAGTTCTTTAAGGAATCTCCATACTGTTTTCCAAAGAGGTTATACTAATTTACATTCCCACCAGCAGTGTGTAAGCGTTCCCTTTTCACCACATCCACACACACATCTATTGTTTTTTTGACTTTTTAATAATGGTCATTCTTGCAGGAGTAAGGTTGTATCTCACTGTGGTTTTAATATGCATTTCTCTGATGATCAGTGATGCTGAGCTTTTTAAAATGTTTGTTGACCATTTGTATATCTTCTTTTGATAAATATTAATGTCATTTTTTATGGGATTATTTGTTTTTTTTATTGCTAGTTTGTTTGAGTTCCTTGTAGATACTGGATAATAGTCCTTTGTTGGATGCATAGCTTTGCAAATATTTTCTCCATTCTGTGGGTTGTCTCTTTACTCTGATGATTATCTCTTTTGCTCTGCAGAAGATTTTTAGTTTAATTAGGCCCCATTCATTTATTTTTGTTGTTGTTGCATTTGCTTTTGGGTTTTAGTCATGAATCCTTTGCCTAGGCCAATGTCCAGAAGAGTTTTGCCAAGGTTATTTTCTAGAATTTTTATGGATTCAGGCTTTAGATTTGTCTTTGATCCATCTTGAGTTGATTTTTTTTTAATAAGGTGAGAGATAGGGATCCAGTTTCATTCTACATGTGGCTATCCAGTTTTCCCAGCACCATTTATTAAATAGGGTGTCCTTTCCCCAATTTATTAAAAACTCTGCCTTACTGGTCTAGCAAAGACTATGTCTATCTTGTACACTGATATATCCTTAGCATACAAAATCGACCCTTAGTAAGTAGGAGGTGCAATAATAATTGATTAGCAAATGAATAAATTATATTTATTGAGTATGTGGAAGTTTTTTTAAAGAATAAACTATTCGGCTGGGCATGGTGGCTCATGCCTGTAATCCCAGCACTTTCGGAGGCCGAGGCGGGTGGATCATGAGGTGAGGAGTTGGAGACCAGCCTGGCCAGGATGGTGAAACCCCGACTCTACTGAAAAATACAAAAATTAGCCGGGCGCAGTGGTGGGCACCTGTAATCCCAGCTACTTGGGAGGCTGAGGCAAGAGAATTGCTTGAACCCGGGAGGCGGAGTCTGCAGTGAGCCGAGATCACGCCACTGCTCCCCTCTAAGCTGGGCAACAGAGCAAGACTCCATCTGAAAAAAAAAAAAAAAGAATAAATTATTATATAAGTTTGAGACATTATTAAAATTTTTATTTGCCATTGAGTATTTGTTTTCATTCTTGTTTTTTTCTGCTAGTTCACTCTTGGGTTAAAGATAAAATCAGGAGAAGAGTACTCTGAATCATTCATGTCACAGTCACCATAGATTGAGAATCTCTGACCAGTTTTACTAGAAGGCTATTTTGTATGCTTTAAGGGATTTTTACACCTGCCCTCAGGACCCTTTCTGTGCTGGCAGGCACAGAGCCCTAATTCTACTCTGAAACATTAGCTTATTTTGTTAAGGTTTTGTATTTCAAATGTAAATAACATATGAATAGTATAAACTCATTCCTATACTACCAGGCATTAACGGTTTTCATTAGAATAAGAAGCACTGCCATTCAGTAAAGCCAGGAGCAGGGATCTGATGTAATGGAGTCCCACAGACACATATGTACAGACACATTTCTTTATGAAGGGCAATAAATGAAGCCATTGGGCCATGTAATGCCATTTACAAAAAACTATCAAGGCCGGGTGCGGTGGCTCACGCTTGTAATCCCAGCACTTTGGGAGGCCAAGGCGGGCGGATCACGAGGTCAGGAGATCGAGACCACGGTGAAACCCCTTCTGTACTAAAAATACAAAAAATTAGTCAGGCGTGGTGGCGGGCGCCTGTAGTCCCAGCTACTCGGAGAGGCTGAGGCAGGAGAATGGCGTGAACCTGGGAGGCGGAGCTTGCAGTGAGCCGAGATCGCGCCACTGCACCCCAGCCTGGGTGACAGAGCGAGACTCCGTCTCAAAAAACAAAACAAAACAAAACAAAACAAAAAACTATCATTTTAAGGGAAACAGTCTGCAGAGATATAGGTCTGCTATCACTTAACGTGTATCATTGTCACACTACTCAATATGAAGCTATGAGAAATACAGACATACCTCAGAGATATTGCAAGTTCAGTTCCAGGCCAATGCAATAGGGCAAATATCAAAATAAAGCTAATCACATTAAGTTTTTGGTTTCCCAGTGCATATAAAAGTTATGTTTACACGATAGTCTCTTAAGTGCTCGACAGCATTATATCTAAGAAACAAATGTACATACCTTAATTTATTTTTTTTTATTTTATTTTTTTTTTTGAGATGGAGTCTGGCTCTGTTGCCCAGGCTGGAGTGCAGTGGCGCTATCTCCGCTCACTGCAAGCTCCGCCTCTCGGGTTCACGCCATTCTCCTGCCTTAGCCTCTTCCAGTAGCTGAGACTACAGGTGCCGGCCGCCACCATGCCCGGCTAATTTTTTTTGCATTTTTAGTAGAGACAGGGTTTCACCGTGTTAGCCAGGATAGGCTCAATCTCCTGACCTCGTGATCTGCCCGCCTCGGCCTCCCAAAGTGCTGGGATTACAGGCGTGAGCCACCGCGCCCGGCCTATACCTTAATTTAAAAATAGTTTTTTGCTAAAAAATGCTGACAGTCATCTGAGCCTTTGATGAGTTGTAATCCTTTTGTTGGTGGAGGGTCTTGCCTCGATGTTAATGGCTGCCGAGTCATGAGGGTCGGCAATTTATTCAAATGAGAAACAATGAAGTCTGCCTTATCAACGAGCTCTTCCTTTAACAAAAGATTTTTCTGTAGTATTTGATATCGTTTGGTAGCACGTTTTCCACAGTAGAGCTTCTTTTAAAATTGGAGTGAATCCTCTCAAATTCCACCACATTTTTATTAACTAAGTTTATGGAATATTTTAAATCTTTCATTGTCATTTCAACAGTGTTCACAGCATGTTTACCAGGAGTAGATTTCATCTCAAGAAACCAATTTCTTTACTTATCAACAAGAAGCAATTTTCATATGTTAAAGTTTAATAGTGAGATTGCAGCAATTCAGTCACAGCTTCAGGGTCCACTTTTAATTCTAGTTTACTTACTATTACAACCACATCTGTCATTATTTCCTTCACTGAAATCTTGAACTCCTCAACGTCGTCCATGAGGGTTGGTATCAACTTCTTCCAAACTCCTGTTAATGTTGATATTTTTACTTCCTCCCGTGAATCACTAATGTTCTTAATGGCACCTAGAATGGTGAATCATTTCCAGAAGGTATTCAATTTACTTTGCCTAGATCCATTAGAGGAATTACTGTCTATGACAGTTATAACCTTATGAAATGTATTTCTTAAATAATAAAACTTGAAAGTTGAAATTACTCTTTGATTCATGGGTTGCAGAATGGATGTTGTGTTAGCATGCACAAAAACATTAATCTCCCTGTACATGTCCATCTGAATTCTTAGTTGACCAGGTACATCGTCAGTGAGCACTAATATTTTGAAAGGAATATTCTTTTCTGAGCAGTGGATCTCAACAGTGGGCTCCAAATGATCAATAAGCCACGCTGTAAACAGATGTGCTGTGGTTTGTTGTTCCATTTATAGAGCACAGGCAGAGTAGATTTGGTAACATTCTTAAGGGCCCTAGGATTTTCAGAACAGTAAATGAGCATTGGCTTCAACTTAAAGTCACCATCTGCATTAGCCCTTAACAAAAGTCAGGTTGTCTTTTGAAGCTTTGAAACCAAGCACTGACTTCTCTCTAGCTATGAAAGTCCTTGATAGCATCTTTTTCTAACATAAGCTTGTTTTACCTACATTGAAAATTGGTTATTTAGTGCAGCCACTTTCATCAGTAATCTTAGATCTTCTGGATGACTTGCTGAAGCTTCTATATCAGCACTGGTTGCTTAAGTTACACTTGTATATTATGGAGATAGCTTCTCTCCTTAAATCTCATGAACCAACTTCTGCTAGCTTCCAACTTCTCTTCTGCAGCTTCTTCACCTTCATAGAATTAAAGAGAACTAGGGCTTTGCCCTGATTATGTTTTGGCTTAAGGAAATGTTGTGGCTGGTTTGATCTTCTATCAGAGCACTCAACCTTTTTCCATATCATCAATAAGGCTATTTCACTTTCTTATCATTCATGTGTTTGCTGGAGTGGCATTATTAATTTTCTTCAAGAGCTTTTCCTTTGCATTCACAACTTGGTTAATTAACTGTTTGGTGCAAGAGGCCTAGGTTTGGGCCTATCTCGGCTTTTGACATTCTTTCCTCATTAAGCTTAATTATTTCTAGCTTTTGATTTAAAGTGATAGATATGCTATTCTTTCTTTCATTTGAAAACAGAAGTCGTTGTAGTCTTCTTAATTGGGCTAATTTTAACATTGTTGTGCCTCAGGGAATAAAGAGACCCAAGGAGAGAGGGGGACAGGAAAACAGCTGGTCAGTGGAGCAGTCAGAACACATAAAACATTTATCGATTAAACTCACTATCTTCTATGGGCATAGTTTGTGGCATCTCAAAACAATTATAATAGTAGAATCAAAGATCATTGAACACAGATTTTGATAACAGATATAACAATAATGAAAAAGTTTGAATTATTGTGAGAATTACCAAAATGTGACACAAAGACACGAAGTGAGCACATACTGTTAAAAAAAAAATGGTGGCCATAGACTTGCTTGATGCAGGGTTATCACAGACCTTCAGTTTGCAAAACACACAGTATCTGTGAAGCACAATAAAGCTAGGCACAATAAAATACATTTTTTAAAAATAGTTACATAACTAAAAAGCTTTTTCAAGCTTTGATTTCTACCCCCAACTCAAGAAATAGTCTGCTCCCAAATTCATCCTTCTGCTTCTTGAAAAGCAGAAAACTATTTGCAACTGTAAATTCACAGTATTTTCACTTTCAAGATTAACAATAACCACAAAAATCTAGGAATCTCATCGTCAACCACAATATCTCATATCATATAAATCCAATCTATTCACAGTCCATCAAATGTTTCGAATAACAAGAAACTAAAAATAATAGTTTCAGTGTATTACATCTGTATTGTTACTTTAGACATTATGATATGTGTTTGCAGGTATATATATTCCTTAATCCTTCTTCATAAGGTTATGCTTGAAGATTTAACTCAGATAATACCATGTAAACTGCTGTTATGTAAACAACTAGCTGTTTACTAAAATCCATGCTCTCCTTTACTTAAGTAATAGAACTGTAGCTGTGTTCTTCCTCTCCTGCTGAAGAAAAACGTTTTGATTTTGTACTTACTCTGCTTTCTGATGAAGGACATGATGTTGGTGACAGCAAACACAGAGGCTTTGTCCTAAACGTGGTATCAGAGTTGTGATCACTGGTCCTTAAATGACCTCAAGGAGGGTAGTGTTGCATGTGTGAGAAATAACTTATTTTGCTTGAATTAGTGAATTTTAGGGACCCTTTCTTAACAGCAGCTGACATTATCCTAATATAAACATTAAGAAAAATTCCTCGAACATAGAAACAGCTAGCTATTATTACCATTTTTATTGCTAGAAGTCATTATCCTTACAACAGGCCTGTTTTTTGATGAGAATTATGGTAGATGATATAGTGAGTATAGGAAAACTATGTGCTAAACAAATCAGAAGTTAATTTCTAATGAATGAAACAAGGAGGCTCAGCGGAGGAGATGAACATTCTCCTAGTTGTTATTTTGATTACTAATTTGAAATCTGGCTTATTTTTGGTAATTATATTTTTTTCTTGTTCTGAAAATTTATGATAAGGGGAAGCTGAAAATAGCAAATGCCAATACAAGTAGAGGGATTCAGAATAAAACATCTACAAGAAGGGAAGCTGGTCCAGCACATAACTCTCCCCGTAGATGAAGGATTCCATAAGTCTAAATTCTAAGGGAATGGGAGAAAAAACACCAGCTTGCACTTTTCAGTTCTCATGGCAAGGATTGACTCTTTGGAAAGCACACTATTTCTAAGAGGGCCATCCCAGAAAAGGTCATGAACTGTTCTGATTGTGGTGTGTATGCATTGGGGCCAGGATATGGAAGAAGTGTTCTGTGCTCCATGTAAATATGGGCTCTTCTGTCCATATATCAATGAGGCATTTTCTCTTATCCCACCAGCTTTCCTCATTATTCCTTCCTTCCAAAATAGTCTAGGCTAAAACTGCTTAGACTAAGAAAAAGGAGAAAAGTAAGCAATTGGGAAAGCCTCCGAAAGGAAGAATTTGGGCATAGCTTTGGGGAGCAAGACTCCTTTTTTCTGTTTTTTCTCTTCTCTACAGTGACACTACCTTGTGTGGTTCCAACAAGCCCTACATGTTCAGGAAAACCTGCATCTCATTTCTGCTGAAATATGTTTTCAATTTAGGATTTGAGTTTCCAGATTGACTTGTTAACATCTAAAGAACTCAATGTCATTGTGACATAATGTTCCCCCAAGGCCAGGTAGCCATCAGCAGAGAAATGGACAGTGATTAGCTAGCTGTCAGTGGTCAAAGGTGCTGATGTGACTGCGGAAACCAACGTGGGAAAACGGAGAAGAAAGTAGGGAAAAACAGGGGTTTCTTGGGGGAAGGAGCTGAAGGGTTTGTTAGAAGATAAAATATGAGAAGGGACTAGATGGAAAAAGATGCAAATATTACAGATAATTTAGAATGTGTTTGAAAAACAACTTTCAACAGAAAAATATTTTCAGAAATACATTTTCAAAACAAAGGGGTAGGAACCAGAACAAAAGGAAAGAGTAATCTACATGTGAAGAAATTAGATTAACTAAATTTCTAGGGGCTAATTATGATGTAATTATTTCAAAATATCATGCTAATAATAGCAATTACAATAAAAGAACAATTCCAACAATTGCTACCTCTATGTGTGAAGACCTGTTTATATGCCAATCATGTGTCTAGCATTTAATGTAGATCATCTCACTTAAGTATTTATGGGATTATTAATAGCCCTGTTTTACAGGAGAAAACAAAAATCAACAGGAAAAATAGGTTTCCTCTTTCCCTGTATTCTTTCTTCCCTAAAACAGTGGTTTGATTGAGATGTAGTTAACTGTATTTGAAAAGGAAAATGATATCACAGAAGTATATCTCAAGTCATGTGCAGATGGAAGGAGGGAACCATCCCATTATAATTGTTTTGCCAGTGATGAAGATATTGTTAGTGAGATTTGTTTAATTATTATGTATACATATGAATTCTGTCTCCCCCCTTCCATATCACCCCTGGAGCCACTTCATTTCTCTCCACTGCACATTCTGTGACCCCTGGTTGAGCTTTCCTTAAAGCAGCCATGCCTGTTACCTCCAAGGAAATGCTCTGATTGATTCTGCATGACTTGTTGTGTCTTAGGGACAGTTGCTCCCCAAATTTCACCCCTTACTTAATTGAGAACCATGAGAGAAAGATTTCTCTTGGAGTACATTTCTGTTAATGGAAGAAAGGCTTGGAGAGCAGACAGTCCCTTTCCAGTGTTTGGCTTGAGAGCTATCTGGGAGAAAAGGAAATATCATTTGCTCAGCAGAGGTTTCTGTTCACTATTTTGAGTATTCTGGACCATGGAATTTGTCTTACCATATAGATATATTTGCCCTTAAAAACTGTGGAAGAGGCCACTCTGAAAAATTAGGAAGTTACACATTTTATTATCGGTGCCTTCACAATTTTCTTTTAAGTCCCCTTTTCTCCTTTATCCCTTACCCCGATCCTACTCTATTTCATTGTGATTTAAGTTTATTTATGAGTGAGTTTGTGTTTAAATAGAAAATTAGGTCAAGAAGGCAGAAAATTCAAATCGAAGATCAAGTAGATCTGGAATCACATATCCAATACTACTTCTTAGTAGCTTTGTGACTTTGGTCTTATCTCTGAGTTTCTTAAAATGAACTCTAAAATGTGGAAAATAAAGCCTACCTTTTATAGTCATCGTGTAAATTTTATGAGATAGGCTGTGAACAGGCTGCGCTTTTTTGCAAATAGCGACCCCTCAATTAATAGTAGTTTACATTTCTGAACTCTAAAAAAGCCTTTTAAAGTCAAAAAATATAGTTACTATAATGGACCACTATTCTGTGGAAAATGCATTAGTGGAATTTCTCAACTAGAACAAATACTTGCTTTTTCTGTGCCCACAGTACTTTCTTCAAGTCAGTAGCATAGCACTTACCGTGCTATATTAACTCACTATTAACGTGTATGGTTTCTACTAGATTATCAATTCCTTGACAGTTGGAACTATCTCTTTTTAATTTTTATGTTATTCTGTATTTTATATTCCGGTATTTTATTATTTAGTATTACTTTCTATTATTTTGTATTATTAGATGCTTAATACTTATTGGCTGTGCATTAATCTGCTTAGTGCTACACACTCTTATCCCTTATAGAAGCCAATCTTTTATCCAGGTCCATGGCTAAGTTTGCTTTTTAAGACTTGCAATGAATACATTCTTCTAAAATATTCTTGTCTTCCTCTTTCTTTATGGAGTATCTTTCTAATGAAAAATGACCTAACCTAGATGACACAGGATACCAACACTTGTGTGTGAGATGCGGCTGCTAGAACAGTACTCTATCAGCCATCTGCAACTTATTACATTTTGATTTTTAACAAAAAATGTTTTTTTCAAAGGAATTTATTAGAATAAGGAAATGAGTTACAAAAAAAGTAAATGTTTTATCACTGTTGCTCAAAACTTTTAGTTCAGTTTCGGATTTTTCTTTATCATTTGGCAACAGAATGGTAGGAAATTAATGAGCTCAACCTCCGAACAAGATAAAATTGGTTGAGTCAATTTGCAGCTTGTTCCAGTTGGGATAATTACTGTGTGGAGTGATAATTACCACCTAATTCCATATTTTACTGTCTGGGATTTTAGCTGCAGTTAATTCTATTTTCTGCATCTCATATCTGCTTATAAAATCTTCCTCAAAAAAAATCCTGACAATGGACCAATGAGTTCATTTTATCCACCTTGCTTACTTAGCTTAAACATTTCAGCATTTATATCTATCAAGTTTTGATTGTTATAACTTTAAAAAAAAACTTTAAACTTTCTGAACAGAAAACACAATAAGGGAATTATATTTTGTCTAAACAAATTTTCTAACCACAAGGTTGTCCTGCCATCTGTTTGATATCTCAATGACTTTTCCTAATGTCTTTTCGTTATCTGAAATCAACTGAATGTTTACTGTTACAGATAATTCTTTGTGCTTAGTCTCGTTATGCAAACTTTATATTAGGAAGAGGTATTAGTATACACTTTTTAAAATTATCTGTTTCAAAATATTATTATATCTCCTGCTTTTTAAGACCTTGAAGAAGACACGTTGGGATGTTGGGTCTGGGTGAGTTGGGTGGATATAAGAATATATTTAATTTACAATAGCCTGACTTTTCAAAAGGCTTCTTCCATTTCATTTCTCCTTTTTCTTCATAGCCCTACTGAATAGAGAAATGTTTTGCTTTTTCAAAGTTCATAAAACCTATCCTATTCTTTTGGTTTCGTGTTCTCTCTAGATGACCAAATTTTGTAAACGTTGTTGAATAATTGGCTCTCTTCTGAGGAAGTTCTTCAGAGGTCGGAGGCTAATGGTATCAAACATCAGGCTGCCTGGTTTCTTGTAAGGGTGTTTGGTTAAGATCAAGATCTCAGATAAGAGTGAAGTTGCTGGGAAAGGAAATGGCTTCAAATACAGCACAGCAACAGTAGGGAGCAGAGAGAGGGAGATCCACGGAACACATGATGAGTTGTGCTTTGTTTTTCTCTCTAAAATCTTTAGATAATCGAAGTACCTTCATTTAACACAAAAAGAGCTATCTTTTGAGATATGAGTAAAAATAAGAAAGATTTGCTTTCAGATCTGAACTATCAAGATTAGCAGCAAATCAGATGACTAGAAAGAAACAGTGAAGCAAAACAAACAAGTTTCCAGTTCCCTGAGTTCAAACCCAGCCTCCCTGGATTTGGAGGTCAAAGCTCACAGCTCAAAGTGACACCTCCTATTTAAGTGCTTTTCTTCTGGAGAGTTGAAAGCACCTGACAGACATTAACTATTTTGTGCAGTGAAAGAAGACAAAGATATTATCGAGTGAAGAACTACATTGAAGGATCTGAGTCCTGTGATCCAACCAGTTTAATAACATCGATTTTATCTTCATATTATTTTCTTCCTATGAACACTTTCAAGGTGATATGCCACTTTAGCCAGTTCCTTGCTTTATAGGAAGATAGCTTTATGTAGTTGGAATTTTTTTTCACAAGAGACTTTAGGGTTTTCTCCATGTCACCACAAAGTCACTATGCATGAGATTGTACGCTCTGCTAATTATACGTCCTCATTTTTTTTCTATTTCTCTCATTTTTCTAATTATTTGTTTCTCATATTTTCACTGATCAAGGACTGTCTTAATAATGTTCAACAATCAATTTAGGAGAAAATGCTCAGAAGAACATGAAAAATAATTAAAATGTGATGAGGAAGCAAAGGAGAGTGTTTATAGTGACATTGTAGTTCAACGTCTTCATTTTACTGAGGAGAAAATTAAAACCCAGACAATGCCAAGTCCTTCATTACCAGAAGAAAAAAAAATACTTTTGTTTATGGCGAAACTTTCCTTTGAAACTCCAACTTTACAGGAAGTCCTGATTAGGGCAGTACCTAGCCTGGGAATGGCTGCTCCCCTAGATCTGCGGCTACATAATCTGCACAGTCATGAGAAGCTATGCCTGCTCAGGACTTGCGCTCTTCCTCCGGGAAAGGAGAATCATAACTTAAATGATGGCCGTGTCTTTCAGCTCTAAATGACTAGACTCTCCTGGTATTTCTCCCTTGGATACTATGATTACACTTTGTTCTGCAGTAGTTATGACCTCAAAGCCCATGGCTTATATAGAATCAGTGAGTCACATCTGGCTCACTTTGTACACATCAACCCAGTTGCCACACTGGCTGTGTTTCTAAAATGCCAGGTGCTATTCTGGCAAGCAAATGAAGACCTTAGTGGACTAGTTGTTTCTGCCAGCAGATCATTCTACTATCCAGCTCTACTGATCTCTGCAATGCTAAGGACACATCACTACATTCCTCTGTATCTAACCATCCTTTCAGCAGCAACTGGGGTCCATTTCCTCTATGTAGCTTTGCCTGATTCCCTATACTTCTGACCATGATATAACCAGGTTATGTCGTGTCGTTGGGCATAAAAGTAGATGCTTAATAAATTCTTTAAACTTTTCTCTTTTAATAAATTTTTGGTTACAAGAAAACACTTCTTCCTTATTTTTATCATTTTATTCACTTTCTCCCCACCCACTGTGACAATGGTTGCTTGAGTGTGACTGATATTAGACTAGCTTTACATAGGCTTATTCATATACATTGCATTTTAATTCTCACAATTACGTTGTTAGATAGGTGTTATTATCTCCAATTTTCAAAGGGGAAAATGAAAGCCCAAAGAGATTGAACAAATTGCGTTGGGGTCACATAGACAGTGTCAGAGTAGACATTCAAGACAGGATGTAGGGCCGTAGACTGAGAACACCTTCCCTCCTCCATGATGTCTCCTTTTCCTAAGACAATGTAACAGTGATGCTTTATACAAACTCTTCCACACATTAAAAATGCTGAGATTGGCCGGGCACGGTGGCTCACACCTGTAATCCCAGCATTTTAGGAGGCTGAGGAGAGTGGATCACTTGAGGTCAGGAGTCCGAGACCGGCCTGGGTAACATGGTGAAACCCCATCTCTACTAAAAATACAAAAACTAGCCAGGTGTGGTGGGGCATGCCTGTAATTCCAGCTACTCAGAAGGCTGAGGCAGGAGAATCGCTTGAACCCAGGAGGTGGAGATTGAAGTGAGCCAAGATCATGCCACTGTACTCCAGCCTGGACAATAGAGTGAGATTCCATCTAAAAAAAAAAAAAAAAAAAAAAAAGTGCTGAGATAAGTTTTTTTCTTCGCTACTACAGCTTTACTCTCAGGGATATTCCCCTTAGTGGCCCTCCTTCGCTGAAAGTGCTCAGGATTTCTCATTGTCCTCACACTCTCAGCTTCCTCCCATACCCCTCCTATCATGCTTATCCGGATCCTTTAAGCTCATTCACACTGAAGTAGAAATGACTGCTAAGGCTTCATGTATTATTTCTTCTTTCATAGGAACTTGGAATTCCCAGGTGGCAAATGCTAAGTCAAAGAGATGATTTTCAACTGGGTAAGGTTCAGACATACATATACCAGAGAATGTGGGAGTCTCCAAACACACTGCCTGACTCATATTTTCTCTCACAAAGGGTCACAAGATAAAAATAATTATTTGAGAGGAGGACATTGTCTTTCCCCTAGGTAGATTCCAAGATCATATCCTGGTTTTCCAGGTCTCAGGATCATTCCATCACAGCAGTGGTCTTTGTAAAATATTGTACAGATGTTAAATCTACAGGTTGAGAATAAACCAGGTTAGTGTCCCAATGTGAGTATAATCCAAAGTCCAGATGCTCTCCTCAGAGCAACTCTATAGTAACAGTGAAACAAACAGGTGCAGGGCAGGTGTAATGGGATGAAGACAGCCTCAACAAGGGACTTTTACGTAGGTGTCAGAAAATACACATAAAAATAACAGCTCATACCATTCCAATATTTTATATTTTCCCTATTAAATCATTTTATTGAAACTAACGGTAAAGTAAATCCATCAGCATTTTCTGAGTACTGTACCCAACTCCAAAAAATCCTTTTTTTCTTTCTTTTCCTCCTGATTACTCAACTTTGATTATTTTTTCTTACTTATCATACTCCTCCAATTCATCTGCTTTGTGAAATCTGGTTGCCTCCACAGCATCTACTACACCCTTTATACACTCTGTAGCTGCCATAAGGTTAGGGCAGGGTTAACCAACCTACTTCTAAATGTAGGGGAGGTTGACATGACCTCTCCTCCTTGCAACACTGGTTGGCTCAAAGATGAGCTTGTAACACAGGCCTATTTCAGTGACTCTCTAGGCTTAGGATCTAAGTTAGGTCCAATCATAGTGAAACTCTTGGCTTTTGTTTGTTAGTCAATGGAGGATAATTTACACCTTTTTCTGGATGATGTGCAGATGTAAGACCTAAGATAATTGTAGCCATTTTGCTATTATGAAAAATGCCAATCCGGGAAAAACACCTACTAAGACATCAGAAGAAAAGCCAAGAAGAGAGAATTGCAGAACAGTAGAGCTAGAGCATTGATCAAACCACACCTGCAACTACAAATGGTCTTTTCATTTAAAAGCCAATAAATCATCTTTATTATTTAAATCCATTAAGTTGTATTTATCTACTTCTTCCTCCAAAACAATGCAAAATGACAAGCCAAATATCAAATCACACTATATTGGTACTTGTACCTCAAGGCACATATATACTTCTTTTTTTATATTTAGCATTAGCTTATATACAGTAAAATGCACTATTTTTGAATATCCATTTGGGCAATGTGTATACTATCACATAAATAACATTTTAATTAAGATTGGAATAGATTGAATGTTTGAAGGGCTGCAAGTTCTTTCCATCCCTACATATTACAGCTTATTGATTGAAAAGGCAGAATGTATTTTTTCACTATTGAATCCTAGGCTTGTTCATATGTTTTGCTTTGGCAATGGGACACTTACAAACATGACGCAAGTAAATATTTGAAAAACGCATGGGTGGCTGGGCACAGTGGCTCATGCCTGTAATGCCAGCACTTTGGGAGGCCAAGGCAGGTGGATCACCTGAGGTCTGGTGTTCGAGACCAGCCTGACCAACATAGTGAAACACCATCTCTACTAAAAATACAAAAAATTTAGCCGGGTGTGGTGGTGGGCACCTGTAATCCCAGCTGCTCGGGAGGCTGAGGCAGCAGAGTTGCTTGAACCTGGGGGGCAGAGGTTGCAGTGAGCCGAGATCGTGCCATTGCACTCCAGCCTGGGCAACAAGAGCGAAACTCCATCTCAAAAAAAAGAAAAAGAAAAAGAAAAACGCGTGGGCATTGGAACGTGTTCTGTGTGGAATCCTGAAACTCACAAGTGAATGAGGCTGAGCTAGACTGCTGGAGGATGAGAAGCCATATGGAGGAGGACCAGGGTAACCGAGTTCAGAGCCCACCCACAGCCAGATATATGACAAGGGCCATTCTAGATCATAGATCATCCAGCCTCCCAATGACCACAGATGTATGAGAGATATGTAAGGTTAACTGGGATTGTCCTGAGGAGAAAAACTACCTAGCTTACCAACAAAAACGTATGTTAAATAAAGTGAACATTGCTTTAAGTTATGAGGTTTTATAATGGTTTGTTACACAATAAAAACAAACGTAAAAAATTTAGAACATTTCTCTTTTCTCAGAAAGTTTGCTCACACACATTTCCAGTCAGTTTTCTCTCTACCATAAGGCTCCACCACTCTTCTGATTTTTTTCACCATAGTTTATTTCTGCCTGCTCTTAAACTTCATAGAAATAAATTCATACATAGTATGCTTTGTTTCTGACTCCTCTTGCTCAGCATGATGTTTTCAAAATCCTTGCTTTTGTGTATATCAGTAGTATGTTCCTTTCATTGCTGAGTAGTGCTTCATTGTGGTAACTACATGACAATTTGTATATTCATTCTCTTTGATGAACTTTTGAGTTGTTTCTAGTTGGGACAAATGTAAATATAGTCTCACCATACGTTTTTGTACAAAACTTCTTGTGGTCACGTATTTTCTTTTCTTTCAGTTAAATACTTAAGAGTAGAAATGTTGGGTTATATGATAGATGTATTTAACTTTATCAAAAAAAATCAGTCTTTATCAAACTTGTTGAACAATTTTTCATTATCACTAGTAACGTGTGAATGTTCCAGTTACCCAAAAACCTGTCAACACTTGAAATTGTCAGGCTTTATAATTTGAGCCACTTTAGTGCCTATGTTGTGATATTGCATTATGGCTTTAATATGCAATTCTCTAAACGATAATGAACATTTTTCATATGTTCAATTGGCCATTTGTGTGTGCCTTTGATGGAGTGTCAGTTTAAATCTTTGGTCTAATTTTCATATACTTAAACTGTCAATTGTCTTTTTTTAATTAAGGAATTAATATATATTATATATATACTTTTGTATTTATCCAAATACTTGTGTTGCTTTTACCTCAATTCCTTCATGTCAATCAGATATTTCTTTGCCTATGTATCAGTTTTATTTAGCTAAAACATCCTTTGGCATTTATCATAGTGGGGTCAATTTGTGATAATTCTTTCAGCTATCATTTGTCTGAAAATATTTTTATTTCACCTTATTTTAAAAGGACATTTTCACTAAAGAATTTTAGATTACCTTATTTTTCTTTCAGCACTTTGATATTATTTTATTTTTTCCTTGTTTGTGTTGTGTCTTGTATGTTAGGTATTATCCTTAGTATTGTTTCCTGTATTTAATGTCATTTTTGTTTATGTGTGGCTTATTGTGTTTTTCTTAATATATTCTGCTTTGGATTCACTGAACTTCTTGGATATGTGGGTTTACATTTTTCACCAAATTTGCATAATTTATGGTCATTATTTCCTCAAACTTATTTTTGTCTCCTAATAGTTTCTGCTTACTTCCTCGGATTCTAATTCCATGTGTTAGGCTTGATATTATTCCTTGGGTCATTTAGGCTCTGTTCACTAAAAAAAAAAAAATTTCCCATTGTTTCTGATTAATTTCTGTTGACATATTTTCAAGTTTTCTGATGTTTTATTTTCTTGTGTCTTCTTTTTCTTTACTCCGAATCCTTCTAATGCACTTTTAAATATTTAAGCTCTCATGCAGGTCCAAAAATGGCTTTAGAGAGCAGAGAAAGGGGAACGGCTTGTCTTTTATCATGATTGGGAGGTAAGGCTGGGGCGAGGGCTCCCGAGTGCTGTGCAGGCCATGCCAAAGGAGGGGGAACTCAACTTTCTTATCAGTTTACCCAAACATGGGAGGCAGAAAAAGAAGGGGAACTGATGGGGCTTGGAAGCTATCACCAAACATCAAAAATGACAACAATCCTCCTATTATATAGCTTCTGACTCTAATCTCTACACATTCAATCCAGTCCCCATGTTTTATTTTACTTCCTGGCACTTACTACCATCCTTTGATTATATATTTACTTGTAGATTGTCTCTCTATCACTCACAGGATGAAACATGAAAAAAGAAGTTTTGTTCACTACTGTGTCCAATGTGTCTAGAACAGTACCAAACTGAGTTTCATAAATGTTTGTTTGTTAAATTATTTGGAGGAAAATGTAATAAGACTAACACTTAAGCTTTATGGAGTATCTTTCCTATAGCACTGCACTTGGTTTGATTAAAAGGAAACCTCTAAGAATATCTTTTAACTCCTAGTCTTCAGGTTATAAAACCTTCGGTAACCTCTAAGCCAGCAAATCTTCCTGCTTCATCCATGAGTTGGGAAGTTCTGTCTCACTGCCTATTTACATTTACCTTCCATCAGCTTGTTTTTCTTGTTCTGCATTGAACTTCTTGTCAGCACCATAAGAAAGAATGCTCAGTGAGAAAAGGAAAAGCAACAATGTGGTTGAACTACCTATTCCCATTTCTCTGTAGGGTCAAGTCCTACATCTGCTTTGGAAGACATATTCCTTTCACTTGTTTATTTACTTTTCAAACCACTCACTCCAGGTCCCTCATTTCAGCTAGCTCCTCATCAAGCAAAGGGTTTTCTCACCTCCTTGGTTGAATGTAGATACTTGAGTTAATCATTAGGACCCCTTTCTTAATTTATTTTAGCAACTCCCTAGCAACTGGTTTCTTTGTAGTTACATTACCATTTACACCAGAACTATAAATTGCAGAAATGGCTAGTGGTTTTATTATCCAATTCTTAGTCAGACTTTCTGTTGATTTCTCTTGTGACACCATAATGTGAATGGTATGAAGATAACACAGATGACAAATAAGCAGGAGGGGGAAGGGGAGCACTGAGATTTTTCTCGTATTGTTGCTCCACCTGTTGTTCATACTGAAAAATCTCTATTTTACTGAATAATCCTTCTTTTTTTCCTCTATGCCATTCAAAAGTTATTGTTCCCTTATAAAACTTTAATAGAAAACATTTAGTGAGTATCTTGATTATAACTTAGAATATGTGTACATTAGTAAAATAACCAGATACACTACAGAACTCTCTATTGGCTCTGTTATTCCCAGGACAGATAGCAGTGACAGTGCATTCGATTTTAATAAGAAAAACAAAACTGTAAACCTTGAGAAATTTTAAAAAGCGTGGTTGAGGCGTATTTTTTCATAATTATATACTTACCTATTTATTGCCCTTGGAAAATATATGTGTAGAAGTTTTTCTCCTGTTATTTGTTGTTATCTTCTGAATTTGTTCCAAAGATCATACTGCCATACTGCATTCCCTCTGGAAGAAAACAAACAAACAAAAAAAACTCACTCAAAACCAGCAGTGCTGCTATCGGATAGTAGATGTCAAGGTATACGTATGAGGAAAAACTAAAAAATGTAATGTGTTTGTTAATTCAACCTTTTTCTATGTAATATTTCCAGGTCAGACTTTTTTACCTTCCTGGAATTCAGTTTTATATACCAAAAGTAATAATGATAAAATATTCGCTTTGATTACTGTGGGGGAGGAGGAGGGATGAAATATTCAATTGTATTAAAATAAACACACTTCTCAGAGATACTGGTTTCCTGTCCTTGAAGGTTATGAATAATTTAGAGCTATTGTATTTTTTTTCTTATGTTTTGCCCAAGGTAGCATATTATATATCCAGGTATTTCATTGCTGGTTTGGGTACATAGGAATTTGATAGTAGTATATTAAAGTCTTTCCTTCACAGTAAAAAAATAATAATAATAAAGTTATTGTCTCTGGAGAGCTTTATAATTCAAAGCTTTGTTACAGTGCTAAACTAAATAAACATTATATTCTTTTACTGACAGTATTTATTTATACTCTATAAAATTTTACTTTATAAAATATATGTTGTTCAGGTACTAGAAATGCTTTATTCTAGAAAGAATACTTTATGTATAAAGAGCTTATGTGGTGCCTAGTGCCGTGGTTAGTACTTGATATATATTACTTCGTTTTCTTCTTTCTTCTGGTAAATGCAAAGGCATATTTAAGGATCAGTGGACATGTTCATAGGACACGTATATGGCAGGAATAAAGATACTTCTCACTTATGTTCAAGTAGGGTGAAGTTTGAAGAAATAATGCCAGCTTTTACACACAATAGTCATTAACAAACAAGTTGGCCAATTCTGCAAAAGCTGAATGAATAGAACTTACTCACACTAAACAAAAAGCTTCCATCTATGGACCATGAGCAATTTTAGGGAGTTCTGACTTCTCACTCATTTTATTTATCTATGAGTTATCATTCTAAGGAGCATATTTGAATGCAAATTTATTGAAATAATTCCCCATGGGAGGCAAGAAAATAAACATACCCTGGCTATAAAGATTTCTTGAGGAATAATAACCAATAATTTCAGAGTTATTTCAGAGTTTCAGAGTTATTTTACTCTGTCACTTTTTGGAGGACTGAGAAATTTCCTACCTTGAACATTTACAAATTCTTCATTGCCGGAGCAGAAAGTTTTATCTCTTGTGTGACCTTTCCTCAATCTAGAGAATGAGGGCTATCACTCCATTGCTGAAAACAAAAAAGATTTGAGGACTTATTGGAGTGGAGTGTAAATGTTTATAAATACAGAACAGATTTGGTTGTTGACTCCTAGTTCTCCCAAATGTCTGAGTCTAATGGTACTCTGCCATGTATTAATATTTACCTGTTAGACTTGCCTGCTATCCTCAAGACACATCTGATAGGAGGTGAACTGGGAAGACTCTCTCTTTCAGGCCTTTGAATTGAATAGAGAAAATCTTGTTTCTTTGCATAGCATTGGGCAACATCAAAAATAAGGATTTGAAATTAAAAAATGAAGGGAGGTATAAAAACAAACCATCTCTCTGATTGGCTGAGCTGTGCCACTATTGAAACACAAATAAAATGAATGCCCAAAGTAAGGTTCATATCAGGTAAATTTTCAGGATGGACACTTATTTTGAACAGCTGCTTCTTTCAAATTTGCTGTTAAAGTCTAAATGATTATTTTGATACGAGTAGGCTTTGTTTTTTTTTTCAGAGAGAAAGTCCTGCTCTGTCACCCACAGTGGAGTGCAGTGGCGTGATCTCGGCTCACTGCAACCTCCACCTCCCAGGTTCAAGAGATTCTCCTGCCTCAGCCTCCTGAGTAGCTGGGATTACAAGTGCCCGCCACCACTCCCAGCTAATTTTTGTATTTTTAGTAGAGATGGGGTTTTACCACGTTGCCCAGGCTGGTCTCCAACTCTAGACCTCAAGTGATCCACCTGCTTTGGCCTCCAAAAGTGCTGAGATTACAGGCGTGAGCCACTGCACCCAGCCGCAAACTAGGCATTTTCTTCTTTGTATAAATTCAAATGTGTTAAAGTGTATTCGTATCATAGAAGAATGATCTAAGGAAATATGGTAGCTTCTCTCATATTATTAATGTAAGAGCAATAATACTCTTTAACAAAGAGTCGACATACTAATCAACTTCCTCTTAATAGAGTTGTTAGATTAAATGATATTATCCTTTCCCTCTATTGACCATACTGGCTGAAGCCCACAGTATCCTGAAAGTTCATGATTAGCAGGCTCTTTTCTAGTATGTCCACATACTTCTATTCCCATTGAATGAGTTGAATACATATCAAGAGTCACCTAAACCAGTTTATGTCACTACATTTTAGAGTCATTATGTCATTCACTTAAATATTAATCAAATCTATTAAATATGAGCACAAAAAAATTATTTCTAAGAAAAAATAAGCAGTGTGCTTTACAAAAACGTGAATGGCTTACACCATAAAAATTGTTATAGAATATGGATGGACAAGAAAGGTGTGAAAAAAAAGGTGTTACAATCTGTATATACTCTGTGCACTTAGGTTGCTTCTCAGATGTCTTCACAGATTCTGCTCTGACTTGAAGAAAGCAAATGTGGAAATTACAGATGCATTGTGGGTATGATTTTCATAAAAGAGATTTAGATTTAGAAACCTGACATACAGATTCATAATCAGTGGACTCATACTAAGAAATGTCTTGGCCTGACTTCAGAAGTTTGATCAATAAATGTACTTTCACAAGTCTTAAGTTAGAATATTTATGTATTGTTGGCCGGGCATGGTGGCTCGTGCCTGTAATCACAGGACTTTGGGAGGCCAATGCGGGCAGATCACCTGAAGTCAGGAGATCGAGACCATCCTGGCTAACACGGTGAAACCCCGTCTCTACTAAAAAATACAAAAAAATTAGCCGGGCATGGTGGCGGATGCCTGTAGTCCCAGCTACTCAGGAGGCTAAGGCAGGAGAATGGCATGAACCCAGGAGGCGGAGCTTGCAGTGAGCCAAGATCGCGCCACTGCACTCCAGCCTGGGTGACAGAGCGAGACTCCATCTCAAAAAAAAGAAAAAAAAAAAAAAAGAATATTTATGTATTGTTACATAAAGTTACATTAAATATTTATGTATTGTTCTTCCCTTTAACTGACTTTTTGATTAATTGACCAATTATGGGTTTGAAGCTGAGGAGTCTTCTACTGTTCAGTGAATTATTTTTTGGCCTAATAAAAATGCTGTGAGGAATGTAACAGAAAAATTATTGTAATTTAGATATAAGTTGGAATTCCCCTGTTCAGAAATCTAGTTAAAATTTGCTTTAAGCTTCACTTTCTATGTTCTATGGAAACTCAAAGCAGTCTGTCCTGTTTTTCTTAATTTATAGCTTTTCTTGGCTATCTCGGTTTGTGGCCCCTGAATCTACATGTAGTTCTGGTGTCATAATCACTCTTCATTCATTACTCTATAGATATTGAGGATGTTATATAAAATATGGATGCAAAGACTTTAGCACAATTCCTGGTACTTATTCAAAGATAGTAGCTGTTGTTGCATTAATATTGTTATTATTTTAAACCATGAAAATAACTGTGCAAAATGGCATCATCCCCACTGTATCTGTTAAAAGCTAAGACTTGGAGAGGTTGTGTGTGTGTGCATATGTGTGTTTGTCTGTGTATGTGTGTTTTCACCCAGGTTGCACAAAAGTCAGTCCAGAATTTTAACCTGGGCATTCTCGCTCTAAAGCGTGAGGTCTTTGCAATGTGTCTATAATGTGATGAGGGAAATCAAGTCTTCCTTAAGTGCACACAGAAGGGCCACCTATCCCTGACTGGGGGAAAAATGTGTTTCCAATCTTCTTCCCAGCACTAATAGAATACGAGTTTTCTGTTCCAGTCTCAATGGATTAGTTATTTCTTTCTGACCTTCATGTCTTGGCTGGTATTTCTTGTCTCTTTTGTTCTTTCCCACCCTGCAACAGTCCATTTTCCATTGTAGAAATCCTACGCATTTTTAATGGATCTTCATAGTCTCCCCAAATCCTCTTTGTTTAAGCAGTTATTTTATAATTATTGTTACTGAGGATAGCCATAATAATACTTAAATTAATGATCTCCTCTGTACTAGGCAGTGTGCTAAGTAGAAAATGTGGTGCACAGGGTCCTCCACGAGGTTGTTGTATGGATGAAAAGATTAAGAATCAGGAATGTTAAAATCCTAAAGCCACACAACTGTTAAGTGATATAGTGGAATTTGAACCCAGAAATTCTGACTCCGGAGTCCACATTATTACCCACTGCATTTCATTTGGTGAAGGAATTCTCTCAATATAGCTAGCATTTATTCATAGGAAGCCTGGGGCAATTTATCTTTTTTCTAGGACTAGTATATCTATAAAGCCCAATGTGAGGGTGCTGCCTTGAAGGTGAAATCTTTTCATAAAGCAAAAGAAATAATTCTTGAGCCTCCAGACTCAGGGAGGTTTGATTACAAAACTAGGATGTTCTTGGCATAAGAACAGAAACATGAAAAAATAATGAAGCTGTTATTAATTGCAAAAGAAAACGCCCTTGGAAAGACAATAACCTAGGCTTCAGAGATAGAAGAAAGTCAAAGGAAATTTAGAGTAAAATAAATTTCAGTGGAATCTTCTTTCCTTCTCCCAAACAATTGCCATATACAAGTATATTTCTTAAATACTCAAGTCACAGAAAGCTATTTTTGCCATGTTTTTTGTCTTTACAAGTGAGTAGGTTTCTTTGGTCTATCTTATTTCTTATTTAAAAAATAATGAATTAAATGCATGTAAAGACATCTTCCATAAATCCTCCACAAAATTTCAGACAAGGACAAAAGGAAGAAAAATGTATAAATTACTGTATTAAACACAATTTGTTATTAAGCTGCATAAAAAGTTTTCTTCAATTGTATAAAAGATCTTTGTGAAATATTTCTGCTGTCCTTGTTTTCCACATTGTATGAGTAGATTCTTAACCATGAACATAAAAATTCAGAGAATTGTTAAGTAATGCCTAATAAAAATGCCTGCCAATTTCTATTGGGTAACTGATGGATTGATGGATATTTAACAACTTGAATTGTTAACATATTTTGGCATCCAATATTTTTTCTGACACAAAATTAATTCTTTTTTACTGCGACTAATTCTCTTCTTTCCTACTCAGCAGTCATGAGAATATTATTATTATTATTTTAATATTTAGGATTTGATATTTAATAAGTTCATAGAACTATTATAAATATTAAATTTGAAATACAGATTTCATGCCAGACAAATTCAAGAATGGAATGTAAGAACAGATTGCAAGCCTGATATCCTGAGTGTGTAGTATAATGCTTGGTACATAGTAGATGCTCAAAAACTATGTCAAAGGCAAAGGAACTGAGTGCAAAGAGTAACAATACAATATATGTGAAAGAGTTCATGGTAAGCTCTTATATTAAATATGCTGTCAAAGTATGGAATCATTTACGAAAGTTGGTTTAGAATTTATATGACTACATGATGTGGTTTGGCTCTGTCTCCCCACCAAAATCTCATGTCAAATTGAAATCCCCATGTGTTGGAGGAGGGGCCTGGTAGGAGGTCATTGAATCATGGGGGCAAACTTCCCACTTGCTATTCTCATGATAGTGAATGAGTTCTCATGACATCTGGTTGTTTAAAAGTGTGTAGCACTTCCTTGTTGACTCTCTCTCTCTCTCTCTCTCTCTCTCTCCTGCCGGCATGTGAAGAGGGTGCCTTGCTTCCCCTTTGCTTTCTGCCTTAATTGTAAGTTTCCTGAGGCCTCCCAGTCATGCTTCCTGTTAAGCCTGTGGACTGTGAGTCAATTAAACCTCTTTTCTTCATAAATTACCCAGTCTCAGGTAGTTCTTTATAGTAGTGTGGGAATGGATTAATACACTACAATTTATCCGTTTTAGTACTTTTTTTTCAAAAGTAATATTCAGTGACAATATATATAAACTATTTTATGCAGTATAGGGTAGTGTTTTATGGTATTTCAAAGGAAAGTTTCTGGATTAATCCTGTGAGTCTGAATCACCATTCTCTCCTATTGTTAAATTATACAAGTTAATCACTCTCATTGGGAAAATGGCTCTGTTTCTCACATTATCTTCACTGTAAAATGGGAATTATCAAAGTATTTCTTCACAGGGTTGTTGTGAGGGTCCAGTGCCTAGTACATAGTCAACAATATATAGATGCTAACCATTTAAATTTTACATTATTTCCACCTTCCTGCTTATACCATGTTTACCTTGAGAGCATTAAACTTTTTGAAAACTCAGGGTAAACAATGCGTTTAAGGTCTATCTATTCATGCTTGAAGTTATTTAAAGCTCCTTCATTCTCTAATAACAGAAATTTAGCTGAACTTTTTTGTTCTTATGTTTGTAGTTTTAAAAATTAACTTTTTGGTTCATCTGTAGTTCTCATTTCTTCTTCTTATGGAAATTCTTTCTTTCTTTCTTTCTTTTATCAATACCCCCAATAAAGGAACCAACCATCCTGAAACCTCAGTCTATATATTTCAATTAAGTACACATCCTACCTGACCCCAAACCTTTTTTTCTTTTGGCCATTGTCTTTATTTCATATCTCTGCCCAGGGCCAACTAGAGTTAAGAACAACCACTGAGGCTTATTTTTTGTGTGGGGTTTAGGGGAGGGGGTGGTAAAGGCAGTGAGGAGGGAGACTTTTTCTTGCTGCTTTTATCAAAATTGAAAAATGCAATTCAAGCCATTCTTGAGGTTACCACCTAGAAGCAGAAAATGAAGATGGAGAGAAATTGAATCCTGGTTTCATGCTTGAGCCCCTGGAGTCCCCCTATGATTGGGATTCACAGATACATGGGTTAAGAAACAATAGATTCTCTGTGTTTAAATGAGTTTCATTAGCTCTTCTGACACTTGCAACCAAAAGAAAGTGAGGTGATAATCTACCTGTGGTTAGGCTACCAGTTACTCTTTCTGATTTGATCAGTGTCTTTGCTTTTCTCACACAACCCTCCAAACATCCTGCTAATTTGCTGTCACTAATCTGCTCTGGGTTTAGATGTGAGATAACCTAGTTTGTGAGGGTTTCATCCTAACGGGAATAAATATACTCTGAGAGGCTTAGAAAGAGTTTTGTAATATGTATATTTAACATCTTAGAAACATTC
This sequence comes from Homo sapiens, assembly GCF_000001405.40. Classification (NCBI taxonomy): domain Eukaryota; kingdom Metazoa; phylum Chordata; class Mammalia; order Primates; family Hominidae; genus Homo; species Homo sapiens. The sequence continues at coordinate 121,757,001 of NC_000008.11, forward strand.
ATTTTTAATCCTTTTTTCAGAATCTTTGCTATATTTTGACATGTAATCAGCTTTTGATAGGTGATGCTGCTTAATAGGAATATATTGCTGAAGAATGCCACTAGAGCCATAGAGCCTTATGTCATGTCTTAGACTTACCACTTGTTAGTGCTATATATTTGAAAAAGTTATTTAATATTGCTCAATTTCAGTTTCTTATTTTGCAAAATGAGTATAATAATACCTGACATGATTGAAATAAAGAGTACATGTAAAGCAGTTAGAAAAGGGCAGGACATATGAGGCTTGCTTGCTGAATGTGCTACATGCTTTTTAATTTTTAAGTTGAGATACTTTCAACTGTTCAAATTATAATTATTAATCCACGTTATTCTGGATTAATAACATAATCCATGTTATTCTAAGTTTTTTTCTCTTCCTAAATATTTAATTTAGGATATTTCATTTTCCCCTTTTACCGCAGAAAAGAGAGAAACAGAAAGTAGAGAAAACAGTGTAAGTAAATATTACTCTTTGTTCCTAGTTCAGTCTCAGATATGACAAGAGGGCCAATAAAGCCTTTCACTTCAAAAAACTTTAAGAGTTTTCATTTTTGGCAGCATATTCCTTTGTTCTTATGCTTAATGTTTAAAACTTTATTTTTCTGCCATACTATCCTTCATAATAGTATTTTACTGAATATTTTAATTTTCTAGAATGATGGTGACTTGAGGTAACTCCTGGTTTCATTTCCATTTAGACACACCTGTAATTTCAGAGGAATCATTACGTTTCTGTAGCATTCTAATCGTTTAAATGTGCCTTAAACACATAAGCATTTATTGTCAATCTTCCTGCTTTACAGTCTGTCCAGTTCAATCCTGCTTTCCCCACAAGGAGGACAGCTAAGAAACCTGCTCAGATTTCCCTTTTCCTACCTTCTCATCTCCAGGTTTCCTATTTTTCTCTATCCCGAAGGAAGCTGGGAGACTGCTCAAATTTCCTTTGTGGGGGTCTGTGTCCCACCTGGCGTCTTCCTCTCCTGCTCAGCAACAGGAGGTTGTTTTTTTTACTGTCAGCACTCCCTCCTCTTGGCTGTCAGAATTCATCCCAGTGGAAATGTAGACATCTGAGTTTCTTCCAGACTTCAATGGGTAAATTGCCAATTTCCATTTTATGAAAATAGTTCTCCTTTCATGGAATAATCTTGCTCCTGAACCGTTCCTTTAAACAAAAACAAACAAACAAACAAGCAACAAAAGGATTTTAGCCATACTTAAAGGCTGAATCAGTGATCGATCTGTCCATCGCCTCTCTTCTGATTTCTTTTGAAAGGCCTCCAAGCATGTAGATCATATCAAGTTAACCAATGAACAATGGAATCAGAATTTTGACAACCCCTGTCTTTAGCCATTTTGCATGAAAGATTTCAGTACATTTGTCTTTACCACAATTTTTGGGTTTGAATAAAAGCTAATGAAGTAGAATATCTAAGGATGGCACACAGCATTATATGCTTTAAACATTTTGCCCCAGGTAATAGTGAATGTCAGTCGTATTTGGGAGCCACTGGACAAAACAGTATCTTAACAATGGAAAATGAAAACATTTAATATGAGCTGTATTTTCCACCATAGGAAGAAACCAAGAAAGTGGTGCCTTTTTTTTCTCCCCAAAATGAGAAAATGAAGGCTAAGGGGCAACATAATCAAAGTGATAAATGACCTCATCATTTTAACCTAGGTATGAATTTTTCCCAGCAGTCTCAGAATGTGAGAAAAGACATACTATATTGTTTAAAGATTTGTCAAATTTTTTATTCTGAGTCCTCATTCTGCTGATCTGCGCAGAAGTTCAGTCTCTGTCACTATTGGGATTACTGCCATTTCTTTCTTATGCGCTGTGCAAAACCTAATATGATCTGATACAAAGCAGAATATTCCAACAGGCCCTTCCATTCCTGGTCCATGCTGGGCATTGCTAATGGGCTCTCCATTCTAGTCCACGTGGTAACTTGGAGTCAAGAAGTGTCCTACTTCCCCCTGCACTTTTGGGAACTGGTTTCTTGGCTTTGCCTGGAGGTCCAGTTTCTAGGGGGCACCAAATTCTTCTCTGAGAATGTCAGTCAAGCTCTAAGCCTCAGCAAGAACTGGGGCTTGCAGCACTGCTGTTCACAGTTCCTGCAGATGTTTGTCCTCTCGCAGTGTTGGGTCATCTTTCTGTTTTTAATCGTTTGTGCTTCAACCTGTTGATTGGTAATGCTTTGCAGTATATTAACCTCAGGCGTGGTATGAAGTCCATGTCAAATAAGAATAAAGCAGGTTTCATCAACCTTTTCATTGCTAAGAAAATAGGAGAACAGGGCAGGGAAGTGTAGGGGAAAGAACATCCACTACATGGTGATGGTGGAGAATGGTGATGTCCAAGCAGAGAGATCACCTTCTGTCTCATTGACTAATTGACTATTCATTGTTTAGCTATTTTGCTAGAGGTTAAAAAAAAAAAAAAATCATAGTTACTTCCCTCTGCTGTTGTCATTTTATAACATAAGTGTTTTTGACAAAATTCTGTTTCCTTCAATGATTTTCATTTAGTTGCATTAGATAAAAACAACAACAAAAAAAACATACTGATATCAACACTGATAGTATCTCATATCTTTCCTTCTCTTAACTTGCCTGTTAAAAAAATTAGAGTAGTGATATTCTTTTCTTTTCTCTATTTTCTTTCTCTCTTTCCTTCCTTCCTTCCTTCCTTCCTTCCTTCCTTCCTTCCTTCCTTTTTCTCTCTCCTTCTTTCTTTACTGCTTTCCTTTTTATTTGAGACAGGGTCTCACTTTGTCACCCAGGCTGGAGTGCAGTGACGCCATCATGGCTCCCTGCAGCTTTGACCTCCCAAGTTCAAGCGATCCTCTCACCTCAGCTTTCCAAGGAGCGGAGACCACAGGCACGCCACCACACCTGGCTAATTTTTAAATTTTTTGTAGGGATGAGGTCTTGCCATGTTGCCCAAGCTGGTTCTTTTCTTTTTCTTGTTTCAACTGGTAATATTTTCTTCAGACAAAAACCTTACTGGGACATTAATAATTTGAAAGATAAAAAGATGTGTTCCTGTTGACCAAGAGCTTCTCAAACTTTCTCTACTCTCTCCCTATTACTCCTCTTACCCAGAAATTCCTTTGTGGAACCCTAGTCTAGCTAAGGTAACACAGGTCTAGGGATATACCAGGTATTCTGGAAATAAATTATTATGAAGAAGTGATTCAGACATTGCTATATCTGAAATTCAGGAGGATGGTCACTCTGATGTTTCAGATTATTTCCAATGGTAAGATACTATAGTTAGTATTCAATGATGCTTTATTGAGAACTCAACACCTTTAACTCAAACTGTTTATCTTATATTTCAGTGGTGGTTTCCAGGCCATAAAAATTAAAAGCCTAACAGTGCCATTGGAAAGCAATAGAAAATGTTTCATAATGAAACATGATCTTACGGCCAGGCGCAGTGGCTCATGCCTGTAATCCCAGCACTTTGGGAGGCCGAGGCGGGCGGATCACCTGAGGTCGGGAGTTTGAGACCAGCCTGACCAACATGGAGAAACCCCGTCTCTACTAAAAATACAAAATTAGCTGGGTGTGGTGGCACATGCCTGTAATTCCAGCTACTGGTGAGGCTGAGGCAGGAGAATTGCCTGAACCTAGAAGGTGGAGGTTGTGGTGAGCCGAGATTACACCATGGGACTCCAGCCTGGGCAACAAGAGCAAAACTCCGTCTAAAAAAAAAAAAAAAAAAAAGAGAAATAGGAAGATCTTGTCAATCTTATTTTCATGAAGACAAAGTAAACTGTGTTTTCTCTTTGTGTTCATTCAAAATTTAAAATCTCTTTCTTTTTATTATATCTGGATTTTAAAAGGTCAATATTCAGTAAGAGGAGGAAGATTTGGCCATATTTTATGAAACCCTTGAGAGAAAGAGAGAGAACAAGAAAGAAATTTTCCAAGCGGTTGTACGGATGAGGTATTATTGTGTGGTGTGCCTGCTTGCAGCTGGTAGTAATCACTCCCCAACATCATATAGTTATTTCCCAGTATCAGATGTGAACACATGTGAGCCTTTCCCTTCAAGGGCACTTTTTGTTCATGTTCTCGAATATAGGTTATCACTGTGATCCTAACCCACTTTTATTAGAGTCTGTTTTTAATCAAATGAAAGGACTTTATTGGACTTTTCTTGTGGGTAAAAGAAATGAACCCATTGAAAAAAATACTAATAAATTTCTTCAGTAATTCATTTAGTTATTTTTCTAAATTTTTGGAAATATGGCTTCGGTAATGTGTCTCTTTAGAAGCTGTTATTTGTTCACATGGATTTACATATCTATTTTCTGTAATGCAGTTAGCAGCTCAAGAAAGTAACTATTTTGGAGAAGACCATCATGTATCTCATATTAAAATAATCTTAATTAGCACCAAGGTGAAGGGTGTTTTGCCCTAGCTTTGATTTTTTTCCAGAAAATTTAAAAGTAATTTTAAGGTATATTTCAGCTTAATATCATTACTGTGGTAGGTTGAAGAAATGGTCCCACAAAGATATATTCACTTCCTAATCTGCAAAATCTGTGAATATTAACTTATATAGCAAACAAGTGAATGTTACATTATGTAGCAAAAGATATGATGATGTTACAGATCCTGACAGGAGGGGCTTATCCTGGATTGTCTTGGTAAATCCTAAATGTGATCATAAATGTTTTTATAAGAAAGAGGGGATTAGACAAAGATATACAGAGGAGTAGATGATGTAAAGATGGAGCAGAGAGAGATGCAGCCATAAGCCAAGGAATGCTGACAGTCACCAGAAGCTGAAAGGGGCAGAAATGGATTCTTCCTTACAGTCTCTGGAAGGAGTGCAGCCCCGCCTATACGCTGATTTCATGCTTCTGCCCTCCCCAACTATGAAAGAATGAAATTCAGTTTGTGGTAATTTGTTACAACAGCCAGAGGAAACAAATATAGTTACCTTAAGAAATAAAACATAATAAATGAGATTACCTAAAGGAAGGAGTTTAAATTTCTGTGAAATATTGACTGTTTTATATTTTTCAGGCTTTTTATACCATTGAATCCACTCTCTTCCCCAATCCCATATTGCATTTTTTGTTAAAATATTTCTCCTATTTATGGCCATACATGAAGAATAATTCTAATTTGCTTGGAAAGATCTGGATCTGTGGTTAAAATTTAAGGCTGCTTCTGTCATCTGAATTATGGGAGATTCTTTCTCTGTCTTCATTCAGTGTATATATGTTTATGCCCAAGAAGCAATATTAAACCTTGAAAGGTTAGTGATTAGCAAGTTAAGCATATCTTTTGCCTTCAAGAGGTTTATAGACAAAGAGAAGGGTCATGAAAAGAAAGAAACAATTGCAAAACAGTTGGAAAATATTTATTTATCCATTGTAACTAAAGATGTTGCTGTTTTGATCAAGTTTTGTGATAGTAAGTATTTTATGGAATTCTTAAAAATAGTTTAACTTCAAGAAGTTATTGATTTGATATTGGATTCTTAATATAATTTTTTGTTCTTTCACTGAAAAGAGAAATAATTACATAGCAGTTCTAGTGCTAGAAGTTGCATGTGCTAGAAATTGTAAGATGCTGGGGTGAGAATTGAAATTTTGTTTTCTTTTTCTTTCCTTATTTTTTTGAGACAGAGTCTTGCTCTGTCACCAAGGCTGGAATGCAGTGGCACTATCATGGCTCACTGCACCTTGACTTCCCAAGCTCAAGTCATCCTCCCACCTCAGCCTCTGAAGTAGCCAGAACTACAGGCACATACCACAATGCCCAGCCAATTAAAAAATTTTCTTTTATTTTTTTTGTAGAGATGGGGGTCTTGCTATGTTGCCTAGGCTGATCTTGAACTCTTGAGTTCAAGTGATCCTCCTGCCTTGGCCTCCCAAAGTGCTAGGATTTCAATTCTTATAGCAAATTTACCTTCTGAACTGTCCTGGGCAAGGCACCAAGTTCTAAGGAATACCTTAGCATTGAACTTCTCCCTTAAAAGTTTCAAGTCCTAGTATCCTTTCTTTGCTACGTTATTCCAAATGTAGAATTTTTAGAAGGAACTTTAACTTATTGTTTGATTACTAGGTTGTCAGCAAACATATGCTATACATTCATTATGCTAGGTGCTGGGAAATTAAGGAAAATCAGGTGCAATGCCTGACAGAGGAAGGCTGATGAAAATGCATATTTAAAACAAATTCCTTTCTTTGTAGAGCATCTTATGAAATCACAGGAACCATATAAAATTGACAATACTTAATTATTTTTGACCTAAAAAAACTGTGATTTCCTATGTTCAGCACAATAATTAGTGGTGATTTGGCAGCTCACTGGTGAATTTAATTTGACTTAATACAGTGTGCCAAACCTGGTGAATTTATTCAGGCGACTTTTCATTTTGTTTCAGTCATACTCAGCAGAAATAAATGGTTCTCTTTTACTTCCCAAAAGGTCCATACAGACTGAACTGTATTTTTTGCAAATACCTCTGAGAGATATTCAACTTTTAATAGGCTGCAGTTTTAGAAAAATAAGATGGTCATTCACTGAGTTCAGTTTCTTAACGCTGTAGACCAGGGATTGACAGACGTTTTCAATAAAGGGCAAGATAGTAAATATTTGAGTGTTGCAGGCCATGTGGTCTATGTAGCAACTGGTCAGCTCTGCCACTGTAACACAAAAGCAACCTCAGATAACACATAAGCAAGTGAGCATGGCAGGATTTCAGTAAAACTATTTATTCATGTGGAAATTTGAATTGAAATATTTTTTTTTAATTCTTTTTCAATACTAGGTTCTGGGAAATTAAGCAAAATCTAAGAATCTAACTCTAAGAATAGATTATATACATATATGTATATGTATATATAATATACAGTGATTGGTTTTGTGTCTTATGAACAAAAAGGATTATTTATGAGATGGAAGTAATTGGGTGTGAGCAATCCCTGTTGTTCAGGAAAATGAGCACTTCCTTCTGAGTTGGATATTGGCCAGCCAAATGGTGATTTGGGAAATCTTTTTTATTTTTTTCCTTCTTAGACAACTGCTTTTTCCATATGAGATAACTGATGTTTTCTCTTAAAGTGAATGGATGTTATATTATGCCTATACAGAAGCATGGAGAGGGCTTTATGTAGCCCAGGGCTGTTATTTACTGATCCCTATTCTAGAAACACACTTATCGAAATGTAGAGGAAACTCCCTGTGATCTTCTTTGGGGTCCATGAAGCATTAGGCTTCATGGAAGAGCCAAGAGAATCTTTTAAGTGTAAATTTCCTAGGATCCTACCCTTTTAAAATTCTACTTGGGAGGGCTGCCACAAATGTTATTCTTTTAATATTCAGCAGATTTTGTTCTTAGAAAGGAGATACCGTTTATTCTCTATCAGATAGTTTCAGCAGTACTGTCCAGTAAGTGGGGAAAAGGTAACTGAATCAGAGAGGAAACTAAATCAAGGGAAATTTCATTTCCTCTCAAGCAGAGAAATACCAGGCAGTGTCAGGTTTTTCGCCTCCGTTCATCAACACCTGTTCCAGATGAAGGTAGTGCTTTGAAGGTCAAATATAACAGAGGACTGGGCATCCCCATTGAGATCCAAGGACTTCCTCGTAAGTCGGTTTCCTCATTCTGGAAGCCCTAAACAAGATTAACTTGCTTCTTTTCCCCCCCACTTCTGTCGTTTTAACTATTAATATCTACTGAACAATCTTTCATTTTGCTAGCTATAATCACAAACAGCTACAAGCTTGGACTGTTTATACCCCTAACTTACAAAGATTTCATTCAGTGATTGATTTCATGTCTTATGAAAAAGAAGGCTTACTTACAAGGTGTAAGTAATTGGGTGTGAGCAATCCCTGTTCTTCAGAAAAATGGGCACTTCATTCTGAGCTGGACATTGGCCAATCAAACGGCGACTTGGGAAATCTTTTTTATTCTTTCTTTTCTTAGATAACTGCTTTTTCCATGCGAGATAACTGATGTTTTCTCTTTCATCTCTGCCTGAAAATCAAGCCATGTGCAAATCTATGCCACTTTATAGATGCTGGTTGGGGAAAGAAGGCAATAATGTCATTTCATCCTACTTCAGACAGAATAATGTGATTTCATTAGGATGGACAAAGAACTCTAAGTCACACTCAAACTTTTTCCCTTGAATGTGTAAAAAAATCCAGAAATGAATTATTGGTTTGAGAATCATGAGCAGTTCATGTTATGGGTGGGGTCCTTTTCTTTTTTTCATAGCAGTTGGTTGCAGATTTTTTACATAATGTGTTCTTCTTTGGCACTACAACACCTGTTTTGAGTCAAGACTTCATCATTTACTCTGAATGACTTTCTTTACCCTGCTGTGCCTCAGTTTCCTCACCTGTAAAAAGTAGCAATAATAACAGGCTGTTCTGAGAACAAATGAGTTGATTAATGTTCTTTGTATAGTTTGCTTCTTTTAATGATTATTGCCCCAAATATCAGTACCTTTGAGTATTATCTAAATTACAATCACTAAGTACAGTCTCTTGGGAAGGTGAGAATGCATAGTTGGCCCTTGAGGAAACCCAGATTCTGCTTAACTCTTGTTGCTTTTCCACTTAAATCCTATACTCTGGTCATAGAGGTTACTTACTACACTTGCTACACATTTCTGTGCAAAGGCAATATAACTTGTATATTATTGCATTGGCTTAGAGACACACTTTCCTTTCTTCAGCTTGCCTAAAAATCTAATTTCCAGTTGCTTAGATAGCTTCTCTTTAAGAACGACATCCCAGCCTTTGTCTTTTGTCCCCCATTCTAAACTAGGTGCTCCATGCTGTATGTAACTTCTACAGGAGCACTAATCATATTGCATTATCTATGTATCAGTTCCTTTGGTTTCTATCCTAGGACCTCGTCATAGGAAAGGGCTGCTTTTCTTTTAGCTTTAATCCCTTAGCTTCTTAACATTAAGTCAAAAGTAAGAAGTTAATCCTATTACTGCAATTGATCTGTAAAAAATGATTTAATATAGGGCCAGGCGTGGTGGCTCACTCCCGTAATTGCAGCACTTTGGGAGGCTGAGGCGGGTGGATCATGAGGTCAGGAGATCGAGACCATCCAGGCTAACACGGTGAAACCCCGTCTCTACTAAAAACACAAAAAATTAGCCGGGCTTGGTGGCACATGCCTGTAGTCCCAGCTACTTGGGAGCCTGAGGCAGGAGAATGGCTTGAACCTGGGAGGCGGAGGTTGCAATGAGCCAAGATTGCGCCACTGCACTCCAGCCTGGGCGACAGAGCAAAACTCCATCTCAAGAGAAAAAAAAAAAGATTTAATATAATAGATAAAATTTGAACTGTAAAGAAAAGCTTTGAGAGATTCCCTCTTTTTAGTCTTAGCTTTTGTACACTTATTCAAGGGGGGAAAAAAAAACTACAGCCAGGAGGAGACATACAATAAACCATGTTCTGATTATACAGTCTGTCCAGAAATTCCTGTAGTCTGTTAGTTTCCAACTTCACTGTATTGGTTCCATCTTTTTCCCTGTTATTGCATTCAGTGACATCACATGCCTGGCTTTGTGTCACAAGAAAGTGAGTAAGTGCTGAGGAAAATGTGAGTATAAGGTAGCTTCTCTGTACAGCCCACTTCTTGGCACTGCCTCAATTATTTTGTTAAGAGACATCTAAGAGGCAGCAAGAATCAGAAATTAGGTAACATGAACAAATCATTAAACCAGAGAACACATACTTGTCCTTCTAACATAGGCAAGTCAAATATCCAAGTTATATTACCTGCAACACACAGGCATAGCTATGTGTCATTGTGTCATTATGAACCAGAAGTGAAAAAGCTGGTTCTTATCCTGGCGTTGTCACTTCCCAGCTGTATGGATTGTACAATGTTGTCGTTTTACTGCCAATGTATTCTCTGTACAATAGGATTGATGATACTAAGATCTGACATGCCTTTCATCTCTTTGTCAGAATGTCTAGCTAAACAGACCTGGGTCAGCTCTTTGATAAAAAGACTTACTTCTACCTAGTGTGTTCCCAAGCTAAATCCTTTGTTTCTACCCTGCATCCCCAGGGGAACTCAGTCTGCTTGGGAAGCCGTGGAATAGCACATTTTTGGGACAGCACTTCAATCAACAGGACTGTTTCTAGCTTTAAAAAGCCCATATGAAACATAAATGAGGCCCTGGATCTGGGCAGGCATTATCCAGGACAATCTGAATTTTCAGTTTGTATGCATTTCATTCCCTTAATCAAACAACTATAGGATGGGATCTATAGTAATCACACCTCAGAAGGAAATCCCCCAGGCCTTGTTTCTGACTATGAGAAAAACAGGTCCACAGCAAATAAGCCCAGTGTGCTTCTGCAAGCAGAAAAGTGGTAGAAAGCAGTTGCCAAAACCCTGGGCAATCCCTGCAAGTACAAGCCACTGGTGGAGGTAAGATCCAGAAAGGGAGCTCAAATGAGTCTAATTGACAAAGAAATTTCCCATCTTCTAACAGAAATGCTCTTGTTCTTGATGAACTCAGTGTTCCTTGTTCCTCAGTTCTTAATTCTGGGCCCCAGAAGCCTAGGCATGGTGGAAAATTGTACATGAATTAAGAGATGACGTTTGTGTGTCTATTCAATCGAATGTACATTCTAGAACCAGCCCTTATTTCTTGTGTTAATTAGTGGGTGCTGTTCCTTCCTTTTTCCTCCACTCAATTTTTTTTTTCTTTCTCTCTCCTTCCATGGTCCATTGCACATGTGTATCTATCTCTCCCATAGCTCTAAGGGACAGTTACACTTTTTCACTCCCAACTCTGAACACCCACTAAGTCCCCAGTTCTGAACTCCACCCTCTCTATGTGCTACATATGAATAATTCAATAGTGTAGCTGAGGTTAAATTGTCAATGGTAGATAAGAGTCTAAGGCATCACATTTTTCAAATATCAATAGCATTTCAGTGAGAATAAGTCATGACTATAATCTGTGGGATAATATTTGCTAAAATCCAATAATCAAATTGGCAGGGCTATATTCTGCTTTCAATAAACCTGCCCTGCCCCTGTGTTCTACCCTAGAGACCTGAGGTCTTCATTATTTCAGATTACTGTGGGTTGTCATCTACCATTGTAGACATTTACTTCCATATCAATGAAGGAATTTTTGCTATAACCTATATTATGTGAAATGACTCATACTGATAATAAATTGGCCAAAGACAAGATCTTCAATCTTTCCATCTCATCCTTGCTTCCTTCTTCTCTGTCCCCTCACTCCTCCATTTCTGCAATTTCTTGGCCCTGTGTTTAGTGAAAACATTCCTTCTACTACTGGATGTGTTGAGAGAAGGATGAAGATTCATTCCAATCTGGCTCCCAATGTTATTAACAACCAAATTGTCCCTAAACACCCTCACTTTCCCGCTCTGTTGGTGATTATCAAAATCATTGACAAACATTGGCTTAGAACATCTTCATCCCATTGGACAGATCCAAGAGGTGCATCAAACAAAAATAAAACTTCTTGCTTTTGGCAGACTCAAACCTATTTTGAAACTTTCAAAATGCATCAATGTGTTTAGGATTTTTATTTTAAAAATACTATTTATGATCTGCTCATTCTACATGGTATGAAACTTTCTTATTACTGCTCTGGGGAAAAGGATAACATTTTGAACTTTAGTTTATTCATAAGAGAGTCAAATCACCAGACAGATAGTAAAGGAATTGATTCAAATATATTTGGCGGAAAGAAGACCTTTGTAACCCACCTCCCCCATGTGCTTGCAGTTGCGAAATCACCCAGCCAGAATGAATGGGAGGACTGCCTCTCCTCTGGGTGAGACATCATCATGGTGATGTCTGGATTATATTAACTATTCCAAGAGAACGTTCACTCCCTGTGTGAAACAGAAGTAGGAGCATGGTCAGATTGTAAACACTTAGCACAGGAGAAAAGTCCAGAGATCCTTAAGCCTCCAGCCACCCTTTAGGAACTCACTGTCTGGCCACAGTGGGGTTGATAGGTGAAGTGGAGAAGTGTGTGTTACCTTCCTTACTGTCACCCTAGGGTGGTATCCTATCTCTCCTGCTGGCTTATTCCTGTAGAAAGTAATGAAAAAATGTGTAATGGCAAAGGGACCACACCCTGACATTTTATTTCACCATAATTTCATAGCCAACTTGGGACGGTGAAAAACTTAAAAAAATAAAGTCAAATAAAGTTACACTCTAGGTCATTTTGTGGCTCTTTGTCTCTATGTGGCAAATAAATAATAGGAATGTGAGAAGCAACATGTCTTGTTTTTTTATTTTTAAGATGACACACACAAAATAAACCAACATTTTGGTCAACATGAACTTTATCGGGGTCAATTAGTTTTGTTTCCCAGGAGAGGCTTCAATAACACATCCGCTGCTAGACCTTTAGCCCTCAGTACAGATTGTCAGGGTTTCCTCAACCTTTGGGAAAATAACATGTTTCTCTAACAATCTACCTTATTTTCCTTAACTTATTGATGGAACTAGGTAATTTCTGTGTTGGCTCTAGACCTAGAAAATTATAACATGTTTAAGTAGTATATATATGGTTAAATTTTTTAACCCTAACTAATAATTTAAGAGATTAATCCCGTTTATATTCTCTCCTTGGTTTGGCTTAAATAAAAACTATAACTAAATTAATATTTGTTTATTAGAAAATTTTATTTGAAGTTCTGTGTTCTCTATAAAAAGAGTTAAGATTTGGGAAAACTAGGTCCAGATATCAGAGTCTCTATTTTCTAACATCCAAGATTTGTAGAATCAGGTTGTTTGTAATCCAGGTAACAATAAGATATTTTTTTAATTTCTGAAAACATGCAAAAAATTAGAGAATGGAAAAAGAATCCATTCTCGAATGACCAATCATAACCATTAAAATGCAATACTTATGAAGGAAATCAGATTTTAAACTGGGTTTTATAAGATTGTATAAGATTTAAACAATGGATTTGCTTCAACTATCAACAAGCAGTATTTGAAATACTGGGAAGCAGAATTAATGTCAGTAGTATTATCAGGACTTTGAAATACCAGTCAGATGGCTCCTAGGTATAATTCATAGTGCTAGGCATAGATTTTTAAATACAAGTTTTGGTCTTTATCTTGTAAAAGCATTTGGCTAGGGAGATAAAACATACTTAGAGATATAGAGTATACCTATATCTATCTATTATATTATATCTATATCTAGATAGAATAGCACTGCAAAAGTTCTCAATGAATATTCTAGTCACAAAGTACTGTGGGAACTCAGGAAGAGGAGAAACATTGCAATGTGATGACCTCATCAAGGAGATATAATTTGAATTGGGCTTTGACTGTTTGGACTTTGAGAAGAGAGAAGAGGAGAGAATGCACCAGGCAGGGAGCAATGCTTTGGAGACTGTAGTGAACACAACATATTAGAGAGACAATAAACAGCTCAATATTACTGGTGACAGAGGTCAATGGAAACTATGGGAACCACATCTAGAGAGATACTTTTGGAGAGCCTGCAGTACTGGGCTAAGAAATTAGACTAGAATATTTACTTAATTTACCAGAATTATGTGCCCCCAGATTAGAGGAATGTGATGCAAAAAGCATGGGTCAGATTCTCAGGAGAAAAATCTCAGAAGTTTCATGAACAAATCTTCACTGATATTGAACCTCCCATTTTTAAATTCATCTTTTTGTCCTCATTTCACCTGAGCTGACCCTTTGCTGGAGTGTAATCCACAGCTTACAGTCCATGTTTCCCCTTCTAGACCGAAAGCTCTTTGTGGCTAAGACTCAACATCTTTTTTCTTTGTATTGCTAGTTTGTAGCATGCTAACACACATTGCATACTCAACCATTTGTAAAGTGAAGGATTGACTGAATGAGTGAACAATTAAATAGGGAAATTCTAGTTATTAACTATTTCAGTTAATAGAGCTAAAATTCCATTATTTACCTAGACAGAAAACGGGAATATCTTTGATTCCTCCCTTTGTCGTGTTTCCCACATCAAATCTGTCACTAAATCCTGTCATTCCAAGCTGCCTCTCTTAACATCTGCCCCCACCTCACCATTGTAATTCCCAATCTCCCAATTCAAGACTCACTTTTACTTCCTGGTCTGTTGTTACTTATTAGAGACTTCTTAACATTTAGTGGTATGAAACAAGAAACATTTTGTTCTACGCATGATTTTGTAGGTCAAGTATTTAGGAAGGGCTCAGATGAACAGTTTGTGCTTGGAGTCACTCTGTCATTTGGTGCCGTAGTCATCTAAAGATACAACTGGGTTGGACCTTGCAAACAGTGCGCTCACATAGCTGACTGTGCCCAGGAAACTCAGCTGGTGCTGACAACTAGATCATCTACACAACACCTCTCCAGCATGATCCAAGGCTCGCCAGAATTCATACAGGATTGCTGGCTTTCCGCAGAGCAAGTGTCCCTAGAGAATAAGGCTGAAGCTGCATGGCCTTTGATGACCTTTTCTTGGAAGGCTCACAGGATCCTTCTGCCATACTCTTCTGGCTGAAATGGTCACAAGCTGCCCTGATTAGAAGGAAGAAGGCAAAAGACTCACTGCTAGATGAGAGAAATGTCTATGAATATTTAAGTCATATTTTAGAGCAGCCACATGGTCTGTCGTGACATTATTCTCTGCTAACTTCTTTTGCAGCCTATTCTATTTCTATTTATACTGTATGCTGCTATTACTATTACCTTCACCTTTAGATTACTTTTAACAGTGTTATTTCCCTCCATAACAGCCTTCAGTACACCCCCATTTACTTCTGAATAAAGAAGCAACTCTTAATTTCAACTCAGCTTTCCAGTATTTTCTTCCACTTTTTAAAGCATTCAACCTGTGCTAGACCCCAACTTGCAGCTTTCTAGAAATATATTTGCTTAGGCTGGGTGCAGTGGCTCACATCTGTAATCTCAGCGCTTTGGGAGGCCAAGGCAGGTGGATCACCTGAGGTCAGGAGTTCGAGACCAGCCTGGCCAGCATGGTGAAACCCCATCTCTACTAAAAATACAAAAATTAGCTGGGCGTGGTGCTACATCCCTGTAATCCCAGCTGCTCGGAGGCTGAGGCATGAGAATCGCTTGAACCTGGGAGACAGAGGCTGCAGTGAGCCGAGATCGCAGCATTGCAGTCCAGCTTGGGTGACAAGAGCAAAATTCCATCCCCCCCACCAAAAAAAAAAAAAAGAAAAAGGAAGAAATATATTTGCTTTCCTGCTTTTATTATTTTTGTGGATTTTTCTCTTCCTCCTTAGAGTATAATTCTTTATACCTTCAATGGCTAACATTACATCTACTCTTCAAGACCTAACTAAAAAACCCACTGCTTCTTAGAAAACCTCCTCAATCTACTTCCAAATTGAAAAACAAACCAAAACAAAAACAAACAGCAAACCTCTTCTTTCATCTACTATTATATTTTTCTTAGCCTCCCTTTGAGCACTTCCTACTTCCACCTAGCATTGTTGTTCTTTTCGTTCCTGTCTTAATCCTTCTTACTAGATTGTGATCTATGTAAAGACAGAGATCTTATTCAAATTTATTTTTAACAGTAACTGAACCGAAAGTTTTGTCTTAAATGGATAATCCTTAAAGAAGTGTTCATAATAAGTGCATGCTATTATTATGAATAACAGGAATACAAATGCAATGGGGAATAGAACTATAAGGTGAATTCATCCTTTCAAGTACTAATTATATATTAGTACTGCAACTGTTGATAATTTTTGCAACTGTTTTATTGATATCTAGGGATTCATTACTTATTCTTTCTTCTTTTGCCTAAATTTAGAAGTTTTTCGTAATGAAAGGTAAAAAGTAATCAGTGTTGTGCCAAAGGAACATCGTATGTGTACTAATCCCTTTAACACTCATTAATTCATTTGCCCACTGTGTGCCAGGAGTGTTTTAGACACCAGGGCTATGGTGGCGAAGCTTAAATTCTAGTATGAAATAGCATAGCAGACCATAAGAAATAAACAAAGCAAACAAAGAAAAAAACCACTGTGCTGAAGCTTGAAACAGGAGGATATGAGAAAGAATGAGTAGGTAGTCACTGGGTAGTTAGGGAAGGCCTCTCTCAGATCTGAATTACAAGAATTAGAGCCATGTGAAGAACATTCTTGGCAGAGGACACAGCTACAACCAATGACTTAAAGCAGGAATGGGTTTGACGTGTTGAAAACACTGAAAGACCACTGATTTGGAAAGCATTTCGTGACGGGGAGTGGCTCTAAGATGAAGTCAGACAGACAGGTGCCAGCTCATTTGGACCTTTGGGAGGATAATGATAAGGAGATTGGGTTTATCCTAACTGTGATTAAAAAGCCACTCGAGGGTTTTATGGCCAGGCGCGGTGGCTCAAGCCTGTAATCCAGCACTTTGGGAGGCCGAGGCGGGTGGATCACGAGGTCAGGAGATCGAGACCATCCTGACTAACACGGTGAAACCCCATCTCTACTAAAAATACAAAAACAAAATTAGCCGGGCGTGGTGGCGGGCACCTGTAGTCCCAGCTACTCAGGGGCTGAGGCAGGAGAATGGCGTGAACCCGGGAGGCAGAGCTTGCAGTGAGCCGAGATCGCGCCATTGCACTCCAGCCTTTGAGACAGAGCGACTCCATCTCAAAAAAAGAAAAAAAAGCCACTTGATTTCAATTTATAACTAAATTGAATTTATAACTAAAGATTTTCAATTTATAACTAAAGATTCATTGTTCTGAACATCTTGGAGAATTATCTGTAAAACATAATTCTGAAATATATCCTCCATCTACATAGAAAGAAAGAGATTATGCATGTAAGTTTAATACCTTCGAATTAAAATATTAAAAATGGGAGAAAAGGTCAATTTTTATGCTTTTACATGAGCCTAAGTGTTGGATAAGAAGGAAAGAATTAGAACAAACAATGTATGTGAAATAAAGCATGTAAATAATCATTCTTCATTCTTCATGGATCCACAGTCATGTAGCAGAATTGGAAGTAAAAACCTAAAAGAACAATGGATAGAAAAAGAGAAATTGGTGGCCGGGCGTGCTGGATCATGCCAGTAATCCCAGCACTTTGGGAGGCTGAGGCCGGCAGATCACGAGGTCAGGAGATCCAGACTATCCTGGCCAACATGGTGAAACCCCGTCTCTACTAAAGTACAAAAAAAAAATTAGCTGGGCATAGTGGCGCCTACCTGTAATCCCAGCTACTCGGGAGGCTGAGGCGGGGAATCGCTTGAAATGGGGAGGCGGAGGTTGCAGTGAGCCAAGATCGCACCACTGCACTCCAGCTTTGGCGACAGAGCGAGACTCTGTCTCAAAAAAAAAACAGAAAAAGAAAAAAAGAAATTAAGCCCAATGTCCAGATGTTTTATCAACATTACACCAAGCAAGCAGCTATTGTGAAACAAGTTATAATATATACTCCATTAGCCTTCATGGAATTGTAGGCACTAGGTTTCCAAGAAAGCGGGGAATTTTAAGTTAATAGTCTTATTTATGAAGGGTGAAGTAAGCTGGAGGAGCCTCAGATATTAAGTGATTTCCCTTGTGATTTCTCTTAAGTAATTTCAGATTTTTAAAGATGTAAGTGTTTCCTATTTAGTAATTCTTTGATCTGTACTTAAATTTTCACCATCATCATTCATTTTATTAACTAACTGATTAATGAAAGCACATGGTAAATGACAGATACTCAATAAATGTTAGCTTCCCTCCTTTCTTGCTAATCACATCATTTGGTTAATTTGGAAAGCCATTGAGTGTAATGTAGGCAGATAGACTTGACCTTGAATTTTAGCACTTCCACTCCTCACTGTGATATCCTGGCAGTAATTGGTTACTCTGCCTGCTCACAGCCTACCCACCATCCACTTATGAAAATGTTCTGTATGAAAAGTGCTCTTTCTTTTTACTTTTAAACTAAGTCAGTCCAAGCAATCTAATTACCTTCGATTTACTTGGCATAGACTTGAATTTATTCATTTACAACTTCTCACTTTCTCAGTTACTTTCTTTTTTTTTTTTTTTTTTTTTTTTTTTTTGAGATGGAGGCTCACTCTGTCATCCAGGCTGGAGTTCAGTGGCGCAATCTCGGCTCACTGCAACCTCCACCTCCTGGGTTCAAGTGATTCTCCTGCCTCAGCCTCCCGAGTAGCTGGGATTACAGGCGTGTGCCACCATGCCCAGCTAATTTTTGTGTTTTCAGTAGAAACGGGATTTCACTATGTTGGCCAGGCTGGTCTCAAACTTCTGACCTCAAGTGATATGCCTGCCTTGATCTTCCAAAGTGCTGGGATTACAGGCATGAGCCACCAAGCCCAATTTTCAGTTACTTTCAAGATAAATAACTTATAACTTAACAGAAGCCTGAAAACAATATTACCAGACTTTATTACAGTTGAAGTGAATAAAAATTTCTTCTTATTGGTGTGTAGAAAATGGATATCTTTTATGTTTTAACATAGTTGATTTCCATTTCTTACATTGTTTGTCATTCAAACTGAAACATACATAAAAAACACATCTCCTGTATCCAGAAAGATTGATCTAAATGATAAATAAATTGCTTTAGTCCTCAACTTCACTTTTCTAGTAGCTAGACATAGAAAAAAACATATCTATTAAAAAACAAGCAAAAACATTTTACTTTCTACTATAGTGGTGCTTAATCATTGGGCCATGAATTCTTCAAAAATATACTGTCAAATTATTACCACTTGATGCATTTATTTTTGCTGTAATTAGAATATATCCCATTAGGGCAATATTTGTTCACTGGAATACAGAGCTGAATGGGAAAAGTCAGTGTTAGAAGGTGCAAACATTTTGTTTCATGAATCTATAAGAGAGTACTACTTGCCAAAGCCACAAAAATTTATGCTCAAATTGTGATGTATATTGAGCAGCGAACAAGCAAGTAAATGAATACATTTATAGATTTTGGTCCTTTGTTTTTAAGTGTAAATTCTTTTATGTATGCTATTCAAAATCCCAGTGTTTGAAAATATTCCAGAAACACACAAAAGGTGTGACTCCTTGCTTTATCATTATACCATTAGTGACGTATCAAATCTTTGCTACTTGACCCAAAAGGCCAGCTCTCCATATAGGTAGATGCAGTAGTCTCCTTTTTTCCTCGGTTTCACTTCCTACGGTTTCAGTTACCCACAGTCAACCACCATCTGAAAATGTTTAATAGAAAATTCTAGATTTCTGAGTTTTGACTTGCATGGCATTTTGGGTAGCGTGATGAAATCTCACGTTGTCGTGCTCCATCCCACCCTGAACGTGAATCATCCCTTTGTCCAGCAAATCTACATTGTATGTGCTGTCTGCCAATTAGTCACTGACATTGTCTGCTCTTGTCATCCAACCATCAACATCATGTTTGCTCAATGATTCAGGATCACCTGAAGCAAATGATGCTTCCTGTGAAGTACTGTCAGAAGGTCAATCGTAGCCTAAGGCTGTGGGTCAGCAGTAGCCTAACACTACATCACAATGCCTACGTCCTTCACCTCACTTCATCTCATCACTTAGGTATTTTATCATCTCACATCATCACAAGAAGAAGGGTGAGTATAGTGCAATAACATATTTTAAGAAATATAAACCACATACACATAACTTAGTATATTGTTGTAACTAAACCATTATTATTATTGTTAATCTCTTATTGTTCCTAATCTATAAATTAAACTTTATCATAGGCATGTATGCATAGGAAGAAACATGGTATATGTAGGGTTTGGCACTATCTGTGGTTTCAGGTATCTTCTGGGGGTCTTGAAACATATCCTGCAGTGATAAAGGGGGACTACTGTAGTCCTTTCATCACTTTAATGAATAATCTTATTAAAATCCTAGTAGGCCAGGAGTGGTGGCTCATGCCTGTAATCTCAGCACTTTTGGAAGCGGAGGCGGGTGGATCACCTGAGGTCCGGAGTTCGAGACCAGCCTGACCAACATGGAGAAACCCCGTCTCTACTAAAAATACAAAATTAGCCGGGCGTGGTGGCGCATGCCTGTAATCCCAGCTACTCTGGAGGCTGAGGCAGGATAATGGCTTGAACCCGGGAGGTGGAGGTTGCTGTGAGCCGAGATGGTGCTATTGCACCCCAGCCTGGGCACCAAGAGCAAAATTCCATCTCAAAAAAAAAAAAAAAAAAATCCTAGTAAAGCAAAGGTACATTGCTATAGTTAAGTGCAGACTTATTACATACATCAAGAATTTAGTCATTTTCTTGATGTATTCCCAAAGACATAGTTACATATTCCTAGAATGCTGATTTTTATGCTTTCTTCTGTGCACATAGAATGTTCCCATAGGTAAAAGCCAAATGTGGTTATCTCTTTTACTTCCTATGTTCTTCCGTTTTCTTGTGTACTTCTTTTTAAATAAACTTTGTGCCTAGTTTATTTTGAAAAATATGTATTCCACTTATTTCATAGTATGCTTTTTGTCTTCATAAAGCAAAACATTTATGTACCCACCAGGACAATCAAAATTTTCCTTTTATTATTTTTATTTGCTGGGAGAATGGATTTCTTAAATTTAATTTTCAGATGATGATTAGCTTTTTCAGCAACACAATCACCAATCCAAACTGCCACTATTTATTGAACACCTATGTACAGTCCTATGTGCTAGCCTCGAATCTTCACTGTTCTTACAATAGACATGTTTCTCTTATTTTCCATGGAAACTTTGTACCAAGAGAGGAAGTAAACGCACCTGAAGTCAGGAAGTTGGTAAGTGGAATTGGAATCCAGGTGTCTCTTGCTTCATAGTCTATACTCTTTGCAATATGCCATACATAACTGTAATATAATATGAATAGTTAATAATTATCTATTTTGTATATTGTCCTCTATATTCTTCACTGGATTATAAGATTATATTTGGATATATTGGGTTGATTCAAATGACACATTTTGGGAGAGAAAATTTGATATGGAAAAGAAGCAATCAGTTGCAATTTTTACAATTTCATAAATCAAGAAAATTTTTGTCATATATAATCACCTGATGAAAGTTTTTTTTTGCCAAACTATATCATCTAAGGGTTTCTCTCCTAATTTTTTTTACTCATCACCTATTTGTTGCATGTCCATAGATACGACCAACAGAATTTTAAATGCAGCATTTAAAACATAACTGACACAAAGATGCTTACCCCCGATGACTGCTACTGTTATTTTTACTGAATAGACAGGTAGCATGGGACTATTTCAAGGTTGAATATAAAATAGAGCCAAGAGCTTTGTCATATATTTGATTTTTTAATATTAACGCATATTATCTATTGTGAAATAACCTCAAACATTCTACATTTTTATTTTATTTTATTTATTTATTTATTTATTTTGAGACAGAGTCTCGCTCTGTTGTCCAGGCTGGAGTGCAGTGGCACGATCTCGGCTCACTGCAAGCTCCGCCTCCCGGGTTCACACCATTCTCCTGCCTCAGCCTCCCAAGTAGCTGGGACTACAGGCGCCCGCCACCACGCCCAGCTAATTTTTTGTATTTTTAGTAGAGATGGGGTTTCACCATGTTAGCCAGGATAGTCTCGATCTCCTGACCTCCTGATCCGCCCGCCTCGGCCTCTCAAAGTGCTGGGATTGCACCATGCCTGGCCTCTACATTTTTAAATCTAAATGCAAAATGGAAACTTCTCCCTTAAACTTGATTCATTATATTTCAAAGAGTTTAATACAAAATTCTGTAATAGGCCAAGTGCAGTGGCTCACGCCTGTAATCCCAGCACTTGGGATGCCAAGGCGGGCAGATCACCTGAGGTAAGGAGTTTGAGATCAGCCTAACCAACATGGGGAGACCCCGATTCTACTAAAAATACAAAAATTAGCCAGGCATGGTGGCATGCGCCTGTAATTCCAGCTACTCAAGAGGCTGAGGCAGGAGAATCGCTTGAGCCCGGGAGGCGGGGGTTGCGGTGAGTGGAGATCGCGCTACTGCACTGCAGCCTGGGCAACAGAGCAAAACACCGTCTCAAAAACAAAACAAAACAAAATTCTATATCTTTAAAAATTCAAGCTAAAATGACAGGGATAGATAATGTTTCTTTAGCATATAACAAAATATACAATTTACAACATACAATATACAATTACTTTTCTAAAAATTAAAACAATCAATAAAAGCTAGAAAGTATGTAATATATACAATCATTCTCGTAAAAGTTGAAAAATTGAATTTGAAGTTTCAGTCCAGTACCTTTCGCATTGATCATACTTTTTGCCAACTACTACTAAATTTTTTCCTTTATCTGTGTTGGAGATTAAATCAAACACATCTTTAAGTCTTCTCTTAAGTTCTGCAGAATTCTGGTACAAACACATCAACTGTACGCTATCTCTATGGCTGTTATGCATACGCATCTCTATGGCTTTGTACAAACACCCGTACCATGGCCTAGTCTTCTGCCTTTGGTTTGCTCAATATTTGGAGAAGGGTCCTTCTGTTCATCTTGTACTAATAGAACCAGTCAAGCCATTTTGTGGTGATTTCTAGCAAGAGACTAGTCTATTCTTCCTTACCTAGAGAAGTAAGAAATTTGATGTTTATTTAAAAATTATCATCTAGGTAAATAGATTTTTTTTTGGTGACATAGATATATCTCTTGAATAATTACAAAACAACTAAACAACCCCAAAAATAAATTTATGTGATTATATGATTAATCCTACCACTTCTATAAATGGCAGGACTTATAAGTGATTAAATCATTGTTTTAATAAGTGATGAATAGCATAAACTCACCATTCTTAGCCAGACTAAGAATGTAGTTATATATTTATGTCATAAGTAAGACAACTTAAGAATTACCATGAACTCCTATTCTAAATATTAGATAAATATATGAATAATAAATATATGAATACATTTCTTACGTATTTATCTTATCTTATGCCATGGCCCTTTTCTATACAAAGCTCTCTGTGTTTCATTTTCGGGTGCAGAACTTCTCCAGGAATGGAATTGAAGTCTATTTCTCTCCAAAGTTCTGATCACAGTGAACGTAATAAAAAAAAATTATTGAACACGTGGATCTAGTAATGAAACACTTGAAAGGCATTATAAAGTAGCACGAACATATATGAATGTTTCATTTTGCTAATGAACTAGATTTCTGAAAGATTCACTAGTAGTTCTTTAAATGCTGATTTAGGCTACTACATTGGTCTGTTCAAAAAAATTAACAAGATTAAATTTTTTAAAAAAGTAATTCTAAAACCTTACAGAAGAAAATTAGGAAAAATAATAAGAGAGCAATCATACACTGGTTAAATAAATTAGAGAATAACCATAAAATAGACCACTAAGAAACTGTTTAAAATGAGGTATTTCTATGTGACTGGACATGGAATAATGTTCATTATATATTGTGAATCAAGATAAGTTTCAGGAAAATATACTTAGTGCAAATGCTACCCTTTCATTTTCTCAGACCTTGGGATTGTCCCTGAGTCTTCTCTTTCTCTCACGTTCTGCTTTCAATATTTCAGGAGGGAATCTTTTTCTTTGGTTCTACTTTCTTTTTTTTTTGAGACAGAGTCTCGCTCTGTCGCCCAGGCTGGAGTGCAGTGGCACGATCTCAGCTCACTGCAAGCTCCGCCTCCCGGGTTCACACCATTCTCCTGCCTCAGCCTCCCAAGTAGCTGGGACTACAGGCGCCCGCCACCACACCCAGCTAATTTTTTGTATTTTTAGTAGAGATGGGGTTTCACCGTGTTAGCCAGGATGGTCTCGATCTCCTGACCTCGTGATCCACCTGCCTCAACCTCCCAAAATGCTGGGATTACAGGCTTGAGCCACCACTCCCAGCCACTACTTTCAAAGTATATCCAGAATTTGCTGTTGTCTCACACCTCCACTGCTACCACTCTGATCCATGACACCACCCCTCTATGCAATAGGCTCTTAACAGTTCTCCTTTCCTTTGCCTCTCTTTAGTCTGTTCTCAATTTACAGTTAAAGTAATTTCTTAAAACAAAGGTCATTATCATGTTTACTGGTTTGCTCAAATCCTCCACTGGCTCTCACCTCATGCAAAACTAAAGCCAAAGCTCCTACAATGCAGCACAATTGCTTCCATGATCTAGTGTCCTATTATCCCCTTGCACTTCTATTCTTGTTCTATTCTTCTAGTCTCACTCTTGCTCCGCCTGTCTCTTTTCTGGCCCTAAAATATGCCAGCCATTCCACCATAGGCCTATTTCATATATCTGGAATGATCTTATACCAGACATCCATGGGGCTAACTCGCTCACTTCCTTTACGTCTTTCTTTATATGTCACCGTTTCAGTGAAGCCTACCTCAATCACCCTGTTTTAAAATCGCAACCCATGTTCCCAGACTTATCCCTAGTGTCTCACACGTCTGTGTAAAGAGACCACCAAATAGGCTTTGTGTGAGCAACAAGGCTATTTCTTTCACCTGGGTACAGGCAGGCTGAGTCCAAAAAGAGAATCAGCAAAGGTGGTGGGATTATCTTTAGTTCTTATAGGTTTTGGGGATAGGCGGTGGAGTTAAGAGCAATGTTTTGTGGGCAGGGGGTGGATCTCACAAAGTACATCCTCAAGGGTGGGAGAATTACAGAGAACCTTCTTAAGGGTGGGAGGATTACAAAGAACCTTCTTAAGGGTGGGGAGAATTACAAAGAACCTTCTTAAGGGTGGGAGGATTACAGAGAACCTTCTTAAGGGTGGGAGGATTACAGAGAACCTTCTTAAGGGTGGGAGGATTACAGAGAACCTTCTTAAGGGTGGGAGAATTACAGAGAACCTTCTTAAGGGTGGGAGGATTACAGAGAACCTTCTTAAGGGTGGGAGGATTACAAAGAACCTTCTTAAGGGTGGGAGGATTACAGAGAAACTTCTTAAGGGTGGGAGGATTACAGAGAACCTTCTTAAGGGTGGGAGAATTACAGAGAACCTTCTTAAGGGTGGGAGAATTACAGAGAACCTTCTTAAGGGTGGGAGGATTACAGAGAACCTTCTTAAGGGTGGGAGGATTACAGAGAACCTTCTTAAGGGTGGGAGGATTACAGAGAACCTTCTTAAGGGTGGGAGGATTACAGAGAACCTTCTTAAGGGTGGGAGGATTACAGAGAACCTTCTTAAGGGTGGGAGGATTACAGAGAACCTTCTTAAGGGTGGGAGGATTACAGAGAACCTTCTTAAGGGTGGGAGGATTACAGAGAACCTTCTTAAGGGTGGGAGGATTACAAAGTACATTGATCAGTTAGGGTGAGGCAGAAACAAATCACAATGGTGGAATGTCATCAGTTAAGGCTATTTTCACTTCTTTTGTGGATCTTCAGTTGCTTCAGGCCATCTGGATATGTACGTGCAGGTCACAGGGGATATGATAGCTTAGCTTGGGCTCAGAGGCCTGACACCTAGCATGCCCCTTACTTGTAATACTGATTGTTTAGTTTCCCATAGTTTTAGCCACTCCTTATTAATATATTATACATTACCTTTTTATTATATTTATTACTTAGTGTCTATTTTTCTCTAAAGAAAGTGGGCTCTAAGCCAGGCATGGTGGTGCATACCTGTAGTCTCAGCTACAGAGGAAGCTGAGGTGGGAGGATTGCTTGAGCCCAGGAGTTTGAGGCCAGCCTGGACAACATAGCAAGACCCTAGGTCAAAAAAATAAAAAATAAAAAACAAAAAACAGAAAAAAGAAAGTAACTAAGCTTCATAAGATGTTGGGTCTTTGTCCAATTGTCTACTCTTATATTCCTAGATCAATGCCTGACATATAGAATGTCTTTAATAAATATTTACGGAGTAAGTTTTCTTTACTCTTTTAAAATAACTTACAACCTAATCTCAAGGGACATATATCAACTGACTGGAAAATATAGAAGGATGAGTAGAGTTTTTACCCTTTACTTTCTATATATCTATATACTTTCCATATATATATATATCTATATTTCTATATATCTGTGTACTTTATATATATATAAAGTATATATATATATACTTTATATATATCTGTGTACTTTATATATATCGGTAATGTTAGAATTTTTTTAAAACAGCATCACTATTATCATAACTGCATATCTAGAAACAAGAAGAAAAAAAAGGCATCCTTTATTCTACTATTTAACACATTATGTGCTAATTTTCACTATGCAATAAAACAAATTTGTGAACAAACAAATTAAAATAATTTTGCATCTACATTTTTTGGAAACTTGATTCCAACATAGTCTTCCAAATTTCTTTTCATTGCGAAGATTTTTTACATGTGTTCTCTATGAGTTAAGAATAAGAGTCAAAATGCTGAATGGAACTTTCAGAGCCATCCATCTTTGAGTGTGCATTTTATCCATAATTTCTGATGAAACTATACTTTAACTTAGCATAATTCAATGACCAGGAAATCTGTGTAGACATATGTGCATGATAATTGTGTATGTACTTATATTCGTAAAGTTCATCATACCGTAGGTGTATTTATGATTCCTCTTCCAAAACAGTGGCAGACTTAAATGTAAGGGAGAAATATAGGTAGTGGATTGAAGGTGTCGTAAGAATCTATCTTTGGCAAAATATGTTTGTATTGGCTTGTCATAGTACCCCAAATAAGCAGAGATAAGAACTGTCTGCAAGATTACTGTTAAAATTCATTCGTATATTCTTGGAGGGTGAATCCTGGAGCATATCAGAATTGCATTTTATTCTGATCAAATAACTAGCTATTTCCTAGCATTATCTTGAAACATAGCTCATAAAAAGGGTAAATGTTATGGATAAAGAGAAGAAAATTTAGGAAGAAAATGTCAGGCATTTGGAAGACGGCAGATAGAGTGAAGCTGGTGGGAGGGGTTGTAAAAGAGGAATAGTGATGCTGTTGTGGAAGAGGAGAGTAGCTCAAAGTCACTGGCTGCAAAGAGCTTGTTAAGAAAAACCCCAAATAGGCCAGGTGCAGTGGCTCATGCCTGTAATCCCAGCACTCGGAAAGGCCAAGGTGGGTGGATCACCTGAGGTCAGGAGTTTGAGACCAGCCTGACCAACATGGTGAAACCCTGTCTTTACTAAAAATACAAAAATTAGCCGAGCATGGTGGTACATGCCTGTAATCCCAGCTACTAGGGAGGCTGAGGCAGGAGAATCGCTTGAACCAGGGAGGGCAGAGGTTGCAGTGAGCTGAGATCGCGCCATTGCATTCCAGCCTGGGCAACAAGAGCAAAACTCCGTTTTAAAAAAAAAAAAAATTAAAAAAAATAAAGTAAATATTGTGCCCTCCAAACAGCAAACATGATTGCATTTCTTTCATTCAATTATTCATTCACTCATCCATCCACTCAGCAAAATTTCACTGAGCACATACTGTGTCCAGAGCACTATGGAAGACAAGAGTACATTTGTAGAAGATTACAACACAGCATGTTCCTTTGAAAGGAACCGGAGTTGGAAATTCAATGAGTTCAAGTGTCTGTTGCTTCCTGCCCCAGAGCAGCCCTTGTCAAGCTTACTTGGAGCTCCCCCTTCATTTCCTGAAGGGACCCAGCCAGTCCCAAAGCTGCCAGGAGCGTACAGAGGTTTACACAATCTGACTCCAGCCTGCTGGAGCAGCTCACGTGCCCAGCTGCTTGGACGGCGACACGCAAGGCAGCTGTGCAGGCCCACAGGCCTTGCTTGGCCACCCAGGAGCACTCCCTGGAGGGGAGAAGCTGGAGCTACAGCCCACCTGGCTACTGCAGGACACTGAGAGGTCAAGCTGGGAAAGGTCTGGAGTCTGCAAATCATCACCCTCAATGCTGAAGAGCACGAGACAGGGCATTTGGGGGGTATTCTGAAGCTCAAAGCTAAACAGTGTTATGGGCTAAGACTAGCATTTAGCTTCTTCAGTCCTGTTGTTTGGCATGGGGAGGTGATTGAAAGATTGGCTTTGGACAAACATAATGCTCAGTTCAAGTAGAAGCCACTGCATAGCTTAATATCTGTGTGACTAAGTGAGTTACTTAACAGCTGGGGTTCGTTGGCCATATCTGTAGAATAGGGAAAATAGTAAGACCAACCTCACAGAGCTATCAGGAGGATTAAAGGAAAAAAATATATATCAAGTAATTACTGTATTTCACAGAACATTGTAAGGTTCAATACTATTGGGCTTATTGATCCATATTTTTATTATATTTTTTTTTCTGTTGGGGGGAGGAAGAATCTCACTTTGTTGCCCAGGCAGGAGTACAGTGGCACAATCATGGCTAACTGTAGCCTCGAATTCCTGTGCTCAAGGGATCCTCCCGCCTCAGCCTCTGAATAGCTAGGACTGCAAGTGTTTGTCACCATGCCTGGCTAATTTTTATCTTATTTTTTGTGGAGATGAGGTCTCGCTATGTTGCCCAGACTGGTCTTGATCTCCTGGCCTCAAGTGTTCTGCCCACCTTAGCCTCCCAAACACTGGGATAACAGGTGTGAGACACCTCACCCAGCCTTTTCTTTTTTCTTTTAAATCTTCCAGTTTCTGTACCTGCTCTCCTCATTCTCCTGATTTATCCTAATGTTTATTAAAGGGATATTTCTCCTTCATTCTATGAGCTCTCAGACTATTGAGAAGAAAAACACCCAATGTTTATTGTGTGCCTACTATTTATTAGGATTTGAAAGGACTCTTACAAGTCTATCATATACATAGACTTACCTGGTGCTCACAGCAACCTCATAAATAGGTAAATGTTATTGACAGTTTATAGATAAGAAGGTTGAGCCTTGCCCTCAGCTAGTATGGGATGAAGCGAGATACAGTAGAGCTTTATAAGCCAGAACAATCTAGAATTAAATCCTGTCTGCTACTACTACTACAAAGTATATGACCTGGTGTGACCTCATAGCTACTCTAAGCCTCGAGTTCATTGACTATAAAATGAGGATAGTAGCTAGTTCATTAGGTTTTTCTGAAGATTAAATTGAATCAAATACCTAGTACCACACTCAATTTTCAACACAAGAATGGCATGAAATAAATACTATTATCATCACATGGTGAGAACTGACATTTGAATGTAGCTCTGACTTCCAAACTTCAAAATGTACCCTCCTATGTTTTAGGTGTGAATTCTTTCTGCAACTAAAGTGTGTGTTTTTGCTTTTAAAACTCAGTTTTTACTTCTGACAAGTGAGAAAAGAGATGTCTGTGTTCATTAGGGTACAGAGTATATTGCTCTATCAAACAGGTACAAAACACAGTGGCTTAAATAAAATAGCAATGTATTTCTTTCTCTCTCATGTAATAGTGTACAAGTCAGTGGTCCAGATTATTTTGCTCCAGGGGCCATTTAGGGAACCCAGGTCAAAGGTGGGTCACTTTCTGCTCTAGGTTTCAGCCCACAGGAAGACCAAAAAGAGGACAAGTAGAGGGCAAACAGCATCCTTTAAGCAAGTGACATGAAAGTTGCAAACAACACATCCACCTACATTTTAAAGGCTGTATTAAGCTGCAAAGGAGGATGAGAAATGCAGTCTCCAGTTGGGTAGTCTAATATGTCCAATAAAACCATAGCTATGCAAGATAATTTGAGAGGAAATAAATAATAATTATATCTGGGGAAATATAATGCTGATTTTAAGTTACTTTAAGCATATTATGCTCCTCCAATAATTTGTTTGGTTTTCCTTTTATATATCATTAGATGAGTTGACTAGCAGGGTTACAGGCTTGGCAAATTTTTTCTAATTTAAGTCTATTGCATGCACACTTTAAGACACAGTTTGAATAGAATCTCCTGGAGTACATGTTCGTCTACTACTGCAGATATAACTAATGTCTCTCTCCTCTATTTTTTTTTTTTTTTTGAGATGGACTCTCGCTCTGTCACCCAGGCTGGAGTGCCGTGGCGCCATCTCGGCTCACCGCAGCCTCTGCCTCCTGGGCTCAAGCAATTCTCCTGCCTCAGCCTCCCGAGGAGTTGGGTTTATAGACGCATGCCCCTGCACTTGGCTAATTTTTGTATTTTTAGTAGAGACAGGGTTTCGCCAGATTGGCTAGGCTGGTCTTGAACTCCTAACCTCAGGTGAACGGCCTGCCTTGGCCTCCCAAAGTGCAGGGATTACAGGCGTGAGCCAATGCACCTGGCCCTCTCCTCTATTTTTAATAATCATTAATGTTTTAGTGCAGGTATCTACTTAGAGGCTTTATTAATCCATTCTCACACTGCTATAACGCCATACCTGAGACTGGGTAATTTATTAAGGAAAGAGGTTTAATTGACTCACAGTTCTGCAGGGCTGGGGAGGCCTCGGGAAACTTACAATCAGGGCAGAGGGGGAAGCAAACATGTCCTTCCTCACAAGGTGGCAGAAGAGGGAAAAATAAGAGCCAAGTGAAGGAGGAAGCCCCTTATAAAACCATCAGATCTCAGGAGAACTTACTATCATGAGAAACATGGGGGAAATAACCCCTGTGATTCAGTTACCTCCCAACCCAGTCCCTCTCATGACACATGGGGGTATGGGAACTACAATTCAAGATGAAATTTTGGTGGGGACACAGCCAAACTGTACCAGAGGTCTATCTTCTCTCCTTGAATCTCTTTACTTGGGTCAGAATACTGTTTTACATACCTTATTATCTCCAGGGCCAAGCAGCAGGTCTGGCATATAGAGAAAATCAATGCTAAATAAATTAATAAACTAAAAAGATGCATATAGAAACTTCTGAAATGGTGCTTGACTTATTTATTGAGTACATGTTAGGGGACATTGTTAGATGACAATGGATGATCAAAGAAGAATAGATGACATCCCCCTTTACCCCTGCAAATGTGGACTGTAAATATATTCAAATGTATTTGTTTCCACATTGGGTATATTCTTGATTCTATGAGATGGATAAAAGCATTTACTAAATTACACAGCAAATAGTAATCCTTGAACAACTTCAAGGTCAAAAAATACATAGTTCTTTGTGATATGAAAGGTTTTAATGAAAGACACGTTTCCTTCTCTTAGATATCTGCCACATTTGTCCTTATTCCCCACTGAATCTTTGAAGGTCTGTAATTCAAGTAAAGCTTGATCTTCCTGAAACCGTTCATGAAAACTTAAAAGAAGTTTCTCTCCACTCTCAACAAAATAAGCTAGTTTGCTGATTTATTGCACTTTTCTCTCTTTCCCTGAAATTTCAATATTGATTTTTTTTTTTAAGAAGCCTGTTTTAAAATTTTATTTCCCTGGCCAGCTGTCTGAATATTCCTTTCTTTTCATTTTTCAGAAACATCTCTTTTCTTCACTGCCTCCCAGCCACCCCAGTTACCACTTGCTTGAGTTTCTTTTTCCCAAATTGCTGCCTTTTGTCTTCTCAGCTACAGTGTAATGCAATGTCTTCTTCCTTCAAACATTTTGACCTCAAACCAAATACATTTCAGAGAAAGCTCACATGTTCCTCATCCTGTTGTAGTATTAACATATTCTAGATCCATAGAAATTGATGCATTACGATTTATTTATAATAGCCTGCATATTTAACAAATGTAGCTAAGAGTGCTTAACACGCCTTAAACAATTTCAAAGGAGACATTGAACACATAAAATCTGTTGGCTATTTGTAAATCTGGCAACATTATTGGTTTTGATGAATGCTACTTAACATAAAACATACACATTCTGCTCAAATCAATCTTAGAACAAACTTGACTCATTTATTCTTAGCTAAATTTTCTAATCAAATATATGCCCTTCAGCAAATAGCCTTTCTAAAAATGACTGCTACACAATAAAGTTCAGTAAAATGTTCTATGTGTCTGTACATTGTCTATCAATTTTGCTATGTGTTGTCTACATTCAGACATTACGTGTGTCTCAATTGTGAATTACTGTGCCTTTTTTTTCTGTCACTGAAACCTAGAAATACTATGTACAACATATGTTATCAATAGAATAAAAAAAAATTCGTTTACACTCTCAACTAAGCATCCACTGTGTGCCAGCATTATGCCAAGCACTGGTAAATAAAGTTGAATAAAATGCCACCACCTTTGCTCTTGTGCAAGGAAAATTAATCTTGGGACCCCCAAATCACTAAGCCAAGAGAAAAGTCAAGGTGGGGTTTATGTCAGGCAAACCTGCCTCCCATTTTATTCCTAAATAAGTTAGACTACAAAGGTAAGAAGTTACATCCCTCCCTCACTATTTGCCCACAAGGAAATTCCTTGTGGACAAAAGACAGACAGAACCCAAAGTCATCCCTTTGAGGATTACCTGAGACAAATGCATATCTGATTGCTGCCTTTGCCTATTGCTTATGTAAAAATGCAGATTTAGTGAGCCAGACTAAATGGTGTGTTCAGTGGAAGGCTGATCAAGGATTCAAAAGAATGCAACCTTTTGTCTCTTACCTACTTCTGACCTGGAAAACCCCACTTCAAGTTGTCCCCCCTTAGTGGACCAAACCTGTGTACATCTTACACATATTGATTGATGTTTCATGTCTCCCTAAAATGTATAAAAGCCAGCTGTACCATGACCACCTTGGGCACATGTCACCAGGACCTCATGAGGCTATGTCACAGGTGCATCCTTAACCTTGGCAAAATAAGCTTTCTAAATTGACTGAGACCTGTCTCATATATTTTGGGTTCACACTCTCAAGAAGTTCACAGTCTAAATGGGGAGAGAGAGACAATTGCAATCATTGTCAGAAGTTACCTAAAAAATGTATTAAAGTGAGAAGATCCAAGACTTAGATGGCCTAGGCACACATCTAGATCCTGGCATTAAATTTTTTGTTGTTGTTTTTTGTTTTTTTGTTTTTGTTTTTTTGAGATGGAGCTTTGCTCTTGTTGCTGAGGCTGGAGTGCAATGGCGCGATCTCTGCTCACCGCAACCTCCACCTCCCAGGTTCAAGTCATTCTCCTGCCTCAGCCTTCCCAAGTAGCTGGGATTATAGGCATGCACCACCAAGCCTAGCTAATTTTGTAGTTTTAGTAGAGATGGGGTTTCCCCGTGTGGGTCAGGCTGGTCTCGAACTCCTGACCTCAGGTGATCTGCCCATCTTGGCCTCCCAAAGTGCTGGGATTACAGGCGTGAGCCACCGCACCCGGCTCTGGGCAGTAAATGTTTTTAAAGACAAGTGGTTGTTTTCTAGGCAAATAAAAATAGGATAGAGTTGTAAACAAAGTACAAGTCCAGTAGTCTAAACACTGTAAAAAATGTAAACAACATGTTTTGGTAATTTAAAAAGGTCATAAACATTTAAAAAAATCATACCGTTGTGATAATTTAAGGCTAGTTTGCTAAAGTGAATAGCATGTTGAAAGTTGTGAAATTCAGTGGGTAGCAAATAAATGCCCAGAGTTGATTTTATACTTTTTGCTCCTGAAGCAAAGTTTTTCATACCTTAGATAATCCTCAAAATGTATGCACTTCCTTGACATGGTGTGTAAATGCAGAGAGTTCACCTAATCACCTGACTTGGTGCTATGGAATTAAAGATGCTTATAATAACCCCTGCCTACTTACCTCCCTTTTTGCAAAGAGTATGGACCCTGAAATCAGACAATTCCAAGCAAAAATAGTGGACTTCTATCATGAGGGTAATCTTGGGTAAGTGCCACAAAAGCACTGAGATCCAGGGTCCTCAAAGTTGAGAGAGATCCAAGAGTAACTATTTCAGAGAGTTATTGTGAGAATTAGATGAAATCAAATATCTGGTGGCTCATGCCTGTAAAACCAGCACTTTGGGAGGCCGAGGAAGGGAGGATCACTTTAGGTCAGGAGTTCAAGACCAGCCTGGCCAACATGGTGAAACCCTGTCTCTACTAAAAATACAAAAATTAGCTGGGCATGGTGGTGCAGCTACTCGGGAGGCTGAGGCACAAGAATCGCTTGAACTCGGGAGGCAGAGGTTGCAGTGAGCTGAGATTGCACCACTGCCCTCCAGCCTGGGTGACAGAGTGAGACTCTTTCTCAAAAAAGAGAGAGAGAGAGAGAGATCTGTATGAGCCAGGATTCTTCAGAGAAACAGACCACGAGTGGAGACAGCTTTATTATAAGAAATCAGCCCATGGGATGATGGTGGCTGACAATTCCCAAGATCTTCAGGGTGAGCTGGCTGGCATGCTGGATAACCATGAAGGCCAATGGTGTCGTTCCAGTTCAAAGGCTAGCAGACTGGAGCTTTAAAAACAGCCCATGTTTCAGTTCAAGTTGAAAGGCAGAAAAAACTAATGTGCCAATTTGAAGGCAGGCAGGAATAATTCTTTCTTAACTTGGGGGCGGGTCAGCATTTTTGTTCTATTCAGACCTTTAAATGATTGGGTGAGGCCCATCCACATTAGGCCCACCCACATCTGTCTACCAATTTAAATATTAAAAACAGCCTCACAGGAACGCTCGGGATAATGTTTGACCAGATATCTGGACAGCTTGTGGCCTAATCAAGTTGACACATAAAAGTAACCATTATAATAAGTGGAGTTCATTTCCTAATTATTGAAATGAGGCTTCATAAAAATCTCAAATAAATGAAACCATAATATACACAAAGAAAAAATGGCTTCCTCAATTAGCAGAACATAAATAATTATTTCTGTAGAAGCTGAGGATCATTATGGCAGAGTGAGCTACTAAGAGTGAAAAGGAGGAAGTGATTTCAAAAATTCACAATAAGAAAAACACAGACTATTAACACACTTTTCCCAAAAGTGAATAGAGCACACAATCACCACCACAACCACAAAATGAGAATATCAGCTTGTGGCCCACTCAAAGGACAACTTTCTAACCACACACTGGGATGCCTGATGAGCCATGATTTTAGTGGCAATCCAACATGGAAATGAAGGAAAAAATCCTTGTGTTTGATGATGTATCTCTCAGTAGACTGCATTTAACAATTCCTGTAAGGGAACAGATAAAAACAGAAACCACGGAGGAGTATCAAAATTTAATTTTCCTCGGAGAACTAAAGGGAACTCTTTGAGAAAAAGAAGCTATAAACATGAATGTGGCGTGAATTATGTTTTCTGATAAATCCCATCACTTTGACTTGCTTAAGTCTGGATAATTTTTTTTTTTTTTTTTTGAGATGGAGTCTCGATCTGTCACCCAGGCTGGATTGCAGTGGCGCGATTTCGGCTCACTGCAACCTCCGCCTCCCGGGTTCAAGCGATTCTCCTGTCTCAGCCTCCCAAGTACCTGGGACTATAGGCACGTGACACCACGCCCGGCTAATTTTTTGTATTTTTTGGAGAGAAGGGATTTCACTGTGTTAGCCAGGATGGTCTCGATCTGACCTCGTGATCTGCCCACCTCAGCCTCCCAAAGTGCTGGGATTACAGGCATGAGCCACCGCATCCGGCCAAGTCTGAATAATTTATACTTATTGAGTGCTTGCGAGTGCCAGGCATTATACTGATTGCTGTCTCCTATGTGTCATTCATATAAAAACACTATAAGGTCCATGAGGGTATCTACCTTACAAATGATTATGCTGGACCTCAAAAATGAAGGTTAATATCACATATCTAGAGAACACTGCATCTGGGATTCCGACCCAAATCCTCCTATGCCAAAGTCAGAAGACTTGATAGCCCAGGTATTCTTCACAGTTGAGGCTTGGTTCTTGCATGGAGTAGGACAAATCGAGATAGCAATCAGCATAATGGGCCCACCAACCCCCACCCCAGAAAACCGACTGCTTAAAAAATTAAATTGTCTAAAAATATGGTGGTTGTAAAAAATATATATAATTGTTGTTAGTAAAATTACAACAAATAATAATAATATCTACTGATACTTTATGCTTTCAGGTAATTTGAATTACTGTATGATTACATTTATGTAACACTCTTTAAATGACTAAACTATAGAAATAGAGAAGAGATCGGGTTGCCAGGGTTAGGGCTGGAGTTGAGGTGGGACTGGGAAAGGTAGGTAGGGGTGGTTATCAGAAGGTCAACATCCTGTAATCCCAGCTACTTGGGAGGTTGAGGCAGGAGAATTGCTTGAATCTGGGAGGCGGAGGTTGCAGTGAGCCAAGATCGTGCCACTGCACTCCAGCTGCTGGGGCAACAGTGCAAGACTCCGTCTCCGTCTCAAAAACAAAAAACAAAACAAAACAAAAGGTCAACATGAGGTATCCTGTGGTGATGATGGAATTGTTTTGGATCTTGACTGTAATGGTAGATACATGAACCCACACATGTGATAAAATTGCATAGAACTAAATGTACACATATACATACACACATATACATGCACACACAGAGACAAGTGAGTACAGGTAAACTGATACAACCTGAATAAAAATGGTGGATTTTATCAACATCAATTCACTGACTGTAATATTGTGGTATCATTTTGCAAGATGTTACCACTGTGGAATACTAGGTAAAGGGTACATAGGATCTTTCTGTATTATTTCTTCTAACTGCATATGAATCTATATTTATCTAAAAAAATGGTTAATTAGCAAACATGTTACTGAATGTCCATTATCTACCTTGATGCCTAGTATAACCTTGTGAGATAGAGGTATTTTTCTAAGCCATTTCATGTATTTTTAATAACACTTTGGACTCTGACCAATTTCCAGATAGACTCTTCTGCCTTTTAGAAGGCCAGTAACTAATCAGAACTACTGGCTCCCCTATCCCGAGATAAACAAGTTAGGCAAATGTGGATGTATTAGATTTGTCATTTGATGAATGAGGAAAAACTTCTCCAGGAAGAATAGGAACAGCTTGAGTGAGTACACTTTCTTGAGCATGCCCAGGGGGAAAATGAAGCCATTGTTATCTGATGTGACACCTAGGGCAGCCTGCCTGGCAAGCCCACCACCAACGAAGACTGTCCTTAATGAGAGTCTGGGATCAATTAAGGAAAAGTGAACTTCTAACCTATGTGAACTGTCACGGTTGAGGCCTGGCCTGGCTGATCTCTGCATTTCCAGAGGTTAATCACAGCGCTCCACGCTGACAAGGGCTTCCCTTCTTTTCCTACCTCAAGGTACTAAGTTGTGCCCTCTGAGGCCCCAGAGAGGAGAAAGTTCCCTTTCCCTTTATTTCTAAAGTAGGAAAATAAAAAAGATAAATAGTTGTGTGCAAGAATGTTTGCCCCATATCTAGAGCAGTGACTGGCATGTAATAGGTGTTCAAGACATTTTTTATCAAATGGTAATTTCAGATAAACCTTAAGAAAAATTCCAGCTCACAGCTCCTGATCTATAAACCTGAAAAAAATCAGCCATCTGTTCAATGCTGACTATATATCAGATGCTGTCTTTACATATTTAAGTACCAGTCATTCCTTTCAAGTATTCTGTACCACAGACGGTATTTTAAATGTCCATTTAATAGATGAGGGCATTGAGACACAGGCAGATTGAACAACTTACCAAGTCACACAGCTGATAAGTGGGAGAGGTGGGAGGATATACAGCCAATACAACCCCACCACTTGTGGTTAAATCACCAGCCTGCCTTGCCTCATAATTTACAGAGAGTGAATTCATTAGGCAGAAATATGTATTCAAAAGTGAAGGCATCCTTCTTGGTTTGGAGCTTCACCAAAATTCTCTTATAGAATCTAAAAAAGCATTCTAACAGCTCTTTTAATGTTTACAACAATTCTATGATGTGGAAGTCATCAACCCTCATTTATAAATGAGAAAATGGGGTCAAAATGGTCAAGTGGCTTGAAATGGTAACCTATTTAGTAAGTGGTAAATTCTGTCTCCTGAGTTTTATCTTCTAAACCCAGCTCTTGGGTTTACTATATAACTATTGAATCTTGCATTTCAGCATCAACCTTGCATCAGCAAGAATTCTAATTCAGTTGTAAGAGCTGACTCCAACTAGTTTAATTAAGCTTGTTAAGGGATAATTTGCTCATCTATAATATGAAGCTATTATAATACCTGCACTTTCTGTCTCAATGGGTCAACATGAAGAAAAGATGAGATGACGCAAGTGAAAACATTTTGTCAGCTGTAAACTAGAAGGCACTTTCAGTTGCCACTATGATTTATTATTTTTTAGAATCATTTTTACTTCCAGGAAACAATGCCAGAATGGGAATCTCATTGGGTTTTAATGTTGCGGTATTATACATTCAATTCTGAATTTATTTATTTATTTTTTCATTCATTCACTTGTTCAACAAGTGGATTTTGAGCAGTTATTTTATGAGACACACTACACTAGATCCTGTAGAAAAATGGCTGGGCGCGGAGGCTCATACCTGTAATCCCAGCACTTTGGGAAGTTGAGACAGGCAAATCACTTGAGGTCAGGAGCTCGAGGCCAACATGGTAAAACGCCGTCTCTACTAAACATACAAAAATGAGCCGGGCACGGTGGCAGGTGCCTGTAATCCCAGCTACTCGGGAGGCTGAGGTAGGAGAATCGCTTGAACCCAGGAGGCAGAGGTTGCAGTGAGCTGAGATCGTGCCACTGCACTCCAGCCTGGGCGACAGAGGGAGACTTCATCTCAAAAAGAAGGAGAAGGAAAAAAGTAGTAGCACTGTAGATAAATATTACCTGTCAAATTGTAATCGTACAGAAACCATGTCTTATTCACTGTTAGTCCATTCCATCATGATGTCAAATCTTAGCTAGTGCCCAGTAAATGTTGGTTAAATGCAGAAAAAGTATAAGTCTCAGGGTTTTTTTCCCCATTTGAAGCTTATGATGCCGTTAAAAGGTAATGAGAAAATAAATGTCATAAGTTAAAAGAGAGGTACACGTTAAAAATTTTGTAGATTAGAGTTTTCCTGTTGATTCTGTGGAAAAAATTATATTTACCCTAGATAATAAAGACCTGCCTGATATCCTTAGTTAGCCAAATATTATTTTAGAAAGGTGATTTTCAAACTTATCAGGTCAGGTAAAATTGTTGAAAAACTTTCTCTAATTGTAAGATTTAAATTCTTCTTCTCTTCCTCTCATTTGCAAAGGTAATCTAGAGACTAGAAACATTTGGGGTAGAATCTTCCAAAATTTACATAGGTTTAGGTATGCAAGGTTAGTATCAGCACTCATCCATTTATGTGCTGCGTTTGACTCAGTCATTAATTTCTACTTCATAAACATGATTACAAATGATACCAATGATTACTTAGTATTATACTTACCTTTACCTCTATCTATGTGTTCTGTCACACACACACACACACACACACACACACTGTCTCTAACTAGGCAGTGTGCTAGGCTGTGGATATTAAGAGATAAAACAGTCTCAAGGATTTCACAATCTATGCATGAAGTCAAACAATTTAAATCAATTACTGTAATTACAAGGACAATGATGGGGTTATGCAGAGAAGTCTGTGACTTCACAGTATACGACTAACGCATGACC
This sequence comes from Homo sapiens, assembly GCF_000001405.40. Taxonomy (NCBI): domain Eukaryota; kingdom Metazoa; phylum Chordata; class Mammalia; order Primates; family Hominidae; genus Homo; species Homo sapiens. The sequence goes on from NC_000008.11 coordinate 121,796,426, forward strand.
TTGTAAAATCACTTAACCTTTGTTTCAGCATCTCTGCCAGATGGGGTTGGAAGAAGAAATGGGTCCAAAAACTAGAATATTCTGTGTGGTGATGTTTTAAAATCGCCAACAATAAGTGGTGATTTGCAAACAAGACTAAACGTTTTCTATTTGGTCCTATAGATGTCATTTTACATCCACTGCATGGTGGGCACTGAATTTCTTGGCATCTTTGGAAATAACCACAACTTCTCTGTAGGCAGACATGTATTCCCTAGCGCTGTTTTTTCAATAACATTTATTTTAACAATAATATGCTTAGTCTGCCGTGCAAATACGGCTTCACTGATTAGGCAACCAGCCCAGTCAAACATTGTTTGGGGATATAATTATAACTATTTAATTGTTGGACAATCTCATAATAGCTGCAAAAGAATCCCAGTTTGTTTACACACAGCAATTTAAAACTTGTTTCTTCTGCTTATCCTTTTTCCTCTTTAAAGGAGAACTCTGGATAATTCAATTCTAGCCTGAAACCCCGGAGTACAATTAAGGCCCCTACAAACACATCAGGACTAGGAGACTCCCTTTTGGTTAAAGTTAAGAAGCTGTTGCCATGATTTGTTTTAATTTGATAAACAGAGAGAGATGTTCTGTTCTGAGACCTCTTTCCCCTCACTCAGAAAGGGGGTGTTTATGTACAGCTGTGGGGAATTACTCACAGGAGATTTAAACAGTGGAAAAAGAAAACATCCTGTTTTTTTTTTTTTTTTTTTTTTTTTTTTTTTTTGGACCCACCCAGCCCACCAAGGTTTACAGACTCAGCCAATGGAAAGATAGATTACAGTTCACTGAAAACTCCCCTTGGAAAATGGAGACCCAGCCTCTATCAAGACAGCTACAAGCTCTGAAGGACTGACAAAGAAGCATTCGCTGCAACGGAGAGATGGCAAATCAGAATGCTTCTGAAAGGGCTTTGCTTTAGAGATAGCTTTCAGATTAGATACTGCCACAAACAGAGCCTTAGTGACCAGGAGTGTGTTAAAAATGTAGGATGGGGATGAAAACATAAATTGCACTGTGATTTCTGCAGAGTCACTAAACCCTGTCTTGTCCAACAAAGAACAAAATCTAGATTTTTATTCTTACGTTGTGTGGTTGTTAGATAAAAGATAATACGGTCTCTTTTTTCACATTTTTACTCAAGTAATCTATTTCCTTGCATTTTATTTAATTGATTTTGTCTGTGCAAAAAGGAAGCAGTGACTTTAACCAAATGAGAAATTTAGCTTAATATTGGCAGAGTAACTTGCTCAACAATATGAAATAAGTGGTTAAAATTTTAATAAGTCGACCACTAGTTATACTCTCATTCTATCAAATTAAACATCAGAATCGTGATTTGTGGTTATTCTTAAATATAGCAGGTTTTGGCCCGCTTGAGAGAAATCACATTTAATATGAACAGAATGGATTTTGAGCTTTATGTGTTTTGAGAAATACGTGTTTCTTCTTTCTGTCTGTATTACTTTTCAGTTTTCATGACTTTTTTGAGAAGTGTCATGGGATAGAGTTATAAGATGATTTAATGATAAATATATTAATAGGTGTATATATTATTTTGAGAGTAAGGAATTAAATGACATTGTTTTGTGGCATCATATTTTAGTGACTACAATTAAAAAAGCAAAACCAACAACAAAAAAGACAATAATTAGAAAATTTTATGTTTGTTTCCTGAAGCGAAATTCAACAAAGTATCTTCTATCAAAATATGCTTATGCAAAGCTATCCTTTCAGAAAAAAGTGTTTCAGAAAAAAATATTTAAAGAAGATTCCTTTATGCATAGCTTAATTAAATTGAGCTTTCTTTAATCAATCTACATTGAATGTAACAGTTCAATAAATGATATAACTTACAACTCTTGATCATTAGTATGCCAGCTTTAAGTATTTTCTTAAAATTGTCTCCTATTTGAAGCCAACAGTTTAAGGACAAAATTCTTAATTCATCTCAGTCTTTCAGCCACATTTGACTCTTAAAATAACCTGAAAATTCATTACTGTTTACTTGCATGTTTTTGTAGAGTGATGTGAAAATAAACTTAAATCAATAATATGAAATCAATTTTATTCACTATTTAAAATTTTCATTGAATATTGGAACCAAATACCCTGACCCTGTTTATTAATAGTAAACTCAATTGCTAGGCCATATACACATGACTTACAATTTTAGACTCTAAAATGATACAAAAGAAATTCTTGTACTGAACAACTGCTTTTTTGAATAAGTCTCCCAGGATTAACCTGGGCTTTTTTTTTCCTTAAAATATAACTTCCAAAAACAGGACTATGCCTATTTCACATGAATGGGTTTTCTTCCTTAAAGTGTATGCAATCATTAGGTAGAGATGAACTGAAATCAAATGTAATCAGCAATAATGATTGTAGAAAACTCATAAAGTAAATAGGATTATCCATAATCCTCCACTTAAAATGAATTGCTCTTCATTCATTTAATTCATATTTTTTAAAAAAGAAAATATATGCATTGACACGTATATATGACACAACTGGAGAAGCTCATTTATAAAAACAAAAGTTATCACTGCCATGAGATTTTTCCAGAAAAAAAAAAAAGTTTGGTTTATGTAAATTAGCCAGTAGTTAAAGTGGGAAGATACTTACTCAGTTTTCTAAGGGAAATAAAATCAACACCTTAACTTTCTGTTTTTGGGTCTTTTGCAAATAAAAACAAAATGACTTGCAGAAAGAATTCTTCTCCTTCTTTTCCTTCTTTTATCTCTATCTTCCCTTCTTCTTAATTTCCTATAAACTTGGTTTCGTATTTGTATATGCCATTGTTACGTTTATTTTTATTTCTTTTTTTTAAAAAATATGTCATTTTGTTTTGTTTTGTTTCAATGTTATATTTCCAGGGTCTAGATCACCTAGTATCTAATAGCTGCTCAAAAATATTTGTTGAGTGAAAATGAGTAAATTAAGTAATACTGACTGTAGAAAATGTGAAAAATACCCGCCCCCCCCTCAGAAGAAGTATATGAAAGAACCAGAAAAGCCAGATTTTTATTGTGCTGGACTTTCCCTTCGTTTATCAATACCTGCACAAAACATGCCCTTAGGATTGTGACTGTCCTTAAGCAGTTTTGCATCTAGGTTTGTTCCTCTTTGAAGTCTACTAAGGAGCTGAGCAGAGCTAGAAAGTCTAACAGAAGCAAGCCAAGTAGAGGTAGACTTTAAAATGTAATTATCCTGGACTCCACGGGCTTTAAAAAAGTTCTTTTGTGGCTAGAAAATGAACGTTATTTATCCAAAAGGTTGCAGCTGTTAAATTCTCTTGAGAAAATACAAAGTCAAACCTATCCATGCCAGTTTTTTTTTTTTCTGATTGCCTAACTTCAATGATTCAGAGATAAAATCCCAAAATAGGCATTTATAAAGGCAAGAGTGAGAGAAATAAAAGACTCAGAACTGGGGTTGGTACTCAGTGTTGCTAGTTCTCGAACTACAAACCGCCAAGCTATTCTTCTTCTAATTTCCCCAGTTTGCCTGAGTAAGAGTCTTTTTTCCAGTCAAAACAGTCACAGACATTTTTGTATAATCTACTCTGTTCTGTCTCCATTGGTGGTAATTTCTAAAAGCCAGAATAACGAAAGCCCTGAATCAAATAATGCAACCAAAAAACTTTTAAGCCCTCCAATAAAGAGAGAAAACAAAAAGTAAGAAGAGAAAATGTATTTTCCCAGGAATGTCCACATCTCCACAGACTCCGTTTTCAAAGTGGATTTTCTTTGAATAGGGTTTGGATTTGGCAACAGCCTATTAGGATATAATGCTCTACTCACAATTCTTCAAGAAAAGATCTAAGGTTTTATAGTTTTCCCATTTTTCCCAGAGATGGGTAGAGCCAAGAAGAACGGGTGAAGGAAAGTGGGCAAAAGATTGTGAAAGTCGGAAAAAACTTGCTGGAACCTATCCAGTCATCTTCAAAGGATAACCTCTTCCAAACAGAGCAAACCTTCAGGGGAAGATTATGCAAAGCCCCTGCCTTCCAGCACCCCTGAAAGCCCACCACCCTAGTCCATTCAGATTTGAGGATTAAGAAAATTAGGGGAATGAATGAATCTATTTATCTATGGTCCATGTCAAGAATTGTTCTTCTGGGCCATTCTGGTTTGGATCCTGTGGCTTTTTTGGTGGTGTGATCGTTGCTTTTATGTTTTTTCAGGGGTGGGGGTGCATCTGCATTATCTGATAGTTCTGTGTTTATTTTTTTCCACAAAGATGCTTAATTGTGTAACTCCTGGCTAGGTTTCCCTAGCCAAATGATAGAAATCAGAGTTGGAAAAGACCTATTAGGTCATTTTTACCCTAACTCCTGCCAGTGAGAATTTTGCCTCTAATATGCTAGATGAAGTGTCCACCCCTTCCCTTGGGAGATTAGATTCTACAATTTAATTAGTTCACACTGCCAACATATTTTCTCTGACGTTCAATTTACAATTAATATCATTGTTTTTCTTAATTCAGTTCTCACAAATTATGTGTTTACTTTCTCTTATTGTCTTCCAACTTTAATCACTGATAAGCTTATTTTCTTATTTCTCCCCAAATATGCTCATTTATTAATTTTTTCTAGAATGTTCAGTTTATTTGTTAACATTTGTTATTTTTTGCACAACGCTGTATCTCTTTGATACAGAGATAATGACGGCTTCAAATTTCCCAACATGGCACATTAACAGGGATGTGTAGAGTACAATTAAGCAGAAAACCAAGACATGTTAATTTTTCCTTAAAATTCAGGCTTCATCAATATTTTGTTTCTATTTTCTGTAAGTTCCTGGCAGAGCAGTTAGTAGCCTGAGATATGTCGGCAATTCTCAGTGTCTCAGCTTTTCAGTTCTGTGTGTGTGCACGCGTGTGTGGTGTTTGTATGTGTCAAATTTTCTGCTGTGAAAACCCTGGCACAGATACCCAGATGAGATAAGGCAGGCAAAGATAAGACATAAGAAGGGAGGAAGAACACTATAATAATGAATTTAGGGACTGGAGAAACTCAGCTACCCACCAGGAAACTTTACTCACTGACAAGATTAACCCTTTTTAGGCTGACGTGAATCATTGTGGGCTGAGGCTGTCCAGTGTACCCATGTAGCAGACCTCTTGAGTAGGTAGCTCTCTACAGCAAGGCATTGCTCTCCTGGGATTTTACATCTTCATTGCCTAAGTCCCTGGCTCGATTCCTGCCTTGCCTTGTCTCTCTCTTTTGACTCTTGGCCAGCAGATCTCATTTCCTTGTCCAGTGCACCATGTGAAATCAAGCCCCTCCTCATGACCTCCTTCCCGCCTGCTGGTCTAAAAGGGAGGAGCCCCTGTTTCTTGAATCTGCCCTCTGACTAAACTCTCTCTTGCCTCTCCACCCTTTCCTGATGATTCAGTACTAACACCTGCCCAGAGTCTACTTTGTCTCCACATCCCCAATGATTTGGGTGTCAAGACAGTCTGTCCACTCAAATTTACATTCAATTCTATCAGAGGCCACAGTCCTAACTCAAAGTAGCCTACTTATGTGGTTCTTTAAAGGAGTTTTATAGAGGATTGTCTCTCACAAACATAAGGGAAATATATAAGGCCCTTTAAAACTCTTGCTTAGCCCCATAGCTCATCGTGAACCACTGAACCCCTGCTTGCTCTGGGAAAGCCACATTGGCCTCTCACCAATTAATTTACTGGGATAACACCCATCTCTTTTCCACTTTGGAATCTTCAGCCTCTTGTTTCCTCTCCTTGGATAAGTTTTACCTATGCATCAAGCCATAGCTGACATGGAACTCAGAGAGATTGCCCTGAAATATCCTTCCCTGGGCTGAGTAAGGTTCTCTATGTTACTCTTCATCATTTGCCCTATATTTGCATTCATAACACCAAAAATTGTGAACACTTATTTACTTATTTGTTAAGTTATTTGGAATGTATAAAATTCGATGATGCATGAAGATAGGGTCTTGTTGATTGTACATTTCTCCTTGTATGTAGTATATTACAGGTGCTCAAACAGGTGAGCACTTCGACCATGACAACAAAAAGTAGATAGAATAAAAGTTGCCAGAGTCATTCAGCCCATTGTTGATAATCAATTAATATCTTAATCTATATGATTCTGTTTTTGCTTCATATTTGTAAATGTATAGTGTGTCAACTTTGTAAAAACTTGACATTGTGGAAATCTGTATAGGTATTGTATAAATAAGTTTTCTTCACTTCAGACAAGAGAGAGCAACTACTATTTTGAAAAGGGACTTAATTGTGAAAAATAGGGAGCTCGTATAATTGATGCGAAAATGGAGGAGTATGCTTAATGAGGAGACAGAAACCAGAAGAACATACAATTCAGACAGTAGCAGCAATGCTTTAAAGATTCTCATTGACACTATACCATTGCTCCCAGACACTACTGGAATCTCTGGGCACTATCATTATCTCTCACTGCAGAAACTCTGCAGTAACTGTCATGGATGACCTCTTTTAGTAACTGACTTTAACTTCAAAGTCCTGAATTAGAGGGCTGCTTGATCAAGGACTGGTTATATTATCTAGCCCTGGTCTCTGGATTAGACAGCGAAAGAACTGCCCACTTTTGCACAGGCATTTTGAGATGGGGAATGTCATCCCACACAATGAATTATTGCCCCCAAATACGGAAGAGAGATGAATTATGGGCACCTCTCAAGCAGCTGATCAATCAAACCAGCCAAGCAACATACCAACCAACAGCAATTGTTAATCTTTGATCTCATGCTTCAGGGCTGGCTGTGCCTAAAGCTTGTGGTAGTACCTTCCTTCTTATCACCTTATCGCTTTCCTTATTATCAATTCTGTGGATCTTCTTTCTTAAAAGTCTGCATTTCTGAGATTTATTGCTTCTCAGAGAGATTAAGTTGATATTTTCAAAGTATTCGGCAAGTTACTTTGATCACATGTCGTTGTAACATGGTCTTAGGCTCCCTAGAGGCTGAGTGTGAGACCCGAATTCCTGTGAAAGTGATACATAAACAGAAAAGCCCATAAGGAAGGGACTGAAGCAGGACAGAGAAAGCGAAGGTGCTGAGCAAGAAAGTGGTCTCCGATAAAGTCCAACCTTGGCCAAGTCCCTAAGGGAAGGTCTTTGAATCACTAATCACTTAGTTGTGTTGGCCCGCCTAAGGCAAGAAAGTAACCCTTTATATACCACATTCATCAGTCATGGCTTTGGACTGCCTCCAGGGCATGCGCATAACTCTCCAGGTAAAGTAACTGGCAGCTGGGGGACATATTTTCCAGAGAAAGGGGCAATCTGTGAGCTGTTAGCAGCTGATCCTCATGGAAGTTGGGGAAGTTGCTTGCACTTTACTCTAGGGACTTGCCCTGAATTCTTTCTTGCTAGGAACTGGAGTGCAAGCCAGACTCCACCCAGCCTGGGCGGGCCAAGTGGGCGGGCCATTTCCTGCAGCAGGTAGCATGGCTGAGGGAGGCCCATGTGGGGTGTTACTGGCCCAAGGCCCCCGGCTTGCAAAGTGACCAAGAAGAAAATTCTGCATCAGCAGGACCAATTAAGTTTCTTCTCCAGAATTTTCCAATTGGAGTTATTTGAAGGGAACTTTCCTCTGTATTTATGAAATTTATGAGAATATTAGCTCTGAGCTGTCTGTAATCTTAGTTTTAACTTTATGAGAATGGTTATCTTGAGATAACATGGCTCCATGTAAAAAGAGAAAGGTATAGAAGATGAAATGATAATATAATGGTTTGAGTCCACATATAGAAAATCATTGATGGGTTTTTAAAATTGTTTTTTGGTTTTGAAATAGGTTTTCTTTCTTTTTTTTTGTCTTAAACTTTCTGTTTCTTGTAGTTAAAGTGTTGTGTTTAATATACATATATTATCACTGATTCACTCAGAAACCCCCAGAGTTAGATATTATCTTTATTCCACAAATATGAAAATCAAGGCCTGGAGCATTGATGTCTTTGGCCAAATTTGCACAATTAACTAGAAAAGAGCAGATGTTGGGTACTAAATTTTCTCACTTCCAAATTATTAGCTAGATTCTGAAACCCTCAGGAAAAAAATTGATTTTAAAAATGTAGCAGTTTATCAACACCTGCGATGTTCTGCATGAATCGCAATAGGGAGTTTACACATGTGATAATGTATATACATTTTACCTCATGATTGTTTGTTTCTTGTATTTCATCCAGTAATTTTGGCTACATATTCTTGTCATTCAAAATGGCAAGCATAAATGTAATGCTTGGGGTATAAAACAAAGCAATCATAACGATTTAAACTTGAAGAAATTTTTTTTATCATGTATGCAATACCATATAGAATTTCATTCAGAGCAAAGAAACAAAAACGCTACCTGAAATACATCCTTTCTTACAGGGTTGCTTACAAAGCAGACAAACTCAGAAAATTGATTGTTATATACTGAGTTTAATGATATTGTCAGAAATAAGTGTTATTAAATGGTAAGACACCTTGCATGCTCTATCATGTAAGAAAACCCAGAAGATTTTTTTTTCATTATTTTAGTATAAGGGAGGAGACCACTCCTCATATTGTCTTATGCCCAATTTCTGCCTCCAAAGAAAGAAGAAGTAAAAACTAAAAGGCAGAAATGAAATCCACAGGCAGACAGCCCGGCGCCACACCCTGGGCCTGGTAGTTAAAGATCAACCCCTGACCTAATCGGTTATGTTATCTATAGATTACAGGCATTGTATAGAAAAGCACTGTGAAAATCCCTGTCCTGTTTTGTTCCGATCTAATTACTGGTGCATGCAGTCCCCAGTCATGTACCCCCTGCTTGCTCAATCGATCACAACCCTCTCAAGCGGACCCCCTTAGAGTTGTGAGCCCTTAAAAGGGACAGGAATTGCTCACTCGGAGAGCTTGGCTCTTGCGACAGGAGTCCTGCCGATGCTCCCAGCCGAATAAACCGCTTCCTTCTTTAACTCAGTGTCTGAGTGGTTTTGTCTGTGGCTTGTCCTGCTACAAGTATAGGAATAAATCAAACTTTAAAATTTAATTATAGGATAAAGACGTAAGCGACATTCTCAGTGTCATAATTATCTCACACAACTAGATAAGAACTATTTGTATATTTTTATCTTTGTCTTGTATTTGCATCATTTTTTAAAGCTTGTCGGAAGAGCCCTTATGAATACTTTAAGAACCAAATGTAGTTTCACTGTCTCTGAAATGCCCTCCCAAAGACCTCAGGTATTTGGTTTCAAGAGTTAGTTGAAGAAGTGGAAAACCAGGGAAAATAGTAATATTGGGAAATGTAGTGTGAAATGTAGAGTGGGAAAATTCTAGTCCTTTTTTATCTTATTAATTGTTGTAATTTGATCTTATTAATTGTTGTAAGTAATATTTCTCCCGTTTATTCAACTGGTATTTATGGAGCACCTGAAATGTACTAAACATCCTGCTGAACACTAGAGCTGCAACAGTGATGTGGGAGTGATGACAGCCCAGGAATTATCTGTATGAATGTGAGAAGATACTTTTTTTTTTTTTTAATTGAGGGGATCTTCCATATACATCACTATATATGCAGAGACACAGTCATTCATCTTGACAGTGTCACTGTTATCCTATGAACAGGCTCATGGGTGGGGTTTTTGGTTTTATAAATGAATGACTGTATATACAAATGGCTTCAGAATGTCTGTAAAAGGACCATTTGTTCGTGGGTCATAGGGCTAATCTGAAACTGTCTCTGTGATTCAATGTTAGAGAAGCTTCCCATGGTGGATGGGGGTCTCCTGGTTAAAAAGGTCACCATGACACAGAGGGAACTTCCTGTGAAGCAAGTGGTGTGTGGCCTGGTAGCCTAAATTCAGCATGAGGGAAAAGGCTAGAAAAGAAAAGTTACTTCCAGCACAACATGTGATTGCATTTGGGGAAGACACCTGAGCACGTGGATGTAAAATAAGTGATGTGCCCATGCCAGAGATGCAGGGTAATAAATTATATTTCACATCAGTGGACACGTTTCTATTAGTCTGAGCAGAACTAATCTTCAATAGCTGCATCATATGGCCATGAAGAAAGCATGGATGCCGGTGGACTTATTGGAGTTTTTTTTAGTGTTTTTTTGTTTGTTTGTTTGTTTTCCCTCTCTGCCTAGAGGACTGGTCTTTCTTGCACAAAGCAGATTATATTGCCCAGGGTTTTTGAGTAATTAGAAGAATGAGAATGGGGTTGAGAGTAAGGCCTCAAAAGGAAGAAACTAGGCTTCCCTAATGGTTAATGGCAGAGCGATGACCAAGAGATTAACTAAAAGTGAAATAAAATAAAAAGTAGAAATGACAATAACTACAAACTAATGAAGTTAAGTTTTACTAGTGACATGTAAACTTCTTATTACTTAGCTTTCACTTTGTAATGCTACAGGAACAAACAATCTCCAAATTTTGGTAAATTACAGCAATTAAGTTTTAGATCCCTTTCACATTCCATGTCAGCATAGGTCAGCAGAGTCAGCTGCCACTATGCTTCCATCTATGGCTTTGCACCATCTTACTCATTTTGTGATCAAGCTGTAGGAGCAGTTTCATTCTGGGTTACAGTGAACAAGTTACAGTTCTTAATGTTTCTGCTCCCATGGCACACAAGCCACTTCTGCATGCAGTTCATTCAATGATGAAAAAAAAGTCACATGGCCAAATCCACTTCAGTAGATTGGGAATTATGCTCCCCTCATAAGGAGGCCACACAAGTCTCATAGGATGAGAAAGGGATGCTTAATCTTCTTAAGGAGAAGGCAGCACACAAGGGGAATAAAGATATACTCCATTACATGTGGCATTCTTTACTTGGGTGGCGCAAATACACAATTTTTGTTTCCCTTTTGCTACCTTGTATTGTTATAAAAAGTAGAAAATAGCAGTACATCTCCTCAAATTAAGAATATATCATTTGTAATGAAATCTGTAAGATATATTTTAGGAGAAACGTACAAATACAGCCTTATCTCCATAGCACAGTTGGATGACCTCAGAGCCATCATGCATGAGCTGTTTGATGATGGCCCTCCTAGACATTCCAAATCTCTGCTTCTGGTTGCCACTGTCCACAGTGGTGAGAGAGAATACCCATTTGTGTGCTTGCCAATGAAGATGAGGTTTAGTGGAATAAGGCGTCTCCACCACAGATGGTTAAGAGTGATTCACAAAAGAAATACTTTGGCCTGGTCTTCTCTTTAGTGAATCAACACCAACCATTACAATCGGATGGTTTTTAAGAATATTGCCCATAAAGGAACACAGAAAAAAAATTATAGCTATATTTTAGGCACCTAGCAAAGTACTTGGTACATTGTGAGTGGCAGACAAATTTTTGTCAAAATAAGTTGAATTGTTCTTAACTCTGATTTTTTAAAAAACAAATAAGGACTATGTAAATTCAGTAACTGACATAGGTGAGTGTTCTATGTTTGGTGAATGGATAAGCATATAAATGGAGATAAAAGAGTCTTTTTTTTTTTTTTTTTGAGACGGAGTTTTGCTCCAGTGGTGTGATCTCGGCTCACTGCAATCTCTGCCTCCCGGGTTCAAGCAATTCTCCTGCCTCAGCCTCCTGAGTAGCTGGGATTATAGGCATGTGCCACCATGCCCAGCTAATTTTGTATTTTTAGTAGAGACAGGGTTTTTCCATGTTGGTCAGGCTGATCTCGAACTTCAGACTTCAGGTGATCCACCCACCGTGGCCTCCCAAAGTGCTAGGATTACAGGCATGAGCTACTGCACCTGACCTGATAAAAGAGTCTTAATTAATTTACTTAAATTTGTTCTGATCATACTAGTAGATACTCTCCTTACATAAGAAAACATTTTAGAGAGTAGCAACATTGTTCAAAGCTGTAATAATCATGAGGTAGAAACGTCATGACTTTGAAAATCTCTAAATACTTGAAACAAATATTAGCAAGAAATTTATAAGAGCTGTTTATACTCTTTATGATTATATACCTATATATGATATAAAATGTGATTACCTTATTATATATGGTTTTATGCATAATAATTACATATGTAACCATTTATTTTAAAATGTTAAATCTACCCCTAAGTCTCATTTCCATTAAAAATAGCCATGTAAACCAAATTAGTTAGCTTTTTAACTCTCACTAACATTTATTCACTGAGTGAGAAAATTTTGCATTGGCCAAATCATTTACTAAAACAATTTTACAAATGAATTTTCTGGTTTTTGGAAAGAATGTATGGTAGACTTGTCAGAGGCATTTGAACCAGAGCAACTCCATCTTGAATAGGAGCTGGGTAAAATGAGGCTGAGACCTACTGGGCTGATGTCCCAGATGGTTAAGGCATTCTAAGTCACAGGATGAGAGAGGAGGTTGGCACAAGATACAGATCATAAAAACCTTGCTGATAAAACAGGTTGCAGTAAAGAAGCTGGCCAAAACCCACCAAAACCAAGATGGCCACAAGAGTGACCTCTGGTCGTCCTCATTCCTACATTCCCACCAGTGCCGTGACAGTTTAAAATGCCACGGCAATGTCAGGAAGTTACCTTATATGGTCTAAAAGGGGGAGGCATGAATAATCCACCCCTTGTTTAGCATATCATCAAGAAATAACCATAAAAATGGGCAACCAGCAGTCCTCGGAGCTGCTCTATCTATGCAGTAGCCACTTTTTTTTTTTTAAGACAGTCTTGCTCTGTTGCCCAGGCTGGAGTGCAATGGCTCAATCTCAGCTCACTGCAACCTCCGTCTTCCAGGTTCAAGCAATTCTCCTGCCTCAGCCTCCCAAGTAGCTAGGACTACAGGCTCACACCACCACACCTGGCTTTTACATTTTTAGTAGAGACAGAGTTTCACCATGTTGGCCATGGTGGTCTTGAACTGCTGACCTCAGGTGATCCACCTGCCTCGGCCTCCCAAAGTGCTAGGACTACAGGAGTGAGCCACCACGCCCAGCCTTGGAGTAGCCATTTTTTATTCCTTTACTTTCCTAATAAACTTGCTTTCACTTTATAGACTTGCCCTGAATTCTTTCTTGCATGAGATCCAAGATCCTTCTCTTGGGGCCTGGATCAGACCTCTTCCTGGTAACAGACTTACCCTTGTTGGTAATCCCCGTTATTACTACTTTTGACATCACTGTCAGTAACTTATGTAAAGCCTCTATTTTTCTTACTAGGAAACTTCACTTGCTATACCTTCACTTACTCTTTTTTTTTTTTTTTTTTTTGAGACAGAGTCTCGCTGTATCGCCCAGGCTGGAGTGCAGTGGCACAATCTCAGCTCACTGCAACCTCTGCCTCCCAGGTTCAAGCGATTCTCCTGCCTAAGCCTCCTGAGTAGCTGGGACTGTAGGCACACACCACCATGCCTGGCTCATTTTTTGTATTTTAGTAGAGACAGGGTTTCACTATGTTGGACAGGATGGTCTTGATCTCCTGACCTCGTGATCCACTCTCCTCGGCCTCCCAAAGTGCTGGGATTACAGGTGTGAGCCACCGTGCCCAGCCAACCTTCACTTACTCTTCATGTTTATATAAATTGTTTGATTTTTTGCTTCCTAACTGTCAGGGTCATTTTTTAAATACAAAATTACATTTTCCTAACTTCAGAAATTCTGTGGCACTGGAAATGGAAATGGACAAAGGCAGAAGTGAAGGACTCTGGCTAAGTTAAAGTGACTTTCTAGCAAAGTGACTGATGCTTACACATCCACCTTTCTTCTGACTCAGAGCTGCTTCACAGGACATGTCATTAAAATTTGCATCCGCTAATTACTTCATCATTAGGTTACTAAGTAATCGTTGTTATATTCAGTGTTCAATATGCAGACAGCCAAGGCCACATACTCTCTAGTATCCTAAAATATTTCCAATAATGTGAATAATGTGTCTAAAGAGACACTAAACAAGGTTTCAACATGAATTTGCATACCCACACACACACACACAGACACAGTTACAAGTTGGAAAGCCTCTAGAACAATGGTATGTAGAATGCATTCAATTTCAGTAAGTAGTGGTGATTAAAAAATCACAAATCCTGTAACTTTCTTATATTCTATGTATTTTATCCTGTAATTCCTATAACTTGCTTATATTCCGTCTTTTATCCTTTACTTTATGTCATTATCAAGCTAAATGATAATGTACAAAAGGTAGACAATTATTATAGATCTTGAAGATGTAACACATTAAAAGAAATAAAAATAACAACTTTGGTTCACTTGCTTTACATTAATTATGGAAATTTATGCAAATAGTTTACCAGGTTTCTCACTATCCTGCAGCATCATAACTAGTATGTATGCATTTAGAAGTGCCATTTTCACTGGTTTGCAGTGGTATTTGATGATAGTCTTCATACTTTGCCTGCCTATAACTCATGATATTTGCTTATAATTTTAGACAATTAGAAAAGCCATTGTGTTGAAGTTTATTTTCTAAATTGCTAGAAGAAAAGGAGGAGAGGCTTGGCTGGGCGTGGTGGCTCATGCCTGTAGTCCCAGCACTTTGGGAGGCTGAGGCGGGTGGATCACTTGAGGTCAGGAGTTCAAGACCAGCTTGGCCAGCGTGGTGAAACCCCATCTCTACTAAAAATACAAAAAATTAAAAAAAAAAAAAAAAAAAGGAGGAGAGGAAGAAGAAGATGAAGGAAGAGGAGGAGGGGGAGGAAGAACATTATACTCAGTTCAGTTTGGGATCTAGATGCATTGAATTCTTTAAAGTATTGGCAAGTTCTCAGTGATATGTAAGGCAATTCTTCGTAAGCAGACGGTTCAAATGTTTGGAAGTTCCCTAGACTTGAGAACAAAATAGCCTTCAGCATTTTTTTTTTCCATCTGTATTCTTTCTTCTAGCCAGAAGCCAACTACTGGGCATCTTTGAAGGTAAACCATTTTCTGATAAATTGTAGGCTGAAAACAATTTGTATTTTCATTTCCAGATTTCTTGGCATCAGGGATCCAATTGCATTGAACTGATCAATGGCACATATCTGGGGGAGTCCTGAATGCATCCAATCTATCGTCACCAATCCTCTGTGGTTTTGCCCTGACAGCTTCCATGTGGGCTCAGAGAAGGGCTGGGCTGCCAAAGGATTGTAAATATGAGCCTGGGGTGGGGCCCAAGTCTTCCAGATGTGGCTGCTTTCGCATTTTCAGTGTGAATTCAAGGGACCTACCCTACTCTCTGACGGAGATAACAAGTGTCAAATCTCATAATCAGAAAAATGTGGTCATTTAAGTGAGAATGTCCACAAACAACTTTTCTTTTTCACCTCCTCTGTGGCTAACAAGTACCATAAACCTGGGTTCCTCTTCTCTCTGGTCAATTTGGGCATTCTAAGGCCGTGTTTGAGCATTCATTAACTTTGTGAAGTCATGAATTTTGGCTCCTCCTTTTATGTATCTTTCTAGGAGAACCAATACAGTGTCTGACTGGACAAGAATATTATATGAGGAAGTAATATATCAAATGAGTCAATGTGTGTCTGACCAGAACTTCCTCATTCTGTTGGCTTCCCCTGCTCTGGCTTAGTGGTGGTAGGAAGTATTTCAAGTTAAATTCCTGTGGTCACTTTTCCCATTTTCAGGCAATGGGTCATGTGCACTGGGATTAGCCAAGCATTTTGCTTCTCTGTCTTCGTCATTTAAGTGTACTTTTCACAAAGCACGTTTCTTACCCAAATGGGAAAACAGAAAAAATGTAAAGGACTATTTGGCCACTTGCTGATTACCATGATGTTGAATTCAGTGGAGCGCTTGCTGGAATAAGGGGAAGTGGCGGAATTATCCTTAGTTCTTTCTTTACCTGAAAATACCTTTATTGCCTCTGAAATATAACGTATAAAAACCCCAAATAAGGCCAGGCGCCGTGGCTCACGCCTCTAATTCCAACACTTTGGGAGACTGAGGTGGGTGGATCACCTGAGTTCAGGAGTTCGAGACCAGCCTGACCAACATAGTGAAACCCTGTCTATACTAAAAATACAAAAAATTAGCCGGGCATGGTGGCAGGCACCTATAATCTCAGCTACTTGGGAGGCTGAGGCAGGAGGTGGAGGTTGCAGTGAGACGAGATCATGCCATTGCACTCCAGCCTGGGCAACAAGAGCAAAACTCTGTCTCAAAAAAAAAAAAACAAAAAACCCTAAAACAAACAAACAAACAAAAACTCCAAATAAAACATGTAACATCAATTAGTAGAAGCAGTAGATAAACTGATGTCTTTACTTTGTTTAGTGTGAAATGTTTTAAATATTTTGAAGTATTTTGATGTGTTCAGTCTTTGAATCCAAAGGAAGAAAATCTGATTTCAATTTTGAAAAGCTTTTAATGTATACATCTCAATGAACATTTTTTTCTCCAAAGGCTATAAAGCTTATTTTAACTATGTCTCCATTGCTTAAGAGTTAATGCTCCTCTTTTTATATAGATCTATTGATTTCATATTTTCTCCTAATGAAACACACCTGAAGTATATATAGTTGACCCTTGAACAACATTGGTTTGAGCTGTGCGGATCCACTTACATGCAGATTTTTCTCAGCCTCCGCCACCCCTGAGACAGCAAGACAAACCTTTCCTCCGCCTCCTTAACGTGAAGATGACTAGGGTAAAGACCTTTATGATAATCTACTTTATTTAATTATTACTAAGTGTATGTTCTCTTCCTTATGATTTTTTAAAATAACATTTTGTTTTCTGTAGCTTACTTCATTGTAAGAATATAGTATATAATGCATAGAACATGCAAAATAGGTGTTTACTGACTGTTTCACTTATCGATTGGGCTTCTAGTCAAAAGCAGACTGTTTTAGTTAAGTTTTTGGAGAATCAAAAGTTATACGTGAACGTGTCGATGCCTCTAACCCCTGTGTTGTTCAAGGGTCAACTGTAATTAAGTACTCCCCACTGCCCTCAGCCTGTGGCTGATTATGGCAGTGAGTCTCAAATGGGGGTGACAGCAAGTCAGACAGTCCTCTTAGAAGGGAGTACCAAAATGTTGGGGGGACACAAAAATGTCTATGTTGGAGTTAGGGAAAAATGTTTATTTCCATATTTTACATGATTTGTAATTTTTTTTTTTTTTGAGGCAGATTCTTCCTGTCACCAGGCTGGAGTGCAGTGGCATGATCTTGGCTCACTGTAACCTCCACCTCCTGGGTTCAAGCCATTCTCCTGGCTCAGCCTCCTGAGTAGCTGGGATTACAGGCGCCCACCACCACGCCCAGCTAATTTTTGTATTTTTAGTTAAGACGGGGTTTCACCGTGTTGGCCAGGATGGTCTCGATCTCCTGACCTCATGATCCGCCCGCTTCGGCCTCCCAGAGTGCTGGGATTACAGGCGTGAGCTACCGCACCTGGCTGTAATGTTTATAGATAAAAATATTCCTTATTGAGGATACAATTAAAATTACAGAAGGTCTATACAATTCTATAAATTATGAGTATTACTTTTTACTATTAAAATGATGCCTATAAAAAGCTTGTCATAACATGGAACAAGAGGTTAATAATATAAAGTTCAACAAATCAGGATAAAAACATAGGTATAAAATAAGGATATTTTCATATTTTTATCCTGATGTCATCTGGATAAACACAAAAGAATGGGAACAAAACTGAAAAGAAATGTGCCAAAAATGATAACAGTAATTCCCTGTGTTCACTAGGATTATAGACAGGTTTCTGTTTCTTAATGCTTTTATTTGTCTAGTTATTTGCCATAAGCTGATACTATTTTTGATAGTGGAATAATGTTTAAAATGAAATAAAGGAAACAAGAGTGCTTGAGGCAGAAGTAGAGCTCTTATATTATGTCTTCCAAGTTAATTCCCTCCTGGATATTAGGGAATTCTCACTTTGAGTAAACAGGGCCATTCACAAATAACAGGCACCCTTCTATCCCTATAGCTTCTTGAATTGTTTTCACCACGCCATTTTATTAAGCCTCCCTTTCAAGGAGGCTCCCTGTGTCAAGTAGACACAGCTCTGCTTTCGGTTCAGTTTACTTTCATTCCTGTATGTGAGAAGAGCTTTCTTGCTGGAAGGAGGTTTTCAGATGTCTATGGGTATCCTTCATGTTCTCACAGCCTCATCTTGAGCTGCTCTTTAGGCATTGCCTATTCATTGCATGGGGCAGAATACTTAAAGATAGCTTTGTCTGCCTGTTCCCATTGGTTGGCAGATGCCTCTGAAAAAAGACAGAAAAGCCCATCCACTCTTGGACCGTAAGCTAGCCATTCATGTATTGAAGTCACTGGAGGCTGATGTAATGATAGCAACCATTCATGTTGGCAGACAAGAGAACTCTGTATGTAAGACAGAAGACTGGGGTGCTTTTAACTAGCCATTCCTCACATGGAAACGATGTTGTAGGGCTCTGATTGGCTGGACATCGATGTATTTTGAAGGGGGTCTGAGGTGGTCTTAAGTAGTACAATACTTCCAGAGGGTGAGCTCCTTCCTTCTTCAGTCTGATAAGTAAAAATATGTGGACTATTATGAAAATAAATCATAATAACAATTTGTCAATTTGATAAAACACCATAAGGGTACTTTTTAAAGCCCTGTGGTCAGTATCCCCAAACACATCTTTTTCCCATACAAAACTAAAATCACCAATAAAGAAAAGGCTGCTGGCAAAAATGTGAGTACTGGGCACTGTTTTGTGCCTCAGGATGAAAGGCATACAATGAGGTGATTAAAAACATGCTGACTTTAGAAATTTGGGGCTTAATTAATGAGTTAATGATGGGAATAGGGCTCCTTTTCTTCAGTATTCAAAATTCCAATAATAAATAGTTGTGTTTTGGAAGTTCATCCACAAAGATTCTTGGGTGAGTAGGGGGCTGTTATTCATGGCTGAGTTATAATAACACTTGGGATCTGTAGACTGTCCAAAAAGGTAACAGAAACCCAGGCTTTCATCAACACTTTCATGAGAGAGATTGTATTGTAGGTTAATAGTTCTTTTCTGAAGAAAATTTTTCAGTTCTGTTTAGCAAATCTGTTATCTACAAAGAACAAAAGAGATTTGAACCTTATTAGACAATGCATTCAGTATGTGAGCCAAAGTATGAATTTCTCAAGCCGTACTTCTCTGACAAATTCTTCCCTCAGAACTGAGGAAATTTTGATTTAAATTGCCCAGATATTGGCTCTGTTGCGCAATGGATAGCGCATTGGACTTCTAAATTGCCCAGATATTTTCTAATCTCCATTTTTTATGCAATAGCTGAATGGAGTTATAATACAGTTTCCTGAGATTATGGCTGATATATTAAACTTCACAAATCTTTGTTTTATTTTCTTTTTCTTAGAGTTGATTTTGTTGTCTTGTTGTCACGTGCATCCGTGTGAAGGGACCACCAAACAGGCTTTGTGTGAGCATCAAGGCTGTTTATTTCACCTGGGTGCAGGCGGGCTGAGTCCGAAAAAGGAGTCAGCAAAGGGTGGTGGGATTATCATTAGATCTTACAGGTTTTGGGGATAGTCGGTGGAATTAGGAGCAATGTTTTGCAGGCAGGGGGTGGATCTCACAAAGTACATTCTCAAGGGTGGGGAGAATTACCAAAAACCTTCTTAAGGGTGGGTGAGATTACAAAGAAACTTCTTAAGGGTGGGGGAGATTACAAAGTACATTGATCAGTTAGAGTGGGGCAGAAAGAAATCACAATGGTGGAATGTCCTCAGTTAAGGCAGGAACTGCCCATTTTCACTTCTTTGTGGATCTTCAGTTGCTTCAGGCCAGCTGGATGTATATATGCAGGTCACAGGGGATATGATGGCTTAGCTTGGGCTCAGAGGCCTGACACTTGTCTTAGTGAAGGTGATGGTGTGGCAGGCAGATAACCAGATGATTTTTAAACACTGTTGGCTGGGCGCGGTGGCTCATGCCTGTAATCCCAGCACTTTGAGAGGCCAACGCGGGCAGATGAGCTGAAGTCAGGAGTACAAGACCAGCCTGGCCAACATGGTGAAACCCCGTCTCTATTAAAAATAGAAAAATTAGCCAGGAGTGGTGGTGCATGCCTGTAATCCCAGCTACTCAGGAGGCTGAGTCAGGAGAATCATTTGAACCCAGGAGGTGGAGGTTGCAGTGAGATGAGATTGCACCACTGCACTCCAGCCTGGGTGACAGAGTGAGACTCCATCTCAAAAAAAGAAAAAACAAAAACTGGACAGTCACTTCATGGATTCTAGGGACTTTTGTGTTTCTATTTTAATCACTCTGTGATAAGAAGTACCCATACAGACAATTAAGACAAAAAACTATTAAAAAATACAGTTGAAGAGAAAAAGAGTAAGAAAAATATCAATCATTCTGCATTTATTTTTGAAATACATAGGTATATTTTCAGGGGACAGGATGTGTATGTGTCCAGCAATGATCAGGAGCTAAGGCAATCGCAGTGTATTATACAAAGCTGGCTGCTGCTCCCAGAATGCTTCTAATCAGGCAGCAGGGATGAGCACTCAGATGTAGGTATAATAATCTAACTACCGTTTGGACAGGACATGATATAATGAGATCCCCTCAGGATGCTATAGCTGAAGTGACAGAAACCCAATTCAAACTGATTTAAGCATGAAAGAAAATTCTTTGGCTCACAAAGCTGAAAAATTTAAAAGTAGGTTGGTTGGATCTGATATGGACAGGAGGCAGGGAAATACTAGGTAGAAAAAAGTGGGGGGCCAGGGGTGGTGGCTCATGCCTGTAACCCCAGCACTTTGGGAGGCCGAGATGGGTGGATCACCTGAGGTTAGGAATTCGAGACCAGCCTGACCAACATGGTGAAATCCCGTCTCTACTAAAAATACAAAAATTAGCTGGGCATGGTGGTGCATGCCTGTAGTTCCAGCTACTCAGGAAGCTGAGGCAGGAGAATCACTTGAACCCAGGAGGCAGAGGTTGCAGTGTGCTGAGATCGCGCCATAGCACTCCAGCCTGGGTGACAGAGTGAGACTCCATCTCCAAAAAGAAAAGAAAAAGAAGAGAGGAGAGGAGAGGAGGAGAGGAGAGGAGAGGAGAGGAGAGGAGAGGAGAGGAGAGGAGAGGGAAAAGGGAACAGGGAAAAGGGAAAAGAAAAGAAAAGAGAAGGGTGGGGTCCTTGGCAAGGGTTCCACCCTCAAAGCTGGGCCCATGAGTGAGACTCCATCTGAGAAGAGAAGAGAAGGGGGAGGGAGGGGAGGGAATGTGGGATATGACAAGGTTTCTCTTCAAATAACGCGATCAGTCTTTTGTTCTTTAATTCATAGTACCCCCCACTTTTTTCCCTTTTTCTCCTTTTTTCCCTTTTTGCATTTGTTAGATGCCCAGGCATGCCTCAGTACCAGGTGTTATCAGTACCAGCTCACATTCCTTTCCTTATTTGGAAAGAGGACTAACTTTCTAGCTCATTACAGACACCCTTTCCCCTTTCCTCTCCACTTTCTTTTATGTGCCCACCTTATCTAAAAAAATCAAATGTTTAGCCAACCGGAATTAGTTTAGATTATACGACCGGACCCTGGCCAGTGGGGAAAGGGTACAGGGGCAGGACTTGCATCAGGAATAAAGGCTCTTGTGCCCCTTTGTTCAGGTGTGCTCTCATGGCGACTGGCCAAGGAGGCACCCCTCTGTGCAGAAGTAAAATTGCTTTGCTAAGAATCCTTTGTTCGAGTGTTCAGTTTCCTTAGGATTTTGAGCATTATTCCTTACAAGGACAGAAGAGAAGAGAAGAGAAGGGTGGGGTCCCTGACAAGGTTTCCACCCTCAAGCCTGGGCCAGTGGCCCTAAATGAGAACTTTAAATCCCTGTTTTCCCATCCAAATATTGCCTTTTGGCCCACCACGCCCCTTACTCTGTGCCCATGGAAACCCCAGGCTCCACTAGCAGAGCAGCAGAGCGGTGTGGCAGGGAAGGAGAGGAGAGAAGCGTCTGAACATCCAGAAGGGAAGAGGCGCTGGACATTGGAGACTAGGATCGGGGAGGAGTTTGGCCGGGGATGATTGGAAAGGAGTTCGGCCAGGGACAGCCGAACTCTAGGGGAAGATTATCTTCCCACTCCATCCCCTTTCCTGCTCCCCATTTCACTGAGAGCCATTCCACTGCCCAATAAAATCTCTGCATTCACCATTCTTTAAGTCCTTGTGACCTGATTCTTCCTGGATGCTGGACAAGAACCTGGGTACCAAGAGAGCAGGGTGTAAAAGGCTACCGGGATCCTCCCCTGAGCTGGTTTTAACACCTAGCCATCAGCAAAAGGCAAATGCTAAAAGAGCATTGTTTGTAACACACGATCCCTGGGACCCCAGAGGTCGTGGGCAACACCTAGACACTGCCGGGGGCAGTATGGGTTAGTTCCTGCGGACACTTAGTTCCCAAAGGCACTTGCCCCAGCGCCTGCGCCCACTCACCTGTGTGCCCCCCACTCCTCCAAGGGAATTGAGCTGAGTAAACGAGCCACCCCTGTTGCAAGTCCTGCAAGGGGATTAAGGGAATTCTCCCGTCTCAGATGCAGGGGCTCAAATTCCATTGTGGGAACTTAAGACTCTGTCTGTCTTCTGCTGTGTCAGTGAAAAGAGTCAAACTGTAAAATATCTGAAGAGATTTATTCTGAGCCAAATATGAGTGACCATGGCCTGTGACACAGCCCTCAGGAGGCCCACAAACATGTGCCCAAGGTGGTCGGGGCGCAGCAGCTTGGTTTTATGCATTTTAGGGAGACATGAGGCTTCAATAAAATACATTTAAGAAACACATTGGTTTGGTTCAGAAAGGCAGGACAGTTCAAAGCAAGAGGGCAGGGGTAACTTTCAGGTTACAGGTAGATTTAAAATTAACATTTTCTGGTTGACAATTGGTTGAGTTTATCTAAAGGCCTGGGATCCATAGAAAGGAAATGTCTGGATTGCGATAAGAGGTTCTGGAGGCCAAAGTTTAATTATGCAGATGAAGCCTCCAGGTAGCAGGCTTCAGAGAGAATAGATTGTAAATGCTTCTTATCAGACTTAAAGGCCTGTGTCGATGTTAACGCTAAAGAGGTATCATGAGGTATATTCAACCCCCACTTCCTGACTTGGCCTGAACCAGTTTCTCAGTTTACATTTTAAAAGTGCCCTGGCCTAGGAAAAAGTCCATTCAGATGGTTGAGGGGGCCTTTGAATTTTACTTTTGTTTGCATATGATTACCTTATTGAATAGCTCCTAAACTCCCTTTTCCACTCTGCTAATGTCCCGGCTCATATTCTTTCAAATGAAGTCCAGCAGATGGAGAACTTCTTTATTCTCTATACTTTTAAGAATAGAGAATTAAAATTTATTGGCTCTAATTAGCCAAATGTAAGTCAAATGCTCACACATTGAGTTCAGAAAACGGTCAGCTTTATCCTAATCCTATAGACTAAGAGTAGAGACTACATTTTTTTCCCAAGGAAAATCAAGATTCTATTATCGGAAATAAGAGAAATGGTCAATGCATAGGAAAGTGATAATAGTTGTCACCACACAGAGGACACAGAGACGTGTTTTGGGATATTTATTCCACTCGCGAGAAGATCTAAGACATTTTTGATAATCACATCTCCAAGAAGGCTGATGAAAGGAGGAGGCTGCTACTTTGGGTTTAAGTATCAGTCTCTGGTGATCAAAGAATTGTGATCATTTCCCTTTGGGAAATATATCATATCCAGTTATTTGTTATTTCTCTAGTACCCACTGTTTCAGGGATTGTCCACGGCTCCTAAGATTAAGGCGAGGATAGAGTCAGATATACAGTAGATCCCAGATTATTAGATTTTAAATTCTTCAGAGAAAAATGAAGAAGAGAATAACTCTAGGGAAAAGCATGCCTCCAGAGGAATGGGAAGTAGCTAAGAAAATATGTTTCACTGGCCAGGAGCAGTGGCTAATGCCTGTAATCCCAGCGCTTTGGGAGGCCGAGGCGGGTGGATCACCTGAGGTCGGGAGTTTGAGACCAGCCTGACCAACATGGAGAAACCCCATCTCTACTAAAAATACAAATAAAATTAGCTCGGCGTGGTGGCACGCACCTGTAATCCCAGGTACTCGGAAGGCTGAGGCAGGAGAATCGCTTGAACCCGGGAGGCTGAGGTTGCAGTGAGCTGAGATCGTGCCATTGCACTCCAGCCTGGGCAATAAGAGTGAAACTATGTCTCAAAAAAAAAAAAAAAAAAAAAAAGGTTTCAGACTATCCAGTCCAAACAAGTTTAGTAATAATCAGCAAGTTGATGACGTCAGAATTAATTTAAGAGAACTATGGGAAAAATGGAATGTATCTATCCTTAAGTGATTCAGCTGGGCACATATTCTCAGAGTTAGAGTCTCAGATGTCCACCACCCGTCTTTAACTCAGCTATCTTCAAACTTAGGTATCAATTATGACTAAAACAAGTATATTGTCTACATTAATGTCAATATTGGAAGTTGTGAGCCCTAGAAACAAAATCAAGTGCATTCCTGTTACCCCTTATTTTTGCCATTCAGATGCAAACTCCAAGCATCAGTGGACATGAGCCTATGGATCACCCTAATTTGAGAATCACATTGGCCTAAACCATAACCCCGAGTATCTGCCTAATTTTCCTCCACTCATTTTCTGGCTTTGTCTCTTTGTTTAGAGGAAAACCATGCTCTAAATACTAGCTGTTCTCTGGATTCTTAGCATCCAGATTTAATTTTGCCTCCTTAATCCACGATTTAAAAAAGGAATTAGATGCATAGAACTCCAAACTTAATATGTATGGTAGATAGAATAATGTCTATCCACCAAACAAACACAAAAATATGTCTATGCCTCAGTCTCTAGAAACTGTCAGTATCTTACATTACATGGCAAAGGGGAATTTGCAGATGTAATTAAGGTTATGAACCTTAACAGAGGGAGGTTATCCTGGCTTATCCAAGTGGCCCAATCTAATCATATGAACTTTAAGAGCAGAGAAATTTCTCTGAGTCAGAAAGGCAGCAGAAGACAAAGGCAAAAGAGATGTAACAGAAGAGGAAGCTGGAGAGATTTTAAGTGTGAGACGGATTAGAGGCACCGTTGCTGGCTGTGAGATGCCCACCTACAAGGACTGAGGATAAACCTCTAGGAGATAAGATGCTCTCCAGCTAACAGCACACATGGAAATGATGAGTTTAACCCTACAACTGCAAGGAACTGGATTCTGCCTGAATAAGCTTAGAAGCAGATTCTTCCCAGATCTCCCCTGTACTGAGAAGGATTAATTGATTAGGATCTCACTAATAGGGGTTGGGCAGACTGACACCTTGATTTTAGTCTTGTGAAACCTAGAAGAGAGAAACCATAGAACAAATCTGGATTTATGATCTAAAGAACTGTGAAATAAATTTGTATTGTTTTAAGCACAAATCAGTGGATTGTTTAAAATAGCAGCAGTAGGAAACTAATACAGTATGTTTCCAGACAAGGAAGGAAAGTATGAATTAGAAGGAGAGGAAATCATGGCAACTAAAAGAATTGATAGATTTAAAAATGGGAGAGTTTTCTACTGATGCTTAGTATGGTTCTGATTTTAGTCCAGTGTTGCTATAAAAAAATGAGTAATTGTCCATTAACTGGACAACATTCGGCATAAAATCTTTCTTTCTTAAAGGGCTCAAGTCAGTATCTGCATTATAGGCATAGTCTGTGGTGAGATAAAGAAATAGTGAAAAGAGGTAAGAAATGAAAAATATAAAAGCAGGCACATGAGTCCTCTTCAATCCTGCTACCATATGTCTAGTCCTAGAGTAAGAAATAGATCTTTTATGATTTGAAGACAAGTCTCTGTTTTTGGAAACCTCACTTTTATGTCAAAGCCCTCAGATCTGTTGGAAAAAATTAAAAATAAGAATGGCTATATATTCCAGAGAAATAAAGCCATTGACAGACTTTTAAAATTCTTTATTGTTTTGGATCCAAAAAAAGGGACCTCTATGATATATTATGTATCGTTACAATATGGTGCATGGCTTCATCATCTGTACTGAGAAAGATTAATTGAATAGGGTCACACTAATTTACAAGCAATTGTACTATGGGATGAACATGAAACAGGGCTGCCAAGAAAAGTTTTGTCACTTGCACTAGACATTTTTATCTGCAAAGGATGTTTATATCCACCTTGGGTTATTTCCAAGATTTTACTTTGGGTATCACTTTTGGATCTAGGCCTTCACTTAGAGAACTCCTTCCTCCTTAAAAAAGCAAGTGAAGTTCTTGCAACATAGATAAGAAAATCACCAGTGCTACTTCATGTGTTTTTAATGATGCCCTAAAATCACCAGGCAACCACCAACCCGGGACCCGGAAATGAAGAAAGTACGCTATGTCTCAGAGAAATATAAATTTCTAGGAAATAACAACCGAAATGTGTTCATATCTTGAAACTCAGGAAACCTCAGCTACTGAGTTCCAAAGATTTCTCAGATATGTAAATAATACCAAAGGAGATGGGAAATTCCAGTTGTCTTTTATAGTATTCTTGATTTGATGGGGATTTCCTCAAGAGGTTATGACTGTCAAGGAGTGCAGACAGACTTTTTTCTTCTAAGACTGATGACAGCTCCTTTTCCTCACAGACAAAACGTCGAGAAGCTTCTCAAGTTATGACCAATGTTGACAAAAAGAGTCAAATCTGTAACATATTTTTAGAAATTTATTCTGAGCCAGATATGAGTGCCAAGGTGGTCGGGGTACAGCTTGATTTTATATATTTCAGGGAGGCATGAGATGTCAATCAAATACATTTAAGAAATAGGGGAGCAGGGGCTTCCAGGTTATAGGTAAATTTAAACATTTTCTGGTTAGCAGTTGGTTGAGTTTGTCTAAAGACCTGGGATGACAGAAAGGAAATGTTCAGGTTAAGATAAATGATTGTGGAGACCAAGGTTCTTTTGAAGTCTTATAGTGGCTGCCCTTGGAGACAATAGATGACAAATATTTCCTATTCAGATCTTTGAAAGGTGCTAGACTTTTAGTTAATCTCTTCAGGATAGGGCGGGCCTGGAAGAAAAAGATCTAGCTATGTTAATAGAGATTCTTTACAGATGCAGATTGTCCCCCACAAAGGATGGCTTTGCAGGCCCATTTCAAGATGTGGCAGAGAAAAATGTTTTGGGGTAAAATATTCTGATTTTCTTCCTTGTTATGCCAGAGTCAGATTGGAAAGTAAGTCCCAATATACAGGGTTAAATAAAACCCATCAGATGAGAATTTATGGTTTGTAGGGCATGACTCTCCAAACCCCTTAGATAGGAATTTGGCCAAGATATAAAAAATCAGAGCTTAGTCCTCACCAAGTATCGAATGCTTTGGAAACGTCTGTTCCCTATCATTCGCTTCCTCTTTGGAGCACATTTTACCCACCATTCCCTTCATTCCAATTGATTTTATATATATATATATATATATATATATATATATATATATATATATATATGTATTTTTTTTTTTTTTTTTTTTTTTTTGGGACGGAGTCTTGCTCAGCTACCCAGGCTGGAGTGCAGTGGTGCGATCTTGGCTCACTGCAACCACCGTCTCCTGGGTTCAAGTGATTCTCCTGTCTCAGCCTCCCCAGTAGCTGGGATTACAGGCACCCACCATCATGCCCGGCTAATTTTTGTAGTTTAGTAGAGACAAGGTTTCACTGTGTTGGCCAGGCTGGTCTTGAACTCCTGACCTCAGGTGATCCACCTGCCTCAGTCTCCCAAAGTGCTAGGGTTACAGGTGTGAGCCACCGCACCCGGCCAAATTGATGATTATATTTTAATGAAGGTTCCATAACATATTTGAGTCCCCACTCAAAACTGAAAAGAACCATAACATAAAGGAAGACAAATGGGGGAAAAAACAACCCAAAACTCTCATACCTCTCAGATCAATGCCCTTATTTGACTTATCGTCATACTTTATATAAACTGTAGGAAGTTATATTCTTCCTTCTTTTCTTCTATTCTTATTTCTTCTTTCCTTCTATTCTTATTTCTTTCATTTATTTATTTATTCATTCATTCAGACAGTCATCAGTCATGCAAAGAACTAGATGTAATGTCCAGCCAAGGGAACAAACAGAAAGAACAAAGTTCTAAGACAGGAAAAGTTTTAGTAGGCTTTAAACATCCAGCAAAAGACCAGTTGGCCCTCACAATACCAAACATACAGAGTTTTTCAAATATCCAAATGCCCTAAAAATACTATGACATTTAAATATATATATATATTTCTGTGAATTTAAATACAGTTTTTATAGTTATCTCTCACTGACTATCACTTCCCCTTGAAATTGTAGTTGGTACCATTTTGTACACATTCAAAATGCTAGATCTGGAGTTACGCATTTTAGCTATGTAATGAAACTTTTCCCAAAAAAAGAAAACTAAGGTACACAAGAGAGCTGTGGACTTTTCTGCTATCATCCACTCAGTTGCTCAAGGCAATAGTCTAGGAATCATAGTGGAATCCTTCTTTGTTTTCGATACCTACACCAACGCTGGTCCCATTCTGTTAAGCTCTGTTCACTTATCTCCATTTTCTCTAGTACAAACTATTATTAGCTCTCAGTTCACCTGCTGCAATAGCCACTCTTGTCTTCCTGCAAACATTCTCCACCCAGCAGCCTTAGAATAATCTTTAAAAAATTGTCCAGCAAATTTTATTTTTAAAACCTGTCAACAGCTTTTCCTTAAATTCAAACTCCTGGACCCTACAGGATCTGTTTCCTACCTCCCTCCCTGATTTCATCTACTGATATTCACACTCTTGCTTACCATGTTTTAGCCACACAATTCTTTTTGTTCCTTGATACAGAACATCTGATTCTTGACTTGGGGAAGATTATTTCCCTTTCTTAAAATGATTTCTGCTCCCAGATTCGTCCTTGGTTGGCTACTTGTCATTTACTCGCTAATTAGATCTTTCCTGGCCAACCAATCTAATTAACATCCCTCCGCCACAACTCCAGTCATTTTCTCCATCAGCTCTTTTTAAATACAATTTATTAAAATATTGTTAATCATATGTGTTTCATGTTTATTTTCTCTCTCCTTGTACTTGAATATAAACTCCATAAAGGCAGAGACCTTATTTATCTTGTTCTCCAGTTAATCTCCATCACTGTGAATAGTGCTTCACATATAGTGGGCACTCAATTAATGTTTATTCAATTAATTTGTTCAAGATTATACAACATCACAATTCAGAAGCAACATCTAACACTCAGCAGCGTGAGTACTCATTCCACTGGGCCATAGTTAGAAACACTAATGGCTTGCCATCTTGAAGATATATGGTATACCTTTTGTGTAAGTAAGATCAATCTTCCTCATTTTAGCACTTCCTAGAACTTACAGTAAAAAAAGAGAAATATTAGATGACCAATTGACATATTTTGATTGACCTAAACAATGGTTCATTCAAATATGCAAATATCCAGGTATACCATATCTTAGCTCCAAAATTCTTCCCAATGCCCAGTAGGAAAGACAGCCTGCTTATTAGGCAAATATGCCAGAGGTAGTGATTCACATGGTCTTATAGCAGTTGCCCAAGCTGACCTCCATCACCCTACCCTGGAAGGATGTGCCTGGAGGTGGTCTCCTGTTTGGTTAGCCACTCCCTGAGGCATTATTTCATGTGTCAGTGCATTTGAAAGAGGTATCTCATACCTCTTTTATATTGCTATTGACACTCAATAAAATCCAACAAGTTTTTAAACCCATATATTTCAGCATCTCCCAAATGTTACCGTTGGTTCTGAACAATTTAGTTTACTGAAAAAAAAACAAACTATATTTTTCTGATTCTGTCCACTGAAACAACCCAGAAGCAATGCATTTCTTTTTAGAAAAAGGAGAAATAAAGGCGTACAATTTCCAGTTCCCAAGATTAAATGATTTTTAAGGCCCTAGTGTTACATTTGTATCTCTTTTTTTTCACTGAAAATTTGATTATTAATGATGGCTGATTCATGAACTTATTTATTGTATGTGTGTGTGTTTCAAAATAATATTACCGATATTGTAACTAACAGTGAGATTGCTGAGTGAAAAGTATGACTCCTTTGTTGTATTTTTTTTCATTAAGATATACTTTTGTGGAGATGTACAGTTAACACATTGTCTTTTTAAATCACTGATTATTTTTTATTTGATGATATGAGCAATTTGACAAAGTATATTTTTTCTTTCAGTTTTTTATTTTGTTTTCTGATATAACTTCTGTTTATTTAACTAGGAAAATATTCCCATGGTTTAACAGTCAAAGCTGTAAAAAGTCTGTCTTCCCTTTCTGTTCCTTCCCCCTCTTCTCTGCCTTCTCCTACAGGTAACCATTTTTATTATCTTTTGGTTTATTCTTACAATATTTATTTTTAAAATTGCAAATAAATATGCATATATTTATGTAGATATAAATACATATTTGTATTTGTTTCCCTTAAATAAAAATTAACATAGACACTTCTCTATGCCTTTTGTTTTTTCCCTTAATGACATATTCTTGTGAAAAAACAATGAAGATACAGGCCTCATTCCTTTATGTAGCTGTATGTTGTAACATTGTGTGGATATATCATAGTATATTCAATCCAACTCATGCTGATTGCTGATGTACTTACTGTTGGGTGATTTCCATGTTTTTGCTTTTACAAATAGTGCTGCAACATGAATCCTTGGGCATACCTCCTTTCATAGGTTTGCCAAAGCATCTTTGGGATAGGTTCTGAGAAGTGGAAATTCTGCATCAAAATGTAATTTTGCCACATATTGCCAATTTCTCATCATTGAGTTGTGTCATTTTTCAGTACCATCAGCAATGTATAAGAGTGTCCATACCCTACTGCCTTGACAAATATTATATCTGCAAACTTTTGAATGTTTTATCTGATGAGAGAGAAATGGTATCTCAGTGTAGTTATAATTGAATTTCTCTTATTATGAATGAAATTGACTTTTAAAAATATTTGTGAAAATAATTTTGTGAATTATTTGCATGTCTTATTCATATCTTTTGCACTCTTTCTATCAGATTGTTGGTTTTTCTTCTCAATATTTAGACACTGTTCATATATCAGTGAAATATCTGTTTATGATATAAATTGCAGACATTTGTTCTCAGTTTGACATTTGGTGGATGGCAAATACTTTAAAAATTCCTGGATGGCGACGCAAATTACCCTGATATGATCACTATACA
Source organism: Homo sapiens (assembly GCF_000001405.40). NCBI lineage: Eukaryota > Metazoa > Chordata > Mammalia > Primates > Hominidae > Homo > Homo sapiens. The sequence goes on from NC_000008.11 coordinate 121,827,676, forward strand.
TTGTATCTATGAAACATCACTATGTACTTCATAAAATATATACAATTACTAATTACTATGTGTCAATTACAGAAAAAGAAATTTTTTTTTTTTTTTTTTGAGATGGAGTTTCACTCTTCTTGCCCAGGCTGGAGTGCAATGGCGTGATCTCAGCCCACGGCAACCTCCGCCTCCCACGTTCAAGCGATTCTCCTGCCTCAGCCTCCCTAGTAGCTGGGATTACAGGCACGTGCCACCACGCCCGGCTAATTTTGTATTTTTATTAGACACGGGGTTTCTCCATGTTGGTCAGGCTGGTCTCGAACTCCCGACCTCTGGTGATCCACCCGCCTCGGCCTCCCAAAGTGCTGGGATTACAGGCATGAGCTACGGCTCCCGGCTGAAAAAAAACTTTTTTAAAAAAGAAAGAATAAGCATCTCTCTAGGGCATTTGGAGCTTGGTCACATCAACATCATGTTTTATCTTCCAGATTATGAAGAAAAGCATCCGTGTTTTCTTCGAGTGTTTGTATGGCCTTAGTTTTACACTTAAATATCAAACCATTCGGAATTCTTTCCCTTTATGAGGTATAAAAAATATCCAAATTTGTATATGTACTCATGGCTAATCAGTTGTCTGCCCATTTAAAAGTCCTTATTGTTCCCCATTGATTTGAGATACCTTCTTTATCATGTACTAAATTTCCACATGTATTTTTTTTCTTTTCTGGATTTTTCATTCCATTCCGTCAGTCTACTTGTGCACCAGTATTACACTGAGTCAAAAGGCTTTATGATATGTTTCATGAACCGTAAGAATCAGCGCCACTCCTCATTACTTCTCATTTTTACAGCTTTTCTAGCTAGTCTCACTTTTTCTTTTTCAACTTTTTCTTTTTCTTCTTTTTTCTTTAATTTTTTCAAATGAATGTTATGATCAAGTTTTCTTATTCCAGGAAGGTAGGGGAGAATATTATCATCAATATCAAATTACATTGAACAATTAACATAGGGAGAATTGACATCTTTATTAAGTTGACTCCTCCTACTGAAGAATATAGAATATTTTTTCTTTATTTAATAGTGTGCTTTTCATCTTTTAAGCATGTGTGTGTCTAATAGAGGTCTTGTACATTTCTTTTAAGTTTATGCACAAGTTTTTTATTTTACTTTATGTTGCTTTTATGCTTTATTTTATGTTGCGATTATAAACTAGGTTTGCTCTTCCATTATTGTTTCCATTAGATTATGTTTGTATATCTGAAAGTCAATTCTCTATGCTAATTTTATACCCTCTGTTTTTTTTCTTTTAGACGGAGGCTCACTCTGTCGCCCAGGCTGGAGTGCAGTGGCGCAATCTTGGCTCACTGCAAGCTCCGCCTCCCGGGTTCACGCCATTCTCCTGCCTCAGCCTCCCGAGTAGCTGGGACTACAGGCGCCCGCCACCACGCCCGGCTAATTTTTTGTATTTTTAGTAGAGATGGGGTTTCACCGTGTTAGCCAGGATGCTCTCGATCTCCTGACCTCGTGATCCGCCCGCCTCACCCTCCCAAAGTGTTGGGATTACAGGCATGAGCCACCGTGCCCAGCCTATACCCTCTATTTGATAAATTATCTTATTTTACTAGTTTTCATATTAATTTATTTAGGTGGGCCGGGTGCGGTGGCTCACGCCTGTAATACCAGCACTTTGGGAGGCCGAGGCTGGCAGATCACAAGATCAGGAGATCGAGACCATCCTGGCTAACATGATGAAACCCATCTCTACTAAAAATACAAAAAATTAGCCGGGTATGGTGGTGGGCGCCTGTAGTCTCAGCTACTCGGGAGGCTGAGGCGGGAGAATGGCGTGAACCTGGGAGGCGGAGCTTGCAGTCAGCAGAGATCACACCACTGCACTCCAGCCTGGGTGACACAGCGAGACTCCATCTAAAAATAAATAAATAAATAAATAAATAATTATTTAGGTTTTCCAGAGTTATAATTTTATAATCTGTAGATAGAAATTGTTTTATCTTTTCTTTTGCCTCTATTTGCTTTTTAGGACTTTACCATTTTAGCTAATTTATCTGACAATATTAAATAGTAGAGGAGATAATGGACATTTCTGCTTGTTCCATAATCAATATCCGGTTGTTTAATCACAATATAGCATTGATGAAATTGAAGGGGCACAGCTTTTGGAGTCAAGCAGCCATGGCTTTGAATTATACTTTCACCACTTACGGATTGTCTGACTTTAGGCAAAGAGCTTAATGTGCATGAGTTTTATTTTTCCCATCTGTAAAATGGATATTTATGTTTGCAATGATTAACACAATGACTAACACATGGTAGATACTCAATACATTTTTGCTCATTATTTTTCCTTCTAAATGAACACTCTATCACCTGGGATTCCTTGAAACTGCAGTGGGAAGTAGAAAAGCCAGACTGAATAAGATAGCACAGCACCTACAATCACTGAGACTGGCCTAAGATGGAAATGGAGACCGGAAACTTTTAGGCAGCAAGCCATTACTTAAAGCGGCAAATAGGTGTATCTAGCTTAAAAGAGAAAGAAATCTAGCTGTTTATCTAAGCAGTGCCCTCTGGTGGTTAGGATACATGGCTGTAGTTTAAAAAAAATCTAGATCATGGAACAGAATATTAATAAAAATAGCCAGCGTTTGGTGATCACGTTCCATCTTCCAGGGCTTTTAGCAAATAATGTGCAAGTATGAAACCCTGTGAGATATGCATATGCTCTCCCTTTCTGCAAAGGAGGACATCAGTACTTACAGAAGTTGATTAACTCAACCGAGACTGCATAGCTAATTACTGGGGATGCTAGAATTCTGTGATTTAGATATGTTTGATTTATATCTGCTATGCTATTCTGTATGTATGCTATAACTGTATAGAATATAAACAGAATACTGTACTTAGAAGGGTCCTAGAAATAAGCTAGTCCACACCACTTTTGACAGATGAAAGAATAAGAGCCCCAAAGGAGAATTGTACAGTTAACTATTAAACAATTTGAACTAGACTTCTAGGTCCCCTGACTCCCATTTTTTTGTTCTTGTTATTGCACAAAAGTTGCCTGGCCTTATTGGATTTAATTTTCCTTTCTTGCGATTGTTTGACATTTCCCCAGGATAGTAGACGGCCCTCCATATCTTTACAATTTAAAAAAAAAAAAAAAAGCGGGGGCAGGGAATAATCTCTACCAAATTTGACAACTCATTAACTACACTTTATAAAAGACATTTAATTGCTTGCCTTGTATCCTGTTTTCAGCTTTCGTCTCCAGTAGCAAATATCAATTAAATTCTAATAACAAAGAGTCTTACCACAGTTGACAAATAATCCCTTTCAGGAGAATTGCCCTCAGTGACTCTCCACAGGCAAAATTTACAATTCTTTCAGCCACAATTCTTTGCTGCTGTTTCCTCTAACATCAGATGTGACAGGTCTGCCAGGACAAGAAACAGACTTACCCTTTGAGGGCATTTTCCCATATAATGAGGTGGCTCCTGCAGAAATCACACTGCTAGTGGTGGTGACAGGCCACTATAACTCCTGCATGCTGACCATACAGAAACCTATAATTTACCCAGCTGACCAGCATCAGCGTGGGGCCAATTTTCTAGAATGATGTTCTGATTTTGTAGTTAAGTTGTTGACAATAGAATAGTTTATGAATGACAAGGAGGAAAACTAGGTTCCCTCAATAAAAATCTCCGGGAGACAATTTTCACTCAGTCTTGGGTAGCACTTTGTAATAACTAGAGCATATAAATCTGCTGCATACTGCCCAGAATACAGTCACCTCTGATCATGAGATTCAAACAGAGGCTGGTTCAGCATTTGGCCAGAATGTGGTGTAGCTCACTCAAACAGCAGATTGACTAGATAATTTTCAGATTCCTTTTCCAAACCCTAGATATGTTTCCTTGACATAATCATAATTTTTTCTCCATTGCTTTTAATTTGATTAAGCAGTAATGTGCTGTAATTACATAGCCACATTCTTTTAAAAAATCATAAAAACAATGAATCTCTGCCATCAGATGGGTGTACATCAATCAGAGACAACCATTTATTATGTAAAGCATGATGTCTTACAGTTTTGTTGCTAGCTAAAGAATAGTAGTAGAGATCCTAGTTCCAGGGAGTTTAGATGCATGGTTGTCAGGAACACCAGCTGAGTTTCAAGGTGAGATTAGAGGCTCACTGTCTTGTGATCAAAAGATATGGAAAAAATCAGATTATTTCTAATATCTCTTTTAATTATAGTATTCCAACATTCTAGAAATAACTTTAAGATTCTCAGTTGCTAAGTGAGCAAAGGTAACAATAGAATCGATACTGGATTAAGAGCTATGAAATTGTGTGTTTGGTTTCCTTCTTATTCTGTTATATGTACATATAAATCTGACATATGGTTGAATGTTTTATATGTATATAACATTATATATATGACTTTTAAAAAAGAGGCTTATTCATGTCATATGAAGAGCAGTGGACTCAGCTGAACTTTTAAATAAAATGAAAAAATTTATGGATTACATAATCGGTATCTTCAAATCATACAGGTCTAAAATGGGCTGTCACGTCAATGTTATCTGAGTTGTTTTACATGACTCAAATGGATATAAAGTTAAGAGAAAAAAATTCCACATCAATGATGTAACAAAATTGTTACCAAACAGAGCTGTTTGAGGAAAGAATAATCTACCTCATTTTTGTTGTATTCCATATCACCCCAAGTTTCAATATACATTTGATGTGCTCTGGATAGACAGAATATTAAACAGGGATTCAAATATTATTTCTCTTGCCATCCTGAGATTTTTGTCACCCTATGAATCTATTCTATTGTCTTATTTATGAAGTAGCATCAATAGGTTCTTCCGTAATCACTCAAATCCTTTCAGGAAAGTTCGTTACTCTTGGATAATCTCTACAAGCCAAAGAGATTGGTCATGGTCTTGTCTTTGGTCATTTGTAATTCCTGCACTAGCTATTTCACATTGCAGAAAAAGAAATGTTTTCCCCAAAGAAAGTCCCCTTGCAATTAAGTTACACAAAACATGGCGCTCACAGCCCGCAATCTTTAATTCACTCCTCCTGGGTAGAGTCAAACTTCATCATGCCACTAAGTGAAGGGATACCTACCACAGTCAGGAAACTAAGTGGGAAAGTATATCTGTCATAGCCTGTAGCCACCCAGAAGGAGTTCCAAGAATCTTAATCCTTAGTGAACCATGAAACTTCAGGGCAGGCAGCTTGAGCTGGGGATTTGTTTGCCTATGCAAATTCTATCATAAATCACCTCATCCTCAATGAAAAGGCTAAGGCAAAGGCCAAGGTGCTGTGCAGAATTATCACTGGGTCACAAAGACTCAGGATTTATGAGGCAAACCAGCCCTAGATCGGTCCAGTCTTTTATTAAGGTAGTTACTTTAACTCCCATTTGCCAGATGAAGAAACCAAAATTCTAAGTGTAATAGACTTTCCTTAGTTCTAAGAGTTTATGAAGATCAGAAATTTTGCCATCTGGTGCTCTATTTCCTCTCCAACCAATCTGCTTAGGTCAGCAACTTCAATTCCTGTTAATGTTTCAAAAGCCAATTATGGCGGGAAGTATGCTGACACCAGGCCAATGGATAACTCATCATTGCTCCTAATGGCTGACTCTGTAGCTGTGTATCAAAGGCTGTTGCTAAACAGTCATAGGCATTCCTTCACTCACGTCATCAATTCCGTGTTGCCTTGGTGCAGAGTCACAACATGTGTTTTTTGACAAGATGCTTTCTGTTCTAAGGATATTTAATGATTTCTCCCTTCTGGCTCTGAATAGTAATAGTATCACAGTGAAGCAAAAGGGATAAGGGATTTTAAGAGTGATGGGAGTAGTCCAAGAAAAGAAAGAGAGGAAGACAGATAAAATGCAGAAGACACTTAACTATAAATTTCGTCGGTAACATCACAGCTCTGAATTTACAAGCCTATGGCTGGATTTGGAGTTGAAATATTTGAGTTCTGCCTGTCTCTGATACATTCTAGTTCAACCGGCTTAAGTAGAATGTAAGAACTAGTTCTACAGGCTTAAGAACATCATTTACCCTTTGTGAGGCTAAGTTTGCTCACCCTCAGAAAAAGATAAATAACACTTCTTGCCGCCAGCATACATGCATGCAGTCTAGGTGCATGTGAGGTCTGAATTTAATAATATGGCATATGGAAAAGTTCTTCTGAAAATTATCAAATAACAGAAATTGCAAAAGAGATAATGACACCTGAGGTTGCCACCAGGTGTCATCTGATGATGACTCTGAGGGCTGTCACCTCCTCAACCTAGGCCTACTTTTTATAATCTATTTTTTTTTTTTTTTTTGAGACAGAGTCTTGCTCTGTCACCCAGGCTGGAGTGCAGTGGCCAGATCTTGGCTCACTGCAACCTCTGCCTCCTGGGTTCAAGCGATTCTCCTGTCTCAGCCTCCCGAGTAGCTGGGATTACAGGCGCGTACCACCACGCCTGGCTAATTTTTGTATTTTTAGTAGAGAGAGGGTTTTGCCATGTTGGCCAGGCTGGTCTTAAACTCCTGACCTCAGGTGATCTGCCCTCCTCGGCCTCCTAAAATGCTGGGATTACAGGCGTGAGCCACAGCGTTTGGCCTTACTTGTTATAATCTTTATCCTATCCCTTTCCAGTTATGTGGCATTGAACAGTGTATTTAGATTCCCTAAGTTGCATTTTCCTCATCTGTAAAAGTGGGACAACAGTTATTTCTCTATCTTTTTCCCACTGTGATTGTGAGGAAGAGGTGAGCCCAGACATGTGAAATAAAATGCATTGAAACTGGAAACCTGTATTATGTCTACAATTAAAGGAATCTTATTATTACTGAACCTCAGGCTTCCAGAAGAGGCACCTGACCTCTGGGTTCTCTGGTTAGGGAAAGATGTAGAGAGACCTCCCAGGAATTTTATATTCTGTTGCATGTGAAGGAGTAGGGTGAATGCTAAGGACTCTAGGGACATACTGCTTGGATTTGAATCCTGGCCCTGCTAATTCCCAGATGAATGACCTAAGGTAACTTTTTACTTCTCTATGCCTCAGTTTCTTTTTCTATTAAATTGCAATAAAAATATAAACTCACAAAGTTATTTTAACGATTAAATGAGCTTATCTATATGAAGAGCATAAGCAATGCACAGCACACCAAGAATACCTTCTAAGTACTAGATACTGCTATTAAATTATCCCCTTCCCTCAGCTCAGTTTGGACCCCTTCCCTCAACATTAACTTGCATAGATTTGCCTCTGGGACCAGGGCATGAAAAGGCAGGTTCGTTTTTATCTCTTACGTTGCCTGCCAGGATTTGCATCATCTAAGGACTCTGCTTAATCCAGGAGGTTCAGAAACTAACTGTTGCAAATTTTATTCCAGTTCTCTGTCATTTTAAGTGCTCCAGTAGAACCCCGAATAAAAGGGTCACCCGAGGCAAGTGTGACCATGTTCTCCCTAAGATATGGGGAAGAGTCTGGTTGGAGTCATGTGAATTGTCCAAATCAGAAGGTGGACAGAGAATTGCTTAGAAATTAAGTGTATGGCTCTTTTCCCTCTTCCTTGACTCAATGAATTCCTCTATACTTCTGCAAAATAAGACAGTGTCTTTGCAATATTTCTAGCCAATGTGCGTATATTGAATCCCACTAATTTTGCCAATACCCATTTCTCATATCTGTTATGCTGTAGTTTCACCAATTAAACTCCCATTTTAACAGCCATTAGATAAACTAATATGCTCTTTGTTCTTGAATGGAGATGAAAAGAGCTGATACATTTCTGGTAGCTGCCTCTAAGATAGGGTTTATGATCCAAAGTCTTGGGCGTACATTTCCAATTAGACCAAGTATTCAACCCTAGGGTGAAGATCAGAGATTAAAATTATCATCATCCTCCAAGCACTCCCCCACCATATACTGGTTAGGCTGTAGTAATTTTCTAGAGTAAGTTATAAACCACAGAACAATTACAGTGGGTGCAACTAATATATTTCAGAGAATGGTACTGCATTTGAATCATTCTGTTTAAGAACTTCTCAAAAAGTTTCTTCTAGCTTTTTGGCCTCATCATCATCATGATCAAAGAGATGTTTGGAATAAATTCAAATTTTTAGACAACTTTCTTTAACTAAATAATTGTGAGTCATTGTTCTCCTTCAAGCACCACTAGCTCCAGCCATACTACTGCTCATATAAAACCGATGCCTTTTAATTTTTTTTTTTAACTTTGTCTCCACTGGTACTTTTATCTTGAATGTCTCTTCCCACTCACTTAAACATGCTAATATCCATCCCTTTGACAAAATGTCTCTGATTCTCCCAATATAAAACTCCCACTTTCATTATAACACTTACCATTCTAACTTCTAATTTAATTATGTGAGTATTTGCCTATATCAGACTTCAGATTCCTGCAGGCAAGTAGATATGTCTAATCCATCTCTGAAGTCATCTAGAAAACACACAGTGCCTTGCTCAAATTAGTCAATCAATAACTGCTTATGGAAAAGACCCATTTCTAGTAGAGTAGAAAAAAGACCAGAATTATTTGAGTGTCATCTTGCCCATTATCAGGTATGTGAACTTGTGAGAAACTCTAATTTTTCATCTATAAATTGTGAACAATTATTTCAGGGTTGTTATAAGAGTTAAATGAAAATGAAATAAAATAAAATGAAAATGCCTCATTGATTGTGAATATAAAATATTACTTGTTTTCCCATTCAAAGGATTCTGCAATTCATAGAATTCACAGAATTAAAGACTCTTCAATAAAAACAAGAGGGCTAGGAAGAAGAAATTATTTAGATTAAAACTAGCATGCAGATTCCATGACTGTCCGTTCCATGTTAATTTCCTACTTTCTCCTTTTGTGATCTAGTATTTTAAAAACTACATGGTGTTCTGGAAAAGACCCTGAGGTTTGTAAACAGTCATCTAAATATGTTTTTAGTCTGTGTTATATTTTAAAGAAAATGTGGTTCTTTCAAAATATGGCTTTAATGCTGATCACTGCAGATGGGTGATATGGTTTGGCCATATCATCCATTTGGGTTTGACCCAAATCTCATCTTGAATTGTAACTCCCACAATTCCCACGTCTTGGGAGGAACCCAGTGGGAGGTGTTTGAATTATGGGGGTGGGTCTTTCCTGCGCTGTTTTCGTGATAGTGAATGAGTCTCACAAGATCTGATGATTTTAAAAATGGGAGTTTCCCCACAGAAGTTCTCTCTTTGCCTGCTGCCATCCATGTAAGATGTGACTTGCTCCTCCTTGCCTTCTGCCATGATGGTGGGGCCTCCCCAGTCATGTGGGACTGTAAGTCCATTAAACCTTTCTTTTGTAAATTGCCCAGTCTTGGGTATGTCTTTATCAGTAACATGAAAACAGACTAATACAATGGGATATTTTGCTAGATTATTCTTCATACTAAGCATTTCAAAAGTGAAAGTGTCAATATAGTAAAACTTCTGTAGGAAAGGAGGAAAGCTTCCTCTTGATCAGATTTTTTTTTTGGCCTTTTTTTTTTTCTCTCTAATAACAATGTTTATATCTCATAGATCTGCACTGGCTTTCTTGGAAAACTCATTTTATGTTCTTGCCTTATATTTAGGTGAAGTTATATCCTGTAACCCCCCAAAAGTCAACCTTTCATGCTCATAGGGTTGTTATGAAAACTAATTAGTATTAGCTGGGCGCGGTGGCCCATGCCTGTAATCCCAGCACTTTGGGAGGCTGAGGTGGGTGGATCATGAGGTCAGTCATTCAAGACCAGCCTGGCCAACATAGTGAAACCCCCTCTCTACTAAAAATACAAAAAATTATCTGGGTGTGGTGGCGGGTGCCTGTAATCCCAGCTACTCGGGAGGCTGAGGCAGGAGAATTGCTTGAACCTGGGAGGTGGAGGTTGCAGTGAGCTGAGATCACACCACTGCACTCCAGCCCAGGCAACAGTGCGAGACTCCATCTCAAACAAACAAACAAACAAACAAAACTAAACAGTGTAAATGATGATTTTCTTGTATGTAGTTGATTAAACATTTAGTTAAACAACAAAAGAAGATTTGTTAGGGCCCCAGTGGTCTTCAGAATCAAACAATTTTGGTTTGAATCCAGTATTCACCATTCACCAGTTGTTGGCTTTAGGCAAGGTAATCAACCTGTTTATTGCTCATTTTCTTCATCATAAAATTAGAATAAAAAACAGAGACTTAATATTATTGCCTTGAGGATATATGTATATTTCCTAATACAGTTCCAGTCGTATAGTAGGCTCTCAATAAATAGCAACTGCTTTAAAAATATATACTTATGAGAGTCTTCATAGCTATACCTCTGCCAGCCATTAATGGGAGCAGGATTTGGGCTCTCCCATTTATGGGAGTTTTATGCTGTATACACTAGAGCAGTGTTGACATAATTTAGGCTTAGTAAATGTTTGGTGAACCAGAAGATGAATAGAGGCCTCATGTAACTCCCAGCCATGTCTTCAAATCTTAACATTTAAATCATATCAGCCCTCTGTGACTTTGTGTAATGATAGTCTGGGGACATGCAATGGCCCAGTGCAAATAAAAATTGAAACATTTTCAACATTTTCTCCTATTAGCAATGTTTTTACAAAGAAATTTTCTAGTCTTAAATAAGCACTTACATAAGAAGTGGTGAGAATAAAGTAAATCAGCATATACTTTGATGAAAATGGAATTGCCAGAGCTGTTATCTAAATTAAGTTGGAAATGTGAGTGATGATGTGAGTGTTATGAGTGGATTCACACAATTTTTGTTTTTGGACCTCTAAATGATGTCATCAGCCTTTCCTCCTTGTGCTTTCTGCCATCTTCAGTGATTCTGTAATGCCACATAGTTGGATACTGAAGTATCAACTTAACTCATTTCAAATCACAGATTCAGTGTCCTCTGCTCACATAGAAATGGAACCACCCTCCTTGCCATTTACAATAACTCCTGACCATCCAGCTATGAGGTGCCCATGATTGTACTGACAGTTCCCAAAGTTCAACCACCCATGTTCTCATCATATATAGATAATACATATCTGTCTTCCATATTGAAGTTTTCATAGCTTTTCATATCGATTCTCTCATACAGTCCTTATAACCAATCTGTGGAGGTGGCTGAAAAAGTATGACATCATTATTTTAGAGATAAAGAAACTGAAGTTAATCTAGGTGTTACCATTTTAGAGAGAGAAACTTGGTGGTCTCAGTAAAACTTGGCCCTAGTTTCACCTTTGAAATGAATTCATTGTTATGGGCATTCATGCTGTTTAGGTCTAAATCTACTCCTCTGTTACATGCCAAATGGATTTCTTGGTTTGTTTCCAACAATAACATCCAATGTTTCCTAACTATTCCAAATACAATTCAGATAAAAATGTTATGGTGGCAGTAGTAGAATCTAAGTCTTCTGAGCCCTACTCAAGTCATTTTTCTAGAGAGCTGCCAATGGCCAACATGAAGACAGAGTCCTGGGCATGTCCTTTATGCCAGAGGTTTCCAGATATGGATGCTTAGCAGATTTACCTATTTTTGTTAAAAATACAAACTCTGGAGTTCATTCTCAATGATTCTGATTGTGTAGGTCTGGTTTTTAAGCCTATGTTGAAACCTGATGATTTAGGACATGAAAAAGACTCCTAAATGTATTGGTTTCATGGCCTTTCCTTGAAGTGGTGCCAATACAGTAACCTGGCTGTCATTTGACTCTGATGTAGACCAAGTCAATGGCCTTAAAAGGATCTACTGGGGATATTAAGGTGCATTCTTCAAGTTCCATTTTTTTTTCTAGGAAATCTGATATCCAACTCACAATTTTCTCCCATTTTAAGGCGGGGTCTTGGGGATGGACAAAATAGGGTGAATGAGCATGCTATTCTGGATCCCAGAGCCATCTCTGGAGAGAGAAATCATACTGAATCAAATCACCTTCCCCACAAATATCTTTCAGAAGGAATAAATTAATATGGTTAGTTGCTACCAAACAATTGACTTTCAGACAATGACCTTTACCTTCTCACTTCTCTCACTGAGATAAAGTGAAGGGCAGCCCCATGGCTCCTGCTGTTAAGTGGAACCTAAGTGGAAGAGAAGAGGGACCAATGTTTCTGAGCTGATAATCACCTAGAAAAGGTACTTAACAGAGTCCAGAAGGGATTTCAGTTGAGGTTTTGGCTAATGTCAAAAATATTCTGTTTCAAGATTTCTCCAGGTTGTACAAAGTAGCATATAAAGCTTGAAAAAATAAAGGTAAGCTAAAGAAATCATAGTATAACATGTATGTATTTTTTCTTCTTGTAAATAATATACTAATTTTTTTTCTGATTTTTTTTTCATAAAATAAGCTAATAGAAAAGACCAAAATAGCACAGGTCTTGGAGTAACCATCTGTCTTGGCCACACATGGAAAAAAATGAACAACCTGCATTGATAGTGACCTTTTGCTCAGACCATGTGCCTGAGGAGGTGACACTGAACAGTAGAAAGTCAGACACATCAAGATCTGAATGCTAAGTCTGTCATTACTATGTGTGTGACTTTGGACACAATCACCATCCACCAGAGTTATTGTATTAAGTCTCCTAACTAGTTCCCTGCTTTTGTTACTGTTCTTCAGTCTATTCTTGGCAGTCATAGTCTTCTAGTCTATTCAATCTATTCTTCTTCTTCAGTCTATCTCAGCAGCCAAAGAGATCTGGTTGGAGTGCAAGCCAGGTCATTCTACTGTGCTACTCACCTCATTCTAATGACTACCCATCTTCCTCAGAGTAAAAGCCAAAGTTCTTACAATGGCTTATGATGCCCCATATGATCTCATGCCCCATTGTTTCTTCCTAATCTTACTTTGTACTTAATGTTGTTCACTGTGCTTCAACTATTCTAGTCTCTTTAGTATTCCTCAAACATACCAAGAACTCGCTTAGTTTGGAGCTTTACACATTTTCTTCACTCTGCCCTGACTTCTTTTCTTCAGGCATCTATGTGGCTTACTCCTTCATATCCTTCAGGTCTTTTTTTTACAAACTTTTCCTTCTCAGTAGAACATTTCTTAACCAGTCCATTTAAAATCACTTTTCCCCACAACATGCTCTGTCTCATTTCATGTTGGCATTTTTTTCCCTTTCTTTATCTCTTCTCACCATCCAACATATTATATATTACTTGTGTCATTTATTATTTGTCTCTTTTCAGTGGAATGTAAACTTTATGAGAACAGATAATTTGTTGGTTATGCTCATTGATCAATTCTTAGCATCTGGAGTTAATGCCTAGCATATGGTATGCCGATATGGTTTGGCTGTGTCCCTACCCAAATCTCATTTTGAATTATAGGTCCCATAATCCCCATGTGTTGTGGGAGGAATCCAGTGGGAGGTAGTTGATTCTTGGGCCCGGTTACCCTCATGCTGCTGTTCTTGTGATAGTGAGCGAGTTCTCATGAGATCTGATGGTTTTATAAGGGGCTTTTCCCTCTTTTGCCCAGCACTTCTCCTTCCTACCATCACATGAAGAAGGACATGTTTGCTTCCCCTTCTGTCATGATTGTAAGTTTCCTGAGGCCTCTCCAGCCACACTGAACTGTGAGTCAATTAAACCTCTTTCCTTTATAAATACCCAGTCCCAGGTATGTCTTTCTTAGCAGCATGAGAACAGACTAATGCAGTAAATTGGTACCACAGAGAGTGGGGTGCTGCTATAAAGATACGTAAAAATGTGGAAGTGACTCTGGAACTGGGTAACAAGCAGAGGTTGGAATAGTTTGGAGGGCTCAGAAGACAGAAAGAGGGGGGAAAGTTTGGAACTTCCTAGAGACTAGTTGAATATCTTTGACCAAAATGCTAATAGTGATATGGACAATGAAGTCCAGGCTGAGGTGGTCTCAGATGGAGATGAGGAACTTGTTGAGAACTGGAATAAAGGTGACACTTGCTATGGTTTAGCAAAGAGACTGGTGACATTTTGCCCCGCCATAGAGATCTGTCAAACTTTGAACTTAAGAGAGATGATTTGGGGTATTTGGCAGAAGAAATTTCTAAGCAGCAAAGTGTACAAGATGCGACTTGGGTGCTGTTAAAAGCATTCAATTTTATGTATTCACAAAGATATGGTTTGGAATTGGAACTTATGTTTAAAAGAGAAGCAGAGCATAAAATTACAGAAAATTTACAGCTTGATGATGCAATAGAAAAGAAAAACTCATTTTCTGAGTAGAAATTCAAGCCAGCTGCAGAAATTTGCATAACTAGCAGCAAGGAGCCAAAAGTTAATTGCCAAGACAATGGGGAAAATGTTTCCAAGGCATGTCAGAGGTCTTCACGGCAGCTTCTCCCATCACAGGCCCAGAGACCTAGGAGGAAAAAATGGTTTCATGGGTGGGGCCCAGGGCCTTGTGGCTTTGGGCAGTCTCAGGACTTGGTGCCCTGTGTCTTTTAGCTGTGACTAAAAGAGGCCAAGGTACAGCTCAAGCCATGGCTTCAGAGGGTGCAAGTCCCAAGCCCTGACAGCTTGCACATTGTGTTGAGCCTGTGGGTGCACAGAAGTCAAGAATTCAAGTTTGGGAACCTCCACCTAGATTTCAGAGGATGTATGGAAATGCCTGGATGTCCAGGCAGAAGTTTGCTGCAGGGGCAGGGCCCTCATGGAGAACCTTGGCTAGGCCAGTGCAGAAGGGAAATGTGGGTTTGGAGAGCCCACACAGAGTCCCCACTGGGGCATTCCCTAGTAGACCTGTCCTCCAGACCTCAAACACAGGTCTGCCTGAGAGTGCCCCATTGTCCTCCAGACCCCAGAATGGTAGATCCACTGACAGCTTGCACCATGCACCTGGAAAAGCCACAGACACTCAATGCCATCCTATGAAGGAAGCTTGGAGTGGGGCTGTACCCTGCAAAGTCACAGGGGCAGAACTTCCTAAGGCCATAGGAGCCCACCTCTTGCATCAGTGTGACCTGAATGTGAGACAGGAAGTCAAAGTAGATAATTTCAGAGCTTTAAGATTTGACTGCTTTGCTGGATTTTGGACTTGCATGGGGCCTGTAGCCCCTTTGTTTCAGTAAATTTCTCCCATTTGGAATAGGTGTGTTTACCCAATGCTTGTACCCCATTGTATCTAGGAAATAACTAACTTGCTTTTGTTTGTACAGGCTCATAGGTGGAAGGAATTTGCCTTTCTCAGATGAGACTTTGGACTTGGACTTTTGGGTTAAAGCCAGAATTAGTTAAGACTTGGGGGGAAGGGGGCTGTTGGAAAGGCATAATTGTGTTTTGAAATGTGAGGACATGAGATTTGGGAGGGGCTGGGGTGGAATGATATGGTTTGGCTGGTGTCCCCACCCAAATCTCATCTTGAATTGTAGTTCTCATAATCCCCACATGTCATGGGAGGGACCCAGTGGGAGGTAATTGAATCATGGGGGTGGTTACCCCCAGGCTGCTGTTCTTGTGATAGTGAGTGAGTTCTCATGAGATCTGATGGTTTTATAAGGGGCTTTTCCCCTTTTTGCTTAGCACTTCTCCTTTCTGCCATCATGTGAAGGACATGTTTACTTCCCCTTCCACCATGATTGCAAGTTTCCTGAGGCCCCCCTACACATGCTGAACTGTGAGCCAATTAAACCTCTTTCCTTTATAAATTACCAAGTCTCAGGTATGTCTTCATTAGCAGCATGAGAAGGAACAAATACATAGGCATTTGGTAAATATTTAATGAATGAATGAAGGAGATAATGAATAAATTAAAGATAGTGGGATTCTGACAGATTTACTTCCTCATCCGTGAAATGGGAATGATACCTGCTAGCATAGCCCTATTGCATTTTAGGCATGTAATTCATCACACATCTCTTCCTCTACATCTAGGCCTATATAGGATTATTTTCTATCATCTACATCCTGAGAATAGAGTTAAAAATAAATCCCTCCTTAAAACAGCAGCATTCCAACTCCACAGTTCCACTATCTAGATTTCATTTTGCAAATTAGCTTGACAAATACACTATTTCTATTTGGTTTGTCCTATTTTACAGAGTAGATGCTCAGTATATCTTAATTTCATTTTTCTTTCTCCCTTCATTTTTTATGTACATAAACACTGTCTCAGCAAATAAGTTCCTTTTACAGATTTTTTGCTCATTTTGGTAAAATCTAAAATACTATAATTCAAGTACTAAGCAGAGATTCAATCAATGTTGGCTTAAATATATATAAAAGACAAGAAATTTAATAATAACATCTTTCTCTTTGCAGAAATGCAGATGGTCAGAATGCCTTGTTTGGCCATTCCCAAGTATGAGTTATTGTCAGGGAAAGTGTGGACCCAGCTAGAACAGCAATGATTTTGCAGTATACACCTCCTGGCTGCTTACATCCCTGAAAGGCAGTGAACAAAGGCACAGCAGGCCCCGGGGTTGCTTTGGTTAGATTCTGCTATCCGCAGAGATCTTTTGGTGACCACATACACGTTTCAGTTTATTTATCTAAGGGCTCCTCTTGTAGGGCCAGACCAGGGAAAAAGGGAAAAGGGAGGCCAGATGTGTTAAGGATGGCAAGTGCCTGGAAAGCCTTGGATTGGGTTTCAGTTAGTAATTATAAAATGCTAAGTATAATCCAGGGTATTCTAGTTTCCCTTCCCAGACCACAGACCCCTGGGGGAAAGTACACTATAACAAATAAAGGTGCTCTCTCAGCACACTGGGAAGTATTCGCAGATTTTCAGATATTTTTTCATTGAAGAATCCAAACTTGAATTGAGTCATATTTGGGAAGTGTGTCTGACCTACATAACAATGATGAGTGCAAAATGGTTTGTAAGTAAGATCCCAAGCTTCAGAGGCCTGAGTAATGTTGCCCACACCGCTCAGTATGGGGTCCTCTTCCCTTTAGGCACAACATAGAAATTGTATAACAACAGCTAAAAGCTTCCTTCTTACGTTGCAATGAGGCTAAAAACACAGAGCAGCTACAAAGAGGAGCACTCAGGGGAAGAAATCTTTAAGACATTATTATTAGGTTGGCACAATTACTTTTGCACAAACCTAATAGTATGTAGAAAATAAGATACTGGATATTGTAAAATAGAGAATTATTAAAGAAAAAGCGGTCTCCTTGAGATGTGTGTAATAAAAATGAAGAACAAAAGAGGTAAAAATATTGGTGATACAATACTACAAAAGAATCAGCTAAATTTTCCACTGCTATATGGCTAGCCCTGCATGAGGCATTCTATATAATGATTTCAATTAATCAAAATAGTAATCTTAATTTTTTTTTTTTTTTTTTTGAGACAGAGTCTGGCTCTGTCGCCCAGGTGGGAGTGCAGTGCCACGATCTCGGCTCACTGCAAGCTCTGCCTCCTGGGTTCACGCCATTCTCCTGCCTCAGCCTCCCGAGTAGTTGCGACTACAGGCGCCCGCCACCATGCCCGACTAATGTTTTGTATTTTTAGTAGAGACAGGGTTTCACCGTGTAAGCCAGGATGATCTCGATTTCCTGACCTCATGATCCACCCGCCTCGGCCTCCCAAAGTTCAGGGATTACAGGCGTGAGCCACTGCGCCCGGCCAAATTTTTTTTTTAATTGACAGATAATGCTAAGTACATTTATTATGTACAACATGGTGTGTTTAGGTATAATAATAATCTTTTATGGTAGTTATTTTCTCTTTTTTACAGCTGATGAAATTGAGAACATAGACAAGTGATTCATGAAAGATAGTATACCTATAGCATGTGAGAATTGATGACCTAGATTTGTCTGACTCCAAAGTGTACAATCTATGTCCTATGCTACATGGACTTACTACTTAACATTTCTGAATTTTTAACCATTTTAAACTAAGAGACTGATCATTATTTCAGGTTTGGTGCAAGAGAAGACAAATTTCAACCAGGAATTTAAAAAAAATGCTTGTAAGTGTGAAATGAAATGAGATTTATTGACTAATGACAAGTGATATTTTTAAAATATTTTTTGAGGCTTCAGGTTTGAGATGAAATGGCATACACTCATTTCCCCTGCTTCTCCCTGCTAAGTACAACTAAAAACACATGGAAATAATACAGAGGACAGTAATAAGAGAATTCTGAAAGGTGGACAGAAGAAAGTGAACTGATGAGGAACCAAGTCCAGGACTTGAGTAAAAGCACAATGATCCTCTGTCTTCTGACTCTGCACCCATTGGTGGAAGATGTCAGGCCTGTCATTTCCCGGTGCTCCCCTTAGGAGGAGAATGGGCTCAGTTCTCCACAGTAACATGAGCAGAGAGCAAGTGGGAGCTGAGTTGACATCAGCCAGCCTGTAGAGCAGGCCAAGTGAAATGACGTCTGAGCCCCTCATCATGCAGCCTGGGGAGATCCTTTCCTCCCTTCACTAACAGGGACGAAGCAGGAGTACCTTGCAACCTGGAGAAGAGTCTTCCACCCTTACAGGCCCACAATTTCCTCCTCACCCTCAAACTAGCAGCACCAGGTGCAAGGAACACATTCTTTCGCCAGTGACAGAACCAGTAGAAAAATGGAGCCAGAGCCCGACTGTCACCAAGGATAACAGAATAGCATTCCAAGGGCTCTGAAAACTAAATTGTCATTGAAACCGCAGCTCACAGAAGCAGGTCGGGACTTGTGTGCTAAGTCTAAACAGGGTGTCTCCCTGCTAAAATAAAAGTTTAAATAGGGTCCAGAGTCTCTTAGAATAACACCCAAATATCCAGGAGACGATGAGAAATAACTTCTTTTATCAAGAAATGAGAAAAGAAAAGAGATTCTAATTGAAATGAATCATATGTTGAAATTGTTTAATAAGGATGTTAAAACAGCCATCATAAAAATGTTCCAATGGACAATTTCAAATACTCTTGAAAAAATAGAAAATTGTCTCAAAATATAGGAGAAATAAAAAATAAATGGAAAATATAGAACTGAAAAATACAATATAAATAAATTTTAAAATTTCACTGAGTGGGCTTGATAGTGGAGTGAATATAATAAAGGAAAAAATAGTAACTTGAAAATAGAACAATATAAATTATTTAATCTTAACAACACAGAGAAAATAGAAAAACAATGAACAGAGCCTCAAGGGCCATAACAAAATATCTATTACTTATACCATCCATGTGTCAGAAAAAGAAGACAAAGAAGGTAGGACTGCAAATTTATTTGAAGAAGTAATAATTAAAAACTTCCCACATTTGGCAAATGACATAGACCTACAGATTTCAAAGAGCTGATTGAACTACAAGTAAAAGAAACCCAAAGAATTCAGAGCAAGACTTATCGTAACTGAATGTCTGAAAATAAAGACAAAGAAAAGATCTTGAAAGTAGCCAGAGAAAAATGACTCTATCTATAGGGGACCACTTATTTGAATGACATTAGATTTCTCATCTCGGACCATGGAGGCTGGAATTAAGTGGCACATTTTTCAAGTACTGAAAGAAAAGGAATCCTACATTCAGTAAAAATTTACTTCATTAACAATAAAAGGAAAAAAAATTCCAGATGATGAAAAACTAAGATAAGTTGTTATCAGCTGACTTTTCCTTAAAAAATGACTAAAGAAAGTTTTTCAAACAGAAAGAAAATGATAACTGAAGAAGGCTTGGAGCTTCAGAGAGGACAGAACAAAGGAATGGGTAAAAATATGGAGAAATATAATTATTTTACTCCTCAGGAGTTTATTAGATCATATGTGATGATTAAAGCAAAAATTATAACAACATATTTTGGATGTTGTAATGTAAAGGAAATAGTCAAGACATCATATTTTATATAATAATATTTATAATATATTTTATATAATACATTTTGTATACTTATATTAAATATCTTAATATATTTTATATATTTATTATATTTTATATAATAAGTAGTTAAGACATTATATTTTTAAATTGGAGAAGGGAAAGGAACCAAAGTGGAAGTAAAGTTTCACTACACTGGAAGTAGTAAAATGTCAATACTAGTAGACTGCAATAAGTCATGTATGTATGTTGCAATACCTAGAGCAATGGCTAAGGACACTATACAAAGCAATATACTCAAAAACACTACATAAATCAAAATGAGATGCTAGATAACGTTTGAGTGACCTACAAAAAGTAAAGAGAAAGAAGAAAGAGAAATAAAAGGAGCAAATAGAAAACAAAATATAAAATGGCAGTCTTAAACCCAATGTATCAATAAACATTTTAAATATAAAGGGTATTAATGCACCAATACAAAGACAGACCTTGGCAGAGTTTATAAAACAAAACAAACAATGACCCAACTGTATTCTGTCTACAAGAAATTCGTTTTAAATATAACATGAGTAGATTGAAATTAAAAGGGTAGAAAAAGTATATTATGCAAACATTAAAAATAGCTAAAGTGGCTATATTAATATTAGCTAAAACAGACTTTAGAGCGAAGACAATCACTAGGGACAAAAAGGAACATTACACAATGATTCATTTTAAATCCTGACTTTAAGCAAGAAATCTTTCCATGTTTACAGTGATAATATTAATAAAATAAAATATGTATGACCTGACGTTATACATCAGAGCAGAGATGTATACGGTTTATCACAGGGTACCTTATACAACCCAAACTCTTTCATTAATATTAAACATTATTATCAATTTTTTTTTTCTGATTGCCCAAGTGATACAAAATCAAACAAAAATCCAGCCAAATAGAAAAGTAATTCAAAGGCCTAGAAATGGCATGGTCTTTGACATGTTTGCAAACGAAATAAAGCCTTTATGGCATGTGGGAGGTTATTTGGAGGAAGAGTAGATGAGTTAATGGAGGCAGCCAGAGGCCAGATCATACAGACCCTTTGTAGACCATGAGAAGGAGCTTGGCTTTTGATTCTAAAGGCATTGTGAAGTGATGGTGGTATTATTTTAAGTATAGGAATGATACGATTACAGTTTTATGATCCTGAAACTACTGGGGAGAAAGAGAATTGGGTATTGTTTAGGGGATGATAAACGTAGAGCATCTAGGTAGGGATGCCCTGTTATTCAAACAGGTCAGGAACAAAAGACAGAGTCATAGCTTTGTGGGTCACAGGCATAGAGTTCATCCGCAGGGGAACCATGTAAACAGAAGAGAGAAAAACTGAGAAGAAAATCCCAGGAAACACCAATATAGAGATTGTGGGCAGACAAAGAGGAGCCAAAGGGAAAATTCCAACTGCATACATTTTGTGTCTGGATTTATTTCTAGATCAAGCATCTGTCTTGTAATCCTTTATCTTTTACTATCCTAATGAAATGGACTGAGACATCGTTTGACCTCTGGGGTATTTTATTTAATGTAGGTTTCTTATTCATTTTGTCACGTAAAAAGTAGTACTGGTGCTAGATAAAAGAAGGGTCTAGGGTTTAAAATGCTCAGGGTTGTTTTGCTTGTTTCATTAAGAAGCTAAGAAGAGCAAACTACTCATGGGTCATTTAATCAGACATATGTAGTCTGTCTTATCCAGTTGATGTTAGTCTTTTTTTTTTTTTTTTTGAGACGGAGTGCCCAGGCTGGAGTGCAATGGCGCTATCTCAGCTCACTGCAATCTCTGCCTCCTGGGTTCAAGTGATTCTCCTGCCTCAGCCTCCCGAGTAGCTGAGATTACAGGCGTAGGCTACCACACCCAACTAATTTTGTATTTTTAGTAGAGACAAGATTTCACCATATTGGTCAAGCTGGTCTCGAACTCCTGACCTCAAGTGATCCACCCACTTTTGCCTCCCAAAGTGTTGGGATTACAGGCGTGAGCCACTGTGCCCAGCTGTTTGATATTGGTCTTAACTTTATCTTCAAATCTACTAAATTACCAATTTGAATGTCTAACCATTGATCCTACTTGGAGGATTTATTATGCCTGAGCTA
Source organism: Homo sapiens (assembly GCF_000001405.40). Classification (NCBI taxonomy): domain Eukaryota; kingdom Metazoa; phylum Chordata; class Mammalia; order Primates; family Hominidae; genus Homo; species Homo sapiens. The sequence goes on from NC_000008.11 coordinate 121,849,606, forward strand.
TTTGAGCCAATATGTTTATGATTAGTTATAAATTCAGTGAGATTTCAAATTACCTGTTACAAAGTTCTTTCCAGAGCTAACACAAAATCAACCAAAGAAAGCATACCATTAAAGCCCCTTTTATCTCATAGCTTGTTTTCAACTCATTGCCTCTCACTTGGTGTTGTGACTAGGAAGACTATTTCCCTCTTTCTATCTCTGTTTCCATCCATCTACCTTTTGTTTACTGTATTGATCATTGTTTTGAGTTTGCATCCACTACTCAATGAACAAAAAAGGGGCTAAAAGTTTAGAATTAAAAGAAGTAAAGATAAAGAAAGTAAAATCAATAATTCTAGCAAAAGTTTTCACATTTTAGGAGTAGATTAGTATATTTAGTGAACAAATGTTGAAGTTTCTTTAAAAAAAGGCTGACTTAAATATTGAGTTGATACATATCCTGTCAATAATGTCTTCTAACCTGAATGAGAAAAAATATGGCTTATAGACAAGTATGTATGTAGCAAGAGCGAGTCTTAAATTCTCAAAGGAAAGGTGAACAAGCAAGCCAGAGCCCAGCGTGAATAGTGCATAAAAGCCTGTAAGAAAACATTCAGGTTGATGACCTGCCACGGTAATGCAAAGTTCAGATCACAGAATACCTGGCTCTCCTCCCAGTGTTTACTTTCTTGGGTGTTGACTAATTCTAAGACTGTTAGGTTATTCCTCTTAATAATGCTTTAAAACTAAAGGCAGATATCTATAAAGTCTTTTACAATGGGATAAAGATAACAGGAAACAAATCAGAAGGTTCAAGGAATACACTAGTTCTCTTTTCCTTGCTCCTATCTGTGTTGAAGGTATATTGGAAAAGATATGGATCACAGCTGCCTATGTGTTCCTTGACCTGATGTCTCACTTTACTCATTTGTATCATATGAACCAATTTTTACCTTGTAAGATTATAGATAATTCACTTAAAGCACCCCATACGTAAAAAGTGGGCAAAAAATTATAATCATCTATATCAAAGTTTTGCCACTCTTTTTAAATTCAAGAATAGCTATCTCTAAATCTCACCAATGGAATCTCATTACAAAGTTTTCCAATTTGACAAACTGGTAAAGAAGAGGAGAAACAGTCTGGGATCCAGGAGTCCTGGGTTTACATTACTTATGCAATGAACTTGGCAGAGATGTCTTCATCACCCTGGACTTTGGTTTCATCAATTAGAAAATGTGGTTATTTGCAAACATATTTGGTTGTCCTAATTACTTCACATTCAAGAACTGGAGTAATAGTAATAATACTAACAATGCTTAGTATATGACCAGCCCTATTCTAATTCGTTTGTACATAATGGCTGACATAATCCTCACACTAGCCCTACATATTATTCTCATATCATTGTTTCTTACAGAAAAGGAACTGAGGCACAGAAGAGTTGAGCAATTATATAGTCAATTGCAGAGGGAAATTCAGATATAGGTACATTAGTGCCACATTCAAAGTTCCTAACCATCATGCATAGTGCATGTTAGGTGATAGGTCCATTTGGCTGACATATTTGGAGAAGAAATTAAAACCCTTAAGACAAGTTTTTATGGATGAAAAGAAAAAAGGCTGAAAACAATGATGAGAAATGGAAACTTCCACTCCAGTTTCCTGAGCATTAAGGTATTAACATTGTTTGGGAGGCTTTGGCAGTCTGGAATAATTTCTCATTTGTGACCCTGACACAAAAAGAGGGGAGATAGACAATGATGGCATGCTTAATATGCATGGAGATTTCTTGCATATTTTCCATTTAGCATCCCAGTCCCTAATGCGTGCAATTTGAATTTTCTTCTTGATTTAGCTTATGCACTGCTAGCTAATATTACATCTTTGACAGAATATGACAAGCATGTATCTTGGATGTGATCTGTTTCTCATATGTTATTCCATTTTTGCTTTCAGTTTATTCTAATATAGCTGATTTTGCACCAAGAAACCAGAAGAGAATGGAAAGTAAAGAAAAGAGGCATATGACTTGGATAATAATTTACTGCTTGGTTTAAAAATTCTAATTCATCTCATGGATTTTTATACCAACTCCAGCTTAGATCAGAAAATGTGTAGGTGTTAGGGGCATAATCTCACCCTACTTTTTTTAAAACAATGTGCTAAATATTTTTTGGCAGTATGTTAATCACTCTCTTAGAAATGGAAATTCTGCAATAAACATCACAAACCTTAACTTGCTTCCTGATTCAGGCGTTTTTGATTATGAGGAAGCTGGCATCTGTTCACAGACTTAACACCACCTTTCCTGAATCCATATTTCTTCATCTCGCTTATCTGCTAAGGGATTATGTTCATATTTTAGAATATAAAATTTTTCTTGCTCATTATCCCCTAAGGGAGTTGTTAAAACACACACAAGATGAAATGTAATTTTTAACTATAAGGAAAACTAACTAGTGAAAAAACTGCATAAATCAGAGATGAGGCCCAGCTTGCCTTGGTTTGAGGGCCTCTGGGCCCTGCCTCAAAGTTTGTTTGTTTGTTTAGTTATCCCAGTTGTTGCTGGATTTTTCATTCTATATAGTGAAGGCAACAAAAAATGGGAGTTCAGAAATTGATGCTTGGAGAGCAGGTGATAGATGATAGATATAGATAGATAGATAGATAGGCAGATATATATATATATAGAGAGAGAGAGAGAGAGAGGTGTATATATCTTTAGCTATAGCTTTACAGATGTGTAGATCTATATATAAACGTATAGCTATATAGATCTCTTTCTCTATCTAGCTCCTTAATCCTTAACCCCAATAAATCAAAAAGTTCCTTGATTTGAGCTTATGATTCTTGAAATAATGGAAGTTCATCCTTTATAATGATCTCTGAATGCATGTCTTAGTAGTTCAAGTCTGTAAATCCAGGTTACTCTGTATTCCAACAAGGTTGAAGAGAAGAGATGAAAGCTCAAACCGTCACTTCAGAGAATGGGAAATAACCAAAGCAAGTTGAAAGATTAGTGGGAATAAATACTGAATTAGCATTATTTTTAATCCTAAACTTAGCCTAACACATTAAGTGGACCTAATTTTTCAGCTTTAATATGCCAAGATAAAAAAGTACACAGCACATATTCCCTCAAGATAAGCAATCTCCCATACCTGCAAACATCAGTCCTTCCCTACTGCCACCAGCCCTCCCATGGCAGTAAAACAATCCATTGTCTTCGAACCAGCTAACAACATTATAACATGATCAAAATGTGACATATCAATATTAACCTTGAATGTAAAGAGTCTAAATGCCCCCAATTAAAGCAGAGTGGCAAGTTGGATTAACAAAAAACAAAGCCCAACCTTCTGCTGTCTTCAAGGGACCCATCTCACATGTAATGATATTCAGAGAATTGAAGTAAAGAAATGGAGAAAGCCCTACCAGGCAAACAGGAAACAAAAAAGAACAGGAGTCACTATTCTTGTATCAGATAAAACAGACTTTATTTATTCATTTATTTATTTATTTATTTATCCATCCATCCAAGATGGAGTCTTGTTCTGTCGCCCACGCTGGAGTGCAGTGGCGCAGTCTTGGCTCACTGCAACCTCTGTCTCCTGGGTTCAAGCAATTCTCCTACCTCAGCCTCCTGAGTATCTGGGATTACCAGTGCACACCACCACGCCCAGCTAATTTTTGTACTTTTAGTAGAGACGGGGTTCCACCATGTTGGCCAAGCTGGTTTCGAACTCCTGACCTTGTGATCCACCCTCCTCAACCTCCCAAAGTGCTGGGATTACAGGTGTGAGCCAGTGCGCCGTCCTAAAACATGCTTGAAACCCACAACAGTAAAAAATGGACAAAGAAAGGCATTACGTAATGATAAAGGATTCAATTCAACAGGAAGACTTAACTATTTTTAAATATATACACACTCAACATTGGAACACTAGACTCATAAAACAAGTACTTCAAGACTTATGAAAAAACTCAGGCAGCCACACAGTAATAGTGGGGGATTTAAACACCCCACTGACAGAGTTGGACAGATTATTGAGGCAGAAAACTAACAAAGATATTCTGGACTGAAATTTGTCATCTGACCAGTTGGACTTAATAGACAGCTCCAGAATACAACATCCAGCACTCACAGAATAGACATTTTTCTCATCTGCACACAGAGCATACACTAGCACTGACCACATGCTTAGCCTTTATGGCTATCTCAATAGGTTCTAAAAAAATTCAGGTCATGCCAAGCGTATTGCCAGACCATAATGAAATAAAAATAGAAATGAATACCAACAGAATCTCTCAAAACCACACAATTACACAGAAACTAAACAACTTTATCCTGAATGACTTTTGGGTAAACAATGATATTCAGGCAGAAATAAAAAAAATTCTTTGAAATAAATGAAAACAGAGGCACAATATTCCAAAATCTATGGGATAGACCAAAAGCAATGTTAAGAGGAAAATCTATAACACTAAATGCCTCCATCAAGAAGACAGAAGGATCTCAAATTACTAATCCAACATTGTACCTAGAGGAAATAGAAAACCAAGAACAAATTAACCCCAAAGCTAGCAGAAGAAAAGAAATAGCTAAAATCAGAGCAGAATTGAAAAAATTGAGACTAGGAAATCCATACAAAGGGTCAACAAAATGAAAAGTTAGTTTTTTGAAAAAATAACAAGATTGATAGACTGCTATCTAGATTAACAAAGAAAAAAGAGAGAAGATCCAAATAAGCATGATCAAAAACAACAAAGATGACATTACAACTAATCCCACAGAAATACAAAAGATTCTTACAAACTATTATGAACACAAACTAGAAAATCTAGAGGAAATAGATAAATGCCTGGAAAATACAACCTCCCAAGATTGAAGAAATTGAAACCCTGAATAGACCAAAACAAGTTCAGAAGTTGAATCATTAATAAAGAACCTACCAATCAAAAATATCCTTTGGCCAGATGGATTCATAATCAAATTTTACCAGAGAGAAAAAGAAGAGCTGATACCAGTCCTACTGAAACTATTCCAAAAAACTGAGGAAGAGGTACTATTTCTTAACTCATTCTTAACTGCATAAACCAGCATCATCTTGATACCAAAATCTGGCAAAGACACAAGGAAAAAAGAAAACTACAGGCAAATATCCCTGATGAACATAGACACAAAAAGTCTCAACAAAATACTAGCAAGCCAAATCCAGCGCACATCAAATAGTTAATTAACCATGATCAAGTAGGCTTTATGCCTAGGAAGCAAGATTGGTTCAACATACACAATTAATAAATTTGATTCACCACATAAACAGAATTAAAAACAAAAACTGCATCTCAATAGATGCAGAAAAAACTTTCAATATAATCTGATATCCCTATCCCTTCAGGATAAAAACCCTCAACAAACTAAGCATCAAAGGAACATATATCAAAATAATAATAAGAGCCATATATGAAAAACTCACAGCCAACATCATACTGAATGGGTAAAAGCTGAAAGCATTCCCCGTAAGAACTGGAACAAGACAAGGAGGGCAACTCTCCCCACTCCTATTCAACATAGTACTGGAAGTCCTATCCACAGCAATCAGGCAAGAGAAAGATACAAAAGGCATCTGAATAGGAAATAAAATTCAAAGTATCTCTCCTACCTAATGATACGATTCTATACCCAGGAAACCCTCAAGACTGCCAAGAGGCTCCTAGACGTGATAAATGACTTCGGTAAAGTTTTAGGATATAAAATCACTATACAAAAATTAGTAGCATTTCTATACCCCAATAATGTTCAAGCTGAGAGTTACTTTAAGAACCCAATTTCATTTATAGTAGCCACACACACACACACAAAATTCCTGTGAATACAGCTAATTAAGGAAAGGAAAGATTTCTACAAGAAGAACTACAAAACATGGGTGAAAGAAATAATACATGACACAAACAAATGGAAAAACATTCCATACCCATGGACTGGATGAATCAATATCATTAAAATGGACATATTACCCAAAACAATCCACACACTCAACACTATTCGTATTAAACTACCAGCATCATTTTTCTCAGAAATAGAACAAAACTATTCTAAAATTCATATAGAATCAAAGAAGAGCCCAAGTAGCCAAAGCAATCCTAAGCAAAAAGAACAAAGCCAAAGGCATCACACTACCTGACTTCAAGCTATACTACAAGGCTACAGTAACCAAAACAGCCTGATATTAGTACAAAAGCAGACCCATAGACTAGTGGAACAGAATAGAGAACCAAGAAATAAAGCTACACACCTGCAATCAACTGATCTTTGACAAAGTCTATAAAAATAAGCAATGGGAAAAGGGCTCCCTATTTAATAAATGATGCTGGGATAGCTGGCTAGCCATATGCAAAAGTCTGAGACTGGACCTTTACCCATTACCACATACAAAATTAACTGAAGGTGGCTTCAAGACATAAATGTAAGACTGAAACTACTAAAATTCTGGAAGAAAACCTAGAAAATACCCTTCTGAACATTGGCCTTGGCAAAGAATTTATGACTAGGTCCTCAAAAGCCATTGCAACAAAACCAAAAATTGACAAGTGAGATCTAATTAAATTACAAAGACCGCACAGCAGAATAAACTATAAACAGAGTAAACAGACAATCTACAGAATAGGAGAAAATATCCACAAACTTTGCATCCGATAAAGGTCTGATGTTCACAATCTATTAAGAACTTAAATCAACAAGCAATAATAATAATAATAATCCCATTAAAAATGAGCAAAAGACGTGAACAGACACTTCTCAATAGAATACATACAAGCAGCCAAGAAACATATGAAAACATGGTTAACATCACTAATCAACGGAGAAATGCAAATCAAAATCACAGTGAGATATCATCTCACACCAGTCAGAATGGCTATTATGAAAAAGTAAAAAAATAACAGTTTCTGGCAAGGCTACAGAGAAAAGGGAATGCTTATATACTGTTAGTGGAAATGTAAATTAGTTCAGCCACTGTGGAAAGCAGTTTGGTGATTCTCAAAGAACTAAAAATAGAAGTACCATCCAACCCAGCAATCTCATTACTGGGTATATACCCAAAGGAAAATGTATCATTCTACCAAAAAGACACATGTACTCATATGTTCATTGTAATGCTATTCACAATAGCAAAGACATCAACAGCACTATTGACGGTAGCAAAAGACAGTCAACCTAGGTTCTCATCAGTGGTGGACAGGATAAAAAAATGTGGTACATATACACTATGGAATACCATGCAGACATAAAAAAGAATGAAATCATGTCCTTTTCAGCAACATGGATGCAGCCGGAGGCTATTATTATAAGCAAATTAATGCAGAAATGGAATACCAAATACTGCATGTTCTCACTTATAAGTGGAAGCTAAACAGTGGTTATACACAGATGATATAAAGATAGGAACAACAGACATTGAGGACTATAAAGGTGGGGAGAGGGCAGGGAAAGAGTTGAAAAACTACCTATTAGGTACTATGCTCCCTACCTGGGTGACGGGTTCAATTATACCCCAAACCTCAGCATCACACAGTATACACTTGTAACAAACCTGCACATGTCCCCCAGGAATCTAAAATAAAAGTTGAAAATAAATAAATGAGTAAAACAATCCATTGGCTTTGAGACTATTTATTCACATCAAGTCTGTAATATTCACTGTGACCTACAATGTCTCTGCCTACCCTGGCTCTTTCCTGTCCCTCCAGATATAGCAACCCACCCACTAAATGCAGATAACTTGTCCTTGTCTTTTTTCAGCTGATGCTCAAAACCATTTCTCTGTTTCTGGACTTGGGGCATGCTGTTCCTCTTTTTATGGCACATTCCCACCCACCCCCACACAAAGCTCATCCTTTGCCTAGTTAATTCTGCTAACTCCTAATAGCCCATGAGGTAAGTATGACTTTCTGGGCTTGTTCCTAGATATGTCTTTCTGGGTTTTAAGGTCATGAATGCAATAGGAAAGGGGCAGTCAGAATTCAAACTCAGTTTTCTCTGATTCCTTGGTCACTCTCTCTTTTATAACTGGATAACACTGTCATAACATTGTAAGCCACACTGAATATTAACGATCTGATATGAATAGTTTCAAAGCCAATAAATTGTTTTATTTATTTATTTTCAACATTTATTTTAGATTCAGGGGATATCTCTGCAGGTTTGTCTCCCTTTCCAACATTAATATTTAAAGGTCTGAAATTGTGAAGATTTTTTTACTTATGAAAGTTGTTTATCAAAATGTTAGATGTTCGTAATTAAAGCTTGATACTCCTTCATTTTTGTGCTAACTTGACCTTCTGCAGATTCCTGGTCTGAAAGCTTAGTTGAGCCTGCATGGTGTTTTGGCAACTCTTTCATTTGTCCCTTGATGATTCTAGCTCACACTACTCCCTGTTTCTCTCTGCTCAAGCCTTTATTCTTTGACAGTTAATCCTGTGTTGTCTTGCAACATCTCTCGAGTCTCTGTCTGGTACTATTTAGCTCTTTATTGTTACTAAATTCTTGAATTTGTTATCTCTGATTGCCTTCACTAGGCTATAGGTTTCTTCTGGTTAAGGGAGAATATTTTACAAATAATTGGCAAGCACTATCATTTGTGTGAACATCACAGTGTATAAAATTCTTGAATACACATTGTCACATTCATTTTTCATAACAGTTTTGTGAGAAGGCAGGGAAGGAAGTAGAGATTACAGAGGTAATTGACTTGTGTGCTCTCTTCACTTTTAAGGGGCAAAAGCAGGTCTTTGACTTTCTGATTTTAGGTTTTGTTTTCTTTTGTTTGATTGCTTTTCTCACCACACCAAGTTGCCTTATACATACTTCCATAGTGTTTAGCACAGTGTCTTTTGTACAAGAAATACTTAATAACCCTGTGTGGATTGATTTTATATTTTAAAGAAAATAAAATAAAGTAAGAATCATTACAGTCTGGATCTGCATGACAAACATCTGTATGAAAAATAAACAAATTATCTCAACTGCCTGGACTCTTCCAAAATGTCAATATTTGGTGTGGAGGAAACTAATCATTTTGGCTGAATTGACAGAACTTCCCTCACCCTTTTTTGTTGTTACTTATGGCTCAAATTATGCAAAAACTGAAGAGCCCATGTGTGAATTAAAGTAACTTTTACAAATTTCTGTTTATTCAGGACCATGTATGCCTCTGGGATTATTGTAGAAAGAGTCAACAGCTCTGCTTGACCCTCAGCTCATGGCCAGCAAAGGAGGAGTTTAGAGACTGGGAAGTCAGAAACATGTGGTGGTTCCAGGCCTGGGCAAAGCAGGGTAGCAAAAATAGTCATTTTTCATTTTCCAGCCCTTGGTGTCTAGAGGACTTCGGGGAATTTAACAAAATATACATAAAGCCCAATTCTGAAAACAAAGCAACACATCCCCTGGCCTTAACAAAGCAAAGCCCAAGGGAAAATAATAATAAACGCTTTGCTTCCTTTGCCACCAACATTACAAATCATCAGCAGTGACACTGGGAACAAAGAAATCAGAGGTTATGAGAAGGAGAAAAGATTAAACAAGAGAGGAAATTAGAAAATAAATATGCATGGCCTCTTTAGGAATTGCTTCTAGATGTATGTGGAACATGAGTTTGACATAAAATGCCAGCCCCCATCCCGAGACACATACAATCACACACACTCCCATCACCAACCACAAGAAAATACCTCTGAGTTATAAACTAGTTACATGAAAATAAAGAAGAGGAAATGAACTGCCAACTGTCTGCTATGGTCGCAGGAACAGATAGTTGACTTGTTTATTAAGTAATAGAACATGTGTAAATAACTAAAAGATACTTGCTATGTATTACCAAAACAGCAGGTTATAATAAATATATGTGTTTTATTCCACTTTGTCACAAATATGGATATATATGTGTACAGACACATGCAGGCTAGAACGCATTAAAATATAACCAATTCTTTTTTACATTTTTGGCGGTGGAAATATCTGCATTATTTAATTTTTTTCCATGCTTATCTAAATTTGGTATTTTGTCTACATGGTCATTTATTGCTTCTGTAATAAAAACAAATACATTATTAAAAACTTAAAAATACCAGTGATTTATGGTAAACACACACTCATATAGAAATTCAAAGTAAACTCATGCACAGTGTTTAGAAATTTCATTAATTGCAGTTATGCAGAGCTGTGGCTAAAGAGAAATTTCTACCTTAAAGAAAGGCTATTTTATCAGCTATCTTAGTATCTCTTTCAGTGATACAGACCCCCACTTCTACTAATAGTTTACAGTCAAATTCTAGCTGCAAATTTACCATCTATGTGTCTTAGTTTACTATTCTTCTCACTTGCATTTCTGCAAATGTAGCTAATAACAGTACCTTACTTTCTTGAGCTTAGTGAGTATTAAATGGGATAGTCTACATTAAAATCCTTGACACAGTGCCTGACAAACTGTAATCACCCAATATGTGTTAGCTAATATTATGATTGTCAAAATCGCCATAATCCTCTTCAGAACTGTTACTTTTTCCTGAAAGAACTTCCATTTCATGTATTCAGATTGGACTTCCCATTTTTTCTCTTCACCCATATATCTCAACAACTATTCAACATCCTACCTTTCAATATACTAATTATTCTAAAAATGGAACATTCTGATATTAAACTTACAAGTTTGTATCCTCAAAACTAAGCCTCGGGAGGTTCCCATGTCTGTGAATGGTAATAGCCTCCATCCAGATGTACTGGCCAGAACCTTAGAAGACATCTTTTTTCTGTCCTACCTACATCAATTTTTTTTTTAAGAAAGACTCTCTTTCTTCTATCCTACTTATATCAATTCTCTTTTTAAAAAAACAAGTCTTACCAAGTGAAATGAAATGGATTTTAAAGCCAATGTTACCATTGAAATATCCCTCAAGTCTACCCACCTCACTCCACTTTATCATCATCCTTCTAGATTATTCTAACACTGTTTCTCACATGGACAAGAGATTTCCTACTGATCCCTTTAAATTCCCTGTGCCTTCTTTGAATGTATTTCTTTCTTGCAGGAAGAGTGATAATTTAAAAATGCGTACATGATCGTATTACCTCTGTGCTGAAAACTTTTGGGTATCTGCATACTGCTTTAATGAATGATCGAAATCCTGATCAGTGACCTGCAAGGCCTAGTTAGTTCCTTCTTACCATTTTTGGTTCCGTTAATACTATAGTAAATTGATTGTTCCTTAGTTAATTGTGCTCTGTTTGCATTGGCGGTTTGTTAGTTCCTCGAGCCTGATCTGTAACCTCCTATTGTAGGCTACTTAGAACATTCTTCCTCTCCCTACTCTCCTCATATCACCCCCGTTAATTCCTTATTTTCTATTCTGCCTACCTAAACTCTCAGCAGATAACTCTTCCTTATACTTCACTGAGAAAATAAAAGCAAACAGATGGGAAATCCCTCTCTTTTCTTGTAACCAAAGATGCCAACTTCCCCACTTTTGTGTCTGAATTCTTTGATTTTCTTCCTGTTACAATGTGTTTTAGAACAACTTCACCAGTACTTTGGTCCTTCAACTTTCTTAGGAAACTTTCTACAATATTCCCTTTTATTCAGCTTCATCAATTTCTCCCTTTAGCTGGGTTACTCTCTACAGCACACACGCAAGCTCTACAGTTTCCTATCTGAAAACATAAACTATTTAAAGTATTTCCTAACTTCACAGTCCCTTCAGCTACCACCCTAATTCTCTGTATCCCTTTTTTCTAGAAAAGTTGTTTATATTACTGACTGAACTTCCTGGTCTGCTCCTTTTTAATTGTTTACAAACAGGCTAACAGGCTTCACGCCCTCACACTCAACAGAAAATGATCTGATTACATTACTGAGTGTCTTTCCCAGTCTTTTTCATGTCTGTTTTCATCCTTCTTGGCAGCACTCCCTCTTTTTTTTTTTTTTTCTTTTTGACAGAGTCTCACTCTGTCGCCTAGGCTGCAGTGCCACAGCGCAATCTCAGCTCACTGCAACCTCGGCCTCCTGGGTTCAAGTGATTCTCCTGCCTAAGCCTCCCGAATAGCTGGGATTATAGGTGCCTGCCACCACGCCCAGCTAATTTTTGTATTTTTAGTAGAGATAGGGTTTCGCCAGGTTGGCCAGGCTGGTCTTGAACTGCTGACCTCAGGTGATCCACCCGCCTCGGCCTCCCAAAATGCTGGGATTACAGGCGTGAGCCACAGCGCCCCACCCTGACAAGCACTCCCTCTTTTTAAAAGCATTTTCTTCTCTTGGTTTTCAGGTCATCATATTGTGGTTTTGCTCCTACCTCACTGAACAATCCATCTCAGTCTCTTTTCCTGGTTGTTTCTTTGCTCAGACTCCAAATGATGGAACTTTTCAGAGCTGGTATTAGGCATTCTGTTTTCATTTATATTTAGCTATCCTCATTTAGTTATATGACAGATAACTCATACAAACCACTCACCATAATTCATAAAAGGAGTTTGGTCCACACGTAATCTTAGTTCTTTCCCACTCTTCTTGATGTATATGTAGCCTGACCGACATAAGCCACAGAAATTTGGCTTACACAAGAACTAAGGTGCTTCAAGCAAACTCAAGGAAAGAGCCACATGGTTGCATGGGTTGGGAATACTTCCCAACAGTGGCTTTTCTGAGTGTCTTCATTCATCTCTCTCATTTTCTCATGAGAATAAGCTGGGAATAGTTGCCAGTCTTAATAGGTCCTGGGAAAGTAAAAAGGTTTCCGTTGGAAACTGAAGGACTTCAGCCTTCAGTCGAAAGTAGGAACACTTAGTTGACTCTGTAACAAGACTGCTATCTCTCTCAGAGTCTTATGATCAGAAAAGAGAAGGGGAATGTGAAGTTTCCTGAGAGATAATTTGAGAATTCAGAAATAAACGCTGGATTATCCTAAAGGCCCATTAACGTATTTTAACTGGAAAGGATGTAATATCTATCCAGATTACAGCAGGAAGGCTTAGATTTTTTCTCATAAAATCCCAAGCTCTCCAGAAGGGAAGAGGATTACCTACATAGCTGGAGAAATTAAAGAATGTAAGAAGATTCTAGAGCCACTTAGAAGAGTCATATGAGGAAAACCAATACAGGACTTCCTAATAGAAACAGTTTTTTTCACATGGGGTCAAGTGACATTGAAGCATTGTCCTTCCTGTATAGGATGTAGGGAATGGTAGGGTTCTGCCGTGGCTGCAGTTTGCCTGTTGCAGACTAAATAATAAACGATACATGTGTACTTTCCTTTTAATGAATTTTCCTTCTGATACTTTGCAATTAACAGGAATTCAAGTGGAGAGACTTTCCCAGGTTTCTGTGCTGTAGCCAAGTCAAATGAGCCATGTCTTCCTAATAAAGTAAAGAAAAGGTAAAAGAAAACAGGCCCTTTGTGCCAAAGACATCTCAAATACATGAGAGCTGAGGAGGTGTGGTTTAGACTACATAAAAGAGGGGAAATGAGACCCCTCAGAATCAAAGGAAGTCTAAGTGATAATAGTGTCTCTATCTACATTTTTAAATTTAATTTTATTTATTAAATTTTGTTTTATTTTTAATCAACACAAAATAATTGTACATATTTATGGGATATGATGTGATGTTTCGTTACTTGCATATATTGTGTAATGATCAAATCAGGGTAACTAGCAAACCCATCACCTCAAACATTTATCATTTCTTTGTGGTGAGAACATTCAGAATCCTCTTTTCTAGCTATTTTGAATACACAATATATTATTGCTAACTATAATCACCGTGCTGTACAAAAGAACACCAGAACTCATTCCTTCTATCTAACTGTAAGTTTGTTCCAGTTGACCAGCCTTTCCTCCTCTCTCCCTTTCCTTTCCCTTATCCAGCCTCTGGTAACCACTATTTTACTCTCTACTTCACTGAAATCAACCCTTGTAGATTCCACATATGAGTGAGATCATATGAGTGAGGTCATATGTAGAATCTAAAAGGGTTGATTTTAGTGAAGTAGAGAGTAAAATATTTGTCTGTCTGTGTCTGGCTTACTTCACTAAACATAATGTCCTCCAGGTTTATTCATGTTGCAAACAACAAAATTTTATTTTCTTATGTTCATCTGTATTTTTAAACATAATCTGCAGTTCAGTTACTTTAATGGATTTAAGGAGCAGAAAATATTAGAACTGTTTTCATTATTAGTCAGGATGCTTTGACATCAAACGATAAGTACACATTTCAAATTTTCTATAGTAAAAATAATTTTGTTGGTGTTTACATATATGAGAAGAATATCAAGGTGAGGTCACAAAAATTGAAGTAGGAATTATACAAATCAAAATAGAAGAACTGGAACCTAGCACTCAAAACATCAGGTAATATTCTTTCGTTTTCTCTCTAATCTTTGCTTTTTTTGCTTGCTGACCTCATTCTTTCCTATGCAGACAGATTTTCTCCATGTGGCAGGATATCTGACTACTGACATTCTCGTTTTAGCAGACCTAGAGGAAAGTAAGAACATAATTTCACCAGCATCTATATCAGTCTCAGGGAAGGTGTGTTATCAGCCCAGAATAGGCCATTTCTCCTTTCCCTGCTTCGAAGCAATCATTATTGCAAGATATATCCAGTGCTATAATTGGAACAAGCCTGCTCCATGAACATATGGAAGAAAGTAGATATAGAGCTGGCAGAGCAGATTTTAAAAAGAAATTGTCAGCTACCACAGACTACTGTATTCTACATGACCCCAAGAGTATAATTATAAAAATAGGTCAGAAACTACAAGGAATGAAATTTCAGCACAATACTGTATTTAATGTCTTTTTTGCAATAGTCAAAACTGGGTAAAGATGTTGAATTGAGTAACTTTGTTAAGTTAGTTGCCCATCTCTAAAGGTGTTCAAACAAAGGCTAGAAGATAAGTTCACAGCAATGTTTGAAGAACAGCATTTTAAAATCTTGTGTAATTGAGCCTCCTGAGATATGGAGAAGGCCATCAGGATTTGCACAAGATGGCAGAAAGGGAGAACTTGTTCCCTACTGTGATTCAACAGGAGTATTTCTATTGATCTATTTTACATGCTGGAATTCCATATATAGTTTTGAGTGGGATTGTCAACAAAAGGTAACAAATCCACTGTAATAACTGTGGTAGGTGCTCCTAGGTAGTAGATAAGATGAGATAGCCTTTAAATGCTGGTATTATCTTTATATATAAAAAGAGATCAAGAAAGATCTTTAATGTTCATTTTAATGATAGAGTTCTATGATTTTATGAGCTTCTTGGGGGAATTGAAAAGTACTAACAAATTTTAGAGTCTGGCTAATTTGGGGGATCAATAAATTAACCTACTAGAGGCTTCTGATGTTCTCATGAAGCTAGTCAAAGGATGCTCCATTAATACATTAATAATATTAATAAAAACTAATAAATTAACCTACCAGAGGCTTCCGATGGTCTCATGAAGCTAGTCAAAGGATGCTCCATTAATCCCTGGGGTTCAGTGTTCATTTCACATATTGTGGCTTCACATTCTAATGGGAACAGCCCAATCAAATCGTCAAATTTAAGCTATTTTTTAAATAGAGCTTTGGTTATGCGTTTTGCTGATGAAGAAACTGAATTAATTGACTTGACTGAAATTTCACAGGTAGTTAAATCTATGGTTTAGTTTATTCACTGCTTTTATGGTTTTCTATTTATTATTATTATTATTATTTGAAATGGAGTTTCGCTCTTGTTGCCCAGGCTGGAGTGCAATAGCGTGATCTCGGCTCACTGCAATTCTCCTGCCTCAACCTCCCAAGTAGCTGGGATTACAGGCGCCCACCACCACACCCACCTAATTTTTGTATTTTTAGTAGAGTTGGGATTTTACCATGTTGGCTAGGCTGGTCTTGAACTCCACTCGCCTCAGCTTCTCAAAGTGCTGGGATTACAGATGGGAGCCACCACGCCCAGCCGCTTTTATGGTTTTTTAAAATATTGGACTTTAGAGTTAGGGAAAGAAGAGAAAGGATGAAAAGAGATAATTCAGCTAGGCAGGCAGATCTGGGAGTGCTGAAATTCCATATTCTCAGGTATAGCAGAAAAAGGAGATCTGGTTCAATTCCATCCGTTGATTCAATTAATTTTTCAAAGTCTTCTTTTGCTAGACTCTCTGCTAGAGACTGGGGTACAAACATGGATAAGACGGCCTTTCGTTCCTAGTAAATTTTCATCTATTGAAGGAGAGACGCTAAACATAAAGACAGATGTTTTATCTATTCAACATTTTTTTTTGTAAAGAGATCATGAGGTGAAAAAGACAATTTCTATAATCAAGAAATTTTAAGTATATACAAATATATGTATCTGTACTAGCAAATGTATTTAATATTTTAAAAAGTACACTGTAATAAAACATACTATGTAGTACTATAAGCATCATGCTCTCAGAGGAGAAAGGAGAGACTTTTTTTTTCTTTTTCCTCCTAGAGGGTCTGTGGAAAATTCTCAGCAGAAGCAGCATTGCCAATTAATGAAGAAGGAGAAACTATATTTTGCTGCATCATTTAGGAATGACCCAAACAGTAGGAATTTCTGATAAGTTGCCTGCTTAGTGCAGATGATATTTGATATCTTTCAGTAGTTGAGTTAGTAATGGCTCTCAATTTACATCAGATCTCTTAGTTCATAGATCCAGACATCAGTAGTGCACTTGAAAATGGCATTGCAAATCACACATATTTACATGAATCATATAGATATATTCAAGACTGCTGCCAGACACCTTTATTGCTTTTCCCATACACAGTGTTTTTGAGCTCTTCCTGAATGCACTGGGATTAACTTTTTGGCTGTGTGTATATTTTGGAAAGAGTAGTGGTGGTTAGGATCTACGAGTATACATACAAAATAGCAGAGCTTTTGTCCCATTCATTAAATATATACTTATTGAATATTTACTATATGCCAAGTACCTTGCAAGACACTTGAAAGTAAGATGAAGAATAAAAGAATCCTTCATCTCTAGGAGCAAGCAGTTCTTTTTAAACTCTCTCTCTCTCTATGTATGATGTATGTATGTGATTATATATATCCATATATTATGCGTATATATATTATTTTTGTATACATTTGCTTTTCATACATATATAGGATTATGTATGCATACTCTATTTTTTTTTTTTGATGCAGAGTTTTGCTCTGTCGTTCAGGCTGGAGTGCCGTGGTGCAATCTCGGCTCACTGCAACCTCCACCTCTCAGGTTCAAGCAATTCTCCTGCCTCAGCCTCCCAAGTAGCTGGGATTACAGGTGCCCACCACCACACCAGGCTAATTTTATTTTTTTTTTGTATTTTTAGTAGAGATGGGGTTTCACCATGTTGGCCAGGCTGGTTTTGAACTTCTGATCTCAAGTGATCCTCCTCCCAAAGTGCTAGGATTACAGGCGTGAACCAGCATACTTTAATTTAATTTATCCTGGTCATTGTTCGTCTAAGTTGTGATTAGGCAATTTCTCCAATCACTGGACCCCAGAGACAGCTCTTGTTAGGTGCTGGTCCATTGGGTCTCTAATTTAAAAAGCCCTTTTCTGTGGTGTTTGTCAACTCCCATGGAGTAAATATTTTCACCATCACTGATTTCTAGCTTCATCTTGATGCCACTGAACATAGAGTTATGACAAGATATGCACAGTCAGCTCTTGCTAGATGGTACAAACTAACTTCAGCACTGCATTCTACGAGATGGATCTGGTTCAGACTGAGACATGTGTCCAAGGGAGAAATAATGAGGAAGCCACCTTTAAAAATCATGCCACACATGGGAAATAAATTGTAGTCAAAATTACAAATACAAGTACTAGAGACATATGACCATACATTTTTAAAAGTACATAGATTTTTTGACTTTCCTGCTAGAAATGTCATTTCTTACCATTGATCTTAGGCAAAAGCCCAAGATCTTAACCAAGGCCCATAGTTCCTACATAACCTGGTATTCACCCCTCTTACCTCCTGTAGTCCTTTAGCTTCTTGCATTTTGTAAATGTTATGTCTGCTCTTTTCTGCTATAAGCCTTTGTACTAGCTTTTCTTTCTGTCTGAATGCTCCCTTGTTCTCCTCCCTGCCCCAGGTAGATCCTATAATTTGTATTAGTTTGGTGGTCTCAAATAAAATGTCTCTTCCTTAGAGAAGATTTCTTAGCCTCTCCTCATCCACTAGGTCATGTCTCCTCTTATGTTATATAATATATAATAAACCTATAAATATCATAGAATGTTCGAAGTTTTCCTAGTAGCACTGACAACAACTCTAAATAATCTGTGAGTCTGTCTCCTGCTAAAATGTAAGTTGATAGGCACTCTACTTGTCTTATTTACTATCAGATCTCCAGGGCTCACCACAATGCCTAGTGTACGTTAGGAATTCTATTAATAATAACTGAATGAAGGAATGAGCGAAAAAGCAGGAATTTATTAAATTCTCAAATTGACCAGTAGAGAGTTTCAAACAATTCTAATAATTTCCTCCCATCTCACCTTTCTCTTAAAAAGAATTTTATTTGCATAGTTATTCTGACATAGAGTGATCAGGGGAAAATAAGCCTCCAAAACTAAAATACTCATGCACCTCATAACAATGTTTTGGTCAATGATGGACGCATATATAATGGTGGTCCCATAAGATTATAATATTTTTACTCTACCTTTACTATGTTTGTTTAGATATATTTAGATATACAAATACTTACCATTATATTATAATTGCCTATAGTAGTCAGTACAGGAACATGTTGTACATGTTTGTAGCTTAGTAGCAATAAGCTATACTATACAACCTAGGTGTGTAGCAGGCTATACCATCTAGATTTGTGTAAGTATACTCTACCTTGTTCCCACAATGACAAATTGCCTAACAACACATTTCTCAGAATGAAACTTCATTGATAAGTGACACATGACTGTCGTCATTTTGGCTCTTCGTTAAGCTAGTAGAGAAAGCAAGTAAAACAAATAACTAAACTTGTGTTGGAAGCATAGCTGTGCTATTATGTTTTAAACAACTATTGTTTAAAACATCTTAAGAGCCTCGTATCTTCTGCTTCTGTAGTGGTTTAAATCAATGATATAATCTTTCTTTTTTTTTTTTTTTTTTGAGATGGAGTCTCACTCTGTTGCCTAGGCTGGAGTGCAGTGGCACAATCTTGGCTCACTGCAACCTCTGCCTCCCAGATTCAAGTGATTCTACTGCCTCAGCCTCCTGAGTAGCTGGGATTACAGGCATGCACCACCATGCATGGCTAATTTTTGTGTTTTTAGTAGAGACAGGGTTTCACCATGTTGGCCAGGCTGGTCCTGAGCTGCTGACCCCAGGTGATCCGCCCACCTCGGCCTCCCAAAGTGCTGGGGTTACAGGCGTGAGCCACTGTGCCCAGCAGATATCATCTTTCTTTATAGATTCTGCCTATGCTGTTTCATCAAATCAATCACTAAGAAAGAGGTCTCAAATGTCTGAAAACTTTTTACCAAACCTCCTCTTACTTCTGCATATCAAAGAGGAGGTGCCTATCACTACAGGGCTGGTGTTGGAGGGGGTGTGTGTTTGGAGAGGGGGTGTATTTGAAGCACAGTGAGGACTTTGAGAGTTTTAAAGACGTCTGGTGCAACTTGAGTCCTCTCAGGCCCCCAGCCCAAGTCCTTGGACAATATCTCCTGCTGTAGGTCAAAACAGGGAAATACAGAATTTGCCAGGCAGAACATCAAGAGGGTTTTGAGTTTCACACGAACACGTGAAGATTATTACCTCCAGCACACCTTGATTTCCACAGATTTCAGTTCAACACCCTCAGAGGCAAAGCCGACTTGAAATATTGTTTTCCATTAACTTCTTCTTCCTCTCCTGTTGTGATTTGACATCTCCTTCCTAGGATGGTTTTCTCCTGTTAGATTAGAATTTGGATCCTGAATTTCTAGCATGGTCTATCCAGATGCAATTTTGTCTTCTTTCAGCTTTGTTTCAAAGCTGTCTTGGTTTCCCCAACTATAGAGTACTCCTTCAGGCCATGTGCCATCTCCATCCCTCGCTGTATTTACAACTCCCTCAGTCTGCTTCCTTCATCTCTGTTATCTCATTTATCCTTCTTGCATTACTGCTTGAGAGCTTGGGAATATGGTTTTGATTAGGAAGCTCTGTTTTACCCCTGGTGTTCACATACTGGCTTTCAATATCCCAGCCCACTTTTCATTGCTGTCTTCCTCTAGTCACAGTTTGCCTTGTTAAAGCATAATGATCTCATCTTCGACTCTTTAATGGCCTGACCCCATTTCTTCCTCTGAACCATATTACGTTATGGGTGACATTATTTATGTTTTCCTTCTTGCTCCTGTGACATGCTTCAGGCTTTCCCTTTTTCGAGGTGCTGGATCAGAAAGCACAGGCTACACAGGTTGTAAGTTAATTCTTTCTTTCTAAGTGACCCCTTCCATGGTTCTGCAACATCCCTCAAATCCACACTTGTTGGAGTCACAAATACAATTTTGCCAAGGAAATCAGCCAGGTTGGATAACTCTGGGTTTGGAATAAAATCTATTGTTAGGTTAGAAAGAAAAAGAAACTGTTCAGTCTTCTCTTCAGTAAATGGGGGAGGGAGGAGCTGTAACTTTTTCTTATGATGCCCAAACTTCAAGGCCACATTAGAGCAAAAGGGAGAAAAGGAGACTTGGAGCAAAAGATCTGGTTTCCTAGTCTCACCCTGGGTCATTGCTTGAGTGTCTTCTTCAGTCCTGAAGCTCATGTTTCGTCTTGCTTTTGTCTTAGTCTATTCGGGCTGCTATAACAAAAATACAAGAAATAAATATTTATTTCTCATAGTTCTGGAGGGTGGGAAATCCAAGATCAAGATGCAACAGATTCAGCAACGGGAGAGGGCCCACTTTCTGCTTCATAGCTGCCTCTTGCTGTGTCCTTACATGGTAAAAAACTGCATCAGAGATATCTCTGGGGTCTCTTTTATAAAGGCACTAATCCGATTTATGAGAACTCTACCCTCATGACCTAATCATTCCCTAAAAACCCTACCTCCTTATACCACTACCTTGAGGCTTGGGATTTCAACATATAAATTTTGTGGGAAACTAAAAGGTTCAACCTATAGCAAATGTTTATTTACAAAATGGATCTACTAATATTTTTCAGTTTACCAGACTTAATCAAATAACTCCTGTGTACCTAAAAACATTTGGGAAACAGTAGAGTGTAGTGGTATGAGCATGAGATTTTGAGTCAAACTTGCCTGATAAAGTTTAGGTTTTCATTACAGCATTTATCAGAGTACAATCTTGAATGAGTTATTCAACACCTATAACCCTCAGTTTCTTTATCTAGAAAATCAAATAACAAAATTTTTCACCTTACAGGACCATTAGGAGGGCTAAATACAGTAATGATACTAAAGTCCTTAAAAGACTATTTCATGGTATATACTTAATAAACACTGGATGTTATTAATATTGCTACTAACAATATCTTATATCTCTATAACTTCTAGAGCAGTTTAAGGTAATATAATTATATAGGATTATATTTGTTTACATATTCACTTGTCCCAATCAGACTTTAGACTACTTAGAACAGGGATCACATCTTAACTTTCTCTCCTTAGCACCAAATATGGGGGGTCTGAGATACAGAAACTTGAAAAAGAAGTCTTGACTTGAAATGGAGGTAGGAGACAATATCAGTGTCTTTGCATCTGAGCCTCTTCCAGCACAACTGCTGAACAATTTCAAGTCAAACAATTTCAAAGGGAGTTGAAAGTCAAATGGATCAAATGTAACTTACTTGCTGTATGCCAGGGGACTGATTTTCCCTTTCCATTATTTGGAGAGTTCTACCCTGTTACTTTGATCCCCCCTTTGTTTCTATAAAATCCAATAAAAATTTTAAACACAAAATTTGTACACAGTCACTCTAAAGTTCCAATTTAGATGCAAAATAAAAAGTTAAAAGTAAAAGTTGCCCCTTTTTTTCCTTCTAGAGGTAAACACTTTTGATAATCTGGTATGTACCTTTATAGATTTTTCTCTGTATGCAGAAGCATATACTATTACATATGTACCATATATTGAGTTTTTTGTTTTGTTTTAAAAATGGTATCATACTATAAATATTCCTGTTTTATTTCATTAATATTGATAAATAATGTCATAACTATACACAATGTAAAGACAATCATCTACATCTGGGGATGTACCAAATAATTTTTTAAAATTAGTCATTTTATTATCCATCAATGTAACATATACACAGAGTTTAAACATTCAAATGCATTTCTAAGAATGGTACCCTGCACCCACTTCTATTTCATATGCTGACCACCATCATGACCCCTAAGCCTCCAACTGTTCATCAAAGGTAGCTTTTTTTTTTAAGCCAGTTTCTTCTTAGCTCCACATATATATCAAATCAATATCTCTATATTGCTATCTCTTGACTCACAAGTTCAGATATTAACTATTTATATCCTCTCCTTTCTTGCTGCTTCATCAATATATAGATTTTGAAATGCTTGTTAAATTCGTAGTCCATATTATTGTTACTATGGCAATGTAAACATTTGTTTTTCACTGCTGAGCTACTTAGTGCCGAGTACCAGGATAACTTTTTTGAAAACAGCTTCGACACCTCCCTCTCTCCCATTTAATTACTATGTAATTTGCTTAATGCGTGATCATTGAGCTAAATCTTCCAACATCTTAAATAAGCTCTGCAAAATGCCTCTTAGTAAAAGATTTTACAAACTTTAAACTGGCTTGGTGCAAAAGTAATTAAGGTTTTTGGCATTAGAAGTAATTACTTTTAGTAATATAAAAAAGTAATTACTTTTTTATAAAGTAAGTAGTTTAGTAACATAAAAGTAATTACTTTTCTTTTTCTTTTTTTTTTGAGACAGAGTCTCACTCTGTCACCCAGGCTGGAGTGTAGTGGTGCAATCTCGGCTCACTGTAACCTCTGCCTCCTGGGTTCAAGTGATTCTCCTGTCTCAGCCTCCCGAGTAGCTGGGACTACAGGTGCCCGCCACCACGCCCGGCTCATTTTTCTATTTTTAGTAGAGACAGGGTTTCACCATATTGGCCAGGCTGGTCTCGAACTCCTGACCTTGTGATCCGCCCGCCTTGGCCTCCCAAAGTGCTGGGATTACAGGCATGAGCCACTGCGCCCGGCCAAAAGTAATTACTTTTAATGGCAAAAACCGCAATTACTTTTGCACCAACCTAATACATAATGTACCAGTTCCACTTTTACCTAGAGGTGGGTCCTGGTGACCTCCTTTTTTCTGTTCCTATCTGAATCTGGGTTTGTCTGTGCCTGCCACACTGCTGTTGTTTGGGATTTTTCCTTCTCAGTATCCCAAGAATTGCTTTTACTTTTATTTTGTTTTGGATTGACTGTTAGCAGGATCTCATGTCTTTTTTCTTGATTTACTTACTTATTATGATGAGACTTTTTTTGTTTTTGAGTAGATTCTTGAGAAACTGTTCAAGGAGGTAATATTTTTGACATTCCACTTTTCTGAAAATATTTTTAGTCTATCTTTATTCTCAGTTGGTAGTTTGAATGGATATGGAATTCTAGGTGGACATTTAATTTCACTCAGACATTTGAAAGCATTACTTTCCAGCTTTCATCATCATTCATATGATGCTGTTCTTATACAATTTTTTTTTGTATGTGAATTTTAGACCTTTGTATTGCTTTCAGAATCTTTTTTTAAAACCATAATTATTGAAATTTCCCACTTAGTTGCTCTGGTCTGTGCCTTTACAAATTTCATCTTGTTTTCAATTTAGTGGGCTCATTCAATTTGGAGACTTATGGCCTCAGTTATAAAATACTGTATTTTGTTATTTATTTGTTAACTTATCTACATTGTATTCTAGGCATTTTATTCCTTTAGTGCTTATTTTTTGCACTTGGATACTTTCTGAATTGATCTTTTCTCTTCTATTGTCTAGCTCCACTTTTTTGTTCTATTTTCTGGAGCATTTTGTCAGTTATTTCTTTCAATCTTTTTACTGATTTGAAAAAAAAATTCTGTCCCTTTTTTTCTTCAGGGATTAATTTTTATCAGAGTTTCTGTTTACCCATAGCATCTTGTTCTTGTTTTATTGATGCAATATTTTCTTTCATGTGGATGAAATATGGACTATCATTTTTAAATAGTTCCCAGTTCTAATTGTCTTTATTGTTCCCCTTTATACTTCATGCTGGAAACTTTCCTCCAAAATTTTGTGATCTTTGAGCCGTTAAAAACAGAAATGCATTTTGGAGCCTTTTAAAAATAGAAATTCTACCAGTAAGCAGAATTTAGCAAGTAGTAGGCAATCACGTGGACAGCTGGCATTTAAAAATGACTTTTCCCAAATGTCCTTATTAATAGTCCTCTTCTCTGGGGCAGTTTAGGATCTTGAAAGAAGGATACCAGTCTCCTGTGAGTAAGGTAAAATGAGGGGAGCTGAGGTCTTTCCTTTCACCTGTGACTTCACCTCCTTTGTCTTTACCTTCAGAACTTCACCTCTTACCCTTTT
Organism: Homo sapiens; assembly: GCF_000001405.40. Taxonomy (NCBI): domain Eukaryota; kingdom Metazoa; phylum Chordata; class Mammalia; order Primates; family Hominidae; genus Homo; species Homo sapiens. The sequence continues at coordinate 121,874,186 of NC_000008.11, forward strand.
CTGAGCTTTATTTTCTTGAATCAAGAGTGGCCTTAGTTCAATTTCTTCAGAATATACATCTCCATTTTCCTATGGAGAGAGAGCAGGAGCAGTCGTTGCATAGGATAGGAATGAAAATGACCACTTTCCTAGACATTCAAGTAATCCACCTGGTTTTTGGCCCAGTCTCTTTGCCTCCACCTTCTTCATGCCTAGAGCCTCTCTTTTCTGAGGTTGAGTGGTTTCTGTGGGGCAATCAGCTTGTTTCTCATTTGGTGTCCTACTCTGTTCCTACTTTCTCTGCTCTAAGTTATTTCCCATTCACCCTTTCAAATTCTGCTGAATCGTATATTGGGATCAAGTTGAAAACACTTTAATAGTTTTATTGAAGTCTAAAGATATCCTTCTGTTCCTGTTGTAGTCACGAAAGAGAAAAGGGCAGAGTCATTATTGGTGACTTTGACTAATTTTGATGACTTCTGGATTTGCCATTGACTTGAGATATATCTTCTCCTATCATCATACAGAATTTCTTAAAATTCTGTCTTAGAATATATGACAGTTTTTATCCCTGTTCATCTTACTATAAGGCAAGAAAGGCCTATCAGTTAGGCTTTGATCGCTCTAATTACTTAATTTCACAACTAATATTGTAATTCATTTCATTATTTAAGTTCCTTATTACTTTTCTCTCACATCTCCTTTGGTGGAAAATAAAATTAATGAATAGTACAAAGTTTATAAATGATACGTTATAATCATCAAGCAATTAAAAAAACAAATAATAACTAAAGCTTTTTCATAGTTTGCAACACTTAAATTTGCTAAGACTTTCTCTGATGATAGGATTTTTAATATTTATACCACAATAATATTATAAATAATTTAATGGTATAGAATATTTTATAAAATATAAAAAACTCACAATCATAACACTAAAAATAATAGGCATAAACTTAAAAAAAAGCTAAAAATAACCACCCCTCCCTCAACACACCTACAGACGATAATATTTTCATAATATATATTCCACAGTAGACACAGATTAATTTCCACATGTATTTTATTTGGTGCTTCTGTATATCAATGATTCAGCGGGTTTCATATTCTGATTGTTATTAGGAGAATTTCAGTGAACCAAGGCTGAATAAATGAGATATTCCTCCACACTTTCAACCTCACCCCTGTTTAACTTTATATTACTACTCTGAGTTGTTCATATCTGTCTTCTAAATAACTCGTTTTTACTCATAATGAATTCCCTATGCATCTGGAGGTAATCCTTGAGTGTTAGGAGGCCACTTCTGTAACCTTATCTGCTTGAGGTTATTTATTCCTGGCCTGACCTTCTGTCCCTACCACGCACAGCTATCACTCCCAGGTGACTGACAAAGGCATCCGCAATTGGCACTTTAATGACTAAGCCCAGGATAGTGGAACTGTTCGATGGTCAGTTGAAGGCCTTTCTTGTGCTACTGATGCCTTATTGATAACGTTGTGCAACTATGAGGGTGTAACCAAAACAAAAATCTTCTAGATGGGCTATGCTAGAAAGAACATGAATTTGTGATTTAGATAGAACCTAATATCAATTCAGGCTATGTCACCTTTAGTTAAGTGATCTTGAGAAAAAAATAACCTCTCTGACATTATTTCTCCAACTATCAAGATCTAGGGATTTTTCTAATAAGATGATGCACGCATCCAGTGCTTAGCCAGTGCTCAGAAAATTGTAATGCATGCTACTATTACTTGCAACTGTGGCAGAGAACTTTTGTGGGGGTATTTATATAAGGAATAAAGGAGGTCCAAGAGGTCTTTGGACCTAAATATTCCTTCTGAGGTCTTCCATATGTGGTAGAAATACATAGGAACCATAATTCATCATAACTCTCCACAATTGACAAATAATTATATTATAATGATCTATATAGTAAGCCTATGTATACTGTAGAAAACATCCTCAGATACTCTTTAGAAGAGGCTGAGATATCAATAACTTGAACAAAAGTATAGACATGGGGTTTGAAGATATTAATATATCGGATACAATGTATAACCTATTGTGTTGTTAATATTAGGTTGGTGAAAAAGTAATTCTTGTTTTTGCATTAAAAGTAATGGCAAAAACATCATTACTTTTAATGGCAAAAACAGGAATTACTTTTGCACCAACATAATATATTCAATAAATCATTGTGAGAAATTACATATTCCCTAAGCTATTGTTCTGGATGATTATCCAACAAGTTACCTCTAAGTGCCACGAAGGAAAAAGATGCAGAAAAAAAAATCTCATTTTCCTAGAGGAAAATGAACATGAAACATGAGGTAGACATGCCTAGGTGAGCTCTTTGGACAAGATAAGGACACTTCTAGAAAAGGGGAGGAATTCTAACAATGTGTGTGTGTGTGTGTGTGTGTGTGTTGGGGTAGTAGTATATATCAGAATTTGGCTTTGGCCATCCTTGAATACCAGCTTAGTTTAAACTGTATTAGCGAAGTTCGTTTTTTTATAACCTACTCCACTTTGGTATCATATGGGTCAGGTGGAAAAATATCAACTCTGTAATGAACACTTCTCTAGTACCTGGGGTTTTTCTCTTGAGCCAACTTTCCTATGTCACTTTGTTGAATGCATTTTTCAACATCTTTGTAGTGAAAAGAAAATACTTTAATAAACCTTTATTTCCAAACCTGTGTTCCCTGTGGTGATGGCAAAGTTTAGGTGAGATTTACTCACAGACATGGCTGAACTTCTTGAAGGACCCCCAATGTGTCATCTTTGCTGTGTCTTCTGCCAAAAAAGACTTTCTTTACATTATGAATTAAGTAGCTCTCACATCCTGGAGTCTACTGTCAAATCCTATTGACTATTCTGCACTGCTCAGAAATGTTCTTCATTTGTATCTAAACCTTGATCTCAATCCGCATGTTTATATGACTGAAAATTTTAGTTTGATTATAATAAATACTTTTCACAGGAATGGAAAATGGAAGGATTCCTTAATTTATGCAGATGTATGTTTAATATAAGGCTTCCTCTAAAATGTTTTTCCATACATCTTTTTTGTTTGTTTGTTTTTGAGACGGAGTCTCGCTCTGTCACCCAGGCTGGAGTGCAGTGGCGTGATCTCGGCTCACTGCAACCTCCTCCTTCCAGGTTCAAGTGATTCTCCTGCCTCAGCCTCCTGAGTAGCTGGGATTACAGGTGCCCACCACCAAGCCTGGGTAATTTTTGTATTTTTAAAGGAGACAGAGTTTTGCTATGTTGGCCGGGCTGGTCTTGAACTCCTGACCTCAGGTGAACTGCCCGCCTCTGCCTCCTAAAGTGCTGGGATTACAGGCGTGAGCCACCATGCCTGGCCAGTTTTTCCATACACTTTTGGTGGAACCTTTTAATACAGATATTTTTCTAAGTGAGCTGTGATATCTCTACAGTGTTTTCAAGATAGTATTCCTTCCCATTTCTCCCATTGTTTCCTATTATGTTCAAACCAAATGAATCTGCTTGCTTCTCCTGGCTTCACATTAATGGCATACTTATGCCTCCTTAGTAAGATTTCTCATAAAGAATTGCATGATTCAATTAAACATGGAGAGAAGAAAAGATGCTAGTTCTAATACCTTCACCTCATTAAATTAGTTTGAAGGAAACAAAAAGGTAGAGAAAGGCTTTGTTAAAGGATGAAGTAGGTTTTAGTAGCACAGGTAATAGGAAAGAACAGCCTAGGCACAGGAAACTATCAACATAGGTAGGAAAGTTACAGAAGTCATTCAATGACTTCAGGGATACTGGTTAAAACTTCCACTATAATTTGTAGATGATAATAGCAGCAAAAATAGAAACTACCACTTAAATACTATCATTTACTGACTTTATTTTATGTACAAAATCATTCATATATTTTAATTACATTTAACCCTTATTATAACACCATTTTAGATGAGTATTTTTTTTTTCAAATGAGAAAATGGAATTTCTCTGAGGTTAAGTACCTTGCTAAAATGAGTGATAAAAATGAAATTCAAGAGAATCAAAGCTTTTTGTATTTCTACAACATCATAGAATTTGGAGGCTAAATTTTGCTATTGGGGAATCATAAGTGTAATGCATGATTATGAGCAACTCCTGAACACCACTCTATATTGAAAAAGAGAGGTTATTGAAAGAGTAGAATTTTTCACAAAAAAAGAAACTTAGTGTAGAGAGGACAAGAAGGACAGGACCTCTTCCACTGAGGCCCATTGAGAATATAACCAGTAACTCCTGGGAATAGTCGCAGGTTTGGTAATCTCATAAGCAATATATCTGGATTTCACCAAGGAATTTGGCAAAGACTTGTGTAATTTTTTGGCAGACAAGGCTGAGAAATATGCGATGATGATATAGTTAAAATCAGAGCTGGTTTAAAACTTGTAATCAGTGAGCTTTTAATATTGGTTAAGAATGAAATAAATCTGTGTTCTAATCTCATATACGTTATTAACTAGACACAAAGACCTTGAGAAAGTCATTAGCCCTTCCAGACAGTATTATTATTAGTTCATCTACAAAAGAGGTTTGGAAATACATATCTCAGTTGCCATGAGTAATATATTGAAAAAGAGAAATGTAACCAATGAAAAATAAAAATTTATAACTCTATTCCTAAAGAATTTGTCTGAAATATAAAAATCTAGAATAAGTTTGGACTTCTCTACATGATATACCTGATAAAAGATATTCAGATTATGTTTGGTGTGGGAAAATTAATTAGAAAGTTCTAGCACCCCAGCTTGGAGGCACTAGAATAACATTAAAAGATAAACAAAAGATGAAAGATTAAAAACAAAATATATATAAATAAGGTCTCTCTATTTAAACAAAAGATGAAAGATTAAAAACAAAATACATATAAATAAGGTCTCTCTATTTATTACTTATTTCCTAAAGTGAACAGCCTTGGTTTCCTACCCAGCATTATCCCATTTCCCCTTAACTTCTTCTTCTTTTTTTTTTTTTTTTTTTTTTTTTTTTGAGACAGAGTCTCGCTCTGTCCCCCAGGCTGGAGTGCAGTGGCGCAATCTCGCTCACTGCAAGCTCCGCCTCCCGGGTTCATGCCATTCTCCTGCCTCAGCCTCCTGAGTAGCTGGGATTACAGGCGCCCGCCACCATGCCCGGCTAATTTTTTGTATTTTTAGTAGAGACGGGTTTCACTGTGTTAGCCAGGATGGTCTCGATCTCCTGACCTCGTGATGCACACGCCTCAGCCTCCCAAAGTGCTGGGATGTTCATACTTTCTCCAAGCTTGTTCTTATTCCTATTGGGTAGATACTAATTCATTTAATCCATTTGGACTATGATGATACATGGATGGGACTGTGACATGTGGGTGCCCAATCATTCTAGAAGGAAAGCTTAACATTCTTAGAAGAATTTCTCTCTTTCTCATTTTCTCATTCTCTGTCTTCTGTCTCTCCAGTGTAATATGAATCAGAAAACATGAACTCAGACTGATGCTGGAAGCCACCTTATGACTATAAGCAGAATCAGCCTCGTTATGACGTTGATGCTATAAGCAACGGACTGAAAGATACAAAGAGCAAGCAGACAGGATGGTAATGTTGAGACACAAATTAACAAATGCTGAAGCCTGATCTACTCCTGAAAGTTATACATACCTTAATTATCTTAGGCAGTTTGAGTTGGAATTCCTGTTACTTTCAGCCAAGAGCACCTTAGCTGGTACACTCTGTGTTCTTTATTAAGGCAAATGATTATCAAACTGGAACAATAATACACATGTGAACAGATGAACATTAAAGTTCCAGGTGTGCCTGGATGACAGTGTTAGAGAATCCAGCTCTTTGGAATAAATTCAAGACTAGGTGCATCTTGGAATATGGACTTAATTTATTTATGTGATACCAAAAAGATAATGCAGGTGTAGTCCCAGAATTACTACAAATAATTCTAGAAATCTTATAAACCAGAATGGGTATAAATTCTAGAAATTACAGACTGTGTATTTCTTGGGGCAGGCAGAAGTCCAGACTGAACAATAATAAGGGTGATTTGTGAGTTCTTCTAAAGTGAAGTGATGATCATTATGAGCTAATACCGGTACCTTAAGTCAGGCCAAACTTACCTCATTCCCTTTCATGAGAAAGTTAGCAAATTCACAGATTCAGTAAATCTCATAAGCAATATATCTGGATTTCACCAAGGAATTTGGCAAAGACTTGCATAATTTTTTTGGCAGACAAGGCTGAGAAATATGCGATAGATCATACAGTGAAAATCAGAGCTGGTTTAAAACTTGTAATCAATGAGCTTTTATTAATGGATAAATGCCACCATGGAGGGAGGTATCACAGGCTTCTCTTAAGTGACTCATCTCATGTGATATTTTTATCAATAATGAAGATGAAGATATTGAAGTCATCCTTCTCAAGATTCGGAGTGCTTTCCAAGTTGGTTAAAAGAGATAGCTGGCTGGGCACAGTGGCTCACACCTGTAATCCCAGCACTTTGGGAGGCCGAGGTGGGCAGATTGCCTGAGGTCAGGAGTTCAAGACCAGCCTGGCCAATGTGGTGAAATCCTGTCTCTACTAAAAATACAAAAAAAAAAAAAAAAATTAGACAGGTGTGGTGGCATGCGCCTGTGATCCCAGCTACTCTGGAGGCTGAGGCAGGAGAATCACTTGAACACGAAAGGAAGAGGTTGCAGTGAGCCGAGCTGAGATTGCGCCACTGCACTCCAGCCTGGGTGACAGAGCAAGACTGTCCCCGCCTCCCCCCCACAAAAAGGCTAGTAACTTAAAAATGAAAGGGTTCTAATTCTAAAAAGACTCAATTGGCTTCAGTGATTATCTTTTTATAACAAGAGAACATTTTCTAACTGTAATGATTTTAAGAACTCAGACTTAGTAGGAAAACATATCTTCTGAAGAACAAGATGGCTAAGATAATATACTGAAAGCATGTAAATATGATATACATGTCTGTGTACCTATTATGTCTCTGTGGACAACTTTCAAAAGAATACAAATACATATAGATGACAAAATTGCTAGGTAAGAATTTCATCAAAACTGTAAGGCCCAGAAATTGGCCCATGTTTTATACCTTGTAGGTCCAGGGGTAGGGGTTGGGGAGGGTGGCAAATGTGAGAGGACGGCAGTGACTCTAATACGACTCCATTTATCCCTATTAATGTGAAGAACTAGTTCCGTTATTAGGAAGACATCCTTATAAAATTATGGGACAGTTAAAAATATAGCTTCCTTTGTCTTATTAAGCTGTCTTGCCTTTTAAAATGAACATCTGTATTTTGGAGGTATGTATGTGTGTGTGTTTAAATTATTCCCTGATCATATGGAATAATACAGAAATTTACTTGTTGGTGTGATCTTAATGATAGATTGAGATTAAGTTAACCATATCCACCCTAAACTTCAGAGTGCCAAAGATCTCTGCCAATCCCCTATTGGAGCTGTTGTGGCATTATTCTAGAAAAAAATCAACCAAGCGTTGGTAAAGATAAACCAAGCCTTGGTAAAAGTAAGCCTTTAGCTTTGCTAAAGGCTGCAGGATAGTGCCTGGGCTAAAAACAGCCAGTTCATATAGACATTAGTTTTTCCCCAGAGATGGGTGGAAAGCCCACAGTGAGTATCAGACAAAGAGCAGCTGCACAGATTAGGAATTGACATGTCTATGTGACCACCCGTCTGAAATATTTTAACTTCTTTCTGGATCCTTTTTTGTTGAATCATGGGAAAGTCATACTTCTGTGATTTCAAATAATTTGCTCTTCAACATCTCAGAGCTTGGTACAGCTTAGAATCTCTGTATTAACAGAACATAGTAACCCTTAAGGGAAGGGTACAGTTATTTATTAGATTTGGGTTCATGTCTTTATAGGTATATTAGTGGCTGATGAAGGAGATTCTAACAGGCCTTTGAAAATAATTGCTTTGTGTGGTAATGGAAGGCTTAGATGGGTTGGCTTTTGTTTTATGCTTTACCTACTTTTTAGTATTGTTTAAAGTTGTTGTAATAAGAATGTACATTTTTTATAATTTAAAAAATGTTTTATTTTTGAAAACTAACAAGGGTATGAATTTAGGTTAATTTTGACTTTCAAATGTCACACATAAAAGCTAACTGATATTATTCAGCTGAATATCATGCATAGAAAAAGAGAAAATTTTCCCATAAGCTGGTCTGAGCTTACCTTGAGTGTTTTATTATTATTTAATCCTGGTTGCTATATTGTGAGGTGTGAGGTGAATATCAGAAAGTTTATATCAGTGGTTGTCTATAGGTTGTTTATATGGTTATCTATCAGAGGTTCTGGAAAAGGTATGTTAAAATTTGAGGAGGGCAGAGTCTGACAGCATTTTGTAGCTATGTAGGCAGGTCTGCAAACTGTCTCATCCTGTAAGAGACTTCTAAACTCTGCTGGAGTTTAAATGTTGGCAAACAATTTGCATTCTTTAAAATCAATGTAGGGGCTTAATATTCATGCCGTGGGCCACCTTAGTGTGATCACTGATCAAAACAGAAGGTGCTCATGATGAAGGCTCTAGAAAGTAGTTCATGTGTGGAAAACCTAAAGGCACTGAAGAGTTTCCGTCTAAAGAATTTACAAGGAAAACTTTTAAATGATTAGAGAGGCTCAGAAAGGACAGAGGGCTTGCCTTGTCAAGTACTGAGCTCTCCAGCTTTATTTACAGAAGCTTGATGATAGCCTGTTTAGGATACTGAAGTGGGTTCCCTATTCTAGTGGGGAAGTTTCTTTATCTTTAAAGTCTTTCTGAAGATAAGATTGTCTAAATCTTCATCTGGGCCATTAGGATAGATAGGTCATCGCTTTGTCTGTCAAGCAGTCAATATAATTTGAGACCGGAACCATCAAAGACACATTGTGGGATTTTTTTTTTTTTCGGCCTACTTTTTGAAGCCTGTTGGATTTCTAGGCTCCCGATTAGAAAACTCACATATATACATATCTTTTAATAGTTGAAAACAAGAATGTAAAAATAAGTTTCCTCTGCTTGTCTTCACATTCTTTATTTTAATAGAATTTCTAAATGTGTGTTTGTGCTCGGATATGATTTAAAAGCTTTAGATATTTGGTGATGCCAGTTGCCTTTTTTTCCCTTTTTTACACCATTACACCATTTAATCTTTTGTGCAAAATTTTTATCTTTTTTCTAAACAATATTTTGGTGTAAACATTACACTTTTTTGTTAGAGTGTAATATTAAGTGTTTGCAATATGCCAGGTGCTCTTCTAAGTGCTATACCAGGGTGGGACCATTTCATCCTTGCAAAGTCTGTATGATGAAGATAATGTCTTTAACCTTATTTATCATCTATTGAAACTGAGGCACAGAGAAGTTAGGCAACTTGTTCGAGGTCAGAAAGGTGGTAAATGGTGTGAGCTAAAATTTGAACTCAACAAGTCCTGCTCTAGTCTGTCCCCTGAACCATAATTCTACAGTGCCTACAAAGTCTAGTCTCTGAAGATGACTTCAAAGAAAGCCTAACAATAATTTGGATTTTGGAGAGAAGAAAATAACATTGAAGTATATTAATTTGTTTCCCTTGTCCTAATATTTTAAGTGAGTTTGGATAGAACAAAAAAAAATTAGAAAAAAATAATTAGTTCTATCACTGCAGCTTGGAGACACTGTAATAACATTAAAAGATAAACAGATTGAAAACAAAATATAAATAAATAAATAGAATCTCAGTGGCTAACCCAAAACAGGTGTTCAGGAAATATTGGCCAGGTGCAGTGACTCACACCTGTAAGCCCAGCACTTTGGGAGGCCTAGGTGGGTGGATCACCTGAGGCAGGAGTTGGAGACCAGCCTGGCCGACACGGTGAAATCCCGTCTCTACTAAAAATACAAAAATTAGCTGGGCATGTGGCGCATGCCTGTAATCCCAGCTACTGGGGAGGCTGAGGCAGGAAAATCGCTTGAACCCTGGAGATGGAGGTTGCAGTGGGCCGAGATCACGCCATTGCACTCCAGCCTGGGTGACAGAGTGAGACTCCATCTCAAAAAATTAAAATATATATATATATTTATTGAGTAAATTAATCAGTAAATTTGTAAGTGACAGTTGAGTTTCATAATGCACACACACACACACACACATATTTGCATACTTTATTTGCATACTTAAAATAGTGTTGACCATAAAAGAAATGCATGGTATTAAATAAAAAGGGCATTGCTGATATTTTTCCTGACACTTGACTGAGCAATCAAGGGCTAGATGATGGAGTAGATATTAGTTGATTGACCTCCGACATCCTTTGCCTCCGTTTCTCTTCTCAATAGCTTTTATTTTCTGTAAGAGTATCCATGAGGTTCTAAACAGATTGACTCCACTCCTGGGTCCAGGGGTGAGGTATATAACTCAAGCTGAGGAAATACTTTTATTTGACCACAGTGATTACTTTGGATTGGGGAGGAGGGCAAGACATTCTAATGAGAATGAATCTCTGAACATCTCTTAGAATGTTGAAACAAAGGGCACTTGTTGACTGGCTGGTGTTGTAAGTGTATGAGGAAACTAAAACTGCCTACAAGCCTTTTTTGCTGTTCTGCAGGAAGCTAGACCAAGAATGAAGTTAATGCATGGATTAGGGAGAAACAAAGTGAAACTTAGCAAAACTGATCCAGGACCCTGATGACACGTGAATGGATCTGATTCACGGTAATAAATTACACACACACCTTAGGTGTACTCTATATTGGATATTGTAATTGCATGAACAAATAAATCCTCCATTTTAAAAGTTTATTTTTATTTATTATAAAATATATCAAACACTGAGAGAAAAGTTTTACTAATACTCATGGAAGTATAGCCCAGACTTAATCAACCAACTTAACACCTTGCCCTGTTTGCTTTAGAACTTTCAAAGAAATAATAAAAATAATTAATTGTAGATGCAACTGAAGTTATGTATACACACTTTTCCAATCTAATTCCCTTCACTTACTAAATGTTAAGATTTTACTATGTTCTCTGTACAACTTTCAAACAAATGAAAACAACTACAGAATGTGTTGAAGAATTCTCTTAATTTTTTCTTACTTAGGAACTGCATTCCTTGAGGAAAAGTAGCACAGTTTCATAATTCTTTGTAACCCCCTGTTGGGGCTTTCTCGTAGCAGGTGTTCGATAAATGCGTCTTGATTATCTATCAGTAAATGAAACATTCTCAAAGAGGTTGAAACCCAAGATTTAGTAGTTGGTCATTAAGGAGCCACGGTGTTAACTGATGAACTGTGGAGAGACTTCATGCTGTGTAATAAGAAGAGAAATATCTTACTCTAAGAGGGGAGTTACCCAACACCCAGCCTATACTAAATGAAGCTGTTCTTAATTCTCTTTCTGTGAGCTCCTGAACATATGGAGATAGTTAAACTTCTGGTTCAGGGCAGAAGAAACACTAAGCCACAGAGCAGTGAGATAACCAAAAACCTCACACAACTCTCAGCACAGGAACTGACGGTGACAAAACTTATCAAATATATTTGAATGCAAAACAGCTCAGCTTACCAGTAATTTCTTCTGCTTGTAGTTGTTATGGTGTCCGTGTGTGTGTGTGTGTGTGTGTGTGTGTGTGTGTGCATGCAATGTTTGTGCAGAAATTCTGGAAGATATAGGCCAGGCATGGTGGCTTACGCCTGTAATCCCAGCAACTTGGGAGGCCGAGGCGGATGGATCACTTGAGGTCAGGAGTTATAGACCAGCCTGGCTAACGTGGTGAAACCCCTTCTCTACTAAAAATACAAAAATTAGCCGTGTGTGGTGGAGCACACCGGTAGTCCCAGCTACTCAGAGGCTGAGGCAGGAGAATCGATTGAACCCAGGAGATGGGGGTTGCAGTGAGATGGGATTGGATTGCACCACTGCACTCCAGCCTGGGTGACAGAGTGAGACTCTGTCTCAAAAAAAAAAAAAAAGAAAAAGAAAGAAAGAAAGAAAAAAAAAGAAATTCTGATTCTGGAAGATATAGAGCCACATTACACAATAAGAGATACCATAATATAAAAGTTGGAATAAGCCATATGTGAATTTAAATTCTGGTTGTATTATTTACTTAACTTTTTGTGACCTGGAGACAGTTTGAACATGAGTTTTCTTGCCTGGAAAATAGGTATAAAATGATTCACCCTTAGGAATATTATTATTTATAATTTTAACTTTTATTTTAGATACAGGGGGTACATGGGCAGGTTTCTTACATGGGCATATTGTGTGATGTTGGGGTTTGGGGTATGGATGATCCATTTACCCAGGTAGTGAGCATAGTACCTAACAGGTAGTTTTTCAACTCGTCCTCCTCCCTCTCTCCCTACTCTGATTGTCCTTAGTGTCTATTGTTCTCATCTTTATGTCCATGAGTACTCAGTGTCTAGCTCCCACTTATCAGAGAGAAGATGCAGTATTTGGTTTTGTGTTGTGGTGTAATTCGCTTGGATAATGGCCTCCAACTGCATCCATGTTGCTGCAAAAAAATCATTCCTTTTTATGCCTGTGTAGTATTCCATGGTGTATATGTACCACATCTTCTTTATCTAGTTCACTGTTGATGGGCATTTAGGGTGATTCCTTGCCTTTGCTATTGTGATTAGCGCTGTGATGAACATGCAAGTGCATGGGTCTTTTTGGTGGAATGATTTAATTTCCTTTGGGTATATATCCAATAGTGGGATTACTGGGTTGAATGGTAGCTCTGTTTTAAGTTTTTTGAGCAATATCCAAACTGCTTTCTATAGTGGCTGAACTAATTTACATTCCTACCAATAGTGCGTAAGCATTCCCTCACCAGTATCTATTGTCTTTTGACTTTTTAATAGTAGCCATTCTGATTGGTGTGACATCTCAACATACCAACTGGTGCGGTATCTCACTGTGGTTTTGATTTGCATTTCTCTGATGATTAGTGATAATAAGCATTTTTTTCATATGTTTGTTGACCATTTGTATACCTTCTTTTGAGAAGTATCTGTTCATGTCTTTTGTCCGCTTTTTAATTTTTTTTTAAGTTCCTCATAGATTCTAATATTATACCTTTGTTGGATGCATAGTTTGCAAATAGTTTCTCTCATTCCATAGGTTGTGTGTTTACTTTGTTGATAGCTTCTTTTGGTGTACAGAAGCTCTTTAGTTTAATTTGTTTCCACTTGTCAATTTTTGTTTTTGTTGCAATTGCTTTTGAAGACTTAGTCATAAATCCTCAAGGCTGATGTCCAGAACAGAATTTCCTAGATTTTCTTCTAGGGTTTTTATGATTTGAGATCTTACACTTAAAACTCTAATCCATTTTTAATTAGTTTTTGTTTATGGTGATGGGTAGGGATCCAGTTTTATTCTTCTGCAAATGGCTAGCCTACTATCTCAGCACCATTTATTGAATAGGAAGCTCTTTTCCCATTGCTTATTTTTGTAGACTTTTTCAAAGATAAGTTGGTTGTACGTGTGTAGCTTTATTTCTGTTTTCTCTATTCTGTCCCATTGATCTATGGGTCTGTTTTTGTACTAGTACCATGTTGTTTTGGTTACTGTAGCCTTATAGTATAGTTTGAAGTCAGGTAGTGTGATGCCTTCAGCTTTGTTCGTTTTGCTTAGGATTGCTTTGGCTATTTGGGCTCTTTGATGCTGTCTGAATTTTAGGATAGTTTTTTCTATTTCTGAGAAAAATGATACTGATAGTTTGATAGGAATAGCATTGAATCTGTGGATTGCTTTGGGCAGTATGGCCATTTTAATGATATGGATCCATCTAATCCATGAGCATGGAATGTTTTTCCATTTCTTTGTGTTATCTATGATTGCTTTCAGCAGTGTTTTGTAGTTCTCCTTGTAAAGATCTTTCACTTCCTTGATTAGATGTATTCTGAGGTATTTCCTTTGTGTGTGTGTGGCTGTTGAAAATGGGATTTGTTCTTGATTTGAAGCTCAGCTTGAACATTATTAGTGTATAGAAATGCCAATAATTTTGTGCATTGATTTTGTATCCTGAAACTTTACTGAAGTTATTTATCTGCTCTAGGAGCCTTTTGGTGTAGTCTTAGGGTTTTCTCAGTATAGAATCATATTGTCCATGAAGAGAGATAGGAAATGACTCCTTATTTTCCTATTTGGATGCCTTTTCTTTTTTCTGATGCCTGATTGCTCTGGCTAGGACTTCCACTACTGATTTGAATTGGAGTGGTGAGAGTGGGCATCTTGTCGTTTTCTGGTTCTTAAGGTGAATGCTTCCAGCTTTTGCCCATTTAATAAGATGTCTGTGGGTTTGTCAAAGATGGCTCTTAATATTTTGAGGTAAATTCCACTGCCCAGTCTGAGGGTTTTCATCATGAAGGGATGTTAGATTTTATCAAAAGCATTTTCTGCCTCTATCAAGATGATCATTTTTTTGTTTTTATTTCTGTTTATCTGGTGAATCACATTTATTGATTTGCATATGTTGAACCAACCTTGCATCCCAGGAATAAAGCCTAATTGATTATGGTATATTAACTTTTGGATGTGCTGCTGGATTTGGTTTGATAGTACTTTGTCAAGAATTTTTGCATCTAAGTTCATCAAGGATATTGGCCTGACAGTTTTTTTTTTTTTTTCATTGTGTCTTTGCCAGATTTTGGTATCTGACTGATGCTGTCTTCGTGGAATGAGTTAGGAAAGAGTCCCTCCTCGTCAACTGTTGGGAATACATTCAGCAGGGTTGGTATCATTGCATGTCTGGCAGAATTTGACTAGGAATCCATCTGGTCCAGGATTTTTTTTGTTGGTAAGTTTTTAATTACTGACTCAATTTCAGAACTTCTTATTGTTCTGCTTAGGTTTTCACTTTCTTCCTGGTTTAGTCTTAGGAGATTGTATGTTCCAGGAATTTATCCATTTCCTCTATATTTTCTAATTTGTGTGCATAGAATTTTCATAATACTTTCTGCAGATCTTTTCTATCTCTGTGTAAGCAGTTTTAATGTCATCTTTGTCATTTCTGATTGTACCTAATTTGGATTTTTTTGTTAATTGGTTAATTAATCTTATTTATTATTTTGAATAACTGATTCCTGTTTCCATTGATCTTTTATAGGGACTTTTGCATATCAATTTTATTTTGCTCATCTCTAATTTTAGTTATTTATTTTCTTCTGTTAGCTTTGGAGTTGGTTTGTTCTTTTCTAGTTTATCTAGGTGCAATGTTAGATTGTTAATTTGAGATCTTTCTAACTTCTTGGTGAAAGTGTTTAGTGCTATAAACTTTCCTCTTAACACTGCTCTAGCTACATCCCAAGAATTTTGGTGAGTTGTATCTCTATTTTCATTAATTTCAATGAATTTTTTATTTCTGGCTTAATTTCATTTTTCACCCAAGAGTTGTTCAGGAATAAGTTGTTTAATTTCCATGCATTTGAGTTGTTTTGAGAGATCTTGTTATTGGTTTGTGTTTTTATTGCACTGTGTGGTCCAAGAGTGTGCTTGGCATGATTTTGATTTTTAAAAAAATTTATTTAGACTTACTTTATGACTGATCATGTGGTCAATCTTAGTATATGTTCCATGTGCAGATGAGAAGAATGTATACTCTGTGGTTGTTGGGTGGACTATTCTGTAGATGTCTATTAGTTCCAATTGGTCAAGTGTCAAGTTTTAAGACCAGAATTTCTTTCTTAGTTTCTGCCTCGATAATAACACTGTCAGTGGGGTGTTAAAGTGTGCCACTATTATTATTTGGCTGTCTAGGTCTCTCCATAGGCCAAGAAGTACTTTTTTTTTTATGAATCTGGGTGCTCCAATGTTGAGGATATATACGTTTATAATAGTTAAGTCTTCTTGTTGAATTGAACCCTTCATTATTATGTAATCCCTTCTTTATTCTTCTTAATTGTTAGTTTAACATCTATCTTATCTGATGTAAAAATTATGACCCCTATTATTTTTTGTTTTCTGTTTGCATGGTAGATTTTTCTTCATCCCCTTACTTGGAGACTGTGGATGTTGTTACATATGAAGCGGGTCTCTCAAAGACAGCAGATAGTTTTGTCTTGTCTTTTATCCAGCTTGCCACTCTTTGTTTTTTAAATGTGCATTTAGACTGTTTAAATTAAGGGTTAATATTGACATGTGTGATTTTGATGCTGTCATCGTGTTGTTAGCTGGTTTTTTTTAGACTTGTGTAACTGCTTTACAGTGTTTGTGGGTTATGTGCTTAAGTGTGTTTTTGTAGTAGCAGGTGTTGTTCTTTCACTTTCATGTTTAGCACTCCCTTAAGGAACTTTTGTAAAGCTAGTCCAGTTGTAACAAATTTCCTTAGCATTTGCTTGCCTGAGAAGGATTTTATTTCTCTTTCACTTACATAACTGTTGAATGGATGATTTTTGTAAGAGCAAATGTCTGCTGGGGTAAACAAGTAAATAAATGGGAGCTATCTCACAATTTTGTGTGAATAATTATGCTGGAAATTTACATGGATATTCAGAATGGTCTATTCCAAAGATGTGTGTCTGAGATTTGTGTTTACCTCCTTTTAATTCACGAGGTTATTATAATCTTTTTCTTAGATCTGTCTTTTCATCTGCTATTTTATGATGGATACAAATCTTAGAAACAGAAAGCATTTACAAAACAAGTTATGAAAGAGTCCCAGTGTGGATGGTACATGGTGAATATGAAGAGAAGACTTAGGTTTGGGACTTAATTCCTACATTAAGTTGCTATGTTACTTTTGCAAACTCTCTTCTCTCCTGTGAGCATCAGATCTATGATCGGAGAATAAGGGAATGAAGTTAGATCAACTCTAAAGTTTCTTCCAGCTCTAAAATTTTAAGTGGCATTGAAGTTAAAAGACTAGGACTATTGGAAAAGGCAGTATGGTGTTGAAGAACAAACTAGGCAGGTGTGGTTCATATTCTTGCTCTTCTGCCAGCTGTGTGACTTGGGGCCAGTTGCTCAACTTTAGATAGGCTGTATGGTATAGCAAGTAAGAACCCTGGGCTGAGGCTGAATTCATATCCTAGTTTTGTCATTGAATTATGCTGTGAACTTGGACAATTCATTTTCTCCAAGTTTAAAAGGGCACTTAAAACACATGGTGTGTAGTTTACACTAAACAAGTGAGCATTTGGAAAGCAGAATAATATGTCTGCCTTACACAGACACACACACACACACACACACACACCTGCCTATAATGCTAGCTCTTATTTTATTAACATCACTAGGCTTCATGATTTTCTCATATTTAAAGTTAGAATAATAATTCATACATTGTCAATTCATCATTTTTGTAGGGTTTGGGGGAAGAATATATAGGGACTCAATCATAATCTCTGCATCCACTTACTGAGTGCCAAGTACTTGTTAGGCCATACCTGGGTATTTCATATGTCACTGTTGTTTTTAGAGATCGAGGTAACTGGTGAAGGCTTCACAGAGGTGACTGGAGCTGAATTGTAAAGGATTATGAAAATTCATTATTTTATTCTCTCTAAATATTTAACCCATTATTTTTTGAATGCAAACTGTGTGACAGACACTGCTCAAGGAAAGAGATGAATAATGGTAAGTACCCATTCTTTATTTATCATATATTTTGGAAGAAGCCCCAGCCAATATAAAAATAAACAAATAAAGACTGTTTTGATAGTAAACATTTCTATAACTTAAATGAAGCAATGCCAGGGAATAAAAACTGATGGGAGAGGGACAGAATGAGATTTAGAAAACTATTAAAGATGAGATTTATAGACTCTGAAGATTCTTACGAGTATTTATTGAAGGAGGATTGTTCTTAGTATATTCGTACAAAGTTAAATAAATATGTTTCCTTTGATTTATATTGTTTTATAACCACTTTCTCTTGCATGAACCATAATGCGTATGGTCTCCTATCCTGACAAATAGTCTCTTTTTCTGTCCAGATTTTCTGATAGGTGAAATATTCAAAATGTAGTGAACCTACATAGGGTTGTTATCTACACTGAGTCACACAAGGAAGGCATTTGACAATTTTTATGTTAGGGTTATATAGCCAGAGCCATAGACACCTGGAATGCTTTTTGGGAAAGAAGTTTCACGTGGGCTGTTTAGTTCAGGGTTTTGGGTGGGTGTGGTTGTAATGCATCCATCTTCCCTTCAGTCTGTCTTTCTTTGATCACATGAACTTGAACACAAGAAAGTCCTCTGAATCTTGGGAGGGGAAATTAAACAGTTGGAAAATGAGCATATTAGCTTTGAGGCTGTGACTATCCCATTTTGCTCCTCAAGCAATTTCAGGTGGGATGCATGTGAAGATAGTGAAGACAAAACTGTCAAAGTATAAGTGATGCTCAGGAAATCAAGGTACATTCAAACTAGAACAGCTACAGAACATCTGGTACCAGTTTGCATTTCCTTTCAATTCTTTAATACTGGGATTTACAGGAAGAGGAACACATTTTGAAGTCCTTCCTGTACTGGGGATATAGAGATAGGAAGAGCAGCTGCTTTTGTGGAAGAATAAATGAGAATTCATTTTTTTCTGAGAACATCTATACACCAAATATTACTTTAACATGCATTATTTCAAATACAACTGCCTGTGCTATCTAAATTTGGACAACAGTCTTCAGTGTACAAATATAATTCATACTTGTTCATCAGTGTAATCCTAACAAATCTGTTTTATAGGTACAGAGTGATGAAACATATGGGCTCTGGATTAGAATTCGTGAATTCAAATCCTAACTTTACTACTTTCTTGATATGTGACTTTGGATGAATTTGTTTCACCCTATGCCATATCATTCTTATTTATAAAATAGGAATAAAGATAATATTGACTACCTATGAGGATTAAGTAGTTTAATAAAAGTAAAGCAGTGTAATTAGGATAGTTGTTGGCACACAAGTATGCAATAAATGCTAGCTCATTTTATTATTCTAATATTATGTCTATGGAAAGAGTCTTTAGAAAATTGTCTTGCCCAAGAACATACAGATAACAATTGGCAATGTTTGACCTTAAGCTTTGTTTTCCTGACTCTGATTCATACTGTTAATTTTTGAATACACTTTGCATTTAATGCCTTGTAATTAACACCGAGGAGAGAAATACAGACATATCTCCTGCTCCGAAGACACTTTACTAGTATCTTCTTTTTTGTCATAACAGGCTATGGAGAAAGGGTATTGGTTTATATCTTACTTAACACTTATTAGATTTTATTCAAGAAGATTGGAAAGTTTTCACTGAATATCTTCAAAGATACTTAAATATTTTCACCAAAATTTCAAAAAGATTAAATTGAATGATGAATAAAATGGCTTTAGTTGACGAAAGCTTTAATTTGGGGGACTAGCAAACATCAGAGTATTCTCATTATTTTTTGCAAACTGAAGACCTCTTGACTGGACCAAAGGAAGATACACAACAAACAGAAAGGCTAGTATGGAGGGGAGGAATAGGTCTAAGAGCATGGTATAAAGAAGGTAGACATAAGCATTTTCCCTTCATATGAATCTACTTCACTCTCTCTCCAACACTCTTCAATGATCCCCATTGCCCAAAGCTTATAATCTAAGATGCTTAAAATAGACCAAAAGGCTTTCCAAGAACTGAGCTTCCTCACCTCATCTCCCGTCTGTCTCCCACTCCTTTCACTCTATGCTTGAGAAACACTGGACTGCTCAGCCTCACACTAGATGATTCTGCACATGACTCATCTTTCCCATTTGTCCTACTGCCTGGAATGCTTTTGACATCAATTATTTGCAAGACTGAAATCTACTCATTAATTAAGTCTCAACTCAGACTCCTACCTTCCAGGAAGCCTTTGCTGATGGAGTTAAAAGCCCATTCTCACACACATAGCATCTTTATTATCACTCTTATTTCATCATCCTAACATTCTCTATGTGTTTTTCCCCTCCACTTCCTCATCTGCATTTCTTAATCTTTCACGGGAACTTGTCTTTTTTTTTTTTTTTCCTGCTGATGATCAGGGGCCACATCTCTCTAGTAATACATCAGATCACAGCGGGGCAGCAGGCAGAGATCCCCCACAAACCCTCACACATGTGGAGCCTAAAAGTAACAATTCTGCCTCTCCTCATCTGCCCCCATCCCTTACCCAAACAGAAACATTTACCTTGGATGATGAGATTTATCAAAAGGTAGAATATGCCCTTTTTAATTATTGAAAATTATGTTTTCTCTTTTTTATGACTAGCAAGTGTTTCTCTAGCAGGAAATTTTCAAAATCCCTGAAGCATAAGGGTATCATATACTATAGTATGCAAATATCCTATGACCTGATTTTAGCTGTTTGTCAACTTATAAATCTTCTAGGGACTCACCATTAAGTTTATTGTTCAGACAATCCTCTTGTATTAGAAGCACACTGACTGCCAGTTAATCTCTTTATACATGGAATAAAGGTCAATTTTGAGACTTACAAACATCATAGATTCATTGAGTCTTAAATTTCTAAAGGGGTAGATTTACAAAAGCTTAGAATTTTACTCCTTTAAGCCAAATAGAAATCTTCTGTGAGCAAGAATGATTTTTTCCCCTTGTTTCTTATCTGTTTGTGTTCTCTTTCTTCTCCTTCTTCCTACTCCTCTTCCTCCTACTCATTTTGCTTCTTCTCCTCTCCCTCCTCCTCTTCTTCGTCCTCCTTCTCTTCATGCCACATATTGCCTAAATGGCACTCAGATGTTTTGACAATTTTGACAATAAAGAATTGTACTACTGACCCGGTGCAGTGGGTCACGCCTGTAATCCCAGGACTTTGGGAGGCCAAGGTGGGCGGATCACCAGGTCAGGAGATCAAGACCATCCTGGCCAACATGGTGAAATCCTGTCTCTACTAAAAATACAAAAATTAGCTGGGTGTGGTGGCACGCGGCTGTAGTCCCAGCTACTAGGGAAGCTGAGGCAGGAGCATCACTTGAACCAGGAAGTCAGAGGTTGTAGTGAGCTGAGATCATGCCACTGCACTACAGTCTGGTGACAGAGTGAGACTCCATCTCAAGAAAAAAAACAAAAAGAATCGTACTACTTATTTTCCCTCAGAACAGCTTTAATACACATGTACTCAAATGCAATTCCCATTTCTATAGATTTATTTCACAGGAAAAAAATTTATCTAACTTCTATTTATCATTAAAAACTTAACTCAGGTATCAGTTATGCAAGAACATATATATATATAATATACCAGGTAGATCTAAATATATATATTTATATATTTATTTAATAATATATATTTAATATATATATCTGGCAAATAAAATAACAATAGCACATATAATGATAAATAATATGATACTAAATATATGTATTGCTTATTATAAACCAGCTAGATCTAAATATATATATGTATTATATACATAATTGGTGAGATATGTATCTGTCTCTCTCAGAGTTTCTAGAGCACTGCTGTCCAACTGAAATATAAAGTGAACCACAAATTTAGGTCATATGAAATTTTAAATTTTTTAGTAGTCATATTAAAATCCAAAATGAAATGGGTACATTAAGTAATATCTTTTACATAATATATTCAAAATATTCTTTCAAAATAGAATCAATGTAAACAATAATTACATTTTTAAGTTCCTTTTTGGTACTAAGTTTTAGAAGCCTGGTGTGTATATTATACTTTCGGCACATTTTTATTTGGACTATCCACATTTCAGTTGTGTTGTTGGCACATGTGCTTAACGGCTACTCTATTGCACACACTGATCTAGAAGACAGGGACTATTCCTCTCCATTTCTTTGCCAGTGCAAAGAAACAGGCCCTGTGGTGTATGGCATCCTTAAATATATAGCTTTTATAGTGGGTTGAATAAACAAAAACACAATTCAAATATAGAACAATCATAAATTTTAAGGATATCAATATATTTAAGGAAATTATACTGTTTTGTGATTGATGTATTGGTTTATGATTTCCATAAGCTTGGAAATAAGGAGAATGTTCTGGCACAGATATCGTATTTTCCAGTAGAGGGTAGAGATTTAACTTAGTGGGAACTTAATGGCACAAGAGAGATTATTCAGTTCGTGGAAACTATTCATACCAACACTTTAGAAGTGGAGGACCAATAAGGTTTCTCGTAAGCATAGGATTTTATTGCACTGATAGTCCAAACAACATAGCCAGTGAATGCATAGGGGTGGAATAGGGTTGGGGCTATATTTTCTACCCTCTCACATCTAGGCTGTCTTGATAAATATCAAATTATTTAAAAGATGGACAAGTCTAGTAGGGTTCACAAACCCCATCAGGATAGCAATTTGCCACAGGAAGTTGATAGGTCTGCTATCATTTTCTTCTCATCAACTAAATATCATTTTATTTGTTGTTTTATTGACTAAATTTCATATACTCTTTGACCTAAGCCTTTGAGTCAGTGTCTCTCTGTTAACAAAGGGTTGCTCAGTTTCTATCGTTTCCCCCTACTCCCTGTCTCTTTCATTGTTCTTTGGCATTCCTCATAAAAGTACTCAGAGAAAAATTCATGTGATTCAGACATAATTAAGAGTTGGAAGGAATTCTCTTAAAGTTCTGAGACTTCCTGAACAAGCTTGCCAGAATTTATGTGTTCACAAGATTATTGGTTTCCATTGTAATCTTCTCAGAAAACATTGTACTTATCCTCACAATATTGCCCTGATAAGAATATTCTTGTGGCTTCTAATAACATTGATTTCAGGGTCATATTATAAACATCCGCAAATATGACTCATTTTGTTAGCACACTTTATTTTCTTTCCGAAATACTACATTACTTAGTTCAATAACCCTCATTTATTCACAAGGTGTGGATTAACTTTCGCCTGTTTGCAAAATAATATTCACTTAAAAAGAAAATGATTTGTGAAAGGTTTGAAGGCAGTTCCCAAAAGATGTTGAGCAATTAATAGTATTATTAGAGTGAGGATAACAGTATCTCAAGGGAACTATTCTCTAATAGTATTTCTTGCGTAAGTGAAGAGTTCTGGTGTCCCAATACAAGTTAGACTCATTTCTAACTGACTTCAAGTTAAGAGAATATGGAGATACTCTTATTATTTGCATTTGATACCATCTTCTGACAAGGCCTATAAAATTACGGCACAGAGTATGAGACAGGACATAATTTTACATATATTGTTAGCGGACAATTAGACATCCTGTATCTAGTTTACAAGGTTTTACATGGCAAGCCTGAATTCACCTCAATTTGTTTGCAAATATTTTTCTGCCTAACTGTGAAGTTGGTCTATATCTAACTTTACCCACTCTACTTTCTGCCTAAGCTAGAGCTTATTTTCTGTATATTTCTTTTTCAGTTCAGTTCAACATCTGTTGATTGAGCACTCACTCTGCCAGCTGGGGCCCCAGACATGAAGACAATACTGTCCTTTATCAGAGAGAACTTAAAGTTGGTTAGAGAACCTGATGCTTAAACAGTTTTAATTTCTTAGAGTCAGTACTATAGTAGAGGGATGCAGTAGTAGCTTATGCGGAGGCAAGATCATTTGTTCACCAAATACTTACTGTATATGCACTCTGGGGCAAGTACTAATGATATAAGGTATCTGGATGGAGTTTAGCTCCTAGGTGGAACATATAACAGATCTTAGTCACCAAGAAGAAAAGAACTCGTTTGTTTCTCCAGAGACTTCTCTCAGTTCAGATTGCTCTGCATTTTAGGAAGAGTTTTGTATCTCTTTGAAACTTGTTTCTTCTGGTTCTAAAATCTTCTGAACCTTCCGAATTGCCATATAATTACGTTTTCATTCACTGAATTCGAATCTCTTTCTCTCTTCTTTTATTCCCCTCCTTTTCTGAATATCTGTGGTTCTGTTTTCCTCATTTACATTCCCAGATCTTATGTTGATCTAGTGCATGAAGCTTCTTACAAGTAAGTCTCTTGCCCAATGACTTAACCATTGTAGATTACGTTTGTAATACACAAATAACATTCTATGGATAGATTTTTAAATATTTCAAAATATTAAATATTAAAATATTTTTTCTGGTTATTGGAGTATGAGTATATCCCTTATAATTCAGAGATACAAATTGTTTAGTCTATAAATAGTTTTGCTTTCAACATACGCAAAAATTTACAAGCCAAAACCAAAAATGGCCCAAAGAAATTCCAAGCATTACTTGTGTTCCTTGTAAGATATTAAAACACATGTGGCTGGTTGCTCTTTAATCTCAGCACTTTGGGAAGGCGAGGTAGGTGGATCCCTTGAGCCTAGGAGTTTCAGACCAGCCTGGGCAATGTGGCAAAACCCCCTCTCTACTAAAAATATGAAATTAGCTGAACGTGGTAGTGTGCACCTGTAGTCACAGCTACTCAGGAGGCTGAGGAAGGAGGATCGCTTGAGCCAGAGAGGTCAAGGCTGCAGTAAACTAAGGTCATGCCACTGTACTCCAGTCTAGGCAACAGAGTCTCAAAAAAATAAAAACTAAAATTAAATATATGCAATTTGTAACCTTAGCAACACTTTCATATCTCATTTTCTCTTCATGTTTAATACACAATACTCAAGAGATTCTCTCATGTATGATCCTCCTTGTAACATCTACACAATGTTTCTATTTCCAGTCAAAGCAGCTTTTATTCTACCTCCTACTGTTTCTTTTCATCTCTCTGTCTCCGTCTCTCCCTCTCCCCCACCTTCTCTCTTACATATTATATAGATTGACTTAACCTTTTGTTTGCCACTTTACCCTCTTTGCCGAGCTTTCTCTGCTTTTGTTCTGACTCTGCGTCATATAAGATTAAGAACTAGTCTAACCAAGATTAAATCTTCTAGGTTGAAAAGAGGGGGTTGGGGGCTGTCAATAAGTAGGACTCTCTTTGAAGGGCTGGAGGAGTAAAAAAAAATTGCAAACTCTCCCATTTTATATTTTTTTCTTTATATATTCATATTTATAGCTCTCATATACAGTGGAATGAAATGCTTTCTTAATCCAAGGTAAACTAAACCTAGATTCTTTAAGCAAACCATTTATTTAATTTTGGTTTTGCATTAATAAACTCAGTGTAACTAGGGATTATACTTTATTTACAGCTCCCATTGCCATAAATTGATGTCCAAAAGCTTTGGATCATGTTTTCATTAAAATCAAAATCTGATGTTCTAGGAATGGGAGTTGTTAGATGTGGCTTTGCCCCCAACAACATTTTCCAAATAATCTGTTGCAAATGCTGAAACAGGGTACCAGTGAGGAGTGTTCTGTAAGAATCTGGACAATACAAATCTGTGTCTTGGATAACAAACTAATACAATGACATCTACTGTTGGCTCCTCCAGTCTTTAAGCTTCTTGGTTTTCAGAGAAGGCCATGGATGTTTTTCAAATTGGAAAAAGCCAGAAGGAAGAAAAACAACCCTTGTTGACTTGAACTTTAGGTTGTTTTCTAGGAAGTGTGCTTTGTTAGTTCACATTTTGCTTCATTTTCTCTGAATTTCCCAAACAACTATACTATAGTTTAAACCACACATTTTAGCTTAGCAATAACTTTGCACTTGTTTATTTTATTTGTATCATCCTTGTGTTCCTTAATGACTTATAAAATACAGAGAAAGAAATTTATCTTGCACTTTTCTAGTATAGTTCCTATTTATATAGTAGCTCCTCAAAAAATACACAATGATAAAAAATCCTGAGGAAAGTGAACAAGGTTGAGTTGAGGGCTTTCTATATGTCAGTTATTGTGCTGGATGTTTTGACAGTTTTTAAAATTTACACCTCATGGCCAGGCGCGGTGGCTCACGCCTGTAATCCCAGCACTTCGGGAGGTTGAGGCAGGTGGATCATGAGGTCAGGAGATTGATACCATCCTGACTAACACAATGAAACCCTGTCTCTACTAAAAACACAAAAAACTAGCCAGGCGTGGTGGCACGCGCCTGTAGTCCCAGCTACTCCGGAGGCTGAGGCAGGAGAATCGCTTGAACCTGGGAGGCAGAGGTTGCAGTGAGCCGAGATCACGCCACTGCACTCCAGCCTGGGTGACAGAGAGAGACTCCGTCTCAAAAAAAAAAAAAAAAAAAAAAAAAAAATATATATATATATATATATATATATATATATATATATATATATATATACACACACACACACACACACCTCATGACAACGCAGTGAGAAACTACTATTCTTATTTTATTTGTCCAATATCACACCACTAGTAAGTAATGCATCTTAGATTTCTACATCTTGTACAGCTGATTTTTATTTCATACTTAAAAAACGTATTTATGTAAAATCCAGGTATCAAAAAGTGCTGGACTCAGTCAAGTACAGTCATGAAATTGGATTTTTTTTCAAGCACTGCTCTCAAACCTGATGTATCAAATTCCCCTTCTCAGTCTCTGACTGGATCTCATGAAGTCCTAACTGTTCCAGCCACAGATGGACAGTCTCATTTTCAGGTTCAGATAAAAGTTTCCAATTCAAAACTTCTCCTTGTTTCAGAGCAGAATGATCCCTTGGTTTCCATGATAGAGCAATGGGAGAAGGGAGAATGGTCTGTTCTTCATCCCTCCCTACCTCCTTCCATTTCCTTTCCTCCTTCAATCCCAGTGATGCTTCTTGATTCTCCAGGTTTAAGAAAGTGAAGAAGGAGGAGAGGAATAAATTAGTTTTGTTCTCTCTTGACTATTCAGTGCCTTCTGTGTGGCAGATGCTCAAAACTTAGGTGTCAAATGAAAACGTGAATATGCAAGTTTATTAAATTGTTTTATGCCAAAGAAAGACTTGGTTAATATGGCTTTTTATTTAGAAAAGTCTGGAGGAAAAAACTGTGAGGACACAACTGAGAAATAAATTAGAGTAGTAAGAGGGGAAAAGCAATCAAGAAGATTTCAGTGGATAAGACATTCAAAGAATTAGAACTGGTAAAAGCGAAAGAAAAAATGATTTATGAAACAAATGCAAGCTTATTGATATGAATAAAATGGAGAAGACATGTGAAGTTGATTCTGTGTTGACAAAGGAGATAAAGGAGATACAGACTGGAAGACCATCTGCCTTTCATTTCCCAAGCACACATTCATTGAAATTTTCATTCACAACATATGAAGATTTGTAATTACTCAGACTCTATTCAGAGGTTTGATGTCAAGAAATAATAGGCAAACTCACAACAGGGATTATGTGTTGAAGGATAAGAAAGGAATATAAAGAAAGATAATGAATATATGCTTTCATTTAACAAGAAATATAGTTACGTTTTACAAACCTATGGGAATTTTTATTTC
Source organism: Homo sapiens (assembly GCF_000001405.40). Taxonomy (NCBI): domain Eukaryota; kingdom Metazoa; phylum Chordata; class Mammalia; order Primates; family Hominidae; genus Homo; species Homo sapiens. The sequence goes on from NC_000008.11 coordinate 121,901,451, forward strand.
CAAAAGGAGTTTCCTTATATCCCATCCTTTTGAAGTTTAGCTAACATCTCTGACAGCATCCGCATGTTAATTGCTTATTTTTTTTGTGGCTTATTCTGTGGTCTACTAGACACATACATACACACACACACACACACACACACACACACACACACACACACACATTCACATTCCATTGTCTACTTCTCTATATATGCTTCTCTATATATGCTAGGTATGGGCTATCTTCTGCAGTATACCAATCTTATAAAACATATAAAACCATATATTTGAAAACAGCTATACATTCTCAACCCCAGGCCTGTAATAGGGTTCAGTGAATTCTAAGGCAGCAGGAGAAATGTTGGCCCTGATAAGGGAGACAAGGGACGATACTCCAAAAGAGCTTCAGGACTCAGCCAGCATGCGTTGGCAGAAGCTGGGAGAGGATTCGTGGAAGTAGATTCTGAAGGCCTTCGATCAAGGAAGCTGGAACATAATGTTTAATAAGGGAGAGTTTATCAATTTGGGAGAATTCTTCTGATACACAGAATTTAACAGCCTTGGGAAAACACCAGGTTATAATGCAAACATGCTTTTAAAATGACTCTTGGAAGAACAGCAAAAACTATGACAGGAATTGCTATGGCAGATGATAAATAAGATGTTAAAAGTCTCAAATATGTGGGCATACTTGGGTGGATATTCTATGTAAGGCCAGATAACTCACCAGAGAACTGTGTCCAATGGGATGTGTTGAGGTCATGCCCTAGTCGAGGGCAATGCCATTTCCAAAACCTATTTCCAGTTGGTGCAAGTGTGGAGCTGGAAAGTTGTTTAAAGGCTTCAACAGACAAGGGATTTTTTTTTTTTTTACTCTAAGCTCCTTTTTGAGTGGTAATACAATTTCCATGGAAGTTTAGTAGCCTCTGTTCTGTTTGTTTCCAAATTCACATACTAGTATTCACATGAATGTTCATTTTTATATGTGGTTCTCAAATCTACTCTTTTCTTCTTTCTTTACATGACTCTCTCTTTCAAATTTAATTATGGCTACTCTGAAATTCCTGCAGATAATATGCTATAGTAAAAAAGCCTCACCTTTGGATTTATGTTTGCCCTAGGTTTGAATATTAATGACCCTTTTCGGTTGTAACTTTCAGTAGGCCTATATCTTGTCATTTGGTGTGATAGGGAGAATGCTTGCTCCCCATTGCCATTCCCAAGATATCCATGTCCCAGACCTGCAAAAATGTTACCTGACATAGCAAAAGGGACTTTATAGATGTGATTAAACTAAGCATTGGAGATGGAGACAGTGTCCTGGATTATTCAGGTGGGCCCAATGTAATCACAAGATCCCTTATAAGAGGGAGTCAGGGACACCAGAGTCAGAGAAGAAATGTGTCATTGAAGTAGAAGGCAGTGTGATGTGGAGCCAAGGAAGGCAGGTGACCTCTAGAAGCTAGAAAACCTGGGGTCTTCCTCCCAACGATTCAGGGCATTATCCTTTGCTTCTACCACTCCTGTTTTTAAACACTTCAGCTTAGAAGTGGCATGTCACAATTCTGCTTACATCCAGTAGGTAAATACTAGTTGCATGCTACTTAGAAATGCAGGAACAAACTGAGAATGACAGAAGTGTAGAAAGAAGAACAGTAAAAGGCTTTGTTGAACACATAGAAGTTTCTGTCATAGCCAGATGAGGCCTTCTTGTAGAAGGGTTTTCATCCTGCAGTTGATACTGTAGGAACTAACCAAGTGAAGAGACAGTGAACTGCTTGAAATAAATGAAACACTTAATAAATATAAATTAAATGAATAAGTGAGTGAAAGGAAAGGCCTTGGACAGAAATGAGCATGGCAGTTTAAGAAGCAGAAGATCATTGAGGATGGAATGAAATGAACAAAATAATGAATATTTGATAAGGAGGATAAAATAAAGGCAGGGGCTTGCCAGATTTTATAGATTTTATAGATGATGCTAATGATTCTGATATTTGTTTTAGGTGTAATGAGATTCACTGAAGAATTCTCAGAGTGGAATGAGCAACAGATTTTCATTAGCGAAAGCTCCTCTAGCTGCTGCATGAAATGATGTCTAGACAGAGGTACAAGTGGCTATAAGAACACGGATGTGTAATTGTCACAGTAGTTTTGTGGGGGAAGTGGTAGTTATACCTTGGCTGAAAGAAATTAAGATGAAAAGGAGTGGATACATTTGATGTATATTTTGGAATTCGGGTCTTTCCTCCACTGGAGTCACTTATGCCTTCCAGTTTGAAATCACATAGACACACACACACACACACCACATATGTGCCAAAGAGTTCTCTTTCTTTTCATTATAATCATTGATAAAAAATTGCTCAATATTTTTCTTCCAAAGGAGAAACTGATAGGGGGGACAGAACTGTGGAAAGTGTAAATTAAATTTAGATTAAGAAGGTTATATTGACAGCAGGTAGATTGTCCTGAGTGCCAATTTGAATGGACTGAATTGCAATGTGTTGAGAAGAATTCAAGGCCAAATTTAAGTCAGAAAGAGTGCCATAACTGACCCTTACTGTCCCCCATGGTGACACATGTGCCATGTATTTGCATTCACATTTTGGAGGTGAAACAGAAAGTCTTATTTTTCCTCTGCAGCCATTTTTAGATCTTCCATTGGATTGGGAACGTGAAAATGGCACAGAAAGAGAAAGAACATGCCAAGAAGTGGGGGCACTCAGGCACTTGCATCAGCTGCCTTGCAACAGTGAATGATAAAGAAAATACTATCATAAAAGGGATACAATACATGGTCCGTGACTGCAAAACCATATTAAAGTTCCTGTTCATTGACGTCATGGTTCACATATGGTGCATATGTATAATTGGAAATCTCAGAATTGCATTTTCATGAAAGAAGATGAAGATACCAAATGCCTTACTAAGAGTATTTATTTGTTTGTCAGTTATTTGCATGGAAATGTGGTAAAGAGAGAGCAATGCCTGGGACTGGGTGTTAGCATTAGTAAGTCAGAGAAAAACCTTCTTTGTAAGAAGTTATATACGAAGTTGTCAACTTTAATTTAGCATAAATTAATAACTGAAGACTGAAACAAAACACAGATGGCATAGAGTCAATCTGGAGTCTTCTAGAATCCTTTATTAAAAGAAAAAACCCATGAGAGAAAAGTAAAGATTGGAGGTCTCAAATCACAGTAATTGTATTACTCAAATCACAAATTCCTCCTTAACTCGACACTTAACTCGATGGAATTTTCATGATGTCAAAGCATGTAGATAGTTGGATAATTAGAAATGAGAATAAAGAACAGCTTAATGAATAACAGAATCTTTGACTTGTCATCCAGATGTTTTGATCCAATAATGTACACATATTTTATTGTGGATGATAGTAATTTGGCTTCAATATGTTACATAAAATATTTTTAAAAGATTAATATTATATACAAATATTTCAGTGTATTAACATCTAGCACTCATCTTTGTAATCATCAACAATTCGGACATTTTCTACTGTAAGCATTTTGCCATGCTCAATGTTTCCTTGCCTTGAAGAGGCAGATGAAACAGACCCCTAATCTTACTCAATGTCCATAGGTTGTGCTTGTGAGTATCGGGAAGAGGAACAGTCTCTTGTAATGTGTTTCTTACCGAAAATATCAATGACTCCAGCCAAATTTTTTGTTCTTATTGAGCCTCAGTTGTTTTTTTCTCCTAAATAAATAAAGGCATTAGAAGTAATAACTATAACACCAATACTTTTTGTTGTAAGTGGCAGAAGCCTAGCTAATAATAACTTAAATATAGGCTTATGTTTCTTACATAAGTGGTTTGGAGATGAGTAATCTAACGCATGGCCGGTGGCTCTATGATACTCACTATTCCTAGCTGTTTGCTTGTCACCTCATGGTCATAAAGTGGCAGCTACGGCTCCACACTTTGCACCTACATTCAATTCAGCTGCCTGCTATGCTAGTTTCTTATATCAGGAATTTTTTTTAAAAAATTAGATTTTGTCTTACATATCGCCACCAGAAATATGTCATATGGCAACCTCTAGCTGAAAAAGGAAATGCGAAAACAAATAGAGACCTGGGCACATTTTTGCCCCAAAACAAAAAGAGGTTCTGTTTGCAAGGAGAAGGTGGAAAGTGACTATTTGGTATGCATCCATTTCTGCCACAGAGACTACCAAGGTCCCTTTCAGCTTCAAAATTGTGATGGAGAAAATTATGCCAGATAAAGTTTAATGCCATAGGCAAGCTAGTGTTGGGAAATCTTTGTCCCATTCTTGTGACTGGAGAGTTGCCTGGAACTGAGAAGATCCCTTTGGGTCCTCTTATTCATGATTACAAAATATAACTTTCACCTAAAAAATTTACATGATTAAAAGAAGTAACTTACACCAAAAGTATCAGGATTGCTTCTAAGTTCCTGGAAAGATTATCAGCACGACTGCTAAGATTTGTGAGCTCTGTGAGAAAATTTCTGCACAATTTCCAATTAAATTAGCTGTTGTCAAGATGTTGCGTTTTTAATATGGTGGCCAGATGTATCTTTTTATTCTGATCATATATTTTTCTGCTTTTCTGAAAATGGTTATAGAGTAATTTTTTTTAAATTCCAGGTTTGACTTTCTAGATTGCTCCAATTTTCCGTGTGTGTGTGTGTGTGTGTGTGTGTGTGTGTGTGTGTTTAATAACTGTAAATAAAACTACCATAGGGTTTTGAAAGCTCAACATACAGAAACAAAACTTAGCTAGATTTAGAAGTGTTCCGATATCTTATTGGCTATTCTCTTTTGCCAAATAATTAAAATCAAAGAAGTGTGCATGAATATAGGAAACTTTAGGGTATTCAACCATTCACTAAACAAATATTTATAAAGTACCTATGTTTATTATGTGCTATATGGCAGGTACTGTTTTAGGCTGTAGGATTATAGTGATAAACAAGGTGGAACAAATTGTTGCTTTTATGAAGCTTATATTTTAGTGAATATATAGAGGTAAAAAGTAATGAACACTCAGAGCAATAGAATAGAGAGTGACTAGGTGTATGAGTCTGTTCTCGTGCTGCTAAGAAAGGCATACCTGAGACTGGGTAATTTATAAAGGAAAGAGGTTTATGAACTCACAGTTTCACATGGCTGGGAAGGCCTCACAATCACGGTGGAAGGCAAAGGGGAAGAAAATCACGTCTTATATGGTGGCAGCCAAGAGGGTTTGTGCAGGGGAACTCCCATTTATAAAACTATCAGATCTCGTGAGACTTATTCACTGTCACAAGACCAGTATGGGGGAAACCACCCCCATGATTCAATTATCTCCACCTGGCCCTGCCCTTGACATGTGGGGATTATTACAATTCAAGGTGAGATTTGGGCGGGGACACAGACGAACCATATCACTAGGCAAGGTGAGTGTAGGGTGCAGTTTGAGATAGAGTGTTCAGTAGAGGTATTTCAGTGACTTTTGAACTAAAGACTAATGTTTCTTTCCTCTATTTACCCCAGTTTACTTACTTTGCAGGATCATTCTTAAATATAACTCTTTGTAAAAGTTTTTATCCTCACACAGATAATTGAATTATTAATCATTTTTTCTACCTAATTCCTAGTACACACCTTAGGAAGAATCCAAAGTTTTTGGAAGTTGATACACATTTACTTTAGGGGGAACCCTCTTTAGAAAAAAAATACTGTAATTGCAATTAACAGCTAAATTTAAATGCAAATATGTGTTTATACTAAGAAAAAGTACAACAAAGTTGGATTTTTAAAACCTGAGAAATACAAAGAACATCACAAAATTCAAAAAAGTAACAATATTTTTATTAACTAATTGGTCAGCACACCTCTATACCCATTTTCCACATATATTTTGACTGCAGTTTTTGTTAAAATTGTCATAACTCAATAACTTGTTAACATTTTCTATAAAAAATGAAGAAAGATGATTCAGCTTTGCCTCTGGCATGAGAAATCAAATTTTTAATGTATATTTAGAGTGCATAAAATATGCATGTTCCCACAAAATGTACTCTCACTTTACACTATAGATTGTGTTCACAAACACACACACACACACACACACACACAAAATCTTCTAGTGATGAATTAAAAAGAGAAAACAGAACAATTTGATTTTTATTAGTTATCAATTAACAAAATTATCTCTTTAAAATTTTACACATCTTCAAGGGAGGGGCCAAGATGGCTGAATAGGAACAGCTCCAATCTGCAGCTCCAAGCAAGACGAATGCAGAAGGTGGGTGACTTCTGCATTTCCAACTGAGGTACCCTGTTCATTTCATTAAGACTGGTTAGGCAGTGGGCCCAACCCACGGAGGGTGAGAAGAATCAGGGTGGGGCATTGCTTCAACCGGGAAGTACAAGGAGCCGGGGGACCTCCCTCCCCAGCCACGGGAAGCCATGCTACCCAGCTGGGTTACTATGCTTTTCCCAGGATTTTTGCAATCTGCAGATCAGGAGATCCCCTAGTGTGCCTACACCACCAAAGCCCTGGGTTTCAAGCACAAAACTGGGCAGCTGTTTGGGCAGACACCAAGCTAGCTGCAGGAGTTTTTTCTTCATACCCCAGTGGCACCTGGAACCCCAGCGAGACAGAACTGTTCACTCCCCTGGAAAGGGGACTGAAGCCAGGGAGCCAAGTGGCCTCGCTCAGCGGGTCCCACTCCCATGCAGCCCAGCAAGCTAAGAAACACTGGTTTGAAATTCTCGCTGCTAGCACAGCAGTCTGAAGTGGCCCTGGGATGATCGAGCTTGGTAGGATGAGGGGTGTCCGCCATTACTGAGGCTTTAGTAGGCGGTTTTCCCCTGACAGTGCCAAGGAGGCTGGGAGGTCTGGACTGGGCAAAATTCACCATAGTGCGGCAAAGTGGCTATGGCAAGACTGCTTCTCTAGATTCCTCCTCACTGGGCAGGCCATCTCTGAAGGAAAGGTAACAGCCCCAGTCAGGGGCTTACAGGTAAAACTACCATCTCCCTGGAACAGAGCACCTGGGGGAAGGGGCGGCTGTGGGTGCAGCTTCAACAGATTCAATCATTTCTGCCTGCTCTGAAGAGAGCAGCTGATCCTGACAGAGGGATTCTCCCAGCATAGCGCCCCAGCTCTGCTAAGGGACAGACTGCCTCCTCAAGTGGGTCCCTGACCCCTGTGGCTCCTGACTGGAAGAGACCTCACAACAGGGATCAACAGACACCTCATACAGGAGAGCTCTGGCTGGCATCAGGCTGGTGCCCTCTGGGATGAAGCTTTCAGAGGAAGGGGCAGGCAGCAATCTTTGCTGTTCTGCAGCCTCCACTAGTGATACCCAGGTGAACAGGTTCTGGAGTGGGCCTCCAGCAAACTGCAGTAGACCAGCAGCAAAGGGGCCTGACTGTTAAAAGAAAAACTAACAAACAGAAAGCAACAAATCAACATCAACATAAAGGACCCCCATAAAAAATTTCCAACCAAAGGTCATCAGCCTCAAAGATCAAAGGTAGATAAATCCACGAAGATGAGGAAAAATCAGCGCAAAAACGCTGAAAATTCCCAAAACCAGAATGCCTCTTCTCCTCCAAATGACCGCAACTCCTCTCCAGCAAGGGCACAAAACTGGACGGAGAATGAGATTGATGAATTGACAGAAGTAGGCTTCAGAAGGTGGGTAATAACAAACTCCTCTGAGCTAAAAGAGCATATTCTAACCCAAATGCAAGGAAGCTAAAAACCTTGATAAAAGGTTACAGGAACTGCTAATTAGAATAACCAGTTTAGAGAGGAACATAAATGACCTGTTGGAGATGAAAAACAGCACGAGAACTTCGTGAAGCATACAGAAGTATCAGTAGCCGAATCAATCAAGCAGAAGAAAGGATATCAGAGATTGAAGATCAACTTACTGAAATAAGGCATGAGGACAAGATTAGAGAAAAAAGAATGAAAAGAAACGAAGGAAGCCTTTAAGAAATAGAGGACTATGTGAAAAGAGCAAACCTATGATTGATTGGTGTACCTGAAAGTGACAGGGAGAATGGAACCAAGTTGGAAAACACACTTCAGGATATTATCCAGGAGAACTTCCCCAACCTAGCAAGACAGACCAGCATTCAAATTCAAGAAATACAGAGATCACCACTACAATACTCCTTGAGAAGAGCAACCCCAAGACACGTAATTGTCAGATTCTCCAAGGTTGAAAAGAAGGAAAAAATATTAAGCGCGGCCAGAGAGAAAGGTCAGGTTACCTACAAAGGGAAGCCCATCAGACTAACAGTGGATCTCTCTGCAGAAACTCTACAAGCCAGAAGAGAGTGAGGGGCCAATATTCAACATTCTTATAGAAAAGAATTTTCAACCCAGAATTTCATATCCAGCCAAACTAAGCTTCATAAGTGAAGGAGAAATAAAATCCTTTACAGACAAGCAAATGCTGAGGGATTTTGGCACTACCAGGCCTGCATTAAAAGAGCTCCTGAAGGAAGCACTAAATATGGAAAGAAAAAACTGGTACCAGCCACTGCAAAAACACCAAAATATAAAGAACAATGACACTATGAAGAAACTGCAACTAATGTGCAAAATAACCAGCCAGCATCATGATGACAGTATCAGATTCACACATAACAATATTAACCTTAAAGGTAAATGGGCTAAATGCCCCAATTAAAAGACACAGACTGGCAAATTGGATAGAGTCAAGACCCATCCATGAGCTATATTCAGGAGACTCATCTCACATAGACTGAAAATAAAGGGATGGAGGAATATTTACCAAGCAAATGGAAAGCAAAAAAAAAAAAAAAAAAAAAAAAACAGAGGTTGCAATCCTCTGTAAACAGACTGTAAACCAACAAAGATCAAAGAAGAGAAAGAAGGGCATTACATATCGGTAAGGGGATCAATGCAACAAGAAGCACTAACTATCCTGAATATATATGCACCCAATACGGAAAACCCAGATTCATAAAAGAAGTTCTTAGAGACCTACAAAGAGACTTAGACTCCCACACAATAATAGTGGGAGGCTTTTACACCCCACTGTCAATATTAGACAGCTCAGTGAGACGGAATATTAACAATATGATCAGGATTTGAACTCAGCTCTGGACCAAGCAGACCTAATAGACCTCTACAGAACTCTCCACCCCAAATCGACAGAATGTACATTCTTCCCAGCACCACATAGCACTTATTCTAAAATCGACCACATTATTGCAAGTAAAACACTCCTCAGCAAATACAAAAGAATGAAATCCTAACAGTCTTTCAGACCACAGTGAAATCAAATTAGAACTCAGGATTAAGAAACTTACTCAAGGGCCAGGCGTGGTGGCTCATGCCTGTAATCCCAGCACTTTGGGAGGCCGAGACGGGTGGATCACAAGGTCAGGGGTTCAAGACCAGCCTGGCCAAGATGTTGAAACCCCGTCTCTACTAACAATACAAAAATTAGCTGGGTGTGGTGGCACATGCCTGTAATTCCAGCTACTCAGGAGCTGAGGCAGGAGAATCACTTGAACCCAGGCAGCAGAGGTTGCAGTGAGCTGAGATCACGCCACTGCACTCCAGCCTGGGCAACAGAGCAAGACTGCATCTCAAAAAAAAAACAAAAAAATAAAAACAAAGAAACAAAAAAAACTCACTCAAAACCACACAACTACATGGAAATTGAACAACTTGCTCCTGAATGACTACTGGGTAAATAATGAAATCAAGGCAGAAATAAATAAGTTCTTTGAAACCAATGAGAACAAAGAGACAACATACCAGATTCTCTGGGACACAGCTAAAGCAGTTTTAAAAGGGAAATTTGTAGCACTAAATGCCCACATCAGAAAGCTGGAATGATCTAATATTGACACCCTAACATCACAATTAAAAGAACTAGAGAAGCAAGAGCAAATAAATCCAAAAGTCAGCAGAAGACAAAAAATAACTATGATCAGAGCAGAACTGAATGAGATAGAGACATGAAAAACCCTTCAAAAAATCAATGAATCCAGGAGCTGGTTTTTTGAAAGATTAACAAAGTAGATAGACCGCTAGCCAGAATAATAAAGAAGAAAACAGAGAAGAATCAAATGGACACAATAAAAAATGATAAAGGGGAGATCACCACTGATCCCACAGAAATACAAACTACCATCAGAGAATTCTATAAACACCTCTATGCAGATAAACTAGAAAATCTAGAAGAAATGGATAAATTCCTGGGCACATACACCCTCCCAAGACTAAACCAGGAAGAAGTCAAATCCCTAAATAGACCAGTAACAAGGTCTGAAATTGAGGCAGTAATTAATAGCCTATCAACCAAAAAAAAAAAAAAAAAAGCCCAGGACCAGATGGGTTCACAGCCAAATTCTTCCAGAGGTACAAAGAGGACAAAGAGCCCATATAGCCAAGACAATCCTAAGCAAAAAGAACAAAGCTGGAGGCATCACGCTACCTGACTTCAAACTATACTACAAGGCACAGTAACCAAAACAGCATGGTACTTGTACCAAAATACATATATAGACCAATGGAACAGAACAGAGACCTCAGAAATAGCAGCACACATCTATAACCATCTGATCTTCGATAAACCTGACAAAAACAAGTGATGGGAAAAGGATTCGCTATTTAATAAAAGGTGCTGGGAAAACTGGCTAGCCATATGCAGAAAACTGAAACTGGACCCCTTCCTTACACCTTATACAAAAATTAAGATGGATTAAAGACTTAAAATAAAACCTAAAACCTAAAACTGTAAAAAACCCTAGAAGAAAACCTAGGCAATACCATTCAGGACATAGGCTTCGGTAAAGACTTCATTTACTAAAACACCAAAAGCAATGGCAACAAAAGCCATAATTGACAAATGGGATCTAATTAAACTAAAGAGCTTCTGCACAGCAAAATAAATGATCATCAGGGTGAATAGGCAACCTACAGAATGGGAGAAAATTTTTGCAATCTACCCATCTGACAAAGGTTTAATATTCAGAATCTACAAGGAACTTAAACAAATTTGCAAGAAAAAAGCAAACAACCCCATCAAAAAGTGGGCGAAGCATATGAACAGATACTTCTCAAAAGAAGACGTTTATGCAGCCAAGAAACATATGAAAAAAAGCTCATCATCACTGGTCATTAGAGAAATGCAAATCAAAACCACAGTGAGATATCATCTCATGACAGAATGATGATTATTAAGAAATCAGGAAACAACAGATGCTCGCGAGGCTGTGGAGAAATAGGAACGCTTTTACACGGTTGGTGGGAGTGTAAATTAGTTCAACCATTGTGGAAGACAGTGCGGTGATTCCTCAAGGATGTAGAACTAGAAATACCATAGACCCAGCAATCCCATTACTGGGTATACACCCAAAGGATTATAAATCATTCTCATATAAAGACATGCACATGTATGTTTATTTCAGCACTATTTACAATTGCAAAGACTTGGTACCAACCCAAATGCCCATCAATGATAGACTGGATAAAGAAAATGTGGCACATATACACCATGGAATACTATGCAGCCGTAAAAAAGAATGAGTTCACGTCCTTTGCAGCAACATGGATGAAGCTGGAAGCCATTATTCTCAGCAAACTAACACAGGAACAAAAAACCAAGCACTGTATGCTCTCACTCATAAGTGGGAGTTGAACAGTTACAAAACATGGACACAGGGAGGGGAACATCACACACAGGGGCCTGTCAGGGGCTGGGAGGCAAGTGGAGGGAGAGCATTAGGACAAATAACTAATGCATGTGGGACTTAAAACCTAGATGATGGGTTTATGGGTGCAGCAAACCACCATGGCACATGTATACCTATGTAACAAACCTGCACGTTCTGCACATGTATCCCGGAACTTTAAGTTAAAAAAAAAAAAATTATACATCTGGTGACTTGAAAGTTTTTGCACTGGTAGCTTCTAGATGAGGACATATTAAAACTGGTTTCTCCTCCCATTACCCACCCGCTTCTGGTGTCTGGTGTCATTGGACATATTAACATTGTAGTACAACTTCTGGCCCTGCACATGTGCGTCATACTGAGTCAAACCCATACAGGACAGCTAGCAAGAACTACGCCTATAAGTAATATTTCAAAACTCACGTAATTCTGTTTCACTAAACCCAAAGTAAATGTCTCCACATCCCAATTTCCCATTAATCAGATTCCACAGATGCTGACCTCCATTCCAATTCCCCCTTAATATAAGGAGAATTGTGGCAGAGGGGAAAAGCAAAACCTATCCACTGATGTTATGATTCTTTCCTGGACAGAAACTTCCTTCTGTGCTTTTTTTCAGATAGCAGATTGTATTCCCATCTCTTCAGATAGAGAGTTCTTGGAGAAATTTAAAATATGCAGTTTAGAATCTGTAATGGCCCCGGTTAGTGCATACCCGACTTACTGGCCTTCCAAGTAGGCTCCTGGTAAAAAGGTGAGGCTAAAAGCAGGCATTCTGTTCAGATTCCCTTGCCCTGGTATTTGAATGAAAACAAATCAACATTTATAAAACAAATTACCTTCCACTTTCTATAAGTTAGGATGTTTTGGATTTCAAGAAACAGAAATTCCAAATCAATTGGTTTAAAATTACCAATCATATCAAAACATGTATCTGAAAGGCCAGAGGTAGAGGTAGGGCAGGATATAGCATGGTTTATCAGTGCCAGCTCCTGTTCTCAGCGATTCTTTTGGCTCTACCATCTTGCTTTTGTGTAGGTTCAATTCCAGGCTTATTTTCTTCCTGTTAAAATTAAAGACGCTTCAGGTCTAATATCTGTATCATGCCTCATCTTGGAGAAGAGAGAGCTTCTATCATCTCATACTTACATCCTCATTGTATCCAGGGAAACTTTCTGTCCTCATTTTCATAGGCCTATATATGGGTACATCCCTGAATCAATACTTGAGGGAAGTAGGGGTACAACTTCACCAATTGAACTAGGCTGTTTAAGCTTTTCACAAGCTGATTTCACAAAGGCGACAAGTAGAGTGGATTCTAAGGGTACAAGCATTAGCTTGTAAATGTTTATACAACAGTGTTCAACTGAAAAAATTACTTATATATACATTATATGTGTATGTGTTTGTGTGTATGTGTGTATGTATGTACGCTATAGGGCGCTTCGAAAATGCTTTGAAGCAAATGTGGCTATCCCCATTTTATAGATGAGGAGACTGAGGCTCTTTCTTTCACGGTTTTCATAGAGGAACCCAACTATGGAGCAGAGAACAGACTTCTTTACCTCAATCTGTCAGATCTTCTAGTTGAGAGGCTTTGAAACACTATCCCTATTCATTTAATATCATCCAGAGAGTTGTGCCTATAGAGAAGGGGCCTGAATCTGCAAAGATTTCATGGGGATTTCCTTAGCTCAAAAAGCCAAGTATGTACAGTAATGGCATCTGTTTCTGGTCATCCAAATGTACAATATAGGACATACCCTTTATTATCCAACAGACAATTCTGAGATTTGAAGCATATTTTTTACATACAATTAAAAATGTTTAAACTTAGTTTAATTTTCCAATAACAATTTCTGTCCTTTAATGGAGGATTTAAAATTTTTCCCAACTAAACAACTTGAACAATGGACCCAAAGAGAATAATGAAGTGGTTTAAAAGAGGAAGGGGGAACCAGGAAATTTTTTTGGCAAAGTCTTCGTTTTAGCTCTAGCAGTTTGTGTAGTTTTGCACAAGTCACATAACTTACCTGGGTTTCTCTTTAACCATATTAAAATAGGAAGTAAGAAACTGCATTATAAAGTCCCTTAGTGTCCCAAACTAGAGATATATGTTGACTTTATGGAACTGGAGAATGTGGCTGACAGGAAGGGAATGAGGAAATAAAAGAAGATTGACAGACAGACAATATTTTAAATTCCATATTTATAATTCCTTTTCTCCTCTTGTGTGTGAAGGCCCCTTCAGGTAGGCCCTGCCAGTAGATATCACCCAGGCGCAGAGCTGCTTTTAGGAAAGCTCTCCCAGAAGGCTTCTGTGCTTGAAACTAAAAAGATAAGAGAGCAAAATTGGATCCATATGGGACAGCCAGCCAAGAACCAAAATGGAGAGGGATGTTAAAACATGTTGTCAAAGTAACAAGGGCTTTAAAAAGGCATTACAAGCTGCAGAGATGGCGGAAATTAAACTGGAAGCATACAAATGAGAGATCCAGGAAGCTGCTCGCAGGTGAGCAGATCCTGTCACCAGTGGACAAACTTTTTTATGTTCAGTGACATTTTGAGCCACAATTTCAAATCCAATTATCAACCTGGGACATAGGGTCATTTTTGTAAATGATAAAAAACGGAGGAATTGGCCGGGCGTGGTGGCTCATGCCTGTAATCCCAGCACTTTGGGAGGCCGAGGCGGGTGGATCACGAGGTCAGGAGATCGAGACCATCCTGGCTAACACGGTGAAACCCCGTTTCTACTAAAAATACAAAAATTAGCTGGGCATAGTGGCGGACGCCTGTAGTCCCAGCTACTCAGGAGGCTGAGGCAGCAGAATGTCATGAACCCGGGAGGCGGAGCTTGCAGTGAGCTGAGCTGGCATCACTGCACTCCAGCCTGGGCGACGGAGCGAGACTCTGTCTCAAAAAAAAAAAAAAAAAAAGGAGGAATTAGTGAAGTAGATGTCTTATTGGAACACTTTAAAATTTTGAATCATATTTAGTTTTCAATAGCACATCTTTCAACAGGTATGCCAAGGAATCTTCTACTGAATTCAGAATGGAAACTCATTTTTGTTGGTTTATAATAGGCCTGCCACACCCCATGTGAGATAAAAATTATTGATTATTGAATCATCTGTATAATTTTTAGACATCAGATAAAAATATTTGCTGTGGGTTTGCATATGCCTCAAATTATTGATAATAATTTTTGCTTATTGTAGGAATATAGTAGAAAAAGGTAGTTATATTGTTGGGAATTTTCACAGGGGCTTTATATACAGTCATTTAAAAAATTATTAAATTCAGTCAACCACTAAATATTTTGCAATTTGTCTATAAACTAGATGTTTTGAATCACAAATTTTTCCCCAAAATTTTGTTAGCTGTTTGTTGTTGTTAATAGAGCCTTTTTCAAATAACACATAGAGAGAGAAGCAATGCATTTTGCTGAACTTTTATTCTTAGACTGCAGTTTACTTGAAAGTTTTGATTTAGATCTTTATTTTTTGCCTTTTAATTTAAATGTCTTGTTGGTTGAGTGCTCATCAATTAGCCCATTTTAGGTTTCTTTACTGGCTATAGCTGTTTTTAACACTGAAAAATACCAGAATGACAGTTTTCCTTTCAATGTGGTAGAAGTCAATGAGGTACTTTACTTAGAATAGCTTGGGATTGTGTGTATGTGTGTGCATGTGTATTTGTGTTGGAGGTGAGGTGGGTTGCTGTGGAGAGTAGATGGTTCAGCCCAGGTATGTGAACCTCAATGCTGCCCTGAGTCAGGAGGCTGGGGTATAGAGCTTGGCCTAATGCAGAAATATAGCTGACACTTTGGGAGGGAAATTATCTCTTACTTGAAAAATTACATTAAATAGTAATGTATACTATACTTAAATGTATACTAATATAAAATTTACCAATTTTATATTTGGTAAATGAGTAAAAGGTATTATATTCATAATGAAAACTAAAAGGTTTCATAGATGTTTGAAAATTACTGAGTGGTCTGTTAAGACCATTTTATTTTAACAGACTAAAAAGTCAAATATATACCCATTTCTAGTGGCTTCGTCTCCATGTCACTGTAAAGATGTTTCTTTGTCACTGGCATGGCATGGATGATTTATTTCTTCTTTCTCTGTCTGTTGTTCATGTATATATTATATATTAGCAAGTCGTACTGGACAAAAAGTTGTATAAAACAAAAGAAGTCATCAATCTCCTAAAGGAAATAAGCCCATACCTATCCAAAAGCATATGTGGAATAAAGCAAAACTTTGGAATCAGAAAGACCTGGATCAATAACACAAATCTACATTGACAATTTAATTGTGTTGCCTTGTATAAGTCACTGTCTATAAATATGTAATTTCATATTTAAAAAGCTGCATAACTAAACCGAAGTTAATTTTTGAGGATTCATGAGAAAACTATCTGAAAAGAGGTATGTGAAAGGCAAATTTTCTTTGAAGCCTAATGAAAGCATGTTTGTAATGTGAGTAATAATAAGAATGATCATGCTATTACAGTAATAGAATATAATAATAATAGAAATAGTATAATAATTATTTTTTACATAGTTGGAGTCACCTTAACAATGACTTTTTGGTATGGAAGGATCACAAGCATTAGCCAATTCATTATGAAAACATAAAACAAATATGTATTCTTTATTCTTGAGAAAGCCCTAAACCAGCAAAGTAATTTAAATGCAAGTGCTTCAAAGTTAAATGCTACATATTCTCATCAGTTATATAGCCTGGCTTATTAATGTAAGCAGAAGCAGACAGGGTTATAGTTTTGTTTTGTGTTTTTTCCTAAAACTTATTTTCTTTATTACCAAATGCTGTGTTCATTTGCTTTTGGGAAGAATGTGAGTGCGTGTGTGTGTGTGTAAGCTACTAACTCAGGACTGAACTTTCCTTCACAGTAGAGAAAAATATATAAAAAAGAACCTTAGAGTGCTACATGAACAAGACTCTATGCCCCACATATATTTAAGATAAAATTTCCCAGATGTGGAGATATGCAATGATGTCTCCCCAATAGATGGTAAGATCCATAAGAACAAGTAATATGTGTGTTGTTGTTTCATTTTGCTGTTGTTTGTAATCACTGAGCATCCAGTAGCTTAGCACAATGCCTGGTACCGGAAATTATTATAGCTGTTGAATATATAGATGAGATAATTGTTAAATGAGTGAGTATCCACCAGAGTATATAGGTGTTGCCATTATGCACACCACGGGGCAGAATTTAGTTCTTTTGAGTCTGTGGAAGAAAGTTCTTCTATCTCTGGAGCTATGAGGAATTTGGAGCTAGACTCCATGGGATAGAAATAGAAAATGATTCCTACTGGGAATTAGCTTGCCTTCAGTTCACAGAAGCAGCGGGATTTGGAAGAGGATATGTGGATGAACTTGGTCTTTGTTTTTAGGCATATTTATTTCTAGTAGCAGTCAAAGTATTTAATTAATTAGTGTATTCGTTTGTTTTATATATATATGTTATGTATTTATTATATATATGCTTAGCTACACATCTATTTAAATTATCCTAAAATTGTTAAATATACCAAAACTATTTTCCTAAAATTTATTAAATACTGTAGCCTGGAATTAGCAGTGATTAATCTGAAGGCACATTTTTAGGTGCTTTGAAGAGAATCAGGTCAAAGTAGGGTGATCAATTAGAGAGAGAAAGGAAAGACACGGTAAAGCTGTGAAGCACGTACATGTTTTGGAGGGGAAATATCAGATATTGCTCTGGGAGAGGAATCTGGTAGAACTAGGAAAGACAAGAGTTTGGATCTATTGAAATTTAGGCATGAAAGGGAATGTCACCACATTGAGGTCTGTGGATACATCCATATGACATCCTAAAAAAATCAGCATCCGGCATGTATGGGATCATCCTAAGGTGGTTATTGTTACTACTATTGTCTTTTTTTGCAATTACTGCTGTGATTGACACTGTGTCCAATCACACTGTACATGTACAAGCACTTGTTAAATGCCTGAGCCTGTGAAAATGTGATAGATGACATCAAAATTTGGCAACACCTGCAGTAAGAAATGTAAATTCAGTTCTTCAGATAAGGCATATGTTTAGGAAATATATAATCGGCAAAGAAAATATATGATGAAACATAAGTTCATTTATTACTTGGTGTAAATGCTGGGGAATCTTATCTTGCTTGACTCAGTGGCCTGAGTCATGCCTAATTCTGGAAAGGAGGGGTCATAGACTCCCAGACAGAAGTCATCTTGCCTCTGGTTGAGAATAAGACAGAGATTAAAAGATGTCTCCCAGCAGTGCCCTCATAACCTAAGAATTGAGTGGAGACTTAAAGAAAGAGTGGGAAGTGTAGGACATGGTTTTCAGGTCTTAACTTTTTGCCAAAGAAAACAAATGTCATTTTACTTGTTTTTTTAACGGAGACACAAGTAATGTGTGAAGATGCTGCTATTGTTGTAAAGGAGTTCTGACAGTGAAAATTTGTAGAAAAGGAGGCAACTTTAAAGGAGCCATAAATTTCCAATTTCTTCCTCAAGACTTCAGAACAAGTGTGGTTCCTCAATGCTCAGGGTAATCTAATTCGGAAATGAGCTAACAATTTCCTCTTGAGTAGCCCTCTGTATTGCTGTTTGTCTGAAGCAGAAATATCCAGAGAGGCCAAATGTGTGTTCATGTGAAATGTCGGTGGCAACAGAGACAATATTTTGGCCAAAAAATTCAAGCCAAAACAATTTTTCATTATACAGAGAGAATATTAATATTCTGTTTTTTCTTATATGTTGGGCCAGCATTCTTTGAAAAGAGGTATTTTATATTTTTCTTTTGGATCATAGACTTGTTAACGGAAAGACAGAAACGGACTCTAGAGATACAAAGGTTAATAATATTTTTGAAGAAGATGTAAAGACAAGTGGTTTCTCTAAAGTCTTGTTGCTTATCACCCTAGTATTAAAGGGAAACATGAATTGACTTTCTTAAGAAACATTTAAGAACAGCAGCTCCCAAAACTGTAAGCCTTAGTTTACATGTTTCCAAATGGAAAATGTATTACTTCATGTTAACTAACAGGTGCTCATCATAAATACTTGCTGAAAACTAAAGAAAATAACTTGTGTGGAACTTGAAATGGAAAAAGGAAGCCTAAGCATAAACCTCCAATTCTGAAGCAATTAAGCTATGGAAAAATTTTCAAAGTTAATCAAATTAGAAATTCATTTAAACAATCTAGGGAAAAATGATTAACTTATTCTTCTGATTTAATAACTAAGGACTGATTATCTAAGTAGTTGGTATATGAAGAGTACACAATTTATAAATAAGAGGTCAGTGCAAACATCAAAGAAAGAAGCATGGTTTACAATGGAGTGAAGAATGAAAACAGGGTAGTTTACTCATTCCTTTAATCACCAAATATATATATATGTTTTTTTTTTTGTTTTTGAGTCAGAGTCTTTTTCTGTCACCCAGGCTGGAATGCAGCGGTCTGATATCGACTCACTGCAACCTCCACCTCCCAGGTTCAAGTGATTCTCCTGCCTCAGCCTCCCTAGTAGCTGGGATTACAGGCGTCCGCCAACACACCCAGCTAATTTTTGTATTTTTAGTAGAGACAGGGTTTCACCATATTGGCCAGGCTGGTTTTGAACTCCTGACCTCAGGATTCACCAAATATATTTTGGTACCTAGTAGGTACCTAAAATGGGGCTCGGTGCTAGTGACAAAATAATGTGCCAAAATGAAGGAAAGGAACATATAGCATGAATATCTCAAGAAAAATACACTTTCATAGACTCTTCTCCATTCTACCCAGGACTTCAAATGTGAAAACAAAACCTGTCAAACATAAGATGTGTTTATATATAGGCAGGCTGCCCTTCTCTTTTAAACTGGTGACCTGATCAATATATTGTATCTGTAGTTTTTAGGGTTCTGTGATTCTAAGAATCTCAGAAGAAATGATAAATCAAAAAAAAAATCTGAACCAGATGCATAGGACAAGTGCTATTTTCTCTTGGCTAAATGTATTGAAAATATGCTGTCAAGATCTTTGACCTAGTTCTGTCAACTCAGAGAACACAACTATCATAGAAGAAAACACACTATTATGTATTTTTCATAGCTACCCAGATGGACTCTACATTACCTTACGGTTGCAGGATTCTTGATGTTCTTTTATTGTAATGTTGATTTTATTGTTACCAGATACTTGGCCATGTGCCTTGGGTTATCCAGGTTCATGGCCCAACAAACGAAATAAAATTGGAATCATACTGAATACCTACATTTGATGAAATAATGATATGTAAGAGAAATAAGAAGGATAGCACTAAAGGGGGAAAACTTTTAAGTGCTATCTTGTGAGGGCAGACACCCGAAAGCCAAGAACCTTTTAGAACTGAATTCAGCATTCTAAAGAAAGTTTTAATGTGTGAGCTAATTCCAGAGTCTACCAAGACAAACTGTATTTATATGTGATTCACAAAGCTTTGTTCCAAAAGGCTATAAGGACCTACTGCGTAAGTGATGAAATGCACATTCCTCTCACCTCCAAAACCCCATTGCACTGACTTTTGTCAAAGCTTGTCTGCAAGGTTTGATTTGAAGTTAGATTTTTAACACATTTTCATATATATGTTTGATTGACTTTGGCAGATGCTTTTTAGTGAATCCCTACATTCAGCAAATCATGCTAAACAAGTTACCTTAGAACACAGCCTTTCCTGTTGCTCACATAAACAATAGCTATGTATTTAGTAACTTAAGAGTAAAACGTTCAGGCCGTCCAGTTGAGCTTCACCACACAGCCTGCCACCTTTCCTCCTCCTGCCTTATGACACACCAGATTATTCTTTAATTGGCTTCTTGAGTTACTACCTCCCCAAACTTGACCGATAGGAGCAATCAGTGACATATGTGGTGTAATGGAAAAGAACATGGGACTGGGAGCCAGAAAACCATAGGTGGAGTAACAGCTCTGCCTTTTATGAGCTGGACAGCATTGAAGAGTTACTACCTCTCTGAGCCTCAGCTTCAATATTCTTATCTGTAAAAGGGAGTAGAATGCACGTCTTGTCTATCCAATAAGATGGGTGTGATGACTTAATAGGAACATATGTGGAAAAGCTTTGCAAATAAAAAAGTGCTTTACAGTTGCAAAATACTCTTGATGTGAAAATAACCCTTTAAATCTAAAAATCTTGACATTAAGTGCATTTGACATGTAATATTGATATTTTAATAACTATTTCAGAGATGATTTACACAGATTCTAAGTCACATACTTCAATTTATTCTCAAGTCTATCTGATGTGGGGGGAGCCCTGACTTGTTGTAATGCCCATGTCATTGGATATTCAGAAAATATCAGAGGCTAAGAATAAGATTAAGTCATTTCATGTTGCCCCGTAGCTGGATTTCTGGGGAATACAATTTAAAACCAAAGCCAGGATGGCAACCTTTGACTTCCTGATTACAGAGTTCACTTTCCTAGCCAGAACATAGAAAAGTTCTTAATGTACATTTTACACTCACAAAAAGTATGGCATAATAAACTTATGGTGAGGATTCTCACAATATGCTAAATGAACACAGTAGAAGGCATTCCAAATTATATTGGGGCCTATTGACAAAACATTGGGGAAAATATTGGCATTAGCTGCGTGAAGGTAGAGGGCTGGACAGATCCTGAGATCTGTGAGATAGTTTAAGACCTGAGACCATATGACGCAGGTGAGGAAGTAGAAGTAATCTAGCTTGGCTGGAGAAAACAAGCATGTAAGCAAAAGAGACTGTAACCTGTCCTGTTTTTTAGAAGACTTCATATAGAGTTCTTGTACTTTATCTCATGGTTCATCATGGTCCAAAGCAAATACATTTATTTCTGCTCAGTTCATCTCTATCTTCATTTATGACAGATAATATAAATTATTTAATCATTTGAGCATCTCTTGAGTACTTGTTATATAGACTAGGGCTAGAATATACCTTCCATATTCACTGTAGTCTATATTTCATTACATAAAAACCTCTTCATGATTTTAAATATAGTTCTTTTAACAACAATTTGTTGAGTTTCTGGTATCTGTCAGGTAAAATGAAAGACACTGGAAACATAAAGATAAACAAATAAAGTTACCTTCATTTGTATCCATAGATTCTATTTATCAATATTTTATCTTTTTTTTCTGAGTCAGGCCCAGATTCTTCATGATAATCTTTAGTTATAAATCTCTGAGTTCTGATACCATTTTAGTAATTTCTGTTATTTGTACCTTAGTTTATAACCTTGAGGATAAAATAATTATATGTTCATTAGCCAGCCATTGGGTTCGTTTCCTGTGGATTGTGTCCATCTCTAGCCTAATCTGCTGTGGTTTGGTCATAAAGCAAGGAGAGCTGACACTATAGAGTTATGATCAGGGAAGATGAAAATAGAATTGTCAAAGCCCAACTGTGATGTAGAGTATGCTCACCACACTCAGGAAAGATGTGACCATCTATCCCCTCCATTCTGCTCTGTTTGTATCTAAAGTATTGGTATGTCCAGAGCATTTTCATTTCTGGAGACTAAAATCAAGATGAAGGTGTTTCAAAGAAGATTATCCAGGCCCGGCACAGTGGCTCACGCCAGTAATCTCAACACTTTGGGAGACTGAGGCAGGAGGGTCATTTGAGCTCAGGAGTTTGAGACCAGCCTGATCAACATAGTGAAACCCTGTCTCTACTAAAAATACAAAAATTTAGCTGGGCATGGTGATGCTTGCCCTTAGTCTCAGCTACTCAGGAGGCTGAGGCAGGAGAATAGCTTGAACCCAGAAGGCAGAGGTTTCAGTGAGCCAAAATCGTCCCACTGCACTCCAGCCTGGGCAACAGAGTGAGACTCCATCTCAAATAAATAAATAAATAAATAAATAAAAGATTATTCCGGGGGATTGACTGGCTAATTAATAATATTCTATGAGTTATGTTGGCAGATGTAGGATAAATGAAGCTTGAAGACGAGAACCCATTAGTTGGATAAACTGAATAGGGTGGGATAATTATGGCTACATTCAGATATCTAGAGCTTTGCTATATAAAAAAGAAATCAGCTTAATTCTTCTTGTGTGTATCAGGAACCATAGCATTAATATTTTAAAGGAGAATAGGCAACCTCAAAAGAGAATTGCCTCCATATTACTAGACATGGTCAAGCAAGAGTGAGTGTCTCTACAGCTGGTATATTGAAATTTAAAGTACTAGAAGTTTATGTTATAGAAATTTGCAATAGCGTAGGTTTTAGACTCAGTCTGGCGCACAGTAGTTGCATTATTTAGGGCTAATTTGTTCATTTGTAAAGTGACAATAATATTAGTATCTACTTAATAGGTCTATTATGGTTTTATTAAAATAATTCATGTGAAGGATTGACAGATGGTAATTATTAGATGACAATTATTGTTAAATATCACTATTTTAATGATACTTATTTAAATTTTGATGTGCCATTTTTTTCATTTTTTCATATCTTCTAGTACATCTTCCTTCAGTAGAAAACTAGGACCTCACACTCTTCTTACTTGTAGTCTGTCACTTCTAGTTTTCTGGGATGCTGTATAGATATTCCGGAACCATCCCATATGCTATGGACTGAATTGTATTCCCCAAAATTCGTATGTTAAGCCCCTAATCTTGCAGGTGATGGTATTTGGAGATGAGACCTTCCGGAAGTGATTAGGTTTAGATGAGATCATGAGGGTAGGGGCCCCCATGATGGAATTAGTGCCCTTAAAAGAAAAGAGAGCTTCCTTTATCTTTCTCTTCCATATTAGGATACAGCAAGAAGGCAGCAGTCTGATGCCAGGAAGTGAACCCCAAGCAGGTCCTGCATCTGCTGGCATCTTGATCGTGGACTTTCCAGCCTTCATAACCATGACAAACAAATTCTTGTTCAAGCCACTCAGTGTATGGTATTTTGTTATGGCAACCAGAACTGACTAATACACCCTGCTTCATGATTTCTACACTAGTAATTTGGTTTTGGTTCCATGCTGAGTTTTTCCCAATATGTTCTATGGTCTTTTTCAGTCATAAGTGATCTGGACTCATCTTTCTTCAGTCATAATCTACATGAAATGAGGTAAATTACAGCAAACTCCAACCCCAAGTGCAAATTACATTCATTGAATCCAGTTTTAAAACTCATCTGAGGCCATAGCATTTTTATTGCCTAAACAATTATATCTCACAGCTCACACATATGGGCCCAAGAGTATCCACAGATTGATTCCAATTTCTTTCACTCAAATATTAAATGAACTGCCAGAGTTAAAAGACAGTTATATAAATTCAATACCAATAAATAAGGACCGGGCAGGGTGGCACAAGCCTTATAGTTCTAGCTACTCAGGAAACTGAGGTGGGAGGGTTGCTTGGGGGCAGGAGTTCAAGATAAGCCTAGGCAACATAGAAGACTCCTATCTCAATATGTATTTAGACACCTACCATATGCCATGTACTAGAAGGTACCAGAATATCCTGAAGGTTTAGGCATCTGTGGATTTAAATTCTAGTTTTGTCTCTCATTAGCTTTTAGAATTTGTGTAAATCACTAAAATTTTCTGTTTCATTTCCTCATCTTGAAAAAAATTAATGTTGGGGCTGGGTGTGGTGGCTCATATCTGTAATCCTAGCACTTTGGGAGGCCAAGGTGGGTGGATCACTTGGGGCCAGGAGTTCAAGACCAGCCTGGCCAACATGGTGAAACCCTGTCTCTACTAAAAATACAAAAATTAGCCAGGCGTGGTGTTGCATGCCTGTAATTCCAGCTACTCAGGAGCCTGAGGCAGGAGAATAGCTAGAACCTGGGAGGCGGAGGTTGCAGTGAGCTGAGATCACGCCACTGTGTTGCAGCCTGGGTGATGGCAAGACCATGCCTCAAAAAAAAAAAAAATTGCGTTGGACTAGACCAGAGTTCCTCACTCTCAATGTATCAACACAGTTGTGGGAACTACAAGTTATTTATTATTGATAACCTTTAAAACACTGTAATATCTGATTTTTTTTTTTTTTTTTTTGAGATGGAGTCTCGCTCTTGTTGCCCAGGCTGGAGTGCAATGGCACGATCTAGGCTCACTGTAACCTCCACCTCCCGAGTTCAAGTGATTCTCCTACCTCAGCCTCCCAAGCAGCTGGGACTACAGGCATGCGCCACCACATCCAGCTAACTTTTTTGTATTTTTAGTAGAGACGGGGTTTCATCATATTGGCGAGGCTGGTCTTGAACTCCTGACCTCGTGATCCACCCACCTCAGCCTCAAAAAGTGCTGAGATTACGGGTGTGAGCCACTGCGCCTGGCCCTGAAAAATTTTTAATGAAAGTTCAAAGTTGTATCTCTATTAACTCCTTTCACCATTATTTTAACACATTTTTTGAGAGAAATGAGCTGTGTTGAAGTGAATGTCCTGAAATGTGCACATGACATTGGGTATACATCAAAGTTTGTTGTACATGTTAGTATCATTTATGTTGCAGCCCAAAACAAGCAAAAACCCTTTAGATACAGTGGATATATGATAATCTATTCTTAAAGTTACTGTGTCTAAGAATCACTCAAGGAACTTGGTCACATACACATCCTGGGTCTCATACCCAAATATTCTGATTCAGAAGTTCTGGAGTAGTTCAAATAAATTTACTAGTGCTGATAGTTCATAGTTCATGAACCACTTTTGTTTTTGTTTTTGTTTTTGTTTTTGTTTTGAGACGGAGTTTCGCTCTGTCGCCCAGGCTGGAGTGCAGTGGCGCGATCTCAGCTTACCGCAAGCTCCGCCTCCCGGGTTCAGGCCATTCTCCTGCCTCAGCCTCCTGAGTAGCTGGGACTACAGGCGCCCGCCACCACACCCTGCCAATTTTTTGTATTTTTAGTAGAGACAGGGTTTCACTGTGTTAGCTAGGATGGTCTCGATTTCCTGACCTCGTGATCTGCCCGCCTTGGCCTCCCAAAGTGCTGGGATTACAGGTGTAAGCCACTGCGCCCGGCCATGAACCACTTTTAAGAAACCCTGAACCTGCGTTGTCTGTAGGACATTTAGTATCAATGCTATGAATCAGAGACCACTGTAGTGGTTCAGAACACAGGCTTTAAAATCCATCAAACTTGGGTCTAAAACCTGGCTTTAACGTATGCATTCTATGTGATCTTCTAAAACCAAGCTAACTATCAACCTGTGTCAGCCTTGCTTTCCACATCTGTAAGAGTGAAATAGTACAGAACATTATTTTCTCATATACTGTAGCTGTACAACCAGCTACTATATATGTTTTGAATTTTGATTTTTAGATTTTAGAATGATACTTGTCAATAAGTGTTTAATAAGTGTTGGCTATTGTCATTAATCTAAATATAAAATGTTTCACACTTCTAATTTGTAATTTTTTTCAAATGTTAGTTTTTTATTTCATTATTTTTATTTTTTTAAATGTTAGTTTTTTAATATTAAAAGTTTAAAAATACAGAAATGTAATTTATAAAGAGATCCATTTCCACCGTGTTCTCATCACTGTCAGAGATTTAATAGCTCACCCCATTTTCCTTAGAAAATGCTTCTGTTCTGGAGTGTGGGATCCTTTTGCCCAGAGCAGTTACAGAACTTTGCATGGTATATGAAAGCTGAGGCTTTTAGAGCTTGTGAACCAGAATATCTGAGAGGAGAAAGTCTAGACCATAGATATACATTGGTTCACTTAACTCTGAGGCGGTAGGAGCAGCACATCCCCAAAGACATGTGACTACACAGGAGACATTAACTTGGATCAAGTGATACAATGATTCCTGGAAACTGAAGAGTTAAAAATTTTATGCCTTGGGAGTTTTAAGGACGAGGCTAAGTGGCATGGAGAAAGTGGTTTCTATGGACAGTGTAGAAGTGGAACATCAGTCCTCACGCAGATCACACAAACTTTAACACCAGCATTTTTCTAGGTCACCAGAATGGATAGCTATCCAAAGGCCCTTTCCTCCCAAATGTTCTGCATTGCATAAGCATTAATGTATTCTCCTGTGAATCACAGAGAGACTCTTGGTCTCCAGGTCATGGATGAAACAATTTCCTGCCAACTTTGAGAGAGATTTATTTTGATAAAGCAAAATAATGTAATTAAAAAATATATGAGCATCATGGGGGATAATGGTATCCATTATATTTAACTATCTAAGGACTTTAGGAAAAGACTCTTTCAGGACCATGCCCATGTCACATGATAGAGCATGGCCTGCTTTGCTTCATGTATCTGTTCTGTATTGCAGTGATGGGGTAGATGAGTGGAAATGAAACTAATAACATCAAATGTTCTTTCCACAAACACCAAAAACATAATTGAATAAATTGGAACATTTTGGGTCTAGGGTTATGCCGAATTAGAATGAAGCCCTAGAGGATGTGAAAGACCCCTGTACAGATGAGCAACTCAAAAATTAAACGGTCACATGTGAAAAAAATTGACACCACCAGCAACATGAGGTCATGTTTCATCAGAAAGGCTTGACCAGCTAGAATGACAAACAAGTCTAAAGGTGACATGGTGCACTTTGAATGTGTACAAGTGGAGGCTGTGTTGAAAATAACAACATGCCAGAATGTGGCATGAGTTTGAATCCCAACTCTGCCATTTATTACTTGTGCATTCTTGGCATAGTCAGCTTCCATTTCTTCTGTAGTAAAAACTGGTAATGTAATTGTCAATTGGGCAAGATTATTATAACAGTTATATAGATAATTCACATATGAGAATCCCTCATGCAGTACATGGCACGTTTTAGTAACTCAATTGGTTCAATTTATTTCAGTCAAGACCATTCAAATCAGGAATAATTTTTTTTTAATTGGTCAAACATCTGGTTGTTTGGTGTTATCCAGACATGTTGGATTGACTCTTACTTTCCAACCAGATGTAGAATCTTTTTGTATCCATCCAAATATTTAATGTTGTGCAGACACACCAGGATTACACTTTTAACTCTGAAAGGACAGCCAGTGATGTACTATCCAAATAAATATGCATGCAAAGACAAAAATAACAAATCGGGCCTAAAACATTTGAGAAGTTCCGATCTCTTTCCTCATATATTTTATTAAGTGTTCCAGGAAACTTAATTTATGGAGGAGATAAACAGCACTGAGATTGCCTTAAAAAATTGTGTAACATTCAGCCTGATACATACGATCAAAAAGGGAGGGTGGATGACCTGAAGGAAGACAGGGTGGAACTAACCAGTACTAGTTGTGCACTCTAGACTAGTGATTTGAAAGAAAATGAAATATTAGCAGAAACTTACCGGCTTTTAAAATAAGGGATACAACCTTGCTTTAAACTGGCTTCAGCCAGAAAGGAATTGTTCACATAACCCAAAACTTTAAAAAATCCAGTGGCAGATCTATGATCAGGCTTGGCTAGGACCAAAGACTCTACCACTATCACTAGGACTTGATCTCTTTCTATCTCTCAGCTTTTTTTTTTTTTTTCCTCATTTTGAACTTTATTTTTAGGCAAATTCTCTCCTTTTGTTTTGATGATATAGCTACCAGAAGCTATTCTGAGTTCAACTTTCAGCAGCTCTATTACATCAACAGAAATGAGAGGGATGCCAATTCCCAGTTGTTTCAATAGAAGTCCTGCATTTGGCCCAGTTTTCCGGGCTTCAATCATATGCCTGTTACTCTAGGAGGTGGAGCTCTCTAAATGATCTATTCTAATATTGGGTGGTAATAAGTCATGAATGGGAGAAATATTATGTCCACTTAAACAAAATGGACTATGAGTCAGGGCAAAGATTCGCCAAAGGAAAAATAACTGTTGTTATTGAAAAAAGGGAGAATGTTTGTCCACCAAAGATCTTTTATGCAGACAAAAATCTTGGAGGGAAAGTTATCATATCATGTAAAAGATACAGAAGTCCAAAGCTGGTCTGACTTAGGAAGGGATGGTGATCAAGAGCTCTTCATCTCACTTACTTCTTACCAATCTCCAAGAGGTCCTTCTGATAACATAAAGAGAAACCTATTCCTCCTCAGATCGACATAGAAATAATCACAAGTGCCTCATTCAACCTCAAACTCTGGCTCAATAATATTTGTTCTCAATTAAACAAGTTTATTCATGTAAATGGTTTAGAAAAATGCCTGGCATAGAGTAAATACTCAGTAAATGTTAACCATTAGTGTTATGAAATACATATTATTAACCATGCAATTAATTACAAAAATAATTCTGCCAACACCCCAAATAACTCTAGTACCTGTTAAGCATTATAAGTTCTTCCATGACTATTCTATGCAGTCATACCCATCCACTCTCCATATCCTAAAATGCCTATAAAAGCAAGAGCAGATAAGTTAAATAAACATTTTTTTGTTGTCTGGAAATTTTGATTGAGGTCTCAAAGGTAAAAACAATTAGCATTAAAGTCCCTTACATTCTGAAGAGAAGCTCTTAATCATACATGAAGGAATTACAAAGAAGTATCCCAAACAAGTTATTTAAAGAATTGCAGCTGGGTGCGGTGGCTCACACCTGTAATCCCAGCACTTTGGGAGGCCAAGGTGGGCAGATCACAAGGTCAAGAGATCAAGACCGTCCTGGCTAACATGGTGAAACCCTGTCTCTATTAAAAATACAAAAAAATTAGCTGGGCTTGGTGGCAGGCGCCTGTAGTCCCAGCTACTCGGGAGGCTGAGGCAGGAGAATGGTGTGAACCCGGGAGGTGGAGCTTGCAGTGAGCCTAGACTGCGCCACTGCACTCCATCCTGGGCCACACAGTGAGACTCTATCTCAAAACAAACAAACAAACAAAAAAAGAATTGCTTATCATCCACCTCTATCCTACATAAAAGACAAGCTGGCCATTTCATTATGGAAATTTATAAGTAAGTATTTCCAGGGAAGATTTTTCAGCCTGGCAGTAAATGCTATGCATTGATTCTCACCTTCTTTTGGGAGGAAGAATAGACAGGCATGATCCTACCATAAAAAAAAGTAAGGGGAAGTTGAAGGGGCCCACTTGTAGACAGGGGTAACTTAGAAAGAGGGAAGAATTGCATCTGTTACCCTTGGTCTAGATATTTCATAGGAAAGAATTTGTAGTTCCATCCCAGGTCACCATCAGAGAGTAATAGAAATACATTTTTAGGAGAAGTCTATTCATTCAGGGTTTGATACAGGCGTGGTACTTTTTTTGTGTCAGAATAATAATCATAGAAAGTACAGTGATTGGGTTTGAGCCATCTTGAAAGGAATTTGACCAAAAGAGATGCCTCTGTGTCTAAATAACCTTTGAAGTAAGAGTTTATACAACCTACAACCTGTGTCATTGGAGTAGAAATTGAGGACAAATTGGAAAAAAACATCAGCCAGACCTAGCATTATCCCTTTCAGGGAATGGTACAAGTTATCAGCTATGATGGTGGCAGTAGGCAGAAGGGATTCACAGTACAATGAAAGTCCCTTATAAGAGAGAGACCATGTTATCGAGCATTTGGATATCTGCTGGACAGAAGTCATTCACCTGCTGGGAGAGAAATGTAAATAACATCATACAAGTAAAAATTCATTTTGCCATTTTACTGCTCTTTCCTTTTTCCTGCTTCATACTTGAAAGACCAGAAAACAGCAAGAAAATGAGAAAGGATTGTGAAAGGTCAGAGAAGACACCATCACATCCTCCTTCCCCACAGCAAGTTAGTGCTTGGGTTGGACACATACTGGGAGGAAACGGAGGGAAAAAAAATGAAGAAATGAAGATAAATAAACTAAATGGAATTTTTTTTTCTTTTTTTTTTGACTCCAAGACTCAGTCTGTCACCCAGGCTGGAGAGCTGTGGCGCAATCTCAGCTCACTGCAACCTTCGCCTCCCAGGTTCAAATGATTCTCCTGCCTCAGCCTCCTGAGAAGCATAACAATTAGAGCACAGCCTAGTGATAATATATTTTTATTTTAATACATAAAATGGGACTATTCTAATAAAAGAAAGTAACCCAAGATCTTGAGTTTTCTTGATATCCTGACAAAGGGCAGGAAGAAGGTTTGAAGAAAAATAAGACTATTGGCTGGGCTTGGGGCTCACATCTATAATCCCCGTACTTTGGGAGCTAAGAAGGGAGGATTGCTTAAGGGTAGGAGTTTAAAACCAGCCTGGGCAACATAGCAAGACCCTCTCTCTACAAAACAAACAAACATTAACCAGATGTGGTAGTACATGCCTGTGGTCCCAGCTACTCA
This sequence comes from Homo sapiens, assembly GCF_000001405.40. Taxonomy (NCBI): domain Eukaryota; kingdom Metazoa; phylum Chordata; class Mammalia; order Primates; family Hominidae; genus Homo; species Homo sapiens. The sequence goes on from NC_000008.11 coordinate 121,932,411, forward strand.
GGAGGCTGAGGTGGGAGGATTGCTTGGGTCCCAGAGATTGAGGCTGCAGTAAGCTGTGACTGTGCCACTGGACTCCAGCCTGGACAATCAAGGGAGACCCTGTCTAAAGAAAAAAAAAAAAGGAAAATAAGACTATAGCTGATTGAACCTCACCAAGACTTGTAATATCAGTAGACTGTTTACAAATATATTCCAGATAATTTGCCCACTACCTTCATGATTGTTCCCAATGAATTCACATTTGCTGTCAACAATTTGGGCACAAAAAAACCTCTCTGTACTATGACATGAGTAGGCACATGTGCAATGACATCCACATTTTTAATGGTTAACTGGAAATGGCTTGTACCGGCTTGCAAGAGCCAATTGCTAAAATTTCAGAAGTTTTGTGATCCAGTTGGTAAACTCTGGCATTACTGTAATTTAAATTACATTAGGTATAAGCTTACAATCAAATAAATTATATTACAAATAATGGTAGTAAATACTCAAAACTTACCGCTTTTTAATGATTTTATTGCATTTAATTATTTTACTGCATTTATGCTCTTAAGTTTATTTATGGCTATTATGTATGGTAGAAACACTTTGTAACATTGTGCTACCACTATGCATCTCTTTCCAATTGCATGTTCAATGATGACCTGTTGATAGCTTGATATCGGCCATAGTGAGACTATTTACATCACAGAAATAAGCAAATGCTACAAATTAAGGTCCTTTTGTTGTTGTTGTCATTGTTGTTTTTGTTTTCATTTCCCTGTAGAGCTGGTAACTTCAAATATTTACCAGCACACCACTGGTAATCCCTGGTAAACTATTCTTTAAGAGTTCTAGCGCCGGGTGCGGTGGCTCACGCCTGTAATCCCAGCACTCTGGGAGGCCAAGTCAGGCATACTACGAAGTCAAGAGATCGAGACCATCCTGGCTAACACAGTGAAACCCCGTCTCTACTAAAAATACAAAAAATTAGCCGGGCGTGGTGGCGGGCACCTGTAGTCCCAGCTACTCGGGAGGCTGAGGCAGGAGAATGGCGTGAACCCAGGAGGCGGAGCTTGTAGTGAGCTGAGATGGCGCCACTGCACTGCAGCCTGGGCGACAGAGCGAGACTCCGTCTCAAAAAAAAAAAAAAAAAGTTCTCCAATAACTCTATATTGTTTTAAGAATTGCCCACTCATTGAAAAAAAATCCTTACTCCGTTCCGTATATATTATACCTCAAAATTCCCTCTAAGAAGTAGTAAATATTCAAGGATACATTTGCATATACATATACAATTGTGAGAAAATGCTTATGAATGAGCAATATTGTGCTATTTTAAAAATATGTTTGAGGCCAGACACGGCAGCTCACGCCTGTAATCCCAGATATTTGGGAGGCCGAGGCAGGTGTATCATTTGAGGTCAGAAGTTCAAGACCAGCCTGGCCAATACGGTGAAACCCTCTCTCTACTAAAAATACAAAAATCGGCCAGGTGCAGTGGTGGGTGCCTGTAATCCCAGCTACTCTGGAGGCTGAGGCAGAGATTTGCTTCAACCTGGGAGGAGGAGGTTGCAGTGAGCTGAGATTACACCACTATACTCCAGCCTAGGTGACAGAGCAAGACTCTGTCTCAAAAAAAAATAAAAATAAAAATAAAAATATGTTTGAATGGCTCATAAAGAAAAAGAAAAGTCTTGGCTTTTAATAAAGAAAAGGATCTCCAGCCTGTGAAACTTCTTTGGGAAACAAAGAAAATATTTAATGCTGAAGAATTTTGTTCACAATTTATCTTGTGAAAATAGTATATATATACATACATATATATCATTTATGACATCATTGTCAAACTGCTGAAAGCCAAATATAATTAGACAGTCCTTAAAAAGCAAAATAAAAGGGACATAATATATATAAATTAGAAAAAAATGGCAAAAAAAATTTTAATGAAATTTTAGAAGTGCTGAAAAATACCATCAATGTAGAATTCTTTTTTTTTTTTAGACAGAGTCTTTTTCTTGTTGCCTAGCCTGGAGTGCAGTAGTGCAATCTCAGCTCACTGAAACCTCTGCCTCCGAGGTTCAAGTGATTCTCCTGCCTTAGTCTCCCAAATAGCTGGGATTACAAGCGCCCACCACCATGCCAGGCTAATTTTTGTATTTTTAGTAGAGATTGGGTTTCACCATGTTGGCCAGGCTGGTCTTGAACTCCTGACCTCAAGTGATCTGCATGTCTCGGCCTCCCAAAGTGCTGAGATTACAGGTGTGAGCCACTGCACCTGGCCATCAATGTAGAATTCTATATCCAGTATAATGGTTTGTCTATCTACCTATATATTTATATCCATATTCATGAATAGTTTTTCTCTTAATTTTTAATTGCATAAAGTACAATTTATAACACTATATTGTTTTATTTTATAGGTAATGTAACATGTATGAATATAATATAGCAAGGATAGTGGGGTAAATAGAACTATATTTTTCAAGATTCCTATATTAATACTTGTGATTCAATATTGAATTTAAGTAGATTTTGAAGATTTAAAAATGATAATTCCCAGCGCAACCTCTAAAAAGAATTCAAAGAAACACAGCTATAACAGCAATAGAAGATGTGTAACAGATTACAAAAATATTTGTTCAACATAGAACAGGGAATAAAGGGAGAACAAAAGAAATAAACTTATGAGACAAATAAGAAAGTTATAGCCAATAGCAGGCCTATATCTACCAATTTTACTCATCACTTTAAATGTAAATAGAGCAAGCATTTGAATCAGAAAGCAGAGACTGCCAGAATACATTTGAAGGAAAAGGATGGCAAAACTATATACATCTGTCTCATCAGTTTGGGCTACAATAACAAATTACCAATGACTGGGTGGCTTAAATAACAAACACTTATTCTCACAGTTCTGGAAGCTGGGGAGTCTAAGATCAAGGTGTGAGCAGATTCAGTGTCTGGTGAGGGTCTGCTTCCTGGTTCACAGATGGCTCTCTTCTCATTGTATATTCAAATGGCAGAGAGAAGAGAGAGGAAACAAGCTCTTGTCTCTTCTTATTATGGTACCACTCTCATTCATAACTACTTTCCAAAGGCCCCATCTTTTAATACTGTCATATTGGGAATTAGTATTTCAATGTATGAATTGTGGGGGAGACACAAACTTTCAGTCCATAACAACACCCTTAAGAAGACTTACTTTAAATAGAAAGATACAAATACTTTGAAGATAGAAGAATGATAAAAGATGTGCAATACAAAAAAAAAAAATATATATATATATATATATCAGAGAGCTGGAAAGGCTATGCTGACATCAAATTACATAACCATCAAGGCAGACTTGTTATTTAATAATAAAAAGAGCCAATTCATAATGTTAAAGAGAATCATTACATTAGGAAGATATAACAATTATAAAGGTGTATACACCTAATGATAAAGCTTCAAAATACATAAAGCAAAAACTGACAGATCAAATAGGAGAAAGATAAATTTAAATATAAAGAAGATGTGAACAATGCTATTGGCAGCCTTAACTGAAATTTATGAAAGACTGTCCCCAAAACTGTATTTAAGTACACATGGAATGTTCACAAAAATAGTCTGTATGTTCAGCCATAAAATATTTCCATAGATTTTAAATGATTGGTATGCCAAAGAGCACATTTTTATCAAAAAGTAATTAAATTACTTAATAATAACAGGTTCTAAACATTTTTTGGATCAAGAAAAATTAGGAAATATTTTAATTGAATGATGATGAACACATAATATACCAAATTTCTGGTGTGCATTTATATTGTATGAGGAAAAATTTATATTGAAAAACACATCAGAAATAATGAAAGATCTAAAGCAATAATTGAAGCTTCTATCTAAAGAGGGTAGAAGAAAGGTGAGCAAATTAAACACAAAATAAATAAAAGGAAGAAAAAAATAAAGATCATAGAAAAATATCAATAAAATAGAATATAAAAAATCAGGGAGAAAGTCAACAATTTCCTTCAAAAAAGAAAGTTATCCTTTGAAAAGATCAATAAAATTGATAAATTTCCAGCTTGAATAATCAAAGAATAAAAACACACAAACCACCAGTATTAGGACTGAAAGAAGAGATACCACTGCAGATACCGAAAAGGATAAAGTAGTACTATGAACAAATTTATGCTGATAAATAGACATAAATAGGGCATCTTATTATATATACAGTATAGCTCAGTAAAGTCAACTTATGACAAAAGAAAAATTATCAGTTAAATAAAGCTGAAGATAGATTCAGATTTTAGTAATGAAAATTACTTCTCATATAAGAAATAAAGAGAAAAATAGAAAATTTTGGAACTTTAAAAAAAGTCTAATTTAAAAATATAAATCCCAGCTGCATTATTAGTAGCATTTATATATTATATTATATATAATATAATATATTATAATATATTATATATAATATATTATATATAATATATTATATTATAATGAAGTCACTGAAAGCCTTAGCCATTTCTTTGTGCACAGCTTTTGTTCTTTCCCCTTGTTTTTAAACTGGAAGCATTTTTCTCTCATTGTTTTCTAGTAGTTTAATTATTTCAGTTGTGATAGACATTTTGATCAATTAGTTATGAAGGAATGTGCTTTTTATATTTCCAAGTAGTTGAGATATATTTGGAATCTAACACTATACTTGTATTATTTTCAAGTATACTTTGAATTTCAAATAATTTTTGTTTTGAATAAATTTAGTGTTCTGTTGTTTGGTGCATATAGATTCATCATGTTACATATGCATTGGATATTTATCATTAAATAATGTCCTATTCTGTCTTGTTTTATGCTTTTAATCATAAATTCTACTTTGTCTTTGATTAATATTGACACCATTTTTCTCATTTTGTTTGATTAGTTTGGTATCTTTTATCCCTCACATTACTTTCAATATTTATCACTTTATTTTAAGTGTTTATTTAAAATAGCATATAGTATGCTTTGCACTAACCCAATCTGATATTCCTGTCTATACAATAAAATTTTTTGTCTTGTCAAATTTATTTTAATGTTATTTCACTTCTTTCATCATGCTGTATATTTACATTAATTTTTTTTCTTTTCTCTAACATTGCTGGTTTTATTGCTTAGATTGTCCTTTTTAAAAAAATTCATGTTAACTTTGTTTTCTATTACTATTAGCAATTCTTTAGCCTATTTTTTAAAAAGCACTGAAAATTAAAACCCTATTTATCTTTTTTAGACAAAAATAAGTAATAGCTGACACAAGTATATTTTAATTCTTGAAACAACTCAAGGGATGCACACTAATATCTCCATTTTACAGATGAGATGGCTGAGCAACAGAAAGTTTAGTTACTTACCTAAGATCACACATCTAAGTAGTATGGAGCCAACATCTGTACAGTAACAACCAAGTTATATGGCTTTTTTCTCTGTGTTTTTACTGTATTTGCCTACTGCTTTCCCTCATCTCAATAGAATAAAATCTTTAGATAAGAAATGTCCTCCCATCTCCTACCTTCCCCCCTCTTGAATGCCTTTATCTCTTTTCTATTGCCAATAATCAGATTTTGCTATGATCATTAGTGCACAATTTAAAAAAAAAGCCTACATAAGGAATTTCAATAACTCTTTTTTTTATTTTTTATTTTTTTATTTTTATTTTTTTTTTTGAGACAAAGTCTCGCTCTGTCACCCAGGCTGGAGTGCACTGTCATGCTCTCAGCTCACTGCAACCTCTGCCTCCTGGGTTCAAGCAATTCTCCCTGCCTCAGCCTCCCTAGTAGCTGGGATTGCAGGTGCCTGCCACCATGCCCAGTTAATTTTTGTGTATTTAGTAGAGATGGGGTTTCGCCATATTGGCCAGGCTGATCTCGAACTCCTGACCTCAGGTGATCCACCTGCCTCGGCCTCCCAAAGTGCTGGGATTACAGGCATAAGCCACCATGCCCAGCCTCAAGAACTCTTTTATAGCACTTATGTTACACATTCTCAGAGAGTCTATCTTTCCTGCCTTATTTTATAACTTTCACTGAGATACAGTGTTGACACATTTTCTGATTTTTTTTGCAAATCCATAAGAATTTTTCTTTTATTAATAGAGAACAGGATTTTTTTAGTGTATATGTGGTCCTTTTATTCTCAGTGCTTTGTTGATGTTGTCCCTTCATCTTCTACTTCCAGTGTTGTGAACAAGAATTCAGATGCTAATCTGAGCTGGTTTTACTTTGAAGGTATTTTTCATCTAGATCAGAAACTTGCTTGTTTATTAATTTCTTGTTTGTTTTTATCTGCCTTCCATAGAAATGCCTACTTTTTGAGAGCAGGGCTATGTTTGAATTATTCATTCTTACTCCCTTGGCTCTTAGTGCAGTGTCTAGCAATTCATTAACGTACACTATATTTGATAAATAAATGAATACTAACAGAATGATTACCATAGTGGGGAACATCAATCAGGTAATGCTCAATAACCAAGGATAGTAAATAGTTACCAATATGGTCAGAAGTCAAGGAGTAGAAATATGTCAATCATTTGCCTGAGGTTCAAGGACGGGCCAAATCCAAGAGGTGGGTAGAATCTCTGGGCAGGTTTCCCTGGCAGAAACACAGGATCAGAGGATTGAGCAGGTACCTTGTGATAAGAAGTATGAGATTAAAGAGCATGTGATAAGGAGGCAGAGATGACAGAGTGGGCACAAATGGGAGTCCAAGTCTTAGCACAAGAATCTCTGTACTTTCACAATGAAAATGATTTGATAATGAACCCTGAGGTCATTTATTCATTCATTTGCTTAACAATATTTAGTGAGTATTTGTGTGGGGGGCAATAGGGTTAGGTTGGTTACATAGTGGGGAATAAAGTAGATATAAACCCTGCCATCATAGAACTTAGTGTTTAGTGTGGAAGAACTTGATTTACATAATTATTTTCTTCAGAAAGTAGAATTCAAGTTGTCCTAGCCAGAAGAGAAGAGGAGAAACAGATCGAAAACCAGGCTGGATGAGACAAGTGCAAGTAGGAAGAAGTCTGGACTATATATACTAAAGGAGAGAGAGCAGAGACAAAGATGTAAATGACATATGATCTTGTTTCATGATGAAATGGCAATAGGATCCAGAAGACATGTGATAGTACTATAGATCGGTAGAAGTGGTTGGTGTAATATGAACTTCCAAGTGGCTACAAAACAGAGTGAAATTAATAAGATAATAGTTTCTGAAAGAGGCAAGGTTTTGCATACTGTTTGAAAGAAGTGGTAGAGGGCATGAAGGTTTTTCTTGTCAAATTTGTCTAGGTTTAGGGAAGAGCATCACAAAGCAAGGCCACGTGTAACTTGGGTACAGATCTTTCAAGAGGTAATGATAGCAGATGTGCTCTGCGGTGTCTGAGGAAATATAACAGGAAGTAAGGAGAAATGAGGTCAGAGGAGAGAGAGGACTAGGAAAAAACATGATGAATGCCAGGCAGCCATGTTTTAAATGAAGAAGAGAAATATGAGCAAGGAACATGTAGATAAGAGTGATGTGGGAGAAAAATAATTCTTGCTGCTGTGCTCCAGATATGGAAATTAATTATTATTATGAATAGAATACTAATATGGCTATTCATGCTTTTGCTTTTTTGCTTTTTGTTTTTTGTTTTTTGAGGCAGGGTTTCACTTTGTTGCCCAGGATGGAGTGCAATGGCACCATCATAACTCACTGCAGCCTCAATTTTCTAGGTTCAGGTGATTCTGCCACCTCAGCCTTACAAGTAGCTGGGACTACAGCACACACCACCACGCCTGGTTAATTTTTTGTATTTTTTGTAGAGACAGGATTTTGCCATGTTGCCCATGCTGGTCTCAAACTCCTAGGCTCAAGCAATCCGCACAACTCAGCTGCCCAAAGTGCTGGGATTATAGGTGTGAGCCACTGCACCCAGCTTGCTTTTTTGTTTTCTATTTTTGTTTCACTGTAGCATTAATGAAACTCCACAGGCTAATAATAACCATTTACTACATAACATTATTTGAAAGGAGCAAATACAAGACAAAAAACTAAAGTAATTTTTCAGCTTCTTTTTATTATCTATACAGTTTGAAACAAACAGGTTTTAGTATCTTCTCTCAGACAATCAACTACTACTTTTTCAATTTGTTTTGTTCTAAGCTCTAAGTGATATGTTGGTGCTTCTTACAATAAAAATTGTTCATCAAATAATATTTTTGGAAGAATGAATTTGGTGGATAATTTTCTCTCCTTTGCAACATGTTTTCATAGTGAGGAAGTTTCTATTACTGTAGCACATTGGTCACTTTATTTACTCCTTTCCATAAAAAAAAAAGGAAATAGCTTAATTAGGGAGGTTTGCAAAAAGGAACTGGTCATGTGTGATTGAACTCCTTTCTCTCTCTCCTGTTTTTGCATTCAACTTCTTCTGAGAAGCCCTGATTCATCTCTGATCTTCTATGCCATAACTTTTATAAGTGTGGACCTCTAGAAAGAAAGCTTATATTTGTGTGGGCAAGCATATGTCTAAATTTTGGCCATAATATTAGTCAAACTATTGTTACAATACACCATCAGCTTGACACCTATGTTTTTGAACTTGGATGGGAAATAAGAATATTATTTTCTATCTCCATCAAACCCTAGGATGAATGAAGTTAAAAGAAAATACAAGCTATTTCCTAAAACACTTATGTTTTATCTCCAGGCTTGAGTATTTTATAATTAATTGGAAATATTCTGGAAAGAGGTTATCATTGGTTATATATATTTGGGATTCACTATTCTAAGGTAATATTTAAATCTGTAAGGGACTAAGGTGTCCAGAAAATAATATAAAGGATGGAAAGAGAAGAGGACCAAGGGAAGAGTTTTGTGGTTGAAGTCATGGACTGTGAGGCAAGAAGTGAACACAGGAGGTGTCTGTTAATAGAATGGAATAAAAGTGAGATGCAAAGTGGTATGCAAAGGACAAGAGTGATATTAAGGAAGTTGAGAGCACAGAAGCAAAAGACATAGGGAAAGCAATTTGGCATTTACGATTTTAAATATACAGCAATTCAGTGTAACACGTAGGCCATGGATATAGTTGTGGAAGTAGTAGTTGAAGTACTCATGGTGATAACTACTGATACTGAGGAAGATAAGGAATTGGAAATCTACAGTTTTGGATGAGTTATCTCTACCATATCCTAGTAATTGAGTATGATAGCAGGTTTTTGTGTGAAGTGGCTAGATTTTAGCAACATTCCATACTCTTAAAGAATGAATAAAATTAATCTTATCTCTATTGAATGTCTGTTAAATGCCAGACATGATTCTAGGCACTGGTGATTTGACAGTAAACATTGCTGTCAAGTTTCCTGATTTTCTTCTGTTTATATTGTAAGTCAGAATGAAATAATACATAAATTAACATGGAAAAAGTCTCATGCTGATAAGCTTCATGTAGAGTTTAATAAGAGCTGTGATACAAAGTGACAGTGTAATATGGTTTGGCTCTGTGTCCCCACCCAAATCTCATCTCAAATTGTAATCCCCACATGTCGAGGGAGGGACCTGCTGGGAGGTGATTGGATCAGGGGAGGCAGTTTCCTTCATGCTGTTCTTGGTGATAGTGAGTGAGTCCTCATGAGATCTAATTCTTTAAAAGTGTAGCACTTCCCCACTCAACTGCAGTCATGTAAGACTTGGCTTGCTTCCCCTTCAGCTTCTGTCATGATTGTAGGTTTCCTGAGGCCTCCTCAGCCATGCAGAACTGTGAGTCAATTCAACCTTTTTTCTTTATAAATTACCAAGTCTCAGGTGGTTCTTTGTAGCAGTGCGAAAACAAACTAATACACAGTGTGACTGGTACTGGAGAAGGTGTCTGTGTAAATAAGTAATGCCTTAGATTGATAAAAGTCAATGCTGGGTTGGGTAGAACATGTCACGCACCCCACAGGAAGATGGGTTCTGGGTCCACCAATTCTGTTGTTCCAGGAATTGATTCCAGGAATAATGGCTCTGCCTTTCCCTTCTGAGAAAGGAACAAGCAAGCCTCTTAACTTGGTCATATTTATTTGTCAGTAAGTTTATATATGTTTTCAACAGTGTGGGACTTGATGACTAAATACATGTAAGTCAGGAAAAGGAGTCATGTTTCAATCTTTTTAGAATATTAGAAATGTACATCATTGCAAGTTATATAGTTTGAGTTTGGCATATTTTCCATTAACTTTAAAAGATGAGGAAATTGAGTCCCTGAAAAATGAGTCATTTAAAGCAGCATGTTGATTCTGGTGCTCAGCCCAGGCCAAGGTTAAGCTTTCTCATTCTATTTTATAACATTGGCATGTTCAGACTCCTCCAACTAAGCCAAAGAGACATTTCTGGCTAATTTTGTATTATATATTGAACACTTATATTGCAGTGGCCACTGGATGGATTGACAATGAGAAATTAGGCTGTTAGAATACACAATGACTAACCACTAATATACAGTCAAAGAAAACAATGTCAAACACCCAGAAATACACAATTTGGACTACATTTTAAAGGCATATTGAGGGCCCATCTCATAGAATCAAAATGGCAGCTCACCAAAAGCATATTTATTTGGGCTTTGGCCATTTAGAAAAATGTAAGTTCCAAAGGCAATCACTTCAAGCACATATGGATTCTCTTTTTCCTTTGTTTCAACCGTCTCTGTTTTCTGCTTAGTTGTCAAAGGTAACTTGTACTAGCAAATAAAAGATGCAAATATAGCATTACATAGTAGAAAAATATTAGAGTAATGAGAGTAATGTTTTCCACATTATTTAGAGATAGTGAAGGGAATAAGTACCTGTATTTTACCAATGATAATTAGTGCTTTAGCAAAATTCATAAACTCTGGTAAGAAAGTTGCTTAATCAGTAAAAAGCTGAAAGCCTGTCAGAGTCTTAGATAAAGATAGCAGTATGGTTTAGCTCTGTGTCCCCATCCAAAACTCCTATTGAATTATAATCTTCAGTGTTGGGGGAGGGGCCTTATGGGAGGTGATTGGATCATGTGGGCAGTTTCCCATTTGCTGTTCTCAAGAGATCTGGCTGTTTGAAGGTATGTAGCACTTCCTCCTTTGTTCTCTCTCTCCTGCTGGCCAGGTGAAAATGTGTCTGCCTTCCCTTTGCCTTCTGCCATGTTTGTAAGTTTCCTGAGGCCGCCTCAGTTATGCTTCCTTTGCAGTCTGTAGAATAATGAGTCAATTAAACCTCTTTTCTTTATAAATTGCCCAGTCTCAGGTATGACTTTAGAGCAGTGTGAGAATGGACTAATACAGATAGAAAGCATGTACTGTTGTCTGGGTGTGGTGGCTCACTCCTGTAATCCCAGCACTTTGGGAGGCTGAGGCAGGCGGATCATGAGGTCAGGAGATCAAGATCATCCTGGCCAACATGGTGAAAACCTGTCTCTACTAAAAGATAAAAAATTAGCTGGTCGTGGTGGGACGAGCCTGTAGTCCCAGCTACTCAGGAGGCTGAGGCGGGGGAATTGCTTGAATCTGAGAGGTGGAGGTTGCAGTGAGCCTAGATCTCACTACTGTGCTCCAGCCTGGTGACTGAGTGAGATTCTGTCTTAAAAAAAAAAAAAAAAAAAAGCATGTACTGTTTATGTTTATTTATAGAGATTGCAAATAGTGTATAAAATCATTGTATAAGGGTTTTGATGAACTTGAAACCAAAACAGCAGAAATTAGGCTTTATGAAAAGGTCTTCATCTGTGAAGAGAATGAGTGAAAGATTTGAGCTTTGGATATTTTGCTAGACTAAGAGAGGACATCTGATAACCCTCACAAGATGTATGCATGTTCTCACTTGAAGTCCTGTAAGCACCTCAAAGGAATGGAGTAGGGAAGGGGAAGTGGCTAATAAATGTGTACTTAGGTTCAACTGTATATTTATTGAGGGCCTATAATAAACAAAAACAAATTAGACATGGTCTATGCCATCAGGCATTTATATCCAAAAGAGAAAGACAGGCCTATAAAAAGATATTTTGAATAAAATATCAACATGGGGATAACAGAGGTTTGCTGAGGTTGTTAATGGAACATGTGGGTGGCGGGGGGGTGGGGGTCACCCAACCTAGAGTAGTCAGGGAAGATTTCCTTGGAAGGCTGTGTATTAGCAACAGTTTGTTAATTTCTCCTCAAATTGTTCTTTTTAGTGACAGGGTCTCCCTCCAACACCCAGCTAGAATGTAGTGGCGAGATCATAGCTCACTGCAGCCTTGAACTCTTGGGATCAAGAGGTCCTCCTGCCTCAGCCTCCTGAGTAGCTGGGACTACAGACATGCACCACCACATCTGGCCCTCAAAATTGTCCTTCTATTTGTGATATAGAGTAATTTAAAATGAAATAATAGCATCAGTCAGTGTTTAGAATGGGAAAGAGTCTTCAAAATCTATTGAACCAGATTCAGGGAGGTTTAATTCTTGAGCCCAAGACAGTCTGTGACAATGGCCAAGACAAATTGAGCCATTACATGATATATAAGGTTCCAAACACATTTTCACAAGTGCCCAAGGGCAACCCAGGCTAATTGTAATATAGCCAATGTATTTTGTTTGATTAAATTTACTTAGCATTATTATAAAAAGCCAGTAAAGCTGATGAGGAGAGAATCATTTTTACCTTCAAAAACATGGACTTCAAATGTTTTCTTGGGCACACCATTTTTAAAATTTAGAATTATCTGTCTTTTCCCCTCAAGAATAGCCCTGTCTACAGCCCTCAAAACCAACTTCACTTAACATCATTTATTTAAGTTCTATTAAACTTTCCCAAATCTATTAGTCAACAAATAATTATTTGGCATAAAAATACTTTCCTCAAATAATCTTTCATCTAGTTATAAAAGTAAGTAAGTTTGTATATTAGCTCAAGATCAATTAAAAATATTAAAATTAAAAATCAATAAAAAATTAAAGATATGCAAATGTATATACATATATCCTCAATCTATTTATGCTCAGGAGATTATACAAATATGTTTAGCACTCACATTTCAGAATGTACTATGGTATCTACCTCCCCTTTGTGGGAATAAAAGATTCCTCCAGCTCAAGTGCTCAGGTACACTTGTTTGGCAAAATGATGTACACGTAAATACATGAGGAGCCCACTTTGATGTCAAAGGTATATCATTTTTGGGTTTTCATCTGCTTTTTTATAACTTATTTTATTTTTGTGGCTTTTTTATCTGCTTTTTGACTTTGGAAATAATCAAAGAAAAAAAACCCTCTTTTTAATATATTGCTTTCTATTGCTGCTCTAATAAATTACCAAAAATTTAATGACGTACATGGTTTAATTACCAAAACATATTTATTTTACATTTCTGGAAGTCACAATCCTAAATGAGTCGTACAAGGCTAAAATCATCAGAAGTCACTGTTTCCCCTGAAGGGTTCAGGAGGAATCTGTTTTCTTGCCTATTCCAGTTTCTAGAGGCTATCTGCTTTTCTTGACCCATTACCCTGCATCACTCCAACCTTTGATCCATTGCTGTATCTTCATCTTTGACTCTGACCCTCCTGCCCTCCTCTTATAAAGACCCTTGTGATCACATTCAGTCCACTCAGATAATCTGGGATTTTCTCCCAATCTGAAGCTCCTTAAATTAACTATGTTTGTAAAGCTGTTTTTGTGACATAAAATAACGCATTTACAGATTTCAGAGATTAGAATGGCTATCTTTGGGGATCTATTATTCAGACTGCCATACAATAACTTAAGAATAAAAGAATAAAAATTCATTAAGAATAAAAAGAATAAAAATTAATAATTTTTGAGAAAACAATAGCTTTGAAAGAAATAACTATGAAGGATTCTTTTTTTCCCTCAAAACACACACACACAAAAGAAACAAAGGCATCAGAATATCTTCTTATAAATAACACAATATAAACCCAGTGCAAATGAAATATAGGATTTTAAGCTTCTTCCAGGAAGTAGATGAACCTTTGCCAAGTAAGTAATAATTTCTAGTTTGGTCAAGGACAAATAAAAAGCCAGTCCACTATTTGATGAAACTATTTAATATGCATGTAGAGAAAAGCTCATTTAAAAGCACATTACCTGCCAAAATAAAATTACAGTTGTAACCTACCAATATGAAATTAGACAGAAATTTCAAATCTAATTTAGAATCATGAGCTTGGAGGAATTACAGGCAACACAATGTTCTAAATGTGCAAGACAGATGCTTATTTGTGCCAGAGGTCAATGCTCAATTATACTCTGAATGTCATCAGCTAGGATGCTACAAGGCGGGGGAGAAGTGGAATGGAAAAGGAAGATCAGATATTAAAATACTAACGAAAATGAGAAAAATCAAATCAAATAAAGTGATCTCCAAAGAAACCAAAGAAGAAGAAAAGCAAAACAAAACAAACTACAAATCACTGTCTACAGGGCTAATAATTCTGAGTATAGGAGAGAGGTAAGACATTGACATTCATTGAATATTCTACCATGTGTTTGACACTCAGCATGAATTATTTAATTTAATTCTTTTGGAAATTCTGTGAGATAGACATATTCATGCCCATTATATAGATGAGGACCCCAGAGAACAAAGATATAGTGTTGAGGCGAATGTCACATAGCATATTTGGCAGCACAGAAAGCATTCTAAGTTGGGTCTTTTGCTTCCAATGCCCTTATTTTTGGCACACTATTTTATGCTGTCATAAATTTTCTGGAAAAAATTTTCAGTATTGCACTTCTTTTACATTGAAAGATACACCTAAAACATATTAAGTTGGTGCAAAAGTAATTAACCATAATTACTTTTTCTAATAGTATTTTTTTCAAGTTTACCATAGTGATTAAAAAAAAACCCTATTGTTAGAGATAATATTGTGATGGGTAGATATGGTACCTAATATAATATGTCAAAAAATTGTCTCTTTTGCCTACACTCTCAAAATAAAAACAAAAACCATTTTTAAAAAAAACCCTAACCCTAACCAAACAAATAAAAAATCTCTATCAAGTGCTAGGTACTGTTTTAGGAGCTAAATATCCAAGGATGAACAAGGCAGGTAGAGCTCCTTGATGAGTCACTATTTCTGTGGGGAGTAAATATAAATGATTATATTAAAATTAATAATAAAGTGGGATGATTATCATGATAAGTTTGAGTTAGTTATGCAGAGAAGGGCAGCTAACTTAGTTTCTAGAGAGGTGGAGATGCCTTCCCAGACGAAATGGCATTTGCAATCCAAACGGTAGTTAGGAGTTAGCTCTGAGTTAAGGTAGAGGCTCGCTAGGGGATGTTACTAATTCTTCTTTATATTTCAAGCACCGCTAGTCAAGTATCTGATGCATTTAGGTTTGCAATGAGTACTTGAACTGATTTTAAGAAGGAAATTTATAATGAAGAGAACCATTTATGTTTACAGTTAAGAGGGTATATGATTAAAATCTGTAAGTGAGAGGTGACAGCATGCTGGCAGCCCTCGCAGTCCCCACTTGCTCTTGGCGCCTCCTCAGCCTCATGCCCACTCTGGCCGCGCTTGAGGAGCCCTTCAGCCTGCTGCTGCACTGTGGGAGCCCCCTCCTGGGATGGCCGAGGCTGGAGCCGGCTCCCTCAGCTTGTGGGGAGGTGTGGAGGGAGAGGCGCGGGAGGGAACCGGGGCTGCGCGCGGCGCTTGCGGGCCAGCTAGAGTTCCGGGTGGGCGTGGGCTTGGTGGGCCCCGCACTCAAGAGCAGCCGGCCAGCCCTGCCGGCCCCGGGCAGTGAAGAGCTTAGCACCCGGGCCAGCAGCTGCGGAGGGTGCGCCCGGTCCCCCAGCAGTGCCGGCCCACTGGCGCTGCACTCGATTTTCTCGCCGGGCCTTAGCTGCCTCCCCACGGGGCAGGGCTCAGGACCTGCAGCACGCCATGCCTGAGCCTCCTCTGCACACTCCCCTACCCTACCCCCACCGCCCCCCGCCCCCGCCCCCGCCATGGGCTCCTGTGCAGCCCCAGCCTCCCCGATGAGTGCCACCCCCTGCTCCAGGGCACCCGGTCCCATCCACTGCCCAAGGGCTGAGGAGTGCAGGCACACAGGAGGACTGGCAGGCAGCTCCACCTGCGCCCCAGTGCGGGATCCACTGGGTGAAGCCGGCTGGGCTCCTGAGTTTAGTGGGGACTTGGAGAACCTTTATGTCTAGCTAAGAGATTGTAAATACACCAATCAGCACTCTGTATCTAGCTCAAGGTTTGTAAACACACCAATTAGCACCCTGTGTCTAGCTCAGGGTTTGTGGATGCACCAATCCGCACTCTGTATCTAGCTAATCTGGTGGGGACTTGGAGAATCTTTATGTCTAGCTAAGGGATTGTGAATACACCAATGGGCACTCTGTATCTAGCTCAAGATTTGTAAATGCACCAATCAGCACTCTGTGTCTAGCTCAAGGTTTGTAAATGCACCAATCTGTGCTCTGTGTCTAGCTGATCTAGTGGGGACTTGGAGAACCTTTATGTCTAGCTAAGGGATTGTGAATACACCAATCAGCACTCTGTATCTAGCTAATCTAGTGGTGACCTGGAGAACTTTTGTGTCTAGCTCAGGGATTGTAAATGCACCAATCAGCACCCTGTCAAAACGACCAATCAGCTCTCTGTAAAACAGACCAATCAGCTCTCTGTAAAATGGACCAATCAGCAGGATGTGGGTGGGGCCAGATAAGAGAATAAAAGCAGGCTGCGCCAGCCAGCAGTGGCAACCTGCTGGGGCCCCCTTCAACACTGTGGAAGGTTTATTCTTTCACTCTTTGCAATAAATCTTGCTGCTGCTCACTTTTTGGGTCATTTTTTATGAGCTGTAACACTCACCGCGGAGGTCTGCAGCTTCACTGCTAAAGCCATGGAGACCACCAACCCACCGGGAGGAACGAACAACTCCAGACGCGCCACCTTAAGAGTTGTAACACTTATCAGGAAGGTCTGCAGCTTTGCTCCTGAGTCAGCAAGACCATGAACCCACCAGAAGGAAGAAACTGCGAACACATCCGAACATCAGAAGGAACAAATTCCGGACACGCCGCCTTTAAGAACTGTAACCCTCACAGCAAGGGTCAGCGGCTTTATTCTTGAAGTCAGTGAGACCAAGAACCCACCAATTCCGGACATATAAGGATGTCAAGCTTGGGATAAAAGGGGATGTTACCTTCTTTCTCACACCCTGGCTTACTAGAACATGGTACAAGAAATTCTGAAAAAACAAAACAAAAACCACTTTTTAATATTTTTAGTAGTATAAAAAAACTGAGACTTACTAGACCTTAGACTAAGACATATTTTACTTCTTTTCAAATTTCCAGTGTGTACCCAGAACATAGGCCAGTGCTGACCTCGTGTTGCTGTGCCTCTATGGCAGTGTTGTCCAATAGACCTTACTGAGGTGATGGAAGTATTCTGCATTAGTCAGTGTGGTATTCATTAGCCACATATGGCTACTGAACTCTTGAAAAGTAACTAGTGCAAGAGCTGAATTTTAAGTTTTATTTTACTATAAGAAATATAAGTATAAATCCCTTATTGAACAGCACAGATCTACAGTAGCATGAAGGAATGGTAGAACATATTATTTTCCAGAGGAGGTTTGGGTTAAAATGTAAAAGGGTTCAGCTGAATCCATAGTCTTATTGTTAATATATATGATACGGGGATCATGCTCTTCCATAATAGATTTCAAGGGGTCAGAGTCAAGAACTGAATGTTGCCTAGGAGGCAAAAGGTAGGCAGTAGTATGGCAATTTATGAGGCTTAACATGTATCTAAGTGTTGAGTGGAGCTTGAATTAAGCTCCATACTGATCTTCCATTTAATATCTATAAACTTTAGGTAAGTGTTTTAATCTCTTTGAGCGTCAGTATCCTTCCCTAAAAAGTGAGAATATTAATAACCACAAAATAGCATATGTTATTTGAGTAGTTAAGTATCTTTCATGTATTAAGTCTTTAAGAAAGAGGAGTCAATTATGTTTTCCAAGATTATCTAATTAATTTAAAAGAATAACTGGACCTTTGTGCCTCATTGCATATTGAGGATTCTTTTATAGGTTCTTTCAGACAAGTCAATAAAGCATAAGTAGGAGTGGCTGTCAAAATGTGGATGGTGAGTTAACTACAGAAAGAAAAAAAAACCCAAGTGGTTAATTTCACACTATCCTGAAGAGCCAAAGTGGAACAATAACTGCATTTATCTATTACAAATCATGATTGAAGTTAAGCTGCTGCTAATCCTTGGAACTATTTAGACTTTCCAAGGGGGAGGGGTGGGAGAAGAAAGAAAAAAAGAGCAAACCCATACAGATCTAGGTAAATCTTTGCAACTGTTTACAAGACAAAAAGAAGCTCTCTATAAAAACTGAATATAAACAACATATGTTATTAAACTCAAAACACGTGAAAGAATAAAAGAAAGGCACATATATATTCTCAATGTGACGGGCTCTAAGGCAAGTTTTTGGGTAAGTTGAATAAGGCCACAAAAAAGGCCTTGACATCTTTTAAAAATCGTTAAAATACCCCCTTCCCCCCTAAAGAGGATTTGCCTCTTTAACATGGATGCAAGGCTATAGAATACATTAAATTCTTAGAGCACACATCCATTATCGTGTGGTGGAAACAGCTATAGCTGCTTAATCTAAATTTATAATTGGATAATTAAGCTCTTTCTTGTGGAACCCCTGGAAACAAATGGGGATTTTCCCCTAAACCTATCTTTTTAGGTTTCTTTACAGTTTCATTACACTATCATTAAAAAGGACAGTGAATATCATTCATTTTGGAATTAGTCTTTATAAACATGGATTACTCTGTATGTCAGTTTTCTATTGTTGTGAAATAAATTATCACACACCCATTTATTAGCTTTCAGTTCTATAGTCTAGCATTGCAGGGGCTGGGTTTTCTGTTAGAATCTCCCAGGGCCAAAGTCAAGGTGTCAGCTGAATGTATTTCCACCTGGAGTTCAGGGTTGTCTCCCAAGCACATTTCTGTTGTTGGCAGAATTTGGTTTCATGCAGCTGTGAGACTGAGGTGAGCTGTCTGTTTCCTTGCTGGCCATCAGCTGGGGGCCTCTCAGCATTTTAAGGCTATCCACACTCCTTCTCATTGGGTTCTTCCATCTTCAAGTCAGTGTGAAAGGAAAACCTAGGGGCCCAAAAATTACTAAGCTAAGGGAAAAGTCAAGTTGGGAACTGCTCAGGACAAACCTGTCTCCCATTCTATTCAAAGTCATCTCTCTGCTCACTGAGAAAGATGCATATTCTGATTGCCTCCTTTGGGAAGGCTAATCAGAAACTCAAAGAATGCAGCCATTTGTCTCTCACCTACTTGTGACCTGGAAGTTCCCTCCCTGCTTCGAGTTGTCCCCGCCATTCTGGACGGAACCAATGTACTTCTTACATATGTTGATTGATGTCTCATGTCTCCTTAAAATGTATAAAACCAAGCTGTACCCCGACCACCTTGGGCACATGCCATCAGGACCTCCTGAGGCTGTGTCATGGGTGTGCATCCTTAACTTTGGCAAATAAACCTCCTAAAATGATTGAGACTTGTCTCAATCATTTTTCTTGATTGATGTCAGCAACCGTGAAAATTCTCAAGCTTTGAATCTCTCCGACTTCCTCTTTCTACCACGAGCCAGAGAAAACTGTTTTTAAAACAGCTCATGTGATGAGATTAGACTCACCCAGATCATCTCCTCTACTGAGGGTGAACTATACCACATAACATACTATGATCACCAGAAGAAAGCTCATCATATCTACGGGTTCCAGGGATTAAAGTGTGGAATCTTGGGATCCATTTCTAGAATTCTGTCTACCACACCCTGTATGGTACCCACAGGATGTCTTCTGTTTAATTCAGTTAATAAATATCAGCAGCATTTCCTCTTTTATTTAAATAAGCATTCCTAATACAACTCTTTTTCCTGTACCACACCACTCCCAGAAAACTGAAGATTGGTTTTTCGGTTAGTCCCTTTAATTCTGAGTACATTCATTTAATTAAAATTTCTTGAGCCATGCTATATGCTAAGACGTGCTAGGTTCCCTGAATATCAACTTGAAGAAGACAAGATTCTCTGCCCACAAGGAAGTTGTATCTTAGTTTGGGAAATGGATACACAAACCACTACCATAAAATGAAAATGTGCTAAGTGTTATACCGATTCCTGTATGAAGGGCCCTCTCCTTGTAGCCTCTAATAGGTGAGTGATAGTCTCTTTAATGCAACGTAATGGAGTGTAAAAGACCAAAGAGGGGATTTACAGATGGGTTTCACTACTTACTAGTTATTCACCCTTGGGTTATTTCCTTAACTTGCTCCAGCCTGAATTTATTAATGTATTTAGTAGAAATACCCAAACATACCTCATGGGTTTGTTGGACAATTATAAATAAAATAACACATATGAAAGTGCACAAGGAGCTCTTAGCATTTAAATGTCTGTTTCTCTTTCAGAGAAAGTTTTTGCTAGCTAAACTTTAGTATTAACCATGAAAGTTCAGATAGAAAGTCAGCAAAATGAGGAGCTTTATTTTCAGGTTCATATAATTGGGGGGAAGGTCTTCTCCAGCAACTGCCCTACCCGTAGACCCCTCAGTCTTCCATTTATGGGGTTTTGGCTAAGACTTTTTGAATGGTGCTATACAGGTCACTTAGAGTATAGGTATGGAACGATAAATATTTGCATTGTTTTGTTTTTCAAAGGCATTCAGATTACTTGTAGACAGTAGCCACCTAGCATGTGAGGACAATTATCCTGAAATCACACGGCACCAATTAACAACACAGGTCCCAGAAAAGGGCTTAAAACAGTTGGTCAGTTCTTGAACTATTGAACCCTTTAAATATCTCTAGAATTCTTACCTGCACGGTATTAATTTGTTTAGCAGATTTTTCTTCACCGGCAGATAAAAAGATGTATTTTACACATAATGTCTGAATGACTCTGGGTTCTTAGTGGGATCTGAATGAGTAAGATATTCATCAGTGTACATGTTCTTTCAGGTATTTTTCATGTAGGTTCTTTACAAACTTGCAGAATTCATTCCACGGAAGACAGGTTCTGCATTAGGCTTAATTCTAAGAAATTTGAACTTCCTGTGTTTATAAGTAAACACTGGGAATTTGAGATGACAGGGCTCTTTGCCAATCTCCTGATGAGTGACTTTGAAAAGGTGAAAGGATCCAAATATAAGATAAAGCCAGGAGAACTGGATTGTGTTTTCAAGTTGCCTACATTTTGTCCATTTGTGACATTTAACTGTAAAGTTTATTCACAGTTAAGTAAGTAATTGACAGCTCACAGTAACTTGCAGGTCCTGGATTTGAAAAGCTCAATTAAGAAAATAAAGTCTTGTCAGATTTTAATGTCTCTTCTTCCATTCTTAATGAAGTTTCAAAAGAACAGAATCTTTTTTTGAGCTATAAACTTTATTTTGTTTTCAGAAGCTGTATGAGCAAATTCTTTATTTGCCATTTTATTTCATTTTTTTAATTATACTTTAAGTTCTAGGGTACACGTGCACAACGTGCAGCTGTTACATATGTGTACATGTGCCTTGTTGGTGTGCTGCACCCATTAACTCGTCATTTACATTAGGTATATCTCCTAATGCTATCCTTCCCCCCTCCCCCCACCCCACAACAGGCCCCGGTGTGTGATGTTCCCCACCCTGTGTCCAAGTGTTCTCATTGTTCAATTCCCACCTATGAGTGAGAACATGCAGTGTTTGGTTTTTTGTCCTTGCGATAGTTTGCTCAGAATGGTTTCCAGCTTCATCTGTGTCCCTACAAAGGGCATGAACTCATCCTTTTTTATGGCTGCACAGTATTCCATGGTGTATATGTGCCACATTTTCTTAATCCAGTCTATCATTGATGGACATTTGGGTTGGTTCCAAGTCTTTGCAATTGTGAATAATGCCACAATAAACATACATGTACATGTGTCTTTATAGCAGCATGATTTATACTCCTTTGGGTATATACCCAGTAATGAGATGGCTGGGTCAAATGGTATTTCTAGTTCTAGATCCTTGAGGAATCGCCACACTGTCTTCCACAATGGTTGAACTAGTTTACAGTCCCACCAACAGTGTAAAAGTGTTCCTATTTCTCCACATCCTCTCCAGTACTGATGGCCAGTGACGATGAGCATTTTTTCATGTGTCTGTTGGCTGCATAAATGTCTTCTTTTTTTTTTTTTTGAGACAGAGTCTCAGTCCGTCGCCCAGGCTGGAGTGTTTTGTTTACCTACTCAAACGTCAGCAATGGTGGACCCCCCTCCCCCAGCCTCATTGCCACCTTGCAGTTCAGTCTCAGACTGCTGTGCTAGCAGTGAGCGAGGCTCCGTGGGCGTGGGACCCTCTGAGCCAGGCGTGGGATATAATCTCCTGGTGTGCCATTTGCTAAGACCTTTGGAAAAGTGCAGTATCAGGATGGGAGTGTCCCGATTTTCCAGGTACCATCTGTCATGGCTTCCCTCAGCTAGGAAAGGGAATTCCCCGACCTCTTGCACTTCCTGGGTGAGGTGATGCCCCGCCCTGCTTTGGCTCACACTTCGTGGATTGCACCCACTGTCCAACAAGCCCCAGTGAGATAAACCCGGTACCTTGGTTGGAAATGCAGAAGTCACCCATCTTCTGCATCACTCACGCTGGGAGCTGTAGACTGGAGCTGTTCCTATTCGGCCATCTTGGGACTGCTGAGCTATAAACTTTAAATGTAAATTTTCTTGAAGTATAATGTATGTACAGAAAATACACAAATTACAAGTGAACAGCTTCATCAATTTTCAGACAATAAAGCATTGTCTATGTTTCCAGAATCCAGATCAAGAAATAGGATATTATCATAAGCCTTCTTTGGCCTCCTACTGGTCACTACCCTTGGTCACCAAGGGTAACCACCATTCTGACTTATAACCTCAGATTATTTTTGCATGCGATTGAACCTTATATGTAATTATGTTGGACATATATCCTAGAATGGAATTGTTCAATTACTGGGTATGTGTATATATTAGTTTTCTATTAGTAACAAATCACCACATATTTTGTCTGGCTTAAAACAGCACACATTTATTGTCTCATAGTTGCCTTGGGTCAAGTGTCTGGGCACAGCTTAGATGGGTTCTCTTCTCAGGCTCTCACAAGACTGTGACCAAGATGTCAACTAAGCATTGTGTATGTGACATTAGCTCCACTTTTAGTCTTCTGAAGGCTACTGCAACTTCATAGTAATCCTGCCCTTTTTTAGTCTACTTACTGAATACGCAGTAGCAGTTTAATGGAGAGCAATTGAAGGAGATATGGATGTTACCATCATTTTTAATACCTGGGGAATAATGTTAATCTGCCCTTTGCCTTTCCACAGAGGAGGAAATTATAAGCATTATATATATATGTGTGTGTGTGTATGTGTGTGCATACATATGTATGCATAGGTATATGTATGTATAACTTACTACATATGTAGGCTATATGATATAGCCTATTGTTCCTGGGCAAGAAACTTGTAGAGCATGTGACTGGACTGAATTCTGTAGGCAATTATAACACAATGATATGTATTGGTGTACTAATAATACCTAATTGTATCTAATCATAGAAGAGTGCAGTAAAAATATGATATTATGTTCTTACAGGACCACCATCATATATGTAGTTTGGGATTGACTGAAATGCCATTATGTGATGCATGACTGTATATATGACATAAAATAAGCTTTAAGATATATCTAACTACTACAATGCTGGGCGTGTTGGCTCATGCCTATAATCCCCGTGCTTTGGGAGGCCGAGGTGGGTGGATCACAAGGTCAGATGTTCAAGACCAGCCTGACCCACATGGTGAAACCCCGTCTCTACTAAAAATACAAAAATTAGCCAGGTGTGGTGGCAGGCACCTGTAATCCCAGCTACTCAGGCGGCTGAGGCAGGAGAATCACTTGAACCTGGGAGGCAGAGGTTGTAGTGAGCTGGGATTGTGCCACTGCACTCCAGCCTAGGCGACAGAGTGAGACTCCATCTCAAAAAAAAATAAATAAATAAAAAAGGATGTATCTAACTACTCCAGAATATTCTCCCTAATTTTTTGAGGGTAAGTCATGCACCATGTTCTCTGTACCATGTTTCAGTTAACCTTCTTTTATTTCTATTCTATAGAAATAACCATCAATTGCTTAGGTTATTTGGAATTATTTTTTGTTGGAGCATCTCTGCTACAATTCTATAAACTCATCTAGGGTACTACTAATTTTAGAAGTCTATCAGAATCACATGGCCCAGGCCTTGTGTAGTAAATGGTTATTGAACTGAAATGAAATTATAGTTATAAGTAGTAAATTTAGGTATCTGAGTTCATCAACAAATCAATTCATACATATACCTTGATTGACTTCTATTTGGCCTAATTTACTGATACATTTCTGGATCTAATATGGACAAAAATATTAGAAATTTTAACTTTTATTACAAGTCTGGAGAGCATGTTTTCTTAGTTGATGCTAACTTTTAGATTAAAAATACCCAGACTATAGCAACACTTAGTTATTGCTACTCTTTATTACCAAAGATTGAAATTATCATCATTTGTATCTTGAATAGGCCAATGGCTTCTCTCTCCCTCTTTTCAATCTTGCAGACTGTGACCATTTCACTTATAAGTAATGCATTTTCCGTAAATGTCAGTACTAACAAACATAAATACAAAATGGCAAAAATATAAAATATTTTATGAAGACAGTACATGATATAATAATCAAAATATACTAGGAAATTTATCCATGATATGATTATTTAGCAATACCACAGATTTTCAATATAGGCTATATATATATATATAAACCACATACATGGTATATTTCCTCATCAATAATAGAGCCTTTGTCTAATAGGATTTGCAGGAACAGCATATTTAAATATTTTTCCTTTTCAGGAAAAAAAAATTTCATATCATTCTACATCTTAAAACTCTGCATTTCAACTCTTGTGTTTTTAAATATACTTCACAGCTTTACCTTTTACACTTTAGGAAAGAAGTCATTTATCTATAATTATTCACTAACAATTACAATAATCATCTAAAGTAACTATTACTGATCTCCACTTAAAGTTCAGGAATGAAAGAGCTGGGATTCAAACAGACATTTGTTTTACACTTCAACCTCTTCTTCCACTCTACAAGCTACATCATGGCAACAGCAAGTTATTAAGCTAGCTATAAATTAATATTCCAATTTTTTCAAAATTTTAAACACATACTTACACACTGCACATCCACCAAAGACTTTGCACTTGATAAGTTGTCTTATATTACCATTTGTATGTTTATATGCTCTAATTTCAATTTAGAAATTTTTAATTGTAATTTTCAACCTAATAAACAGACTTTCAGATACTACAAGCTACTACTAATTTAGAGCTACATTACCAGGAGCAAGAATATCAGTCTGAAAGTGTACATCATCCTTTGAAATGAAACATACAAAAAGATGTGTATGTCAACTTTCATCCTTTGAAATGAAACAAACAAAAAGATGTCTATGTCAAAATTCCTTGGTCTTCACTGTTTTTTTTTGTTGTTGTTGTTGCCCTGGATGGAAGATGGATCTTATAGTTTCACATACATGTGGGAGGTGGGATCACTGACTGCAGAAAGAGAAGCAGTAATGGTAGAGAAACTCTTTACCCCTAAGCAGTTGGCATTTTGTCAGTCCAGAGTGGGGCTAGTTCAATAATTGTTCTCCCAGCATAATAATCCCCCCGACAGGAATAGATGGAAATGTGGCTTGTTCCATAAACTTAAAACCTTGAGAATTTTTATTTTAAAATTATATTGATTTGTATAAGATTTATAAAATGAATTGCTATTTAAAAAATTATTTATATAAGATTTATTACACAGCTTGTTGTGATTGAGGGATCTCGGGGAGGAGCCTCAACTGTTTCTCTCTAAACTCAGTTCAACTTCCCATTGCTTATTTTTGAAAATGCCCTATGGACACTTTAGTCATCAAATAGTTGTTGAAACCCCATGTAAAATAACCAGAACATTTGTATTTACTTTCCCAATGGATTATGTAAGGTTTCCAAAATAATGCAAAATATACTTGGCTAGCTTGTTTTGTACTTTGTGAACTTCACATTAAAACAAACCAACAAAAACCAACAGTTTTTTTTTAACAATATATGAACCTAGCACACAGATGGCTTTGTCAATTAGTCACTGATATGAAAGAGCTATGGAACCAAAGTCCAAAGATAATGGATCTTTAAAAACAAACAAACAAGACGACCATCCAGCAAGCAGTAGGATTATAGTCAGAAAAGTGCTTGTAAAACAAGAGTGTAAATGAGTAAGGCCTGTGCTTGGGGTCAGATGGACTAGGGTTTCAATACTCCTCTACCTTTTACTAGCCATGGGACCTCTGACAAATTATTTTCACTTGCCAACCCCCACTATTTATACCTTTTCCAAGTATAAAACAGGAAATAATGGAATTATAATGGCATTTTTCATTCATTTACTTTCCACATCTGTTGGGTGCCTGTTCTGTGCTACATACTCTTCTGGAACCAGGCAAATACAATGTTAAAAACAGACTAGAGTCTCTGCCCTTATGGAACTTACCTTTTAGTGGGAATGAAGAAAAAGATAAACATAATAATTAAGTAAATGCATAGTATACTGAGAGGTGAAACAAGTCTGAAAGATGGCATACACTAGGGAAAGTTGCTGTTTTAAGTAGTGTGATTAGAAAGAGCCTCACTGTTACAGCAACATTTGAGCAACTGTAATTAATGATGAGGGAGTGAATACCCCATACTCAGGTGAAGAATTTCAGAGGGAGTGAATGTGGATCCACATTTTTGCTCACAATGCTACTGTGCCCCAAAATAAGGGCAGTTTGCTCCAAATGCAGTTTCCCATTAGGATCAACGGGATGGTAAGGTTAAATGAAACTTGATTCAAGGTTATTTTCCTAACAGGGTAGGGAGTCAGAAATCTCCCTATTTGCATTAGCATGTTAGACTTAGAAAGACAATCACATGTGGCCAATGTCTATTATGTATATATCATAGCAGAGAAACAATTCAGAAATACTCTTTTGGAAATGGACAAATAGGATTTTAAATCCTTAGATTGGCAATTTCTCTAAAGGATAAATTAATCATGAGAACAGGAAGAGAAAGAAATCTTAGTAATAATATTATGAATGAGTGTTTAAAATTAGAATCACTAAAACTGGGCTCTGCTGTTTCTTTTTCCAGGTTTTCTCCTTCACGAACAATTTGTTTTTGATTCTCCAGAAAAATCCATGCTAAGAAAGGCCCCATTCTAGAAAGTCTAGTTTATTACTATTAAGTTAAATATTGAGTTGACTTTTTTTGTATTTAGGAAAGGTTTAGGAAATGCCCCTTGTCTTACTTACGAGTGCCAATAAACTTATTTGGCTATTTTCTCCCAATTACTTAATGATAACCTGCTATGAATCATTTTATAAGACAAATCATTCTCAAGTTTTCTGAATGCTTAGATACTTATATATTGGATTTTTTCAGTATGGGGAACACCTGTTTCTTCAGTAGGAGGGACAATTCAATGCTACTGGAAAAGAAAGCTAGTCACTTTCTTCTCTTCACTCTGTTCTGCCCAGGCTCACTCTTTGGTGGCCCTGAGAGGAACTAAGTTGAAGCCGCCATTAGAATGCAGCGCACCCACCGCCATAAGTGAGTGCTGGTTGGCCTGCTGGTGACTTTGTTTCAGAATTCTCACAGTTCACTCTGGTGAATGGAGAGGACATATCAGCAGCCCAAGTGGAACAGCTCATGTTCACCATGTCCCTGGGAACACAGAAGGGAAAGCTCCTCCACGTCTTGCCCCACATGAATCCAAGCATATGTGGATTTTGCTCCCTGCTTCTCCAAGGCATCCTCTTCCACCTGCTGACAGTATGATTCATTTTCCCTCCAAAGAATAACTACTTGATCCTTTTCTTCTCCATCTTGTCAAACTCACTTTCCCTGTGCAATTTGAAAGATATTCTACTTGTATGTGCAATCATAACAGAAGCAAATATAGAGGCCACGTTCAACGTTGTACTGGGCCATTTGTTGGCCCACTCAAATAACTCTCTGTGAATTTAAACTTAGGACTTACATCTGGCCACTTATAACAGAGGATGCATTATGTGTAGTCTGTCAGCCTGGTAACCTCAGGTTTGTGTGAGTCATAATCCAGATTGGTGGGTGAATACCACTTCCACCCATCCACCCACTCTACCTTTTAGTCTTACATAAGCCACCATGGAAAAGCTTTTCCATCCTCTTGCCTGATCCTGCAAAATACTACTTCAGTTTTTGCTTATTTATAATTCCAGGTTATAAGAATTATGTATAAATGTTAGTCTTACATCTGAGAGCTATGTTTAGAAGATTTTGTCAGTACTTGGTCTAGCCAGGGCAATGACATAGTATGGTAATGCCTTTATTTCACCTGCCAATAATAGTGAATTTTAGGGAAATTTAGGAGAATTATGGCTATGGATTTCAGAAAGCACAAACTTCAAACTCTCATATATGAGGAGAAGCTACCTAAGGAATTCAGTAAATATTCTACTTAGAGTTCATTAGAAAATGTTGTATACAATAAGTCAAATCGGCAATCATTTTGAGTAGCCATTGTGTGCCAGACACTGTACAGAGTACTGTGGAAGCTACAGAGGTGACTATCCACGTATGGCCTGAAATCTTGCAGTGAGAAAATAACTTTCTTTAAGTGCTTTCTTTGCTTGGATACAGAGATGCTTTCTTATTGGTTTTCTCCTATATTGTTGTCTGCATGTCTCGCTTCACTTTTTGTTTATTTGTTTTTGCTGTTTCCTCCATGTATTTAGTCCTTGGATTTTTCTAGGGCTCCATCCTTGAATCCCTTTTCTATCTGCACACACTTCCTTGGTTACCACACTCTAATAGCATGGTTATTACTGTTATTTCTATGTTGAGGACTCCAAATTTATATCGGAAGTCTCAACTTATTTGCTGAGCTCAAGACTCATATATCAAACTGCCTGTCCAACATAACATAATCGAAATCTTAAAATTGGCATGTCCACAAAAGGTTTCCTCATCCCCCAGTATCCAACATAGCTGTCTCCAACTCTGTATTTGAAAACCCAATGCCCCTAGTTGCTCAGGCCAATGCTTGATTTTGTGTGCGTGTGTGTGTGTGTTTATGTGTGTGTGTGAAATTCACATCTAACCCATTAGTTTATCCCGACAACTTGATATAGTTTGTATATTTGTCCCTGCCTAAATCTCATGTTGAATTTTAATCCCCATGCTGGAGGTGGGGCCTGGTGGGAGGTGTTTGGGTCATGGTGAATCCCTCATGGCTTGGTGATGTCTTCATAATGGTGAGTTCTTCAGAGATCTGGTCATTTAAAAATGTATGGCACGGCCTTCCCGCCCTCTTTTTCTCTCTCTCTCCCTCTCTTTCTCTCACACATTTGCCCCTGCTTTCACTATGTGATGTGCCTGCTCTCCCTTCATATTCTGCCAGGATTGTAAGCTTCCTCAGGCCACCCTAGAAGCTTAGCAGATGCCAGCATTATGCTTCCTGTACAGTCTGCAGAACTGTGAGCCAATTAAACCTCCTTTCTGGTAAATAATCCAGTCTCAGGTATTTCTTTGTAGCAATGCAAGAATGGCCTAATACATAGCTCTACCTTCAACATACAACCAAAATTCAGCCAGCTCTTGTCACCTCTACTTCTACCACCATAGCTCAAGCCACTCAACTATTTCACCTGAATGGCTCTAACATCTCCAGCATAGTACCAGAGTCAATTTCTTGAAAGCAAGACAGATCATGTCACTTCTTAGATTAACTCCATTCAATGACCTATTATTCCAGATAGGGCAAAGTTTTTATAATAACAATCAAGATCCCACATAGCTTAACTCTCTTACATCTCAACTCTCATCTCCTATATCCCCTTTTCATCCCTCTCCACCCTACTTCTCACTTTATTCTGGTCTCCTTATTGGTTTGCAAATATGTCTCAAGATCTTGATACTCAATACTTCCCCCAAACTCCTTCCACATTTATTGTATATAAATGATCAAATGTCATTTATGAACAAAACACTCTCTGATCAACCTGATTTAAAATGGCTTTTTTAATCCTTGACACCTCTCACCCCTTTTCACTGATTTTTTTCCATAACAACTTATCATTATGTGACATATGTACTTACTTGTTTACGTATAAGATTTACCCTGAGAAAGTTAACCTTATTATCTGTTTATTTCCTTATCTCTAATTTAGCATAGATGATTAAGGTAAGGATTAAAAGTGATCATATTTATAATGTGTTTAGGATAGCTCCTGAAACATGGTAAGCACTTAGTATATATTAATAGTTGTTAGCTCTTATTCATAGTTGTTAGTTGACTAATAAAGTGCCTGTCATATGATACTTACTCAAAAATGAAATAATTATTCCCTCAATAATATTTTATTGCATGCTTTCCACCTTCCATAATCATTTCTAGGCCTTGGGAATACAGATATTAATAATAGTTTCTTCCATCAAGAAAAACATTTTCTAGTGGAGAAAACAGACACATAAATCATGAATTTTAATACAGTGTAAAAAAAGTATGTAATAGAGTGTATAAATATACCAATACTACATAAATTATTATTCATATATACTTAGTGTAAATTAAACTTTTGTATATAAATAGGTTAGAGCCTTGGTATCAACTGACAACTTCATGCAACTTAGGAGCTAGACGAGATTTTCCTGAAACTTTCATGAACATGTCTGAAAGAAGCCAATAGTCTTTTCTTCAGGGATCTGGCTTCTTTGTTTGCTGTCCTCATTCACCCAAATCCTTCCAAAAATTACAATTGGACTTTCACAAATTTCTAAAGAAAAAAATGTACAGAATCTACTGGAAATTATAAGGAGTGGATTATATCAAATAATAGAAAATTTTAGACCAGATATTTCTGTTCTTTTGAGCCATTTTTAGCCACTGGGACTCCTCTCTGAGCCATCCCCTGTTCAGGCAGGGTCAACTCACAACCTTCCATGTTTACTCCGTATTTTCTTTCCTCTTTTTGCTCCTCAACCCCCTCCTATACTGCCCTATTGACTTCAAAGACAACTTTTTCTATTTTGTAGAACAACTTATCTTTTTCTTACGTCTAATTCACCAAATTAGTTAAACACATCAAGATATTCACAGCAACAGGATCTGCTATGTATAGTATTAAAATTCCTAAGAAGACAACTGTGTTCACAGGAGTAAGTTTTACTGCTACTGGTACTACTAAATACAAATCTATTTATATAAATAATGCTTATTGTCTCTTTAATGACACTAGTATGATAGTTTGCCCCCAGATAAAGTTTTAGGAAGATATATACTTATTTTTTCAACTAACTTATAAAGTCTTACAATAAGAAAGTAAAAACAAAGCCCAAGTCCTGAATCTTTCTACTTCTTTCAGCGCATCCTAAACATAGACTACCACAAAAAAAACTACAAATACTTGTGTTGATCCTCAGCATCACTCATTGACCTTATTTTTCTTCATTTTCTATTTGCACTTGTACATATACATTTGATTTTATCTTTGCGATGTGTTGTCCGTCAGGAAGAATTTTTTAAATCACCCTTGAAGATTAGTCCAAACAGTATTAAAAATGTGAATAGTGCCAGGAGTAATAATTTGGTTAAGAAAATATTCAGGAAATACAAAATAGAGGAGAA